>NC_000022.11:23709564-24959564 GCF_000001405.40 Homo sapiens | reverse complement strand
TGTGCCTCGATTGTTTGTTAGCTTCCTTTTATTTTTACTTTTTGAGACAGAGTCTCACTCTGTTGCCCAGGCTGGAGTGCAGTGGCACCATCTAGCTCACTGCAAACTCCACCTCCCAGGTTCAAGTGATTCTCATGCCTCAGCCTCCTGAATAGCTGGGATTACAGGCAACTGCCATCACGCCTAGCTAATTTTTTTTAATTTTATTTTTATTTTTTTTTAGTAGAGATGGGGTTTCACCATGTTGGCCATGCTGGTCTCAAACTCCTGCCCTCAAGTGATCCGCCCACCTCTGACTCCCAAAGTGCTGAGATTACAGGTTTGAGTCACTGTGCTTGACCAGCTTCCTTTTATTTTTAATTTTAATTTTTTAAATTTTTATGTATTTATGTATTTATTTATTTGAGACAAGGACTCACTCTGTCTCAGGCTAAAGTGCAGTGGTGCAATCAAAGCTCACTGCAGCATCGAACTCCTGAGCTCAAGCAATGCTCCTGTCTCAGCCTCTGAATTAGATGGGACACAGCCTGACACACTGCCAGGCTAATTTTTTTTCTTTTCTTTTCTTTTTTTTTTTTTTTTTTGATACGAAGTTTTGTTCTATCGTTCAGGCTGGAGTGCAGTGGCACAATCTCGGCTCAGGGCAACCTCCACCTCCCAGGTTCAAGCAGTCTGCTGCCTCAGCCTCCCAAGTAGCTGGGATTACAGGCATGTGCCACCATACCTGGCTATTTTTTTGTTTTGTTTTGTATTTTCAGTAGAGAGAGGGTTTTTCCATGTTGGCTAGGCTAATCTTGAACTCCTGACCTCAGGTGATTCACCTGCCTCTGCCTCCGAAAGTGCTGGAATTACAGGTGTGAGCCACTGTGCCTGACCGCCAGACTAATTTTTAACCTTTTTTTTTTTTTTTTTAAGAGACAGAGTCTTGCTCTGTCACCCAGGCTGGATTGCAATGGCATGATCTCAGGTCACCACACCCTCCACCTCCGGGGTTCAAGGGATTCTCCTGCCTCAGCCTCCCGAGTAGCTGGGATTACAGGTGCCCCACCACCACGCCTGGCTGATTTTTGTATTTTTAGTAGAGACGGGGTTTCACCATGTTGGCCAGGCTGCTCTCGAACTCCTGACCTCAGGTGATCCGCCCACCTCAGCCTCCCAAAGTGCTGAGATTACAGGCGTGAGCCACCTCACCCGGTCTTAAATTGTTTTTTCAGAGACAGTCTCGCTATGTTGCCCAGGCTGGTCTCAAACTCCTGGGCTCAAGCAATACTCCCATCTCAGCCTCCCAAAGCGCTGGGATTACAGACAGGAGCCACTGTGCTTGGCCTTAGCTTCTTCTTAAATGGCAGCAGTTTGAGTAGTGAGACTAGGCAGAAGCACCCCTCCTTGTGTTGGGAGCCATGCAAGTGGGAAGGGCATGGCTTTGAGGCAGACAGCTTTGGGTTCAAATCCCAGCTCTTCCACTTTCCCGCTGCGTGACCTCGCAGCACATCAATAACCTCTTGAAGCCTCAGTTTCATGAACTGTAAAGTCGAGGGTCTCAAAAACAGGCACCACCTGGGTTTGTTGTAAAATATTAAAAAAAAAAAAAAAAAAAAAGGCCGGGTGCCTGTAATCCCAGCACTTTGGGAGGCCGAGGTGGGTGGATCACATGAGGTCGAGAGTTCGAGACCAGCCTGACCAACATGGAGAAACCCTGTCTCTAATAAAAATAACAAAATTAGCCAGGCGTGGTGGCACATGCCTGTAATCCCAGCTACTCGGGAGGCTGAGATAGGAGAATCACTTGAACCCAGGAGGTGGAGGCTGCAGTAAGCCGAGATCCTGCCATTGCACTCCAGCATGGGCAATAAGAGCAAAACTCCGTCTCAAAAAAAAAAAAAAAAAAAAAAAGGAACAAAAGAGCTTAGCCCAGATTCTGGCATAACAGCGCAGCTCTGATGCACTATGTGCTTTACCTACATTCTCCCCAGTCCTCCCATTTTACAGAGGAAGAAACTGAGGTCCCGGGGGGACATGGCTTATCTAGGTTCACACTCCTATAATCTGGATGGGTGAGTGGAAGAAGGAGAGTGAACTCCTGGACAGGGATGCTCCTGCCCTCCTCTCTGTCCCAAACCTGCCAAAGCCTTCAGGTTTAGAAATTCAGGGAGTGTCTGGGGTATAAAAGGAATTTTTGCTGCCCATGGTCTAACTTTTATTCATTCAGCACATCCTGAATTCTGGGTATATCAGTTGGCATGCAGTTCTCCAGGCGATCTATGCCTTTGCCAGTGCTGTTGCTTCTGCCTGGAATGTCCCAGCCCTCCCTCCTACTCATCCTTTAAGACTCAAGTATCACCTGTGGGTCACTCCCTCTCTCCCCCCAACACACACAGGCACACACCAGGTTGAGCAAAGCACCACCCACCTGGAACTTATCCTGATGACAGGCTATAGTGATAATAATCATACCACCCCTTACAGAGCATAGACACGGGGCCTAGCACTGTCCATACACTGCTTCAGTAAACTCACATAAGAACCTTTTGAGAATGGGAGTATCCTATCATGAGCCCTTTTTACAGATAGGGAAGTCGAGTCTCAAAACCATAACCATGCCCAAGGCCACAGCCAGGAGCAGGCAGGGCCAGGGTTTGCCCTGGACTATCTCTGGCTGATTCCCTCCCTCCCTTCTTTTTTTTTTTTTTTTTGAGACAGAGTCTCGCTCTCTCGCCCAGGCTGGAGTGCAGTGGCACTATCTCGGCTCACTGTAAGCTCCGCCTCGCCAGTTCACGCCATTCTCCTGCCTCAGCCTCCCAGGTAGCTGGGACTACAGGCACCCGCCACCACGCCCGGCTAATTTTTTGTTTTCGTATTTTTAGTAGACACGGGGTTTCACCGTGTTAGCCAGGATGGTCTCGATCTCCTGATCTCGTGATCCATCCGCCTCGGCCTCTCAAAGTGCTGGGATTACAGGCGTGAGCCACCACGCCCGGCTGGCTGGCTCCCTCCCTTCTATCTGCCTCCTCCGGGAAGGCTCCTTCAATTTATCCCTTCCACACCCAACTGAAACCCACCTTCCTCTGTTGCTTCTCTACGGCTTAACCTGAACCCAAATATTCACTAGTTGCAAGTTGGAAGGGAGTTCAAATTCCTGCTTTGCCACTGCTGCCTGGCAAACGCCTCACAATGCCACAGAGGCCTGCATCAGTGAAATGGGAATAATGTGCCCCATGTCTCCCCACAGGAAGTCCTTGAGGACTGGCATGTTTTATACCTACCCCTGAACAGGCACAGGGTTCTAAAGCAGGTTTGCTAAACTGAATTCAGTACTGATACCACTCCCTCTGAGGGGTTTCCTTACCCCAGGTAGACTGTTACACCCACCTTGAGGAAGGGATCTTCAAAGTGAGTGGCTCTCTAAATGTAACACTGATCAATGTCAAAGTTGTCAGTGAACACCCCTCCAACACCATTGGTCTCTACGTCCAGTCCACCGCGCACCGCGGTCTCTCACCAGGATTTTTCTTTTTTCTTTTCTTTTTTTTTTTTTTTTTTGAGACGGAGTCTCACTCTGTCGCCCAGGCTGGAGTGCAGTGGCATGATCTTGCTTCACTGCAAGCTCCGCCTCCCCGGTTCATGCCATTCTCCTGCCTCAGCCTCCCAAGTAGCCAGGAGAACAGGCACCTGCCCCATGCCTGGCTAATTTTTTTGTATTTTTAGTAGAGATGGGGTTTCACCATGTTAGCCAGGATGGTCTCGATCTCCTGACCTCGTGATCGTCCTGCCTTGGCCTCCCAAAGTGCTGGGATTACAGGCGTGAGCCACCGCGCCTGGCCTCTCACCTGGATTTTTCTAGCAGCCTGCTTACTGGCCCCCAGCCTCCTGGCATGACCCTCCGATCATCCAGCCTCCCCACACCAGCCAGGGCAAGCTTCCCAAAACACACATCTGACCCTGCCCCTCACCTGCAGAGACCCTTCCACTGTGATCCACAGCGCCCCACGCTCCAGGAATAAAGTCCAAACCACTAAGCATGGCTGGCCTGGCCCCAGTCAACACCCTAGGCACTCACCTACCTCCAGGCTTCTGCACAAGCTATTCCATTTCTGCAGCCCATAACACCAACCTCTTCCCACTGGCTGTCGAGAAAACTAAACTCTCTGACCCGCATCCCTCCTTATAGCCAAAGGCATCAGCCCCTCCTCCTATGATCATAGTTCTCCCCTTCCAGACAAATGCATATGTTCACAAAGACTTTCAGGGCATAAAGTATCCCCTTAAGGATGTGGCTGCTAGCCTCATCTTTGACACAGTGTCTTGAAATATTTGTTGAAGGAACAAATGATAAATAAATGAATGAATGCACATATAAAATATCCCTGTGAGGCTCTGTTTCTGAGTTGGTCAGAGATGTAGCCTGGTGAGGAGAAATGCTCAGAGCCAGACAACTGGCTCCTTCATTCTCCTGCCAAGGTCAGCCTTCAATAAAAAACAGCCCCGGCCAGGCGCAGTGGCTCATGCCTGTAATCCTAGCACTTTGGGAGGCGGAGGCAGGAGGATCACCTAAGGTTAGGAGTTTGGGATCAGCCTGGCCAACATGGTGAAACCCTATCTCTACTAAAAATACAAAAATTAGCCGGGCAGAGTGGCGGGCATCTGTAATCCCAGCCACTCTGGAGGCTGAGGCCGGAGAATTGCTTGAACCCGGGAGGCAGAGGTCGCAGTGAGCCGAGATCGCGCCATTGCACTCTAGCCTGGGCTGCAGAGCGAGACTCCATCTCAAAAAACAAAATAAAACAAAACAAAACAAAACAAACGAAAAAAAGCAGCCCCTAGGACCTCCAGTGGGGGTAGGGGCAGCTTCCAGCCTCTGAACCTAGGGTGAGAACTGTATCCCCAACATCAAGAATCAGTACTAGACTGCAGGGCAAGCCGACTGCTCCATAGCTGGAAAGTAACTCCAAGAGGACAAATCCTGAGTTGCCCTAGGCCACACCATTTCTACAGTGCTCCTGACATAGGTGCTCAATACACGCTGGTTGATGGAGCCAGCCAGTTCATGTGCCCAGCTGAAATGTATGTCCAGACACTGCATTGAAACTCTGCACTTCTCTTGGGTAATTGCACCCTTGTCAAGCATGCAAATCCTTTAAAAAGGATCCCCCTGCCAGAACCACCAAGATCTGGGCTTGTGTCTGTACAAATTCCTCGGGAACTGTCCCTGGCTGCAACAGGAAGGAAGGAGGCGCCAGAGTCTGGGGGTGCACACGTTTGTCCAGGAACCTTGATGGATTAGCAGAGGGAAAGCCAGACCAAGGGAGAAGCTTTGTCCAAATGTCTTGGTTACTCATTAGCCAAACCTCAGAGCTTCTCTCTGCAAGGGGGGATCAGAGGGGCAATTAACCCATTTGGAAGAAAGGTTAAGCTAAATAGCTCTCTAATCCTGCGGTTTCAAAAGATAGCAAGTAGGGTTTCTGGAATCTTTAGATACTGTAAGGCAAGCACAGGGGATGGGGCACGGGAAAGGAGAGGCCATAGACTGAGGGAGGCACTGATACTTATAGAGCCCCTACCTGTTTCATACCCTTCATTCCGATCCATCCTAGGCCAAGCCCATTTTGCCCAGAGGGTCCCCATCTGGATTCAGATAGGTTAAGTGTTTTGCCCAAGGTCACAAAAAAGGTGCAAAGAAAGTGTTTTTCTTTGTGCAACAGGTACAGTCCTTTCCCTTCCAAAAGATAATGGCTGCTCCTGGCTAGAGAAAGTTCAGTCCCGGCAGGCAGGAAGCCCTAGCCACCTAGGCGTCGCGCGGTGGAGGTCACACGCCTGCTCCGGGACTGGACAAACAGCAGGGTTTTAAGGCGCGGCGTCCCCACTCCCAGGCGAGTTTGTGCCAGCAGGGTGTGAAAAGGTCAGGCTCGGGTGGGGGTCAACGAGCCGCTTCCCATCCCGAGGGCCCCACCCGTGAGCCCGGGTGGGCCGCGCCGCCATCGGGGCGGGGACCACGCGGGCCTGCCTGGTAACAGGGGGACTGAGGCTTAATCCCATCAGGGCGCCTCCGCCCTGGGAAGACGAGCGGAGGGGGGGCGCAGGCCAGGCCGAGAGGACGTGTCCGGAGCCTCCGCGTCCGAGGGGCCCCGCGCGCCGCCCCTCTCACGCCCCCCGAACCACCGCGCTGTCCTCCGGGCTCCCCTCGACCAGGGTTCCGTCTCGCTCGCCGCCCTTGCTTCCCACTTCCACCTCCGGGGCCTCCAACCCGCACAAATGTCCAGACCCTAGCAGCTCCAGGCTGAGTAACCCAGATCTCCAGCGATCCCTCAGCTCCTAGCCACGGGATCTCTCTGAATCCATTCCCAAGGCTCAGGCTGGCATGGGAGGAGATTGATCCTCTCGCTCCCAGTCTCGAATCACCCTTCGCCGTCACCCCTGACTGGGGATCCAGTGGGACCCCAGGCCTCCAGCGCCCGATCCCCTCCAGGGATCGACTCCCAAGTCGCCAACCAGGTGGCACGTGATCCATTGGTTGCCCTGTGCGGGATCTTCCCGCGGGATCCACTCTCAAGTCTCGGGAGACGGATTCCCCGGCTCCCAAACCGGGATCCTCCCTCCCTGCAGACCCGGAGTCTGGGGAAATCCTCCGGCTCCCCGCCTCTTCCCCGGCCAACTTTGCCAACTTTTCTCCCGGGGCCTCGGCCGGGCAGAAACTTGGCGGCCCTCGCCAGCCGCCGTCACCCCCAGCTACCTCGTCGGCCGGGGACAGGAGGCGGCCAGCCGGCCCCCACTGCCCGCAGCCGCTGCGCAACCTACCGTGGAGCCACCGCCAGCCCGCGCCGCGCCGCCACCTGCCCGCAGCCCGCGGCACCTGCCCTGGGAGCCCGCAGCCCCGCGCAGCCTAGCCTGCTGGGGGCGGGGCCTCGAGCGGGGACGCGCCCCCGTCACCATGGGAACTGCCGCCGGCCGCGCCTGCGCGGAGGGGAGCAGAGCAGGCAGGACCCGAGTCCGCAGTGGCGCCTGGGCCTGGGACCTCTCCGGCGGGTCAGAGGTCACGACTCGCTTGGACACCCCTGCCGGAAGCGCTCCCGCCCCTCGAGGCCCGACCCCGCTCTGTCCAATTGGGAACTTTGCTCCGGGTACCCTCCCGCGTTCCCTGGATGTTCCCCAGTCACCAGCCAGGATCCCCCGCCACCGGCACCGACCCGCTGCCCAGCCGGCGACCCCGAGAGCCTAATGCAACCCAGGATTTCAGGAGGCGCTCCATAAATGTGGGCCCACTGACTTGCCTGGGCTGCTGGTGCCGGCCCGGGGGCGGGCAAGGTCTGTGCGCGGTGCTGGCGCCTCCTCGCGCCAAGCAAGGGCACTGCACCTGAGAGTTCGCTGGAGCGCCTACTGTGTGCGCATCCTCCTGCCATTATGTTGTGGGTGTGAGTTGTGGGGTAATGGGTACAGGAACTTGTGGACAAGTTGAGAGAATCGTAGGAAGTCGCCTCTGAAAGAGAAAATACCTGTTCTGTTATCCGTTACTCATTTCATTCAGCAGATCTTTATTAAGCACCTATTGCATGCTGGGTGCTGGAGAACCCAGTGGTGGGCAGCTGGCAAAATCCAGGCTGTTGTGCAGCTTACAGATATTCAAACAAATAATTTCACGAGTATATCAAATTGAATCTGTGACATGTGCTCCTATGGGAAATGTACAGAGCATGAATAACTGGAGGACCTAAAATCAATGTGCCTTTATTATAAGCAAGATAGACCTCAATAAAAAAAGAGAAAGAAAAGGACATCACAGGCTGCGCACGGTGGCTTGTAATCCCAGCATTTTGGGAGGCCGAGGCGGGTGGATCACCTGAGGTCATGAGTTTGAGACCAGCCTGGCCAACGTGGTGAAACCTCGTCACTACTAAAAATTACAAAAATTAGCTGGGCGTGGTGGCGGATGCCTGTGATCCCAGCTACTCGGGAGGCTAAGGCAGGAGAATGGCTTGAACCCGGGAGGTGGAGATTGCAGTGAGCCAAGAGCGCGCCACTGCACTCCAGCCTGGACGACAGAGCAAGACTCCATCTCAAAAAAAAAAAAAAGAAAAAGACATCACATTGTGTGGCTTCAGGAGGATTGGTGGGGAGACTTCTTGCCTCATTTTGCTCTTAAATTGTTGGGTGTGTGTAAGAAACAAGGGTAGCTCCTGTTCTCCACACCGTTTGCACTGCAACCCTTTTGAAGGTCTGATCATCACCATCAGACCCAGGCAGGGTAAACCCTGTTTACCAAACAGCAGCCCGAGAACCCCCAACTGACTTGTGTACAGTGCTGGAACCCAGGAATTGGGGGGCAGAGGTCCCATGAGGTCTCATGTCTCAAGACATTCTCCTTATCATCTGGGTATCTTGAGTACAGTCATCAAAAGGATCAAACCCAGTTGCTTTTACAGACAACTACCACTTCCAGAGAGAAGTCTGTGAGTAGGAGACCAGGAACGGCTGGGTTGAAACTTAAAATCCTTCAAAATCCACGTAAGTCAGGCCTTTACATGACGTGTATGTTATACCAGCAAAGGAAAATCGTTGATTGTCTGCTCTTCTCTCTAGACCTCCTGGAGGAAGGGACTTCTGTCTGTCTTTCACCTCCGATTCCCAGTGCCTAGAACAGGGCTTGGCACACAATAGGTGCTCAAAGAATGTATGCTGAGTGCATGAATGACCAACAGCTGATGACATGCCATCTGCTGCCCCTCCTCCCTAACCTTATGGGAACTTCCTGTCTCTCCTGGGCAAATCTCCATGAACCAGAATGCGTAGGCTGGGGGTTCTGTTCAATGGAATGTTCCATGTTTCTCAGCTCCCCAGCCAATGCAGGCTTCCACCTTGGCATCGCCTCTCCATTCCAGAACATAAGGATGGGAGGGGACAAGATAGTCCTCCTCCTGCCACCCCCCATGGAGACTCAAACCCAGACACGTCCCCAGCCCTGACCATCAACCCTACTCTCTGCCCCAAGAGATGCCCAGCCCAGACCGGGTGTCAGCTCTTCTATCCCTGTCAAGCTTTAAGGGGATTCCAGAGGTGCTGAACTACAACTCCCAGAGTCCTCCTGAACCTGGACCCAGAAGGGGCAGGACTTCCTGGTCAGCCCCCACCTTAGCTGGTTCCCCCTGCATTCCTGTGTCTTCCCGCCTAGGTGAGAGATGCCAGCTCGCACATACCCAGAGGTAGACCCTGACCAAAGAGGTGTCAGGTAGTACAGTTTCCGGAGGCAACACCCCTCCCTCCCCCAACCTCACCACTCCCAGCCCTGGCTTTTCTTTTTCTAAGAATAGAGCACAGTGCTTCCCAGGGATTTTCCCAGAACCCTTTCTTCGCAGTCTTTTGTCCCCTCCTCCAGAAGGTCCTGATTAGCCTGTGTCAGCTCTGTCCAATAGAACTTTCTGCAACGATGGAGATGTTCTATATCTGCACTGTCCAACATTAGCCACAGATGACTATTGAGCACTTAAAATGAGGTCAGGGAGACTGAGGAACTAAGTTTTACATTTTATTTAATTTTAATTAGTATAAATTTTAAAATCCACACGTGGCCCTGGCTACCATATTGGACAGTATAGCTCTACACCCCACACACCCCTTGCAAAGACCATGTTCATGCATTTTCGTTGGTGCATATTTATCCATTTTGTTTTTCCTAAAATTTATCTGCATGTTGAGTGTGAGAGCCGGTATGTTCTTTGAAATGTTTTCCCTCAACACTAGTCCTATGCCCATGCCATTACCCCCACCAGGAAGTCTTTGCCCTCTGCCTCCCCATCATCTAGTTAACAACTAAATGTCCCTCAGATCTTAGCTTCTACATCAGTTCCTCTAAGAAGCCATCCCCAACCACCAAAACTGATTAGATGTTGCAGAATCTGGGGCTGGTGCCCGCACTCATTAAAGTTCTGATCACACTGTAGTGTAATTGCCCAATTACTTTTCACTCACTTTCTAGGCTGTGAGGTCCTTGTGGGAAGAGACTAGCATAGTACCTGAAACAGAGTTGTCACCCAATAAATATTCATGAAGTTCAATGTTGCATAAATGTTTTCACATGCTGGAATCCAGCGTTTGGTTCACGGTAATGATACTAATGAAGGCTATCATTTATTCAGCCAAATATTTTGCCTGTGCTATCTCATTAAACTCCACAACAACCTATAAGACGTGCTCTATTATTATTATTACTTAATTTTTTTCGAGACAGTCCCGCTCTGTCGTCCAGGCTGGAGTGCAGTAGCACAATCTTGGCTCACTACACAGCCTCGCCCTCCTGGGCTCAAGCCATCCTCCCGCCTCAGGCTCCCGAGCAGCTGGGACTACAGGCATGCGCTACCATGCTTGGCTAATTTTTGTGTTTTTGTAGAGATGGGATTTTGCCATGTTGCCCAGGCTGGTTTTGAACTCCTTGTTCAAGCGATTCACCCACATCAATCTCCCAAAGTGCTAGGGTTACAAGTATGAGCCACTGTGCCCCGCTGAGATGCTCTATTATTATCTACCTTTTACAGATGAAGGATCTGAAGCTCAGAGAGGTTAAGTAAGTTGCCCAAGGTCACACAGCTAGTATTTCAGCCTGGCTCCCTGGAAAACAGAGCCCAAGGAAAATTTTATGTACTAATGCTTTATTAGGGATAAAATTCCAGCTCAGTAAGGGTGAAGGGAAGGGGACTTCAAGGCAAGGGAGGAGGGAGAGCAAATATAAGACATGCCTTACTAGGCTGGCTACAGAAGCCACGTGAAACAGACCATGGAAGGAATGAAGGAAGCGCGAGGACTTCATCGGCTGGCGCCTCCCATCCTCTGTCCACGATTAGTCACTGTTGGGCCCAACTGTGTTATCTGTGCCTCCAGACAGCCCCAAGGGAAGCCAATTCCATACACAGGGCTTCACCTGAGCCTAGAAGAGGAGGGTCCAGGGCTCCCTCCCTTGAAGCAGGTCAGGTCTGCTTGAATGACAGCGGGAGATGCAGGCCTAGGTGGCTAAGTAGATGCAGCAACTGACCCAAGCCGCCTGCAGGCGGAAGCAAGAGGAGGCTTGATCTTGTCCAGAGCTGCTGGCTGGCTGGGAAGGACGCAGCTGAGCACACCTGAGAAGGTGCATCAGTCAAGCCTGATACAGCGAGTAAACATCACAACTGAAATCCAAATCCAGTTTAGGCTAACTCCAGTGCCCTTCAACACATATTGATTGAAAGGGGAAAAATGAATATATGAATGATTGAATGAGTGACTGGGGAAAAAACCCAGGCAGCCACCACTCCAGACGCCCTCATTTTACAGGTAGAGAAACTGAGGCCAAGGAGGCAGTGATGCCCCAACTCAGGTCACACTGACTGAGGCGGCAGAGCTGGGACTTGAATGAAGCCTGAGACACGGCTTCACTGAGATTTTCTGCCTCTAACTGGCTGGGAACCTCCTGCTTCTGGCAATACCAACTGCCAGGTGCTCATTCGTTAATCTACAGGGAAAAGCTCGCATTTCCTGTGCACCGAGACGATGTCTTTTGTTCTCACCTTCCTAGCAGCCATCTCCCCTCTGCCAACAGCATCTCCGTTTTCCTCCAGGGAAGAATCCCACCCGCTACACTCAGTCCATGTCGTTTCAAGGGCGGTAAGCCTCGCGACACCCTTACTTGATCCTCACTTTCCAAACCTTAACCCCCAACCCTAGGACACAGGATGTAGGTCTGGCCAATCAGAGCATCCCATTTGCCTGGCCACAGTGATTGATTCGTGGTAGGCATGGGACCCAAGTTTGTCCATTGAGTGTTAATCACAGCACTTGCTGCAATAGTGTGCAAAGAGAAGCTTTCTTTTCTCTGGGGTTGCTGAGTCTCGGAATGTCAGCCTGGAGCCACCAAAGGGCAATATTGTTAGAGGGAATCCACCTAGAGAGTGAAGCCAACTGAGCAGAAAACAGAACTGAGAGCTGGAGAGAGAGAGGGGTTCTGAAGACATTGCTTATTTACCTGGATCCCACTATGCCTGAAGCCCATCCCAGAGAATTTTCAGTTACGTGAACCAATACATTTCTCATGTCTATTTGAGTGGTGCTTCCATCACTTATAGCAAAAGAATACCAGGCCAGGCGCGGTGGCTCACGCTTGTAATCCCACCACTTTGGGAGGCCGAGGTGGGCAGATCACAAGGTCAGGAGATCGAGATCATCTTGGCCAACAAGGTGAAACCCTGTCTCTACTAAAAAAAAAAAAAAAAAAAAAAATACAAAAAATTAGCTGGGCATGGTGGCAGGAGCCTGTAGTCACAGCTACTCAGGAGGCTGAGGCAGGAGAATGGCGTGAACCCAGGAGACAGAGCTTGCAGTGAGCCGAGATCGCACCACTGCACTCCAGCCTGGGCGACACAGTGAGACTCTGTCTCAAAAAAAAAAAAAAAAGAATACCAGCACCTACTCTGTGCCAAGTTTTGTGGTAAGGATAAAGATATTTAAGACACAGTGCCTGACTTTGAGACGTCCACAGCTCACAGGGAAGATCCTATGAGAAATACACAGAAATATGCATATCAGTTGCCTGGGCTGGAATTATGAGGGCAGAAAGGTAGAGAACACAGTGGCAGCCACTTCTAAACTCCCAATCCCATTTCTCCTCCTGAGATTCTATCTGTGGTTTCCTACACCTGGCGTTTAATCATAGATCAGTTAATCCCTATTGGTGCCTTGCCCTACCCAGAAAACACTATACTCTCCCCTTGTCCCCACCTGGAGATGGCTTTCCCCTCTTTGCTCAGCCCACCCAGCAGCCTGGAGTGAAAGCTTTTATTTAAGGAAGTGGGAAGGAAAAACCACACACACACACACAGACACACCCTCAGACCAGTTCATCAAGCATGCCCTTGCATTGTTCTACAAGCTAAATTATTCCTTCAAAGGAGAGGAGAATTGTATAAGGTCACAGACGTGGATCCAAAGCCGGAGCCTGAGCAGAGGTGGCCACGCTGGAGGGTCTTGACCTAAAGTGTGGTGAGTCTGGAGGGACAAGTGACCTGAGGTGAGGAGTGAGGAGGGAAGGAAACTGGGATAGCACAAAGCACGTTCAGGGGCTGTTACAGGCTTCAGGGGGCCCATGAGCCTCTGAAATGACATACAATTGTGTGTGTGTGTGTGTGTGGGTGGGTGGGTGGGTGCATGTGCGCTCATGTGTGCATGCTTGCTTATGTGAGAGTGCACGTGGAAACATCCATAGTTTTGTTTTCTGGGGTTTTGTTTTTTTGTTTTTCTTTTTTTGAGACAGTCTTGCTCTGTCGCCCAGGCTGGAGTGCAGTGGTGTGATCTCGGCTCACTGCAACCTCCGCCTTCCGGGTTCAAGTGATTCTCTTGCCTCAGCCTCCCGAATAGCTGGGATTACAGGCACCCGCCACCATGCCCAGCTAAGTTTTGTATTTTTAGTAGAGACAGGGTTTTGCCATATTGGCCAGGCTGGTCTCGAACTCCTGACCTCACGTGATCCTCCCGCCTTGGCCTTGCAAAGTGCTGGGATTATAGGTGTGAGCCACCACACCTGGCCAACATCCATAGTTTTAAATCATATCTTCAAAGGAATGCATCAAAGGGTTAAGTCCCACAGACCTTCCTTTTGTAGATGGGGAACCTGAGGCTCAGAGCCGTTACATAATTTGTCCTAGGTGGCACAGCCAATCTGTGACAGATGCTGGAATAGATCCAGAAATTGGACTTACCTGGCTGCATAGCCGGGAGAATGTGATAAGAGATAAAAGTCCTTCCCAGACCCAGTTTGCCCATCTGTGCATCTCAGCCTGGACATGGCCTGCACCCCCCAGGCTGGACTGGGTGCCCTTCCTCTGTGCTTGTCCCCAGTGTCACCCCAGGCTTTTTCATGGTGTGGAGCTGTGTCTGTACTCAAGCCTGTATATATCGATTGATGGGTTGGGGAAGATACACATCTCAAGCTTTGCTTACGCAACCTCACACTCAGACACCTCCGGCTGCCCTAGTAAACATGTTCCTTCTGCAGGTTCTTCGTCCCAGGTCAAAAGCCCTAGAGGCATCCTTGCCTGTTCACCTTCCCTCACACCCCAGGCCTATTCTATTAGCAAATCTGATCAGCTTGACCTTTGCCCTTCAAAATCAATCCAGAATCTGACCACTCTTTGTCCTCCTCCCCTAACCCCACCTCCACGTCCATCCACATCCACCTTTGTCTCTTGTCTGACTGACGAGTCATCTTCTGAAGACTTCTCCCTCTGCTTCCCTTCTGCCTGTTCTCCACCCAGGAGCCAGAGTGGTCTTTTGAAAACCTAGGATGGTTCATGTCATACCCCTGCTAAAGACCAGCCATAGACTCCCTACCACACTCACAAGTGAAAAGCCAGGCTAGGCACGGTGGCTCATGCCTATAATCCCCAAACTTTGGGAGACTAAAGCAGGAGGATCTCTTGAAGCCAGGAGTTCAAGACCAGCCTAGGCGGCCAGGCGCGGTGGCTCACACCTGTAATCCCAGCACTTTGGGAGGCCAAGGCGGGCAGATCACAAGGTCAAGAGATCGACACCAGCCTAGCCAACGTGGTGAAATCCCGTCTCTACTAAAAATACAAAAATTAGCTGGGCGTGGTGGTGCGCATCTGTAGTCCCAGCTACTCAGGAGGCTGAGGCAGGAGAATTGCTTGAACCCGAGAGGCAGAGGTTGGGGTGAGCCGAGATCGCGCCATTGTACTCCAGCCTGGCGACACAGCAAGACTCGGTCTCAAAAACAAAAACAAAACAAAACAAAAAAAGACCAGTCTGGGCAACATAGAGAGACCTCACCTCATCTCTACCAAAATAAATAAATAAATAAATAAATAAATAAATAAATAGCCAGGCATGTTGGTGCATGCCTGTAGCCCCAGCTACTTGGGAGGCTGAGGTGGGAGGATTGCTTGAGCCCCAGGAGGTTGAGACTGCAGTGAGCTGTGATTGTGCCACTGCACTCCAGCCTGGGCAACAGAGCAAGACCTTATCTCTGCTACAAGGCGCACCGCTCTTTCCTACCCTCATTACTTCTAGTCACATGGGCCTCTTTGCATCTTCAAATGTGCCAAGGGCACACTCCCCTCAGGGCCTTTGCACCTGCTCCCCACTCTGCTTGGAATATTCCTCTGACACCTCTCCACGTGGCTCCCTCCATCACCTTCTTCAGGCTCAGCTCAAAGGTCACCTTCTCATGGGGCTTTCCATGACTATCCCCCAATTACCCAATCACTTGCTATCTCCCTCCAACGCTTCATTTTTCTCTAGGGCACTTATTGACATCTAACATATTACATATTGACTTGCTTATTTCCTCCCTGTCTCTCTCTCTCCCTCCAGAGTCTAAGTTCCATAAGGAGGGGCTTTTTCTATTTTCCTCACTGCTGAATCCTCCAGGACCTAGAACAGTTCCTGGAACATTGTAGACACCCAATAAATATTTGTTGAATGAGTGAGCACATGGACATATTGCTATATTTTGTTGGTCTGTCTTGCCTGCAAAACTCTAAGCTCTTTGAAGGTGGGGACTACGTTCTGTTCACCACTGTATCCTGGGGGTAGGGGGTTAAGAGATCACATTGAGCTGGGCACATTAAAGTTGAATGAATGATTGATCAACCCCTCCAATTTACAGAGAAAGACATAGAAGCCAGAAGAAGAAAGAGACTTGGCTTGACATATCAAGTCCCTAGCAGCTACCTCTAAACTCCCAGTCCCATTTCTCCTCCTGAGATTCTGCCTTTGTATGGCTTCTCTGGAATCATCCCTGTCCCCTGGGCAGGGCAGGCA
This sequence comes from Homo sapiens, assembly GCF_000001405.40. Lineage (NCBI taxonomy): Eukaryota > Metazoa > Chordata > Mammalia > Primates > Hominidae > Homo > Homo sapiens. The sequence goes on along the minus strand of NC_000022.11, from coordinate 24,943,775 downwards.
TGAGAGCTGACCATGCCCTAACCTTGGGCAGCTCTAGTAAGCCGTTGGGTTCGTTGGCCTTTAAATTAAATCCTTAATATCACTTTGGGCTTAGGGCCCAGAACCCGAGCCTGATTCCCAAAGTATGAGTCTCAGTTCTATGGCTTGCTTCCTGAGCCTCAGTTTTGTCATCTGTAAAATGGGAACAGTGATAATATTATCTATAATAGTATCTATCGCATCAGGTGGCCATAAGGCTTATAGGTAACAAGTGCTTACCTATGCAAGTGCTTAGACCGAAGCCTGGTGAGTGCCCAGAAATTGTTGACTGCTATTAAAAGTTAAGCACTGAGCCAGAGGAGAAAATATTCAGTCCCTTTCAAGCTCTCCTTAGGTGGATTCCAGCCAATTGCAGCCTGGCCGGATGTGGTTTCGGGTTATAATGCCTCATTTAGGTTTCTGGGCACCTGGACGGTTGACGTGATTTTCCCAGGTGACATTGAGCATTATCTGGAGAACAAAACTCCTTTCAAGGTGAGAAACGCCTGGACAGCCACTGGCGCAGCCAGAGAGAGGCACAATCATAGGCCTAGGTGGATTCAGCTCTCCCAGGCTTCCTGGCTGGAATTACACCCCTCACTATCTTGCCAACCCAAAGGAGAGGCTGATTTTGGTGTAGGGAAAACACCACCACCACCACCAAAAAAACCCCATAAAAATACTGTCCCCTCTCACTCAAGGGAGGATATTCCACTTGCTGGCGAGCAGCCACGAGGTTTTTCTCATCTCGGGGTAAAAAGCCCGTGCAACTTGACCCAGATATACCTGCCCAGGTTTATCTCTGCCCCTCCCCCAGCAACACACACACACACACACACACACACACACACACACACACACACACTTTATCCCCTTGAAGCTTCACAACAACCCTCACTCCCATTTTCCAGAGAGGTGAGGCCATCTCCCCAAACTCCTATAGATGGGAAGGGGAGGATCTGGGCTTCTCTGCCTTTTTCCATCATATCACCCTGCCCATTGACTGATCCCAACACTGTCTGCCCCTAGTCCAGACTAAGGGATTCATAATCTTCTTGTACAGATGGAGAAACTGAGGCCTAGAGCAATGGGCCTAGAGCCACTTGCCCCAGGTCCCGCACCAGGGATATGGTGGAGTGGTTGGTTGGCCTCTAACCCCAGAATTCCTGCCATGTTTAGTGGGTGGCTGGGCTTAGATGGCCAAAGTGAAACCCAAGGTTGTGCCGCAGGTGCCTGGCAAAGCTGGCTAAGTGCCCTTGGCCTGGTTGGCAGCTCAGCTGCTTTTGACCTTGAGTGCCCTTGGGCAGGCTCACCCTTCTGGGCTTCCTTTCTGGCCATCAATGGCAGGATTGGCTATTTGTTAGCAAATCACCTTCCAGTCTCAGCCATGCCGTGAAACCATGACTATTATTAAAGTAAGACTTGACTCTACATTGACTTACTTTTATATTAAAATACATTTGAGGCCGGGCGCGGTGGCTCACACCTGTAATCCCAGCACTTTGGGAGGCCGAGGCGGGTGGATCACAAGGTCAGGAGATCGAGACCATCCTGGCTAACGGGGTGAAACCCCGTCTCTACTAAAAATACAAAAAATTAGCCGGGCATGGTGGCGGGCGCCTATGTCCCAGCTACTCGGGAGGCTGAGGCAGGAGAACGGCATGAACCCGGGAAGCAGAGCTTGCAGTGAATGGAGATCGTGCCACTGCACTCCAGCCTGGGTGACAGAGTGAGACTCCATCTCAATAAATAAATAAATAAATAAATAAATAAATAAAATACATTTGAATTTCGGCCAGGTGCAGTGGCTCACGCGTGTAATCCCAGCACTTTAGGAGTCCGAGGCGTGCGGATCACGAGGTCAGGAGATGGAGACCATCCTGGCCAACATGGTGAAACCCCATCTCTACTGAAAATACAAAAATTAGCTGGGCGTGATGGCTTGTGCCTGTAATCCCAGCTACTCAGGCTGAGGCAGGAGAATCGCTTGAACCAGGGAGTCGGAGGTTACGTGAGCTGAGATCGCGCCACTGTACTCCAGCCTGGAGACAGAGCAAGACTCCGTCTCAAAACAAAACAAATGAACAAACAAACAAACAAAAAAATTTGAATTTCCATTGGAAAAGCAGTATCATGCCAAAAAAAAAAAAAAAAACAAATATACGCAAAATCAAACCACATTCACAGATTCTCACTAGAGTCTTGCTATGGACTGAATATTTGTGTCCACCCAAAATTTATATGTTGAAACCCTAACCCCCAAGGTGATGATATTAGGAGATGAGGCCCTTGGGATCTGCTTCAAGGGAACCCAAACCAAGACATCCATGGTGTTTCAGTCCAAAAGTAAGACGCAGAATGCAATACGTAATGCTAGCCTGGCCAACATGGTGAAACCCCATCTCTACTAAAAATACAAAAATTAGCCAGGTGTGGTGGCATGTGCCTGTAGTCCCAGCTACTCGGGAGGCTGAGGCAGGGGAACTGTTTGAATCTGGGAGGCAGAGGTTGCAATGAGCCGACATGGCACCACTGCATTCCAGCCTGGCCGACACACAGCAAGACTCTGTTTCAAAAAAAAAAAAAGATAATACCATCTGCAGCAATGAGAAATGCACGCATACAGCACCACACCAATTTTGCAAACCTAACTCCACACAAAATGACATACATTAAATAATTAAAATAAAAAAAAAACAAAGTGGCTGCTATAAACAGCATCTGTGTTCCTTGAGGCCAGCCTGGCCAATATAGGGAGACCTTGTTTCCACAGAAAAGAAAAAAGGTTTCTAATTAGCCACATGTGATGGAACGTCTCTGCAAAAAAATAAAAATAAATAAAAATTAGCTGCCCCAGTAGTCCCAGCTACTCAGCAGGTGGGAGGATCGCTTGAACCCAGGAGTTTGAGGTGGCAGTGAGCTATGATCATGCACTGCACTCCAACCTTTTTTCTCTGAAAGAAAGAAAGAGAGAGAGAGGGAAGGAAGGAAGGAGGGAGGGAGGGAGGGAAGGAAGGAAGGAAGCAAGGAAGGAAGGAAAGAAAGGGAAGGAGGGAAGGAGGGAGGGAGAGAGAAGGAAGGAGGGAAGGAAGGAAGGAAGGAAGGAAGGAAGGAAGGAAGGGCGGGCATATGTGTGTGAATTATTATTATTTTTTTTTTTTTGAGACGGAGTCTCGCTCTGTCGCCCAGGCTGGAGTGCAGTGGTGCGATCTCGGCTCACTGCAAGCTCCGCCTCCCGGGTTCACGCCATTCTCCTGCCTCAGCCTCCCAAGTAGCTGGGACTACAGGCGCCCGCTCCCACGCCCGGCTAATTTTTTTTTGTATTTTTAGTAGAGACGGAGTTTCACCGTGTTAGCCAGGATGTTCTCGATCTCCTGACCTCGTGATCCACCCGCCTCGGCCTCCCAAAGTGCTGGGATTACAGGCGTGAGCCACCGCGCCCGGCTATGTGTGTGAATTTTTAAAAGGTGCCCCGACTGGGTAGAAGCAGCCCTTTAGAACAGAGGAGGCTCCATGGAAGAATGGATAAATAGGCCGTGCGCGGTGGCTCACGCCTGTAATCCCAGCACTTTGGGAGGCCGAGGCAGGCGGATCACAAGGTCAGGAGATCGAGATCATCCTGGCTAACACGGTGGAACCCGTCTCTACTAAAAATACAAAAAATTAGCCGGGCGCGGTGGCGGGCGCCTGTAGTCCCAGCTACTCCGGAGGCTGAGGCAGGAGAATGGCGTGACCCCGGGAGGCGGAGCTTGCAGTGAGCCGAGATCGCACCACTGCACTCCAGCCTGGGCGACAGAGCAATAATCTGTCTCAAAAAAAAAAAAAAAAAAAAAGCGATAAATGAATGAACGAACGAACAAATGAACAAATGAAAGTATGCACGGAATATGAGAAGAGCCCTGCATGGACCAGTGAGGATGATGTGCCATGAAGAAGGTGGAGGGGCAAATGTTCAAAGGTCTTTCAGGGCTAACATTTATTCTAGGACTTGGGGGTTGTACTTCTAGAATTTGCTAGGGCAAAGTAACCCCCACTACCAGACCACAGTTATTAGTACCTCCCATTTGCATCTCCAGGCTCAAGGGGGGCTGATGATCTGGGGTCTGATCATAACACCAGATCCCTGGCTAGGGAGCACCTCGGCCAGCCCCTTTCTCTCCTTGTCCCTGCAGTCTCCATTAGTAATCTTCCCTGTTGACCCCTAGGTCAGCGATACTGCCTAATGTTGAGCAGTGTGTGGGTAGCTCTGGGGCTCTCTCTGACCTGCACCTCAGCCTTCAGCCTCATCTCCCCTGCCTGGTTCCAGACCCCGACCTTCTCCTTTGGCATCCTCACCTACTGCTCCTGGCCTCAGGGCAACAGTTGGAACCAGAGCTGCGTGACCTTCAGTTCCCTGGAGGATATTCCTGACTTTGCCTGGAAGGTGAGAGCTGGCTCACCAAGTCACTGGGTCTTCAGGGGCTCGTTTAAACTCATTAAGGCAGGAAAGCTGGCTGAGCGGAATTCGAGGAGGCTTTCCTCACTGCCTGAGTGTCCCAGTGGCTTCGAATTTGCCATTACTCTCCTTAGAACTGAGCATAGAAGTTCTTCAACCTGACAGCCCTTCAGAAACACCTGTGCAACTTTGCAAAGATGCCAAGTTCTGTGCTCCACCCGGAGCCCCTGTCTCTGTAGGCGTGGAGTGGGGTCCGGCTACTGATAATTTAACAAACATGCAGGATGATTCCAAAGGCAGCTGCCGGCCAATGTAGCACCTTCGTGCAAATTAGGAAAAGGTGCCCCTTCTTTAGGATGCTCTACTGCCATCTGCTGGAAAGTCACTGTAATCAGTTTGCAAATCTATGATGGCCCCCAACGTGTCTCTGAGAGTTGTGCAGTATACAACCTGCACGCTCTTACCTGGCCACCCTCTAAACACTGCTAGGTTTAAAAATGAAAGCTAAGGTGTTAAAGTCCCAGCTATGATGCACATTGCCAAAATCAACAATGGGGAGAATGGGAAAGGACTCCTAGTCCAGCACCTCTAAGGAAGAATATACAGCCTTCAAAATTGATTGTTATAAGGGTGATGTAACAGCAGCTACCAGGTGCCTCTCCTGATGATCCTGGCATGTAGCAAGTGCTTAATAAAGGTACTATATGCTGGTCAGTCAATGTGGATCTTCATTCTGGCTCTACCACTTAATTACCCATGTGTTCTGAGGCAAATGACTTCAGTTTCTTGGACTTTTATTGGAAAATTTATTTTCTTGGACAGTTTCTTTTTATGTAAAATGGAGATCATAATAGCACAAACCACATGCTGCGAGGACTCAGAAGCTGGTCAATGAGCAGGGGAGCATCCACCTGCCCCTGTCCCAGCCAACACCCTTCCTTCTGTCTCTTCCTTGCAGGTCTCAGCTGTGATGCTCCTCGGAGGCTGGCTCCTGTTGGCCTTCAATGCAATTTTCCTCCTGTCTCTTCCCTGCAGGTCTCAGCTGTGATGCTCCTCGGAGGCTGGCTCCTGTTGGCCTTCAATGCAATTTTCCTCCTGTCTTGGGCTGTGGCCCCCAAAGGGCTGTGCCCAAGGAGAAGCAGTGTTCCAATGCCAGGGGTGCAGGCAGTGGCAGGTAAATCCAATGCACAGGCACATAGTCAGTGCTCTAGACATATTTATGGAATGAATGAATGAATGAATGAATGAATGAGTCTGTGAGCAGAGCCTGGCCTCTCGGGTCAGACCTCAGAGATAAACCCTAGGATTGTTGACTATTCCTGGTCCTTTGGCAAGCCAGAAATCAGGGGGAGGGAGAGATGGCATCCTTAGTGTCACCCATTACTGCTCTTAGCTGACCCAGTCCTAATAATCTGTCCCCCTTTGTTTCTCGCTCATCCATCCACTTCATGTCATCCTTACCAGGGCCACCATACACAGTTGGGGATGTTGTGCACTGTGCAAGCATGCCCAGCTGAGAACTGAGAAGATGCTGAAATCTAGTCCATACTTCACTTGCTAAACTGTGAACCTGCAAGACTGCATCTCTTGAGAAGGGTCACTTTTCTGTAATTTATACATAGCTTTTGAATATACTAGCCAGGTCTTCATTGCAATCCTCATTCAATTAATGCTCCACCATCTCTTGCCTGGATTACAGCAATAAGCACCTCACAGGTCTCACTGCTGTCACTGCTCCCCCTTAGTGTCTATTTGGCCACATACTGGACAAACGAGTCCTGTTAACCTGACATCAGATCATGCCACTCAGACTGGCTTATCCACCCTCCAATCACTTCCCATCATACTCAGAGTAAAATCTGAACTTCTTACCGTAGCCTATGAGGCTCCACCTAACCCAGTCCCCAGTCCCTCACCAACCTCATCTCTTCCTTCCTCTGCCAGGCTCAGTGTGCTCTGGCTATTCTGATTTGCAATCTGTTGCTCATATACACCATGCTTGCTCCCTCTGCTGGACTCCTCTTTCCCCAGATTTTCACAGGTCTTGCTACTCACTTCATTACGGGCTCTGCTCAGATATCACTGCCTCCATGAGGTCTTCCATGACTTCTAGCTAAGGGATCTTCCCTCTCCTTAGATTCTCCATCTTCTTACTTTGCTTTATATTTTTCATAGCACATACTTACCTGAAATATCTAATCTGCCTACTTGATTATTGTCCCTCTTTCTCCAAAGAACATCAGCTCCATGAGGAGAAGGACATGTCTGTCTGCCTGGTTATCACCAGCCCCTAGCACAGTGCTTCATACATAATAGGTGCCCAATAAACATTTGCTGAGTCAATTGATGGAGACATGATCCTTGTCCTAGGCTTGCTTGCAGTGTCTAGTTTGTTGGGCGGCGGGGGGGGCGGGGGTTGGAGGGCATCAGTCAGTGGATATTTCACATGGTGGGGATGAGCAAAGGATGCTAGAAAAAACTCCAGGAAACACCTGACCCAGTGCATGGATGGGCCCAGTGTATGCATGGGTTAAGGCAAGCTTCTTGGAGGAGGTCCCACCTGAGCCAAGTCTGGAAGGATGAGTAGAAGTTAGCCAAGAGTACAAGGGCATTTCTGGTAATGGGAACCTGAAGAATAAAGGCATGGAAAAAAGGGAGCAAGGCATGTGCAGGGAACTGAAAGTAGACAAGGGTGGCTGGAGAGCAGCAAGGGAGGCCAGGGGATCTTCTGATTTCTTTTATGAGTGCCTTGGAAGCAAGAAGGTGTCCAGTCATTTCATTAGTATCATTAATGCCCACTGCAGCACCTCTAACAGTTTTGATGAATGAACACGTGACTGCATGGGTGAGCTAGTGAATGGATGAATGAGTGTGTTGATAAGTGGATGAATGAACTGTTGGATGAATAGATGGATACATTGGTAGATGGATGAATGGATAGATGGATGGATGGACTGGTGGATGGATGAATGGATGGATGCAAGGATAGGAAAAATTGATAGAATGGAATATAGTTGGATGGATGTAGGATGAGAGATGGGTGGATGGATGGATTGGTGGGAGGCAAGTGGCTAAGTAGGCAGATGGACAGATGAATGGATGAGTGAATAAATAGGTGGACAGAGGGATGGAGAGAATAAGTGGAGATGAACATGGCTGAGTGGATGGATGAGCAGATGGACAGAAGGGTGGAAGTGTAGTTGAGTGAGTGAGTAGGTGGATAAAAGGAGACATGAGCCAATAAATAAGTGAATGGATGGATGGGTGGGTTAGGGAATTGCAAAAATGAGTGGGTTGTTAAGTGGATGGATGAACAATGAATGAATGGGTGGATATTTTAGTGGATGGATGAGGAAAATGGGTATACTGGATGGATGAATGGAAGATGAGGGTGGATGATGGGTGAGCAGATGGATGGGTGGCAGGCAGGTGGTTAAGTAGGAAGATGGACAGAAGGATGGATGTGTGAATGGATATGTAGATAGGATAGAGAAAATAAGTGGGTAAGAGTATGTTTGAATGGATGGGTTAGTGAAGGGACAGATAGTTGGAAGCGTAGTTGAATGAGTGGGTAGACAAAAGGAGAGATGAGCCAATAAATAAGCAAATGAATGAATGAGTGGGTGGATAGATGGATGGGTGGATAAAGGGTGGATGAGTCGTGGGATGGAAAGTTAGTGAGGTACCCCTTGGCCAACACATTGTCTTTCCTTCCTGCTATCTCCAGCTACTGCCATGATTGTGGGTCTGCTGATTTTCCCAATCGGCCTTGCCTCCCCATTCATCAAGGAAGTGTGCGAAGCCTCCTCCATGTATTATGGTGGGAAGTGCCGGCTGGGTTGGGGTTACATGACTGCTATCCTCAATGCAGTCCTGGCCAGCCTCCTGCCCATCATCAGCTGGCCCCACACAACCAAGGTCCAAGGGAGGACCATCATCTTCTCCAGTGCCACCGAGAGAATCATCTTTGTGCCAGAAATGAACAAATAAAAATCTCCTGGGAGTAGCACAAAGGGCACACTCCAGAGTTTTATGAAATCATCATGTAGCCAACTTCAAATCCCATCTCTGCTCCTTCTTGCTGTGTGACTTCAGGCAAGCCACTTTACCTCTCTGGAACAGTTTTTTCTTCTGGAAAATGAAAGTTGAAATCATACCTACCTCATAAGGTTGTTCTGAGAATTCACTGGAGATGCTCTGTGTAAATAAAGCACTTTGCACCATGTCTGGCACATAGCGTTCAATAAATATTGGCTACTATTATTACAATCCTTACCTCAAGGACTGTGCTGAGAAGTCAACATCTTTAAGAAAACTGCCCAGGCTAATTCTGAGTTCATGGTTGTCACTCAAAAACTAAATTGTTTAATTGGCATGCGCATATTCTCTCTCCCTTCTCTTTTTATAATTCTTCCTTGTTTTAGATAATTTGAAAATTATTTATTTTCTCATCAAATATTTAGTGACTGCCTATTATGTATAAGATTTTGAGCCAATAGGCTGGGAGCGGTGGCTCACACTTGTAATCCCAGCACTTTGGGAGGCTGAGACGGGTGGATCATAAGGTCGGGAGTTCGAGACCACTCTGGCCAATATGGTGAAACCCCATCTCTACTAAAAATACAAAAATTAGCTGGGCGTGGTGGTGCATGCCTGTAGTCCCAGCTACTCAGGAGGCTGAGGCAGGAGAATTGCTTGAACACGGGAGGCGGAGGTTGCAGTGAGCTGAGATCACACCGCTGCACTCCCACCTGGGAGACACAGGGAGACTCTGTCTCAAAAAAGACAAAAAAAAAAAAAAAGAGCCAATTTTGGGGTGGGGAGAAGGAGTTAAGGACCTTTCTCACCCCTTATGAAAATAATCCCGTTGATGTGGAAACTACACTGTTACCTGGGACCCTTTAGAATCCATTTCCAACCTCTCTCTTCAGGCTCTTGTCACCCACCCAACCCCTGTGCCTCTCCTTCTAGCCACAGTAAACTTCTAAGCCCACAGCAGTCCTATTCCTGTGGCACGCCAGGACTCACCAAATGCAGGCCTCCATGACAACTGTTTCAGCACTGACCGAGTGCTTAAGTTTAATGTTAAAAGCCAGTGACCTTATACAAAGGCTGGAATGTAACAAAAGCCCACCAAGAGTTTTGCCTAGGCCTTTCCTGGGCCTCAAAGCATGACAAAATAACGAAGGAATTCTTAACACTACCCATTTTAGGATTAAACAAGTTTTACTGGGGTTCTGAAGAAACTCCCCAGGCCTCCACAAACAACTTTATTAGAGGTCTGAAGGAACCCCCCAAATCCCCGTGATTTAGCAGGAGACAAGATAAGGGTAATCATCTCATTACTTGGACCCATTTAGATTAGTAAATTTACTGAGGCTCCAGAGGAAGGTCTTCAAGACTCAGACCTTAGTTATAGATTAAAAGAAGTTAATTAATTAATTAATTAATTTTGAGATGGAGTTTTGCTCTTGTTGCCCAGGCTGGAGTCCAATGGCGTGATCTCAGCTGACTGCAACCTCCGCCTCCCGGGTTCAAGCGATTCTCCTGCCTCAACCTCCCGATTAGCTGAGATTACAGGCATGTGCCACCACACCCAGCTAATTTTTTTGTATTTTTAGTAGGGGTGGGGTTTCACCGTGTTGGCCAGGCTGGTCTCGAGCCCCTGACCTCAGGCGATCCACTCATCACAGGCTCCCAAAGTGCTGGGATTACAGGCATGAGCCACCGCGCCCGGTCCACTTACATCTTCAGATGAGTGCACACTTACATGTAGACATATAACTTAGAATATATAAGCTCTGGAAAACTTTGTAATTTTGAATTGGTCTGGCAATAATTTCCAGACCTTCTCCCTCTAACTGGTTACGGAAATAGGAAACTTTCTTTCTCCCCAGTTCATCTGCATCTCACTATTGGGTCATGAGAAATAGCAGCCTGACCCTCAGTTTGGTCCCGGAACATTCCCACCTCTACAGCTTGGCACATGCTGCTTGCTCGGCCAGGAGTCAATCTGTTGATTTCTCCTGTGTTGATACATTGCTCTTCTTCGGGAGCAGTACCCTAATCTTCCTATAAAAAATGACCCACAGTTGGCCAGGCGCCGTGGCTCACGCCTGTAATCCCAGCACTTTGGGAGGCCGAGGTGGGTGGGTCATGAGGTCAAGAGATCAAGACCAACCTGACCGACATGGTGAAACTCCATCTCTACTAAAAATACAAAAATTAGCTGGGGGAGGTGGTGCACACCTGTAGTCCCAGCTACTTGGGAGGCTGAGGCAGGAGAATTGCTTGAACCTTGGAGGCAGAGGTTGCAGTGAGCCGAGATTGTGCCACTGTACTCCATCCAGCCTGGTGACACAGTGAGACTCCGTCTCAAAAAAAAAAAAAAAAAAAAATGACCCACAGCCACTCTGTGGCCACCTTGGGCTTTAAGATGGATAAATGAGCCCTTCTGGCGAATCACACCTGGTCAGAATGATTGATTCAGAGTTGGGCATGGGCTCTGTGGAAGCCAGCATGGAGGAGAATAGAAGCACGAGATGGAGAGAGGTGGAGCTCTAAGAACTTCATCTGAACATCTGGACCCAGCCATACTTGACTCCTATCTGCAGAAGACATGGTCATAGGCAGCTCTAGGCTGGCATCTCCTAGCATAGCTGCCCCAGAGGAAAGAGTGAACTTCTCTTTCCTCTCTTGGTATATATAAATCCCAGGGAAGGGGTCTGATCGGCCTGCAATGAGTCATGTGCTCACCCCTGGGCAGGGAGGGCCATGTCAGGAGTCTCACTAGAAGGCCACCGTTATAGTTCCCCAAAGTTGAGGGGGTGCTGGTACCAGAAGGAGGGAAGGATGCTGAGCAGGCAGAAACTCAATGGCCAGTTCTCTCTTTAAGGGAGTCTTTCTTATCCCAATTTCACAGAAGTGAAAATCAAGGCTCAGAGAGGTAAAATTACTTGCCCAAGGCCACACAGCCGATCAGTGACAGAGCTGGGATTTGAACCCAGGTCTGTCAGACTCTGTGATAGATTCAAAATAACACCTGGATTTGTTTCCTCTGTCCCCATCCATCCAGCTCCTCATAATCAAACTCTTTTGGCTTCAAACACCCACCCAAGAATATACATGAACACCCCCCAGGAGTGATTCCACTGTTCTGAAGACACATAGTTCACAGAGAACACAGATTGTTATTTATCTTTCAGTATGAACAATAAGAACAACTTGACAGCTTTTTAAAACAGAACAATAGAAAAAAAGTAATAGCAAATCTAGGAAGATACCCCAAGGGGTTCAAATGGACTGAAGACCAGTGGTTCATTTCAAGTGTTATCAGAAGCACTTCAGTGCAAACCTGTCTCATATGGGTAGATGCCTTAAGCCTCGGGCAGATCCCAGTACAAGGAGGGGCAAGTGGAAGCCAGCAAGTAGAAGCTCAAACTCAGTCTGCACAGCACCTACTGGTGCTTGAAACATGCTGCCTCTTCTCTGTAATAACCTCACTATGGCCCCTGAGTTTCTTAATTTTCTCTTTGAACTGTTTCAGCAAAGCCAAAGGGAATGATTCTCCAGCCGGTAAAGCAGAATCAGTTACAGAGAGACTCTGTCTTTATTTGGCAATAGAGGGAGTGCTGCAATTTTCTCTTCATCAAAACAAGAGGCATCCATTGTTTGCAAGGAGTCCTGCACCTACAAAGCCTGGAAATTACTGTGCCCACAAATTTGAAAAAAGAAAGCCAGGAAGACATTGGAGCGTCCCTGTACCACATCCTTATGTAATGGAAAGTCTCCACAATCCCGTTGGTCATTTGAATTCTGCTGGAGTTGACTTAGAAATGGACTGGCAAGCTGGCACTTCAAAAAGTGTCAAATTGTGCTCCTCTAGAGTTTATACCTGTCCTGGGCTCAAGCTCTCAATATGCACAGTGGCTTGGAAGCCAAAAAGATGGGGAGCTGGGAGCCCTTTCCTGACAGCAGAATCAGATGCAGACTGCAGTGTCAGTGTAGATGATGCTCCTGCCAAGAACTGATGGCCTTATCATACCGAATTTCAGAGTTTCTCTAAGACATAGCCCAGGAGGGTCCAAGGCTCACCCTTTCTGGAGTTCTCCTCCTACAGCTGCATTCTCTTAAGTATCAAAGTCTCACCTGAGAACCTAAGAAAGGTAGACGATGGGAACTCAGGACAAATGGGTTCCCACCCCCATCCTCAGTGATGCTGAGGGGCAGAGAGTTCCAGTGAATGAGGGTGGAGGGGCCAAGACTGAGTCCAGAACCAAAGGAGGCATTATTATCTCCATTTTGCAGAAGTGGAAACTGAGGCTAAGAGGTGTGAAAGGTAACTACCCCAAATCACTAAGGAAAACTCCAGCTGGAAACTGCTTAGGGCAAACATGCCACTCATTCCATTCAAAGTTAGCCCTCTGCTCACTGAGCTAGATGCATATCTGATCGCCACCTTTGGAAAGGCTAATCAGAAACTGAAAAGAATGCAACCGTTTGTGTCTCACTCATCTGTGACCTGTAAGCTCCTTCCCCACTTCAAGTCTTCCTGTCTTTGCTTCAAGTTGTTTTGCCTTTCCAGACCGAACCAATGTATTTCTTACATATATTGATTGATGTCTCATTTCTCCCTAAGATGTATAAAACCAAGCTGTGCCCTGACCACCTTGGGCACATGTCGTCAGGACTTCCTGAGTCTGTGTCACAGGCATGTCCTCAACCTTGGCAAAATAAACTTTCTAAATTAACTGAGACCTGCCTCAGATTTTCTGGGTTCACAGAGGTAAAGGAATTTGCCCAAGGCCACACAGCCATAGTACCAGATCTGGGATCCTACATTATTGTTCCCCGAATATGTGGACAGAGCTATATGACATGATTTTAGTTGGTATGGTGAGAAAGTCATTCTTTTTTTTTTTTTTTTTTTGAGACAGAGTCTCGCTCTGTCGCCAGGCTGGAGTGCAGTGGCATGATCTCAGTTCACTGCAACCTCTGCCCAAGCAATTCTCTTGCTTCAACCTCCTGAGTAGCTGGGATTACAGGCGCCCCCCACCCACCACATCTGACTAATTTTTGTATTTTTAGTAGAGACAGGGTTTCACCATGTTGACCAGGATGGTCTCGATCTCCTGACCTGGTGATCTGCCTGCCTCAGCCTCCCAAAGTGTTGGGATTTACAGGCGTGAGCCACCGCACTCAGCAGAGAAAGTCATTCTTGTTTCAACTCCCCTTTGAATCCTCCAAGAAGAAAGGCTCATGGGGTACTAGCATGTCTTCAATGCCTCTCAAACTCTTGCTACATCTCTCTGTGAGAGAGAAAGAACAGGCTTCAGACTCAAAGCCCTTGGTAAGAAATAGTATTTTTGTAAAATAATCATTATTTCCTTTGACAGCTACAGTCTATTCTTTTTTTTTTTTTTTTTTTGAGATGGAGTTTCACTCGTCGCTCAGGCTGGAGTGCAGTGGCGTGATCTTGGCTCACTGCAACCTCCACCTCCCGGGTTCAAGTGATTCTCCTGCTTCAGTTTCCCAAGTAGCTGGGATTACAGGCGCTCGCTACCATGCCTGGCTAATTTTTGTATTTTTAGTAGAGACAGGGTTTCACCATGTTGGCCAAGATAGTCTCGAACTCCTGACCTCAAGTGATCCACTTGCCTTGGCCTCCCAAAGTGGTGGGATTACAGGTGTGAGCCACCATGGCCAGCCAAGACAGCGAACTTCTATTCTAAGAGCATCTGATGAAAAGAAAAAAAAAAAGATGAGAGAGAAGAGAAATCCCATCACAGTCCCTGATTACACCCTTACTTCCCTTCCCCCTGGGCTACTGAGATCTCAGGCCTTGGAGAGGACAGAGGGGAAGAAGGAAGATAAAATAAAATGGCAGAACATGGCTGCCAGCTGTTCTGAAATGGGAAGGCAAGGGCCTCCCAAATTCTTGGCATGAAAAGTGCTTCTCAGCTGCCCCAAGTTCTCTCCTATAAGCCAAAAGGAAAATTCTAGGAGAAAAGGAAATGGCAGATGGTTTAAAAAAAAAAATTGGAACATCCAGAAAGGGCTTCACACTGCAGTCTTGCTCTGTGTAAGACCAGCATAATTCAGGTAGAAAATGTGAGCACAGACGCTATCCAAGTGCTCTTTGATATAAGGAGAGGAGGCAAAAGAAGGGGAGAGAGAAGGGGGAGGAGGAAAGGAATATGATGAAGGGGAAGGAAAAGAGAAAGAGGTGCAGGAAAGGGGGATGAAGAGAAGAGCAGGGGCCACGATGCCAACTGCAGGTGCCCATGGAAACCAAGACCACTTCTTCAGCCCCACTGAGTCGTGAAAATGTGCCTCATGATCCAAGACCCATCTTTTCGCATCTATGCAAAGTTCAAGTGCATTTATTTATTTATTTATTTATTTATTTATTTATTTATTGAGACGGAGTTTCGCTCTTGTCGCCCAGGCTGGAGTGCAGTGGCGCGATCTGAGCAGCTGGGATTATAGGCGCCCGACACCACACCCAGCTAATTTTTTTGTATTTTTAATAGAGACGGGGTTTCACCATGTTAGCCAGGATGGTCTTGAACTCCTGACCTCGGGTGATCCACCCACTTCGGCCTCCCAAACTGCTGGGATTACAGGAGTGAACCACCGTGCCCAGCCCGAGTGCATGTATTTAGAAAAGCCTTTACAAAAGCAAAAATGTTCTCTTAGGATTTTTTTTCCCTGTAAAATATATTGCCAATGATCAAAGGCCAATAGCACATGTGACCAGGCATCTGTGCACACGCAACAGGTGCCCAGCACTCCCCAGGTCTGGCCGTGCCAGGCAGCTGCAAACAATAGTGGCGCCCTCCAGGAGTATAGCCCACGGACAGAGTTCAGGTTGAAGTCAGAGAAATGAGACTGGAGGCTTCAAGGGACAGTGGCAACATCAGGACCAGTATTTGCTCTGAGATGCTTCCCCCAGGAGGAAGCATATGTTCCAACTAAAAGAGCCCCCACCTGCCGGCTGCTGTGGGTTTCATTCTTGCCTCTGCTGGGAGTCTTCCAAGAAAGTGGTGATGTGGCACACCCAGGCAGCCAATGCCACCTGCAAACTTCTCCTCTACTTTGCTGGCTCAGTTGGAAATCTTTTTCTATTTAAAATCTGAAGTTTTGATGGTGCTCATTATATTAAATCAGGCTGCACTTCCGTAGCTGAAAACTAGTTTTCCTGAGTCCATGTTTAGAGACTGATGGAGATGGAGATCTGCGCAAGGTGCTCACTGCCTGATGACTATAGTTCTGAATGGCAGCCATGAGTGAGAACCAGCGATGTTGGGGGAAATGAACTCGTTGTCTTTGGGAGCATCAGAGGTGAGAAATGAGCTAGCTCAGCAGGTGGGATTCAGAGAAGTGTTAATTTAGAGCTATGCTCTCATGTCAAATGGCTGACTGGGAACCCCTCTTGTGCACTGGACCTTTGGGAATGTGGTAGACTCTTTGCAAAAATGGCCTCAATTATCTCCCAGCCTGGGTCCATGCTCCTTTTCTTTTTTTGAGACAGGATTTTGCATTGTCACCCAGGCTGAGGCACAGTGGCATGACCATGTCTCACTGCAGCCTCTATCTCCTGGGCTCAAGCAATCCTCCCACTTCAGCCTCCTGAGTAGCTGGGACCACAGACACACGCTACCACATCCAGCTAATTTTAATTTTTTTTTTGTTTGTTTGTTTGTTTTTGTTGGAGAGACGGAGTCTCATTATGTTGCCCAGGCTGATCTTGAACTCTTGGCCTCAAGTGATCCTCCTGCTTTGGCCTCCCAAAGTGCTGGGATTACAGGGGTAAGCCACTGTGCCTGGCCCATGCTCCTTTTCAGTGTCACTTTCCAAAGATTCTCATCAGGAAGTACAGTCTATTTCCCTACCCTATGAAGCTGGGCTGAGTCATGTGACTTACTCTGACCAACAGAATGTGGCAGAAATGACTTTATGCCAGAGAAGCTGAGACCAAGAGACAGTGTGTGTTTCTGCTTACCTTCTGGGATCTGCTATCATAGCCATGTAAACAAGCCTAAGCTAGCCTGCTGGAGGATGCAAGATACGGAATCCAGTTTCCCCCACTGCCCTAGTCAACAGCCAGACAACCATCAGAAGCAGAGTTGCCTATCTGGACATCAGCTGACCACAGACACATGAAGAAGTCTGAGAACAGAAGAACCTCCTAGCTGAACCTAGCCTGGGATGCTGACCCACAGAATTATGAGGTAAATACATGGCTGTTTTAAACCACTACTTTTTGGGTCATTTGTAATGCAGCATTACTTGTGGTAAGAGCCAGCTAATACAAGAAGTCAGAAGTGATTCACCTTTTCTGGGAAAAGGCCAGGCAGCTATTACAAAAATCTGACCCCATATAGGGTCACTGGGGTGTGAGTGGGAGGACACAGTCCTCAGAAGCAAGCATTTTTTTCTTTCAAATTAAAAAAAAAAAGACAAAAAAAAACAGATTCACATATTTCTCTGTTTATATATATTTTCTCTATATATAGACACAACTCTTCAGCAAACATTTACAAGATATGTGGGCCACACTGAAAAAAAGAGTGCACTCCGCGGACAGAACGAGTCCCACGCATCCAATTCCAGGACACAGAAACACACACAACATACAGAGATCTGAATAGGCACAGTAAACCAAATAAATATGACTTATTCCAAATCACAACCACAGATGCTCTCTGGAACATCACAAGAGAAGGCAGAGAAGAGATTTTGTGCTGTACTTTGAGACTAGTCTGTTAAAAAAATAAATAGGAATCAGAAGGTCTAGGACCTGGGTCTCACTAAAATAACATCCTCTGTAAAGAACAGCTGAACGGCAAAATAGTTTTCTCCGGAGGGGCCTTTTGCACATTTCTTCCTGTCTTGGGAAGCTAGGGGACGTAGGGGAGGGAGACGTAAGTCTAATGGCAGCCAGAACGTTGCCGTCTCCCGTTTCTGCTTTGGTGGGGGTAGGGTAGGAGCTGGGAGCCGGGAAGCTACTGTAGCCTCGAGTTTCCCACAGAGCTCTCTTCAGGAAGTAAGGGCTGGCTAGACCTCTATCCACCCTGCACCAGAGGCTGGGCAGAGGTTGGAGGTTCAGGTGCAGTTGAAGTTGCTATACCAAGGGAAAGAAGCCTTTACAAGCACACAAGGCAAGGATGCATCCCCGTCCTGGTGTGCTCAGGGTGGGAGGACTAATACACCCCTCCGCAAATGCTTCAATACGCTGCTTTACCTATCCTCTCCCTCTCCAAAATCCCAGCTGCTATTCTCTGACCACCCTAGAGGCGGCAGGTCTCCCGGGAAGAGCCTTTCTCTCTGCTGCTTGCTGGGTTTCCCCCATTCCGGGTGCATTCTCAGAACAGAAGAGCGGGAAAGACTGCTCTATTGAAAGGACAGGTAGGCAGAGTAAACTAGTTCACTTCGGGTCTGTTTGTGGATTGGTGATACTCTGTGTGAAGACCTGGAGAGGATTGTTCCCAGACCTAGCACGGCCCTGGACCCAGTTCATCAGCAGATGTTTCCCAAGGAAAACAGACATCACCCTCTACCCTGGCTGACCTCTGCCTTCCTTTTCCTCCTTTGTCCTGAGTGAGTAACTGCACTTAGAGAAAAGCTGCACCCCACCACCATTAAGTGGCTTTCACCAAACACACACCTTTCCAAGACCCAATACTTGGAAGGAGAGGCGGTTTTCCCTTGCAAGATGGCAGCAGGATACAGACTCTGCCCTGCCTGGGGGACTCTGAGCAGGACCCCAAAGAGCTCTGACCGTCTCATGCCTACACTTTTTGGGTCCACCGCCTATGTGGGGAGATACTTTTCTTGAAAAGAAGAAAACAAGTATCTTCTGGCATCAGACAGAGGAGAAAAAAGGAGAAAATACAACAGATGGAATCCCAGACTCCAAGAGAGATGTGTGAGGGACTCTTGTGTGCCTTTTCTTTTTTTTTTTGAGATGGAGTCTTGAACTGTCGCCCGGGCTGGAGTGCAGTGGCGTGATCTCAACTCACTGCAACCTCCACCTCCCAGGTTCAAGTGATTCTCCTGCCTCAGCCTCCCAAGTAGCTGGGATTACAGGCACCCGCCACCACACCCAGCTAATTTTTGTATTTTTAGTAGAGATGGGGTTTCACCATGTTGGCCAGGCTGGTCTCAAAACTCCTGACCTTGTGATCCGCCCACCTTAGCCTCCCAAAGTGCTGGGATTACAGGTGTGAGCCACCATGCCCGGCCTCCTGTATGCCTTTTCTAAGTGAGGGGAGGCGTCAGGACCAGGGTGGCTTAGCGTCAAAAGAATGGGGGAGGAAGTACATTTGTAGTCCCTTCTCCAAGCCAGTGGTTCTCAAATGGGGGCAATTTTGCCCTGCAGGGAACATTTCGCAATGTCTAGAGACATTTTTGGGGGCTGTCACAACCAGGGGTATGGTTGGGGGATGGCACTACTGGCATCTGGTGAGGCCCGGGATGCTGCTCAGCATCCTACAATGCAGGGGACAGTCCCCTCAAAAAGAATCACCTGGCCCCAAATGTCAGTAATGTCGAGGTGGAGGGTCAATCTCTAAGTCAATCTTCAGCCATGTCCAGAACATCGCCAAAGGCCCCTTGCAGAGGAGCATAGAGGTAGCCCCACACACCTCTTCTACACCAATTTCCAAAAAGAAGTTTCCTCCCCAGGTCTCATCTTACAAGACAGTTTGGAGGGATAGGGAAAGAAGAAGAGGAGACCATTCCGGGCACCAGCAAACAAAGATGGCTCCTCCTCCACCAACAACCTCCACCTCCTGCAAGGGAGGAACGCCAGACTTGGGCAATCTTTGGTCAAACAGGAAAATGTAAGGCTGAATTGAAGGGGTACTCCCTCCACCCCATCTGCCCAGAAGTAAAAGTCAGGGTAGTTTCTTTGCGCACTGAACTCCACGCTTGTGAACAGACACCAGGACCCCGCTCCCGGGGTGCCCATCCAGCCAGGAGGAAAAGTAAGCAGAGGAGCGGGGCAGGGGCAGCTTGGCTGAGGCTGCCGGGGTGAGGTGCCCCTCACTTGTTCTCAATCAGAGTCTGCACCTTGTACACGAGGTCCCGCGCCAGCTTCAGGACTTGCTTGGTGTTGTGTCGCTCAGCCATTTCTGAAAGAGCAGAAAGAAAAATCTCATGAGCCTCCTTCTGTGTCCAGTCTTAGGGTACAATTCCAGCCCCTGGAGGCTTCTCTGGGGGCATCTCCATCACAGATTGACTCAGGAAGCAGAGGCCCTGGAGAAGGCCTCTACCTCTGGACCTTAGTTTCCTCATCTGTAAAATGGGGATTGGAACAGCAGCCACCTCACCAAGTTACTGTGCGGATTGAATGGGATAATGCTGGTTCACAGGATGTGCCATAAAAAGGTGAGGTCGGCCGGGCATGGTGGCTCATGGCTGTAATCCCAGCACCTTGGGAGGCCGAGGCAGGTGGATCACCTGAGGTCGGGAGTTTGAGACCAGCCTGACTAACATGGAGAAACCCTGTCTCTACTAAAAATACAAAACTAGTCGGGTGTGGTGGCGCATGCCTGTAATCCCAGCTACTCAGGAGGCTGAGGCAGAAGAATCGCTTGAACCCAGGAGGCGGAGCTTGTGGTGAGCCGAGATTGCACCACTGCACTCCAGCCTGGGCAACAAGAGCGAAACTCCGTCTCAAAAAAAAATAAAAATAAAAATGAAAAGGTGAAGTCCTTCCACCCCTCTCCTATAAACAGAATGACTGAGAGCAGTGCTGGGCACACAGTAGACGCTGAAAGATATGAAAAGGAGGAAGCAACAGAGGGAGGAAAGATGGAGAAGGAAGAGGAGAAAGGGACAAAAAAACCAAAGAAAAAAATAATTTTATCAAGAGCCACACAATGTGGTCAGACTTCTAAGCCAAATAATCCTAAACGTAGACATTTATCATAAATAAACCATTTAGTAGAAAGAAAAAAAAGAAAAACACTAAAACTAAGACATGGTTCCCAAACTGGGTACCAAGGTACCCCAGCGTGTCATAGTGATTTGCAGGGGCACTGTGGAGTATTTGGGTATTTCGAGGGAAGCGTGGGAATACTCCATCTAAGTTGAGCACCATGTCAACTGTTAGCTGGAGTGAGTTCACAAATTTCACTACACTCCCATCAATAACTTTCTTCTTTTTTTTTCTTTTGAGACAAGGTCTCACTCTGTTGCCCAGGGTGGAGTGTGGTGTGGTGTGATCTCGACTCACTATAACCTCCACCTCCCAAGCTCAAGTGATTCTCATGCCTCCTCTAATCCCAACCTCCTGAGTAGCTGGGATTACAGGTATGCACCATCACGCTGGGCTAATTTTTGTATTTTTAGTAGAGACAAAGTTTTGCCATGTTGGCCAGAATGGTCTGGAACTCCTGACCTCAAGCAATCCACCCACCTTGGCCTGCCCAAGTGCTGAGATTATAGGCGTAAGCCACTGTACCCAGGGTCCCATCAATGACTTTGTCTTTGCAAAGCTAGGTTTTCAGCAGCTGCTGCAACAGAAAGTAAGTGCCATGGGCCAGGCCCGGTGGCTCACGCCTGTAATCCCAGAACTTTGGGAGGCCGAGGCGGGTGGATCATGAGGTCAGGAGATCGAGACCATCCTGGCTAACATGGTGAAACCCCATCTCTACTAAAAATACAAAAAAATTAGCTGGGTGTGGTGGTGGATGCCTGTAGTCCCAGCTACTTGGGAGGCTAAGGCAGGAGAATGGCATGAACCTGGGAGGCAGAGCTTGCAGTGAGTCGAGATCGCGCCACTGCACTCCAGCCTGGGTGACAGAGCAAGACTCCGTCTCAAAAAAAAAAAAAAGGCCGGGCACAGTGGCTCATGCCTGTAATCCCAGATCTTTGGGAGGCCGAGGTGGGCGGATCACGAGGTCAAGAGATCGAGACCATCCTGGCTAACACGGTGAAACCCCATCTCTACTAAAAATACAAAAAATTAGCCAGGTGTGGTGGCGGGCGCCTGCAGTTGCAGCTATTCAGGAAGCTGAGGCAGGAGAATGGCGTGAATCCCACAGGTGGAGCTTGCAGTGAGCTGGATTGGCTACTGCACTCCAACCTGGGTGACAGAGCGAGACGCCATCACAAAAAAAAAAAAAAAAAAAAAGAAAGTAAGTGCCATGTGAAAATCAATATGGAATAGAAAACAAAAGAGGTGGTGTCCAATCTGATTCCAAGGCTTGAGAAGGTATGCAAAGCCCAATGGGTGCATACACCCCATTAGCAATTGTGCTTATTCGGGAATGATGTAAAAATGTTATTTTCTTTAGATATATATGTATTATTGGCTAGGCACGGTGGTTCACACCTGTAATCCCAGTACTTTGGGAAGCTGAGGTGGGCAGATCACCTGAGGTTGGGAGTCTGAGACCAGCCTGACCAACATGGAGAAACCCTGTCTCTACTAAAAAAATACAAAATTAGTATTTTGTGGTTGTGCATGCCTGTAATCCCAGCTACTCAGGAGGCTGAGGCAGGAGAATCACTTGAACCCAGGAGGCGGAGGTTGTAGTGAGCTGAGATCATGCCATTGTACTCCAGCCTGGGCAACAAGAGTGAAATTCCATCTCAAAAAAAAAAAAAGATACATATGTATTATTTTTTCAATGGCTTCTAAATTGTTAGGATATAAATACTTATTAAGCGGTTTGGACTTAACTACTTACTAAATGAAACTTTTGGCCTGGGGTGCTGTTATAATTTTACAGAGACACTAGGGGTGCATGAATTGAGAAAATTTGGGAATCTTTATGCTAACAGATGAATTGCTTTGGACTCTCGATCACACCTTCAAACTGAAAATAACCTACATGCTAATGATAAGAAATGGTTCAGTAAGTTATAGAATAGTCACTTGAGATATATTTTGTAGTTTTAAAAAATGACTGGCTGGGCACAGTGGCTCACACCTATAATCCCAGCACTTTGGGAGGCCAAGGCAGACGGATCGCCTGAGGTCAGGAGTTCTAGACTAGCCTGGCCAACATGGCAAAACTCTGTCTCTACTAAAAATATAAAAATTAGCCGGGCGTGGTGGTGCGTGTCTGTAATCCCAGCTACTCAGGAGGCTGAGGCGGGAGAATCACTTGAACCTGGGAGGCGGAGGTTGCAGTGAGCTGAGATCGTGCCACTTCACTCCAGCGCGGGTAACAGAGTGAGACTCCGTCTCAAAAAAAAAAAAAGATTATATGAAAGACAATAGTTGAAATATTAAGTGAAAAAAGGCATATACAAGTGGATTCTGATTATGTAAAAACATAAAAATAAACATGACTGTGGTTTCCTGGATTAGACCCTAGAACAGAAAAAGGATACTAGTGAAAAACCAGGTGAAATCCAAATAAAGCCTGTAGTTTAATAGATGGTAACGTGCCAATGATAATTTCTTAGTTTTGGCAAATGTACCAGGGTTATGTAAATGCTAACAGTAGGCAAAGCGAGGCCAAGGTATCGTGCATTCTCTGTACATCTAAATCTAAAACAGTTCTCAATCTACAATTTTAGTAGACAATTAAAATGCAAAATTATTCCCCCAAAAAGTTTACTTAAATTAAGAACCCTAATAATGTTTCAAAAGTGAGGTCACAGTTGGCTTTTTTCTTTTGTTTTTTTCCAGAACTTTCTTTCATTAAAAACATTTTTAAATAGTGATAACAGTGGCAATAGCTTTTGTTTATTGGGTCCCTCCTATGAGCCAGGTACCACGTGCTGGGATTTAACCATGTTGTCTCCTGTAATCCTCTGGACCTCCCTGTGAGGGAGGGAGTGTTAGTACCATTTTATCCCTGAAGAATCCGAGGCCTAGAGACGTGAAGTCACTTGGACAAAGTCACACAGCTCCCAGGAGCCTGGATCAGAATTCGCATCTGTCTGATTTCAAAGGCTGTGTCTTTTTCGTGTTACTCAAATTGCTGCCCTGGGCCTGCTTTTCCTATGCATGTCAACCCTCCAAAGCAGACACTGCTAGCCCATTTCACAGATGAGGAAGTGGATGTTTAGAGAGAGGGGAAGTGACTTGACCATGGGCACAGCTGGTCAGCGATAGAACCAGACTTTGCCCCTGAGCTGATTTCAACATCTGTGGTCCCCCTGCCAGATCCCTGAGAAAAATGCACCCTCAGCATTACAAGATGTGAACTCGTCCTTTTGGAAATAGCCATAAGAAGTGTGCAGAGCCCTCTTTATCCCCTTCACCATGCATCCATCTCAGCCCATCTTCATTCCTCCTGAGATGCCCAAAAGGGGCCTCCAGAAGCCTGCACCCCTCTCATGAGGCCCCAGTCATGTGGGTACCATTAAAGAATTTGATGATGTCTGTGAAATCCATGTTGTTCTCCAAAATGATGTCACGGTAGACTTCCACCAGAGCCAGCGCAATGAACAGGACGTAGTGCGCAGAGGAGACGTGTTTGGCTGCCCAGATGGTCTCCCAGACCAAGAAGACGTCATCATAGACGAGTTCTGCCAAGACACCAACACACATGGGGAGAGAATTGGTGACGGGGCTCACAGTGTTGCCCTGCCTTGGGAAGCCCCCCAAGGTGGGAAAATCCCGGGCAAGTTTTGCCTTATGCCTGTGCCCTGGTGCAGTGGATAGAACTCAGGTCAGAAGGCAGGAGACCTGGGCTCTGTCATTTGACCACCAGAAACCTCAGTTTTCCCCATCTGTAGGATGGGCTGTGTAAGCCAGGTGAGTTCTAAGTTCCTTCCAGCTCTGACATTCTGTAAGTGGCAGAACCAGGCACGTGCAGGTATGAATTACATGGATCTGTCCTTGCCCTGCCCTTTGACAAGCAACACCTGCTATCCCTGCACCTCCATCTCCATTAGCACCCATAGAGCCCTTTCTTCTTTCCCCCCACACACTGGCAGAGCCGGCTGTGGCCTCTGAGTCTAGTGAAGAGAAAGAATAGAGCAACGGTTCAAAGCAAGCCTTTGGCTGGGCATGGTGGCTCATGACTGTAATCCCAGCACTTTGGGAGGCCGAGGCGGGTGGATCACGAGGTCAGGAGTTCAAGATCAGCCTGGCCAAAATGGTGAAACCCCCATCTCGACTAAAAATACAAAAAAAATTAGTCAGGCATGGTGGCAGGTGCCTGTAATCCCAGCTACTCAAGAGGCTGAGGCAGAGAATTGCTTGAACCCAGGAAGTGGAGGCTGCAGTAAGCCGAGATTGCACCACTGCACTCCAGCCTGGGTGACAGAGCCAGACTTCATCTCGAAAAAAAAAAAAAAAAAAAAAAAAAGGCCGGGTGTGGTGGCTCACACCTGTAATCCCAACACTTTGGGAGGCTGAGGTGGGTGGATCACCTGAGGTCAGGAGTTTGAGACCAGCCTGGCCAAATATGGTGAAACCTGCCTCTACTAAAAATACAAAATAATTAGCCAGGTATGGAGGCGGGTGCCTGTAATCCCAGCTCCCAGCTACTCGGGAGGCTGAGGCAGGAGAATCATTTGAACCTGGGAGGCGGAGGTTGCAGTGAGCCAAGATCGCGCCATTGCTCTCCAGCTTGGGCAACAAGAGTAAGACTCCGTCTCCAAAAAAGAAAAAAAAAAAGAAAAGCAAGCCTTCCTATGTCCGATAAACTTGGTGTGAATCCTTCCTTCCTCCATCACTTGCTGGCAAGGGGAGCCTGGGGTAGTTACTTCTTCATGAGCCTGTCTCTTTCCTCATCTGTAAGTGGGCTGAAGCTGATAACAGAAAAAGACTAAAGAGATAATACATACAAATGACTCAGCACAGTGCGTGGCACTAAAACACTCCATACATGTCAGATTTTTTTTTTTTTTTGAGATGGAGTCTTGCTCTGTCACCCAGGCTAGAGTGCAATGGTGTTATCTCGGCTCACTGCAACCTCCGCCTCCCAGGATCAAGCGATTCTCCTGCCTCAGCCTCCTGAGTAGCTGAAACTATAGGCATGTGCCACCATGCCCGGCCAATTTTTTGTATTTTTAGTAGAGACAGGTTTTCACCATGTTAGGTCTCAATCTCCTGACCTCATGATCTGACCGCCTTGGCCTCCTAAAGTACTAGGATTACGGGCATGAGCCACTGCACCCGGCCCATGTCAGATACTATAATTATTAACATCACCCCAAATCTGAACAATAGCAACAAGGTACTGTGTTATACATCACTTTTATGTCATGTTGGAAACGTGCATGAAATAGTCCCTGCTTCATGGGCTTTAGAGTTCTTGGGCTCTGAAAAGCAGCACAGCAGAATGAAAGAGATGGGTTCAAGTCCTGGCTGTACTCACCCTAGCCCTGAAGTTAACTCTCCCTAGCTCTGAACTTAACCCTTCTCAGCCTCGGTTTCCTCACTGGTAAGATGAAGATCTTAACAGCACCTACTACAGAGTGTCAGTGCAAGATAAGGCAGGTGAAACGGTAGTCTGGACTCCATAAACATGTGCTTCTCTCCTCTGCTGCCTCTGTTGCCAACCCCTCAACCTCACCTCCACGGGATCTTTTCCCCTGAAAGTTCTGCTACAAAGAGTCTGGACACAGGTCCCCAATTTAAAGTCTGTACCTCGCTTGAAATCCAGCAGGAACCAGCGGTAGCAGAAGTAGAAGTGAGTATAGTCCCCGTTCTGATGCATCAGCTCAAACAGCTCTGAGTCCAGGATCTGTCAAGGAAGGAAAGGCAGCATCAGCCTCCTGGGAAAAGGTTGGAGCAGAGGAGACAGCTGAATAAATGGTGGTACATCCACACACCAGACACCATACGGTCCTTAACAGCCAGTTACAGTTTAAAAAATGGGAAAAGATCTGAATAGACATTTGTCCAAAGAAGATTCACAAATGGCCAAGCGGCATATGAAAGATGCTCAGCATCCTTAATCCTTAGGAAAATGCAATTCAAAACCACAACAAGATACCAATTCACACGCACTAGGATAGTTAAAATTAAAAATGACAGACAATAAAAAGTGTTGGCGAGGATGCAGAGAAACTGGAACCCCCATACACTGCTCCTGAGAATGTAAAATGGTGTGTGCTGTGGAAAACAGTGTGGTAGTTCCTCAAAAACTTAAATACATCATTTCCATATGATGCAGCAATTCCACTCTTAGGTATATACCCAAGAAGAATGAAAACATCTGTTGGTCAGGTGTGGTGGCTCAGCACTTTGCGAGGCCAAGGCAAGAGGATCACTTGAAGCCAGGAGTTTGAGACCAGCCTGGGCAACATAGCAAGACCCTGTCTCTAAAAAAAAAAAAAAAAAAAAGAATTTTTTATTAGCCTGGCATGGTGGCCTGGGCATGTAGTCCCAGCTACTCAGGAGGCTAAAGTGGGAGGATCACTTGAGCCCAGGAGTTCAAGGCTGCAATGAACTATGATTACACCACTGAACTCCAGCCTGGGTGACAGAGTGAGACCCTATCTAAAAAAACAAAATGAAAACAAAAACATATCCACATAAAAATCTGTACATGAATGACTGTGTGTAATGTGTTATTCATAATAGCCAACAACTGGGAAACAACTCAAATGTCCATCAAGACATGAATGGATAAATAAAAAGTGGCCTATCCATACAATCTAATTTAATATTATCTCGTAATAAAAACAAATTTTTTTTTTTTGAGACTGAGTCTCACTCTATTGCCCAGGCTGAAGTGCAGTGGTGCGATTTCAGCTCACTGCAACCTCTGCCTCCCAGGTTCAAGCGATTCTCGTGCCTCAGCCTCCCAAGTAGCTGGGATTACAGGCGCCCGCCACCAGGCCTGGCTAATTTTTGTTATTTTTAATAGAGACGGACGGGGTTTCACCATGTTGGCCAGGCTGGTCTTGAACTCCTGGCTTCAGATGATCCACCCGCCTTGGCCTCCCAAAGTGCTGGGATTACAGGAGTGAGCCACCGTGCCTGGCCTCGAACTAAGTTTTGATACATGCTACAATGCATCATACATACAGGATAAACCTTGACATCATTATACTAGGTAAAAGAAGCCAGTCACAAAAGGCCACATATTGTATGATTCCATTTACATGAAATGTTTAGAAAAGGCAAATCCACGGAAACAGAAAGTAGCTCCTTGGTTTTCAGGGGCTGGGGAGATGGAGGGGATGGGGAGTGGTTGTTAGTGAAGAATTTCTTTCTGGGGTAATGAAAATGTTCTGAAATTGGTGTTGTTGCATAACTCTGTGAATAAACGAAAAGCCACTGAATCGTACACTTCAAAAGGGTAAATTTTATGTATCTAAATTATATTTTAACAAAACTCTTATAAAAAAAAACAGATGGTGGACGAATACCTCCAGCTATTGGATATGCTATTCAGTGGGAAAAAAACATGTTTGAAAAATAATGTACAGAAAGAAAAGTATGTACAAATGACTCTAATTATGGAAAACATGTACATAGAAAATGGGCAAAGCATATGAATAGGCACTTCACAATCCAAATGAACCAAAAACTAGAAGATACTCAATTTCACTGTCAATCAAGACAATGCAAACAAAATCACAATGAAAAAAACTGAATGAAGAGGACATACTATTTGATCGCACAGCAGGGTAACTATGGTCAATAATAATTTCACTGTACATTTTAAAATAACTAAAAGTGTATAATTGGATTGTTTGGAGCACAAAGGATAAATGCTTGAGGGATTGGAAACTCTATTTTCCACAAACTCTATTTTCTTATTTCACATTGCATGCCTGTCTCAAAACAACTCATGTACTCCACATATATATACACCTATTATGTACCCACAAAAATTAAAAATAAAAAAAATTATAAATCACAATGGGATGCTCGATCATATCCAAGAGATTGGCAAAAATATATAAGTGTGACAATATCAAGTGAGGATGGTGTGTGTTGAAATCCTTACCATACTGCCCTGGAGCATTAAGAAACTAGTACAATCACTTTAAGAGTGATTCGGTTGTGCCTGATAAAACTGAGGATGTGCATTCCCTCTGCTCCAGCAATTGGACTCTGAGTAGATGCCCAAGCAAAGTTGTTGCGTGCATGCAGCAGGGATGCACACAAGAATTTCAGTGCAGCGCTGTTTGTTTATTTATTTATTTATTTATTTATTTTGAGACGGAGTCTCGCTCTGTCGCCCAGGCTGGAGTCCAGTGGCGCGATCTCGGCTCACTGCAAGCTCCGCCTCCCGGGTTCACACCATTCTCCTATCTCAGCCTCCGGAGTAGCTAGGACTACAGGCGCCCGCCACCGCGCCCAGCTAATTTCTTCGTATTTTTAGTAGAGACGGGGTTTCACCGTGTTAGCCATGATGGTCTCAATCTCCTGACCTCGTGATCCGCCCGCCTCAGCCTCCCAAAGTGCTGGGATTACAAGCGTGAGAAACCGTGCCCGGCCGCAGCACTGTTTATAAAGGCCAAAAACAAAACCCCAAATTCCCCAAAGCAAAAGCAAAACCAAACCAAATAAAAACAGCCTAAATGACCACCAACAGGAAAATGGATCCAAATCAAATGTGATAGAATGCGTTGTACTCCTAACACAAAAGACTGTACTTCCGGGAAAGAGGAATCAACTGCCCCGTGGTTGACGAGCCTCTCAAACTCCTTACTGAGTATAAAGACGAGCTGCACAAGAGTTCATACCATTTAAAATATTTATGTAAAGTGGGGAGTAAAGAAACAGAGTTGTATGCTGTTTAGGAATATATGCATATATTGTAAAAGAATTTTTAAAAATGCATTATAATGGTGAACATAGGAATCTGCAAAGTGCTTACCACTGGGAGGACAGGAGTGATGGGGAAAAGCCATCAAGAAGGGGTACACGAATAATGAAAAATCTATGGTTAATTTTTTTTTGGGGGGGGGGACAGAGTCTCGCTCTGTCACCCAGGTTGGTGTGCAATGGGGCTATCTCGGCTCATTGCAATCTCCACCTACCGGGTTCAAGCAATTCTCCTACCTCAGCCTCCTGAGTAGCTGTAGCTGGGATTATAGGCGTGTGCCACCACACCTGGCTAATTTTTGTATCTTTTTTTTTTTTTTTTTTGAGATGGAGTCTTGCTCTGTCGCCCAGGCTGGAGTGCAGTGGCGCCATCTCAGCTCACTGCAAGCTCTGCCTGCTGGGTTCACACCATTCTCCTGCCTCAGCCTCCTGAGTAGCTGGGACTTTAGGCACCCGCCACCAGGCCTGGCTAATTTTTTTGTATTTTTTTAGTAGAGACAGGGTTTCACCGTGTTAGCCAGGATGGTCGCGATCTCCTGACCTCGTGATCCGCCCGCCTCAACCTCCCAAAGTGCTGGGATTACAGGCTTGAGTCACTGCACCCGGCCAATTTTTTGTATTTTTAGTAGAGACAGTGTTTCACCGTGTTAGCCAGGATGATCTCGATCTCCTGACCTCGTGATCCACCCACCTCAGCCTCCCAAAGTGTTGGGATTACAGGCATGAGCCACCGCACCCCGGCCAATGTTTGTATTTTTAGTTAGAGATGGGGTTTCACCATGTTGGCCGGGCTGGTCTCAAACTCCTGACCTCAAGTGATCCGCCCGCCTCTGCCTCCCAAAGTGCTGGGATTACTGGCATGAACCACCACCCCAGGCCTATGGTTAATGTGTTATTTCTTGGGGAGGTGGGGGTGGAAACATGGGTGTTCATTATATTACTCTTTTACCTTTCTTATGTCCAAAATACTTTGTAGTATTTTAAAGTTCCACTAAAGAAGAAGTCAGAGCTAACTGTAGCCCCACTGCTAGTGTGTAGATAATAAAGCATCCATAATATTTACTCAAGTTAACACATTTGCATTCCTTCTAATCAAAGGGTTGAGTGTCTTAATTCCTCTGGGGAGTAGATATACCAATCGCTATGAATGCCAAAGAGCTAGCATTTATTACAATACTTCTCAAAATCGAGCTTGCACCAGAATTACCTGGAGAGCTTCATATGGCACAGACTCCTGGGCCCAACTCAGAGATTTTTATTCGGTGGAGGAAAGGTGCCCAGTAATTTGCACTTCTTTTTTTCTTTCTTTTTTTTTTTTTTTTTTGAGATGGAGTCTTGCTCTGTCGCCCAGGCTGGAGTGCAGTGGCTCGATCTCGGCTCACTGCAAGCTCTGCCTCCCAGGTTCACGCCATTCTCCTGCCTCAGCCTCCAGAGTAGCTGGGACTACAGGCACCTGCCTCCATGCCCTGCTAATTTTTTTTGTATTTTTAGTAGAGATGGGGTTTCACCGTGTTAGTAATTTGCACTTCTAACAAGTTGCCAGGTGAGGCTGATGTTGCCAGCCCGTGGACTATGCTCTGAGAGGCACTGACATGCACTGTGCTAAGCACTATAAAATCATTAGTTTACTTCATTTCCATGATAATTCTAATAATTTATTGGGACTCATATAAGTGAGAAAACCTATTTCCCAGATAAGAAAACTGAGGCCCACAGAGATAAGAGTATATGCTGAGTTTGTATGGCAGAAATACAAACCTGGATTCCAATCCAGGTGGGCTCTAAATAGCTCAGTCTGGAGCCACTAAGCTTTACTAACTGTTTCCCAAAAAAGTCCAAAGCAAGAATGGATGCTGGGTCATACCTGGATCAACGATCTCATGTTTGCAAAGTGCGTGTCCATGGCGCCTCCGTGGGGGAAGTTCTGGTTCATCCTCTTCATGAGCTCCGTGAAGCAGCTGAAGGCAAGGGCCTCTGAGAAAGCATCACAGAACAGTCAGATGCCCCGCTGCCCAAGTGATATGGTTCAGATGTTTGTCCTCTCCAAATCTCATGTTGAAATATGACCTCCAATGTTGGGGGTGGACCTTTTTTGTATTTTTAGTAGAGACGGGGTTTCACCGTGTTAGCCAGGATGGTCTTGATCTCCTGACCTCGTGATCTGCCTGCCTTGGCCTCCCAAAGTACTGGGATTACAGGCCTGAGCCACTGCACCTGGCCAAAAGGCTTTATTTTTCAGAAAAGTTTTGATTTACAGAAAAACTGAGAAGACAGGAAAGACTTCTCATGCACCCCACACGTGGTTTCCTCTATTAATATCTGGACATTAGCATGGTACATTTGTTGAACCAATACGGACACATTATGAACTAAAGTCCATATTGTATTCAGATTTCCTTAGCGTGTACTGAATGTCATTTTTCTGTTCCAAGCTCTCATCCAGAACAGCACATTACATCAATTGGTTATGTTCCCTTAAGCTCCTCTTGGCTGTCGCAGTTTCTCAGGCTTTTCTTGTTTTTGATGACCTTGATAGTTTTTTTTTTTTTTTCCTTTTTTTTTAAGACAGAATCTCGCTCTGTCGCCCAGGCTGGAGTGCAGTGGCGCAATCTTGGCTCACTGCAAGCTCCGCCTCCCAGGTTCACGCCATTCTCCTGCCTCAGCCTCCCAAGTAGCTGGGACTACAGGCGCCCGCCACCAAGCCCAACTAATTTTTTTGTCTTTTTAGTAGAGACGGGGTTTCACCGTGTTAGCCAGAATGGTCTCGATCTCCTGACCTTGTGACCTGCCTGCCTCAGCCTCTCAAAGTGCTGGGATTAAAGGCGTGAGCCACCGCGCCTAGAGACCTTGATAGTTTTGAGGCGTACTGGTCAGGTATTTTTGCAGGATGCTGCACTATTAGTAATGGAATTTATCTGATGCCTTTCTCATGGTAAGACTGGGCTATGGGTTATCGAGAGGAAAACCACAGAGGTAATGGGCCAGTTTAATCACATCATAAGGGTATATACTGTCACCATGATTTATGACTGCTGATGTTGGCCATGGTCACCTGGCTGAGGTCGTGTTTGTCAGGTTTCTCATCCCATCACTGCCTTCCATACTGCACTTTTTGGAAACAAGTCACTATGTGCAGTCCGTGTCTAAAGTGTAGGTAGTTGGCCAGGCATGGTAGTTCATGCCTGTAATCCCAGCTACTCGGGAGGCTGAGGGAGAAGAATTGCTTGAACCTGGGAGGCGGAGATTGCAGTGAGCTGAGATGGCACCATTGCACTCCAGCCTGGGCAACAAGAGTGAAACTCCATCTCAAAAAAAAAAAAAAAAAAAGTGGGGAATTATGCTCCCCATTTATTATGTATTTATTTATTTAATTAATTTTTGAGACAGGGTCTCATTCTGCCACCCAGGCTGGAGTGCAGTGGCACAATCACGGCTCACTGCAGCCTCGACCTTGGCAGCCTCAAGTGATCCTCCTGCCTCAGCCTCCTGAGTAGCTGGGACCACAGGTGTCTGCCAACACACCTGGCTAATTTTTCTATTTTTTGTAGAGGTGACGTTTCACCATGTTGCCCAGGCTAGTCACAATCTGCCCACCTCCACCTCCCAAAGTGCTGAGGTTACAGGCTGAGCCACCACGCCTTGCCTATTTATTTTATTTTATTTATTTATTTTGAGACAGAGTCTTGCTGTGTCACCAAGGCTGGAGTGCAGTGGCACGATCTTGGCTCACTGCAACCTCTGTCTCCTGGGTTCAAGTGTTTCTCCTGCCGCAGCCTCCCGTGTAGCTGGAATTACAAGTCCCCACCACAATGCCTGGCTAACTTTTGTATTTTTAGTAGAAATGGGGTTTCACCATGTTGGCCAGGCTGGTTTCCAACTCCTGACCTCAAGTGATCCACCTGCCTCGGCCTTCCAAAGTGCTGGGATTACAGGTGTGAGCTACTGGGCCTGGACTTATTTATTACATTTTAGAGACAGAGTCTTGCTGTCCCCCAGGCTTGGAATGCAGTGGCATGATCATAGCTCACTGCAACCTCCAACTCCTGGGCTCAAGCAATCCTCTTGTCTTAGCCTCCTGAGTAGCTGGGACTGCAGGTGTGCACCACCATGCCCAGCTAATTTTTAAATTTTTATAGAGATGGAGTCTCACTATGTTGCTCAGGCTGGTCTCAAACTCCTGATCTCAAGCAATCCTCCTGCCTCCCAAAGTGCTAGGATTATAGGTGTGAGCCATTGCACCCAGCCCCCATTTTTTTAACAGGTTTATTGAGATTCTCATATAAAATTCACCCTTTAAATGTACCACTTAGTGGTTTTAGTACATTCACAATGTTGTGCAATCACCACTATTAGTTCCAGAACATTTCTTTACCCCCCCAACCCCAAAATCCCTATATCAATGAAGCAGCAACTTCACATCTCTTTCTCCCCCAAGTCCCTGTCAACGACTAGTCTTTCTGTCTCCATGGATTTGTCTATTCTGGACATTTCATATAAATGGAATCACACCATTTGTGAACTTTTGTGTCTGGCTTCTTTCACTTAGCATTATGTTTTCAAGGTTCACCCACATTGTAGTTTGCATCAGAACATCATCCTTTTTTTGCCAAATAATATTCCATTGTATGGATATACCACATTTTGTTTATGCATTCATAATTTGATGGACATTTGGACTGTTTCCACTTTTTTGGGTATTATGAATAATGCTATTATGAACATATATGTACAGGTATTTGTATGCACATATATTTTCAATTCTCTTAGGCATATATCTACGGATGAAATTGCTGGGTCGTATGATAACTCTATGTTTATTACTATGAGAAACTGCCAGACTGTTTTTTAAAGTGGCCAAACCAGCCAGGCATGGTCGCTCACGCCTGTAATCCCAGCACTTTGGGAGGCCAAGGTGGGTGGATCACCTGAGGTCAGGAGTTCGAGACCAGCATGGCCAGCATGGTGAAATCCCGTCTCTACTAAAAATACAAAAATTAGCCAGATGTGGTGGTGGGCGCCTGTAATCCCAGCTACTTGGGAGGCTGAGGCAGGAGAATTGCTTGAACCCAGGAGGTGGAGGTTGCAGTGAGCTGAGATGGTGCCATTGCACTCCAGCCTGGGTGACAGGATGAGACTCCATCTGAAAATAATAATAATAATAATAAATAAATAAATAATAAAGTGGCCAAACCATTTTACAATTCCACCAGCAATGTCCAAAGCTTCCAATTTCTCCATATTCTTATCAACCCGTGATTTTCTATTGTTTTGATTCTAGCCATCCCAGTGTATATGAAGTGGTATCTCACTGTGGTTTTGATTTCCATTTTCCTAATGAGTAACGATGTAGAACAGCAGTCCTCAACTTTTTTGTTACCAGACACCAGTTTCCTGGAAGACAATTTTTCCATGGACAGGGAGTGGAGTCGGGGGGATGGTTTCTGGATGAAACTGTTCCACCTCAGATCATCAGGCATTAGATATTCAGAAGGAGTGCACAACCTAGACCCCTCACATGCACAATTCACAATAGGGTTCACGCTCCTATGAGAATTTAATGCCACCGCTGATATGACAGGAGGAGGGAGGTGGAGCTCAGGCTGTAATGCTCACTAGCCTACTGCTCACCTCCTGCCGTGCGGCAAGGTTCCTGTCTGTGGCACAGGGCTTGGGGCCCCGATGTAGAGCATCCCTTAAT
This sequence comes from Homo sapiens, assembly GCF_000001405.40. Lineage (NCBI taxonomy): Eukaryota > Metazoa > Chordata > Mammalia > Primates > Hominidae > Homo > Homo sapiens. Next base: position 24,908,918 of record NC_000022.11, on the reverse strand, counting down.
GTGCTTATTGGCCATTTGCATATTAGCCATTTGCATATCTTCAATTCTATTGAGAAATGTCTATTCAAATCCCTCACCCACTTTAATCAGGTTGTCTTTCTTTCTTTTTTTTTTTTTGAGATGGAGTCTCGCTCTGTCGCCCAGGCTGGAGTGCAGTGGCGCGATCTCGGCTCACTGCAAGCTCTGCCTCCTGGGTTCATGCCATTCTCCTGCCTCAGCCTCCCGAGTAGCTGGGACTACAGGCGCCCGCCACCACGCCCAGCTAATTTTTTGTATTTTTAGTAGAGACAGGGTTTCACCATGTTAGCCAGGATGGTCTCGATCTTCTGACCTCGTGATCTGCCCGCCTCGGCCTCCCAAAGTGCTGGGATTACAGGCGTGAGCCACCGCGCCTGGCCAGGTTGTCTTTTTACCGTTGAATTGTAAGAGTTGTTTATATATTTTGGTTACAAGTCCTTTATCACGCATATGACTTGCAAATATTTTCTTCTAGTCTTTGGGTTCTTTCCACTTTCTTGATGGTGTTCTTTGAAGTACAAAAGTTTTTAATTTTGATGAAGTCTAATTTGCCTATTTTTTCTTTCTTTATGTTTTTGGTGTCATATCTAAAAAAAATTCCCTAGCCCAAGGTGACAAAGATTTACTCCTGTTTTAAATTTTACAGTTTTAGTTCTTACATTTAGGTCTATGATCCATTTTGAGTTAGTTTGTTGTATGTGGTGTGAGGTAAGGGTTCAACTTCAATCTTTTGCATATGTCTGTCCAGTAGTTCTTGCACCATAAGTTGAGAAGACTGTTTTTCCTCACTGAGTTGAATTGTCTTAGTATCTCTGTCAAAATCAATTGACCATCAATGTAAGGGCTTACTTATGGGCTCTCAATTCTATTCCATTGATCTACATGTTGATCCTTACAGAAATATCACTATTTTAAGTATCTTTGTAGTAGGTTTTGAAATCAGGTACTGTGAGTCCTGCAACATCTTTTTTTTTTTTTTTTTTTTTTTTGAGATGGCGTCTTGCTCTGTCACCTAGGCTGGAGTGCAGTGGCGCGATCTCAGTTCATTGCAAGCTCCGCCTCCCGGGTTCATGCCATTCTCCTGCCTCAGCCTCCTGAGTAGCTGGAACTACAGGTTCCTGCCACTGTGCCCAGCTAATTTTTTGCATTTTTAGTAGAGATGGGGTTTCACCATGGTCTCGATCTCCTGACCTCGTGATCTGCCCACCTCAGCCTCCCAAAGTGCTGGGATTACAGGCGTGAGACACTGCGCCCGGCCAACATATCCTTTTAAAAATTGTTTTGGCTATTCTAAATCCCTTGAATTTCCATATCAACTTTAGGGTCAGCTTGTTAATTTTTGCAAAAAAACCAAAAAACCAAAAAAAACAACAACAAAAAACAAAGGCAGCTGGGATTTTTGACAGAGATTGCACTGACTTTACAGATCATTGGAGAGCATTGCTACCTTAACAACACTAAGTCTTCCAATCCATGAATATGAGATATCTTTCCATTTATTTGGGTTTTTAAAATTTATTTCAACAATGCCTTGTAGTTTTCAATGTACAAATCTTGCATTTCTGTTAAGTTTACTCATAAGTATTGTATTCTTTTATTTATTTATTTATTTATTTATTTATTTATTTATTTATTTATTTGAGATGGAGTTTTGCTCTTGTCACCCAGGCTGGAGTGTAATGGCGCAATCTCAGCTCACTGCAACCTCCACCTCCCAGGTTCAAGCAATTCTCCTGCCCCAGCCTCCCAAGTAGCTGGGATTACAGGCACCCGCCACGATGCTGGGCTAATTTTTGTATTTTTAGTAGAGACAGGGTTTCACCATGTTGGCCAGGCTGGTCTCGGACTCCTGACCTCAGGTGATCCACCCACCGAGGCTCCCAAAGTGATGGGATTACAGGCGTGATCCACCATGCCCGGCCTATTTATTTATTTTTTATTTTACTTTTTGAGATGGAGTCTCACTCTGTTGCCCAGGCTGGAGTGCAGTGGTGCAATCTCAGCTCACTCCAACCTCTGCCTCCCAGGTTCAAGCAATTCTCCTGCCTCAGCCTCCCAAGTAACTGGAATTAGAGGCATGCGCCACCACGCCTGGCTATTTTTGTTTACTTTTTTTTATGTTTTATTTTTAGTAGAGACTGGGTTTCACCTTGTTGGTCAGGCTGGTCTCAAACTCCTGACCTCAGGTGATCCACCCGCCTTGGCCTCCCGAAACGCTGGGATTACAGGCATGAGTCACTGCACCCAGCCAGTACTGTATTCTTCTAGATGCTATTGCAAATAAAATTGTTTTCCTAATTTCATTTTGGGATTGTTCATTTCAAGTGTATGGAAATACAAGAGACTCTTGTTTATTGATCTTATATCCTGCAACCTTGATACACTTATCAGTTTTAATTATTTTATTCCTTAAGATCTTCTATACGCAAAATCACATCATCTGTGAACAAAGATAGTTTTACTTTCTTTCCAATCTGAATTACTTTTATTTCTTTTTCTTTCTTAATTGCCCTGGCTAGAACCTTTGGCGGCAAAAATAGACATACTTGTCCTGTTCCTGCTCTCAGGGAGGAAGTGTTCAGTTTTTCACCATTGAGTATGATGATATTTGTGAGGTTTCCATAAATGCCCTCTATCGTGTTTAGTTTCCTTCTATTCCTAGTTTGTTGAATGTTTTTATTATGAAAGGGTGTTGGATTTTGTTGTGTTTTTCTGTGTCAATTGATATGATTGTGTGGGTTTTTCCCTTTATTTTAGTAATGTAGTGAATTAAATTGATTGATTTTTGCATGTCAAACCATCCTTGCATTCTGGAGATAAGCCCTACTTGGTCATGGTGTATAAGCTTTTTTATATCTTGGTGAATTAAGTTTATTGGTATTTTGTTGAGGATTTCTGCATTTGTATTATTGAAGGATATTGGTGTGTAGTTTTCTTGTTATGTCTTTGTCTGTTATTGGTATCTGGGTGCCAATGAGACACCCAGTCCTCATATGAGGTCTGGCTTTATTGAATGAGTTAAGAAGCATTCCTTCCTTTTCTACGTTTTTGAAGAGTTCACGAAGAATTGGCATTAATCCTTCTTTTCTTCTTTTCTTTTTTTTTTTTTTTTGAGACAGAGTCTTGCTGTGTCTCCCAGGCTGGAGTACAGTGGTGTGATCTCGGTTCACTGCAAGCTCCACCTCCCGGGTTCACGCCATTCTCCTGCCTCAGCCTCCTGAGTAGCTGGGACTACAGGTGCCTGCCACCACGCCTGGCTAATTTTTTTTTAATTTTTAGTAGAGACAGGGTTTCACCGTGTTCACCAGGATGGTCTCGATCTCCTGACCTTGTGATCCGCCCGCCTCAGCCTCCCAAAGTGCTGGGATTACAGGCGTGAGCCACTGTGCCCGGCTGGCATTAATTCTTCTTTAAATGTTTCATAGAACTCACCAGTGAAGCCGTCTGGGTTTGTTTTTTGTTTTGTTTGTTTGTTCTCATTCATATTCATATAATCAGTGGTTAGCAAAGGCCTGTCTGGGTGTTGAGTATGGGGCACCATGGAATATAAGGACTTTTTTATTTCACTAGGATCTTGATGTGTTCACCAGACAGGCCTTCAGAGCACCTGGCTGGAGCCACATTCTACAGAGTCACAAAGTGAGATTAAGCCTTCTGCCATGCAGTGGAAAGGAAATGCACCCTCAGCCCTAGGGCAGTAAAGACACACTCACCATCATCCAGAATGACCAGCAGTGGAGCCAGAAGATCACACATGCCCTGGACATAGCCGATCTCAATGTGCTGCCAGATGTAGCTAGAAGAGACACAAGGGGCCAATGATGGCAGCCGTGGCCTGCCTCTCCAACCCACTCCACCTTCTGTTCCTCCTGCTTCGGTCCCCAATCCCTCACCTGGACCCCTCCCTCAGCCTCCTGCCTGCATCTCCATCCCCGATCTCTCTCTTCAAACATCCTATGTGCAGCCACCAGGATGACCTCCCTAAAGGCCAACTCAGGAGGCCTCTTCAGGCTCAAAACTTGCACAAGCACCCTGCTGTCTGATGGGATGTTATCCAAACTCCTTTACTGGGGGTACAAGGAGTAATGGCCTCCTCTCAACTCATCTTCACAGCCTCAAACATCGCTTCCCACTGTCTTCCTCTCCAGCAACATTGACGTATTCACTTTGCACAAAAAAATCACAAATTTATGTTTCTGTATCTTTGCCTTACAGCTCCCTTTGTCAGGAATTGCAATCTGTCCCTTACTAATAACAGCTTATATTTATCGAGCTCTTACTGTATACTCAACCCACTATTTTCTTTTTCTTTTTTTTTTTTTTGAGACGGAGTCTCACTGTTGCTCAGGCTGGAGTGCAGTGGCGTGATCTCTGCTCACTGCAGGCTCCGCCCCCTGGGTTCACGACATTCTCCTGCCTCAGCCTCCCGAGTAGCTGGGACTACAGGCGCCCGCCACCTCGCCCAGCTAATTTTTTGTATTTTTAGTAGAGATGGGATTTCACCATGTTAGCCAGGATGGTCTCGATCTCCTGACCTCATGACCCGCCCGTCTCGGCCTCCCAAAGTGCTGGGATTACAGGCGTGAGACACTGCGCCCGGCCTCTCAACCCACTATTTTCAAAATAGTCATGTGAAACATGGACTATCCCATTTCACAGGCATGAGCCATTGCACCCAGCCTGAATGTACACATTTTTTAAATGTACATTTAAAAAATGTCCATGGATTATCCCATTTCACAGATGAGGGGACTGAAGCATAGACAGGTAAATGACATGTCCCAAATCATACACTTAATAATAAGTGGCAGAGGCAGTACTTGAACCTAGGAGGCCTTACTCAAGGATATATGATCTTAGCCTCTATGCTAAATGGTTTCTTTAGTTTTCTTTTTCTTTTTCCTTTTTTTTTTTTTTTTCTTTTTGTTGAGACAGAGTTTTGTTCTTGTTGCCCATGCTGGAGTGCAATGGTGCAATCTTGGCTCACTGCAACCTCCACTTCCCCGGTTCAAGCAATTCCCCTGTCTCAGCCTCCTGAGTAGCTGGGATTACAGGTGTGTGCCACCACACCTGGCTAATTTTTGTATTTTTAGTAGAGACAGGGTTTCGCCATGTTGGCCAGGCTGGTCTCGAACTCCTGACCTCAGGTGATCTGGCCGCCTCGACCTCCCATGAGCCGCCGTGCCCAGCCTATGGTTTCTTTAGTTTTCTTAACGTTGTCAAAATCCATCTCAAAGGTCACCACCACTGTGAAGTCTTCCATGATTTCTCCCTATGCCTTAACCAGGGAGGAGTCAGTTTATTTTTACTTCTTCCCAGCATTTTTTTCATTTTAATGTAACACTTATGAGACTATATCATAGTTTAAAACATTTAAAAAATATGTACATTCAGGCTGGGTGCGATGGCTCATGACTGTAATCCTAGCACTTGGGAGGTCAAGGCAGGTGGATTGCCTGAGCTCAGGAGTTCAAGACCAGCCTGGGCAACATGGTGAAACCCCATCTCTACTACAATACAAAAAATTAGCCGGGCCTGGCAGCGTGCACCTATAGTCCCAGCTACTCGGGAGGCTGAGGTAGGAGAATTGCTTGAACCCAGGAGGCGGAGATTGCAGTGAGCCGAGATCGCACCACTGTACTCCAGCCTGGGCAACAGAGCGAGACTCCATCTCCATTAAAAAAAAAAAAAAGTACATTCATATTATGTTATACAATATACAATCAATTAGATATTACTAAATTGTTAGTAGTCATTAATTCTGGGTGAGTGGCACTGCCGGGCAGAGATGAAGGGAGAAGTTTCTCTTTCTATCTTATGAACTTCTAATTTCTTTGATTTAGATTTTTGTTTTGTTTTGAGACAGGGTCTCATTCTGTTGCCCGGGCTGGAGTGCAGTTGTGTGATCACAGTTCATTGTTGCCTCAACCTCCCAGGTTCAAGCCATCCTGCTGCCTCAGCCTCCCAAAGTAGCTACGACTATAGGCGTATACAATCATGCCTGGCTAATTTATTAAAACTTTTGTAGAGATGGGGTCTTGTTATGTTGCCCAGACTGGGTCTTAAACTCTTGGCCTCAAGCAATCCTCCTGCCTTGGCCTCCCAAAGTGCTGGGATTAGAGTTGTCAGTGATTTAGATTTTTAACAAGCATGGGTTACTTTCATATTTTAAGAAATATCAATAATTATTTTTATTATTTTTATTACTTTTTAAGAGATGGGGTCTTACTCTGTCACCCAGGCTGGAGTACAATGGTGTAATCATAGCTCACTACAACCCTCTAACCTCTAGGCTCAAGCTATCCTCCTGCCTCCACCTCCCAAGTATGCAGGACTACAAGTGCATGCCACTATGTCCAGCTAAATGTTGAGTTAAAAAAAATTATTTTGTAGTGATAGGGTCTCACTATGTTGCCAGGCCAGTCTCTACTTTTTTGAAGTCTGTGAAGAACTCAAGTGGCCTCAAGTGATCCTCCCACGTCAGCTTCCCAAAGTGCTGGGATTACAGGAATAATATCTTTTTAGTGAACAGTAATAACCAGTCGTAGATCTTGGCTTAAAGAAAAATAGAAAAAGGACAGATTCTACAGCCAGAGACATGGCTATGAGTTCCCGCTCAGCCACTGCCCGATGCCCACTCAGCAATGAGGCTCTTCCTGGAGCCTCCACATCGTCACCTATAAAAGGGGTTAATACCTCGTCGGGTTGAGGAATAAGTGAGCGATGATAGTACAGGCCTCAGGACAGTGGCTGGTATACAGTAAGTGCTTAATAAATGTTCTATATTATTGTTGTTAAATTTTCACTGTGGGCTAAGTAAGATTCCAGGTGAGTATGATGCCAGCTTCAGAAGCTGAAATAACTTCTAGGCGGGCCCCCTACATCCCCCATCCCACCCACCCACCATCCCCATCCCCTAGATCCCCTCGCTGTCCCCAGCCACCTGCACATGATGTTACGCAGCTTCTCCAAGTTGGCGGGCGTGAAGTACCAGTAGTTGCGGTCGCACCTCTGCACATCCTTCTCGATGCGGTGCAGGTTCACCGTGTACAGATCCAGCAGCTCTGGCTATAGGCCATCGGGGCAGGGGGTAGGGGGAAGAAATGAAAAATCACATCTAAGTCCCCACTGGAAAGCAGCAATCCTATCTCCTCTTCCTAACCCTCTCCTGTTGTCACTGAAAATACATCTCCCACCTGGACCAGCCAGGTGTTTGATTTTGTTTGTTTGTTTTCTGGGAGGGTGTGTTTAATTTGCAGGATGAAAATTCTCCCTCAGAGAGTTACAACTATAGCTGGAAGTGAACCTCTCTCTGCTGAAAACTGGACAAGGAGAATGAAGAACTGCACAGAGGGCAAATTCTGGTAACGTACTGGCCTGGCTGCTTGAACAAGTACCTTAATTTCAAAATGGCTCAATGATGTGGCAAGAAAATAAGAAATATTTAAGGACCAAAAACTAACTCAGAAAGGTGAGAAAACACCAAAGCTGGCCTTTGCCTTAAGGAAAGCTGCCAAAGTGGGAAAATTTAAGCTTAGATTTGATTGGTTTTTGCTCCCCTACTCAAGTTGAAGATCTAATAAGAGACCTTCCTACAGGAAGGTAGGGCCCTAAGGAGTCACACCCTCAGAAAGGGAAAACTAGAAAAACCCACTAATATCTTGGGATCTCAAAACAATTGCCTGCCCGCAGTGACAGCAATATTTTTCATCCACAGTTCACCTCATGAATGTTGTCACTTTGGGTCTGAGTGAAACAGTTACAATACCTGACTGATTATACCTTGAACATAGTTATTAAATTAAATGTAAATGTTATCTCCCTGCATAATTAAGAGCCACAAGTCAGGTTTGTAACTCATGCGGTTTATAACCCAAACTCCCATTACCTGGGTGGTCTGAAAGATCAGAGAATGTAGTTGTCATCTCATATTTGTTATTTCCCTGGCACTAGAAAGAAGCAGAAGAAAACCCCTCTCTTGAGGAATCTACCTTCCACCTGGGTCTTAAATAGTACAGCAGATAATATCCCAAGAAATATGAGCTCATGTTCAAAAATCATGAAACACTCAGAGAAAGAAGGTGCCAGGAGTGATGGTTGGCATAAATACAAGAAAACAGAATCAGAGCCATCAGGGCCTCAGTTGTTAGAAGTATCAGAAACAGATCATAAAATAAGTATGTTTACTGTATTTAAAGAAATAAGGCGGGGCGCCGTGGCTCATGCCTGTAATCCCAGCACTTTGGGAGGCCGAGGCGGGCGGATCACTTGAGGTCGAGAGTTTGAGACCAGCCTGACCAACATGGAGAAAACCCATCTCTACTAAAAATACAAAATCAGCCGGGCGTGGGTGCGTGCTTGTAATCCCAGCTACTCGGGAGGCTGAGGCAGGAGAATCGCTTGAACCCGGGAGGCGGAGGTTGCGGTGAGTCGAGATCACGCCATTGCACTCCAGCCTGGGCAACAAGAGCGAAACTCTGTCTCAAAAATACAGAAAGAAAGAAAGAAAGAAAGAAAGAAAGAAAGAAAGAAAGAAAGAAAGAAAGAAAGAAAGAAAGAAGAGGTTAACAATAAGAACAAAAGCTGGGGTGCACTGGTTCATGCCTGTCATTCCAACACTCTGGGAGGTCACAGCGGGTAGATCACTTGAGGCCAGTTCAAGACCAGCCTGAGCAACATGGCAAAACCCCATCTCTATAAAAAATACAAAAAATTAGCCAGGCATGGTGGTACAGCCCTGTAGTCCCAGCTACTTGTGGGGCTGAGGTGGGAGGAAGGATTGCTTGAGCCCAGGAGGTGAAGGCTGCAGTGATTGCGCCACTGCCCTCCAAATCACGCACAGAAGGAGACTATTTCAAAAAAAAAAAAAAAGCAAGAGACTATAAAATAATCAAGTAAGTCATTTTATAGCATATTTGAAGAAAGGCCAAATAAAATGTTAAAAAATATATTAAACACTAGAGATAGGTGACAGAAAATAAAACATTCTGGAAGAGAGAATTACTGAATTGAAAGGAGATCTGAACAAACAATCCAGAATTCAGCACAGAAGGACAAAGAAATGATAAAAAAGAGAAGCAAGCTAGGCATGGAGGCTCACGCCTGTAATCCCAGCACTTTGGGAGGCCAAGGCAGGCAGATCACGAGGTCAGCAGATCGAGACCATCCTGGCCAACCCGGTGAAACCCTATCTCTACTAAAAACACAAAAAATTAGCCGGGCGTGGTGGCGGGCGCCTGTAGTCCTTCTACTTGGGAGGCTGAGGCAAGAGAATGGCATGAATTCGGGACGCAGAGGTTGCAGTGAGCCGAGATCACGCCACTGCACTCCAGCCTAGGTGACAGAGCGAGACCCTGTCTCAATTAAAAAAAAAAAAAAAAAAGAAAAGAAAAGCAAAAAATGTGGAAGCCACTGAGGTATGTGCTTCATCTAAATAAGAGAGTAGACTAAGAAAGAGGAAAACATGACTGACACAAAAGGAAGCTCAAGATCAGGACGAGGAAGATTGTGAATGATAATGACACATCAGGTGCAGTGGAGTGGAGGGCATCAGTAGGCTTTTGGGGAGAAGTCCTTGGACACACAGAACAAATGAAAAACATGATATGTCTAAATGTTTGAAAAGAGATTTAGGAAAGTGGCAAAGACTTCTGGGGGTGAACTGACTTTAAATATGCAGCAAACTAAGAAAAAGAAAACAGGAAAAGGAAAACACATCTAGGAAAAACAAATTTTTTTACAGGAAAGACAAAAATTAGGACAGTTTACTACATGGCTTACCTATTACTCTGTTAAAATAATGCAAGCACTGACATTTACAGTAGTTGCATAAAATATTATAACACTGTACACGTTTTTTTTTTTTTTTTTTTTTTTTTTGAGATCTTGCTCTGTTGTCCAGGCTGGAATGCAGTGGTGCGATCTCGGCTCACTGCAAGCTCCGCCTCCCGGGTTCACGCCATTCTCTTGCCTCAGCCTCCCAAGTAGCTGGTACTACAGGTGCCTGCCACCACGCCCGGCTAATTTTTTGTACTTTTAGTAGAGACAGGTTTTCACCATGTTAGCCAGGATGGTCTCGATCTTCTGACTTCGTGATCCACCCCCCTCAGCCTCCCAAAGTGCTGGGATTACAGGTGTGAGCCACAGTGCCCAGCCCCCCTTTTTAAATGCTACGTTATCTTCTCTCCCAAATGGGTTTCTACAGTGAATCCTCCATGACGGAAAAAATGCAACGAACCAGAGGTCTGACTCCGGGGTCATTCTGGATAACAGGCTTGTAGTACATCCCACCCTCCTGCAGCTGGAAAGAAGGAAATGGAACGGAGGGTCCTGGTGACTTACAGAGTAGGTGACGCCGCTGGAAGACACAGGGGACACCTCGTTGGCAGAAGTAGTCACAGCCAGAGAAGCCAGGGCAGGGAAGAGACTTTCCATCTCAGGCTCCTCCGAGAGGTTGTCCTCACTGTCCGCCTGGCCATGTTTCTCTGTCTCGCTGCTCCTCCAGCCCTCCATCACAACATCGTCCTTTTCAGGCAGGGCCATGTCCAGGCTGCCCGTGATGGACATGAACTCGTCCATGCTCTCGTTGGCCAGGAGGTCACTCTCCAGGCTGTCCTGCACGGCCAGCTCCTCCCGGGGAGCCTCATCCTGAGATGTGGTGGCCTCGCTGCTCTGCCTGTCATCCACGCTGCCATCCCTAGGTCGCAGCACCGTGGGGGTGTTCCGCTGGGCGTCCAAGACACTGTCTTCTGTGCTCAGACTGGGCTCTGAGTGCTCTGAGAGGCCCGAGGAGAAGTTATGGGAGGAAGGATGACCCGAGTCTGGGGAACAAGTGCCGTTCACTAGGTTCCCATTGGGGATCTTGGGCTGTTTCTCCTCCAATCTGCCTTCAGCCTCCACCTGCTCCACCTCATCCACAGACTCAAACACCTGAGGACAAGGTGCACAAAAACAGATGGACCGGCATGTCGACTGCAGCATTACTTACATCAGCAACCTAAACATCCAACAACAGGTGATCGGCTTAAATATGGATCAAGCATGCAGTGGAATACCATACAGTCAGTGAAAAGAACGAGGCAAAACAAGGTGTAATATACGCTCCCATTTGTGACAAATAAGAAAGTGATCTAGGCTGGGCATGGTGGCTCACGCCTGCAATCCCAGAACTTTGGGAGGCCAAGGCAGGTGGACTGCTTGAACCCAAGAGTTTGACACCAGCCTGGGCAACACGGTGAAACCTGGTCTCTGCAAAAAATACAAAAAATTAGCCTGGTATGGTGGCACACACATGTGGTCTCAGCTACTTGAGGGGCTGAGGTGGGAGAATCACCCAAGCCTGGGGAGTCAAGACTTCAGTGAGCTGTGACCATCATGCCACTGCACTCCAGCCTGGGTGATGGGAGTGAGACTCTGTCTCAAACAGCAATAAAAAAGTGATCTATGTGCTTGTGTATGCATAAAATAATCCACAAAGAGACAAAAAAGTACTGCAGTTGACTCTGTTTTGTCTTGTTTTCTGAGATGGAGTTTCTCTCTTGTTGCCCAGGCTGGAGTGCAGTGGCACAATCTTGGCTCACTGCAACCTCCACCTCCCGGGATCAAGTGATTCTCCTGCCTCAGCCTCCCGAGTAGCTGGGATTACAGGCACTCGCCACCATGCCTGGCTGATTTTTGCATTTTTATTAGAGATGGGGTTTCACCATGTTGGCCAGGCTGGTCTCGAACTCCTGACCTCAGGTGATCTGCCCACCTCGGCCTCCCAGAGTGCTGTGATTACAGGCGTGAGCCACCACGCCCCGCGTGCAGTTGACTCTGAGAAGGGGGTACTAGGGAATCAAAATAAGGGGAGACAATAACTTTTCATCATATAGACTTTTACCATGTGTACCTAATTTTATTTTTATGTATGTATTTATTTATTTAAGATGGAGTCTCGCTCTGTTGCCCAGGCTGGAGTGAAGTGGCACGATCTTGGCTCACCACAACCTCCGCCTCCCGGGTTCAAGCAATTTTCCTGCCCCAGCCTCCCAAGTAGCTTGGATTACAGGCATGTGCCACCATGCCCAGCTAGTTTTTGTATTTTTAGTAGAGTCAGGGTTTCACCATGCTGGCCAGGCTGGTCTTGAACTGCTGATCTCAGGTCATTGACCTGCCTCGGCCTCCCAGAGTGCTGGGATTACAGGCATGAGCCACCGTGCCCAGCCTCATGTATACATAATTTTTCTCATTCAAAAAATTAGTTAACACACGGAAAAGGCAAAAAAAAAAAAACCAAAAAACAAAAAATAAAAAAACCCTATTACTTTTACACCCAGGTGGTTGACTATTATGAATCAATTTTTCAAGTTAGATATACATGAAATACTATGAAAAAAATCTCCAGAATACATTTTAGAGATTTTTTTGTGACTCTTTGTGTTCTTGGATCATATCAAGGGTACACAGTTAAAGATCATGTTCCAAAGTCACCTGAAATATTTCTTCCCTGTGTGGTTATGTCACCAACTTGATTTATGGTTAGTTTCATGTGTTTCTGTGTTTTCAAAAACTTCTTTTTGATTCAATTGATTTTAATTATGTAAAAAGTTTACCTAGCTTCAGAGTCAAAACCAGAGTTTTTTTTTTACTCCAAAATCAAAATTAGGAAGCAAGGCATATTCAAGGAAATGTAGCTTCTGTCTCTGCCCCCTCCTCTCTCGGTAATCATTCTGATTCGTTTCTGGTTGCTCCTCATACCATTCTCAAAAATGGAGGCAAATATATACAGATATTAATATTGCCTCTTCTTACACAAAAGGTGACAACACACTATGCATGTTTTTGCACTTGGCTTTGTGTGTGCGTGTGTGTGAGACAGGGTTTCACTCTGTCACCCAGGCTGGAGTGCAGTGGCGTGATCATGGCTCACTGCAGCCTCAACCTCCTGGGCCCTGGTGATTCTCCCACCTTAGCCTCCGGAGCAGCTGGGACTACAGGCACGCACCACCATGCCCAACTGATTTTTTTCGTATTTTTTGTAGAGACAGGGTTTTGCCATGTTGCCCAGACTGGGTTTAAGCTCCTGGGCTTAAGCTATCTGCCTACCTTGGCCTCCCAAAGTGCTGGGATTACAAGTGTGAACTACCATGCCCAGCCAGCTTTTTTCTTTAAAAACGGAGTGAGATTGAGTTATCTCTTTTCACCAATTGAAACGGAAAGTTGTTGAACAACATATATGATGGCATTTATGTACACATTTAAAAAACAACTACCAAACATTGCTATAGATTATATATTTCTGTGTATGTATATGCATACAGAAGGTTTTGAAAGGAACACAGCAAACTCATGATAGTGGTGTTATTTCAAGAGAGGGCAGGCAGAGATTAAGGACGATCAAAGCAGACTTTGACTTTCTCTACAATGTTTTAGTTTTTTGCAGGGGTGATAGATCCATATATTTCTTGCATTACTAAACAAAAAACAAAAAACAATGTTTAATGCTAATATAAAAAGCTAAAACAAATAAAGCAAAAAGTGACCTACAGATGACGGACACCCAACCCCCATGACCCCAGGCAGAAGGGAGAGGAGTGGGTGGGAGGGGGCGAGGCCTCCACAAGGTCACCTGTGTGCTGCTGCTGGAGTCGCTGTGCAGGCGGATGTTCTGGCGGCCCGAACTGCAGCTCTGGGAGGACTGAGAAAAGAAAGAGCAGGAGGGAGGGAGGGTGAGGCTGCACCCTGGCCCAGAGCAGGAAGGACTGCTGGGCTGGGAGCCAGAAAGTCTAGTTGCATCTCTATTCCTAACTTGCACAAGTCCTCTCTCAGAGCATCAGTTTCCTAGCTGTAAAATGAAAGGGGGGCACCACTCCCTGCTTCCTGGAGCCTCTTCAGAGACCGCTTTGACCTCTGGGTTCCCACCTCTCACCTCTGCAACTAGAGCACCCCACCTTTAACTGCTCTGTAATTGAGACTTCTGGCCAATATTTCAGTTCAACTCACAGAGTAACTGGTTCTATTAATGGCTCCACTTTTTTTTTTCCCATGATCCCTGTATACATGCTTCTGCCCTATAACCTCATAGTCCTTGCCTACTCTGACACTAGACTTGGCCATGTGGCTTGCTTTTGTCAATGGGATGTTAACAAACTTGACTCAGCAGAGGCTTAGAACACCCTTGTGCATTTCCGCTTTCTCTCTGTGGCATCTGCTTTCACCGTGAGAGCACGTCCAGGTTAACTTGCTGGGCAGTGAGCCACGTGGAGCACAGCTGAGTCACCCCAGGCAAATACGAGAGCCCAACCAAGATAAACAAATGTTTTAGTTGACCAGTTACGGACAGCTGGTGCCAGAATAAGCCTCGCCTAGCCCAGTTAAGAACAGAACTTGCCAGCTGACCCAGAGTTGTGAGCAAAAATAAACGCTGACTGTTGGAAGTCATTGATTTTTGGTGGTTGTTTGTTACACACTGTTATTGTGGCAATTGATGACTGATATCATCACTGCTGAAGAAAATTAACTTTTTTTTGAGAGGGAGTTTCGCTCGTTGCCCGTGCTGGAGTGCAGTGATGCAATCTCGGCTTGCTGCAACTTCCGCCTCCCGGGTTTAAGTGATTCTCCTGCCTCGGCCTCTCAAGTAGCTGGGATTACAGGCGCTCAGCTAATTTTTGTATTTTTAGCAGAGATGGGGTTTCACCATGTTGGCCAAGGCTGGTCTTGAACTCCTGACCTCAGGTGATCCACCCGCCTTGGCCTCCCAAAGTACTGGGATTACAGGCGTGAGCCACCACCCTCAGTCAAGGGTGGTGAGATCCTACTTTTTACTGAGATCCTACTTTGGGCTATTAAACTGGAAGTTCTGGGAGGACAGACCAGTCTGTCTGGGTCACTGGAACATTCCTGATATCCCAGGATATTCCTGATAGTACCTGCACATAGTAGATACTCAATAAGCATTTGTTGAATCAATGAAAGTCAGGCAGTGCGCCAGGCACTTTATATACATTGTCTTGTTTGGACTGTACACGAACCTCCTCTACACCTGATTATTCCCATTTTACAGATGCAGAAAACTGAGGCCCAGAAGAAAAGGTACTGGTAGGGAACCCCAGAACTACTAAATGGTGGGACTAGAGTTTGAATTCAGGTCTGATTCCAAAGTCACCGCACACTCTTAAAGAAAAAGCCAGGGGTGAGACTGTCACCAGGCCCCAGACACCCAGTCTTCACCACTCTTAGAACAGCCCAATGAAGCAGACCCTGACCTTCCCCAGCCCCCGCGCTCCCCGAGGCCAGCCGCCCATCACCTCATTGCTGATGGTTGAGTCCCTGTGCAACATCCGGTGCAGGTGGCTGTCCAAGCTGGCCCCGGATGAGCATTTGGCCAGGGCGGCCGCATGGGACTCCCGCTCCCTCTGCCGCACGATCGCCTCGCAGCCCAGCCACTCAGCCATGGTCTGTGCATAGCAGGCATGAATCTGCTCGTCCACCTGCCAGGGCAGATGCAATGTCACCCGAGGTGTCAACAAAGGGGCGCCTGGGGAGGGCCAGACCAACGTGGAAGAGAGTGGCTCTGATCCATCCAACATTCACGCAGTTAACATCCAGCAGATATTAACTGAGCACCTACTATGCTATGCCTAGCACTGGTTAGGCTCTGAAGACACAAAGGGAGCAAGGCTACTTCTTTCCTTATTTCCCTCCTTCCTTTATTCATTCATGCATACATATATAAATTTCAACTATTCATTGAGTCCTTACTATGTGCTAGATAGTACATAGGCCCTGGGGATACAAAAGTGAGAAGACTGTTTCTATTTTTCTTTCCCTCCCCCCCCTCCGCTTCCTTCCTTCCTTCCTTTCTTTCTTGACAGAGTATGGCTCTGTCACCAGGCTGGAGTGCTGTAGCACAATCTTGACTCACTGCAGCCTCCCGGGTTCAAATGATTCTCCTGCCTCAGCCTCCTGAGTAGCTGGGACTACAGGCATGCGCCACCACGCCCAGCTAATTTTTGTATTTTTTTTTTTTTTTTTTTAGTAGAGACGGGGTTTCACCTTGTTGGCCAGGATGGTCTTGATCTCTTGACCTCGTGATCCGCCCGCCTCAGCCTCCCAAAGTGCTGGGATTACAGGTGTGAGCCACTGCGCCCGGCCAAAAGTGAGAAGACTGTTTCTTTCTTTTTTACTACCTTCCCTCTCTCTTTACTCATTCATTCATCCATTCATTCACTCACTCAATTTGATAAGTACCTATTACATACCAGGCACCAAACTAGCCATATGGAATACAAGATGAGCAAGATGCTGACCTTCCCCCACCTATCCACTCAATCAACGCATGACCTGAGGGCCTCCCATGTACCCCACATGGGCTACAGGTGCTGAGGATACAATACAAATAAAACCAACCCGCTTCCTTTCCTTACAGCAATGGCCTTACAGAAGGGCCACAGATTTCCAGCTTTTTCCTTGTGGGATTCAGCAAAGAGGTGGGGAGCTTCCATTGTCCCTGAGTAACACAGCCCAGGTAACAGGCTCTGCGTCTGCCAGACCTCTGGGCACCACGGGGACGGATTGGCTGATCTAGGTAAGGAGAGCCAGGATGGGAAAAGAGAGGGTGGGGAGCCCGACCCTCTCCTATGGCTACTCAGGACTTCGGGAGGGGGACTGAGGGTCCATCCTGCCCAAGGGCCTCGCCTGAGCCACTCCCTCCTGCCCACCTCCCTGAGACTCCTCCAAGCCCTGCCCACCTCCCAATTCCCAGTGCCATCCTGGGCCAGGGTTACACCACTTTCACCTAGATGCATGGCCCCAGCAGCCTCCATCCAGGTCTCTGTTGCAGCCTGACCACCCCGCCCCCTGAACCGTGCACCACTTAGCAGTCGTGATCCTTGTTTCCTCTCCAGCCTCCCCTCTCACTGCTGCCTCCACCATCCTACTCCTTCATGTCTCAGCAACTCACACCCACCATGCCCTTCCTGCCCCTCCCTAAACCCATTCGGACACACACACCACACCACGCTGGTCTCCCCTCCAGACCTCTGCCTGTGCTGTCTTCTCTTCCCTTCTTCACCCTCTTGGCCCGAAAAGTAATTCCTTCTGAGAATTTACGAACAACCAGCTCCTCCAGGAGTCTTCTCTGACTGCCTTCACCCCTGCCCGTCTTAGGTGCTTCCCATATGCTCCTGCAGCCCTCGGGGTTGCCTCAATCCCACCAGTGACCACCACAACCCCCATGAAACTGGGAAGGACCTCACCTAATGTGCTTCTGCATCCCCAGCTCTGAATACGGGGCTCTGTACATCAGAGTTGTCAGTTACTGACTCCCCAGGAAGCCACCAGGCATGGGTGAAGTGTGGAGGGGCCTCACACTAGTACTGAGATGAACTTCAGACATTTCACTAGCATGGGTCCTTATAATACAGAACTACAGAAACTTTCTGCTTTCTCCTCTCCTTCAACTTTTCTGATTACCCCAGGGAGAAAGGGCCAGTCTGGTGCTCCTATGCTTCCCACACTTCTCGATACTTTGTCATCTCCCCTCCATCCTTTATATTTTTTTAGACAGGGTCTTACTTTGTCACCCAGGCTGAAATGCAGTGGCACAATCATAGCTCGCTGCAGCCTCCAACTCTTGGGCTCAAGCAATCCTCCCGTCTCAGCCTCCTGAGTAGCTAGGACTATAAGCACACGCTACCATGCCCAGCTAGTTTTTAAATTTTTTGTAGAGATGGGGGTCACGCTATGTTGCTCAGGCTGGTCTTGAACTCCTGGCCTCAAGCAATCCTCTTGCCTTGGCCTCCCAAACATAATCTCCCTTTTTAACAAAGAGACGGCAGGCCTTAGGCAGGCTATAACATCTAGTTAGAACAGAATTACACCATTTAATCTCACTCTATTTTTATAGTTTCCTTCTATTCACGACAAGTTATACTGGCTTCTCGTTTATGGCAGGGATATAAAATATCTTTTAAAATAAGTTGTATAAATCTTAAGCGAGTCAATTTAAATCAAATGTTAAATAAATAATAGTACAAGTGATACACGAATATAGAGTGTAAAATACCACCAGATTTTAGGCTGGGGGTAGTTGGCTCACGCCTGTAATCCCAGGACTTTGGGAGTCCGAGGCGGGCAGATCACAAAGTCAGAAGTTCAAGACCAGCCTGGCCAACCTAGTGAAACCCCGCCTCTACTAAAAATACAAAAAACATTAGCCGGACGTGGTGGCAGGTGCCTGTAGTCCCAGCTACTTGGGAGGCTGAGGCAGGAGAATCGCTTGAACCCAGGAGGTGGAGGTTGCAGTGAGCTGAGATCGCACCACTGCACTCCAGCCTGGGCAACAGAGCGAGACTCCACCTCAAAAAAATAATAATAATAAAAAAACATATACAAGCAGATGCAAAATCTGGTGAAATCCTAGTAAGACCTGTAGTCTAGCTAGTTGTATTGTGTCAGTGTTAACACTCTGGTTTTGACAGTGTACTTACTTTAGTTACATAAACTGTTACCACTGGGGAAAGCTGGGTGATGGGTACCTGGGACCTCTTACTTTTGCAGCTTCTTGTGAACTTATAATTACAAATGCTTCTCGACTTACGATGGAGTTATGTCCCAATAAATGCATCATAAGTTGAAAATATCTTAAGTCAAAAATCCGTTTAAGTCCGGGCGTGGTGGCTCATGCCTGTAATCCCAGGACTTTGGGAGGCCAAGGCGGGCGGATCACAAGGTCAGGAGATCGAGACCATCCTATCTAACACGGTAAAACCCTGTCTCTGCTAAAAATACAAAAAATTAGCCAGGCGTGGTGGCAGGCGCCTGCAGTCCCAGCTACTTGGGAGGCTGAGGCAGAAGAATGGCGTGAACCCAGCAGGCAGAGCTTGCAGTGAGCCGAGATCGCGCCACTGCACTCCAGCCTGGGCGACAGAGCAAGACTCCGTCTCAAAAAAAAAAAAAAATCCATTTAAGGCCAGGCCCGGTGGCTCACGCCTATAATCCCAGCACTTTGGGAGGCCAAAGTGGGTGGATCACTTGAGGTCAGGAGTTCAAGACCAGCCCGGCCAACACGGTGAAACCTCGTCTCTACTAAAAATACAAAAAATTAGCCAGGCATGGTGGCGGGCGCCTGTAGTCCCAGCTATTTGGGAGGCTGAGGCAGGAGAATGGTGTGAACTCAGCAGGCAGAGCTTGCAGTGAGCCGAGATCGCGCCACTGCATTCCAGCCTGGGCGACACAGCAAGACTCTATCTCAAAAAAAAAAAAATCAATTTAAGGCCAGGCCCGGTGGCTCACGCCTATAATCCAACATGGTGAAACCTCGTCTCTACTAAAAATACGAAAATTAGGCAGGTGTGGTGGCGCATGCCTATAATCCCAGCTACTTGGGAGGCCCAGGCAGGGTAATTGCTTGAGCCTGGGAGACGGAGGTTGCAGTAAGCCAAGATCACACCACTGCACTGCAGCCTGGGCAACAGAGTGAGACTCTGCCTCAAAAAAAAAAAAAAAAGAAATACATTTAATAACGTGATAAAGCCATCATGAAGTCAAAAAATTGTAAGACCAACCGTTGGAAGTTGGGGACCATTTATATTTCAAAATAAGAAGCTCAAAAATATGAATTGCATCTGTTTCTTTTTACTTTTAAAATGTGACTATGAGGGCCGGGCACGGTGGCTCACGCCTGTAATCCCAGCACTTTGGGAGGCCAAGGCAGGCGGATCACGAGGTCAGCAGTTTAGGACCAGCCTGGCCAACATGGTGAAACCCCGTCTCTACTAAAAATACAAAAAGTAGCTTGGCGTGGTGTCGGGCGCCTGTAGTCCCAGCTACTGGGGAGGCTGAGGCAGGAGAATCACTTGAACCTGGGAGGTGGAGGTTGTAGTAAGCCGAGATTGCACCACTGCACTCTAGCCTGGGCGACAGAGCAAGACTCTGACAGACAGACACTCTGTCTCAAAAAAAAAAAAAAAAAAAAAAAAAGGTGACTATGAAAACATTTAAAATTACACATGTGTTACAATAATCAAGACAGAGTGGTACTGGCAGAAGGACAGATTCATAGATCACCGGAACAGAAGAACCCAGAAACAGACCTACAAGTATGTTCCCAACTGTCTTTTTGTTGTTGTTTTGTTTTTTTGAGATGGAGTCTTGCTCTATTGCCCATGCTGGACTGCAGTGGCATGACTTCGGCTCACTGCAACCTCCACCTCCCAGGTTCAAGCGATTCTTCTGCCTCAGCCTCCTGAGTAGCTGGGACTACAGGCGCCCGCCACCATGCCCAGCTGATTTTTGTTTTTGTTTTGTATTTTTAGTAGAGATGGGGTTTTGCTATGTTGGTCAGGCTGGTCTTGAACTCCTGACCTCAGGTGATCCACCTGCCTCGGCCTCCCAAAGTGCTGGGATTATAGACGTGAGCCACCGTGCCCGGCCCCAGCTGTTTTTTAACAGTGCAAGAGCAATTCAATGGAGGAAGGACATCTTTTCAACAAATGATGCTGGAGCAATTGAACACCAAAAAACGAAAAATGAACTTTGACCTAAATGACACACTGTATATAAGAAAAAAAAACTCAAAAGATTTTACCTCAAATGTAAACTAGAAAATTTTTAGGATAAATCGTAGGAGAAGATCTTCAGGACCTAGGGCTAGGCAAAATTTTCTTAGACTTGACACCAAAAGCACAATTCATAAAAGGAAAAATTGATAAACTGAGTTTCATTAAAAATTTAAAAATTTGTTTTGCAGAAAACCCTGCTTACAAGATGAAAAGTTACAGACTCGGAGGAAATATTTGCCAATCACGTATCTGAACAAAGGACTGTTATCAGAGTATATAAAGGACTCTCCAACTCCACAGGAAAAAAAACCAAACAATCCAATTAGAAGGTGGACAAAAGACGTTAGCAGACATTTCACCAGAGAAGATACACAATGGCAAATAAACACATGAAAAGACCTTCAACTTCATTAGCCGTTTAGGAAATGCAAATTAAAACAAGGAAATATCAATTATCCATGTCAGGTGGCTGAAATAAAAAATAGTGACAAGACAAAACTCTGGTGAAGATGCAAATGTGGATCACTCATATTTTGCTGGTGGACACAGAAAATGATACAGTCACTGCAGAAGTGTGGTAGTTTATTTTCTCTCCTTAGAGACAGGGTCTCCCGATGTTGCCCAGGCTGCACCTGAACTCATGAGCTCAAGCGAACCTCTTGCTGAGTGAGACTAAAGGCATGTGCTACTGTGAAAGTTTGCCAGTTTCATATAAAACTGAACATGCGACTACTATATGACCCAGCAATTACATTCTTACTCATTTATCCCAGATAAATGACAAGTTATGCTCATACAAAAACTGTACACGAATGTTCATTACAGCTTGATTTGTAACAGCCAAAAAACCAGAAACAACTCAGCTGTCTAGCAACAGGTGCTACAGCCACATCATGGAATACTACTCAGCCATCAAAAGGAATCAACTCTTGATACTCTCAACAACTTGGATGAGGTTTTATGCTGAGTGAAAAAAAGTCAATCCCAAAACATTACACACTGTATCATTCCATTTATATAACATTCTTGAGATGACAAAATTATAGAAATGAAGAACATATGATTAGTGGTTGCCAGGAATTAGGGCCAGGGTGTGGGTATGGGGGAGGTGAGTCTGGCTATAAAAGGACAACGTGGGGGTCCTTATAGCATTAAAAATGTACTGTATGTTGGCCGTGGTGATGGACACAGATCTACACGTGAGAAAACTGCAGAGAAAACACACACACACACACACACACACACACACAAATAAGTACAAGTAAAACTGGGAAAGTCTGATTAAGATGAGTATATTATACCATGTCAATCTTCTGGTTCCGATATTTTACTACCTTACAGTTTTACAAGATATTACCATCAGAAAAAAATTGGGTAAAAGATGCACATAGTTCTCCACATTAATTTCTTACAACTGCATAATCTACACTTAGTCCAAAATTTAAAAACGTAAAAATTGCCTATGTGGCTTGTGTTATGTTTCTATTGGACAGCGCCGCCTTCAGGTTCCCATCTTCCCCGTATCTCCCTCCCCTTCCTTGGTCCAGCGTGGAACCAGCACTCCCCAGCCCCACAGTATCTGGCTCCTTTTGTTGCCAAAGATCCCAGTGCCCATGGCAGGTAACCGACCTCTTTCCTTTCTGTTTCCGTCATCCCGAACTGGTAGTGGCCCAGGAGGAAGGGCCACACGGCCTTGCGGATCTCAGGCTGGATGCCCCCGTAGTAGATGAGGCGCAGCAGCTCCTGCTCCTCGTAACTCTGTGGTGGGTGGAGAGGAGCAAAGAGTTTGGTCAACAGAAAACCAGGGGGTGGTTTTAGTAGGGATGGGGTTTCACCATGTTGGCCAGATTGGTCTTGAACTCCTGACCTTCAGTGATCTGCCCGCCTTGGCCTCCCAAAGTGCTGGGATTACAGGCGTGAGCCACTGCACCCAGCCACCCTGAGCTATCTTCTTCTCTTTGAGACAGAGCGCTCTGTCACCCAGGCTGTAGTGCAGTGGTGTGATCTTGGCTCACTGCAACCTCCGCCTCCCAGTTTCAAGTGATTCTCCTGCCTCAGCCTCCCGAGTAGCTGGGATTACCAGTGCTTGCCACCACATCCAGCTAATTTTTGTATTTTTAGTAGAGACGGGGTTTCACCATGTTGGCCAGGCTGGTCTCGAACTCCTGACCCCAGGGTGGTCTCGGACTCTGATCTCAGGTGATTCGCCCTCCTTGGCCTCCCAAAGTGCTGGGATTACAGGTGTGAGCCACTGCGCCTGGCCACCCTGAGCTAACTTCTCACCAATATTCCTCAACTTCTGTGCACCTGTCCTTCTAGAATACTAATTGGCAACACCCTAACTGTATCATTATGATCTACTTCCATGATCTACTTGGAGGCATGATCTACTTCTATGATCTACTTCCGTGGTCCAGCAGTCCTGCTTCTTGGACCTAGCCCTCAGATATCCTGGCGTGAATAAGGAAAGTCACAGGTACTTGGATATCTGTCGTGGCATCATATGAAAAAGCCAAACTCAGGTAACTCTCCAACTGCGCATCAATGGGTGAACATGCGTCCCTACACGGGTACGCAACACAGAGATGTAAAAGAGCGAGGGATACATCTATGGGGACCCACATAAAAAGGTGTTCAGCTGGGCGTAGTGGCTCACGCCTGTAATCCCAGCACTTTGGGAGACCGAGGCAGGCGGATCACGAGGTCAGGAGTTCCAGACCAGCCTGGCCAACATGGTGAAACCTCGTCTCTAAAAATACAAAAATTAGCTGGGCACAGTGGTGCCCAACTACTTGGGAGGCTGAAGCAGAAGAATCGCTTGAACCCGGGAAGCGGAGCTTGCAGTGAGCCGAGATTGTGCCACTGCACTCCAGCCCGGGTGACAGAGCGAGACTCCATCTCAAAAAAAAAAAAAAAAAAAAAGGTGCTCAATGTGTGTCGCTAATCGAAAAAAAAAAATAAGTTGTAAAACTATGTGGTATGAGTCCGTTTATGTAAAAAGAGAAAGGGGAGGCTATAATGAATTAATATTTTAATTAATTTTAAGCCCATTTTTGCCTTATGCTTATTTGAAAATATTATCTTGCAATTATTAATCTTGACTCAGCTCTAGGAAAATTTCTTGGCTGGGCGCAGCGGCTCACGCCTGTAATCCCAGCACTTTGGGAGGCTGAGGCGGGCAGACCACCTGAGGTCGGGAGTTTGAGACCAGCCTGACCAACATGGAGAAACCCCGTCTCTACTTAAAATACAAAATTGGCCAGGCACTGTAATCCCAGCTACTTGGAGGCTGAGGCAGGAGAATTGCTTGAACCCAGGAGGCGGAGGTTGCAGTGAGCCTAGATCATGCCATTGCACTCCAGCCTGGGCAACAAGAGCAAAACTCCATCTCAAAAAAAAAAAAATTATCTAAAGCAAATTAATCCAAAGTGTACAATTCTCGCTGCTACCTCATACACTAATATCTTTTGTGCACACTAGGATGACTTTAACAGGTATGTGGTGTATGGTGGGGTTGAGTTTGTCTGTTTTCTTTTTAAAATTTCATTTTCAGGCAAAGGTTTTGCAGTTACAATTAGTCAAGCTGTGGGGCCAGCAGGTCCTAACTGTACATGCGCTGTGGGAAGTGATGGTGTTGGAAGGCTGCCCTGAAGGGCCCTGGGGCCTCTTCCCCCTCATCTATTCACATTCCGATATTAAAAGCCTATTTCACTTTAGTCTTAGGTGTACTCAACCACAATGGCAAGCTAATTTTTCTATTTTTAGTAGAGATGGGGTTTCACCGTGTTTGACAGGCTGGTCTTGAACTCCTGACCTCAAGTGATCCACCCTCCTCAGCCTCCCAAAGTGCTGGGATTACAGGCGTGAGCCACCGTGCCCATCCCAGCTGATGCTTAATAATAAATGCTACAGACTGATTTGTTCTTTACTCCTTCCAGGTGAGCATATGTTTTACCTCCCATTCAATCTCCACACTGATGGGCAGAAGTGAGCTGTAGGTCTTGGAACTCTCAAGGAGAAGGGGAACTCCAATTTGCATATGCAGAATCCAAGCACGTCAGCTCAAGTCCCCACAAGCATGTGGGCTTATTTCTCAGATAATAAGATGACCCCCCTGCAGCCTCTGCATCACTGCAGACCAAGCCCAGCTAAGCCTTACTGTGCTGTCGTGAAGGTACTGCTCCCAGATCCTGGCTGTCAGTCCCTGTCCAGCATCGCAGGGCAAGTCTGGAGACACGATCATGTGATTGACCAGGGCTGATAGGTGGGTTCTCACGGTGGACAGGTGTCTGCAGTAGGCCAGCCCTGTTGAGGGAGGGAGGGAAAGTGTCATCATCCACCACCTGAAGCCCCTCACCTTGTCTCATGGGACTTCCCAAGTTCTGTCCCACCTCAAATTTTTTAAAATTTTTGTTTTGAGACAGAGTCTTGCTCTATTATTTATTATTATCATGGCTCACTGCAGCCTCAACCTCCCAGGCTGATGCGATCCTCTCACCACAGCCTCTCGAGTACCTGGGACCAGAGGCACGCGCCAGCACGTCTGGCTAATTTTTTATTTTTTGTAGAGACGAGGTTTCACCATCTTGCCCAGGCTGGCCTCGAACTCCTGGACTCAAGTGATCCTCCTGCTTCAGCCTCCCAAAGTGCTGGGATTACAAGCACAAACCACTGCACCTGGCCCACTCCTGATCTTACTAAACGCCATGACTCAGTGAATTCTTGTCAACTTCCCCTTTTCCAGACAAGGAAGACAGAGCTTTATGCACTTGCTGGCTGGACTGCTAAATAGCTCTATAACCCTAGGGAAGTCTTATCACCTTTCTCAGCCTCAGTCAGGGTGATGGCACCCTTCTCTGCTCTAAGCCAAAGCATTTAATTCATAGGCTAGAGGCAGAGAAGGGGGTAGAAAGGAAGGTGGCCAGTGACTCTGTGGGCTTGCTGTGCCTCTGTCTGTCTCTAATCCATACAGCAAGAAAGAGAATGTGAAACGTGGACAACTCCTGTTCAAATTGCAGCTGAATATTTATCCAAAAGAAAGGAAACAAAGATATATCTGCACCCCCATGTTTACTGCAACACCATTCATGATAGCCAACATACAAAATCAACCTAAATGTCCATCAGTGAATGAATGGATAAAGAAACCGTGGTGGCCGTGCGCGGTGGCTCATGCCTGTAATCCCAACACTTTGGGAGACTGAGGCGGGCGGATCACGAGGTCAGGAGATTGAGAACATCCTGACTAACACGGTGAGACCCCGTCTCTACTAAAAAAAAAAAAAATACAAAAAAATTAGCTCATGGTGGCCGGCACCTGTAGTCCCAGCTACTCCGGAGGCTGAGGCAGGAGAATGGCGTGAACCCAGGAGGCGGAGCTTGCAGTGAGCTGAGATCGCGCCACTGCACTCCAGCCTGGGCGACAGAGCGAGACTCTGTCTCAAAAAAAAAGAAAGAAAAAAAAAAAGAAACCGTGGTATACAAATGTGATGGAATATTATTCAGCCATGAAAAGAATGAAATCCTGTCATGCGCAGCAGCATGGATGGAGCTGGAGGTTATGTTAAGCAAAAAAACGCGAGGCACAGAAAGACAAATATCACATGTTCTTACTTATAATGGGATCTAAAAAAGTAGTTTTCATGGAGGTGGAGAGTGGACTAGTGGTTACCAGAGGGTAGGAAGGGAAGGAGGTCAGAAGGATGCAGAGACGTTGGTTAATGGTACAAAAATACAGTTAGATGGAATACGTTCTTGTATTGGATGGTATAGTGGGGAAATTATAGTTAATAATTTATTGTATATTTCAAAATAGCTATTATAGAAGAACCGTAACGTTCTCCAAATGAAGATAAATGTTTGAAGTGATGAATTTCACAATTACCTGGACTTGATCAATACACAATGGATACATCTATCAAAATATCCTATGTACCCCTAAAATATGTACAACCACAATATATCTATCAAAAAATAAATAAAAAACAGGGCGGGGCACAGTGCCTCAAGCCTGTAGTCCCTGCACTTTGGGAAGCCTAGGTGGGCAGATCTGTTGAGCCCAGGAGTTCAAGACCAGCCTAGGCAACATAGTGAGACCACATCTCTACAAAAAAAATACAAAAAACTAGCCAGGCATACTGGCACCGGCCTGTAGTTCCAGCTACTCAGGAGGCTGAGGTGGGAGGATCGCTTCAGCCAGGGAGGTAGAGGGTGCAGTGAACCATAATTGCGTCTAGCCGGGGTGACAAGGCGAGACCCTGTCTCAAAAAACTAAAATAAAAGTAGAAATTTTAAATTTAAATAAAAAAAAATACAAAAATTGAAGCTGGATTAAAAAGGCCCCCCCCCAAGTCAGTAACCAGGGAGATGCTGACAGGGCATCAAGTTTGCTTTCAAAGATGGCCCTGCCTTCTTAAAGCATATCCACCAACGTGCCACCCCTTATCTGGCCCACACTGGCACCTGGAGGGTGTTAGGTAAAGTGCCTCAGCAAATGGCAGCCTGTGCTGTTTGCTCTGGCTGTGCCCCTTCCTTCTGGCTCTCCAAGACTATTTCATCCTCAGTTCTCAGAGAGAACCCTGGACCTTCTGGAGACTGCAGACTAAACTTTAACAAAAGAGACAGTCATAGTGATGATGATGAGGAGGAGGAGGATGATGATGATGACGATGATATAATAGCTAACACTTACACAACACACGCTGCATGGCAAGGAACTGTTCCCAGAGTTGCATAACTATTTTTGTTGTTGTTGCTGGTTTTTTTTGTTTTGTTTTGTTTTGTTTTGTTTTTGAGACGGAGTCTCGCTCTGTCACCCAGGCTGGAGTGCAGTGGCGCGATCTCAACTCACTGCAAGCTCCGCATCCCAGGTTTATGCCATTCTCCTGCCTCAGCCTCCTGAGTAGCTGGGACTACAGGCGCCCACCACCACACCCGACTAATTTTTTGTATTTTTAGTAGAGACGGGGTTTCACCATGTTAGCCAGGATGGTTTCAATCTCCTGACCTCGTGATCCGCCCACCTAGGCCTCCCAAAGTGCTGGGATTACAGGCGTGAGCCACCACGCCCGGCCCAGAGTTGCATAACTTAACTCATCCCATTCTCCCCACAACCCTAGGAATTAGTTACTATTATTATCTCCATCTTTTTTTTTTTTTTTTTTTTGAGACGGAGTCTTGCTTTGTCACCCAGGCTGGAGTGCAGTGGCGCAATCTTGGCTCACTGCAACCTCTGCCTCCTGGGTTCAAGCGATTCTCCTGCCTCAGCCTCCCAAGTAGCTGAGACTACAGGCGTGTGCCACCATGCCCGGCCAATTTTTTTGTATTTTTAGTAGAGACGGGGTTTCACCATGTTGACCAGGCTGGTCTCGAACTCCTGACCTCAGACAATCCACCCACCTTGGCCTCCCAAAGTGCTGGGATTATAGGCGCAAGCCACCGCGCCTGCCCATTATTTCCATCTTATAGATGGGGTAAACTGAGGTACAAACCGGTTATGTCACTTGCCCAAGTCGCATCGCTGGGATCTGAAACCAGGTCACCTCGCTCCAGAACTCAGGTTCTCAGTCACCATTAGGGATGAGCCACATTGTCCAAAGACATTGCTCCAGACCCATCTCGACTCCCCCACCCCTTCCTGCTTCCATTTGGGTCCAATAAATACTTGCCCAATGCCTACTTCATGCCAGGTCCTGCATTAGGCACTGTGGATGGGTGGCAACAGAACAGATAAAACCCCTGTCCTAGTGAAGTCACACTCTCCCTGCCTCTCCAGGCACTCAGGGTGTGAGCTCCACTGCTGTTTCACAGACCCATGCAGGTTGTATTAAGATGTTTCTAGAATTCCTGAAAATACACACACGTTTTATCTTCCCCATCTAGGCTGTCAGGCTGGGGAAATAAAACTGAAAAATCAAGGTGGCAGAGACAGATGTGGTGGCTCATGCCTGTAATCCCAGCACTTTGGGAGCCTGAGGTGGGTGGATCACCTGAGGTCAGGAGTTCGAGACCAGCCTGGCCAACATGGTGAAACCCGTCTCTATTAAAAACAGAAAAATTAGCTGGGTGTGGTGGCGGGTGCCTGTAATCCCAGCTACTCAAGAGGCTAAGGCAGGAGAATGGCGTGAACCCAGGAGGTGGAGCTTGCAGTGAGCCGAGATCAAGCCATTGCACTCCAGCCTGGGTGACAGAGCGAGACTCTGTCTCAAAAAAAAAAAGACAGCAGAGAGGAAAACACAAAGCTTTTGGAGTCAGACATGCCAAGGTTTGAGTCTCAGCTCTACTGCTTGTTAGCTGTGTGACCTTAGGCAAGTCATCTTGCCTCTCTGTGCCTTAGTGTCTTCATCTGTTAAACAGGAATAATCATAATACAAGTATTATGAATTTAATATTTAAGTTTTGGGGGAGGGATAAGGTCACCTTACTCTTTCTGCTCTTTCTGCCCACGAGAGAAGGAAACTGACATTTATTGAGCACCTACAGCATGCAATACTAGGTGCTGGGGCTTTCTACGTGGTCCTCATTCAATCCTGAAAACAAATCCTCCACTGTAGCACCTGGGGATGCAGTGGTGATTAAACCAAATCTCTGTCCCCAGGGGACCCCACTGTCCACTGTCCTCTCTCAGGACCCAGGGGTAAAATTTATCCCGTCAGTAGACAAGAAAACTGAGGCTCAGAGAAGTTCATGTAACGTCACTGAAACCAGACATCTAGGGAATAGAGGAGGAGAGGTTCAAACTCCAGAGCCAGTATCTTTTGATATTGCTGGCATACAGCAGGCACCAATAGCTGCTCCACGGAGACACACTGGCAATGGAGCCCTATACGTACATCCATAGAAGGCTCTGGAGAGGATCTGGTACTTCATATTGTCACAGAGAAGTTTCAGGGGAGCCCTGCAGGTGGAGAAAGAGGGAGATGCTTAGAATAGATCCAAACACAGCCCAGATTTTCTGGAGAGGATAACCACGTGCTATCTCTAGAGGGCAGATTAATATCAGCCAGTCAGGGAGACTGTAGGGAGGGCTGCTATTACCTCTACCTGTACAGCATCATTGCCTCTTCTGGTACCGGCCCCCTGATTTTCCCTTGAGAAATCACGCTCTCCACAACTGTCTGTGTGGTTTGTATGTGGATGACTCTGCCCACTACAGGACTCAGGTTGGAGTCACAGTGATTGGGGCAGAGATGGTCATGTGACCCAACCTGAGCCAATGAGAATTAGCCCTGGGACTTTTGTTGGAATTACTAGGTAACAGACACTTTTCTGAATGGGTTTCTAAGCCAGTGGGATATAGGGCAGTGGCTGCTGGGAGCCATCTTTGCCACTGCATAGGAAGCACCTGTCTGAGGATGGAACCATCATAGAAGCAAGCAGAGCCAAGAGCTGAAGAAACAGAGATTCCTATTTCGATCATCTGTATCCAGCCATGCCTGAAGCCACTGTGCCTCTAAGCTTCTCAGTTACACCAACAAATTTCCTTTTGTACTTGAACCAGTTTGAAGTGGGTTTCTATCACTTGCAGAAAGAGTTCTGATTTGTAAAGTGATCCAGCTGAACCAAGCTGAGCCAAAGTGGGATTCAGAGTCTGGCTGATTGCTAAGTAGGTGATGCCTCAAAGCTTCTCCTTGCATGGGAATTTTTGGGAACTTTTTCGGCTGAAAGAGGTGAGAGGAGTCAGATTCTAGCATTGTTGGAGAAATCCAGGACTGCTGAAGGGAGTGTTGTACACTCTCATAGAGGATAGAATGGAAGAATATCTGCATATTTGTTCTCAGGACATCCCAGGAGACATCCAGAAAAACAGGTAGACTGGGGCAGGGCAGAAGGAGCATAGCTGAAGTCCTCCACTTAGGCACATTGAGACAGTTAGGAACATTAAACAGTAAAGAGTTCCCCTTTGTGCCCTCAGGTTGATGAGGCTCAGACTTGCTCAGATTACATCAGAATAGGATCACATCAACAGCTTTCCCGCTGTAGACTTCGCTTTCTGCAAAGTAGTGAGCTCTCCATCACTCCAAGTGTGTAAGCAGATGCTACAACAGGAGAGGGGGCAATGGGTTATAGCAGCCTTTCTCACTGGTCCACGGACCATCAGCCCAAGAGTTACTTGGAATTTCTCCAACATGTGGATTCCTGGGTCCTGCACATACCTACTCAGTCAGGACCTCTAGGAAATAGTCCAGGAACTGATATGTTTTGCCACCTAGCCCAGGTGATTCTAATGCATGATAAGAGAATCTCCAGGCGGGGCGCGGTGGCTCATGCCTGTAATCCCAGCACTTTGGGAGGCCAAGGTGGGCGGATCACTTGAGGTCAGGGGTTCGAGAGCAGACTGGCCAACATAGTGAAACCCCATCTCTACTAAAAACACAAAAACTAGCCAGGAATGGTGGCACATGCCTGTAGTCCCAGCTACTCGGGAGGCTGAGGCAGGAGAATTGCTTAAACCCGGGAGGCGGAGGTTGAAGTGAGCCAAGATCATGCCATTGCACTCCAGCCTGGGCGACAGAAAGAGACTCAGTCTCAAAAAAAAAAAAAAAAAAAAAAAAAAGAAAGAAAGAATCTCCAGTAATATTAGCACTTCTCAAACTTTAAAGTATACACATGGTCTTGAAACCACGTTAAATACAGGTTCTGATTCAGGAAGTTTGGGATGAGAGACTCAGAATTTGCCCAGGTGCTGATGCTGGTTCACGGACCACACCCTGAGGAACCAGGGGATTGGATGACTCCAAAAATTTGATGCCAGCCCCCACCCCTTATATCCTATGGCTGATGACTGGACCACCCACTAGGACAGAAGCCCCGCAAGGACAAAAGGGTTCTATTTTCTCAGGCCAGGCCAGGTTGGACCAGGGGAAAACAAGATCAGTCTCATGAATTGGCTGAAGAGTTTCAAAGAGACAAAGGATCTATGGGCAAACAGAAGATGAGCTTGAGATTTAACTTTATATAATAAAACATTAAGTGTCATTTACTGAACAGTACCATGTGCAGGTGCCACATTCTGGCCACTTTAAACCATTACCTGAGCTGGTCCTTACCACAGCCATATAAAGTTAAGAACTGGAATTTCCACTGTGTGGGGGTGCAAACTGAGATGTGGTTGTTGTTAAATAATATTTCTGGGATTATTTTGCCTTCTAGGTGTATGGTAGGGCTGCACTTACTGTCCCCTTGTGGATGGGGCCAATGGGCTGTGAGTGGATATGACATGTGCTGCTTTTGGGCAGAGCCTTTTTATCGTAGGTTCCAACCTCTGCAGAGCTACCTTTCCCTGTCATTGTAACTGGCAACATTCAAGATGGTAGCTGCTCCATCACCCAGGCCCTTTAGTGTGGAAAAAACAGCCACCAGCTGACCCATGATAGAAACACAGCATGCATGATAAATAAACTTTTGTTGTAAAAAAGCCACTGAGGTTTTAGGACTGTTTGTTACTGCAGCATAACCTTGTTTATCCTGACTATTACATGTAACCTCTAACAGCTAGGATTTCATGGCCAGGATTTAACCTATATCTGCCTGAGTCCGCAGGTTATGCTCACTCTGAATTCAGTGCAGGGTAAGACATGGGCATCTACAGATCTCTGGTACATCCTTCAGCTCTCTCCATCTGCAGCTCAAGCCCCTCATACCTCTCATGGTTGCAGCCATTGGTCGAGCTACCATCAGCCGAGCCACTCTGTGAACAGGATGAACAGGAGGACTTCCGGGGACTGGGCTGCCACAGGGATGGGAGGTTGCTTACAGAGACGTCCATCAGATCCTGGGGCACTGTGGTGGATAGAAGGAGGGGCAGAAGAATCACCCTGGTTAAACCTATGTGGGTCACAGAAATCTCACCCTAGAGCAAGCAGCTCACCCGCCCCAGCCAGCACAGAGATAGGAAAAGACCCTGAAGATGACAGTAGGAAACAGCAGCCCTAATCATCCTTGAGTTTGCCTGATCCAATGAAAGCCACCACCAAAATCTGGGGCAGAGCTGATGACAGCCAAAGAGAGAAGAAGAGGACACAGAGAGCCAAGAGCCAAGAAACCAGGCCCAATCCCAGAGCAGGAGGCCAAGCCTTGCCATGTTGTCACTTAGTCATGCTCACAGGATGCTGCAGGAGGGAAGGGGAGCCTGCTGGATGATTCTGGAGAAGAGACAGGCCTCATGGCTGAGATGGAAGGGAGCCTGACTCAATAGATGAGGCAGGGCACCCAAGTGCCAGAGACCCAGTGAAGCCCCTGCTGAGGAAGAGGGCACCTGCGCTGTCCATGGTCCTGAGGCTAAAGCTGCTCCAGCAAGTGGGTCTCAAACATATTAGCAACTCCCTAAAATCACGTGGGAAGCTTGTTAAAAAGCAATATGGCTGCCCCACACTCCTGGCCTACTCAACTAAATCCTAGAGACAGAGCTCTCAAATCTGTATTTCTAAAGCAATTTTGATACAGCAGGTATATTCGATGGACTCTGATTTCCTAACTTTTGGACACTGGTGATTCCTGACCAGCCACTCTCAGGATACAGCACTCATAGCTTCCTTTATTTATTTTTCTTTCTCAGCTTCATAAGAACTGCAGAGTCTACAAAACCACGTAACAAACATACTGGGGACATATGCATTACCATTTCTATAGTCAACTTCCTGGCCTCTTGGTAGTCCTAGACAGGTGCAAAAGCTTTATTTTCTTTTTCTTTTTTCTTTCTTTCTTTTTTTTTTTTTCTGAGATGGAGTCTCGCTTTATTGCCCAGGCTGGAGTGCAGTGGCGTGGTCTTGGCTCACTGCAAGCTCCGCCTCCTGGGTTCACGCCATTCTTTTATCTTCTTTAAAACAGGGATCCATAAAAACTTTTTCTGTAAAGGGACAGCTAGTAAATATTTTAGTGTTTGTAAGCCATTTGGTCTCTGTCATAAGCACCTGACTCTGTTGTTCTAGTGCAAAAGTAACCATAAACAAAATGTAAAAAAGGAAGCATGCACATGTTCTAATAAAATAAACTTTATTTATAAATACTGAAATGTGAATGTCATATCATTTTCATGTCACAAAATATTACTCTCCTTTTGGCTTTTTTGGATCATTTAAAAATTGAAAAAACATTCTTAGCTCATAGGCTGGTACAGAATGGGGCTGAATTCAGCCCATGAATCTTAGTTTTCTAATCCCTGCTGTAGGAAGTGAAGAGAGTTGCACACTTTTTTTCCCATATGTCATGGTCCCCACAGGACAACTGGTAATACCCTGACTCTTCCTTGGGCCCCAAGGTAAGGGAGAGTTGTGGAACTGCTCCTCTTGCCATCAGAGCTCCGTAGCTGACAAGGTCAGCCCCTACCCACAGACAGAAGAGGAAGCTGCCTGTACGATGTAATTCTTGCAGCCACCAAATGTGGCTTGTTACACTATTCTTCCCCATGTAGACTCACCCATGAGCTAGCCAAGATCAGTAAGCCCCTGTAAAATGTTCTAGAAGAAAAGCCCCAGTTCTTAGCCAATCTCAGGGATGCACTGACCAGTTTAGCCCAAGCATGGCAACCATGCCTTCCTCCATCTCAGCCTCTCACACCCACATCCATGCAGACATCACCAATTGATCCCTTCGCTACTGAACCTACAACACTGCAAGCTGCCTTCCATAGAGTGGAGGCTGGACAGCAGGAGGGCATCAATCCCTCTGCCTCCATCTCCCTTCCTGCCTCCATCTCCCTTGGGACCAGAACTCAAATGACAACATGGCAGAGGTGGCTGGCACCCAGCCCCTGGGGACGGGGAGATCCCAGACATTACTGGGGGGCTGCTCCTTCGGGCTTGGCGTGGGGAGAGTAGTGTCCCATCTGGCTGGCTCCCACTGACTCCCTCTGGCCACCACCAGCATGGACCGGCCTGCAGGAACCATCATCCAGGCAGGGCCCACAGAGACGGAGGAAGTGCTGCCCAAGAAGTCGGGGGCAACTTGAGACACAAAACAGAAAGAACCAGTGAGGTGGGGGTTCTGCGGTGGGCAGGACACTGAGACAGCTGGAAGAGCCAGTTTCTGGGGGCTCCAACCCTCCCCCTTCCCGGCTCCACACAGCTCCCACATTCACTGTGTTCAATTAGAAGAAAGAATGCTGATTTTTATAAAGTGCCAACTATGCGCTGAGTGTCAGGCTAGGAAGTTTACGACCTGAGCAAACCTAAGGAAACCAGTTATTGTTCTTCACGACCCTGTGAGGGATGCATCCTCCCTCTTCTATTTTGCAGAAGAAGAAACTGAGGCTCAGAATGATGGCATGACTTAATCACCCAAAGCCCTGCCAGGCAGTAACAGACGTATCTAGTCTTTTTGACTGAAGTCCCTCTCCTCTTTCCACTAACAACTGCTGTCCCTACTGAGTACAGTACTATCATTAACCCCTTTTACAGATTAGAAAACTGAGGCATGGAGAGTTTAAGCAACATGCCCAAAACCACCCAGCTAATGAGGAGAGGAGCCAAGATCCTAACCCAGGGGATTTGACTTTTTTTTTTTTCTGAGGCAGGGTCTTGTTTTGTCATCCAGGCTGATGTACAGTGGCACAAACGTGGCTCACTGCAGCCCTGATCTCCCAGACTCAAGTGATCCTCCATCCTCAGTCTCCTGAGTAGCTGGGACTACACGCACGTGCCAGCATGGCCAGCTAATGTTTTAAAATTTTTTGTAGAGATAGGGTTTTGCCATGTTGCCCAGGCTGATCTCGAATTCCTGGGCTCAAGCCATCCTCCCGCCTCAGCCTCCCAAAGTGCTGGGATTATAGGCATGAGCCACTGTGCCTGGCCTGAGGACTTGACTCTGAGCCTACTCTTTCTCCCTCAGCTGTTTCTCATAGGCACTTGTCTCTCCACACCATCTGTTCTCAAAACAGGGCAATCCTGTTGATGTTTGGAGACACTTTGGGTTTTCACGCCTTGGGGATTAATTAGGTGCTACTGTCATCTAGTAGCTGGAGGCCAGGGATGCTGCTCAACATCGTAGAAAACACAAGGCAACCCCCACACAAGGAATTATTCAGCCCTAAATGTCAACAGTGCTGAGGCTGAGAAACCCCACGCTAGACCAGCATTACCCAATAGAAACACAATCAAGAGGCTGGGAGGTGGCTCACGCCTGCAATCCCAGGACTTTGGGAGCCTGAGGCGGATGAATTGCTTGAGCCCAGGAGTTCCAAGTCCAGCCTAGGCAACATGGCAAAACCCCATCTCTACAAAAAATCCAAAAAAAAGTAGCCAGGTATGGTGGCTTGTGCCTGTGATTCCAGCTACCCAGGAGGCTGAGGTGGAAGGATCGACTGAGCCCAGGAGGTTGAGGCTGCAGTGAGCCATGATCGCACCACTGCACTCCAGCCTGGGCAACAGAGCGAGACCCTGCCAAAAAAAAAAATTACAATTGAGCCACATATGTAATTTAAAAAAATTTCTTTTTTTTTTTTGAGATGGAGTCTCGCTCTGTTGCCCAGGCTGGAGCGCAATGGCACAATCTCGGCTCACCAAAACCTCCGCTTCCCGGGTTCAAGCAATTCTCCTGACTCAGCCTCCCGAGTAACTGGGACTACAGACATGTGCCACCACGCCCGGCTAGTTTTTTGTATTTTTAGTAGAGATGGGGTTTCACCGTGTTAGCCAGGATGGTCTCGAATCTCCTGACCTCGTGATCTGCCTGCCTCGGCCCCGCAAAGTGCTGGGATTACAGGCGTGGGCCACTGGGCCTGGCATAATTTAAAAATTTTTGTAGCCACATTAAAAGGTTAAAAGAACAGGTGAAATCAATTCCAGCAATATATTTTGTCTAACCTAGTCTATCCAAAATGTTACTATTTTAACATCTAATCAATATAAAATTATTGAGACTTTTTTTTTTAACAAAGTCTCAAAATCCAGTGTGTGTCTTACACTTCCAGCACATCCCCATCTGCCCTGGAGATGTTTCAGGAGCCCAAGAGCCACATGTAGCCCATGGCTACCCTGCTAGACAGTACAGAGACAATCTCAGAAGCAGAGGGGTCTGAAAATGCCCTTATCTGATGTGAACCTGTCCACATATTTTGGAACTTGTCCTTGCCTCCCCAGAGCACAAGGGGCAGGCAAAGAACCCAGCGGAGACAGGTCTGATGAGACACTGAGAGGCAGCTTAGAAACATCTGTGGTCATATCTCCCCTCCCACAGGGTGAAATCCTTTATATTTAAGGCATATATCTGCAAATTTCTTCTGTTAAAAGCCTGACAGTAAATACTTTCAACTTTGTGGGCCATATGACCTCTGTCACAACGATTCACCTCCGCTGCTGTGGCATGAAAACAGCCATAAATGATATATAAATGAATGGATGTGGCTGTGTTCCAATAAAACTTTATTTACAAAAACAGGTGAGTGGGCTGAAATTGGCCCATGAAAAGGGGTTTGTTGACTTCTGATTTAGGCACTCTTTCAGAAAGAACTTCTTATCTCTTACAGATGGAAACCTCTCACAAATGGAAACCGCAGGATGACTGTTTTTCTTAAGCCTGTGCGGCTCAAGCCCCAGAAAATCAACCAAGGATGCGGTTGCCATTTCCATGTGGGTTGAAGTTGACCTTGAGACTGAAGGGAGTGAAACCACAATGCCCTCTCCCTGCCAGTCAAAACGATGTGCATGGAGTGGTGGTTAGAGGCACAGGCTCTGGAGCCAGACCCCCAGCGTTCAAATCCCAGCCATGACAAGAATTAGTTGTGTGATCCTGGACTAGTTGCTTAACCCTTCTGTGCATCAGTTTCCTCCTTGCAAAATGGGGGATGGTGATGACAACCTGGGAGGGCTAATGGTGAGGATGGAATGAGTTAAGATAGGGACAGTGGGACAGCAGACAGAAGTGGGCCTGGCACACAGTGGCACTCAAGACACGATACCTACTATTGCTTACTGAGCATCTGCCAAGCGTCAGGCCCCATGTCAGGTCACCAGGTGTTTTAGGAATGATCTTGCTGATTCCTCAGAATATGCTGCTGGTGGGGACTGCTGTTACCCCATTCTACAGAGAAGGAAGTGAGGCCTGCGGAGGACAGGTCACTTAACCACACCGCAGTGGCAGAGCTGAATACAGTGATGCCTTCTTTTCTCTAAACCAACGGTTCTCAAGCAGAGGCAATTTTGCCACCCTCCAGAGGACACCTGGCAATGTCTAGAGACATATCTGGTTGTCACAACTTAGAGCAAAGTAAGTTCGCTACTTGGCATCTAGTGGGTGCTCAACATCCCACAATGCACAGGACCACCTCCTACAACAAAGAATTATTCCATCCCAAATGACAGTAACGCTAAGGTTCAGATGTCCAATTCTAGATAAACTGAATTAGTTGGGAGTTTCCTCAAGGGCAGACAAGGATCCAAGTACAAGTTCCAAAGGCACATCAGTAAGGGAGAGGCAAATTGAGACAAAGGAAGAAAAGGGGAGGGAGTAAAGGGTTAGTTGCCAAGCAAGTTACCAATAGAGGTAACTGTGCTTAATCTCCCATGGAAGCTCTGGGAGACTGTGCCGAACATGTATGTCAGAGTTTGCCTCACAAAGGGACAGTGAGCTGGGATATTGATACACTAACTCCTATCAGCCATAAGCTGAGGGCTGCTCCAGGGAGGCACTGGTTCCCCGATGCTTCCAATATGCCCCATCCCTGGCCAGAAGGGACTCTTGTGGCCAGAGAAAACCCTCAGGCAAAGAGATACTGAGGCAGGGAGCTGCAGCTGGTAGCTGAATAGCATGCACAGAATGGGAAATGCTGAGGATGTGGGTGAGCACAGCCAGTGTCCTCACTGTTCCACTGGCCTTCATCAAGCCACAGGAGGATGACATAGAGAATCTCCAAATAAATTAAACACCCAGCACTCTGCCTAGCTCCCAGCGGGAGTGTACACATTGCCTGTTGGATGAGAAGCTGTGGAGTTTCCTGGGAAGGCAACTATAGAGGATCTGGCCCTCTCTGATAACTGGCTCTCGAGTAGAACTCTTAATGAATGTTGGTCTTCACAGGGGTGGGAAGCCCAAGTTCATGGGCAACAGAACAGACGCTGGCTCAACATCCCAGGGGATTTCACCCTCATACATGGAGCCCCTTCAGCCTTGGGGCCCATAACAGCCTTGGTGTCCAGCCAGGATAGTGGGCGCCTGGTTCCATGGAGTGGCTGGGAGGCCCTGATCCAGGGCAGGAACAGACATGGTCATGAACACTTCAGGACACTGTAGCGCTTAAGGGGTTCCAGCCTTGTCCAGGAGGACATCTGCTCTCAAAAGAGCCTCTCACTGCCCAGCACGTGGCTGCTTCAGCAAAGGGAGGCTCAGAGCCATTATCCTCGGATGGGAACATGAGGGCCGCTCCATGTTAAATAAAATGAAGTGAACAGAAAGAACCTACCACTCAATACTGATTTGTTTAACAGACACCCATACAATGCTTCATAAATGCCAGGCCCTCTTCTAAGTACTTTTCAAATCTTAATTCACTGAATCCTCACCATAGCCCTGCAATGGTGATGCGCTTACTAGTAAGAACTTCCATTTGCTGCGCATCTGTGTCACGGCAGGCACCGTGCAACCTGCTTGAATTCACCCCCATCTCATGTGCCAGTGCCTGGTGCTCTGCTTCGCCTCTACCGGTGTAAAGTTTGACTACAACTTACTGAGGGCCTGCTGTGTGCAAGGCCTTACTCTATGGGCTCTACAATGAATATCTCATCATCTCATTGAATCTTTATAAAAGGGGAAGTAGAATATTAACAACAGCAGCAACATTTGAGTGTTCTGTATGTGTGAAATGCTTTATCTCATTTAAAAAGTATTTTAATTTGCATTTATTTTGAGACAGGCCTTCACTTTGTTGCCCAGGCTGTAGTGCAATGACATAATCACGGCTTACTGCAGCCTCGACCTCCCCAGGCTCAGGTGATCCTCCCACCTCAGCCTCCCAAATAGCTGGGACCACAGATGCATGCCACCACACCTGGCTAATTTTTGTATTTTTTGTAGAGACAGGGTTTCGCCATGTTGCCCAGGCTGGTCTTAAACTCCTGGGCTCAGGCAATCCAAAGTGCTCCCTCCCAAATTTCGGCCTCTCAAAGTGCCAGGATTACGGGTATGAGCCACCATGCCCGGCCGCCTTACCTCGTTTAATCCCCAGAATGACTATGAAACTGGTGCTATGAACATGCCCATTTTACAGATGAGGAAACTGAGGCACAGAGGGCTGAGATGACTTGCCCAAGTTCAGCCAGGATTCCAGAGCCTATGCCATTGCCACTACCCCAGGCCACCTCTCCTAGTGGCAACTTTATTAGACAAGTAGAGGGTGGTTATTGTTCTTATTTGGGGGGAAACTGAGGCTGCCAAGAAACCGACTTTCTGTTTCCAGATCCTCCTGTTAGCCCCAGAATCCAGACCTGTCATCTTCTAGTTTCAAACACCTGGAGTCATTTTCAGGATCAGTTAGCAGGTGACTCCCCGGGGCCCGGGACAGGGCAGCTCACC
This sequence comes from Homo sapiens, assembly GCF_000001405.40. Taxonomy (NCBI): domain Eukaryota; kingdom Metazoa; phylum Chordata; class Mammalia; order Primates; family Hominidae; genus Homo; species Homo sapiens. The sequence continues at coordinate 24,868,854 of NC_000022.11, read as the reverse complement.
GAATTCCGACTGCATGCCAGGGTAGATGATCCTGAACACATAATCCGTGGCCTCATCATCATCTTTGTCTGAAGATGTGGACTCGGCAGAACCCTGAGGGCTTCGCTTGCGCAGTTTAGGAAACACTTTGCCCTGCAAAAACATGTCCCAAAACAAGGTCCTTGGGACACATCTGTCCCCACAACTTGCTTAGTCTGAGGGTATCAGTGGAGAGCGCATGAGGCCACATAGCCACATAAGGGCACACAGGCAAAAACAACCACCCTCTGTGACCAGCCTCCACCCCAGCCTCCCTGGGTCCCGATGATCACTCACCTTACCCCTCTGGGACCACAGTGGCGGGTCCAACTGCCCATGTGGGAGCAGCCCATTCTCCAGGCACGAGAGGAACTGCAGGAGGTGCCCGCCCTTGGGGAAGCGGAAGGGCGGCCTCTGGATCCCGTCCTGGCTGACCAATACCACTGTCCCGCCGCTGTCAACTGCCGCCACCACCAGCCAGAGAAGACCCAGTGGAAGTCACTATGAGGCACGGTGACAGCCCCTTCCTGCAAGCACATCCCCCAGGGGTGCCAAGCCAGACCCAGGGATCCTGCTCTGAGGCTCTGGGAAAGTCCTGGGCAAAGGTCAGGAGCAGTTTTTACCTCCCCTGAGTCTCTCTCATCTCATCCACCATCCACCTCTGACGGGACTACAGGACAAAGTCAAGAAGAACCGAGTTGACCTCCCTGACATTAACCACCAGAGGAAAAAGACGCCCCCTAGAACCCTACGCTCCTCAGGAATCCTTTACAAGTCTACCTGACCTATTTTTGTATGGAGGCCTTCAGACTTCCCCTGTCTCGGGGCAGTAGCTGACTCTGGCTAGCGTGTATTGAGCACTTACTGAATACAAGCGCAGCATGTTAGAGGCACTGTCTTATTGAAATACTCACAATATCCCTAAGAGTCCTATCTATTATTGCCTATTTTACAAATAGTAAAACCAAAGCTCAGAGAGGTTAAGTAACTTCTCCAAGGTCACACAGCTGATCAATGGCAGAGTCTGGGTCTGAATCCAGGTCTGTCTCATGTAAAAGGCTTAAATCACCGTGTTTTGTTCCTTGGTGAGGCACGGACCATTTGCTTTCTAAAGCAGGATGGCCCTCTGCTTACTCTGACTGTACTTTCTTCTGGCTTTAAAGAAGTACTGCAGTTATTGATCCCAATCTTCAGAGCACTGACTTTAGAGTCACAAAAAGCTGGGTCCAGTCCCGGCTCTGGAGCTTCCAGACTGTGTGCCCTTATACTAAGCTGCTTCCTCTCCTCCAAAATGGAAATGATGTCACCCTGTCAGTGGGTGGCTGTGATGACTGAATAACGGGCATGTGAGTGCTCAGAACTGTGCTTAGCACATTATCACTGCTTAGTAAGTGTCAGCAGCTAACGCCATAGCCATAGGTGGATTTCATGCTGAGCCCTTAACATACATCACTTCATCTTCACAACTACCCCATGAGAGGGTCCTGTTATAATTCCCATGTTACAGATGGGGAAACTGAGGCACAGAGCGGTGAGGTCGCTTGCCTAAGGTTGCACAGGTAACATGGGGTGTCCACCATATCATTCGCTCATGATGCTAATGAATAGGCAGGGATGGAGACAGGCAGGGGATCCAAGAGGAATACGCAGACCCCTCCTGTCCCCACAGTCCCTACCTTGCTGGTGGCAGTGCAGGTAGACAATCTCCTCCAAGCGGATGGTCATGGCATAGTCCCAGTAGACGCTGGAAGCGGACGGAGGGTCAGGCTTGCAGGACTTCTGCCTACCCCACTGTGCGGAGGGGCTCAGAGGCCAGCAGACCACAACCAGGAGCTCCTCCACCCTTCCCATTAGGTCCCCAGCATCTGTGTCCCAGCCTGCCCAGACTCTATCTCCCCTTTTTCTGGTCTCAGAACCCCAATTTTCCGAGGTTACCATCCTTCCCACCCCCAGTTCATATGGGAGGTGAGGTCGACCCCACCCACTCTCCACCCTCGGACTCCAGGAATGGCCACCTGACCCAGGCCTGGCCAATCAACCTGTCCCACTGTTCCGGCCACAGTGTTCAGTGCAGGACTGACTCCTGACTCTGGCAGAACCAATGAGACTCAATTATTAGATTTCCATTTGAATGACTGGGAAAGAGATGCCCCATCCTGTCTGGAGAGTAGTGGTAAGGGCAGAAGTCTGAAGATGGAAGCGACTATGCCTGAGAATGGTGTCAAAAGACAGGAAGACAGAGCAAAGAGATGGAAAGAGTGCAGGTCCCTGTCATTCAAGTCCCTGGATCCATCCATGCCTGAAGCTACTACCCCTGGAGTTTTCAATTCATGTGGGCCAGTGCTTAAGTCAGCTTGAATTTCGTTTTCTCTAACTGGCATCTAGGAGTCTTGACTAACTCACATCCTAACTCCAGGCCACTATGTGTCCACGCGCAGGAGTCAGGATAGCCTCTCAATAGCTTCACAGGTTCCCAGCAGTGTGACTCGAGGGTTTCTCTGAGCCTCAGTTTCCTCATCTATAAAATGGGGGCTAGAATAACACCCACCCCATTGTGTTGCTGTGAGAATTAAATAGAATCAAGTATTTGAAGGGCTCAACACAGAGCTGATACATTAAGAAGTGCGTACCTGGGAAGTGGTCCCTATGATTATTTAAGTGTTTCCATTTCCAGCTCAAAACCTTGCTGCTGTCCTGAAACAAATAGCTTTTCTCATCAGAACACACTGGGAGGTGGAGGCCACAGGAACTTGGGCTTTGTGGTGGCCATGGAAATGCACCACTCACATCTCCTTCAGAAGACCTTGCTGAGGGGAGCAGAGCGGATTAACTTCAGAGGCCACTCCCTGGATCTATCACCACATTTGCACCAAAGCCAGGCTTCCGTTAGGCTGCTCCCAGCCAGGACCTAGCAGGCCGGGGTACTAGTGCCGCCCATTCCTGCAAGACAAGGAACTCCTCTAACAGTCAATGGTCCACCGGAGACTTCCAACTGACCTGGCCAAATGTTCTTAGAGCCATGCTGTGTCTCAGACTCCTTCTGCCCAACCTTCCTTCCTTCCTTCTCTCCCTCCCCGCATGGCAGTCTGAAGGCTCTCCCTGTCTGCTCCTGCCCCTCCCTTAACCTGCACAGGTGTGTCCCCAATAAATCTCTGCTGGTTCAATCCTGTCTTGGTGTCTGCTTCTTGGAGGACTCAAACTAACATAGGCTTCAAGGTCAGGCAGCGTTCAAATCCCACTTCCACCAGAGACCTTAGCCAGTTCCTACCTCAGTTTCTGGCCCTCAGTTTCCCTAGCTGTGAAATGAGAAAAGTGGGATAGGCTCAGAGAAACCCTCAAGTCACACTGCTGGGGACCTTTTCTCTTTGAAAGCCCTTCCTGCCCTGGCCTGTACCAGAATCAGCCTCACCAGACTTCACGGAAGTAAATGTCCTTCGAGGACAGTCAAGAACACAAGGGCAGCAGCCTCTGTTGAGCCCCTCCCATACCCAGTCTAGCCAGGGTGTCTTCTCTGGGCTCCCACAGCCCTGTGTGCCCATCACGCTGGGTTGCAACCACCTGTCCTCTCCTCTGGTTCCTCAAAGGTGCTGAACACCTGCAGAATGGTTCTGCTTTGTTCACTTCTCTGTGATGCTCAGACAATGTTCACAGTGCATAGTGAATGCTGAGCACTGGAATGCCCGGTGAACAAAGCTACCACCAGCCATCAGCAAGGAGGAGCTCTGTGGCCACAGTCTCTTTGGATCCATGAAAATGACACCAACAGCCCTCATGACTGAGAGCCCTGTCCAGGTGCCAGGCTCCCAGCTAAGGGTTTTCCATGCACTTCCGTTACATAAATTCTCCCTATATGCTTATTCAGTGGTTCCCTGACTACATTCCCATCTTACAGATAAATAATCTGAGGCTCAAGGAAGTGTAGTTGATTGTCTCAGGCCACAGAGCTAGGAAGGAGCAAGGGCTGTTTCTCATTTTCATTTGCGTGTTTTAGCAGCTTTACTGAGGTATAATTTACACACCATAGAATTTACTCTCTGTAAGTGTACAGTTTGATGAGTAAATGTACAGATTTGGGCAACCATCATCACAAGCCAGTGTTAGAACATTTTTACCACCCCCAAAAGATTCCTCTTGCCTGTTTGCGATCAGTCTTCCTTCCCACCCACAGCCCTAGGCAACCAACAATAATCTGCTTTCTGACTCCACAGATGTGCCTTTTTCTGGACATTTCATCTAAATGGAATCCTACAACATGCACCCTTCGTGGCTGGCTTCTTTTGTGTGGTATAAGGCTTTTGAGGTTCATCCATGTTGTAATATCCACTGGTGATTTATCTCTTTTTATAGACAAGTAATATTCTGTTGCATGGATGGACCACAAATGTCTACATCCGTTCTTCAGTTGATGGGCATCTGGGTTGCTTCCGGTCTTGGAGTCTTGGGCTATTATGAATAATGCTGTTATAAGCATTTGTGTATAAGTTTTTGTGTGGGCTAAGTTTTCACTTCTCTTGGGTAGATCCCTATGAGCAGAATTGCTGGGTCACAAGGTAAGGGGATGTTACAAGAAACTGCCAAGTTGGTCTGTAAATTGGTTGTCCACCAGCAGGGTAGGAGGGTTCCACTGCTGCTCCACACAGTAGGGCTGAGATCGGAGGCAAGTCCAGCCTGACTTCAGAACCCCAATATCTAGCTTTTTCGTGACATTTTCTCTTTAACATTGGAATACCCAGCTAGTGAGTGAGGATCGTGGCTGTGCAAGAGTGAGGCTGGCTGTGAAAAGAAAAAAGAGCTCTGGCCAGGCACAGTGGCTCATGCCTGTAATCCCAACACTTTGAGAGGCTGAGGTGGATGGATCCCCTGAGGTCAGGAGTTTGAGACCAGCTTGACCAACATGGAAAAACCCCGTCTCTACTAAAAATACAAAATTAGTCAGGCGTGGTGGCACATGCCTGTAATCCCAGCTACTCGGGAGGCTGAGGCAGGAAAATCGCTTGAACCTGGGAGGCGGAGGTTGCAGTGAGCCGAGATCATGCCATTTCACTCCAGCCTGGACCACAAGAGCGAAACTCCATCTCAAAAAAAAAAAAAAGAAAAGAAGAAAAAAAGAGCTCCTGCACAAGCTCAGACAAAAACCACCCCATTTCATTGCTTCTTGGTCCCCCAAGGGATGCTGGAGCTCCTGGGGCAAACCCCTTCCCGACACACCAACCCCCACATTTCTGACTCCTGCCATTTATCTTCCATTGAGCCTCAGGTTCTGGTGAGAATAACAACGATAGACAGGAGTTCATGGCCCAGGGCTAGAGATGCCCCAGCTCCTGGGCAGTGACCTTAGAAGTTCTGATTCAACCGAACTCAGTATCAAAGCGCCTACGATGGCCGGGCGCGGTGGCTCACGCCTGTAATCCCAGCACTTTGGGAGGCGGAGGCGGGTGGATCACGAGGTCAAGAGATCGAGACCATCCTGGCCAACATGGTGAAACCCCGTCTCTACTAAAAATAGAAAAGAATTAGCCAGGCATAGTGGTGGGCGCCTGTAGTCCCAGCTACCCGGGAGGCTGAGGTAGGAGAATCACTTGAACCCAGGAGGCGGAGGTTGCAGTGAGCCGAGATTGTGCCACTGTACTCTAGTTTGGCGACAGAGCAAGACTCCATCTCAAGAAAACAAACAAACAAACAAAAACAGTGCCTATGAGGTGCCTGTTCACCAACAGCGAAAGATGATGCAGAAACACGGGTCCCCGATTATCTGCGCTGGGGCGGGGCTTGGCAATCCTCGGATCCAATGCTTTTCCCAAAACATTAGCATCAGGTTTCTGGCCCACACAACCCTGGGCTCAAGTCCAAGCAACAAACAGGGTCCTCGCGCTGTGAAAGCTTTGACGTTGGGTGCAAGACGCTTCAGTGTTTGAGAAGCCCCTGCAGACCCCTGGGAATGCCTTGAGTTCTAAGGAGACCATATCTCGTCCTACTCCCCCACTTGATAAAAAGGGAACCCTGAGGCTCATTGAGGTGGAGTGACATACCCCAGGTCACCCAGCAAGGTGACAGTGGAGCAAAGGCTTGGTTCCATAGCGTATGTCCATCCATCTCCTTGCTCATTCATTGTCTTCCAGTAGAATGTAAGCTCTGAGAAGGTAAAGATTTTCCCCTCCTTTCCTTGCATCTGTCTCCCTTGCATCTAGCACAGTGGCTGGCACAGAGTAGGGGCTCAGTAAACATCCAGTGAATGAATCCAGGTCCTGACTTCCCTGCTTCATTTCACAAAGATGATCTGAGCACCTACTATGTACTACAACCTGTGGCAGGTGCTGGGGATAAGAAGCGAACAAGACGGGACCCTTGCCTTTAAGGCACTGAGCTCTCGAGGGCAAGATGGTAGGTACACAGGCACAGATGGACTGTGTGACTACAATCTTCTAAATGCTACAATGGAGATTCAGGGCTTGTGTGATCTGGACTCAGCAGGGAGGTCAAAGAAGGCTTTAGACCAAGGTTTAAGATAAAGAGACCCAGAGCACCCCTGGGACCCCTCCCCTATTCTTCCATGATGGTCGCCTGATTAGAAACTCTAGACTCTGGGTGGCCGGGTGCGGTGGCTCACGCCTGTAATCCCAGCACTTTGGGAGGCCGAGACGGGTGGATCAGCTGAAGTTGGGAGTTCGAGACCAGCCTGACCAACACGGAGAAACCCTGTCTCTACTAAAAATACAAAAACTAGCATGGTGGTGCATGCCTGTAATCCCAGCTACTCAGGAGACTGAGGCAAGAGAATTGCTTGAACCTGGGAGGCGGAGGTTGTGGTGAGCCGAGATTGTGCCATTGCACTCCAGCCTGGGCAACAAGAGCAAAACTCTGTCTCAAAAAAAAAAAAAAAGAAAGAAAGAAAGAAACTCTAGACTCTGGGAAGCCGAGGTGGGAGACTCACTTGAAGCCAGAAGTTCAAGACCAGCCTGGGTGACAAAACGAGAAACCATCTCCATATAAAATAAAATAGAAATTAAAAAAAAATAAAAATAACCTTGAGAGGCGGCCGAGATGGGCAGATCATTTGAGGTCAGGAGTCGAGACCAGCCTGGCCAACACGATGAAACCCCGTATCTAACGAAAATACAAAAATTAGCTGGGTGTGGTGGCAAGTCCCTGTAATCCCAGCTACTCAGGAGGCTGAGGTGGGAGGATCGCTTGAACCCAGGAAGCAGAGGTTGCAGTGAGCCGAGTTCGCGCCACTGCATTCCAGCCTGGGTGACAGAGCGAGGCAGTGTCTCAAAAAAATGAATAAATAAATAAAATAAAATATAAATAAATAAAATTAAAATGTTTAAAAAGAGAGAGAGAGAGACTACAGGGTCTAGTTGGAGCTGAATTATTGTGCCCAGCACAGGACCAATTGTCCTGCCCACTGACCAGCTCTGAGGACAGATGGTGACTCCTGCACAGGAAGTAATCAGCTTAGAGAACACTTTTTTTTTTTTTTTTTTTGAGACAGAGTCTCGCCCTGTCATCCAGGCTGGAGTGCAGTGGCGCGATCTCGGCTCACTGCAACCTCTGCTTCCCAGGTTCAGGCAATTCTCTGCCTCAGCCTCCTGAGTAGCTGGGATTACAGGTGCCCGCCACCATGCCCAGCTAAGTTTTGTATTTTTAGTAGAGACAGGGTTTCACCATGTTGGCCAGGCTGGTCTTGAACTCCTGACCTCATGATCTACCTGCCTCAGCCTCCCAAAATGCTGGGATTACAGGCATGAGCCACCGCGCCCAGCCTAGAGAACACTTTTCATCACTCCAAGGCCTGATGTTTCTTGAAAAGAGTCTTTATTTTTTTAGAGATACACATTAAAATATTTACAGATGAAATCATATCATGTCTGCATGTTGCTTCAAAATTATATATATATATATATATATATATATTTTTTTTTTTTTTTTTTTTTTTTTTAAGACAGTCTCGCTCTGTCACCCAGGCTGGAGTGCAGCAGTATGATCTCAGCTCACTGCAACCTCTGCCTCCTGGGTACAAGCAATTCTCCTGCCTCACCCTCCCGAGTAGCTGGGACTACAGGTGTGTGCCACCATGCCTGGCAATTTTTGTATTTTTAGTAGAGATGGGGTTTCACCATGTTGGCCAGGCTGGTCTTGAACTCCTGACCTCATGATCCACCCGCCTCAGCCTCCCAAAGCACTGGGATTACAGGTGTGAGCCACCACACCCGGCCCAGAATAATATTATTGGGGAGAAGGGGATGGGTTCATGGCCACGAGGGCAGGGCGATGGGTACCTGAGTTCTGTCTATCTTTAGGTTAAAAATTCTTCATTGTAGAAAGTTTTTTTAGGAAAGCAATAAAATGTAAAATAAGATTCGATGTGGACTTGGAGCAGGAAAAACCACTGCTTCTCCTCCCCACCAGCAGCCAAGCCTCCTCAAGCTAAAATATTTGAACCAGCCACACCTCTGCACCATGGCTTTCTTTGTTCCTCCTAAAGTCTTCCCTAATTGGGCTGGAACCCAGGCATTGCAGCAGGAAATCCCCTGTCCCAGCATTTCTTTCAAGTGTGACTCGAAAGCCTTTGCTGGGTCTTATAAATCACAAGATTTCATGGCAGATGCAGCCCTGGACCAGATGCTCGCTAACACCTCCTGCCTTCCCTTTTTATTGAATGATGGGAGAGGGAAGACAGAGACTGAAGAATATTTGCCATTTGCAGGCTTAGGAGATCTCTATAAAGATGTCTCCCTCTGGATGGTTTTGTCCAGGGCATTGCCAACTTCCATGCCCTAAGACTCTTCCAGTTGGTTTCCAGGTCCTCTCAAGCCTTTGAGTTTCCTGGGAGGCCACAGCTGCGGGGAGGCTGAGCCAAGTGGTCCTAACAACCAGGCAGAGGAGGGGGCAGAAGCAGGGGCGGGATACAAACCTCCCCTCCCCCGGGGAGGAACTTCCTTGTGCCAAGGCGAGTGGAGGGACCCAAGGGATACGTATCAGACCCAGTGCCCTACCTCTTCTCATAGTCCAGGTCCCCCACAGACCCGTTCATCAGCTGGTTGGGTGTCCACTTCAAGGTCATGACGTCAGCCGTCTGGTGCAGGGACAGGTACCCTGGCACAGCCTCCATGTCGTCCCTCTGCAGAGAGAGGAGGACTCAGGTCTGGCCATGGTGCTGGAGTTGCTGTGGACATAGGTCCTGGCCCGTTTGATTTAAGAACACATAATCAGAACTAAGAGGTTGGGTTAATCCCTTCAAGGCCCTGGCCATGTGGAAGACTCTAAAGCCTCCTTCCAGATGGCCATGCTAAGCAAAGCCATTTGCAGCCAGCCTCCCAAATGGGTTCTACATCGTCCAGCTGTGAAAGCCTCCCACCCCCATCACTTTCACACTCTGACTTCCTCCTGAGCTCCAGGGTCCCTGACCCCAGGTTCCTTCAGAGCCAGGAAGGAGGCTCTGCCCCACTGAAAATCACGCTTTTCAAAACAGAAGGCATTTATCTTGGCTAGGCTTAAGGGAGAAAGAGATGGCAGTTGAGCTCTAGGGCCCTTCCTAGAGACAATACTCAGAGACCTCCTCCCAAAAACCCCCCCTACACTCCCCGCCCAGTAGCCGGTCCCTTTTCTCCCCTAGATTTACCTACAGGAATTCTCACCGGCTTTGTTTTATTCCAGGTGGGTGTGTGGGGAGGGTGATGTCACCACCCCTCCATCAAATTCACCCTAACATTTACTGAGCACCAAGTGTGTCCCAATCACGGCTCAGCCTTCACACGCACTGTCTTGATTTAACCACACGCACCTATAACCCCAAGGGAGGAGCAGTGCAGTATTTCATTGATCCAAAGACACACATCTTGATTGTTCACGTTTTCATGTACCTGAAATGGGTGCAGGTCTTCTAATCACAACTGTGACGTGGCTGCCCTGCCTGGTCTCGCACAGACTCAGCCACAGCTGTTCAAAGCGTCATCACTTCAATTAAGTTTTGGGCATGGTTGTTATTTCACATGTGAAATGTAGGTGCTATTTTACATGTCTTCAAAAAGATTTGACTGCGATTCAACTTTGAATTGGAAACCTGCTGTGCCCATAGGAAGGCTGGGAACAGAGCGGTAGAGTGCCTGTGAGATGCTGGCAAGGCAGGCACGTAATTCATCCCTGCAGGGAAGCCCACAAGTCCAGATTGTCTTTCTTCTTTTTTTTTTTTTTTTTTTTTGAGATGGAGTCTCGCTCTGTTGCCAAGGCTGGAGGACAGCGGCGCGATCTCGGCTCACTGCAACGTCTGCTTCCCGGATTTAGGTGATTCTTCTGCCTCAACTTCCCGAGTAGTGGGGATTACAGGCACCTGCCACCATGCCTAGCTAATTTTTGTATTTTTTTTTAGTAAAGATAAGGTTTTAGTAGAGATAGGGTTTCGCCATGTTGGCCAGGCTAGTCTCAAACTCCTGATCTCAGGTAATCCACCCGCCTTGGCCTCCCAAAGTTCTAGGATTACAGGCATGAGCCACCGTGCCTGGCCAAGATTTTCTTGCAAAGCAACCAAATACTTTACAGGACTTAAGAACCATCACAGGCTGGGCGCAGTGGCTCACGCCTACAATCCCAGAGGTTTGGGAGGCTGAGGTGGAAGAATTACCTGAGCCCAGGAGTTTTAGATCAGCCTGGGCAACATAGCGAGACCCCATGTCAACAAAAAATAATTTAAAAATTAGCCAGGCATGGTGGTACACACCTGTAGTCCTAGCTACTCAGGAAGCTGAGGTGGGAGGATTGCTTGAGCCCAGGAGTTTGAGGCTGCAGTGAGCCATGATCACACCACTGCACTCCAGCCTGGTGACAGTGAGACCTTGTCTCCAAAAAAACAAAAAACAAAAAACATCCCCGAGATGAGAGTGGACATTCTTGCAAGAAATGCTGCACTTCCTGTGCTCCTGGATCAGGGACCACCAAACATTTTGTGTAAAGGGACAAATAGGAAATATTGTTTGGTTCTGTAAGCTATACAAGCTCAGCTGCAACCACTCAACTCTGCCAGCAAGGCCTGAAAGCAGTCATAGGCTGTAGCTGTGTCCCAATAAAACTTTATTTGCAAAAACAAGTAGAGGCACAGATGATTGTTAACTCCTTCTCTTGATGGAACAGAAAACAATGTGTGGAAAAATGAGGGCACTGATGACTCTAAGTCAAAAAGTGATACGGAAGATGGAACTCTGAACTGGAAGAAGTTTGAAGAATATCTTAATTAATGTATTTCAATGATATTTTCCCTGTGTGTTACTTATAAAAGTGATATAGATTAAAAAACAAAACAAAACTACATCCACGTAAGTTTCAAAGACCTCTTTCAAAAAGCATAAGCTAAAATTTCTAAGTAGCAAATAAAACAAAACAAAACAAAACAAAAACACTGTATATAATCTAAATAGCTTTTTTTTTTTTTTTTTGAGACAGAGTCTCGCTCTGTTGCCTAGGCTGGAGTGCAGTGGTGCGAGCTTGGCTTACTGCAGCCTCCACCTCCTGGGTTCAAGCAGTTCTGCCTCAGCCTCCCGAGTAGTTGGGACTACAGGCACATGCCACCATGCCTGGCTATTTTTTTTTTTTTTTGTATTTTTAGTAGAGATAGGGTTTCACCATATTGGCCAGGCTGGTCTTGGACTCTTGACTTTGTGATCCTCCTGCCTCAGCTTCCCAAAGTGCTGGGATTACAGGCATGAGCCACCACACTTGGTCCTCTAAATAACATTTTTAAATTTGTTTAGATTACGTTAAGAAATGGTGTATCTTAGCTGGGTGCAGTGGCTCACGCCTGTAATCCCAGCACTTTGGGAGGCCAAAGCGGGCAGATCACAAGGTCAGGAGATTGATACCATCCTGGCTAACATGGTGAAATCCCATCTCTACTAAAAATACAAAAAATTAGCTGGGCGTGGTGGCGGGCATCTGTAGTCCCAGTTACTTGGGAGGCTGAGGCAGGAGAATGGTGTGAACCTGGGAGGTGGAGCTTGCAGTGAGCTGAAATCGCACCCCTGCATGCCAGCCTGGGCAATAGAGCGAGACTCTGTCTCAGAAAAAAAAAAAAAAAAGAAAAGAAACTGTATATCTTAAATTAATGGCTTCTTAGATTTGCGGCAATAGGGTTTTGTACCCATTGTGATGCAGATACGGAGGCTCAGAGGGAAAAGTGACTGGCTCAAAGTCAGTCAGTGATTAAAACTGTGATTGCAGAGATGGAGTGGCTGATGGTTTTCCCTTTGCTTCCTCCCGCTGAGGCCAAACACCACAATGACCATGCAACCAAATGGCCCTGGTGAGGGGACAGCGAAAGGAGACACTGCATGAAGGCAGGAACTGCATATGCCTCACCTACCACCCATCCCTGCAGCCTAGCCATGTGATGGGGCAGAGAAGGTGACTGAGTGATGGCACTGACTATGGCACCAGCTGGCCTGAATTCAAATCATAACTGTCTTGGCGCCTTCACCTGTACAGCCCTCAGTATTACCATCTGATAATACTGAGGCCCGCAATAACAGTACCTGCCTCAAAGGGTCGTTGGGAGGTTTAAGAGTTAATACAGTTGAAAACATTTTGCACAGTGCCTGACACATAGGAAGCATCAAGAAATATTGGCCATGAGAATGAAGATCTTGCTACCATATGCACCTAGCACATAGCAGGTCCATGGAAATGTTTGCTGAATCAATGAAGTGAGAACAAGAGCGAACAGATGGATAGAAGCCTGGGTATGCAGGTGAGTGAAGAGATGGACAGGAAAATAAATGGACAAATGGATGGATGGATAGATGGAGGGATGGATGGATGGATGGATGGATGGATAGATGTAAAGATGGGTGGATGGGTGAATGTAAAGATGGGTGGATGGGTGAATGTAAAGATGGTTGGATAGATGGATGTAAAGATGGGTGGATGGATGGATGGTTGTGACAATGGGTGGATGGATGGATATAACAATGGGTGGATGGATGGATGTAAGGATGGGTGCGTGTAAATATAGATGGATGGATGAATGAGTGTTGGGCGGGTGGATGTGTGCATGGGTGAGTGCATAAATGGATGAATGGATTGGCAATCTGGAGCCAGAGAGACCTTTTCCTCTATAACCTGGAGTGAGACCCTCAGTGCAAGATCTAGGCCCAAGATAACCTCTCACCGGCTGAACAAGAACGTTGTTTTTGCCATAGAGAAGGGTGGCACGGGAGTTCTGATGCAGGGACTCCACGTAGTCGCGGGCAGAGAGGGATGGCCGGTCATCCATGCTGCCACTGGAATGCCTCTTCTGGATCTGGTAGAGAGTGACGGGAGACAGAGGGATGAGGCCTGGGGTGATTTTCAGGGCTCCTACCCTGCTTCCTGCCCTCATGTAAGGTCCCTCCCACTGCCCCACTGTCCACCCCACTCACACAGAGGGCAGGACGCTTGGTGGGCGAGTCCTGCCGCACGTGGGAGCTGTGGATGCGGTGCCTCTGGACAAGTTCGTCAGCCGAGGGATCGGTCCAGAAGTGATCTGCAGTCTTCATCTTGGTGTACTCTAGGGCACAGGGCCCCACTGAGGGGCATGTGGGGGCTGGAAACCCACTGCCCCGGAAAGTCCTCCCGCATGTCTACCAGCAGATGGCCGCCCATCTCACTACCCTCCCCTCCAGCCAGCTAGAACAGTGCTGCATTTCCATGGGCAAGGCTGGACAGGGGTGAGAGAGTCCTGGAGAAGGTGCCCCTCAGACTCAAGACCACGGGTCTAGATGAAGCTCAGCACACAGGACAACTTACCCAACAAAGATGCAAGGATGGGGCCGTCCACAGGGTCCATCAGGAGAGCTTCCTTCTCATAGTATTTACTAGCAAGAGGAGAGAATATGCAGGTTTGGATGGAGACCAGCAGAGGACGCACAATCCACAGATGAGAGTTCAATCCCCAGTGTCACTCGGTTACCACCCAGAGCCTCAGCTGCCCCATCTGTAAAATGGGGATAATAATAATATAGCTCATAGGGCTGAAAAAAGGATTTCTTTTTTTTAAGATAAGGTCTTTCTCTGTCACACAGGCTGGAGTGCAGTGGTACAATCAAAGCGCACTGTAACCTCGAACTCCTGGGCTCAAGTGATCCTTCCACTTCAGCCTCCTAATTAGCTGGGGCTAGAGGCATGCGCCACCACTGGCTAATTTTCAAATTTTAAATTTTTGGTAGATATAGGGTCTCATTATGTTGCCCAGGCTGGTCTTGAATTCCTGGCCTCAAGTGATCCCACCACCTTGGCCTCCAAAGCACTGGGATTACAGGCATAAGCCACCTGTAAGCCCAGCCTGCTGGAAGGACTTTTGAGAGAACCAAAAATTAAAGGTATTTAGCGGGGTGCTCAGCATGTACCTCCTTAACACATGGTCATGATAGAGCCTTTATAATAGTAACAAGAATAATAATTAGCAGGTTGTGGAGGCCTGGCTGACTCTATCTGCCTCTACCACATCTCCCATTTGAGACAGGAAGTGACTTAGAGGCTCAGATGATGTCTGCCCTTCTATTACTGGGGCAACCAAATGCTGTTTAGCAGCAGTGCGTACTGAAAGGCTGTGTAACAGGCTTTCCTGCCTTGATAACTAATATTGAGAGCACTGGCCTCAAATATGCTCAAAAATGCCCCCTGGGATCTGGCTCTGAAAAATAGCAAGTGATGCCATCTGACATGGTTTGGCTGTGTCCTCACCCAAATCCCAACTTGAATTGTATCTCCCAGAATTCCCACATATTGTGGGAGGGACCCAGGGGGAGGTAATTGAATCATGGGGGCTGGTATTTCCCATGCTATTCTTGTGATAGTGACTAAGTCTCACGAGATATGATGGGTTTATCAGGGGTTTCTGCTTTTGCATCTTCCTCATTTTTCTCTTGCCGCCGCCATGTAAGAAGTGCCTTTTGGCCAGGCGCAGTGGCTCACACCTGTAATCCTAGCACTTTGGGAGGCCAAGGTGGGCGGATCATGAGGTCAGGAGATCGAGACCATCCTGGCTAACACGGTGAAACCCCATACCTACTAAAAATACAAAAAAAAAAAAAAAAAAAAATTCACCAGGCGTGGTGGTGCCTGTAGTCCCAGCTACTCGGGAGGCTGAGGCAGGAGAATGGCGTGAACCTGGGAGGCGGAGCTTGCAGTGAGCCAAGATGGCGCCACTGCACTACAGCCCAGGCAACAGAGCAAGACTCCATCTCAAAAAAAAAAAGAAGTGCCTTTTGCCTCCTGCCATGATTCTGAGGCCTTCCCAGCCATGTGGAACTGTAAGTCCAATTAAACGTCTTTTTGTTCCCAGTTTTGGGTATATCTTTATCAGCAGCATGAAAACGAACTAATACACCATCAACACAATGTTTGTGCTGAATGTTTTTGGATTTGTTTGTTTGAGTTATTGTGTAGTGGTTTCTAATTTCTTGAAAACTCATACAGTCTAGAAACAATTTCAGGATTGAAAAGAACCTTGTTCTGACCTCCCAAGGGATCTCAGGCCCACAGAGGGTAAGCGATTTATTTGCTGGAGGCCACAGAGCAGGCAGATACAGGCTTGGGCTGAGCCCACATGGCTCAGCTCTTGCCAACATACAGAAGGAAGTAAAGGACACAGGATCTGGAGTGAGACAGAGTGGGTGGGAGCCCAGCTCTGCCTCTCCCTGCCTTGCTGTGTGTCACTGGGCAAGTGACACCCCTCTCTGAGCTTTGGTCCTCAGCTGTAAAATGGGAGGAAGTATAGAACTCAAATGCCTGGATTGTTGGAAGGATTAAATGACAACTTGCTTACATAGCACAGCACAGAGCCCAACATCAGGAAATTCTCACAAAATGGTGGCAACATCATCGTAATCTTACCCCCCAAGAGTCTTCCATCAACTGGAATATCGTATGAGCCAGAATTGACATGCTCTGGACTTATTCAATATCAAGGCTGTACATTTTGGTGTCAAATCTGAAGATAATACATCAAAACACTTTTCACTTTGCCATCACCCAGTTTCTAAAAATCAGCAGAATTATACGATCAAAAACTTTGAACATGCTGCCTTAAAAATCAGCAAGTAGGGGTCTCAAAATAAATAAAAAACGACCAGGCACAGTGGCTCATGCTTGTAATCCCAGCACTTTGGGAGGCCAAGGTGGGAGCATCACCTGAGGCCAGGAGTTCGAGACCAGTCTGCCCAATATGGTGAAACCCTGTTTCTACTAAAAATACTAAATTAGCCAGGAGTGGTGGTGCATGCCTGTAAAACCAGCTACTTGGGAGGCTGAGGCATGAGAATCGCTTGAACACGGGACGCAGAGGTTGCAGTGAGTCAAGATTACACCATTCTACTCCAACCTGGGCAACAGAGTGAGACTCCATCTCAAAAATAAAAATAAATTTAAAAATTAGCAGGTAGAGTTGGAACCGAGGTGTGACTGTAAGAAGTAGCTGAAGGGAGTTTCTTTGGGGTGATGAGGTTTATTTCGGAATAATTCTGTATCCTGATGGTGATGTGGGTTATATGAAACTACACATGCGTTAAAAGTTTCATAGAACTGTATAAAAAAATTCAGTAAATATAAAAATTGATGAAATCCAAAAAAGTTTTGCAGTTAGTTAATAGTATTGTACCAATGTCAATTTCCTGGTTTTGATCACTGCACTATGGGTATGTAAAATGTTATCATTGGGGTTAGGCAATTAGTAATCTCTGTACTAATTTTGCAACTTCTATGTAAATGTAAATTAAAAATAAAAAGTTGAAATGGAAAAAAAGCAGGTTGACATTGCTTCTCAAATAAATTACTAATTCCCTTTGACCAACTTAATCAGCAGGTCATATGCTCAAGGTCATATGCCAAAGGCAATAATTAAAGAGGCCCAGAAACCTTCATGGGGCAGGAGGCAGAGACATGTTATTACTAGAAGGTAAATAGGGAACTGGAGATCCAGAGCTTGGATTTCTTGCAGTTTCTTTCCTGTCTCTAGGCCTCTGCACCTGCTATTCCCTCCACCAGAAACACTTTGTTCCCCATCCCATCACCTGGCTAATGCCTCCATGCTCTTCAAATGGAAGCTTAACCGTTGCGCCATCCAGGACACTTTCCCTGACCACTGGGAGAAAATTATCAACGCCACCACGCCCCCTTGGAACATCCATCAGGTATTATCAGCATGACTGTTGGCTGGTTTTCCTTACAAGCACGTGAACTTCATGAGAAGGGGGACTTTTCTCTCCACTTTCATGCATATTTTCCTTGCAAAGGGGCAAAGAATGATAATAAAAACATCCACTGTGTGAAGATGTGGTTAAGCCAGCACTTTCATATTCTGAAAGATGGAGAGATTCTGAGATATTTCTCTCTCTCTCTCTCTCTCTCTCTCTCTCTCTCTCCCCCCACCCCCCCCTCCCTTCCTGCCACCTCTTGGGGGCTGGAGAGGCATGCTGGCCACAAGGAGTGTCAGATGATAAATTCTTCCATGGCTCCTCACTGCTCTTGCGATGATATACAAGCTCTGTGACATGAAAGGTATCACCACTATATCCCTGACGTCTAGGTTAATGCCAGTACACAGCAGGTCCTCATTTAAATATTTGCTGGATGAATGAATGCATGGATGAATGGTTACCCAAGAGGGCTCACACTATAAAACTTTCACATCAGATTAATCTAAACTAGTGGAGAAAACGTTAAAAAGGCTCACCATGCATTTTCTTTTTTTCTTTTTTTTTTTTTTTTTTTGAGATGGAGTCTTGCTCTGTTGCCCAGACTGGAGTGCAGTGGCGCAATCTCAGCTCACTGCAAGCTCTACCTCCCGGGTTCACACCATTCTCCTGCCTCAGCCTCCTGAGTAGCTGGAGCTACAGACACCTGCCACCACGCCCGGCTAATTTTGTTTTTGTATTTTTAGTAGAGACGGGGTTTCACCGCATTAGTCAGGATGGTCTTGATCTCCTGACCTCGTGATCCACCTGCCTCGGCCTCCCAAAGTGCTGGGATTACAGGCGTGAGCCATTGCGCCCAGCCTCACCATGCATTTGCAAAATGCTGCATATTCACCAAATTCCCTTCTCACTTCTCTGGAGTATCGGGAATCCCCATGCCATTTACCAAAAGAGATAACGGGCACAGAGAGGCTAAGCGATTCTCTAGGGCCACACAGTTATTGAATGGAGTAATCCACAGGAGAAGGAAGAAACCCAGGATCCCTATACTCCACCCTAAATCCGAAGACCTTGCACTGCCATTAAGCTCTTGAATCTACCCAAGTTTCCAAGCATTTAATCACTTTCAAATTTAGTGGCTGTCAAGGGGAAAAAGAAAGCAGCTTTGTGCCAGGGGGTGCAATTTCCACAACGGCCGGCAGGTGGGGGCAGAGCATGGCCAGGTGTCAGGTCTTTCCCTCTCACCTGCTGTTTTCCACAAGGTAATGCACAATTTTGTCCAGGACCTTCTCAAACAAGGCTGTGCGAATCCACAGATGCTTGATGGCAAGTGGGGACAAGTTGGGCAGCTTCGGCAGCTTCCGCACATTCTCCTGGAGGCCTTGAATCTGGTTTCTCCTTCAAGACCAATAAAAGACGGGAATAGATACTCACAAGAGCAAATCTACACAGGACTAATTGGCAAATGGGAGAATGTTCAATCTCTCAGGAAAATGAAGGAATGGCAGCTAAACAAGAAGAGCCCATATTGCCGCTAGCAAGCTGGTCAGGAGTTGAAAAAATAGTAATACCCAGTGAGTGTGCAGATGTGGTTAAACAAGACACTTTCCTAGGGCAAGCCAGATTCTCATACTGATACCCCCCACCTCTCTCTCCTGGAAAGGAGGGTGGGCCAAGAAGAGTCTTGGAGTATAGATCCTTCATTGGGTCCCCAGTGCCCTTGGGAAGCAAGCTCTTCAACAAGACCAGCAGAGAGCTCCAAGACCTTGTCCCACTCACCTCTCCAGCAATCTCCTTACCACTAACGCTTATGACTCCATGATCCAGCCAGACAGAGATACGTGCAGATGCCTGAGGCCACCAGAGTCTCATCTGAAGCCTTTCCCTGGGCTGCCGCTTCTTCCGGGTTCCCTCCCCACCCATTCCCAGGCTGATCCCTCTCACTCTGTAAGTCTCAGCGAGGGCATTGCCTCCTGCCTACAGGAAGCCCTCCTGGACCAACCAAAGCTGGTCTGTACTCTGTCAGCCTCTGGAGCTGAGCTCCCTGCTCACTTTTCTGTCGTCCCCTCCATGCTTTGATCTTGAGGATATGAAATCGGCAACTCATTTTTTTTGTTGTTGTTTTGAGACGGAGTTTCACTCTTGTTGCCCAGGCTGGAGTGCAATGGCACAATTCGGCTCACCACAACCTCTGCCTCCTGGGTTCAAGCGATTCTCCTGCCTCAGCCTCCCAAGTAGCTGGGATTACAGGCATGCACCACCACGCCCAGCTAATTTTGTATTTTTAGTAGAGACAGGGTTTCTCCATGTTGGTCAGGCTGGTCTTGAACTCCTGACCTCAGGTGATCTGCCCACCTTGGCCTCCCAAAGTGCTGGGACTACAGGCATGAGCCACCGCACCTGGCCGCAACTCATTTTTTTTTTTTTTTTAATAAAATACTTACTGAGAGTCTACCATGTGGCAAGCATTGGCCCTCTTCATTTCTGTATCTCCAGGGCCCAGCACACTGGCTGACGTATAGAGGAAGCTTAGTAAATGTTTATGAATGAGTGATTGCATATATGAATAAATGCTTCTCCCTTACCACTTGCACAGGCATCTCTAACTCCTCCACTAGGAGGTCACTCCCAGTGTTGTGGAAGGCCCATGACAAATCTAATCCTTTAAGAAGTTATCTGCAAACACCTGGGAACTTAGCAGATGGACTGGAAGGTATTCAAAGAACAGTTGGCTGAGAAGTCATTCCAAATGGGAGTTGACAGAGTCAAATCCTGAGCTCTGACCACCATACCGTTCTGGCCAGCAGCCCTGGGCAGGCAGGGCCTGAAATGCAAGGAAAGGGCCATTCTCATCCAGTGAAGTGGAGTGACCATCCACAGCAGAGACTGCAAACATAGGACATGCTTGTGTCTTCCCTGCCTTTGCCCTTGACAGACATGACCAATCAATCCATGTGCTTTTCCCCAGAACGCCCAATCACAGCTTCAGAATCACAGCACATTCCTCTGGGAAGCCACCAGCACCGAATTTGTTGCCAGGAGTTGAAACCAAATTGTCATTCCCTGACCAGGCTGTAGACTGGGGGTTTGGCTGTGCAGACAGGACCTCCCAGGGAGTGGCTCTGGCTGAAGGTGCTCACATGCACACATTCTGTCCATGAGCCTCCCCCAACACATACCACCAGTCACCAAGATGAGGGAGGGAAGCCACCTCCCCCATTCAAAGGTTACTTCAGTATGAGAGTTTTTTTTTTAACTTCTAGTCAGTGTATTTGAATGTGTTATAATATGCCTATTGATATGAGGCCCTCGTGTCTGGTCCATGCAGACAGAGGCCATATTGGTTCTATCAAACTTTGGTTGCCTTGCATTTAGAACAGGCCGTGGGTCCTAGCAGGCACTCACTCAACAATTGTTTCTTGGGCATCTACCAGGTGCTAGACACTGGCCCGGATGCTTGAGACATAATGGGAGAAAACAGATCTAGTTGCCTGCTCTCATGAAGTTCTGCATCAAGTGAGATAGACAGACAACAAACAAACAAACCTGACATGAATAACTATAGATGGCCAACCAACAACAACGGGGAGGGAAATAAACAGGGTGATATGGAAGAGAAGATGGAGTGAGAGTTGGAATTTTCTGAGATAACGATAGGTCTGAATGATGACAAGAAAGCAGCTATGGACGATCAGATGGGTGAGTCTGGTGGAGGGTGAGGCACGTGCAAAGACCCTGGGGTGGGAAAGAGTCTGGTGGGTTTGAGAAGCAGGATGGAGACTGAAAAGAGTGCTAGGGGTTGCAGGCTCTCTCAGGACCCAGGGAGGACTGTGGACTATTGGGGGAGCTGCTCCCACCTGTGCCCCATGCTTTGCACTCACGCGCTCTCGATCAGCTGCTCCAGGTCTTGCACCTTGCGGCTCAGATCCTCAGCCGGCGGGAAGTTCTTGCCCACTTTCATAAAGAGGGCTGCAATCTTATTGCTGCGTAGGAAGCCAGCCGCCCGCCGCCGAAGCCCGTGCAGAACGCAGGCCTCCACAGCCGCTGCAGGGACATGGCAGTCAGCAGACCCTGCCCTGCCCATGCACTCCAGCACCCAGCATGTCCCAGAGCTTCTGTCAGACACTGGAACCTTGGAGAGCCCTCTCAATCTTCTTACCTTCTGTCTTACCCCAGAGACAGGGAGCTCACACTTGTATAGGTGCATAATCAATGTTTATTGAAAAAGTGACTATATAAGAAGTACTCCTTATTAGGCATCTGCTGGGTGTCGGATAATTGTTAAGACTTACCTTTCCTAATTCTTGTGACAAAACTCATGAAGTAAGAGCTCTAAAGAGCAAACCAGTGCTCTCAGGGGGCATAGCTTGACCAAGGTTATGCTACGTGCAAGGAGAAATATTGAGAAGTTTTGGTCTCATCACCATGGTTTTTTGTTTGTTTTTGTTTTGTTTTGTTTTTTTGAGTTAGAAAACACTTTGTTTTGAATGAATGATCAAATATTGCCTAATCTCGGGCCAGGCGCAGTGGCTCACGTCTGTAATCCCAGCACTTTGGGAGGCCAAGGCGGGCAGATCTGGGACATGCTGGGTGCTGGAGAGCGAGGTCAGGAGATCGAGACCATCCTGGCTAACACAGTGAAACCCCGCCTCTACTAAAAATATAAGAAATTAGCCAGGTGTGGGGGCGGCCGCCTGTAGTCCCAGCTACTCAGGAGGCTGAGGCAGGAGAATGGCATGAACCTGGGAGGTGGAGCTTGCAGTGAGCTGAGATCGCGCCACTGCACTCCAGCCTGGGCGACAGAGCGAGACTCCGTCTCAAAAAAAAAAAACCCCAAAAAACAAACAAACAAAAAAACAAATATTGCCTAATCTGCCCATAGATTTAAAATATTTGAGGAGATGATCTCTTAGATATCTTAATTTTAACTTACATATGCAGTACTTTTCATTTGCTTATGGCGATGTAAGTGAACTGACTATTCAGGCTTTGTAGACATAGTTTAATCCTTCCTGACAACAGCTTATAAGAAACAATGGACAAAAGAAACCTTGAGGAGATTCTTTAGGCTTCATTTAGTGCCATCAAATTTCTCCCACCCAAATACTTTTGAGTAGAGCTACTGAATTATTATACTATTTTTATTACTTTTATTCCTCTAAGTTAATTGGTAGGTAGGCTAGCAAGTCTTAAGATGGACATGCATATAATTTTATTTGGAAATAAAAATATTCAGGAACACATAAAAAACTGGGAATACATATATATGTATATATACACATACATATATGTATGTAATTATGTGCATGTGTGTATGTGTGTAGAGCTATATGTTTAAATAAACACATCCCACTTAAAAAAAAATAAGATCTTCATTTTGGGAAGCCAAGGAGAGAGGAATGCTTGAACCTAGGAATTCAAGACCAGCCCTGACAACATGGCAAGACTCCATCTTTACAGAAAAATTTAAAATTAGCCAGGTATGGTGGCACATACTTGTGGTCCCAGCTACTCGGGAAGCTAAGGTGGGAGGTACGCTTGAGCCCAGGAGGTTGAGGCTGCAGTGAGCTGTGATTGTGCCACTGCACTCCAGCCTGGGTGACAGAGTGAGATCCTGTCTCAAAAAAAAAAAAAAAGAAAGAAAGAGAGAAAGAGAGAAAGAAATGAAGAAAGAAAGAAAGAAAGAAAGAAAGAAAGAAAGAAAGAAAGAAAGAAAGAAAGAAAGAAAGAAAGAAAAGAAAAGAAAAGAAAGATCTTGCCCAAAGTCAATTACAAGAAAGCAGCAGAGGTGGATCCAGGTCTGCCTGCCTGAAGAGAGGGTGAACTGAGGTCCTTGCCTCCCAAGAAAGCGGCAGAGGTGGATCCAGGTCTGCCTGGCTGAAGAGAGGGTGAACTGAGGTCCTTGCCTCCCGGGTCACAGCGTGTGCTCAGCATGTTGTGGGCCCCGTGGGGTGGTGCCCCCAGCCATTTGGACGGCAGCTGATGGGCTGGCCAGCTCTCCCAGCTCAGGCCTCTCCACAGGACCAAGATCACGGGAGGGGAATTAGAACATGTCCTGCATTATGAGACACTCCAATTATTAAATTAAGACATTTTCAGGGAGACAGAAAGACTCCCACTTCTATGTACACACTGATTATCCTGACCTCAGAGACACTCAGACCCCATCTCTAGCCATTCTCAAAGTACAGCAAAAGCCTGGCCATGGGGTTATTTCCAGAAGCTTGTGAGCAGAGCTGGTTCAAGGAGACATGTCTGAGTCACGCTCTGAGCCCTCGGCCTGCCTTCTTTGCTGAGCCAGATGGACGCGATCCTTCAGGATGTGTCACGGGCTCTTAGTTCCCTTTTTTAAAAGTCCCCATCTACCCTCTCCCTTTACCTAGCAATAGCCACAGGCAGAGTGAGGGACAGGGAGCCCATTCCTCAGATGCAAGACTGTGTGTCACTTGGGGTGTGGTCGGTGTGAATGGTGCCTACAGGAAGACAACCCCTCTGGTGTTAACCACACTGACCTCTTCATGGGGTACAGAAGTCATTTTTAATTGTTTCTCTACACTGTTCTGTATTTTCAAATTCTCCAATCGAGTCCCCCTCTGGAATCCAAAACTAACTTCAGAGTCATAAAGCAAAACAGTGGCTCCAAGACACCACTTCCCCGAGGCAGCCCACAGAGAAAGAAGCCACTTTCCCAGGTCACAGACTCACCACAGAAGGAGATGATGTGGCTGCTGTCTTCGTGGACAAACTTGCGTGTCACAGCCTCCTCCATGATCTGCTTCACCTGGAAGGCAAAGGTGACCGGAGGGGAAGAGGTCCAAGGTGACCAAGGTGACCTGGGTATAGGTGCCCCAAAAGGGCTGCATTGCTCCCCACAAGGCCTTTCAGGCTGTTTGGGATGTTTTGACACCTGCTTTCCTTCCCCCTCCTCGCCTTGTCTTTTGGAGGTCTGAGGCCTGTCACAGCTCCATGCTTCTCATTTTATCAATTATTCGTTCAGGTTCTTCACACAGCAGGCTGCTGCTTCTCTTAGGCATCTCACAAAACGTCATCTCCTTTCCTGACCACACTGTCTAAGGCAGACCCCTCCCCACTCCCATCCCCTGTTTTAGTTCCTGTAGGGCACTCACCACTATTCTCATTCTTTTTTTTTTTAGACGGAGTTTCGCTCTTGTTGCCCCGGCTGGAGTGCAATGGCACAATCTTGGCTCATCGCAACCTCCGCCTCCCGGGTTCAAGCCATTCTCCTGCCTCTGCCTTCCGAGTAGCTGGGATTACAAGTGCCCACCACCACGTCTAGCTAACTTTTCTATTTTTAGTACAGACGGGGTTTCACTATGTTGTCTTGAACTCCTGACCTCAAGTGATCTGCCCGCCTCGGCCTCCAAAAGTGCTTGGATTACATGCGTGAGCCGCCGCGCCCAGTCTACCACTATTCCCATTCTATTTGTTGATTTGTTGACCGTCTATCTCTCTCTTCTAGAATTTAAGTTCCACAAGGGCAGAAACTTCATTTGCCTCATTCACTGCTGAATTTGCACAGCCTAGAACAGTGCCTGGCACAGGGCAGATGCTCAATCAACATTTTCTAAATGACTGGATGAATGAATGAATCAGTGTATGAATGAATAAGATATATAAAGGAATCAAGAAAGTGCAGGGTAAAAAAACCTGCCCTGGAATCAGGTAGACCTGAGTTCAAATCCCTGCTTGGAGACCTCCCAAGTGGGTTTCTGATCTTATTTTGGGAAATGGATGCTCAGCAAGATGAAAGCACTTACCCAGGGAGGCAGAGCTGGCTATCAGAGACAGGTTCCAGCTCGAGACAGACACCCAGGCTGTGTGCTCTTCCCTGCGCACTCCCTTGCTCAAGAATTCTCACCTGAGTGCCTCTAATGTGCCAGGCACAGGGACACAGTGCAAAAGGGCAGCTGTGCCTCTCTGCTCTTGGTGTTGATCCTCTGGCAGCCTGAATACCTTCTGCTCCACTAGATTCTGGGCCTGATTCTGCCCAGAGTCATTGTAGGATTTAAGCAAAGTCCGTCTCCTCTCTGGACCTCAGTTACCCCACTTTGAGGTTGAGGAGGTTGGAAAACAATCCAAAAGGCCTGTTCCAGCTCTATGTCACCCTGAGGATTCTGATGTTTGGGGTAAATAAAGCAAAGTTCTGAGTTACCCCCACCCAGTGGAACCCACAGCGTTTCCCACTGTCCTGTGGCCCATCCAGACTCCACCAGGCCAGCACATCCATGCATCCATCTGAGAGCTGTCCCAGGCCCTCCCTGCCTGCTCTCCCTGCCTTCTGGTTACCTCCTGGAGATGAACACAGTTTGGTGCATCCCTGTCCACCTTCTCTGCAGAAACACATGGCAGTGTCCCCCTAGAGCTGGCTCACCACCCCCACCCCACACAACCAAGTCAGCACCAGCGCTGTGAACAGCTCCTGATTTCAGTGCTCCACCAACTCCAAGCTGGGCATTGCCTGCAGCATTTCTAACCCTGAAAACTATCTAGGGAGGCCCATGAGAAGTTGGCTTCATTTTGCAGATGTGGAAATGGAGTCTCGTGGAGGCAAACCGGACCACTCAAGGTCACAGGGTAGGAAGGAGCAGAGTAGAAATTGAAACTTATCACTTTCTTTTTTTTTTCTCCCATCATGGCTCCTGCTGCTGTACCTTGGCTCCTCCCACTATTAGCTGTGTTTCCTCAGGCAAATCATGTCACTTCTCTGAACCTTAGTTTTCTCCTTGGCTAAAAAGTTTATAGAAATAGCACCAGCTTCAAGGCACTTGGGAAGGCTGAACAAGATAATGATCATCATGTGCTGAGCACAGAACCTGGCACGCAATAAATGTCTGCAAAATGTGCTGCAAATAAATGTCGGCTGCATGCAGGTCATCAGCTCTGCCTGAAACCTTCCCTGGCCTCCCATCACCGTTATTTTGGCCCTGGCTGGAATGTCGCTGGTTCAGGACATCAAATTCCCCTGCTTGGGTTCCTAGAGAAGCTGCTCTTGAAACACCCATCAGACGTGTAACATTTGGTCAGTACTTGTTTTCCCTGCCAGGCTCTGATCCCCATGAGGGCAACCATTCTGTGTTTCCTTGCTTTATGGCTATGGTGCCAACAACTACCTTGAGTTCCAGCACATGGTATGTGCTCAATAAAGTTCTCTTTGGAAAATGAATGGCTCAAAGAATCATGATTGACCTCAGGCTTTGGTAGAGTATTTTATTTGAAAAAAAATATATATTTTCTTATAACCATAATTGTGGATAATAGAGCAGTAACATTATTATCCCTATTTGTCAGGGGAGGAAACAGAGGCCCAGAGAGGTGGAGTAATCTGTCTGGGGTCACACAGCTATGAGGACTGGATTTGGTGTTTGGACCCAGGTTTGTCTGACTCCAGGGGCTGAGCTCCTTCTGCAACATGTCATGAAGCCCAGGTGGTCTCAGAGCGTTTGCACACCTCTCTCCCCTCTGCAGGAATCTACCTCTTTCTTTCCTTTGCTCCTCTAAGGCAGGACACGGTGATGCTGAGAAACTGCTGGAAGGCAGTTGCCAAGCACCCAGACCCTGATGACATTTGGGAATGTAGCAACAGAGGGAGTGAGTCCAGGCTTAGTCGTAGATGGTAGAGGACTGTCAGGGAGACATTGGGGGTGGGGGAGTCCAGGCAGCTGGGTCAGGAGCACTTTCATGAATGTACATGGTTAATTAAGAACTGAGAATTTGGGGACAGACAGACCTGGGTTCAAATCCTGGATGAGACACTTATCACAACTTGGGCAAATTCCTTTACCCCCTTAGGACAACAGTACTTGGGAGGCAGAGGTTGCAGTAAGCCGAGATCGTGCCACTGCACTCCAGCCTGGCGATAGAGCGAGATTCCATCTCAAAAACAAAAAACAAACAAAAAACAGCACCAACTTCTAAAGATTCAGTCAAATATGTTGGTTGTACCTTCAAAATGTTCTCAGATTCCAACCGTTTCTCAGCCCCTCCACCACCACCTCCCAGTCCAAGTCACCATCACCTCTCCCCTGAATCAATGCTGTAGACTCTTACTGGTCTCCCTGCATCCACTTCTAAGAAGCTCATTTTAATACAGCCAGAAGGATCTCGTTAAAAGGTAAGTCAATAGAACAACCAGACAGAATATCAATAAGGAAACAGAGGCCTTGAGCTACACTATAAACCAACAACTGGACTTAACAGATATGTACAGAACACTCCACCTAATGATGGCAGGATGCCCACTTTTCTCAAGTGCACATGGAACATTCTCCAGGAGAGAGAATATCTTAGGATACAAAACTAGTCATCATACATTTTTTTTAAAAATGAGATCATACAAAGCATCTTTGTCATTCACAATGGAATGAAACAAGAAATCAACAGCAGAAGGAAAACTAGAAAACCCACAAATAAGAGTCATAAACAGTGTACTCTTAAATAATAAATGTGTCAAAGAAGAAATCTCAAGGGAAATTAGAAAATATATTGAGATAAATAAAAACAAAAACACAGCAGGGCACGGTGGCTCACGCCTGTAATCCCAGCACTTTGGGAGGCCAAGGCGGGCGGATCACAAGGTCAGGAGATCGAGACCATCTTGGCTAACACGGTGAAACCCCGTCTCTACTAAAAATACAAAAAATTAGCCGGGCGTGGTGGTGGGCGCCTGTAGTCCCAGCTACTCGAGAGGCTGAGGCAAGAGAATGGTGTGAACCCGGGTGGCGGAGCTTGCAGTGAGCCGAGATAGCGCCACTGCAGTCCGGCCTGGGTGAAAGAGCGAGACTCCGTCTTAAAAAACAAAACAAAACAAAACAAAAACACAACATGGCCAATAAAAACAAAAACACAATATGGGCTGCTATAAAAGCAGTGCTAAGAAGGAACTTACAGCTGGAAATGCTTACATTAAAATAAGAAAGATCTCAAAGAAACAAGTTACCTGCACACCTTAAGGAACAAGAAAAAGAAGAACAAACTAAATCCACAGCTAGCAGAAAGAAGGAAATAATAAAGATTAGGCTGGGCATGGTGGCTCACACCTGTAATCCCAGCACTTTGGGAGGCTGAGGCGGGCGGATTACCTGAGGTCAGGAGTTCAAGACCAGCCTGGCCAACATGGTGAAACCCTGTCTCTACTAAAATACAAAAATTAGCCGGACATGATGGTGGATGCCTGTAATCCCAGCTATTTGGGAGACTGAGGTGGGAGAATTGCTTGAACCCGGGAGGTGGAGGCTGCAGTGAGCCGAGAACGCACTATTGCACTTCAGCTTGGGTGACAGAGTGAGACTGCCTCTCAAAATAAATACATAAAAATTAAAAATTCAAAAATTAAAAAATAAAGATTAGAGCAGCCATAAATGAAAGATAATTTAAAAACAGAGAAAACTAACAAAATCAAGACATGTTTTGCCCAGGCCGGGCGTGGTGGCTCACACCTGTAATCCCAGCAATCTGGAAGGCTGATGCAGGCAGATCACGAGGTCAGGAGATCGAGACCATCCTGGCTAACACAGTGAAACCCCGTCTCTACTAAAAAAATACAAAAAATTAGCTGGGCATAGTGGCGGGCACCTGTAGTCCCAGCTACTCGGGAGGCTGAGGCAGGAGAATGACGTGAACCTGGGAGGCGGAGCTTGCAGTGAGCTGAGATCGCGCCACTGCACTCCAGCACTCCAGCCTGGGTGACAGAGCAAGATATCATCTCAAAAAAAAAAAAAAAAAAAAGAGAGATGGTTTGTCCAAAAGATCGACAAAACTGACAAACCATTAGCAAGATTGACTAAGAAAAAAAAGAATTCTCAAAATTAAAATCAGAAATGAAAATGAGGACATTACAACTGATGCCACAGAAAAAACCATTATAAGAGAATACTATAAACAAATAAATGTATGCCAACAAATTGGATAACCTAGATAAGATGAATAAATTCTTAGAAACACACAATATACAAACTAAATCATGAAGAAATAGAAAATTTTAACAGATGTATCATAGCAGGGAGATGCTATCAGTAAGTTAAAACCCTCCAATAATGAGAAGCCCAGGACCACATGGCTTCACTGCTGAATTCTACCAAACATGAAAATAATTAAACTAATTCTTCTCAAATTCTTCCAAAAATATTAAAGAGGCAGGAGCACTTCCAAACTCATTTTATAAGGTCAGGGCTACCTTGAAACCAAAGCCAGTCACAAAAAAACTACAGACCAATATCTATGATAAATATGCATGCAAGAATCCTCAACAAAATGCTAAAAACAGAATTCAACAGCATATTAAAAGAACATGGTCGGTCACTGTCCAGTTGCTCATGCCTATAATCCCAGCACTTTGGGAGGCTGAGGCAAAAGGATCACTTGGGCCTAGGAGTTTGAAACCAGTCTGGGCAACACAGTGAAACCCAACTTCTACAAAAAAATACAAAAATACAAAAACTAGCCAGGCATGGTGGCATGTGCCTGCAATCCAGCTACTTGAGAGGCTGAGGTGGGAGGATAGCTTGAGCCCAGGAGGTTGAGGCTGCAGTGAGCCATGATCACACTACTGCACTCCAGCTTGGACAAATGAGCAAGACTCTATCTCAA
The DNA here is from genome assembly GCF_000001405.40 of Homo sapiens. Lineage (NCBI taxonomy): Eukaryota > Metazoa > Chordata > Mammalia > Primates > Hominidae > Homo > Homo sapiens. The sequence continues at coordinate 24,839,071 of NC_000022.11, read as the reverse complement.
AATAAAAACAAGACAAATAAATGGAAAGGCATCCTCTGTTTATGGTTTCCAAGACTTCATACTCCTAAAATGTTGATATTACCAAAGTAATCGACAGATTTAATGAAATTTCTATCAAAATCCCAATGGTGCTTTTTTTTTTGCAGAAACATAAATATCTATCCTAAAATTAATATCAAGGAACATCTCATGGAACCCTGACTATCAAACAGTCTTGAAAAATATTCTTGAAAAATCTTCAACAAGAAGAATGAAGTTCGAGGTCTCATACTTCCTGATTTAAAAACTTATAACAAAACTACAGAAATCAAAACAATGTGGTACTGTCATTAAAAAAAAACACACATTTAGACAAATGGAATAGAGAGCCCAGAACTAAAACCTCACATATATAATCAAATGATTTTTGTCAAGGGTGTCATGCCCATTCAAAGAAGAAAGTGAAACTGACCCAACTACCCCATAAACTGTCCTTTTTGATAAACATAGAAATTGACCCTTGTGGTCTTAAAAAGCTTGAAACTTGTATTTATCTGAGTTCCTTCCTCAGAGAAGGTCCTTCAGGCCTGTCAAAAAAAGTATCAAAGAACTGAAACTCACCAGATCACAGATGGAAGGGAACCCACTCATTCACCATGTTTGCTTCCTTGTGCTCCCTAGTTCTTGTTTTCTTACACATTGTTGCATTTCTTCCTGGCTATATAAACACCTAGTTTTAGTCAGTCAGGGAGATGGATTTGAGACTGAGCTCCCTTCTCTTCAGCTGCAGCACCCAATTAAACCCTTCTTCCTTGGCAATACTTGTCATCTCAGTGATCGGCTTTCTGTGCAGTGATCAGCAGGACCTAGACCAAATCCCTGGTGTTTTGGTAACAAAAGGATAGTCTTTAAAACAAATGGTGTTGGGAAAACTGGATAGCTACATACAAAAGAATAAAATTGGACCCTTACCTTATACCACATACAGAAATTAAAGTAAAATGGACCAAAGACTTCAACACAAGCTAAAACTATAAAAATCATACAAGAAAACGGAGAAAGCTTCATGACATTGTGTGGGTGGCAAGCCACCCAGGCACCGAGGCAAGAGACAGAGGACACGAGCTGTTCCAGTATAATAAAATATAAAACAAGAATAGTTATACCAGATATAGATCTTAGATATGATTATATATGAATATCATTAATCATTAGTTTGTAGCAGTTACTTTTTATTCCAATATTATGATAATCCTCACTCTATAATCATAGCCTAGGAAAAACCAGGCCATACAGAGATAGGAGCTGAGGGGACATAGTGAGGTGTGACCATTAGACAAGAGTGCAAGCCTTCAGTTATGCCCGGACAGGGCCACCAGAGGGCTCCTTGGTCTAGCAGTGATGCCAGCATCTGGGAAGACGCCCGTTACCAGGCGGATCGTGGTCCAGCGGTAGCAAAAGGTGTCAAGGAACAACACCCGCTACTTAGCAGACTGGGAAAGGGGGGGGGGGGGTCTCCCTTTCCCCGGGGGAGTTTAGAGAAGACTCTGCTCCTCCACCTCTTGTGGAGGGCCTGACATCAGTCAGGCTCGCCCGCAGTTATCTGGAGGCCTAACCGTCTCCCTGTGATGCTGTGCTTCAGTGGTCACACTCCTAGTCTGCCTTCATGTTTCATCCTGTACACCTGGCTCTGCCTTCTAGATAGCAGTAGTAAATTAGTGAAAATACTAATAGTCCCTGATATGCAGAAATAATGGCATAAGCTGTCTTTCTCTCTGTCTCCTCTCTCTCTCTGCCTCAGCTGCCAGGCAGGGAAGGGCCCCCTGTCCAGTGGACATGTGACCCACGTGACCTTACCTATCATTGGAGGTGACTCACATTCTTTACCCTGCCCCTTCTGCCTTGTATCCAATAAATAACAGTGCAGCCAGACATTTGGGGCCACTACCGGTCTCCGTGCATTGGTGGTAGTGGTCCCCCGGGCCCAGCTGCCTTTTCTCTTGTCTCTTTGTCTTGTGTCTTTATTTCTACACTCTCTTGTTGCCGCACACAGGGAGAGACCCACCGACCCTGTGGGGCTGGTCCCTACAACATTGGATTTGACAATGATTTCTTGGATATGACACCAAATGCATGAGCAACAAAATTAAAAATAGGTAAACTGGACAGCAAAGTTAAAACTTTTTGTGGATCAAAGAACAAAATAAACAGTGAAAACGGCAACCCGTGAAATAGAAGAAAATATCTGCAAATCATCTATGTGATAAAGGGTTAATGTCCAGAATATATGGAGAACTGCAACTCAACAACAAACAACTGAATTCAAAAATGGACAAAGGACTTGAATAGGCATTTCTCTGAAGAAGATGTGCAAATGACGAACAAGCACATGGAAAGATGTTCAATGGGAAATGCAAATCAAAACCACAATGAGATACCACTCACACCTATTAGGATGGCTGCTATGAAAAAACAGAAAGTAAGTGTTGGTGGGGATGTGGAGAAACTGGAACCCTTGTGCAATGATCAGAAGGTGAAATGGTGCAGCTGCTATGGTAGACAGTATGGTGGTTCTTCAAAAGATTAACCATACAATTAGCATATCATCCAGTCATTCCACTTCTGGGCATACACCCAAAAGAACTGAAGGCAGAGTCTCAAAGTCATATTTGTATACCCATGTTCACAGCACTATTATTCACAGTAGCCAAAAGGTGGAAACAACCCAAGTGTCCTTCGATGGCTGAATGGATAGACAAAATGTGGTCTACACACACAATGGAATACTATCCAGCCTTAAAAAGGAAGGAAATTCTGACACATGCCAAAATACGAATGAACCTTGAGGACGCTGTGCTAAGTGAAATAATCTAGACGCAAAATAACAAATGCTGCATGATTCCACTTATAAGAGGTACTTAGAGTAGTCAAATTTAAAGAGAAAGAAAGGAGAATGGTGGTTGCCAGGGGCTGGGGAGAGGAGAAATGGGGAGGCATTATTTAATGGGTATAGAGTTTATCTTTCGAAAAGAGATCTGGAGGTTGGCACACAAGAATGTAAATGTACTCAAGACTGAATTGTACACTTAAAAATGGTTAAGAAGGCACATTTTATATTATGTATATTTTACCATTTTAAAATGTGCATATGGTATATGTTCACATAGTATAAATAAATGAATATTTTTCAGTTAAAGAAAAGTTCTATCAAACCACGTCCCTCCTCTGCCCAGAACTCTTCCATGGCTCCCGTCTCACCCAGAGTGACAACCCAAGTCCTCACCACCTCACACAAGGAGGCCCCTCTGCTGACCTCCCAAGCCCCTCTCCCCCATCCCAACACCTGCTCTACACACACAGGCCTCCTTGCTGCTTGCCCAGCTCCGTGGGCAGAGCCCATCTCATGTCCTCTGCAATTCCTGTTCCCTTTGCCTGGAATGCTCTTTTCCCAGCAATCTCAACTCTTTCTTCAAATGTCACCTTCCCTGACGATCCTATTTAAAATTGCAACTCCCCAACCTGCACCCCACTTGGTACCCAACATACCCCTTTTTCTGCCTTTTTTCTCTCCATAGTCCTTCACATGTCCACCACGCTACATGATTTTGCTTATTTACCTTATTCCCTAACTCTCTGACGTAATGGCCTCTACGCTCTATGAGGTCAGGAATTCATCCTGCCATCTGGTGGTGCTCTACTCCCAAGACCCAGCAGAGGGCCTGGCACAGAGCATGCACTCAATATCTATCTGTTGAATGAATGGGGAGGTTTAGATGAGGCGACGCAGGTAAAGCATTTAGCATAGGGCTTGGTACACGGTGTGTGCTCAACAATCAGTAGCATTTGAATAATGATGACAGAGACACCCCCGCTGCCCTGGAACAAGTTACATCTGGTCTGTGCATCCCACCTCCCTGCATCAGGCATGTTTATGCAGGTAAAAATCAAGTTAAGAAGAAACAGCAAAATTAACTTTGCAGGGGGAAACATCACCACCAAGGGCAGTATGGAGCAGGTATGAAAAGAGTTTTGCCTAGGAGGAAAGGAGGGGGAGGAGGCAATAGGCAGGTTGAACGCAGAGAATAACGTATGTCTTGAGTGAGTCGCAGTTTGCAAAGCTCTCTCCAGCCTACCTTGCCTCACAACATCACGCGAATACAATCCCCGCTGGCAGAGGAGGCAATTGAGACTCAGAGGGCAGGGGACATTCCTCTAAATCAGCATAACCAGGAAGATCCAGGGCCAGGCCTGACATCTAAGACTTCAGACTCCAAAACAGAGGACCAGCCTGGGCAACAAGAATGAAACTCCGTCACAATAAAAAAAAAAAAAAAGGAAATTTAGACGTATATACAAAGTGAAGATCATGTGAAGATCAGGGAGAAGATGGCCACCTATAAGCCAAGGAGGGAGACTTGGATCAGATCCTTCCCTCACAGAGTTCAGAAGGAAGTGGTCCTGTAGACACCTTGATCTTTGATTCCTATCTCCAGAGCTGTGAGAAAATCAGTTTATGTCGTTCAAGCTGCCCATTCCATGTACCCGGCAAACTTTTTCTGTAAAGGTCTACAGAGTAAATAATGTCTGCTTTGTGGGTAATATGATCTCCATGTCAACTATTAAACTCTGCCCTTGTAGCATGAAAGCAGCCATAGATAATACATAAATGAATGGGCATGGCTGTGTCCCAATAAAACTTTATTCACAAAAACCAGTGGAAGGCTGGATTTGGCCCGAGGGCCAACCCTGCACAAGAATGTTTGGCTCCAGCAGGCTGGTCTACTTCGCAGCTCCAGCCAAGGAAACTGCTCCTGTATCCTGAGTCATGGCCCAGACGGCCTACTTAGGTGGTCTGCAGTCGGGGACAGCTCTCAGGGTCAGTGCTGACGTGACTGACAACTCCCATACACAGTGGCTGGCCCTCTCTTAAGGTTGTAGCCATCCTGCCAACATCCTGTTCCTTGGAGGCAACCATCTGCTGTCACCTCCAGAGAGGCTCTGATGCAGGAGCGCGGCCACCTGCCTGTGTCCTCCCTCATAGTGAGCAGAGGCTACTGGGCCCCATCTGTTCTCTCCACAAAAGGAAGCCATGAGCTTGCTCAGGACATGTGGCAAACCCCTAGCTTTCTCCAGAGCACATGGTGAGAGGGTGGGAAGAGGAGCTGCCAACCTTGGAAAGTTCTAGCTCTGTCACCAACTAGCAGACGCCCTCAAGTGAGCACCACCCTTCAGGGTGTCCCCACTTATTCCTCTGGCCTCAAAGATGTGCCTACCTCCCACTGTCTAGCATGCCTTCATTCTCCATTCCTTTCCTTTGTCGTGCCTCTTCCACCCTCGGGAATCTCATCATGCAAAATGTCACCTCCCCCATCGCTATGGGCTTAACTGTGTTCCCTTCACCTCCATTTCATATGTGGAAATCTTTTTTTTTTTTTTGAGACGGAGTCTCGCTCTGTCGCCAGGCTGGAGTGCAGTGGCACAATCTCAACTCACTGCAAGCTCCACCTCCCGGGTTCAACTGATTCTCCTGCCTCAGCCTCCCAAGTAGCTGGGACTACAGGCACTGGCCACCACGCCCAGCTGATTTTTGTATTTTTAGTAGAGATGGGGTTTCACCATGTTGGCCAGGATGGTCTCGATCTCTTGACCTCGTGATCCACCTGCCTCAGCCTCCCAAAGTGCTGGGATTACAGGTGTGAGCCACCGCGCCTGGCCCACATGTGGAAATCTTAACACTACTATCTCAGAATGTGCTGTCTTTGGAGATTAGATCTTGACAGAGGTGACTAAGTTAAAATGAGGTCATTAGGGTGGGTCCTAATCCAATATGATTATAAGTGTCCTTATAAGAGGAAATTGGCCAGGCATGGTGGCTTACTCCTGTAATCCCAGCACTTTGGGAGGCCGAGGAGGGTAGATCACTTGAGGTCAGGAGTTCCAGACCAGCCTGGCCAACATGGTGAAACCCCATCTCTACTAAAAATACAAAAATTAGCCGGGCGTGGTGGTGGATGCCTGTAATCCCAGCTACTCGGGAGGCTGAGGCAGGAGAATCGCTTGAACCCAGGAGGCAGAGGTTGCAGTGAGCCAAGATCGCGCCACTGTCTCCAGCCTGGGCAACAAGAATGAAACGCCGTCTGAAAAAAAAAAAAGAGGAAATTTAGACACAGCTACAAAGGGAAGATCATGTGAAGATCAGGGAGAAGATGGCCACCTATGAGCCAAGGAGGGAGGCTTGGATCTGATCCTTCCCTCATGGAGCTCAGAGGGAACTAGTCCTGCAGCTACCTTGATCTTGGATTTCCATCTCCAGAGCTGTGAGAAAATCAGTTTATGTCATTCAAGCTGCCCATTCTGTGTACCGTAAGGGCAGCCCTAGTGAAGTAACAGATCCACTGATGGCACCACCATGACCATCATATTCATCATCCTCATCATCTTCATCATCTCTCCCTCTGACCAAGCCCTTCTCGTGTGCCAGACTCAGCTAACAGATGGCATCTAGGTTTGTTTGATCTGTATTATTCGCTCATTATGCCCTCTCCACAGTGCTGTGAGGACAGTTTCTATTTCATACCTAGTTCTCAGATGATGAGACCGAGGGGCAGAAAGATTAAGGAAAGATTAAGTAACATGCCCAAGGTCATATAGTAAATAGTGGGCAGAAATGGAAGCTAAACCCACACTCTTAACTGCACCTCTAGAAGCTTCAGCCAATGACTATCTCTGAAAATAACACTAACCCTCTTATCTATATGTGCCCGGCACTTGCCACACAGACATGGCGAGCAAACAGAATCCTCATAACATATGCCCCCAGGGAGTTACTATCACTAAAGATCAGGGATGTTGGTTACTAGGTGCCCAAGATCATCAACAAATCTGAGGTTTAAACCCTGGTCAATCTGATTCTAAGGGAAGCCTCTTCCCACCACACACTGACCCAGATCTAGGGATCAGATGAACTAACTCATCAAATCTCCAAACCCCAGGACTGTGTTGGACAGCTGAGGGAGTGCCTGCCCCAAGACAGCCACGGGCTGAGCCAGGGAGCCAGGATTCCGGGGGGCCTCCCTGCAGACGTCTGCTGCCCCGACTCTCTGGGTGGGATGAATGATGCACCCAGCCAACCTAGGCCTCCTCTCTAGGACTCAGTGATACAACACAGAACAAACAGTCTCTTCCCCTTCCTCTTTCTAACCACTGCACCTGGAGGGTAACAACACTGATGTGTTGATTCTTCATTTCAGTGCACGCTAGGTTGGGGCGTTGGGGACTTTTACTTCTCTGTATTACAGGACGGCCTGGTTGAGAAAAATTAAGACGCACAGGCCGGCTGTTGGCAAAGCCATAGGCAGGTGTCTCCGCTGGGGGCCTGTGTGTTCAAAGGATATCAAGAGGGCTTTTTGTTTTGGAGTTGAGGAAGGAGTTGAGTTTGGGGTACAGGGGCCATGGGAACCAAGGATGGGAAGAAAGGGCAGAGGAGGGAGCGTGAGAAGGCCCTGACTGCCTCCAGGCTCCTCGGCCAAATTTGGCTGATGAGGTAGTTGCTGCCTTGCACCACCCAGATCCCATCAGAACTGTCAAAGACCCTCAGCTGTCAGCCCCATGGGGGACATGACATTGCCTTAGGTATCCAGAGAGCCTCCTCCAAGGTCTTGCTCCTTCCCGGGAGGTGCACATCCAATGACTGCTGCATGTGAGGTATAAACCTCCAGCCACTTTGCCCCAACTCAGGATAACTCAGACAGGCCATCCCAGCTCCCCTTGGAACTCCCCGCAGGGCTGGCCGAGGCTTCCCCTGAGGCTGCATCATGGCCCGACTTCTCCCTCTGCCTCTCCTGCTTGCTTCGCTCCACCTCCTGGTGTTGATCCTAAGAGCACCTCCTCCTAACCCACCTGCGCTCCACCTCCTGGTGTTGATCCTAAGAGCACCTCCTCCTAACCCTCCTGCACGCTGACCTCCGTCTCCATCAAGGACCACTAACCTGCAGCGTGAACCCGTCTGGGCCAAGTCAATAGAGACAAGCTGCAAATGGTGCAATGCCTGCAAATTCAGCCACACAGGATGCAGAAGCCTAGCCCCTCTAATCAGGGCTGTGATACTGGGTGCAAGGTGTGGAGAGCCTCAGGGAAGGAATCACAGCCCTGTCCAGGAGGGGCTTTTAGTGCAGTGAGCCAGAGGGTCAGATGAGATAAGAGGTTCAGAGAAAGTGCTATGCAGTAGGAGAGCTGCTCACTCATGGGCCAGCAGCATCAGCATCACCTAGGAACTGGCTGGAAATGCAAATGCTAATCCTAACCCCCTTCCCCAACTACTGGAGGCATTTACCAAGCCCTCCCGGTGATTCTCATGCACGCTCAAAGTTCATTAGAGTTCAAGCGAAAGGAAAAGCTTCCTTCTGGTAACCTCTCCCTCCCGCCTTTCAGACCCAGGGGTGGTGATGGTTCCTGGTTCCCAATGTTAACAGCCACAGGGCACTACATCCTTCCTTGTGGACTCCCAGCATCCTTCCTCCCACCCACCTTAGTCAATAGCCCCTTTATTAAATTTGCCTTAACGTACTGGGTTTGGGGGAGCCATCTATTTCCTGTTGCCCCCATGACAGTATTCACACACTGTCTCAAGTCCAAACGCTGCAGAGTGGAGAAGGTTGTCCACTTACAGCTGTGGATCTCAAAACTCAGAGAGGTTAAGCTCCTCTCCTAAGGTCACACAGCCAGGAAGCTGGCTGCAACCTTCTTACCCTGGGAATGGATCTGCACCTGGGTAAGGGTGCAGGTAGTTCTCAGCCTGAGGGTCGGGATCCAAGTGAAGACCTCTTCCACCTTTGCTACCCAGCTACTGGCTATATCTCCCAGGATAGTTTGATATCCCAGCTACAGGCTAGAGTATCTTCCCGAGCTGACAGCCCGAGGCCAGGAGATGAAATTGAAAAGGCTGGTTAATTAGCAAGGAGGGTAACAGGTTATTACCCTTGAACACTGCAGAAGAGGGCATTGTCTCCATGCAGGAAGAAAGAGGAGGCCACACACTCCTCCGAACCCATCCCGGGGCACAGACCAGACTGTGGACAGGGGAAGAGGGCCAGGCAGCCCTGGAAGGAAGAGCTGGAATTCAGCTCACCCTCTCCCCATTCCAGGCTCTCAGATGTGGGCTTGGGCTTGATCCACTTTGAAAGCTGACAGATCCCAGGGAGTGTGGGGTGGTCCAGGGGCAGTGGTGGTCTGGGATCACTGTGGCCTGTGTGTAGGAACTTTATGGTGGTGAAGCTCATTATTCACTTTTTCTGGACACTCACTACGTTCCAGGAACTGTGTATAACCACAACAACCCAGATGATGTGAGTCCCCAAATCATTCCATTTTATAGATGGGGAAACTGAGGCACAGATTTTTTTTTCCCCACGTAATCTGTCCTAGGTTACTCAAAGGTGGCAGGAGTCAGATCCAGGGCCCTTGTTCTAATGAATACCTTGCCTCACAGCAGAAGCTGGAGGCTGTTTTGAACCGAATGATTAAGTAAGAGAATATTTACTTGAACATGTGCTTTTAAAGAAAAACAAACGTTTTAAGTTCAAGGGTACACGTACAGATCTCTTATATAGGTAAACTCATGTCACGTGAGTTTGTTGTACAGATTATTTCATCATCCAGGTACTCAGTCTATTAGCCAAGTTATTTTTTTCTGCTCCTCCCACCTTCCACCCTTCCATAGGCCTTGGTGTCTGCTGCTCCCCTCTTTGTGTCCATACGTTCTCATCATTTAGCTCTCATTTATAAGTGAAAACATGTGGTATTTGTTTTTCTGCTTTGCATTAGTCTGCTAAGGATAATGGCCTCCATCTCCACTCCTGCTCCTGCGAAGGATATGATCTCACTTTTTTTTTTTCTTTTGAGATGGAGCCTCACTCTCTCGCCCAGGCTGGAGTGCAGTGGCACGATCTCGGCTCCCTGCAAGCTCCACCTCCCGGGTTCACGCCATTCTCCTGCCTCAGCCTCCCGAGTAGCTAGGACTACAGGCGCCCGCCACCATGCCCGGCTAATTTTTTTTTGTATTTTTAATAGAGATGGGGTTTCACTGTGTTAGCCAGGATTGTCTCGATCTCCTAGCCTCATGTTCCGCCTGCCTCAGCCTCCCAAAGTGCTGGGATCATAGACGTGAGCCACTGCGCCCAGCCAATCTCATTCTTTTGTGTGGCTGCATAATATTCTATGGTGCATACGTACCACATTTTCTTTATCCAGTCTACCACTGATGGGCATTTAAGTTGATTCCATGCCTTCGCTATTGTGAATAGTACTGCAGTGAACACTGGCGTGCATATGTCTTTATAACAGAATGATTTACACTCCTTTGGTTATATACCCAGTAATGGGATTGCTGGATCGAATGGTATTTCTGTCTTTAGGTCTTTGAGGAATTATTGCTGTCTTCCACAATGACTGAACTAATTTACACTCCCACCAAAAGTGTGTAAGCATTCCATTTTCTCTGCAACCCTGGCCATTCTGACTGATGTGAGATGGTATCTCACTGTGGTCTGATTTGCATTTCTCTAACGACCAGTGATGTTGAGCTTTTTTTCATGTGCTTGTTGGCTGCATGCATGTCTTTTTTAGCGAAGTGTCTGTTCATGTCATTTGCCCCCTTTTTAATGAGGTTTTCTTTTCTCTTGCAAAGTTCCTTACTTGAACATCCTCTACGTGCCAGGTGCTTTTATAGAATACTTATTTAATCCTCAAAAGAGCATTATTATCCCCATTTTAAAGGTGTATAAACTGAGCCTCAGAAAGTTTATGCAATTTCTCCCCAGGGTCACACAGCCAGGAAAGGGCACTGCTGGAACTCGAACCTAGGCCTCTCTGTATGGCCTGCCTTAATGCCCTGCCTCCAGCCCCACCCAGTACTGGGTCATCTGAAAATCAAGGTGCTAGGAAACCCATGAGAAGGGATTCCTCAGCTTCTCCCAACTTGAGGACCAAAGGAAATACCACACTGGGAGTTAGGAGACCTGGGTTGCCTGCCAAGACTGCACCAATCACACCCAAAGGGGGCCTTTCAGGAGATAGGGGTCCACAAAGGTCCAGGTGGTCAGGAGGCTTTTATCCCTCCCCAGCATCCACTCTAAGGGGTCCGCCAACATCTGCTTGCATTCCTCCAATGATGGGGAGCTCATTCCTTTTGGAACCAGCAAATTAGCATAAAGGACAGGGTGTCAGGAGGCAGCTGAGAGAGTGAGAGCCCAGAATGTGGAGTCACTGACTTGGAGTCGAATCCTCAGCTATTCACTGTATGTGTGATGTTGGGCAAGTTTCCAACGTCATGTGGGTATCTGTTAAGTGAGGTGGGTGGTAATCAGCACCCCTCCCTCTTAGGGGTAAGGTGAGGAGGCCTGAATGAGATCCTGGAGATGGTGCCTGACACACAGCAGGGATTCTTCAAATGACAGAGGTGCTTGAGATGACACGGACTACCCAGGAGGTGCTCATGGGCATCAGGTGAACGGCCGGCTGCTGAGGCGTCCTTCAGCTCAGTGCCGCCTTCCCTGGGCTTCCCACCTGCTGGCTAGTCAGGACCTAGCTGGCCTCCAAGGCTGCAGCCCAGCCCCGTCCCTCCACGTCAGGCCTCTGAGCACCTGCCCCACCACGTCCAGCCACACCCTGCAACCATTCAGAAACCAGCCCCGCCCTCCCTCCCTCTCCCCACCTGCAAATATTTAAACAGCATAAAAAGAGAATTAATCTCAGGAGGGACTCAGGGCAAGTGAGTGCTAATTCCAGGCAGGGAAACCCAGGGCAATCCGTGAGGCAGGAAGGGGGATTCTGGGTCTCCTGGGCCTGCCCTGTCTTCTCCAGTCCTCTCACCTGCCACCTGCCCACACCCAGGTACCCTCCGCTGCCCACCTTGAGTCCTGCCAGGTTCCACATTAACTTGCTTCTCATCCCTGCCTCCCCACACTGGGCTGGGTTTACTCCTCTGAACCCCAGATGAGACTTACATGCCCCAGGGTGCGGAGCTGTCATAAAGATTGCAGAAAATAGAGGCAGAGAGCCTCAAACAGGACCCAGCACACAGCCGGTGCCAGATCAAGGGAGGCACTCTAGGGGGGTAAAAACATAAACAGGTCAGTCTCCAGCTCTGCCATTTGCTGGGTGACCTTGGGCCTCAGTTTCCTCATCTGTGTAACGGGGATGGTACCTGCATCACCTCATAGGGCTGCTGTGCGAGGATACCATGAGCAAAACATACACAGCACTTGAACAGGGCCGGGCACACCATGAGGGCTGGAAAAGAGGTAGCCCCCAGAAAGCCACGTCCTCACTCCATTCTGTGGTCAGCTCCAATATCTCCCCCTCAGAGAGCCTCCCTGATCACCTTGTCTAAAACAGGGCCTCACACCTGCCATCGCTACCCTTTTCCTCTGCTGCTTACTCTTCCTTAGGACTCATGCACTTGACCTCTCTTTATACATCTCTGGGCTCATCTATTTAGCATCCATCTCTCCCATGAAGAGCTTGAGCCCCCAGGACAGTGCCTGGCCACACAGCAGGTGCTCGGTAAATGCTGACGATAATCGGACTACATTAGTAACACTAACACCAGCAGCTAATGCTTACTGAGCTTGGTTCCAGGCAGTGTCCTAAGCCCCCTTGGCTCTAGATCCCATTGATACGTATTTAAAGCTGGGATCAGAAAACTTTTTCTCTAAAGGGCTGGGTAGCAAATGTTTTAGGGTTTGGGGTAGGACTGCCTGATCAATTACAGGGTGCCCAGTTAAATGTCAATTTCAGATAAACAAAGAATAATCTTTTGAGTATAGGTATGCTCCAAATATTACATGGATTATTGATTGATTCTCTGAAATTCAAATTTAAACAAGGCATTCTGAATTTTTATTTGCCAAATCTGGCAAATTATTTTTATTTGTTAAATTTCTATTTGCTAAAACTGGCAAACCTATTTTCAGGCACATACAATCTATCTCATAGTATCTTTTGCTTTTACAACCCTTAAAAAGTACAAATAGGTTGCATTTGGCCCACAGACACCCCTGGTTTAAAGCACCCAGCACAGTGCTTGTGGCACACAGTAGGTCTAAATAAAAATCACCCGGGCCAGCTGTCCCCTGCTCCTCTGAGGCCTGCTGAATCAGAGCGCCCCACCTCTACTCCCCACCTGGGGTCTCTGGTGGTTGAGATGGAGTAAGTACCATGCAGGTGGGGTGAGGACCACTGAGCTAGCACCCAGTTATGACATGGGCTCCCTGACGCTTACCTCCGGAAGAAACTGGCAGTGGAGGGGATGGTTAAATTGGGATGCCTGGAGGGCCCTGCAGGGTGGCTTTAAAAATAACTCTCAGGCCCGCCACAGTGCCTCACGCCTGTAATCCCAGCACTTTGGGAGGCTGAGGCGGGTGGATCACCTGAGGTCAGGAGTTCGAGACCAGCCTGGCCAATACGGTAACACCCCGTCTCTACTAAAAATACAAAAATTAGCCAGGTGTGGAGGCACATGCCTGTAATCCCAGCTACTAGGGAGACTGAGACAGGAGAATCGTGTGAACCCAGGAGGCAGGGGTTGCAGTGAGCCGAGATCATGCCACTGCACTTCAGCCTGGGTGACAGAGTGAGACTCTGTCTCAAAAAATATAAAACATAAATAATAAAAATAACTTAGTAAGTGAGCACAGCGGGGAGAAGAGGGGGTGACTCAAGGGTCCCTCAACAACCACTGGAGCAATGGGAAGGAGCAGAAGGCAGGCTGTGTCACTCTGCTGCTCTGACAGGCACCTGGGACTCTCAGGATAAGTTGCATGGACCAACATCTCCAGCCCTACCTGGACCACTGACCCTCAGCCCTGGTCCCCAAAGGTGGCACTATGTGCTCACTTCCATACCATTGCTCACATGGTGCCTTCTGCCAGGTGCCCCTCTCCGAATGCTCCAGCTGGCTAGCTGCAACTCAGGCTTCAGCCAAGGTGTCACCTCCTCCTAGAAGCCTTCCTGGACTCCCCATCCCCTAAGCTGGGATAAGTGTGCCTCTTCCATGTCCCATTAACACCTCCTTCCCTGCACATATCACAGGAACCAAAACTGTCATTCATGCACTCAATATTTCTCGAGTGCTCCTGCGAGACAGGCACCGAGGAGCAAGCAGACATGGTCCCTGTCCTCGCAAGCCTTACAGTCCAGGGAGATGGAAAGATATAAACAGAATCACAAAATGGGTAAATCGTTACAAAGTGAGACCAGTTCTTTGCACCTTGGTTCTAGGTGAATAACAAAGAAACCAGACCTGACAGCGTAGTGGGGAAGGTCAGGGAGGGCTTCCTGAAGGTGGTGATGGCTCAAGATCTGAAGAACAAATATATGTTAACTCTCTGGGTCTCAGTTTCTCCCACTGTAAAGGAGAGAAAAAAATCGCCCGTGACTGCCCCCACATAGCCACCGTGGAGCTCAAAGGAAGGAACAGATTAAGGACATTGTATCAGGGAGAAACAGCCTATGGAAAGAGCTGGTGGCTTTTAATTTTTAAATCTATTAGGGTGAGGCACACAGGAGGTGACAGTTGGGAGGGGTTGGAATGGGGCTGGTGATGGTGATGGGGTGGGGACAGGAGTATTTTGGCACGCTCCAAAGCACAGACACCAACAGACTTGGGGTGTGGGGAAGGGGAGAGACGGTGCCACAGCCCTACAAGCTGTGCCTGGTTCTATGCTGTGGCCAATCCTTCCTTCCCTGCTAAATCCTGTCTCTTTCCCTTCCCACACCCTAGGCTCTGGTCACATGTGCCATTCCTTCTGTGTGACCCAGGTGACTCCCACCTCCTGGTCCTTGCCCATGCAGTCCCCTCCACTTGATATCCTCACCCATTCCTAGCTCTGTCTCCAGCTCTGGAAAAATCCCCCAGTCCTGCAGGGCCAAGTCACGTGCCCCTCTCCGCATTCCCTCCTGAACCCAGCACTCCATGCAGGTTGCCCATCTTCTGAGCTCCTAGAGTAACACCTGCTGCATCAGGCTCTGGAATCAGACTCCCAGAATCCCAATCCCAGCTTATCCATGCATGATCTTGGGTAAATCCTGTCCCTTCTCTGAACCTCAGCTTTCCCATCTGTGAAATGGGTGATATCAGCATCTGCCTCACTGGCGTAAGATAATACATTTATTTATTTAAATATATTTTTAGGGACAGAGTGTGTTGCCCAGGCTGGAGTACAGTGACGCGATCATGGCTCACGGCAGCCTCGAACTCCTGGGCTCAAACAATCCTCCCGCCTCAGCCTCCCGAGTAGCTGGGACTATAGGTACGCACCACCTTGCCTGGTTAATTTTTTTTTAATGTTGCCCAGGCTGGTCTTCAACTCCTGGCCTCAAGTGATCCACCCGCCTTGGCCTCCCAAAGTGCTGGGATTACAGGCATGAGCCACTGCGTCCAGCCAAGACAATATTTTTTTTTAAATTCATTTTATTTTATTTTATTTTATTTTTGAGATGGAGTCTCGCTCTGTTGCCCAGGCTGGAGTGCAGTGGCGCAATTTCGGCTCACTGCAAGCTCCGCCTCCCAGGTTCCCGTCATTCTCCTGCCTCAGCCTCCTGAGTAGCTGGGACTACAGGCACCTGCCAACACGCCCAGCTAATTTTTTGTATTTTTATTAGAGACAGGGTTTCACCATGTTAGCCAGGATATCTCAACCTCCTGACCTCGTGATCTGCCTGCCTCAGCCTCCCAAAGTGCTGGGATTACAGGTGCGAGCCACCGCGCCTGGCAAAACAATACATTTAAAACATTTGCTGCATGCTCAGTGCTTTATACATTTGTCTTAAGTCGTCATAGCCAGCATTTATTTATAAAATGTTGTTTACTGAGTGCCTGGCACCATGCCTGGGGGTATGATCTCATCTAATCTCCATAGTATTTCTGTGAAATGAGTACAATTACCCTCTTTACTTTACAGATGAGGAAACTGAGTTCCGGTCAGGTGAAATGACTTGCCCGAGAGCACAAGGCTTAGAAATGGCAGGGCAAGATTCAAATCCAGGACTGTCTTTCCTGCACTGAGCCTGGCACACAGTAGGTTTGTTCATTCATTCAAGAGACACCTATGGGTGTTTCTCACAACTGGGTGCTTTACACACTTGAGCCCAAAGACTCACAACTACCATGCATTGTAGGTGTCATTGTTATTATTCCCATTTTCCCAATGAGGCAGCTGTCCTGGGAGAGGCAAACACCATCAGACCATCAGACCTGTGAGGAGGCTGGGACTTAAATCAAAGTCTCTTGCTCTGGAGCCCCATGTTGCAGTGGAGACCCCAGTGGCAGAGCAACCAATGCACCTGCTCCCTTAGCCCTCTGAAACCAAACATCACAGTCACAGCCAACTTGCTGCTCCCAGAGCCAGGGGACGGTGGCACCTGCCAGCTCCACCTCTGCCCTTGGCTATCATTTTTCACAGTACACCTCTCCCTGCATGCCCAGCACCACCTGGCTCCCTCTCTGCTCCACATCAGCTCCCCAAGAGGAATCGTGGTGATAAAAAGAAATGTCCTATCTTAAATGCCTTTTACTAAGTGAAAGAAGCCAATCTGAAAAGACTATGTACTATGCAATTCCAATATGACATTCTGGAAGAGGCAAAACTATGGAGATGTGAAAAGATCAGGGGCTGCCAGGGGTTGGAAAGAAAAGAGAGATGAGACCAGGCGCGGTGGCTCACGCCTGTAATCCCAGAACTTTGGGAGGCCGAGGCGGGCAGATCAGGAGGTCAGGAGATCGAGACCATCCTGGCTAACTCAGTGAAACCCTGTCTCTACTAAAAATACAAAAAAAATTGGCCGGGCGTGGTGGCGGGCACCTGTGGTCCCAGCTACTCGGGAGGCTGAGGCAGAAGAATGGCGTGAACCTGGGAGGCGGAGGTTGCAGTGAGCCGAGATCGTGCCACTGCACTCCAGCCTGGGCAACAGAGCAAGACTCTGTCTCAAAAAAAAAAAAAAAAAAAAGAGAGAGATGAACAGGTAGAGCATGGGAGGTTTGCAGGGCAGTGGAAACACTCTCCTCATGATACTGTGATGGCGGATGCATGCCCTCAGACATTTGTCTAAGCCTACACAACGCACAGCACCAAGAGTGAACCCCGATGTCAACTGCAGACTCTGAGGGATAATCGTCCATGTGGGTTCATTAATCCTAACAAAGGTACCACTCTGGCCGAGGATGTTGACAGTGGGGTAGGCTGCACATGTGGCAGGGTCGAGGATATGAGGGAAATCTCTGCACCTTCTGCTCAGCTTTTCTGAGAACCTATAACTGCTCCAATAAGACTTTAATAAGTCTTAAATACAGACTTTGGGGGGGAAAATAAGAAAGCAATGTCCTTTCCTCACACTGTCAGTCATGGAAGATGTTAGCAGGGATCCCGACTTTCAGCAGACAGGCCAAGCGCCTCCTTTGCAATGGGATCCCCTGTGCCCGCAGCCCACCATGACTTGCAATGGACTTTGGAGCTTTTGTAGAGAAGGTGTCTGGTGGTGTCAGCTCAGAAACCTTCCCTGCCACCTCCCCAGGGGGACATTCAGGGGAACACTCTGTCCCTGGCCTGTCTCGCATCTCTCTCCTCCTCACTTCCTGCTCCCTTGCCTTCCTCCAATGCTGCACGTTCCTCCCTGCCTCAGTGCTTTTGCTCCTGCCATTCCCTCTGCCATTCCTAGTTCTCTACACAGCCTCTTGTTTTCATCATCAAGATATCGGCTCAGGCTGGGCGCGATGGCTCACGCCTGTAATCCCAGCACTTTGGGAGGCCGAGGAGGGTGGATGACCTGAGGTCAGGATTTCGAGACCAGCCTG
Organism: Homo sapiens; assembly: GCF_000001405.40. Lineage (NCBI taxonomy): Eukaryota > Metazoa > Chordata > Mammalia > Primates > Hominidae > Homo > Homo sapiens. The sequence goes on along the minus strand of NC_000022.11, from coordinate 24,821,244 downwards.
GCTAACATGGTCAAACCCCATCTCTACTAAAAATACAAAAATTAGCTGGGCATGATGGCGGGCGCCTGTCATCCTGGCTATTCGGGAGGCTGAGGCAGGAGAATCGCTTGAACCCAGGAGGTGGAGGTTGCAGTGAGTCGAGATCACGCCATTGCGCTCCAGCCTGGGTGACAAGAGTGAAACTCCATCAAGAAAGGAAAAAGGAGAAAGCAAAAGAAAGGAAGAAAAAAAGATATGAGATCAAATGCCACCATCTCAGAGAGGCCTGCCATGACTGCCCAGGTAAGCTGCCACCTACCCAACTCATCCCAACCTCTCTCTCCCCACTGCATTGCTGTTTTCTCATCCATTTCTGAATTCATCGCATTTCTTCATCTGTTTGCACGGTCATTATCCGCCTCTGCCCTCTAGGCTGAAGGCAGGGATCTCACCTGTTGTGCTCACTGTTGTCTCCGCCATGCCCAGCACAGAGTCTGGTACACAGTAGGCGCTCAGCAAATGCTGGTGAATGGATCAAAGTTTCCTGTCCTGGACTTCCTCTCACATGCAGTTTTAGGACAGACGTGCCCCCGCCACTCCTGCCACACCCTTCCATCTTTCCTGTCACTTCCACACAGCATAGGTAACAAAAACAAAGCCACACAGGCCATGGGATAGGTGGCAGTGGGGAGGGGGGAATGAAAAATGATAAGAGCCTGTGGACCTTTAGAGTATTAGAAAAATTCTTCCTCCAATTCCTCCCCGCATAACCTGCCCTAAACATGGTTATTGGGGCTTATGGGAGAAGCAAACACCGCTAACTTGGCTGCTGCCAACCTGGCCCGAGTTAATCGTTCACTGGCTTGCTATAAATAGGCACCAGCATTGTCCTGTGACAGTGTGAGGGCCAGCCAACCTGCCATGACCTGGAAGGGGTGTTCTGGGGCTGGGGTTCCTACAAATGAGCCTCCCCTTATCACCCTGCCCAGGTTCCTCAGACACCCCTTGACCAGAAGGCTCCCCCGGGGCCTGATTCCAAGGCATTCTCTCGGGGACATTCTTGTATAAAGGTCCTTCAGGCTGCCACGCCCATGCACAGGAGAGGATGGAGCTGTGAAGACACTCCCCAGCCTCCTTCTATCCCCAGAGAAGCCAGCCTGCACGTTTTCCATTCCCAGCCCACACCCTGGAGACTGGCCAGCCTCCTCCTGGGTGCCTGCCCACTGCTTGCGTCTGGCTTCCCTGGCAGCACCCCCATCTCCACAGACCCAGGGGCCTCATGGATGAGGAAGATACACGAAGACTTGGAGCCCACCCAAGATCCCTGGAAGACAGCCAAACTTGGGGGCGTGGAGGGGAAGGTGGTTTGGGCAGCTGCAGAAAACGGAAAAGGAAATTCCCAAATTATTGCTTAAAACACACACAGGTACATCAGAAAGCACTTATCACCTTTCTAGATAAGGACTAACCACCTCCATCTGACCTTAGAAGAAGCAATCCAATAGTGTGTCTAACACTGGTTTCAAATCCTGTCTCCATCTCTTACCAGCTGTGTGACCTTGGGCAAGTCACTTCACTTCTCTGTGCTTCAATTTATAGTACTTATCTGTAAAATGGGATAATAAATAGAGGCAGAGGGCCTCAAACAGGACCCAGCACATAGCTGGTGCCAGATCAAGGGAGGCACTCTGGGTAAGTAAAAACATCAACAGGTCAATCTCCAGCTCTGCTATTTGCTGGGTGACCTCGGGCCTCAGTTTCCTCATCTGTTCCCTCTGATGCTTCTTGGGTTTGCTCTCTTTTGACATTACATACACTAATGCATATAAAGTGCATAGCATACTGTCTGGAACAGGATAGGCTTTTTGAGAAATGCTCTATACCCGTGCTGTCCCACGTTATCATCAGCCAAACGTGGCTACTGGGCGCTTGAAATATGGCTAGTGTGACTGAGGAACTGCATTTTCAATTTAATTTAAATTTAACTTGATTGAAATGCAGATATGCACTTGTGACTCGCGGCTAACATACTGGGACAAGGCAGGCCTGGACAAAGTAGGTGCCCAATAAATACTAATTATAATTATTACTGGGGTTGTGATTATTGTTTTTTTTTTTTTTTGACAGAGTCTTGCTCTGTCGCCCAGGCTGGAGTGCAGTGGTGCAATCTCTGCTCACTGCAAGCTCCGCCTCCCAGGTTCATGCCATTCTCCTGCCTCAGCCTCCCGAGTAGCTGGGACTACAGGCACACACCGCCACACCGAGCTAATTTTTTGTATTTTTAGTAGAGATGGGGTTTCATCATGTTAGCCAGGATTGTCTCGATCTCCTGACCTCATGATCCGCCCGCCTCGGTCTCCCAAAGTGCTGGGATTACAGGCGTGAGCCACTGCTCCCGGCCAATTATTGTTATTTTTATCAGAAAGCTATTATTATTGGAACTGGTTTAGAAACTAAGAGGTACCAGTTCATTTCTGGGCACACTGAGGACAGGAAACCGTATTGCAATCATCTCTGTATCACACCGTTCTGCAGGGAGTTACAGACCCAGTGTTTTGGCATATCCCTCTAAAATTCATATTTTAACGTCCTAATCCACGCCTGGGCACGGTGGCTCACACCTGTAATCCCAGCACTCTGGGAGGCCGAGGCAGGTGGATCATCTGAGGTCAGAAGTTCAAGACCAGCCTGACCAACAAGGTGAAACCCCATCTCTACAAAAATACAAAAATTAGCCGGATGTGGTGGCAGGCACCTGTAGTCCCAGCTACTCAGGAGGCTGAGGCAGGAGAATCGCTTGAACCTGGGAGGCAGAGGCTTCATTGAGCCGAGATCGCACCACTGCACTCCAGCCTGGGCAATGGAGCAAGACTCTGTCTCTAAATAAATAAGTAAATAAATAGAATCCTAATCCCAAAGTGGTGGTATTAGGAGGAAGAGCTTCTGGGAGGTAATTTAAGCCATGAGGATGACTCTTGGATGGGATTAGTACTGTTTTTTGTTTGTTTTATTTTATTTTATTTTTTTTTTTTTTGAGACAGAGTCTTGCTCTGTTGCCCAGGCTGGAGTGCAGTGGCATGGTCTCAACTCACTGCTACCTCTGCCTCCTGGGTTGAAGCGATTCTCCTGCCTCAGCCTCCTGAGTAGCTGGGATTACAGGCGCCCACCACCACGCCCGGCTAATTTTTGTATTTTCAGTAGAGACAGGGTTTCATCATGTTGGCCAGGCTGGTATCGAACTCCTGACCTCAGGTGATCCACCCGCCTCGGCCTCCCAAAGTGCTGGGATTATAGGCGTGAGCCACTGCACCCCGTCGGGATTTGTGCTCTTATAAAAGAGACCCCAAAGACCTCTCACCCCCTTTCTGCCATGTGAGGACATGATTAAAAGTCTGCAGTGTGCAAAAAGGAAGAAGGCCCTCACCAGATACCAACCATGCTGCCGCCCTGATCTCAGACTTCTAGTCACTAGAGAATTCCTGTTGTTTTGAAGCTACCCAGTCACGGTACTTTGTTACACCAGCCCCAAACAAGACACAGGGTGATGCTAAACCGTACTTGGGTATTTGGGTTGTGGATTGCTTAGAGGTCCTGACGAAAGCTGAGGATACTCATGGCCGGGAGCGGTGGCTCACGCCTGTAATCCCAGCACTTGGGGAGGCTGAGGTGGGAAGATCGCGAGGTCAGTAGTTCGAGACAAGCCTGACCAACATGGTGAAACCCAGTCTCTACTAAAAATACAAAAATTAGCCAGGCGTGGTTGCAGGCACCTGTAATCCCAGCTACTTAGGAGGCTGAGGCAGGAGAATCGCTTGAACCCAGGAGGCGGAGGTTGCAGGGAGCCGAGATGGCGCCACTGCACTCCAGCCTGGCGACAGAGTGAGACTCCATCTCAAAAAAAAAAGAAAAAAAAAGCTGAGGATCTGAGGATACTCTCTCCATACAGCAAGTACAAGATGTTTCTACAACTTCAGGGATTTGCACACCCGTAGAATAGAAATCCTTGATCCAGTATAATCACCTGGCACATAGTACATCCCCAGGCAGCACTCGGGACTGTAGGAAGGCACAGAGCACAGGAGTGTATACCTCCCGCATCACAGGCTGAGCTCCAAATGCAGGCGCCCTCAGCCCTTTGATGTGGACATCTGTGGTTTGTCTGCCTGCCTTCCATCTCCCTGTCTGGTGATTTCACCGTAACTCTCCTCTGGTGTCCGTTTCCTTACTCTCACAGGGCTAACTCCACCCCTCACCCCCCCATGACCAAGTGGAGCAATCCATCCCACTGTGACTGGCACAAAAGAAGCAAGTGACCCACAGTGGTCCAGTGAGACCAAATCCCAAGACTTTGGCTAGAACCCTTAGGAAGAGAAGGTTTTCTTTTCTGCAGAAATGCCAAGCTGGCAGAATGTGCCCCTAGAGCTGCTGGGCAACACTCTACCTCCCCACAGAGAGGCTGAGCATAATGCCAAAACAGAAGAAGGCAATGCAGAGAGATGGCAAGAGACAGTGTCCTGATGACATCATTGGCGCCCCTGGATATAGGTGCACCTGAACTTCCCAAACACTTAAACCAAGAAATCAATTTTTCCCAGCGCTTTGGGAGGCCAAGGCAGGCGGATCACAAGGTCAGGAGTTCGAGACCAGCCTGGCCAATATGGTGAAACCCTGTCAATACAAAAATTAGCCAGGCATGATGGTGCATGCCTGTATTCCCAGCTACTCAGGAGGCTGAGGCAGAAGAATCGCTTGAACCCAGGAGGCAGAGGTTGCAGTGAGCTGAGATCGTGCCACTGCACTCCAGCCTAGGCAACAGAGCGAGACACCATCTCAAAAAAAAAAAAAAAAGAAAGAAAAAAAAGAAATCAATTTTTTAGCTTCACTTTCTCATTTTGTTTATGTTTATTATCATTCTACCTAGTTTTATCAGGGTTTATCCGACTTGAAAAGGATGGAGGATGGAGCTGGCTAACAAACCCTGCTCTGCTGTTTCTCAGCTCTGTAGTCCTGGTTCAGTTTCTTAGCCTCTCTGAGCATGAATTTCCTTGTCAGTAAAAAGCAGTTGCTACTCGTACCTACTGTGTAGGAAGGTTGTTTTGTGGATTAAATGAGACAGCAAAGCACTTACAGCAATATTTGGTAAATGGTAGTTGCTACAATTCTAATTTACCAAGTAAGCATAATTTACCAAATAATAATAATTAAAAAGGAATTCATTCAATGCCCCAAGTATCACTGAAACTGGCCCAACTATCCCATAGAACTAATGTTTATGGTTTCTTTTGAATATACATAGAAACTGACCCTCCCAGTTTTAAAACTCCAGAAAGTTACATTTGTCTTATCTGAGTTCCTTTCTCAGGAAACCAAACATCAGGCCTCCCCCAAGGAACTGAAACTTACCAGATCATTGCATCTGGACAGAGATGCAACACCCCTTACCCAGCATGACTGCATAACCCACCACCTGCTTCCTGCTGACCAACTCCTTTTCCTTACCCCTCTCTAATTCCAGTTTGTTTGTTTTTTGAGACACAGTCTCACTCTTTCGCCCTCCAGTGGCGCCATCTCGTCTCACTGCCAAGCTCTGCTTCCCAGGTTCACGCCATTCTCCTACCTCAGCCTCCTGAGTAGCTGGGACTACAGGCGCCCGCCACCACGCCCGGCTAATTTTTTTGTATTTTTTTAGTAGAGACAGGGTTTCACCATGTTATCCAGGATGGTCCTGATCTCCTGAACTCGTGATCCGCCTGCCTCGGCCTCCCAAAGTGCTGGAATCACAGGCGTGAGCCACTGCACCCAGCCCCTCTAATTCCAGTTTTCTTCCATGCACTTAAATTTTCTTCCTGCTATATAAACCTCTGAGTTTAGTTGGTCAGGAAGATAGATGTGAGCCTGATCTCCCATCTCTTCGGCTGCGGGACTCAACTAAAGACTTCTTCCCGGGCAATACTTATCTCAGTGATTGGCCTTCTGTGTGGCCAGCAGCAGGACCCACACCAACACCCCAGCATTTTGGTAACATCACCAAGTCTCTTGAACTCTCAGGACCTCAGCTATCCATTTTCTCAATGAGGCCTTACTGCAAAAGGAACTGTTACTGTTCTTTGCAAATACCCACAATCTGAGTTCCTGCAAAATTGTGCAAAGAAAAAACATAGAAATCTATTCATCTCATCTTCTATATCACTAAGTGAAAGAAAAATACACTGCCCCACATCTGAGTTTAGCATTCTTAGCCCCCTTGTCCAGGGGTGCACAGCAACCAAGTGCAGGGCCAGGAAAGTCACCAGGGACTCTGAGCTCCTTAGGCTGAGGGACTGTCTCCAGGAGCTGATGGGCAGCCAGCCTCAGAGGGAAGACCCAGCTGCCCTCCCCATGATGGCGATGCAGCCAGCCAAGACTCAGCCCATTAGAGGGCTTGTCCCTTTGGACCTCAAGAAATATCTCTTCTGACTAAATTCCACAGCACTGCCCTGGGGGCTGTAGCACCTCCAGGTCAGGGCTTACCTAGAGACAGCAAGATCCTGTGCTGAGGGCATCTTTTAAGTTCAGATGTGACCAGAAAGGGCGGCAAAGTGTCCTTTTGGGACTGAGTCCATCTTACTCCCAAAAGGGTGAGCCACGCGGTGTGCCTGACCCCTCCATAAATACTGCCAACTGCCTGACAGTGATAGCATAGTGGTAATTGAGGCCCTTGCTGTTGTGGCCTTCTCCCTGACCCCACACTCTCGGTGGAGCTTGGAACCCTGTGTGGATTGCTGGCTTTAGCTCAAGAGTGATACAGAGGAGGATTGTGCAGCCAGACCCCTTGCTGTACCAACAACAATCTCTGAGACCTTAGGGCGAACTCCTTGCCATCTCTGTGCCTCGATTTCCTTATCCATAAAAGAGGGGATTTTATCTACTTCATGGGGGATCAATAATTAAATGAGGTCATCAATATAAAATGCCAGTATATGCTAGTTTTTGTTTTGTTTTGTTTTGTTTTGTTTTTTTAATCTTTATCCCATTAGAATGACATTAGTTAAGCCCTGGTTTTCCTTGAGTGAACTGAAGGCACTCCAAAAGTCTTACCAGCTACTTAGTTTTAATTAGTCTTGAATAAATACTTGGCAAATTCAGAGTGGAAAAAACAAAGACTTGGCTCTCAGAGAGTGACACTGGCCAAATTAGATGAGTTGAGGTTCTTGGAATCCTGGAGCTGTCCAACCTCGTCCACTTAGAAAGCAGGAAAGTGAGACCTTGAGAAGGGACCTGTTAGGAGCCACAAGCATTGTTGGGGTCAGAACTGGAACAAGGACACAGGTCTCCTCACCTCCCATCCTGGGCTCTGCAGACAGCAACTGCGGGCCCTTAGGGGTGACCAAAATGCCCTTTCCTACCGGCCAGCCAGCAACAAATGCTACCACCAGCTCCTGGAGCACCTCATGAGGTGGCTGGGGGAGACCCAGCCATATGGTACAAGAGACACAGCCAGGCAAGCCAGGGGCCCTCCTGCCATCCTCACCACATCGAACCAGGGTGCCTAAGCTGCCACAGATGCTCATCACTAGCAAAAGCTCCCAGAAGCCAGGTTGCCAGAGACCTGAAAAAGCATCAAAACGCATCGGGTGGATATGGCTGCATTATTCATGAGGAGCGTTTCTGCCCTCTTAAGCCAGCAAACACGACACACGCAAGCTGATTTGAGTCAATCCTGCCAGCATCGGAGAGCCCCAAAATAGCCCACCTGGCATTCCTGCATTCATTCAAGCACATGCATTTTTGGAGTCTCTCCTTGGCACAGTGGGGCGAGTAGTGGGTGGGGGGCTGTGATTCCAGCCCAAGAATGGAAAAGCTTAGCAAAGGCAGACGTTTCCTGTCTTATCTGATGATCTGGTGTCTTTGCTTCCTCTCAACTTGTCCCCAAAACTTGCCTGTTCCTCCCCTGCTCAGAATACTCCCATGGCTCCTATCTCACCAGAGTCAAAGCCAAAGCCTTCGATGCCTTCGATGGACAAGGTCTTGAACAATCAGCCTCCCACTCTCTCAAACCTCATCTCTACTCTTGTTTACTTCACTCCAGCCTCACTGGCCTCCCAGCTGGTCTGTTCCCAACTCACAGCCTCTGCATACGCTATTCCCTCTGCCAGGCACACACTTCCTGTAGATGTTGACACTGCTCCCTTCCTTCCTTCAGGTCTCTGCTCAAACACCATCCCATCAGTGAGGCCATCCCTGACCACCTCCTCTGGCAAGCCTTTCCCATCTCTTCCAGCCGTTATTTTCCTTGGAGCTCTTGTTACCTTTAATACATATTTCTTGTTTTCTCTATATGCCCTCCTGCCACTATACTGTACACTGAATGAGGGCATATGAGCAAAGACATTGCTTTACTCACTTCTCAGTTTGCAGCTTGTAGAACAGGGCCTGGCACATAGTAGATGCTTGATAAATATTTGTGGGAGGAAGGAAGGAAGAACGGAAGTGGGGGAGAAAGAAAATAACAGAGGGAGGGAGAAAGTTTTCTTCTAAGAGTTGGCAGAAACTGTCTATCCTGGTCCCTGCTATTAGCTGAAACTTCCTGAAGTACAGCCCTAAGCAAAACCCTCCCTTGCTCATAAATCTTCTATAGCTCCCCATTATCCACTATGGGAAGTTCAAATGGCACAGCCTGGCACATACAGCCCTGCACAAGCTGGGACTAATGGACCTTTCCTGCCCCATTTCCTTCCCCTGCACATGCCTGAAGCCAAGCTGTGTTTCCAGGGACTTTTCTGAAGCTCATAGCTGCCCACCACTGCCCACTGTAAGCCAAGGTCATGAGGCCATCCCCCTAGATCTTGGCAACATGAGGTTTGAATCCTGACTTCTCCACGGACTGACAGTGGGACCTTAAAGCGAGCTGCATAACATCTCTCTGCCTCCAGTTCCTCATCTATCATGGAAAGAGATGATGGTTCTCTCCCTTAGGGCTTTTATGAGGAGTGAAGGGGATAATGCTCAGAAAGTTCATGGCACAATGCCCAGCACAGAGGAAGCCAGAAGCCCCCAGCAAACACGTAGGAAATTAGGAATGCCTAATTTTTCTTTTCTTTTTTTTTTTCTTTTTTTGAGACGGAGTCTTGCTTTGTCACCCAGGCTGAAGTGCAGTGACGCCATCTCAGTTCCCTGCCACCTCCACCTCCCGGGTTCAAGCGATTCTCCTGCCTCAGCATCCCGAGTAGCTGAGATTACAGGCGCATGCTACCACACCCGGCTAATTTTTGTATTTTTTGTAGAGATGAGGTTTCACCATGTTGGGCCAGGCTGGTCTTCAACTCCTGACCTCAAGTGATCCACTCAGCTTGGCCTCCCAAAGTGCTGTTACAGGCATGAGCCACCATGCCTGGTCATAATTTTTTTTTTTTTTTTTGAGACAGGGTCTCGCTCTGTTGCCTTGGCTGAAGTGCAGTGATGCGATCACAGCTCACTGCAGCCTCAACTTCCTGGGCTCAAGGGATCCTCCTGCCTCAGCCTCTCAAATAGCTGTGACTACAGGCATGCACCACAATGCCTGGCTATTTTTATTTTGTTTTCTGTAGAGATGGGGGTCTTGCTATGTTGCCCAGGCTGGTCCCAAACTCCAAGCCTGAAGTGATCATCCCACCTTGGCCTCCCAAAGGGCTGGGATTACAGGCATGAGCCACAGTGCCCGGCCAGGAATTGCTAATGTTATTACATAGTCCAATCTCTCTTCTATGGCCTAAGTCCATTTTACAGGTGAGAAACTGAGGCATTCTGGGGAAGTTTCCCCTAAATGACATGGCTAGGGAGCCAAGACTTCGTTCCCTGCCCCTGCCCACCCCCACCCCGGCTTTAGACTCCAAATATGCATTCAAGACAATCTAAAAGCAGTAAGAATGAGTTGTTCAAGAACAGTACATTCGTATCAAATTAGCCTAGAGAAGTGAAGGGCGCAGCAGGTGCAGGATGGGTAGGGTGAGCGGGGAGCAGATTTTCCTGCCTTAACAAGAGTTATTCTGGGCTGGCCACTTCTTTGTGCTCCTAGTGGTGGTGGGCTGAGGGGGTGTCTTGTGTATTGCAGGAATGTGAGCAGCATCCCTGGCCTCTTCCCACTAGATGCTGATAGCACCCCCAACTGTGACAACCAAAAATGTTTCCAGACATTGCCAAATGTCCCCTGGAGTAGGGTTGCCAGATTTAGCAACACATACTCATACTAAAAACTTACTCACTGTTTATCTGAAAGTCAAATTTAACTGGGCGACCTGGATGTTATCTGGCAACCAAACCTAGGGACGGGAGACAAAACTGCTCCCCTTCATTAAGAACCACTGGGTCACAGTAAAACTGCAGGGTCCCCATGGTAACGTCAATTGCTTCTCTCGTTTTTCTCCAACCTTCTTAGCAAGTCCTGCCTGCCTCTCCCATCTCATCACCCCTAACCCAGAGGCTGGGAGGCTCAGTTCTCCAAACAGGCTCTGTTCAGCAGCTATGATGATGGCTCCCCAATTACAGCCCTTCCACCAGCTCCGGTCGCAGAGCTAAATGTAGCTTCCACTCCAGGACCTGCCTCATCTCCCTGTCTCCTTCCTGGGGTCTCATCTGCCTCCCACCAGCCCCTGCATTCTCCCCTCCAATTAAGAGGCTTTCTAGGCCCAGCCCAGAGGCAGGAAAACAAGGCAGTTAGTCACTTTGCTTCCATTATCAACTGGCATCACATGGCTGGCTCCTTTAATGGCAGTTGTTATGGCAACGGGAAGCCAGTCCCTGCTCGCTCTGGGAACCAAAACAAAATTAAGGGTTGGCAGGGAGGGTAAAGGAAGCCAGGAAGGAGCCAAGATAGAGCTGGTCAGATTTAACTGGAGGAAATCACGCTGAGGCCACCTTGTTTCCAGCTTTCTCTTGGTGGTACCGAGGACAGAGGGAAAAAAAAAAAGGATGCTTGCCCTGGAGGAGCTCAGGCTAACGTGGTGGGTGTTCTCGCAGGGTTTATCTTGCCAGCTGAATCATTTTCATCCCCATTATGAATAAACGGAAACCCACACACTGATAAAGGTAAAGACAGATCTTGTCTAAGATTGTGCAGTGAACAGGCCAGCAATTTCAGCTCCATCACCTTCTTTCCCTGTTCTCGATGTCCTCCCCATTCCTTTCCCTTGCTTTTGGGATAAGACCACATGTTCCGCCTTCTCCGCATCTGCACCTTTCTCCTTTGTCTCTGCTCCGGTCACTTCGGTTCCTTCAAATTCACAGTGTTCCCTCCAGCCACAAAGCTTCTGCATGTACAAAACCTTCTGCCAGGAATGGTTTTTCTTAGTGTCTCTCAACCCTCTTATCTTCACCTTAAAGTCCTACTCATCTTGCACCTGTCTTCTGAAACGTCATATCCTGGGCCCCTGCACATGGTCAGTTGTCCCTGTTTTGGGTTCTTGCAGCCCCGGGTGCCTCTCCTTCACATCTCTGTTCACAGCCTGTAATTATCCTTGTAATTTTGATAAGGTAACTGTTGGGAGTGTGTTTCCTCCGCTGCAAGGTCAGCCCCAGGAGGACAGGGACAGGGCCCATCTACAAGGGGCCTGTCCCTGCTATATCCACAGAACCTAGCCCAGGGTCTGACACACAGCCCTCAGTAAATAAACACATCTGGGGTTGGAATCCAGCTCTAGTTGAGCCCAAAGTTCTTCTTGACCTGCCTCATGGGTGCTGTGTCCAGCTGGCTCCCCAGGCCAGCACTGGACAGTTTCCAGCTCCCAGCCTCTGTTGGCCCCTTCGTGGCTGCAGTGGCTCTGGCAAACCTTGCAGAGCTGCCCAGCCTATCTAGAGATGTCGATTGTTAAGGCACTCCTTCTAGAAAGAAGGCTGGGGAAACAGATGTACACACAGAAGACAGATATACACACAGACACATGTAGATATGTGTACATACAATGCAGTCTCTGGGTGAGGCTGTGACAGGCAGAGATGTGGCTCCTTTGAACCCAGAGAGTGGGGAGGAGGGAGATCTGATTTGACTCTCAGATTTCTAGGCAAAGAGCTTTCCCTTCTGTTCCACTAGAGACTGGCTCTCTGACACTGAGAGAGATGCTCCCCAAAGAGGTAAGCAAAGGAAGGAAAGGACAGGGGAGACGTGCTTTGGGGGGCACCGAGTTGTTGCCATGTTCTTAGGGTACCTATGTTGAATAGGAACTCAAAAGACAGAAGAACGGAACCTGTTCCCTCACACTGGTTCTGTGCCCTTGAAATGTCACTTATTGTCTCTGGGCCACAGTGTTCTCATCTGTACAGTAGAAACTGTACTGCCCACACATTCTGTCCAAGGTGTGGCACCGTGTAGATTTGGATGAGCATGTTTGTGGGATGGGAGGGTCAGAGTGTGGCTCTGACATCAAAAAGACCTGGGGGGTAAGTCCCAACTCTGTCCCATCTTGGCTGTGTGCTCTTGGGCAAGTTATTCCCCCTCTTTGAGCCCAAGACCCAAACTAGACTGACACGGGTCAGACCTTAGAGGACACTGATACTAATGCATCCTTCTGCAGATGGAGAAACTGACTCCTAGAGAGAAGAAGGAACCTGCGCAGGAAACTGAGGAAGATGGTAGCTGAGCTGGGACCTGGGCCTCAGCCAGAGCCTTCCCCAGATGTCTTACTGGTGTTCTCTTCTGCCTGCAGCCCCCTCCCCATTCAACCAACCATTGCCTTAAAAACAAAGCTACCCCAGGCAAAAACATCTCAGGGACACATATTACACGTAGGTCTGGTTAAACCACGAACAAAAAGACAGCAGGTGCTTTGTAAGGTACATGCCCCTCCACTGAAAGTGACAAGGATGTTGTTGGTCTGTGAGTTCTATTGAAAAGAGGTTCTAGGCTGGGAGCAGTGGCTCACGCCTGTAATTCCAGCACTTTGGGAGGCCGAGGCAGGCGATCACGAGGTCAGGAGATCGAGACCATCCTGGCTAACGTGGTGAAACCCCGTCTCTACTAAAAATAAAAAAATAAAAAATTAGCCGGACATGGTGGCTCCTGTAGTCTCAGCTACTTGGGAGGCTGAGGCAGGAGAATGGCGTGAACCCAGGAGGTGGAGTTTTTAGTGAGTGGAGACTGTGCCACTGTACTCTATCCTGGGCAACAGAGCGAGACTCCGTCTCAAAAAAAAAAAAAAAACACCAAGAAAAAAAAAAGATAAGAGGTTCTAGATGGATCTCCCTTGGAATACCCACAGGAGTCTATACAAGGGCTGAGCTGAAAACTTCTGGGCCTTTCTGAGGGATCCAATGTATTTTGCATGTCTCATTCGAAAATGCTAGAATGTGCAAGCAGCCCTGGAGCTCATTCTTTAAACAAAATAGGACATGCCACACACAGAGACACACACACACACACACACACACGCAGGCACATACTCATGCTCCCGGAGGACGGAGGAGCAGCAACAGGTCCAAGCCTCGAGGCTGCCCTTGGTGGCTGTCTGCCACTGTGCAGGGAAGGAGGGGTCATCAGTGATGCTTGATGCTGCCACCTCAGCCAACACCCCCAACACATACACACACATGCACGCATGTACACACACACACACTGAAAGCCAGGCCCAGAAACCAGGCCAGCCCACGATGTCTGCTGCCATGCAAGGCCTTGGGCTAAGCGCTGATAAGGTTCAAAAGTGATGAAGACACAGCAGCAATGGGGTCTGAGACTGAAGAATGGGGAGGGCAACACACAAGACACACGCACACAGACGGAGTCACAGCCCTAGTTATTCATGCAGACTCATGCATCACATGCCACACACCTACTCAAGATACACACACACACTCACAGCATCACTCATTCACAGACTCATGCACCACACAATATACACACACAGACCCACCCTCACAAAAACAGATACAAAGACACACATAGATACGTGTACACACAGTGCAAAGAGATACACTTAGGTATCTCCAGACAGATGCACAGACATTCTCATACGCACACACTCACAGCCACAGGTCCTCACCCATGCAGGTATACACACCAGAGCACGCAGTCCAGGCATCGAGATGCTACCCCAAGGACTATAAATTCTGTCTATGGGGTTCTGGGAGGTCATTGGCCATGAGCCCTAAAGACTAGACTGCCCCCCTCTCCACGCGCTGACCCCAAGGAGAGTGGAGGGGCAGAGGAATGGCAGAACCTCTCTGATTCTCACCCTCTGAATGTGGGGTGGGAGTGGGGCGGGGGGAGTGAAGGGACCCCTACTGCCAGGGGAGCAGCTCACTGACCCGTGACTCTCAGGGAGGGAGTCCCCTGGCTCTTGGAGGTGGCTCCAAGGACTGAGAATTCGGGGGCTGGGAAGGGAGGTTTTATTTTCCTTCTGCCTTTTCCTGAAGCGTGCCCCACCTTCGGCAGCCCCATTCAGAGCCCCTCCTCCAGCACACCCTGTGGGGGGCGTCCCCCTAGCAGCTTCTCTCTCTTGGAAGGTCCCCTTCCTGAGCCGCGCCCACCTGCTCCTCCACAAGAGGAGGTCCTATCGGGATACATCCAGGTGTGCCCCACACCTGGAGGGCCCTCACGCTACATCCGCCCCCGCAAAAAGCCTCAAATGGGCCAAAGCCTCCCCACACCTACGCCCACCCCCAAACTCCCTCGCTGCGCCTCCTGCCCTGCGGGAGGTCAATGCCCACCCAGGTGAGCCCCACACCTGTTCTGGCCGCCCCCCCGCCGCCAGAGGCCACCCTTCCACGAAGACTCTTTTCCCGTTTGGCCGCTGCTGCCGGGGGAGTCCTGCCCAGTGCCCCCACCCCGGCACCCACCTCCTTCTTGACGGTGCGTAGCAGCCTCTGTCGGGTCTCCGCCTCTGTGGGACAAGAAACGAGAGCCGCGGGTCAGCCGAGAGAGGGTGCGGGGGCCGGGCGCTGCCCTCCCGCCGCCCTCGTGTCCAGCGGCCTCTTACCCGCGGGGGCCGAGGCCATGGCTCCGAGCGCTGCGTTCCGAGTCCCAGGAGGCGGTGGCGGCGGTGGCGGCGGTAGCTCCTCCGGCCGCGGCGCTGCTGCTGCAGCCGCGGCGGGGCGGGGCCGAGCGCTGAGTGACGGCCGGAGGGCGCCCGACGTCAGGACCCGAGGCGGCCGCCCCACCCCTCCGGAAAGCCACCGCTCGGCGGGGCAGCCGGGTCGCCTGCGCCAGGAGCCTTCGCGCCAAGCACGCACGCTCCCTCCCGCGCACCCAGCGCCCGAGCCTCTCAGGCTCCCCCAACCTCCACGCCAGCGCCCGCGTCCCTCCCTCTTCCCTAGGGCGGGGAAGGAAAGCGTCCGTCCTGAACCCTCCTCTGTGGGCCAGGCTCCAGGAAGTCACAGGAAATGGTGGGGCTACTACCGATATTCTCCAAGCCTCAGTTTTCTCATCTTTAAAATGGGTATAATGTGGTATAAAATGGGCATAATGGGTCTCAGAACGATCTGAGCCTTAAGTGAGATATTGGATGTGAAGCCCTTAATACAGACCCAGGGGGAAAGGCCAGCGAGCATAAATGCTTGCCACTGTTACTGTTATTATTATTAATTATTATTATTGAGGGTCTTCCAGCCGGTCGCGGTGGCTCACGCCTGTAATCCCAACACTTTGGGAGGCCGAGGCGGGCAGATCACTTGAGGTCAGGAGTTCGAGACCAGCCTGGCCAACATAGTGAAACCCCGTCTCTACGAAAATACAAAAATTAGCCGGACATGATGGCGAGCTGCCTGTAATCCCAGCTACTGGGGAGGCTAAGGCAGGAGAATCTCTTGAACCCGGGAAGCAGAGGTTACAGTGATCCAACATGGCGCCATTGCACTCCAGCCTGAGCGACAGAGTGAGACTCCGTCTCAAAAAATAAAAAAAATACAAATACAAAAATTAGCCAGGCATGGTGGCGTGCTCCTGTAATCCCAGCTACTCAGGAGGCTGAGGCATGAGAATTGCTTGAACCCTGGAGGCAGAGGTGTCAGTGAGCCAAGATTGTGCCACCACACTCCAGCCTGGGCAACAAAAGTGAAACTCCATCTCAAAAAAAAAAAAAAAAAAAAGAGTCTTCCAAGATACACTGGTTATCCATTCAGGAGAGGCCGGGACTTAAGTGGCTCCCTCCCCGACATGCAGGTCACTGGAGGAGTGGGGTTTTCCCAGGAGTCTGGCCCCAAAAGGAGGCACTTGTCAGCCAGGATCTCTGGGGCTGAGCAAGCAGTGGGCTCTGTGGGAAAAGCCTTGTTCCATCAAGAGCCCCTGGTCACCCCAAGTCCCTAACTGTATCCACCCAGAATGCAACTCAGGTCAATATTTATTGAGCACCTACTCTGTGCCAAGTGACTGTGCTAGAGATTTCTAAGTGAGCAAGACAGACAATGAACTCTGCCCTCATGGAGTTTAGGAGGCGGACAACAAAATATGTAAGAAAAGGACAGACCATGCTGGAAAGTTCTGGAGAAAAATTAAGTAGGCAAGGGGGACAGGGAGGGCCCAGACCCCTGGGGATCGTATTCTGAAGTAGGGTGGTTGAGGGAGGCCCCACTGAGCAGGTGACATTTAAGCAAAGAGGAAAAGGAGTAGGCCATGGGGATTTCTGGAGGAAGAGCAGTTGAGTCAAGGGAACA
The DNA here is from genome assembly GCF_000001405.40 of Homo sapiens. Lineage (NCBI taxonomy): Eukaryota > Metazoa > Chordata > Mammalia > Primates > Hominidae > Homo > Homo sapiens. The sequence goes on along the minus strand of NC_000022.11, from coordinate 24,804,672 downwards.
GCAAATGCAAAGTCCCTGAGGAGGGAGTGTGTCCAGTCAAACAGTGACAAATAGCACAGATGCCTGTGGGGCTGGAGTGGTGTGAACAATGGGGACGGTGGTGGGATGTTGGCCAGAGAGGTGCAGGGCCAAAACCCTGTATGACTTTGATGGTGATGTTAAGGATTTGCAATGCCTTTTAGGGTCCCCCAGTATTCAGGCCTTCCTTCAGAAGGACTAGAGGGCAGCTTAGAGTGCCTCTCCGTGCAGCAGTGGATCCAGAGCCCCCTTTTTTCCATTGGTCAGTGTCAGGGGTCTCTGGCCGTAAGCCACAGAAGCTGACTTTGGCTTCCTCAGGCAAAAGGAAATAAACTGGGAAGATAATATGTGATCCCAGAGCCCATGGGAGCCTGGAGAACTGGGAAATGGGATGAAATCAAGGTGGCTCTGGAAGGCCAGAAAGGGGAATCTTGGGAATATTTGCCTGGCAAGGACAGTGTGGTTAGGGCACTGCTGCTCTGGTAAAGAGAATGCCATTCGTTTAAGGTTTTCATCCTATGGAGGGAGTGCCTGATTGTCCTGACCTGGGACACAAGCCTGCCCATTGGCTTGGGGAGAGGTGTCTCAATCACAAACCCCTGCTCCACAATCTCCAGCAAGTCCCCCAGGAGAATGGGAAATGGTTGCTTGGCAGCAAAAATAATCATATATTGCGCACCTACTATGTGGCAGGCACTGCGCTAAGGGCTTTGGGTTTTGCTCACATGATCTTATTGACCCTCCTTCCACCCCACGCTAACCCTATGAGCCTTATGTCATTGACAAAGCCAAGCCTGGAGGGGGTTTCATCCCTGTTTGTTTAACAAGTGTGTGGCCGCCAGGATTCTGACCTGAGGACCAAAGTGATTGATCCATTAGTTCCTCTCCTTGGCTTCACCCCTAAGTTAACTGGGGTACTTTAGGAAGGTGGTAGGGTGCCTAAGCCTCACTCTAGGGAATCATTTTTCAAAACCCACATTTTTCCTTTTCCTGCCAAGCACAAAGTCTGGGAAGTTGACCTGTGCTGGTCCTTGAAAACCTGGAGCTTTTCCTCCAAGATAAAGGACTCCATGGTGTTTGGTGCAGTTGCAACTGGCAGGAGGGCATGGTTGACCTGCATGCAACTCAGGTCAACAGATATTTATGAACACCTACTGTGTGCCAGGTGACTGTGCTAGATACTTCTAAGTGAACGAGACAGGCAAAAAGCTCTGCCCTCGTGGAGCTTAGGAAGCAGACAATAAAATAAGCAAATAATAGAGTATGTTGGAAAGTTCTGGAGGAAAACAAAGTAGGCAGGGGAGACAGGGAGGGCCCAGACAGATGGGGATTTTATTATGAAACAGAGTGGTTGAGGGAGGCCCCACTGAGCAGGTGACATTGGAACCCTGAATTCCATGGGACCAGGGATTGCACCCTGCTGCAGTTGGAACACTCACCACTAGGGGCACCATCACCTAAGATCAGCTTGGGAAGAGTTGCACTCTCCCTGTGGCCAGAATAGGAAAATTTACCTGGGTCCCAAAGCCTCCCCCAGTGTCTGAGAATCCCATTACCTGGCCTATGACACCTCACACCCTTAGCGCTGACCAGTGGTGCAGCAGCTGGAACCAGTTAAGAGAAGCCTCTTTCTCCAGCAATGTTTCTTCAGCGCCCTCAGCTGGGAAAGGTCAGCTCTGTGATCAGCGTAAATGAAAAATGCTAAGAAAGTCCAGGCTAGGCCGGACGCGGTGGCTCACACCTGTAATCCCAGCACTTTGGGAGGCCGAGGCGGGTGGATCGCCTGAGGTCAGGAGTTCGAGACCAGCCTGGCCAACACAGGCGTGGTGGTTCACACCTGTAATCCCAGCACTTTGGGAGGCCGAGGCAGGCGGATCATGAGGTCAGGAGTTCGAGACCAGTCTGGCCAACATAGTGAAACCCTGTCTCTACTAAAAATACAAAAAAAAATTAGCCGGGCCTGGTGGTGTGTGCCTGTAATCCCAGCTACTCGAGAGGCTGAGGCAGGAGAATTGTGTGAACCCGGGAGGCAGAGGTTGCAGTGAGCCAAGCTTGCACCACTGCACTCCAGTCTGGGCAAAAGAACTAGACTCCGTCTCAAAAAAAAAAAAAGAGAGAAAAAAAAAACAGCTTAACCAAGACATGCAGCTGGAAAGTAAGAGAGGCTAGATTCAGGCCGAGGCACTCTTGAGCCTCTTACTATACAGAGAAATCTTGATTAATGTTGTGTTGCATGCCCTATGCAGCAGATACTCCTTGTTGCTGCGATGGTGAATTTTATCTGTCAACTTGCTTGGACCAGGGGTGCTCAAACATTTGCTCAAAGGTTATTCTGGGCGTGACTGTGAGGGTGTTTGTAGATAAGATTAATGTTTGAATCCATCGACTGAGTAAAGCAGATTGCTGTCTCTGATGTAGGTAAGCCTCATTCAATCAATTGAAGATCTGAATGGAACAAAAAAAGGCAGAACAAGAGGAAACTCCTCCTGCCTGACTGTTTGAGCTGCGACATCTTTTCCCACCTTCTGACTCAAATTGAAACCTCTGCTCTTCCTGGGCCTCGGGCCTTCGGACTCAGACTAAAACTGCACTATCAGCCCTCCTGGGCCTCCAGTTTGCTGACTGCAAATCCTGGGACTTCTCAGCTTGCATAATTGTATAAGCCAAGTTCTTGTAATAAATCTCCTTATATATGTATAGATGCATACATATATAAGTGTGCATATATTTATATGTGTGTATATATGTACATCTTGTTGGTTCTGTTTCTCTGGAGAACACTGACTAATACAGTTGTCACCTCAATATTCGTTTGCCTCCCCCTCTTTTTAATGAAACTGAATTTGCCCAGGTATCCAACTCTACACATTGGCCACTGCCTTGGAAGACCCTGTTCTTCTTCCCATCTAGGTAGGTCCTGACTGGACTAAGTCAATCATGGTGCTCCTGCAATTCGCAGTTGCAAAAATATGGAACCAGCCCAAATGTCCATCAATCAATGAGTGGATAAAGAAAATATAATATATATACCACAGAATACTACTCAGCCATAAAAAGGAATGAAATAATGGCATTGCAGCAACCTGGATGGAGTTGGAGACCATTATTCTAAGAGAAGTAACTCAGGAATGGGAAAGTAAACATTTTTTTTTTTTTTTTGAGATGGAGTCGCACTCTGTCACCCAGACTGGAGTGCAGTGGCGCAATCTCAGCTCACCGCAACCTCCGCCTCCCGGGTTCAAGTGATTCTCCTGTCTCAGCCTCCGGAGTACCTATATATTTTTTGGATTTTTAGTAGAGACGGGGTTTCACCATGTTGGCCAGGCTGGTCTGGAATTTCTGACCTCAGGTGATCCACCTGCCTTGGCCTCCCAAAATGCTGGGATTACAGACGTGAGCCACCACACCCAGTCTTTTTTTCTTTTCTTTTTCTTTTCTTTTCTTTTTTTTTTTTTTTTTTTGAGATGGAGTCTCACTCTGTCACCAGGCTGGAGTGCAGTGGCACAATCTTGGCTCACTGCAACCTCCACCTCCCGGGTTCAAGTGATTCCCCTGCCTCAGCCTCCCTAGTAGCTGTGACTGCAGGTGCGCACCACCACACCCAGTTAATTTTTGTAATTTTAGTAGAGACAGGGTTTCACCATTTTGGCCAGGATGGTCTCGATCTCTTGACCTCATGATCCGCCCGCCTCGGCCTCCTAAAGTGCTGGGATTACAGGCGTAAGCCACCGCACCCAGTCGGGAAACTAAACATTCTGTGTTCTCACTTGTAAGTGGGAGCTAAGCTATAAGGACACAAAAGTATAAAAACGATGCAATGGGCCGGTGCGATGGCTCATGTCTGTAATCCCAGCAGTTTGAGAGGCCGAGGTGGGTGGATCACCTGAGGTTGGCAGTTTGAGACCAGCCTGACCAACATGGAGAAACCTCGTCTCTACTAAAAATACAAAATCAGCTGGGCGTGGTGGTGCATGCCTGTAATCCCAGCTACTCGGGAGGCTGAGGCAGGAGAATTGCTTGAATCTGCAAGGCAGAGGTTGCAGTGAGCCGAGATCCCGCCATTACACTCCAGCCTGGGCAACAAGAGCAAAACTCTGTCTCACACGCACACACACACACAAAAAGATACAATGGACTTTGGGGACTCTGGGGGAAGCATGGAGTGGGGAGGGATAAAAGACTACACATTGGGTACAGTGTACACTGCTCGGGTGGTGAGTGCACCTAAATCTCAGAAATCACCACTAAAGAACTTATTCATGTAACCAAACACCACCTGTTCCCCCAAAAACTATTGAAATAAAAAAATTAAAAATAAGTAAATAAATAAAAATCATGATGCTCCTGTTTCCTTTGTCAGTGGTCGGTTTAGATGTGAGCAAGTGACACAGTTCTGGCCAATGAGACACAGGAGAAGTCAGCTAGGTGCCTTCTGGGAATGATTTCTCCACTCTTGAAAGCTCCACATCTGGGCACTAGCACTTTATGTGCTGCCATTGCCTGATAGCCTGAGGGCACAGCCAATACAGGGAGGTGGGCAGAGCCAAGAGAAGTGGGGCCAGAGCACCCCCAACGATTCGGAATTTCTTGTTATTTTGGAAAATACATTTCCTCATTGTGAAGTCATTGAGTTAGGGTTTCCTCTTACTTGCAGTTGAAATCACCTTACTGATAAAATTATTCAGTGTTATGTACTCATCTATGTTCATGAACGTGAATAAGAAAAATAGGCCAGGTGTGGTGGCTCACTCCTGTAATCCCAGCACTTTGGGAGGCCAAGGTGGTCAGATCACGAGGTCGAGATCGAGACCAGCCTGGCCAACATGGTGAAACCTTGTCTCTACTAAAAATATAAAAAATTAGCTAGGCATGGTGGTGTGCGCCTGTAGTCCTAGCTATTTGGGAGGTTGAGGCAGGAGAATCACTTGAACCAGGGAGGCAGAGGTTGCAGTGAGCCAAGATCGCACCACTGCATAAGGGCCTGGGCGACAGAACAAGATTTCATCTCACAAAAAAAAAGAAAAAAAAAGAAAGAAAAATATTGACCTATTTTTTCACTTAAAAATGAACATTTGGCCGGGCGCGGTGGCTCACACCTGTAATTCCAGCACTTTGGGAGGTCGAGGCGGGCAGATCACAAGGTCAGGAGATCAAGACCATCCTGGCTAACACAGTGCTAAAAATACAAAAAAATTAGCCTGGCGTGGTGGCGGGCGCCTGTAGTCCCAGCTACTCGGGAGGCTGAGGCAGGAGAATGGCGTGAACCCGGGAGGTGCACAGAGCGAGACTCCGTCTCAAAAAAAAAAAAAAAAAATGAGCATTTATGTCAGCCGGTCGGCCGGGGGCGGTGGCTTACGCCTGTAATCCCAACACTTTGGGAGGCTGAGGCAGGTGGATCACCTGAGGTCAGGAATTTGAGACCAACCTGGCCAACATGGTGAAACCTCGTCTCTACTGAAAATACAAAAATTAGCCGGGCGTGGTGGCAGGCACCTGTATCCCAGCTACTCGGGAGGCTGAGGCACGAGAATCACTTGAACCTGGGAGGCGGAGGTTGCAGTGAGCTGAGATCGCGCCACTGCATTCCAGCCTGGGCGGCAGAGTGAGGCTTTGTCTAAAAAAAAAAAAAAAAAAGAAGAAAAGAACATTTATGTCAATAAATATAGATCTAAATCATTCATTTTCATATCTGAAAAAGGATGTCATAAGTATGGATGCTTCATAAATTATATTGTCTTCCATTATTGAGCATTTTGATTGAATACACTTTTGCTATCATGAACACTTTTGTAATTGAAGAGAACCCTTAATTACTTCCATAGGATATAATTTCAAAAGTTGAAACTGTTTAAAACTGTAACAGGTAGAGTAAATGGTGATGCAGTGAAGTATGTTATTTGTTCGTTTGGGGCTCAGACATCACTGCAAATGTGAATAGAGATGCCTCGTTTTGAAATTGCACGCCGCTATCTACTAACATCCATGGACATGGCTGGGAAAGAATGGAGGGGTGTTGATGGTGAGGGCCTGAAGGAGGGCAGGTGTACCCACCTCCCTGTATTGGCTGTGCCCTCAGGCTGTTTATCCTTCTGATTTCCAAAGATACTAAAACATTTTCATGGGCCCTTGAAATTATTGTGGGCCCCAGGCATACTGTGTCTAATGAATAAGTCACCCCGTGAATTGATTCGCTGGCTGATTGAGAGCATCACTGACCCAGGCTCTTTGTATTTTAACTCCATCATTCTTGGTTTGTGGCTTCATACCTCATGGCCTCAAAATGGCTACCGCAAGTTCAGATCTCATACCCAATATCAGTGCAGAAAGAAAAGGATGGTATTACTTGCATCTGTTTCTTTTTCTTTTTTTTTTTTTTTTTTTTTTTTTGAGACAGAGTCTCGCTTTGTCACCCAGGCTGGAGTGCAGTAGTGCGATCTCAGCTCACGGAAAGCTCCATCTCTCGGGTTCACGCCATTCTCCTGCCTCAGCCTCCTGAGTAGCTGGGACTACAGGTGCCCACCACCACGCCCGGCTAATTTTTTGTATTTTTAGTAGAGACGAGGTTTCACCGTGTTAGCCAGGATGGTCTCGATCTCCTGACCTTGTGATCCGCCCACCTCGGCCTCCCAAAGTGCTGGGATTACAGGCATGAGCCACCCCGCCCAACCGGCCTTGATCACTTTTATTGCAAGGGATGCTGGATAATTGAGCATCTGCTAAAGAAACAAGATGACCCTGATTAGATTTAACCAGTCGTGGTTGAGCAGGTGGGGTGGGCCACCTCTATATAAAGCACAGAAATGGAAGTTTAGGGAGTATTCCAGGCCAGAACTTCGTCCATTAGCACTGGCTCTCATGGGGCTCTTGCTGGTGATGTATGAGCATCAGACTTCGCTTGGGTCCCTGGTGGGAGCCAGCACAGAAAAAAGTCAACATTGTAGATGGTGAGTGGTGAGTGACACCACAGTAGGTTTATGAATTTCTTTTTCAGGGCCTCCTAGGTATGGAGCAAGGAGCATTTTACAGGATGGGATGATGATGCTGTGTGAGCATGTGAAGGAAAGAACTCACTGGTAGGTGAATGATGTGAATGTGATTTCACAGAGTATGGGAACCCTGGACCCAGGGAATGAAGGCGGGAGGCTCCAGGGGAATTTTTAGAGAAAGCCTGGTGGCTCCTTTTGATGAGCAGCCCTGGTGAGCAGCAGGTTGATGAATGAAGTGATTTCACTGTAACAGATTTCCAAGTCTAAAATCGAGGATGTAAAGGAACCCTGCTTCTCCCCATAAATAGACAATCTCAACTTTTCTCTTCTTGATTTTCACTTAAGGCTGGATTTTTTTTTCTACTTTCTCCCAGATGAGTTTCATTCATTCATTCATTCATTCATTTTTTCAGTGTTTTGTTTGAGAGCCCACAATGTGCCCAGCATGAGGGACAGAGTATGAATAAGTCACATGATGTTGTTTCCTGCATGGAGCTCACATTTGAGCCAGGGGGAAGAGAGAGGCAATAATAAAGTGATCACATCAGCAAAATACCAGATTGTGGTCAATGTGATCAATAAAGCATGTGAGCTGGGTGGTGTGATAGTGAGTGTCCACGGGGTGACGTGGCCTGAGACGTGACAGATGGGAAGAAGCCAGTCAGGCTTGTGGTACTATTTGGGGAGGTGAGAGCATGACTGAGTTATGAATGGAGAGGGCAGCAGCGAGGCTGAGAGTTGGAGGAAGATCATTTTAGGTGCATGCAAGGGAGAACAGGTACAAAGTCCCCAAGGTGGGGATGAGCATGCCTAGACAAAGAAGAGAAAGGGTGCAGTTATATATATATATAAATATATATATATATATATATATATATATATATATATATATTTTTTTTTTTTTTTGAGATGGAGTCTCGCTCTGTCGCCAGGCTGGAGTGCAGTGGCACGATCTCGGCTCACTGCAACCTCCGTCTCCAGGGTTCAAGCGATTTTTCTGCCTCAGCCCCCCAAGTAGCTGGGATTACAGGCATGCACCACCACGCCTGGTTAATTTTTGTATTTTTAGTAGAGACGGGGCTTCACCATGTTGGCCAGGCTGGTCTCGAACTCCTGACCTCAGGTGATCCACCCGCCACGGCTTCCCAAAGTGCTGGGATTACAGGTGTGAGCCACAGTGCCCGGCAAGTGTGCAGTTATGACCGGAGTGCAGTGAGCACTTAAGGCCCCTTCAGCCCTTAACTCCGTAAAGGTAACCAGAAGAGTCTTGATTTCCTTCCTACACTCTTAGCCCAAATCTATCCATCAGCAACCCTTTTTAATTTATTATAGCAATATTCATATAAAATTCACCATTTTAAGCATTTTAAAGTGGACAAATCAGTGACATTCAGTACATTCAAGTATTGTGCAACTATCACCACTACATAGATCCACAATACTTTCGTTACTCCAGAAGGAAACCTCATACCCACTAAACAGTCACTCTTGTTGCCCCCGACTGCCATTAATCTGCTTTCTGTCTCTATGAGTTTACCTAGTCTGGGCTTTCCATATAAGGGGAACCATACAAAACAACCTTTTGGATCTGGCTTCTTTCACTTAGCATAATGTCTTTTGAAGTTCATACATGTTGTACCATTTATCAGTACTTCACTCCTTTTTTTTGAGACGGAGTCTTGCACTGTTGCCCAGACTGGAGTGCAATGGTGCAATCACAGCTCACTGCAAGCTCTGCCTCCCGGGTTCACACCATTCTCCTGCCTCAGCCTCCCGAGTAGCTGGGACTACAGCCGCCAGCCACCACACCAGGCTAATTTTTTGTATTTTTAGTAGAGATGGCATTTCACCGTGTTAGCCAGGATGGTCTCAATCTCCTGACCGCGTGATCTGCCCACCTCGGCCTCCCAAAGTGCTGGGATTACAGGCGTGAGCCACCGCGCCCGGCAGTACTTCACTCCTTTTTATGGCTGAATAATATTCCATTGTATGGCTAGACCACATTTTCTTTTTTTTTTTTTTTTTTTTTGAGACAGAGTCTCGCTTTGTCGCCCAGGCTGGAGTGCAGTAGTGTGATCTCAGCTCACTGAAAGCTCCATCTCTCTGGTTCATGCCATTCTCCTGCCTCAGCCTCCCAAGTAGCTGGGACTGCAGGTGCCTGCCACCATGCCCGGCTAATTTTTTGTATTTTTAGTAGAGACGGGGTTTCACCGTATTAGCCAGGATGGTCTTGTCTCCTGACCTTGTGATCCGCCCGCCTCAGCCTTCTAAAGTTCTGGGATTACAGGCGTGAGCCACCGCGCCTGGCCTAGACAACATTTTCTTTATCCATTCCTCAGCTCATGGACGTTTGGAGAGTTTCCACCTTTTGCCTAATGTGAATGGTGCAGCCATGAATATTTGTGTACCGGTTTTTGTGTCTACAAATATTTTCATTTTCATTCTCATGGGTATATAACTAGAAGTAGAATTGCTGGGTAATATGGTAAATTTATTTATTTATTTATTTATTTATTTATTTATTTATTTATTGAGACGGAGTCTCGCTCTTGCCCAGGCTGCAGTGTAGTGGCGTGATCTCGGCTCACTGCAACTTTCACTTCCTGGCTTCAAGTGATTCTCATGCCTCAGCCTCCCGAGTAGCCGGGATTACAGGTGCCCGCCACCACACCCAGCTAATTTTTGTATTTTTAGTGGAGATAGGGTTTCACCATGTTGACCAGGCTGGTCTCGAACTCCTGACCTCAGGTGATCCACCCACCTTGGCCTCCCAAAGTGCTGGGATTACAGGTGTGGGCCACCGCGCCCGGCCTGTAATTTTTTTGTTTGTTTGTTTGAGACAGAGTCTCGCTCTGTCACCCAGACTGGAGTACAGTGGCGCGATCTCGGCTCACTGCAAGCTCCACCTCGCCAGTTCACGCCATTCTCCTGCCTCAGCCTCCCAAGTAGCTGGGACTACAGGTGCCTGCCACCACACCTGGCTAATTTTTTGTATTTTTTAGTAGAGATGGGGTTTCATCGTGTTAGCCAGAATGGTCTCGATCTCCTGACCTCGTGATCCGCCCACCTCAGCCTCCCAAAGTGCTGGGATTACAGGTGTGAGCCACTGCGCCTGGCCCCAGCCTATAATTTTATGTTTAACATTTTAGGAACCTTTGCACTCCCATAGTGACTACACCATTTTGTACTCCTAGCAGCAATGTATGGGGATTTCAATTTTTCCACATCTTTGCCAAAACTTTTAAAATGTATTATTATTATAGTCATCCTAGTGGGTGTGAAGTGATACCTCATTGTCATTTTGGTTTGCATTTCCCTATGAGTAATGTGTTGAACATCTTTTCATATGCTGTGAGCCATTTTTGTATCTTCTTTGGAGAAACATCTACGTAAGTGCTTTGCCCATTTTTTAATTGGGTTGTTTGTCTTTTTGTCATTGAGTTGTACAAATTCCCTATGTGTTCTGGATACTAGACCCTTATTACGTATGTAATTCATGAATATTATTTTCTTTCATTATTATTATTATTATTATTTTTGAGACAGAGTCTCGCTCTGTAGCCCAGGCTGGAGTGCAGTGGCGCCATCTTGGCTCACTGCAAGCTCTGCCACCCGGGTTCACGCCATTCTCCTGCCTCAGCCTCCCAAGTAGCTGGGACTACAGGCGCCCGCCACCACACCTGGCTAATTTTTTTGTATTTTTAGTAGAGACGGGTTTCACCATGTGAGCCAGGATGTTCTCCATCTCCTGACCTCGTGATCTGCCTGCCTCAGCCTCCCAAAGTGCTGGGATTACAGGCGTGAGCCACCGCACCTGGCCTGTGCTGTGGATTCCTTAAGATTTTTTATATTTAAGGTTGTATTTCAGGCCGGGTGCTGTGGCTCATGCCTGTAATCCCAGCACTTCGGGAGGCTGAGGTGGGTGGATCACCTGAGGTCAGGAGTTCAAGACCAGCCTGGCCAACATAGTCTCTACTAAAAATACAAAAATTAGCCGGGCGTGGTGGTGGGTGCCTGTAATCCCAGCTAGTCTGGAGGCTGACGCTGGAGAATTGCTTGAACCCAGGAGGCTGAGGTTGCAGTGAGCTGAGATTACACCACTGCACTCCAGCCTGGGCAACAGAGCGAGACTCCATCTCAAAACAAAACAAAACAACAACAACAAAAATAAGGTTGTATTTCTATATATGCGAATGTATATAGTTTTACTTCTTTCTTTCCAACTTGGATGCCTTTTGCTTCTTTTTAATATGATACAATGTTGCCTGATTGGCATGCCTAAAACTTCCAGGACAACGTTGAATGGAAGTGGTGAAAGAGAGCATTCTTGTTTGGTTCCTGCTCTTAGGGCAGAGCGTTGAATTTTCCACCGTTGAGTATGATTGATTCAGCCAGGCTTTGGGCCTTGAATCTGTCTACTTTCCTCTATTCCCACTCCCATTTGCCAGCCCATATCACTGCCTCTTAGCTGGGCGACTGCCACAGCCTTGTAAAGTGGATCGCCACTCTTCCCCCTGTTCTGAACCCCTCCTGTCAGTTCTTACACACGTCAATCTCTTCCTTCTGGGGTTCAGAGGATCCAGGTCCCTGCAGGCTTCCCCTTCGCATTTTGCTTCTTTCATAGCGTTTATCATGATTTTATTCAATTTTTTTTTTTTTTTTGAGACGGAGTCTTGCTCTGTCGCCCAGGCTGGAGTGCAGTGGCACGATCTTGGCTGACTGCAAGCTCCGCCTCACAGGTTCACGCCACTCTCCTGCCTCAGCCTCCCGAGTAGCTGGGACTACAGGCGCTCACCACCACGTCCAGCTAATTTGTTTTTATTTTTAGTAGAGACAGGGTTTCACCATGTTAGCCAGGATGGTCTTGATCTCTTGACCTTGTGATCCGCCCGGCTTGGCCTCCCAAAGTGCTGGGATTACAGGCGTGAGCCACCGCGCCCAGCCATTTTATTCTAGGTTTTAAATTTGTATTTTGTATAAAGCTCATTTCTATCAGTAGAATGTAAAACAATTCTGCATCTAGCAGTTCAATAGAGCAACTGTTTCTGTCTCTTAGGGTCTCTTCCTGTGTTGGCACCCCCAGGCAGTCATTGTTTTGTACTGTGTTACTTGATGTTGGCACAGAACTTTAAAGTGTATAAAGTGTTTTCACAGCCATCACTTGACCCTCACATTGACCTTGTGAGGTAAATGTCACAACCAGTTACAACGGATGTTTTCCATGCTGCACACAGAGCAGTTGGAGTCAATGAGACTAGTAACTTGCACAAAGACTGGTAGTAAGTGGCAGATCCAGGATGGCATGAAGGGCTCGGAGGTGACAACCAGTGCAATACATTTGGGGAATTGCACATTGTTTAGTAAAGAATTAATTATTGGAGTGCAGAATATTGGGGTGGGTGAGGGAGAGCTGGTCCCACTAAGGGAGGCAGAATCAAATACTGGTGCCTCTGGTCAGACATACAAGAGATTCAGTTTCATCTTTTGTACTTACTAGCTGTGCAACCTTGACCATGACCCTTAACTTTATAGAATTGCAATTTTCTTATCAGTAAAACAAGGGCACCCATTAAATCTAAGTTTGCTATGGGAATAAAACAACATAATAAAAATTTAAAAACATTTTATTAAAACAAATTCACAAAATTTTAAATTTTATTTTAAATTAATGTATTAGATTACATTTGATAATTTAATTTATTGATTTAGCATCTTAAATTATAAAATTAAAGGTAAAATAAAAGGCATTTTACATAATAAAGTGAATGCCCAGTGTTCCTTATCTCCAAAATTCAAAATCTGATTGGATTAGCCCAGCCAGTGGGTAGCTTTTATCCCGGGTCAGGTGGCCCTCTCTGCTACAATCATTGCAGCTAGAGGGCTGAAGTTATTCAATGTGAACATTATTATTGAAGAGATGGGAGAAGGCGATCAGAATGAAGAGTATAGACCTCAGGGCATGTGCCTGTGGGTGAGTCCAAGAGAAAGTAGAAGAGGAAAGTGTTCCTTCCAGATGATCCGTGAAAGCTCCAGGATGTCCCTGCTAAAGTTATCTTGGTTCCTGTTGCATAGCCATTGTACTCTGAATAGCATTCTTTGTCCTCTAAGCCTCAGTTTTCCCATCTGTAAAATGGGATGGGTGCTAATTCTGCCTGCCTATCTATCTTCCAGTGCAGTCATGAGGATAAGAATGAAATGATATCGTGTTTACGGAGACTCATGGTGTAAATCCCATATAAGTACATAGGATTGTTAATTTACTGAAGATGTGATAAAACAATTTTTATTTTTTTCGAGACGGAGTCTTGCTCTGTAGCCCAGGCTAGAGTGCAGTGGCACGATCTCGGCTCATTGCAACCTCCATCTCCTGGGTCCTGGTTCAAGCAATTCCCCTGCCTCAACCTCCTGAGTAGCTGGGATTACAGGCACGTGCCACCATGCCCAGCTATTTTTTTTTTTTAATGGAGTCTCGCTCTGTCGCCCAGGCTGGAGTGCAGTGGCGCGATCTCGGCTCACTGCAAGCTCCGCCTCCCAGGTTCACGCCATTCTCCTGCCTCAGCCTCCTGAGTAGCTGGGACTACAGGTGCCCACCACCACGCCCGGCTAATTTTTTGTATTTTTAGTAGAGACGAGGTTTCACCGTGTTAGCCAAGATGGTCTCGATCTCCTGACCTTGTGATCCGCCCGCCTCGGCCTCTCAAAGTGCTGGGATTACAGGCGTGAGCCACTGCACCTGGCCATGATAAAACAATTTGAACAAGCTGCTGAAGCAGATCTTAGTGAAAGCTCTTGGAATAGAAAAGACACCTGCTCTGAGTCACTTAATGAGTATCTACTTGCTCAATTTAAGTTGATAAAAAGACAGGGGAAATTTGGGCCAGGCACGGTGGCTCATGCCTGTAATCCCAGCACTTTGGGAGGCTGAGGAGGGCGGATTGCCTGAGATCAGGAGTTCGAGACCAGCCTGGCTAACATGGTGAAACACTGTCTCTGTTAAAAATACAATAATTAGCCAGGCATGGTGGCGGGAACCTGTAATCCCAGCTACTTGGGAGCTACTCGGGAGGCTGAGGGAGGAGAATCGCTTAAAGACTCTTGTCTCAAAAAAAAGAAGAGATATAGGGGAAATTTGATAGAAAAAAAAGAGGCAGGCCAGACAGCATCCTGCAGCTTCTCTCTCTGGGCTGTGTAACGGGTATCAATTTCTTTTACTAACGTATGGGAGGAAGAATTGCCTTCAACTGGGCACCCTCTTCAACAGTTGCTTGCTTTCTTTTTTTTTTAGACAGAGTCTCTCTCTGTCGCCCAGGCTGGAGTGCAATGGCATGATCTTGGCTCACTGCAATCTCTGCCTCCCGGATTCAAGCCATTCTCCTGCCTCAGCCTCCCAAATAGCTGGGATTACAGGTGCCCACCACCATGCCCGGCTAATTTTTTGTATATTTAGTAGAGACGGGGTTTCACTGTTGGCCAGGCTATTCTGAAACTCCTGACCTCGTGATCCATCTGCCTCAGCCTCCCAAAGTGCTGGGATTACAGACGTGAGCCACCACACCTGGCCTTTTGTTTTTATTATTAAAAACGTGTTACCTTTTCACAAAATATGAAATAATAAATAGTAAGAAAAACTATAGGGCAGAGTCTCAGCAGGTGTCAGAAGTGCTGGCCTGTTTTGTGAATCTTCCTCCCAGTTGCCCCCTGATCAGCCAGACATTATCAGACAAGGAACTGCTGGGGTTGTTGTCTTCTGCGGAGACTAATTCTCCTTGTATATCATTTTTGTATCTTCCATATCATTTTTGTCTATACCTACAGAATTTTTATTTCAATAGTGTGCGATAAAGGATCAACCTTACTCAAAGGGAAGTCTGACCTTTGCCCTTGGCTCATGGGGTGTGATCTCTAAGCTCTTAGAATGTTCTGCCTGATAAGAGTGTCTTTGTTTACCTGGGGGCCTTGGGTCACAGCAGAGAGTTCATGCTAACAGTGGATGTATGGTAGGGGCTTTGAGCCACATGGTATCATTCACCCTCTCCAGGCACCAAGGTCAGCCATGTAGATGGTCAACGACATCTATGTGAATGAGCATTAGATAAAGTCTCGACACCACAGCTCAGGTGAGCTTCTCTGATTGGCAATACTCTGTGTGTACTGTCACACACTATTGCTGGGAAGATCGGCTCTGTCTACGACTCCAGGGAGTGGACAACTGGAAGCTCCATCCTTGGAACCATCCTGAATTCTGCCCCATGCACCTCCTGTGGGGGTTGGTTGTCATTTGTATCCTTTCACTGCTGTAAAGGTAATTGGGTATATAACAGCTTTCAGTGAGTTTAGTGGGTCCTTACACTGAAATGTGAAACCTGAGGGTGGTCTTGGGAACTTCCAAATTCTGTAAATAGCAAGAAGTTGAGCTTTTGACAATCCACACAACCCAATACATCTTGTGGGGTGAAAAGTTATCCTAACAGAATATATATGTGAATAGTTGTTGACTAGATCACAGTAGGAGGAAGATCACAGAGTAAGTGCCATTTGTTCATATCATGTCAAGGGTACACGCATGGTTTTTTTTTTTTTTTTTTTTTTTTTTTTTTTTTTTTTGAGACGGAGTCTCGCTCTGTCACCCAGGCTGGAGTGCAGTGGCGTGATCTCAGCTCACTGCAAGCTCTACCTCCTGGGTTCACGCCATTTTCCTGCCTCAGCCTCCCAAGTAGCTGGGACTACAGGCGCCTGCCACCACACCTGGCTAATTTTTTGTATTTTTAGTAGAGACGGGGTTTCATCGTGTTAGCCAGGATGGTCTGGATCTCCTGACCTCGTGATCCGCCCACCTCGGCCTCCCAAAGTGCTGGGATTACAAGCGTGAGCCACCGCGCCCGGCCACGCATGGTTTATCACTGTGGATATTGACTTTGATCACCTGTCTTGAGGCAGTGTTTGTCAGGTTTCTCCACTGTAAAGTTTCTCTTTTCCTTCACCCCTCCATACTGTAGTCTAATGAAGGAAGTCACTACATGCAGCCTGCACTTACTGAGTGGGGTCTCCACGTAATTAAGGGTGAAGTATCTACTTAAGTTACTCAAAATTATTCTGCATGGTAGATTTGTCTCTTCTCTATTGTTTGTTAATTTATTCAATATATATATTTTTTGAGATGGAGTTTCACTCTTGTTGCCCAGGCTGGAACGCAATGGCACGATCGCAACTCACTGCAACCTCCACTTCCTGGGTTCAAGCAATTCTTCTGCCTCCACCTCCTGAGTAGCTGGGATTACAGGTGCCCGCCACCATGCCTGGCTAATTTTTTGTATTTTTAGTAGAGACGGGATTTCACCATGTTGGCTAGGCAGCTCTCAAACTCCTTGCTCAGGTGATCCACCCGCCTCAGCCTCCCAAAGTGCTGGGATTACAGGCGTGAGCCACTGTGCCCGGCCTCAATATATTTTTTACATCAGCCTGCACTCATGGATATTTGTTTTATACTTTGGGTTATAATCAAATACTACTTTATTTTGTGGCTCAAATTGTTTTAGCTTTGACTATTGGGCTCTCTTAGTTGGCTGCAGGGTCCCTTTGATACCCTGTCATTGTGGGTACTCTCTCTTTGTACTTCCTGACTTTCTGGTACTATATATAATGCTCCAGGTTTATCTTGTGTATTTGCTGCACTTGTCATAGGATCAACTAGTTCTCCATGGTGCCTTGGTTTCTTAATTTGGAGACTGGTGTTAGAAACCAAAATCTGGCCAGGTGGGGTGGCTCATGTCTGTAATCCCAGCACTTTGGGAGGCCGAGGCAGGTAGATCATGAGGTCAGGAGTTCAAGACCAGCCTGGTCAACACAGTGAAACCCCATCTCTACTAAAAATACAAAACCAAAAAAAATAGCTGGGTTTGGTGCCAGGCACCTGTAATTCCAGCTATTGGGAAGGCTGAGGCAGGAGAATCGCTTGAACTCAGGAGGTGGACATTGCAGTGAGCCAAGATTGTGACACTGCACTCCAGCCTGGGCTACAGAGCAAGACTCCGTCTCAGGAAGAAAGAAAGAAAGAGAGAGGAGAAGAGAAGAGAGAAGGGAGGGGAGGGGATGGAAGGGGATGGGAGGGGAGGGAAGGGGAGGGGAGGGAAGGGAAAGAAACCAAGATCTGGGTGCTGGGTGTGGTTGTTGCTACTGGGATGTTGTTGCTTCCAGGTTGTGTCAGCTGATAGAGCCAGGAAATAACTATGGCTGCATGCAGTGGCTCATGCACAAAACCCCAGCTCTTTGGGAGGCTGAAGTGGGAGGATCATTTGAAGCCAGAAGTTTGAGACCAGCCTGAGCAGCAAAGTGAGTCCCTGTCTCTACAAAAACATTTAAAAAAAGAAATAGCTGCATGGGTATGGGGTGTACGACTGTAATCCTAGCCACTCAGGAGGTTAGAGCAGGAGGATCGCTTGAGCCCAGGAGTTGGAGGCTGCAGTGAGCTATGATCACACCACTGCACTCCAGTCTGGATGACAGTGAGATCAGGTTTTACATAAATAAATACATTAATTAAAAATGTAAAAATCGTGTATGTGAACCTGCATATATACTGTATATATATCTATAAATATTGGTATATGTAACCACCTGTATCTTTATGAAGCTAACCAGGAGTTTACACTGATGTCCCCGACTCTAATCCATTACCAGATGGATCATTCCATGCTCCCGTTACTCCAACACCGAGAAACCTGTCTCCGCCCATCTGCCATACATTTACTTAACATAAGTCAATATTTCTCCATACTTGATTTACAGAGCAAAGATGCATTGCAATTATATAAATAAACAATCACAAGGCTTTATTTAGAAAATACATTGAAGAAGAAAGGGTTGTAGGAGAAAAAGTTTGCAGGTTGCAGGGAAGGTAGTGGGAATGGAATGGGTATCTCTGGAGAGAGTTGACATACTTGGTGGGGCAGGGTCCATAGGACCAGTGCCCTGGTCTCCCTCAGGAGCTGTTCCCTAGGGCTAGGCTGGATCCATGGGCATCCAACCTAGTGCTCATCCATGAGGAATATGCACCAAAGCCAAAGCCTGGGGAAACAGGCCCTGGGGGCCAGTTGAAGGGAACCTCTTTTTTTTTTTTTTTTTTTGAGACAGAGTCTCGCTCTGTCGCCCAGGCTGGAGTGCAGTGGCACAATCTCGGCTCACTGCAACCTCCACCTCCCGAGTTCACGCCATTATCCTGCCTCAGCCTCCCGAGTAGCTGGGACTACAGGCACCCGCCACCACACCCAGCTAATTTTTATATTTTTAGTAGAGACGGGGTTTCACCTTGTTAGTCAGGATGGTCTCGATCTCCTGACCTCGTGATCCACCCGCCTCAGCCTCCCAAAGTGAGGAACCTCTTCTTACAGCTAGGACAAGCAAGGTAGAAGTTTAGGGAGACTCATGGCCCCTTTCAATGATGTAAGGAAGAGAATACTATGCCCTCTACTCTCCAGCCAGGTCAACTTCCAGTGAAAACCAGGAAGGGATGCTCTCACTGGGATCCCCCAGGATATAGGAGCAGGAGCAGGAGCAGGACAGACCAGGTTGACAATACAAACACATCGGTCTCCTGGCTCCACAGTGGAACTCTCACTACAAAAGGGAGACTTTTTCTGGTCTCATTCTGCTTCCTTCCCCTCAGAGCTCCTTAGAGGTCTTGGCTCTCTGGTTTACTAGAGGAATGCAGAGATCAGAGATGAATTTGTGTTAGAAACCCAGACAGAGCAGAAACAAGGTCCAGGATGAGGGGAACTAACACTGGCTACACCCCAAGCAAGCTGTTCTTTCTGGTCAACTTTTGCTTCCTAGACCCCATGATTGTGCATCCTGAACAAGAGAAGAATGAGCTGGTTGGTGGCCCAACACTTCTGTGCCCAACAAAGCCCTGGGCAGGCAATGAGGGAGGCCTGAAGGCAAAGCTGCTCCTTGCTCTGTCCACACTAGAGGCAGGGTTGCTAGAAGTAAAGGGAAGAATGTGCATGCATCTAAGCGTTGCTTTGCTTTTAGTGGTGTTGGGCCTCCCACTTGCAATAAGGGGATGCTGTCAAAGCTCCTGGGGCTTTGGCTGAAAGTAGGGTCCCTAGGCTGGGTGAGGTGGCTCAATCCTGTAATCCAGCACTTTGGGAGGCTGAGGCGGGCAGATCACAAGGTCAAGAGATCGAGACCGGCCTGGCCAACATGGTGAAACTCTGTCTCTACTATACAAAAATTGGCTGGGCATGGTAGATCACTCCTGTAATCCCAGCACTTTGGGAGGCCAAGGCGGGCGGATCACCTGAGGTTGGGAGTTCGAGACCACCCTGACCAACATGGAGAAACCCTGTCTCTACTAAAAATACAAAAAAATTAGCTGGGCCAGGCGCGGTGGCTCACGCCTGTAATCCAGCACTTTGGGAGGCCAAGGCCAGCAGATCGCAAGGTCAGGAGATTAAGACCATCCTGGCTAACATGGTGAAACCCTGTCTCTACTAAAAATACGAAAAATTAGCCGGGTGCGGTGGCAGTTGCCTGTAGTCCCAGCTACTTGGGAGGCTGAGGCAGGAGAATGGTGTGACCCCGGGAGGCAGAGCTTGCAGTGAGCCGAGATCGCGCCATTGCACTCCAGTCTGGGCGACAGGGCAAGACCGTCTCAGAAAAAAAAAAAAAAAAAAAAAAAAAAAAAAAAAAAAAGCCAGGTGCGGTGGCTCATGCCTGTAATACTAGCACTTTGGGAGGCTGAGATGGGTGGATCACCTGAGGTTAGGAGTTCAAGACCAGCCTGACCAACATGGAGAAACCCCGTCTCTACTAAAAATACAAAAATTAGCCGGGCATGGTGGCGCATGCCTGTAATCCCATCTACTCAGGAGGCTGAGGCAGGAGAATTGCTTGAACCTGGGAGGCGGAGGTTGCAGTGAGCTGAGATCGCGCCATTGCACTCCAGCCTGGGCAACAAGAGAGAAATGCTGTCTCAAAAAAAAAAAAAAAAAAAGGAAAAAATAGAAAGTGAGCACCCATGTCTTAGTCTTGATTTTAGGGGAAAGCTTTCAGTCTTTTACCATTGTTGATGTTTTCAAAGTATCAGCTTTTGGTTTTGTTTTCTTTATTGTTTTTCTATTTTGAAATTTTCTTTGTCTTCACTCTAATTGTTACTAATTCCTTCCTTCTGCTAGGATTAGGCTTAGTTTGCTCTACCTTTCCTAGTTCCTTAAGGTCTAATGTAAAATTATTGATTTTAGATTTTTTAAAAAGATTTTTCTTCTTTTTCAAGGGGGACATTTACAACTATAACTTTCACTCTAAGCACAACTTTCATGAATCCCTTAAGTTTAGGGAAGTTATGTTTTTGCTGTTATTTATCACAAAGTATTTTCTGGTTTTTCCTGTGATTTATTCTTTGATCTATTGGTGGTTTAAGGTATGGTGTTTAATTTCAACATATTTTTTAAATTTTCAGTTTTCCTTCTGTCCTTAATTTCTAATTTCATTCCATTCTGGGCATAGAAGATAGTTTGTATGATTTCAGTCTTTTAAATGTACCAAGACTTGTTATGTTGCCTAACATATGGTCCATCCTGGAGAATATTTCATGTGCAATTGACAACAATGTATGTTTTGTTGCTCTTGTGTGGTATCTTCTTTGGATGTCCCTTAGGTCTAGTTGGCTTATACTGTTGTTCACATTCCCTTTTTTTTAAAATTGATGTTTATTTTTCTGGTTATTATATGTATTATGGAAAATGTGGCATTGAATTTTTCAACTCTAATTGTTTAATGGTGTGTTCCTCTCTGCAATTGTGTCATTTTCTTCACGTATTTGAAGCTCTGCTGTTGGGTACATATTTGTTTACGATTGTTATATATTCTCAATAAATTGACTCTTGTAACAATATGTAATGTCCTTCTTTGTCTTGTAATAATTTTTGACTTGAAAAATTGTTCAATTGTGGCTGGGTGCGGTGGCTCACGCCCGTAATCCCAGCATTTGGGAGGCCGAGGTGGGCGGACCACAAGGTCAGGAGATCGAGACCATCCTAGCTAACACGGTGAAACCCCGTCTCTACTAAAAATACAAAAAATTAGCCAGGCGTGGTGGCGGGCGCCTGTAGTCCCAGCTACTTGGGAGGCTGAGGCAGGAGAATGGCGTGAACCCGGGAGGTGGAGGTTGCAGTGAGCCGAGATTGTGCCACTGCACTCCAGCCTGGGCGACAGAGCGAGACTCTGTCTCAAAAAAAAAAAAAGAAAAATTGTTCAGTTGTTCAAGGGAGAGTGGATGGATAACAAAACATGATCCAACTACATGTTGTCTCCAAGGGATTCAGTTTAGATACAAAGACACAAATAGACTGAAAGTGAAAAGATGGAAGAAATACTCCAACTCCACACCTAATATCTTTTGTGTGGATTATCTTTTTGGATTGTTCACTATTAGTGGACAGAAATAACTTATTTTGAATATTAATCATGTACCCAACAACTTTGATGATTTATTATCTCTAATAATTTTTGTGGATTCTTTAGGATTTTCCATATGTAAGATCATATCATCCAAGGATAAAGATAGTTTGGCTGGGTGCGGTGGCTCACACCTGTAATCCCAGCACTTCGGGAGGCCGAGGCGGGTGGATCATCTGAGGTCAGGAATTCGAGACCAACCTGGCCAACATGACAAAACCCTGTCTCTACTAAAAATATAAAAATTAGCCGTGCATGGTGGCAGACATCTGCAGTCCCAGCTACTCGGGAGGCTGAGGTGGGAGAATTGCTTGAACCTAGGAGGCGGAGGTTGCAGTGAGCCGAGATTGTGCCATTGCACTCCAGCCTGGGCGACAAAAATAAAAATAAAAAAAGAATAAAGATAGTTTTACTTATTCTTTTCCAATTTAGATTTTTCTTTTTTTCTTTTTTCCTTTTTTTTTTTTTTGAGATGGAGTTTTGCTCTTGTTGCCCAGGCTGGAGTGTAATGGCATGATCTCAGCTCACCGCAACCTCCGCCTCCCAGGTTCAAGCAATTCTCCTGCCTCAGCCTCCCTAGTAGCTGGGATTACAGGCATGTGCCACCGTACCTGGCTAATTTTGTATTTTTAGTAAATCCAGTGTTTCTCCATGTTGGTCAGGCTGCTCGAACTCCCTACCTCAGGTGATCCGCCTGCCTCGGCCTCCCAAAGTGCTGGGATTACCGGCGTGAGTCACCGTGCCCAGTCTAGATTTTTCTTTTTGAAACAGACTTTCGATCTTATTGCCCAGGCTAGAGTGCAGTGGTGCGATCTCAGCTCACTGCAACCTCCGCCTCCCAGGTTCAAACAATTCTCCTGCCTCAGCCTCTTGAGTAGCTGGGATTATAGCATCTGCCACCACGCTAGGCTAATTTTTTGTATTTTTAGTAGAGACAGGGTTTCACCATGTTGGCCAGGCTGGTCTCAAACTCCTGACCTCAGGTGATCCACCCGCCTTGGCCTCCCAAAGTGCTGGGATTACAGGTTAGGGCTACCATGTCTGGCCCAGATGGTTTTTATTTATTTTTGTTGCATAATTGCAGACTAGAACTTGTGATGCAATGTTGATAATCTCTTTTGTGTGGAGTATCTTTTCCATCTTTTCCCTTTCAGTCTATTTGCGTTTTTGTATATAAACTGAATCCCTTGGAGACAGCATGTAGGTAGATAATGTTTTGTTATCCACTCTCTCAATCTCTGCCTTTTAATTGGAAATTTTATTCTATTTACATTTAGAGTAATTACTCATACTTCTACCTTTCTCTATTTGTTTCTGATATATCGTATGTCTTTTTATTTATCATTGTCTCCATTATTGCCTCTCTTTGCTTTTTTTTTTTTTTTTTTTTTTGAGACGGAGTCTCATTCTGTCTCCCAGGCTGGAGTGCAGGGGCGTGATCTCGGCTCACTGCAAGCTCCGCCTCCCGGGTTCGTGCCATTCTCCTGCCTCAGCCTCCTGAGTAGCTGGGACTACAGGCGCCTGCCACCACACCTGGCTAATTTTTTTTGTATATTTTTAATAGAGATAGGGTTTCACCATGTTAGCCAGGATGGTCTCGATCTCCTGACCTCGTGATTCACCAGTCTTGGCCTCCCAAAGTGCTGGGATTACAGGCATGAGCCACCGCGCCCGGCCGCCTCCCTTTGCATTTAATTGATTTTTTGTCGTGTGCAATTTTAGCTCCCTTCTCATTTCTTTTTTTGTGTATTTTTATTTTTTAGTGGCTACCCTGGGGATTACAATTAAAATTTTAAATGTATAACAATTTAGTTTAAATTTATGCCAAGTAGAGTCTGATCCTTGGTTTGCAGAACTGAGCTCTGAGTGTTTTCTTTTTGCTGCCAACCTGGAAAAATTAAAAACACATACTATTTGGGATGTTTCTGTGATGCATCTTTGGAACATGCGAGCAAGGACTGGGTGTGTATGCACAGAATTCATGAGGAATAGGTACATACATGTAACAAAAGCACCAATAACTGTGACATGCACAAAGGACATGCAAACAAATGGCATGAGCAGGGCCGGGTGTAGTGGCTCACGCCTGTAATCCCAGCACTTGGGGAGGCCAAGGTGGGTGGATCACAAGGTCAAGAGTTTGAGACCAGCCTGGCCAACATGGTGAAACCCCATCTCTACTAAGAATACAAAAACTAGCCAGGCATGGTGGCGTGTGCCTGTAATCCCAGCTACTCAGGAGGCTGAGGCAGGAGAATCACTTGAAACTGGGAGGCAGAGGTTGCAGTGAGCCAAGATCACGCCACTTCACTCCAGTCTGAGTGACAGAGCAAGACTCCATCTGGAAAAAAAAAAAAAAAGGAAAAGGAATGGCATGATCAAAGGCCATAGCTCAGCTCTGTGCATTATTTGGTAC
Source organism: Homo sapiens (assembly GCF_000001405.40). Lineage (NCBI taxonomy): Eukaryota > Metazoa > Chordata > Mammalia > Primates > Hominidae > Homo > Homo sapiens. Next base: position 24,780,798 of record NC_000022.11, on the reverse strand, counting down.
CTCTGAATCTCCTGCTGAGAGTTGAAGGTGTTTGCCATGAGGGTTGAGAGGTTATTGTCAGGCACAGTAGCCCTTTTCTGCACTGGACATACCCCTGAGGTGTCAGGGTACCATGCAGGATGGGGATTCCCCCAAGTCAGCAGAGGGGCAGTTGCTCAGGAGCTGGGCTTCAGGCTCTGCAGCCCCTGAAAAATATGGCAACTTTTTTTTTTTTTTTTTTTAAGACGGAGTCTTGCTCTGTTGCCCAGGCTGGAGTGCAGTGGCGCAATCTTGGCTCACTGCAAGCTCCACCTCCCAGGTTCACACCATTCTCCTGCCTCAGCCTCCCGAGTAGCTGGGACTACAGGTGCCTGCCACCACGCCCGGCCAATTTTTTTTGTATTTTTAGCAGAGACGGGGTTTCACCGTGGTCTCGATCTCCTGACCTCGTCATCCACCCGCCTCGGCCTCCCAAAGTGCTGGGATTACAGGCGTGAGCCACCACGCCTGGCCAAAATATGGCAACTTTGAAGTGAGCCATCTGTGTATCCATCTGGTTTTTCCCCCAAGAATACCAGAGGGAAGAGCCTCTAAGAACAGAAGTGCAGGTGCTAACCCAATCCTGTGGAGGCAGGTTGGGAGAGATGTATTTACTGTATGACCCAGCAATTTCACTTCAAGGTACTTAAGCAAGAGAAATCAAACTTATTTTCACACAAAAACCTGTATGTGAATATTTTAGCTGCTTTATTCATATCTCCTGGATATAGAGCTATTGAGGTTCCATAATTTTGGGGGGTGAGTTTGTAATTGTATTTAGTTGTTATGGGAATAACAGTATATTTACCAAACCTTTCACCTTCTAATTAGAGTTAATAATTTACCAATTCAAGTAAAATGTAGTCACCTAATGGCCACATGGATGCTGACACCCTTCACTCTTTGTTACAGTTGTCCTATGTGCCACATCTGCATATTTGAACGCTGCCCTCTGAGATGGTACTATAATTTTTGTTGTCACAAGTCTTACTTATAGTCAAGAATTTAAGGCCGGGCATGGAGGCTCATGTCTGTAATCTCAACACTTTGGGAGGCTGAGGCGGGCGGATCACTTGAGGTCAGGAGTTCGAGACTAGCCTGGCCAACATAGTGAAACCCTGTCTCTACCAAAAAAAAAAAAAAAAGCTACAAAGATTAGCTAGGTGTGGTGGCAGGCACCTGTAATCCCAGCTACTCAGGAGGCTGAGGCAGGAGAATTGCTTGAACCCAGGAGGCAGAGGTTGCAGTGAGCCCAGATCACACTACTGCACTCCAGTCTGGGTGACAAGAGTGAGACTCTGTCTCAAAAAAAAAAAAAAAAAAAATTAAGAGGAGAAAAATAGGGTATCACATTTACACATATATGTACCATTTCTCTTGCTCTTACTTTATTCCTGTAGTTCCAAGCTTCCTGCCTATCTAATTTCATTTCAGTCCGTTTGTACTTCTTTCACATAATGTTAGAGTAAGTTGTCCAGTGATGAAGTCTCTTAGTTTTATTCCCATCTCCATGTCATTCATTCTTTTTCTTTTTCCTTTTCCTCTTTCAATCTTTAAGGATATTTTTGCTGCATATGGTATCTTGGGTTGATAGTTCTCTTTTTCTTTTTTCTTTCTTTCTTTTTTTTTTTTTTGAGACAGAGTCTTGCTCTGTTGCCCAGGCTGGAGTGCAGTGGCGCGATCTCAGCTCACTGCAACTTCTGCCTCCCGGGTTCAAGTGATTCTCCTGCCTCAGTTTCCTGAGTAGCTGGGATTACAGGCACCCATCACCATGCCCAGCTAATTTTTGTATTTTTAGTAGAGACAGGGTTTCACCATGTTGGTCAGGCTGGTCTCAAACTCCTGACCTCATGATCCACCTGCCTCAGCCTCGCAAAGTGCTGAGATTACAGGCATGAGCCACCGTACCCGGCCAATGCTCTTTTTCAACATTTAAAAATGTGGTTCTGCTTTCTTCTGGCATCTTTCTGAGAAATCACAAGCATTCATATTGTAATTTCCTCGTGTATAACGTGTCATTTCCCCCCTCTGTTTTCTAGACTTTTTTCTTTAGTTTAGGTTGTTATAATCTAGCAGGGTGAGGGTTTTCTGAGCTTCTTGGATCTATGTTTCACAAGTTTGGGAGGTTTTCAGTCAATTTCCCCTCAATTTATTCTGCATCAAGTTCTTCTTTCAGGCACTCCAATGGGCAGAATGTTAGAAATTTTGATAGTAGGCCAGGCGCGGTGGGTCACGCCTGTAATCCCAGCACTTTGGGAGGCCGAGGCGGGCGGATCATGATGTCAGGAGATCGAGACCATTCTGGCTAACATGGTGAAACCCCGTCTCTACTAAAAATACAAAAAAAATTAGCCGGGCGTGGTGGCGGGCGCCTGCAGTCCCAGCTACTCGGTAGGCTGAGGCAGGAGAATGGGGTGAACCTGGGAGGCGGAGTTTCCAGTGAGCCAAGATGGCGCCACTGCATTCCAGATTGGGTGACAGAGCGAGACTCCGTCTCAAAAAAAAAAAAAAAGAAATTTTGATAGTGTCCCACACATCTCTGAGGTTCAGAGAATTACTCCTCAATCTTTATTTCTTTGTTCGTCATATTGTATCATTTCTATTTACATATCTTCAATTTCACTGATTTTTTTCTCCAGTCTATAATTGAGTTGAATCAGTACATTTTTCATTTTAGATGTTGCATATGCATTTAAGATTTCCATTTGCTTCTTTTTTATAATTTCTTCTCTTCTGATGAAGACTTGTAGCTTTCCATTAATTTTAAGAGTACTTAGGCCGGGCGCGGTGGCTCACCCCTGTAATCCCAGCACTTTGGGAGGCCGAGGCGGGCGGATCATAATGTAAGGAGATCGAGACCATCCTGGCTAACACGGTGAAAACCCGTCTCTACTAAAAACACAAAAAATTAGCTGGGCGTGGTGGCGGGCGCCTGTAGCTCCAGCTACTCAGGAGGCTGAGACAGGAGAATTGCTTGAACCCGGGAGGTGGAGCTTGCAGTGAGCTGAGATCACACCACTGCACTCCAGCCTGGGTGACAGAGCAAGACTCTGTCTTAAAAAAAAAAAGAGTACTACCTTTATTTTATTTTTTTGAGAATGGTTATAATAGATGTTTTCCCTCTAAATTTTAAATCTAATTATAACTTTAACTAGAATTAAATTTTAACCAAACTTCTGATTAAAGCATAAATTGTCCCTTCATGTGGGTCTTTCAAGGCCGGATTTTTGATTATCTTTTCCCTTGAGAGTTGGTCAGATTTGTCTTATGTTCTACCGCATAATTTTGGAGAGTATCCTGGACAGTTTGCTTATTATATTGTGAGATTCTGGTTCTTACTAAAATCTGCCAGAGAAATGTTCATTTTGTTGTTGTTATTGTTGTCGTATTGAGCATTCAACATAGTTTAGGTTAAACCACATATTCTGTCTTGTTTTCTTTTCTTTTTTTTTTTTTTTTTTTTTTGAGACGGAGTCTCACACTGTCACCTGGGCTGGAGTGCAATGGCTCAATCTCAGCTCACTGCAACCTCCACCTCCTGGGTTCAAGCGATTCACTTGCCTCAGCCTCCCAAGTAGCTGGGATTACAGGCGCCCGCCACCACGCCTGGCTAATTTTTTGTATTTTTAGTAGAGACGGGGTTTCACTATGTTGGCCAGGCTGGTCTTGAACTCCTGACCTCGTGATCTGCCCACCTTGGCCTCCCAAAGTGCTGGGATTACAGGTGTGAGCCACCGTGCCCAGCCCTGTCCTGTTTTCTTTGACAGTTGTTCCAGTCTCAGTGCAGTTTTCAAGCCTTTGCTATGCTGGTGTATCCACTTGGGTAAATCTGGGAGTTGAGTGGTGGTTTATATTATAGTTCGTTTCTCAAAACCCTTGCTCTGCTTCTGTGCATGCATAGTTCAGGGTGATCCTAGGACTTATGTTAATTCATACATCCATTTAAGTGATCCCCTTTAGCTTTCTCCTCTGCAGGATTCTGCAGGGTTCCGTTTTCATGCTCCTATCAGTGTTGCAGCACCCGTGCTGCTGTGCAGTTACACGCGTCTAGGTCAGCCTTTCAAGTGAAGTACAGGAAGAAACAAAAAGAGATTTCCCCTATACTTTTCAGATGCAGAAGTCTCTTTCCTTTTCCTCTGCCCAGTGAGCCAAGTGATTTCTCAGGGCTTTAGGTCCCTCTGCCATTGCTGAGGCTGCAGGACAGCTTTGCAACTGGGGAGATAAAAACAAAACAAACCAAGGATGATCCCCTTACTCCTTGATGTGCAGGAGACCCCTTTCCCACTAGCCTAGCTAGAAATTTAGGTGGTTTATCACAGACTTTTTACTTTCAGTGCCTGCTGGACAGTTCTATGACTCCACATGCCCTTGGGTAAACCAGAAGAAAGAGGAGGAAAATTAACTTACTATAGTCACCCCATTGAAAGGGCCTTTGCAAAACTCATAACTGAGAAAATTATGACAGTGAAACAGATCAGACCTAACCGACCACACCTTGCTTCTAACGCCTAAGCTGTCTTTGTTCATTCCTGGGCATAGGCCAAACTAGTCTTGGGGAAGAATTGTTTATAGTTTAAATTCTGAAACAAAACTGATAATAGTCCTTTCCTGAAAAAAAGACGCTTCTTGCGTGGGGAACTGTCCTGCCTTTGTAGGACTAACAAATTAGCTACAAGATGAGAGATTACGGCTTAGGGGCCATGCAGCTTCTGGCCGCAAGAGTCTGAACCTCCCCAAGTTGCTTCTGGGAATAAAATCTCCGTTGCAAAACTTAAGATCAGTGCTTGAGATATTTTGCATACCCTGAATTCCGATGCAGCAGATGACACCACCCAGACTGATAATCTGGCTCAACCAGTCCTGCGATCTCATCCAGGAAGAGAAATCAGCAAGAACTCACTTCCACCCCCATGATTCCATCTCCAACCCGACCAATAAGCACTCCCTACTTCCTGAGCCCATACCCACCAAATCATTTTTAAAAACTCTGATCCCCGACTGGGCATGGTGGCTCACGCCTGTAATCCCAAGGTGGGTGGATCACTTGAGGTCAGAAGTTTGAGATCAGCCTGGCCAATATCATGAAACCCCGTCTCTACTGAAAATACAAAAATTAGCCTGGTGTGGTGGCATGCACCTGTAATCCCAGCTACTCAGGAGGCTGAGTCAGGAGAATCGCCTGAACCCGGGAGGCGAAGGCTGCAGTGAGCAGAGATCACATCACTGCACTCTAGCCTGGACGACAGAACGAGACTCCATCTCAATAAATACATAGAGATATAAATAAAATAAAATAAAATAAAGTTTCTTAAAAAAAATAGGAAATCTCCTGAAAAACCTTTTCAGAAAAATAGCCACAGGTGCATGTTTGGCTCGTGTTTTTCCCAGAAACAACCTAAATCTGGCTTGATAAACCTTGATTGATGTATTTGCCCCAGTCACTCATGTTGTAACCAGCAAAAGGGCCCAGCTGCTCACTGCTTGTAGAAAGAAGTCAAAATGATAATGACATGTGATTTAAAAAGAAAGAATTTTATAATCTATGCTAGCAAGGGCAAGAGCAGAGAGCAATTCCACTCTTCCACGTGAGGAAAGAACGCAGGGGTTTTTTTTGTTTGTTTTTTGCGACGGTGTCTTGCTCTGTCGCCCAATCTGGCTGGAGTGCAGTGGCGCAATCTCAGCTCACTGCAACCTCCGCCTTCTGAGTTCAAGCGATTCTCCTGCCTCAGCCTCCCGAGTTGCTGGGACTACAGGCACATGCCACCATGCCCAGCTGATTTTTTGTATTTTTAGTAGAGACGGGGTTTCCCCGCGTTAGTCAGGATGGTCTCCATCTCCTGACCTCGTGATCCTCCGGCCTTGACCTCCCAAAGTGCTGCGATTACAGACGTGAGCCACTGCGCTCGGATGAACGCAGGGGTTTTTATTTATTTTATTTTATTTTTTAAGATATTTATTTATTTGTTTATTTTTTGAGACAGAGTCTCACTCTTTCACCCGGGCTGGAGTGCAGTGGCGTGATCTCGGCTCACTGCAAGCTCCGCCTCCCGGGTTCACGCCATTTTGCTGCCTCAGCCTCCCGAGTAGCTGGGACTACAGGTGCCCGCCACCACGCCCGGCTAATTTTTTGTATTTTTAGTAGAGATAGGGTTTCACTGTGTTAGCCAGGATGGTCTCCATCTCCTGACCTCATGATCTACCCGCCTCAGCCTGCCAAAGTGCTGGGATTACAGGCGTGAGCCACCGCGCCCGGCCAAAGCGGTTTTTAAAGGGAGGATTTGGAAGGCAAAAGAGGCAGGGGGACTGGGAGGTGTCAGGTGGTGTGACCCCCTCCAGTGGCTTGTCCTGAATTATTTTTCCATCTGTGGAAGTGGCCGGCGTCATCATGGCTGGAGGAGGTGCATGGTTCGTATCAGGATCTGACTACTGAAGCTTCTAAGGAAATATGTGACCAGATAAGTGAGTATGGTGTGTGCTTACCAAACAACTAGGTAAATAAATGTGCATAAGGCATGGGGGCATAGAACAGGAAAAGAAAGGGGGTGGAGGTTCACAGCACATTCCAAGGCTGGATTTCAAGAGGAGAGGAAACACGTCTATACTTTGTCTAAGTTACATCTTCAGATTAGCAGAAGAGAGGAAAGGGGAAAGGAAAAAAAGTTTTAAAATGCGGTTTGAGGTTAGGCTGCTAAGCTGCTGGGTTACAGATTCAGCTTATATTTGAGCATGTGGAGTATGTATATTTATTTTAAAAATCTAGAGCATCTTGGTCAGCCACAGTGGCTCATGCCTGTAATCCCAGCACTTTGGGAGGCTGAGGCGGCTGGACCATGAGGTCAGGAGTTCAAGACCAGCCTGGCCAAGATGGTGAAACCCCGTCTCTACGAAAAATACCAAAATTAACTGGGCGCAGTGGCGGGTGCCTGTAGTCCCAGCTACTTGGGAGGCTGAGGCAGGAGGATTGCTTGAACCTGGGAGGCGGAGGTTGCAGTGAGCCAAGATCGCACCACTGTACTCCAGCCTGGGCAACAGAGTGAGTGAGACTCCCATCTCAAAAAAAAAAAAAAAAAAAAAAAATCTAGAGTGTCTTGTACATATCCTTTAATAACCTACTTTTAAAAACTTAATATATTTTAGATACATATGTATATGTGTACCTACTTACATCCTTAAAACTGACGTGATGATAAATAAAACCGCGGAATTTCTATCAATATGTAAATGCTCTTCTCAGAAAAGGCGGGCTCTTTGCTCCTGTGGTTGATGGGGATGATGCAGATGGTGGCAGAGGCTTCCATTTTTTGAGCATTCGTTGTGGGACCTGCCAGTGCTTCAAGCTCAATACACCTTCTCCCATTTAACCCTCACAGCTCAGGAGGGGGTCCTGCCGGGACCTCCACTGCAGACAGGAAAAGAGGAGAAAGTTGGTATCTTCTGAATTCTTTTGGCAAAAGGAGAAGGGAAGAGGGTTCCTGTGCAGGGCATGCAGGAAGGCAGGAGTATGGAAAAGGGGGAAGGGACAGTGTGTAATGCCCTCCCTGCTGAGCCACATGGTTGGAATGGAGCATCACAGCAGAGATGGCAGAGCCAGAAACCCTAGGATCCGGTGTCAGAGGGACACAGGGCCCAGCTGCCAATGTGTGGCCCAGAGCAGTGGAGGACACCTTGGTTATGCCCTGGCACACAGCTTTCTACTGTCCTGGCATCTAAGCCCTGGGGACTGGGGCAGTGGGGTCAGTGCCCTCAGCTGGACACAGACACGTGGAGCAGAACTTGAAAAAGATGGGCCCCTGAGCCCATAGGACCCAGAGACCCAGCACCCAGGGAGGCCTGGGGAGGGAGAAGGACGCCCTCAGCTAGCACATGGGGGCTTGAGGTCCAGATAACTGTTAAGGTACCTCATCTGATCTCCCCACAGGGGACACCCGGCACATGCAGGCCTCCTTCCTGACTTCTCTGCCAACCTTTTCCCCAGCCTTAAAACTTTCTCTTCCCGATGTCATTGTGACACTTCTTCAGTTCTCCTTCTAGTCCACTAGATGCTGCTGTGCACCCACCTAAGCACCACCATTTCTAATTCCTGGGATCCTAGTTTGGGAAAGACAGGGGAGCTGGTCAGCCGTTCGGATTTCCCAGTGGGTAGAATGGAGACTGCAGCCTTTGCCAGGGCTCTTCTCCACTGTGGTAGTGATTTTAACTCCAGTAGCTGTAACTTGCTGAGCACTCAGCACCTGCTGAGCTCTTTGCACAGATTGGCTCCTGTAACCCCCACAGGCCCCTGTGACATAAGTTTTCAATACCCAACATACTAGGAAACAGGGTCTCAGAGAGATGATATCACCTGCTCAGGGTCACACAGCACATACCTGGACAGGCTATGATTCCACAAAGGTTTTTGTCTAAGTCCAAATGCCAGGGACATAATATTGTCCTGTTGCTCATAGAAGTTGCTATTTAATGAGCTCCTATTATGCAGACTTTATTCCTTCAATATAAGATTTACTTACATTGTGAAATATACAACTACTTAGTACTTAATACTTATATTGATAAGATTTACTTCTCTTTATTAATATGATTATCAAATCTAAGGGTTTAATCTTTCATTCTGTTTAAAATTTAACACTGCTTCTTTTGTAATTGCTGCTTTTGATATGATAATAATTCTTACTGTTTGGTGCATTTATGATATACACTGTGTTATCGAATGTATTCCAGTAAGAGTAGGCTACCAACACAGTTCTGTTGGCCAACTGAGCACTATAGCTTGTTCATTAAGAGAAATAGGCCGGGCACAGTGACTCAACGCCTGTAATCCCAGCACTTTGGGAGGCCAATGCAGGTGGATCACGAGGTCAGGAGTAAGAGACCAGCCTGGCCAACATGGTGAAACCCCGTCTCTACTAACGATACAAAAATTAGCCGGGCATGAGGAAGGAGAATTGCTTGAACCGGGGAGGTGGAGGTTGCAGTGAGCCAAAATCATGCCATTGCACTCCAGCCTGGGCGACAGGGCAAGACTCTGTCTCCAAAAAAAAAAGAGGGCAAGAGAGAGAAATAGTCTTCAATCCTGAATCTTTTGGGCCTGAAAATTGGAAATAAAAAATTATAGAATAGCAACTTTTGAAATGTTGGTTATGAAGGACAAGAAAACCTCACACATCCACTGTCTCCATTATTTTCTAAAAGAAAGGCCATCTTAATGTAACTGAACACAAGTCTGGCTGCTCACCAGTCAGGATCCAAAATGCAAGAAGTGAAGTGTGCTGAAAGGAAAGTAACTTTCTTTTTTTTTTTTTTTTTTGAGATGGAGTCTTGCACTGTCGCCCAGGCTGGAGTGCAGTGGTGTGATCTTGGCTCACAAAAGCTCCTCCTCCCAGGTTCACGCCATTCTCCTGCCTCAGCCTCCCAAGTAGCTGGGACTACAGGCGCCCGCCACCATGCCTGGCTAACTTTTTTTCTTTTTCTATTTTTGTGTTTTTAGTAGAGACGGGGTTTCATCGTGGTAGCCAGGATGGTCTCGATCTCCTGACCTCATGATTCGCTCGCCTCAGCCTCCCAAAGTGTTGGGATTACAGGCATCAGCCACCGCGCCCGGCCGGAAAGTAACTTTCTTTAAATGTTAGCAGCTAGGAAATGACCAGGCTCATGCCTCCAAGAGACCATTTTAAGTTTTAGGGCTGAGTGAAAGGGTTTAAAAAGGGAAACTTGGCATGGGGAGCACGCAGGGGTGGTGAAGGGTACAGGGTCTATGTGTCTTCTCCCGGTGGCTATTTTGAGTTATTGTCCCCCTGGAGCACAGGTGGGTGCCATCATGTCTGGCTGAGGTGTAGCTTATCCTCCTCGAGACCATCCCCCTAGGTAGGGGAGAATTCTGTAGCTGGGTCTTCATGCTTGGTTTATTTTTCTTTCTTTCTTTTTATTTATTTATTATTATTATTTTTTTGAGATGGAGTCTCTCTCCATCACCCAAGCTGGAATGCAGTGGTGCGATCTTGGCTCACTGCAACCTCCACCCCTTGGGTTCAAGCAATTCTCCTGCCTCAGCCTCCCTAGTAGCTGGTATTACAGGTGCCTGCCACCATGCCCGGCTAATTTTTGTTTTTTTTTTTTTTTTTTTAGTAGAGACGGGGTTTCACCATGTCGGCCAGGCTGGTCTCGAACTCCTGACCTCAGGTGATCCACCCGCCTCAGCTTCCCAAAGTGCTGAGATTACAGGCATGAGCCACTGTGCCTGGCCATGCTTGGTTTATTTTCAAATTAGCCTCCCCTGGAATTTCTAAAAAGGCACATAATTAGATAAGCTACCATGGTACAAGGAGTGTCTGGGGGGAAGAGAGTGAAAAAAAGGGTTTCAAATACATTTCAAGGCTAAGGCTACAAAAATTAAAATAAAAATAGTTAAAAATGTATTTTGAAGCTGAGCTGCTCAGTCATATTAACGCCTAAAGAGTAAGAAGGACATACTTCAGAAAAACCTATGGCTCTGTCCAGGCAGGGACAGTTGATGTCGTCATACTGACACTTTTACTATGGAAAACTGACGGGTTTGAGTCTTGCCTTCAATACTTGCTAGCTGTGTGACCTTGGGTAAGCGGGTTCATCCCTCTGTGCTTCACTGCCCCCTTCACAAAGCTGTTACGATGAAATGCTTTGATCTACATAAAGCGCTTAGCAGGGTGGCTCAACAAGCTGCAGCAGTTAGTATACAGTTGGTTCTCTGTATCCATGGGTTCTGCATCTGTGGATTCAAACAACCAACTGAACATATACAAACACTTTTTTTTGTCATTATCCTTTAAACCAAGCTTGTCCAACCCACAGCCCCACAGGTCTCATGTGGCCCAGGACAGCTTAGAATGTGGCTTTGAATTTCGTAAACTTTCTTAAAACATTATGAGATATTTTGGGGATTTTTTTTTCTTTTAGCTCATCAGCTATCATTAGTATTGGTGTATTTATTATTATTATTATTATTATTTTTGAGACAGAGTTTTGCCGTTGTTGCCCAGGCCAGAGTGCGGTGGCACAATCTCGACTCACTGCAACCTCTCTCTCCAGGATTCAAGCGATTCTTCTGCCTCAGCCTCCCAAGTAGCTGGGATTACAGGTGTGTGCTAACATGCCCAGCTAATTTTGTTTTTTGTTTGTTTGTTTGTTTTTGTTTTTCAGACGGAGTCTCGCTCCGTCTCCCAGGCTGGAGTGCAATGGCACGATCTCGGCTCACTGCAAGCTCTGCCTCCCAGGTCCACGCCATTCTCCTGCCTCAGCCTCCCAAGTAGCTGGGACTACAGGTGCCCGCCACCACACCTGGCTAATTTTTTATATTTTTAGTAGAGAGGGGGTTTCACCATGTTAGCTAGTATGGTCTCGATCTCCTGACCTTGTGATCCACCCGCCTCGGCCTCCCAAGCTGCTGGGATTATAGGCATGAACTATGGCGCCTGGCCGTGTTAGTGTATTTTATGTGTAGCCCAAAACAATTCTTCCAATGTGGCCCGGGGAAGTCAAAAGATTGGACATTCCTGCTTTAAACAACACAACATAACAACTACTTACAAAGTATTTACATGGTATTAGGTATCATAAATAATCTAGTGATGATTTAAAGGTATACAGGAGGATGTGCATAGGATGTATACAAATACAACACCATTTTGTATCAGGGACTTGAGCATCCACAGATTTTGGTATCAGCGGTAGACTGTGGAACCAATCCCTGTGGATACCCAAGGAGGACTGTATAGTTGGCCTCGTTTTTATTAACCTAAGACAATAGCACCACCTTGCGGCTCTTTGTCCCAGGCACAGACAAGCTGAGCCCATGGAACAAAAATGAGCCTTCCACAGATGGTGAAGAGGAAACCTTGTCTCATGGCCAAGGCTGAGGCTGGAGCAGGGAGAAAAACCATATTTGTTCACATAAACATTCCAGGCTCAGACATGCTCATCTCCTTGAGAATAAAGTTTGTTTCTGAGAAACTATTGTCCAAGCTGTCAGCCCCTAGAAGAGGAACAGAAAATGAAATCTCTCTCCTTGGGCCTCCTCCACCTGCAGAGTTGCGTTCTTGGGGCAGAGAATGCTGTCTGTTCACAGTGGCTGGCAGGACAGTGAGGCTTTGGCCCTGTCACCCATAGAGGTAAGGGCTGAGGGAGACATTGCTGTCAGCCACAGACCTTCCTGCTTCTTGTTTTCCTTTGATGTCTGCAGAATGAAAAAGGGAAAACAGGCCAGGCGTGGGGGCTCACGCCTGTAATCCCAGCATTTTGGGATGCTGAGGCGGGTGGATCACGAGGTCAGGAGTTCAAGACCATCCTGGCCAAGATGGTGAAACCCTGTCCCTACTAAAAATACAAAAATTAGCCGGGCATGGTGGTGTCCTCTGTAATCCCAGCTACTTGGGAGGCTGAGGCAGGAGAATCACTTGAACTTGGGAGGTGGAGGTTGCAGTGAGCCGAGATTGTGTCACTGCACTCACTCCAGCCTGGGCAACAGAGCAAGACTCCATCTCAAGAAAAAAAAAACACAAAAAACAAACAACAACAACAAAAAACAACAACAAAAAAAGAAAAAGGGAAAACAAAATATAGGATTCTTTTTGTGATGGTCACAAAACAGTGGCAAATGTCAGCTCTGTGCAGTCCCCAATAAGAGTTTTGCACTGATGAAGCCATCAGCCATTGGAAACAGCAATTTGTCCTCAGAAAAGTAGTTGCAGGAGAGTCTATCAGACCTGACAGTGAATGTGAGCACTCTTTTTACCTTCCTTCCCCAGAGTGAGAAATGATGGACAGGAATTTTTCTTTCCTGACTCAGTTTGCAGGCTTTTGGCCTGTGAGCTTGGGGATGAACCCAGGTGAGGGGCAAAGGAGGTTGGCTCTGGGGATAGGTAGGCTTGCCTTCTAATCCCACTTCTGTCACTTGCTGACTGTGTGACCTTGGGCAAGTCACTGTCCTTTCAGTTTGAATATTATGCCTAGAGTATAATTTTTGGTATTTATCTTGCTTAGTGTTCTATGAACTTCCTGGATCTGTGATTTAATTCTGTTTTTAATTTTGGAAAATTTTCGGTCATTATTATTTCAAATACTTCTCCTGTTCCTTTCTCTCTTTCTTTCCTTATGATATTCCCATTATGCATGTTACACCTTTTATAGTTATCCCAGTTCTTGGGACGTATTCTGCTTTGTCTTTTTATTCCTTTTTCTCTTTGCCCTTTTTTTTTTTTGAGACAGAGTTTCGCCTTTGTTGCCCAGGCTGGAGTGCAATGGCTCGATCTCAGCTCACTGCAACCTCCACCTGCCAGGTTCAAGCAATTCTCCTGCCTCAGTCTCCCAAGTAGCTGGGATTACAGGCACACATCACCACACCTGGCTAATTTATTTATTTATTTATTTATTTTTTTTAGTAGAGACGGGGTTTCACCATGTTGTCCAGGCTGGTCTCGAACTCCTGACCTCAGGTTATCCGCCCACCTCAGCCTCCCAAAGTGCTGGGATTGCAGGCCTGAGTCACCCCGCCCAGCTGGCCAGGAATTTTCAAGTGCTTAGCAGGTTCAGGCTTTTCAAATCTTTAGGATATTTTCAAGATGTAGTAAACAAATAGTTACTGCTGCACCATAGACAGTGCAGAATTTTTTGAGACAGAGTCTCACTCTGTCACCCGGGCTGGAGTGCAGTGGTATGATCATAGTCCACTGCAGCCTTGAACTCCCAGGCTCAAGCGATCCTCCTGTCCTCCTGCCTCAACCTCCCAAGCACCAGGGACTACAGGTGTGCACCACCATCCTAGTTAATTTTTTAATTTTTTTTTTTTTTAGAGACGGTGTCTTGATGTTGCCCCGGCTAGTCTTGAACTACTGGGCTCAAGCAATCCTCCTGCCTCAGCCTCCCAAAGTGCTGGGATTACAGGCATGAAACTCTGTGCCTGGCCAACAGTGCACAACTGAGTCTGGAATTCAAGCTGAGAACGCATGCAGATTTCTATAGGATAATGGTGCAATTTCAAAGCAGTAAGACAAAGATTAGTTAAGAAACCGTGCCAGATAACTAACTATTTCTCTCATAATTGACAGGCATTCAATGTGTACATCAAGGATCTGGATGTAACTGTGATAAAATATTAAAGAATTGGTGATTTTTAAAAAATATCTAGGCTAGGCCAGGCGCGGTGGCTCACGCCTGTAATCCCAGCACTTTGGAAGGCTGAGGCAGGCGGATCACAAGGTCAGGAGATCAAGACCATCCTGGCTAACATGGCGAAACCCCGTCTCTACTAAAAAAAATACAAAAAAATTAGCCAGGCCTGGTGGCGGGCGCCTGTACTTCCAGCTACTCGGGAGGCTGAGGCAGGAGAATGGCGTGAACCCAGCAGACAGAGCTTGTAGTGAGCTGAGATCACGCCACTGTACTCCAGCCTGGGCAACAGAGCCAGACTCTGTCTCAAAACAAAAACAAAAACAAAACAAAACAAAACAAAAAAACAAAAAACCTAGGCTAGGCATGGTGGCTCACACCTGTAATCCCAGAAATTCGGGAGGCTGAGATGGGATGATCGCTTGAGCTCAGGAGCTCAAGACCAGCCCAGGCAACATGGTGAAACCCCGTCTCCACAAAAAATACTAAAAAATTAGCCAGGAGTAGTGGCAGCACCTGCAGTTCCAGCTACTCTGGAGGCCGAAGTGGGAGGATTTCTTGAACCCAGGAGGCTGAGGTGGGAGGGTTTCTTTTTTTTTTTTCCATTAAGTTGAAGGAATTTATTTTAAATAACCTACAGTTGACTAAAAGGGAATTCATGATAAAAATAGAGGATACTTGAGGAAAGATGTGGGAAATGGACTCTGCACACACACTAAACTAACAATGCCTCTAAAACTAATAATTATAGCAAAAAATGTCTTCACATTAAAATTCTGCTTTTTTTCCCCATTTTTTACACAACTACAAAAGAAAAAATAAAAGCCCTAAAATCTTGATTATTTTTCCTTTTTTTTTTTGGACCAAATACTCATTTTCCTCTAAATTTATTGACCTGTGGAACTTTTTATACAATAAAATCTTTCAAGTGAAAGATTAGGGTTAAAAAGAAAAAGATGGGTATCTTAAAGTACAGCGAATGCTCAGAACAAAGGATGATGGGAAAATGGTTTCAGTCACTGATTATTTCATTATCCATAGACTCACTCGCCCTTCATCCTTCCCCAACCCCAATCTACACGATCTGTAAGATCAAGAAAAAGGTTTAAATATTTTAAAATAATTAAAAAGAAATACAAATTCACATTTAAAAAGGAAGACTCAAGTCAGGAAATATTTTCCCATCATGCTTTTCTGTGAACAGGTGTCTGAACCAAAACACTGCCAAAGCTACGACTGCTTCAAGTTTAGTGAAGATTGATCCCCATGACAATAGAGTGACGACTGTAGCAGATGCGCTGGTTTTTTTGTTCTACTTAATTTTAAATTCCTGAAATGGGGGAGAGGGGAGGGAGTTTAGGAATTTATTTATATTAAAATACAGAAGTTATTGCAAAACCCCAACTGTAAGAACACACCAATATAATCGGACTTTTCATACAGTAGCTAAGAGAATCCAAACATTTCAGTGAAACAGTGAATTTGCCTGGTAGAACGCTGACAAATTCCCATCCATTTGCCCTCTTGAAAATAAAAACAAAATTCAAAACAAATCATACAGCTAGAATTTTGATATCTGAAATATTTTTAAATAAGTTGTCCACAGGACAACTGGCTCAGCTCTCCCTTATGTTATTATCTCCAGGTTTATCTTTTCTCAAAGATGTTGGTTTGTTAAGACTTGTTGCCTCTCTCCCCCAGGCACGAGGGCAAGCGAGGCTCAGTTTATCCATTTCTCCCAAACCACACTGTTCCTTTTCACAGAACCCTGCCCCTTGAGACTGGCTAAAACTTCTAGTCTTCATCAGCCATGCCAATGGCAGGCAAACTTTTCCCGCTGGGTTTTGTTGTGAATCTTCTCAATTAGGACGCCCGGAAGTGGGAGGATTTCTTGAGCCCGGGAGGTTGAGGTTGCAGTGAGTGGAGATTGCATTGTTGCACTCCAGCCTGGGCAAAAGAGAGAGATCCTGTCTCAACACACACACACACACACACACACACACACACACACACACACACGGCAAGGTCAAAAAGAATGACAGAAACCTGGAATAAATAGATGAAAAAGCAGATACAAGAGACAAGGTTTTTTATTTTATTTTTATTTAAGAACTACTGGAAAGTTTACCCATGACAGCGGATCCACCTCTAGAGATCAGTGCTTACCAGATGAGTAAGGGTGCTTCTAGGTTTGAATCCAAGGACGGTCATAGCAGCTGCATTTAGTTACACCGGCCCCAGCAGGGAGTTGGTTAAAGCTACTAAGTGGTAATGGCTGCATCCTGGGGCTCCAAGTGCACATCGTTTTGTAAGAGCACCTGGCAGGTAAATCCAGGAATGGTTAATGGTGAGGCAAGAAGGCAGGGCGAGCCAGCCCCACTCCCATCCCTGGGAGACTTCGCGGCATCTCTTGAGTCCGCCACGTGCAGCTCATCGTGGCCTCTTTCGGCCGGACGGAGGCGGCGCCAGAAGAGGCCGGGACCCCAGGGTTGAAATTGAATTGGGGCGGGGGCGACGCCTGCTTTCCTGAGTGTGCGGCACGTCTTGCGGGAGGCTGGGCTGGTCCGTGTATTTCCCCGGGCCATTTTGGTGACCGGTGCGGGGCGTGGGGCTGTGTGCCCAGAAAGGCAAGAGGATCTCCCTCTTGGAAAAGGGGCTTTGCGCCTCTGACCCCGCGGAGATCAGCGCCGGGACGCTGCGGTGTTGGGACCAAGAACCCGAGGCCACAGAGCGCCGGTGCATAGCGCACAGATCAGCCTAATTCTTGTGGACGGAGGGCAGGTGAGCTGTGGGAGCGGAGTCCAAAGGGCCGAGGCAGGAGATGGTGGGCGGAGGTCCCACTCAGGATGCGGGAGCTGAGGTTTAAGTGTGGGGTGGGAGGGTCTGGGGGCACCTGGGCTCCTTGCTGTGCTTGTGGGGATGCCTGGGAGGTGAGAAGAACCCAGTACTCAACTGACTCATACAGACAAGCGTAGTAACCCCTAGTGTCTTGTGAGTCTCTGTGTGGAAGATAACCATAGTTTCCTTAAATTTCTAGAGAAGTTTGGCCGAGCACGGTGGTTCACGCCCGTAATCGCAGCACTTTGGGAGGCTGAGGCGGGTGGATCACCTGAGGTCAGAAGTTCGCGACCAGCCTGGCCAACATGGTGAAACCCGTCTCTACTAAAAATACAAAAATTAGCCAGGCGTGGTGGCACGAGCCTGTAATCCCAGCTACTCAGGAGGCTGAGGCAGGAGAATCGCTGGAGCCCGGGAGGCGGAGGTTGCAGTGAGCCGAGATTTCCCCGCTGCACTCCAACCTGGGCAACAGAGTGAGACTCTCTCAAAATAAAAAACAAACAAACAAAACTAGCTGGGTGCGGTGGTGTGTGCCTCAGGAGGCTGAGGCAGGAGAATTGCTTGAGCCCGGGAGGCAGAGGTTGCAGTGAGCTGAGATTGCGCCACTGCACTCCAGCCTGGGTGACAGAGCAAGACTCCCTCTCAAAAAAAAAAAAAAGAAAAAAAAGTTTTACCAGGTCTCCTGTCTTTTATTATAGGATGCTTCTCTGCTGACTCGGGGGGCAGTCAGTCTTTTTGATGTGATAGGAGAATGTGTGTCGTTAGTAACCAGATGCTTTATTGGAAGTAATAGTAACGGAAAAAAAACATTACCAGGTGCTATGGTTTGGATATGGCTTGTCCCCACCAAAACTGAGGCTGAAATTTGATCCCCAATGTGGCAGCATTGGGAAGTGGGGCCTACTGGGAGGTGTTTGGGCCCTGGGGGTGGAATCCTTATGAATAGGTTAATTCCCTGCCTTGGAGGTGAGTGAGTTTGGATTAGCACCTGCCTGAGCTGGTTGTTAGAGTCCGGCCTCCTCAGTTTCTCGTTTCCCTTCTTGCCATGTGGTCTTTGTCCACATCTCTCCCCCACTTTTGCTTTTTCTACCAGGAGTTGAAGCAGCATGAGACCCTCACCAGATGGGCTGCCCAGTCTTGGACTTTCCAGCCATCAGAATGATGAGCCAAACACACCTCTTCCTTTATAAATTACCCAGCCTCAGATATTCTGTTGTAGCAACCCTAAAGAGAGTAAGACACCAGGCAACTCCACAGAGATGTCTAATATAACTGTATTCTTCAGGGTCATCACCTTCAGGACCACAATGCCTGGTAGGGCAAGGACTCGCGCCCGAGGCAGAGCCCGCCGCAGGGAGAGCTACCAACAAGAGGCACCTGGGGGACCCAGAGCACCTGGATCAGCTACAGTGAGCCCTGTAACGTTGTTTCCTTTCTGCAAGAGATATGTGCCTGTACTGAAAAGAACATAGAGTTGGTTGTTGAGCGAAGCTAGTTCAGGTATAGTGCTAAGTGAGGACTAATAAAAGTTCATAAGAAAAGTCAGGCTGTATAGATGGCAGCATGGGGAGGCTTTATCTACTCAGATGTACTCTCCACTGCTTCCTTCTCACATTTTCACATGTGCAAGCAGACTGACTTTCAGCCCAAAGTGGATGCAAAGGTTTCTAGATTTCTTGGCTTCAGCCAATGACTCCTCTTTGGAAGTGACCCAAAATGAGCAACTTCCTGAAGGTACTGGCATAGCCTGAGTTAGATAAGAGTTTCCAGCCTTGTTGAAAACTTGTTATGCCTGCCCTGTTTTGTCTTCTCTTACTGCATATCCACTTTACATTCACACAGCAGGATCCATAGTGGCGCTGCGGGGCCCCATCTGACAACCTCCAGGGGGACCATATACTGCATGGAAGTAGCACGATGCCTTCCAGGTCCACTTATTCTGCTGTTTGACTGTTGCTCCTCTCCTTCTCCTAAGCCCTCCAACCTCAATTCCTCCTCCTGGTCCTAATTCTCGGTTTTCAACATAGACTTCTGTGCCACCGAGACAGACAAAGCATCCAATGAGAGTGTCAGTGGCTCCCTCTCTTGTCCCCTCACTCATGAGCATCTGAACCCATAGTCCAGCCCCTCACTGGAGATCCTAGGGCACCATCTTTGTTCCTACCTAAAGCAAATATCTCTACTTAGCCCCTTAGCCAGTCCTCTGTCTAGGGCATGTCTCCTGCAGCTTGCCTTTCTGTCTCCCAAGTCAGCAGGTGTGTGTTCTCCTAAATCATTCCCGTCTGTCTACAGACTCACTGAGTTCACTCCCATTCATCAAGAAACCTTCCCTGGGCCCTTCCACTCTGCCAGATTCACAGGGCAGCTCTCCTCAGACTTGCCTCTTCACTTTTAGTTGGCACAGTTGAGACCTCTTTTCTCCTGTCAACTCCCTCCGCTTGGCGTTTAGGTTACCTCCTTCATCACTGACCACCCCCACTTGCTCTCCTTTGTGGAGTTCTCCTCTATGGCCTCTTGATATTGCCAAGACCCAGCCCTTGAGCCTCATCTTTTTTCTCCATATTCTCACTCCCTTGGTGAAGTTATCCAGTGTCAAAATGCTTTCTGGTGTGTGGACAGGTCCCCATATTTATCTCGTTGGCCAGAACCTCTCCTGCACCACCTAACACCCCCACGGGTGTCCGTGGACAACTCACACTCCCAACCTGCCCTCCCCAGCATGCCATACCCACCTCATCAGAAGGACTTCCATTCTTCCATTTGCTCAGGCCAAAAGTCTGTGCTTTCATCCTATCTCCATGACCTCAAGCCCTTCTCAAAAACAACCACGGGATTGTTTTCTCAAAAACTATCCAGTATCAGACAATTTCTCACCACCCCTATCCTGGCCTCTGGCCCAAACAGCTCACATCCCTTGCTATTTCCTTGTCTCTCAGCCTGTTCCCAACATGGAACCTGACAAATTAGTTCATGTCGTTCCTCTGCCTGGTATCCTGTCACAGCTTTTTTTTTTTTTTTTTTTTTTTGAGACAGAGTTTCGCTCTTGTTGCCCAGGCTGGAGTGCAATGGCGTGATCTTGGCTCACTGCAACCTCTGCCTCCTGGGTTCAAGCGATTCTCCTGCCTTAGCCTCCTGAGTAGCTGGGATTACAGGCATGTGCCACCATGCCCAGCTAAGTTTTGTATTTTTAGTAGAGACGGGGGTTTCTCCATGTTGGTCTTGAACTCCCGATCTCAGGTGATCTGGCTGCCTCGGCCTCCCAAAGTGCTGGGATTACAGGCGTGAGCCACTGCACCTGGCCTCTGTCACAGCTCTCATTTTATCAGTCAGAAGCAATTTCCTTAAAATGACCTCCTTCCCTTCATCTCACTGACATCTCTCACCCTCTTCTTCCAGCCACACTGGCTGCCTCATTCTTCCTTGAACGTTCCCAACTGCAGAACTCTGCTCTTTTTCTTCCACTGCTGGCTTGGGTAACTTTGCTAATTCACTCAGTACCTCCAAGTCTTGGGTTCTGTGTCACTTTCTCACTGAGGCCCGCTTTTGCCCCCATCAGCTAGTGAAACCTGCCCCTTCACACCCTACCTTCCCAGTAATTCCTGATTCTCCTCGGTTTGTTTTGTCCTTTTTTTGTTTTTTTCCTTAGCAATTACCACACAAGGTGCTATGTATGTTGCTTATTACAACTTAGTTTATGTCACTGGAATGTGAGCTTTTCAGAGGAAGTTCCTTTGCCTTGTGCCCTGCGAGTGCCATTTGGAGGGAGAATGAACACAGTAGGGCACTGCTCATTATTTCTATTTCCAAAAACATGCAGACCCAGGAGCCCCCTCAGTTGCAGTCGACACCCCGGCCGCTGCAGGAGGAAGTCCCAGTGGTTAGACCTCTGCAGCCAAGAGCAGCAAGAGGAGGAGCAGGAGGAGGAGCACAGTCTCAAGGTGAAAGGAAGCAAGAAGGACATGAGGGGCAGGGGATGCTTCATGTGTGAAGGGCTACCACAGCGGTAGAAGGTTCTAGATAGCCTCAGGACTCCCGTGAGGTTTGGTGGGATGGGAAGTGTGTGCAGCTTGCAACTGTCTCTCTTTGTGCAGTGAATTATCTGATGGTGTTTTCTTCACCTTGTGTCTTAACTTGTGGAAGGGAGATGGAGGTCACTGTTTATTGGCCAGTTCAACATAATTGCTTTTCAAATTTAGATGACACATCTGCAGATGATAACTCTAAGTTAACTTAATGGAATTCTAAGAACACCATTTTCTTTCCTCTTTAAATTGTGGCATTAACAGGTTGAACCTGTTACCTACATTGCAGGCTGACAGGTTATCCTCGTTTATACAGCACTCATGCACACAGGCTCAGATATTGTCATTTGCTAAGGTTTCGGCTAATGTGATCCAACTTCAGTCTGGATTCTCCTCTTTGCTTTCTATAGCAAAATAGCTTGTGATGAGTCAAAACTTGAAACACTAAAAAAGAATTGTATTATAGATAAATATTAACAAATGGTTACAAAATCCAGAACCTATAAAATGAGCTTATACATTTGAATAAATTAAAACACATTTTTAATAATCAGATCCTATCTGAAGGGTTGTTATTAAATAGTATGTGTAAATTACATGGACTGGGTGCAGTGGCTCACATCAGCACTTTGGGAGGCCCGGGTGGGTGGATCACTTGAGGCCAGAAGTTCAAGACCAGATTGGCCAACATGGCAAAATCCCATCTTTACCAAAAATATACAAATTAGCTGGGCATGGTGGTATGCGCCTGTAGTCCCAGCTACTAGGGAGGCTGAGGCAGGAGAATCACTTGAACCCAGGAGGCAGAGGTTCCAGTGAGCTGAGACAGTGCCACTGCACTGCAGCCTGGGTGACAGTTAGACTCCGTCTGAAAAGATAAAAGTATGTGGTTTGTAGCGAGTGCCAAGGTGCCAAGCTAGGATACCTGTTTTCTTTTGCTGACATTTTAATATGATGAATTTGATTGCTGGATGTGTCAGGAACTAGTTGGGAGTTTGATAAAATTGTTTCAAATTTTATGTGTAAAATGTAGTTAGTCTGTCACAGAAATGGAGACACTTACTTTGTAAGATCATCATAAACTAAAAACTAGACTCCAGAAGTAAAATTTTGAGGCAAACCATTATTGTAACCCAAGGCACAGACGTCTTGGCCATTTAGGTGTACGGGATTTACAATAACGTGTGCGTATTCCTTCAGGATGCCTCTCGTCACTGAAAGACCGCATTGTGCTGTCATTTAAATGTTAACTTTGTAGAATAGCTACATCGATATGAACCTTAGAATGTAAGTTGAAATAGTGAGTGTGATCCTTTCCTAGTTGCTCTTAATAGAAAGGATAGATCAGTTTTGTATTAAAAGCCAGTTTTATAGATTTTTTAAATGATTGGCTTATTTGGCATTTTATGATGCCCACTAGGGGGCAGCATAGCGCCAGGAGATAGGCTTAAAGACAGAACCAAAGTTTCTAGAATCTTGTACCATGAACAAATACCCAAAGAAATGGGGCACATATGTAGCAGGAATGAATAAAGTGCCAAGGCAACCACGGATGTGAACTGGGGACTCCTTGGGAAAGGTTTCTGGGTAAGGTTACGCTTTTGCGGCAACATATCACGGAAATGTGTTTTGGAACCTTGGGTGGCATCTTTTCTACCTCTAACAAACTTATGCTGGGTGTTAATGCTGTCTTTTCTATTCTTCCCTTTTTATTGTTTAAACTTCTGGCGTTTACATTTATGCAGGGGTGAAGGAACCTGGACCTGAGGCTGGGTTGCATACAGCGCCCTTGCAGGAGAGAAGGATTGGTGGAGTTTTTCAAGACCTGGTGGTGAACACCAGGCAAGATATGAAGCATGTTAAAGACTCAAAAACAGGTATGTTGGTCTAGAACTCAATGTTTATGGAGCTGTTCGTTTTTAACTTTTTTTTTTTTTTTTTCATTGAGAGACAAGGTCCTGCTCTGTCGCCCAGGCTGGAGTACAGTGATGCTCACTTTAGCCTCAAACTCCTGGGCTCAGCTGATCCTGAGCTGATCCCAGCTCAAGTAGCTGGGACTACAGGTGGGCACCACCATGCCCGAATGTGTGTGTGTGTGTGTGTGTGTGTGTGTGTGTGTGTGTGTAATATATACATATTTTATATATGTGTGTGTGTGTGTGTGTGTGTATGTAAATTTTGTAGAGACACGGTCTTGCTGGTCTAGAACTGGCCCAAGCCATCCTTACACCTGGGCCTTCCAAACTGCTGAGATTACAGGAATGAGCTACCACACCTGGCCCATTTTAAACTTTCGATAAAAACTTTAATAGATTCTGGAAAGCTTCTGTCATCACTGTAAGTAGAGGTGCCTCCCACCTTGCCCAAGCTGGTCTGGAACTCCTGGCCCAAACCATCCTCCCACCTGGGCCTCCCAAAGGGCTGGGATTATAGGTGTGAGCCACTGTGCCCTGGCCTGCAGTGAGACTTTTTTTAAAATTAAATATTATTACATAGGGTGGCGCTTTCTCTCCTTTTGGAAACCACAAATGTTCTAATTTTCAATCTATTCAGTATCTTAAACTTCCTAAATGTATGCTTGCATAAGGGCTCATTGAATTGATAGGCATTCTGGACATCAGGTGCATTACAAATGTCATTTATCTCCTTGTCTGACCTAACTTTGGCTTTTCTTTTCTTTTCTTTTTTTTTTTTTTTTTTTTTTTGAGACGGAGTTTAGCTCTTGTTGTCCAGGCTGGAGGGCAATAGTATGATCTCAGCTCACTGCAACCTCTGCCTCCTGGGTTCAAGTGATTCTCCTGTCTCAGCCTTCCGAGTAGCTGGGATTATAGGCACCTGCCACTGTGCCCAGCTAACTTTTTGTATTTTTAGTAGATATGGGGTCACCATGTTGGCCAGGCAGGTCTGGAACTCCTGATGTCAGGTGATCCACCCGCCTTGGCCTCCCAGAGTGCTGGGATTAGAGGCGTGAGCCACCGTGCCCAGCCCTAACTTTGGCTTTTAATATTGTAGTGTCCAAACTGTTTGTTTTGGGCCCAATCAGTCTGTTTCTTTATTGTCATGTGGCTCCATTTTTCAGGTTCAGAGGGTACAGTGGTACAGCTACTCGCCAACCACTTCCGAGTGATATCTCGTCCTCAGTGGGTTGCATATAAATACAACGTTGACTACAAACCAGACATAGAAGATGGAAATCTCCGTACAATTTTACTTGATCAACATAGAAGGAAATTTGGAGAGCGCCATATATTTGATGGAAACTCTTTATTATTATCTCGGCCACTAAAAGAGCGGGTTAAGTAATGTTGTTTCACATTTTCCTGTGTTCTTTCTCTTGTTTTCACTTTATTATAATAAAACACCTATTGTTTTTGTGCAGTTGTTTGTTGAGACATCCCAAGGCTCTCTTGCCCATATGACTTGTTGTGAAACCTATGTGCCATGTTCGGTTATCACTGATATTCAATAATGCCTCTGATTTTAATGCTTAAATGAAATTTAATAATACAATGTGGCTCAAAAATGCTGACAAAGTTTGGATACTTTTTTTTTTATTCTATTTGTTTCCTTTGAAACTTCAGCCCCCCACTCCTAGCAGAAAACAAGTTAGAGAACTTATTTTCTTCTTTAAATTTTTATATTAACTGAACAATTAAATTGCTTTCAGGAGCTTAAGTAAAATATTTCGACTTAAATATTTAATTCCAACTCTTCACTCTTGTGAATCATGTTTTCCACACGCACGTACTTTTGTGGGAAAGACTGCTCCATCACGATGGTGTGTTGGATAGCCAGGTGACATGGTGATTTGCCGTGCAATGAAGTTTAGTTTTTTGGAAGAATATCTGGACTTTTTTTTTTGTTTTTTTTTAATCTCAGAGAGTGGAATGGTTGAGCACAACCAAAGACAAAAACATCGTGAAGATTACAGTTGAGTTTTCCAAAGAACTCACGCCCACGTCGCCAGATTGCCTACGCTATTACAACATTCTCTTTAGAAGGTATGTTACCGGGGTTGAGTTTCTTTGATACTCATTCGGTTGTTTTACTGTGTAGTGGTGTGGAATACAGCCATTTGCTTCTAGCACTTAGTGTTCTTCCTAGTCCTCATGTATTAAGAGAGTGAAGGGTCTTGGAGATGAAATGATACTTGAGGCTCAACTGGAATATGCAAGTTCAGTGGCTTATCCTCAATGTTCTTCTCCTGGCCGATGCCCGTTCTTTGTCTCATACCTGCCTAGAAAGAGTAATAGACATCAGCTGTGCACATCTGTGTATGTCTCTGTAGCAAATGCATTTTTTATTCTGTGGTCACTACAATGACAAAATATTGAAAGTTAAAATTTGAAAGGCAGAGTTTGAGGCCGGGCGTGGTGGCTCACGCCTGTAATCCCAGCACTTTGGGAGGCTGAGGCGGGTGGATCATTTGAGGTTAGGAGTTCCAGACCAGCTTGGCCAACATGGTGAAACCCCTCCTCTACTAAAAATACAAAAATTAGCCAGGCATGGTGGCAGGTGCCTGTGGTTTCAGCTACTTGAAAGGCTGAGGCGGGAGAATCACTTGGTCCCAGGAGGTGGAGGTTTCAGTGAGCAGAGATTGTGCCACCACACTCCAGCCTGGGCAACAGAGCGAGACTCTGTCTCCAAAAAAAGACAGTTTGAAAAAGAGACCTTAGTTCAGTTTTGAGAATGAAGAACATTTTGGTAACCTTTCTACAATATTATGTTTATAAGGAGATGGAACAAATGAGGTTAAATGAACCTTAATATCCACCTCATCATGTAACTTAGTTAACAAGTACTTTGTGTTCATTGATAATATAAACAGTCATTGACAGATTTTTTTTCCCTTATGTGTCTTACCAAATGCTTAATAATGTACCCTGTACTTTCAACAAAATCTATTCTTTCCATTTCCAGAACTTTCAAGCTGCTGGATTTTGAACAAGTTGGTCGCAACTATTATACCAAAAAGAAGGCCATTCAGTTATACCGTCATGGGTTTGTATAAAGTAGAAAATTTCACACTCTGCAGACTTAAACGTAGGATTTTTTGAGAAAGTTATTCATTTCATATTTGAAGTGGTATGCCTTAAAAGTGATGGCCTTTTAAATGGTATCCACTGACCATGAACAATTTAGTGTAATGTCAACTCAGTAAGAGTTACTTTAAAAATCTTAGCATGACAAATATAAACGTTTGAGATATTCAGTTGTTGCACACACATTAAGAAGCCTAAACAATCATCCAAAATGTATAATTTGTCTTTGAAAATATCTTCAATCATAGCAACTATATATATTACTCACTGGTATATGTGTATATTAAACATAAGTTATGTTACAGATAAATATGGATATGACACTTTAAGCCTGTGGGTGACAAAACATAGTTGAACAAAAATAGCACATCTGATAAATGTTTATCTGAAGGTCCTTCAAAAGACTAAGAATAAATACTTAAAACTGACTCCTAAGTACCAATTTTTAGACCCAGAGCTTAGGCTTGGAAACCCTTGGCTTTATGTGAAGAGATCGGACTAATACTCTCATGTAATTTATTCTAGTACCAGTTTGGAAATCTGGCTTGGTTATGTTACTTCTGTTCTTCAATACGAAAACAGCATTACCCTCTGTGCCGATGTGAGCCACAAACTGCTCCGAATAGAAACTGCTTATGATTTCATAAAGAGAACATCTGCCCAGGCCCAGACAGGAAACATCCGAGAGGAAGTAACTAATAAATTAATTGGATCAATTGTTCTGACAAAGTAAGTCTGTCTTTTAAAAACCTATCCAATCACTTTAACTCCCCCTTCCCCCACCCCAAGAGATGGTCCTATAGTTTTCTAATCACTAAATGTTGAAGTTGAGGAGTAGAAATTGCAAGAACAACTGAACACGTCTCTCCTCTGGTTATACAACTTGGGAGAAGAATGTGTCAATTGTAGACTTCACTCTTCTTGAAATCCCTAATGCCAGTCCATTTGTTCTGAACCCTACCTTGCACATAACACTAAGCTGTTTCTGAATTTCTTTCCTTTTGCTCTTTTGTGGGCATTTAGCTGGTTTAAAAATCAGTGCTTAGTTATAACCCATCAGCAATTTCCCATTTGAAGGAAGTTTTAAAATCTTTCTACAGCAGAAACCTTAAATTGGTAAGAGAATGGATTTAAAGAACCAGTTACTTAGCCAACACAACCTTACAGGGACACAATTTGAGGACTCACACTTCTCAATTTTAAAACTTACCAGAAAGTTCTGGTAATCAAGACAGTGTGATGTTGGTCTAAAGACAGACAGAGACCAATGAAATAGAGTACAGAAGGTTAACCCTCCACTTCGTCAGCTGACTTCTGACAAGTGTGTCAAGGCAATTCAATAGGGGAAAGAATAGTCTTTTCAATAATGTTGCTGGGACAACTGAACATCCACCTGCTTCTTCCTCATGCAATTCACACAATTCCAGTTTAACTCAAAAACCAACTCAATAGACCTAGATGTAAGAACTAAAAGCATAACATTCTTAGAAAATATAGGACTGAATCTTTTTGACTTTGAGCTAGGGAAACCTTAGATAAGCCACTCAAAGCAGAAGTGATAACAAAAGAAACATAGATACATTGGGCTTCACCAAATTAAAAACTTATTCAAACTATACTATCAAAATTGTGAAAACACAACTGGAAAAACTGGGGAAAATGTTTGCAAATCACATAAGTAACCTGTATCTAGAATATACAAACAATACTTGAGAGACAACATAATTTTTAAAATGGACAAAAGATCTGATTAGATACTTCTCCAGATATATTTCTTAAAATGTACAAATGATCAATAGATGCGTGAAAACGTTTAACATCAGTAGCCATCATGGAAATGCAAGTGAAAACCACAATGAGATATCATTTCACACCCACTAGGATGGTTAAAATTAGATATTGACAAGTGTTGGCAAGGATGTGGAAAGATCAGAAGCAACTCTCTCGTATGCTGCTTGTAGGAATATTAAATGGTATGGCTTCTTTGTAAAACAGTCTGGCACTTTCTTAAAATGCTAACGATATGCATTACTGAAGTGGCCTCGTTTGAGGAAATATATGAGGTTTGTCTCACACTAAGGAAAACAAAGACATAGACCCACAAAGTGTGGGTTTAGGAGCGGAAAGCTGAATAGGTGAAAGAAGAGAAAAGTGCCCCCTTGCAGGGGGAGGGGCATTCCGAATGAATCTCCTGCTTTGCAGAGGGATGCAGTTGGTTTTATAGAGGGGCTTGAGGAGGTGGTGTCTGATTTACGTAGGGCCCAGAGGATTGGTTGGACCAGGTGTGCCATTTACATAGCCTGCGAAGAGGCTGGCCATCCCACCCTAATCTTTCATTATGCAGATGTGATCTCCATCTGGTGGGCGGGCACCATAACACCTGCACACATGGCAGGGACAAGGAGAAGGGAAGAGAACCTCCATGTTGGATATACTGGCTTCTGGCATAACTGCCAGCATCCAACTATGTAAGCTTCCAGCTTGCTTATCTATGTTTGCAGCTTGATTTTTTCAGGCTGCTTTTTGTTAGAAAAATGATTTGGAGGCTGCTTTTTTATTAAGAGAAAATTCCACCGAGAACTTTTACCCTTACTAACCACCTAAATTCCATTTTAACTCCTATATCATCACCATATGAACCAGAAATTTTACTCCTACTTAAATACACAAGAGAAATGAGAACATATTTATTAAAATCGGCACATAAATGTTCATAACCTTATTCATGGTAACCAAAAGTATATACAACCATAATGTCCAGCTGGTGAATGGATAAACAAAAGGTGGGATATCATACAATAGAATATTATTTGGAAATGAAAAGAATTAAGTGCCAAGACTTACTACAGCATGGATGAACCTTAAACATGATGCTAAGTGAAAGAAGCCAGTCGGGAAAGAGCACACGTTGCATGACTCAGTTTACGTGAAATGAATGAGCAAATGTGTTGAGACACGAAGTAGGCTAGTGGCTGCCTGAAGGCTGGTGGATTAGGCTAAAATGGGAAGTGACTGCCTATGGTTATGCTGCTGCTTTGTCTTGATGATTGCACAACTCTGTGGCTGTAGTAAAAACCAGGTGATCGTATGCTCAGATGGGTGAGTTGTACAGTATGTGAATTACATCTTAAGTAAATCTAATATATTCTGCAATTCCTTGCAGGATTAAAAATGTCTATTTTCTGTGTGGATGGTTCCATGTGATGAATAAGTCAAATAATACCATATTGTAATTATTCCACAGATACAACAACAAAACCTACAGAGTAGATGATATTGATTGGAAGCAGAATCCTGAAGACACATTTAACAAATCAGATGGCAGCAAAATCACCTATATAGACTACTACAGGCAGGTATGAAACTGTATTTCTTTAAATATATTTAAATTGTAAACCTTCATGTATTTCAGTTTGTGTTATTTAGCTACTTGAACATATTTGTCATATAAACATACATATTTTCCTTTTAGGGGATTATAGCTTGACTTATCTATTATCCATGCATCCACGTGCCTTGTATATAGGGTAATGTCACATAACTAGAATGGTGCCAGTGTGATCCCTTCTTTCCCTTCTTTCAGTCTTAAAAGTGGCTACTATCATACTTTTTTTTTTTTGAGTTGGAGTCTCGTTCCGTCTCCCAGGCTGGAATGCAGTGGCATGATCTCTACTCATTGCAACCTCTACCTTTCAGGTTCAAGCAATTTTCCTGCCTCAGCCTCCCAAGTAGCTGGGACTACAGGCACCTGCCACCACGCCTGGCTAATTTTTGTATTTTTAGTAGAGACGGGGTTTCACCATATTGGTCAGGCTGGCCTCGAGCTTCCGACCTCAGGTGATCCGCCTGCCTTGGCCTCCCGAAGTGCTGGGATTACAGGCATGAGCCACTGCATCCAGCCTACTACCATAGTTTTTTAAATGTGGTTGGGTTGTTTGGTAGATAATCAAATATGGGCCGGGCGCAGTGGCTCACACCTGTAATCCCAGCACTTTGGGAGGCCAAGGAGGGCGGATCACCTGAGGTCAGGAGATCGAGACCAGCCTGACCAAAACGGAGAAACCCCGTCTCTACTAAAAATACAAAATTAGCCGGGCATGGTGGCACGTGCCTGTAATCCCAGCTACTCAGGAGGCTGAAGCAGGAGAATTGCTTGGACCCGGGTGGCGGGGGTTGCAGTGAGCCAAGATCGCGCCGTTGCACTCCAGCCTGGGCAACAGGAGTGAAACTCCATCTCAAAAAAAAAAAAAAGAAAAAAAATCAAATGTGGTAAGACTTCAGATAAGAAAATATTACTTATCTAGAAATCTCAGCCCTGTAGAACTCAGTCCAAAAAGAATAAAAATGATTAACATGTAAAATGATGTCAGTTATGTGCTAATCTTGTAAGACATGGATTCCTCAATCTGAGTGTTCACTGTGAAGAAGCAGCCACTTTTGGCCAGCCAGGGCAGATGGAAAAAGGGCCTAACGGGTGAACCTATCCTGAATGTGAAACTATCCTGCTGATTCCTCAGTTGTGCTACATGACAGGTACTGGTGGCTTACAGCCCCTCTTTAAACTGTCCTCTTGACGGTTTTCAGTATGCTTTGGGAGTTTTAAAGGCAAGACTGTGGTGAGAACCTCAGATACTGTCTCACCCATTCTCATATACAATGTTAGAGTAGCTTGACGACTCCAGCGTCATGTTTGGTGGGAGTCCTGTATTTGGCCAAGTATGCTCACAAGAAAAGATCCGTGGCATATCAAAGGTAAGAGAATTTTGAGAGTATTCATAGTACACTATTAAACTTGGGGAACCTATATCACCAGCACGCCTGTGGCCCTTCATTTGTAGTCCCACACATGCACTTTTGAACCTCTGTGTGTGATGTTTCTAAGGTTTCACTGATGGTCATGCTGGTCTCTTGTTTGTTGAGCAGCAACATAAAGAAATTGTCACAGTGAAGAAACAGCCACTTTTGGTCAGCCAGGGCAGATGGAAAAAGGGCCTAACGGGTACACAACGTGAACCTATCCTGCTGATTCCTCAGCTGTGCCACATGACAGGTACTGATGGATTACAGCCCCTCTTTAAAGTCAGGTATAATTACGACTTAACGCAGGCTTTTCAGGGAATTCGAAGGGTGTCTCCTTGGTAGTAGGTTCCTCCAGCTGTTATAATTTAGTCCTCACTCAAATTCATGCTTGTTCAGCTGTATCTTTTGGATTTTTTTAAAGGTCTAACAGATGAAATATGTAAAGATTATAGCATTGTGAAAGAATTGGCTAAACATACAAGATTGAGTCCAAGAAGAAGGCATCATACATTAAAAGAATTCATCAATACTCTACAAGAGTAAGTGCTGCTTTTCTGGCTGAGTGTGTGTACATGTGCATGGTGTCCCAGTGAAGCTGATGGCATCTCAGCCCTGGCATGTCAGATTCTTCTACAAGCAAGTGACAATGGGAAGAATTTTGATGTTGGGGGACAACTCTAGTTTTTCTGTCATTGCAAGATTAGGAGGCCGGGGGGGAAGAATGAAATCAAAAGGCTATAAGTACCTATATGAACATGAAAGCAAAAACAAGATTTCTGAGTTTCAGGGAAGGTACTGCCGCATCTCAATGCTGCGGACAAGTGATGGTGAACCTTGGAATAGAAGGAAATTGCCTTGCACAAATGGCTAGCTGCTTTTACTTATTTGGTTTGATCATGTTGGCAATATTTTAATTTTCAGTAATAAAAAAGTACGAGAGTTACTTCAACTCTGGGATTTGAAATTTGATACCAATTTTTTGTCCGTCCCGGGAAGAGTTTTGAAAAACGCAAACATCGTGCAAGGCAGAAGAATGGTAAGACAGTTTCAAAATCATCATGTCATGGTGGGGTCAAATGAAGAGTAAAGCAAAAAGGAACTAACTTGAGTCTCAGTAATGACTACGACTGCTGTTCTTTTTTCAGACTGCTCATTCTTTCTATATTGAGCCAATAAGAAACACTAAGAATGAATGTAAGGTGCTTGGCACATAGTAAGCTCTGTATTATGTCTATCTAATTAATATTCTGGACAATTGCTCATGGCATTTGGAAGATCCATTTTTTCAAATATATCCTTAAGAGTCAAGTACCTAGAATCAAAGTAATTCACTAACCTATGTCAAAAAAACTTTATTTAAATTTTGTTATCTTTAGTTTTTGTGGGTACATAGTAGGTATGTATATTTATGGGTTACATGTGGTATTTTGATACAGGCATGCAGTGCATAATCACATCAGGTTAAGTGGGGTATCTATCCCCTCAAGCATTTGTCCTTCATGTTACAAACCAATTATATTCTTTTAGTTATTTTAAAATACACAAATTATTTTTTACTTTAGTCACCCTTTTGTACTAGCAGATGCTAGGTCTTACTCATTTCTTCTATTTTTTGTACCCATTAACCATCATCCCCACATTCTCCTCCAACCTCCCACTACCCTTCCCAGACTCTGTAACCATCCTACTCTATCTCCATGAGTTCAATTGTTTTCATCTTGTAGATCCCACAAATAAGTGAGAACATGTAAAGCTCATTTTTCTGTGCCTGGCTAATTTCATTTAACACAGTGACCTTCAGTTCCAGCCTTGTTGCAAATGACAGGGTCTCATTGTTTTTTTTACGGCTGAATAGTACTCCATTGTGTATATGTATCACATTTTCTTCATCCATTTATCTGTTGGACATTTACATTGCTTCCAAATCTGGGTTATTGTGAACAGTGCTGCAATAAACATGGAAGTACAGATATCTCTTCAATATCCTAATTTCCTTTATTTTGGCTATATGCCTAGGAGTGGGATTGCTGCAACATATGTTAGCTCTATTTTTAGTGTTTTGAGGAACCTCCAAACTGTTCTCCATAGTGGTTATAGTAATTGACATTCCCACCAACTGCGTATGAGGGCTCCCTTTTCTCCACATCCTTACCAACATTTGTTATTGCTTGTCTTGCATAAAAGCCATTTAACTGGGGTGAGATGATATCTCATTGTAGTTTTGATTTGCATTTCTCTGATCATTGATATCAGCACTTTTTCATATGCCTGTTTGCTATTTGTATGTCTTCAGAAATGTCTGTTCAAGTGTTTTGTCCATTCTTAATTGGATTATTTTTCCCCTATAAAGTTGTTTGCTTTCCTTAGATTTTGGTTATTAATCCCTTGTCAGACAGGTAGTTTGCAAATATTTTCT
The DNA here is from genome assembly GCF_000001405.40 of Homo sapiens. Classification (NCBI taxonomy): domain Eukaryota; kingdom Metazoa; phylum Chordata; class Mammalia; order Primates; family Hominidae; genus Homo; species Homo sapiens. The sequence goes on along the minus strand of NC_000022.11, from coordinate 24,747,526 downwards.
CCCATTCTGTGAGTTGTTGCTCTACTTTGTTTCCTTTGCTACATAGAAGCTTTTTAACTTGATGTGATCCTACATATCCATTTTTGCTTTAGTTGCCTGTGCTTGTGGGGTATTGCTCAAGAAATCTTTGCTCACTCTAATGTCCTGGAGAGTTTCCCCAATGTTTTCTTGTAGTGGTTTCATAGTTTGAGGTCTTGGATTTATGTCTTCAAGCCATCTTAATTTTTTTTAATATATGGTGAGAGATAGGGATCTAGTTTCATTCTTCCGCATATGGATATACAGAAGAGACTGTCCTTTCCCCAATGTATGTTCTTGGTTCCTTTGTCAAAAATGAGTTCACAGTAGATATGGATTTATTTTTGGGTTCTCTATTTCTGATCCACTGGTCTATATGTCTGTTTTTATGCCAGTACCATGCCATTTTGGTTACTATAGCTCTGTAGTATAATTTGAAGTCAGGTAATATGATTCTTCCAGTTTTGTTCTTTTTGCTTAGGATAGCTTATGGAATTCTGGGTCTTTTGGTTTTAAAATAAGTTTTAGGATAGTTTTTTCTGTTTCTATAAAGAATACCCTTGGTATTATGATAGGGATTGCTTTGGATAATATGGACATTTTAATGTATCGATTCTTCTAATTCATGAACATGGAATATCTTCATTTTTGTGTGTGGCCTCTTAAATTTCTTGCATCAGTGTTTTATAGTTTTCATTGTAGGGATCTTTCACTAATTTGGTTAGGTTAATTCCTAGGTATTTTATTTTTATCTATTGTAAATGGGATTCTTTTTCAGATTGTTCACTGTTAGCATATAGAAATGCTACTGATTTTTTGTTTTTTTGTATCCTGCAACTTTATTAAATTTATCAGTTCTATGTTTTTTTTTTTTGGAGTCGTTAGATTTTTCCAAATATCAGATCCTATCTTTGCAATTTGGATTATCTTAATCTTTTGTATGATGACTCTAGCTAGGACTTCTAGTACTATGTTGAATAACAATGGTGACAGGGAGCATCCTTGTTGTATTCTAGATCTTGGAGAAAAGGCTTTCAGTTTTTTCCCATACTAGCTGTGGGTCTGAAGTGTATGGCTTTTATTATGTTGAAATATGTTCATTCTATACCCAGGTTTTGAGGGTTTTCAATTATGAAGGGATATTGAATTTTAATAAATGCTGCTCAGCATCAGTTGAAATGATCATATGAGTTTGTCCTTCATTCTGTGGATATATCATGTTGATTTGCCTACATAGAACCATCCTTGAATCCCTGGGACAAATCCCACTTGGTGATGAACTTTTTTTACTGTGTTAGTAAATTGTTTGCTGGTATTTTGTTGAGGATTTTTTATATCAGTGTTCATTGGAGATATTGGCCTGTAGTTTTCTTTTCTTGATGTGTCTTTGGTTTTAGTAATACTTCATGAAATGACTTGGAAGTATTCCCTCCTCCTCTATTTTTCGGAATAGGAGTAGGATTGGTATTAGTTCTTCTTTAAATGTTTGGCAGAATTCAGCAGTGAAGCGATCAGGTCCTGGGCTTTTCTTTGGGAAACTTTTTATTACATCTCTGATCTTATTACTTGTTATTGGTCTGTTCTGGTTTTGGATTTCTTCATGGTTTGATCTTGGTAGGTTGTATATGTTTAGTAATTTTTCCATTTCTTCTAGATTTTCCAATTTACTGGCATATAGTTGCTCATAGTAGCCAGGAATGAACCTTTACATTTCTGCAATATTGGTTGTCCTCTCCATTTTCATCTCTGGTTTTACTTATTTGGATCTTCTTTTTTTTTTTTTTTTTTTTTCTTAGTCTGACTAAAGATTTGTCCGTTTTGTTTATCTTTTCAAAAAACCTTTTGTTTCATTGATCTTTTATATTTTCTTCATTTTAATTTCATTTTTCTTGGCTCTATGATCTTCATTCTTTTAGGCTTGGTTTGCTCTTGCTTTTGTTTGTTTGTTTGTTTATTTATTTAGAGACAGAGTCTCACTCTGTTGCCCAGGCTGGAGTGTAGTGGGGTGATTCTGGCTCACTGCAACCTCCACCTCCCTGGTTCAAGCAATTCTTGTGCCTCAGTCTCCCGAGTCCCAGCACCTGGGATTTTGCCATCTTGGCCAGGTTGGTCTTGAACTCCTGACCTCAAGTGATCTGCCCATCTCGGCCTCCCAAAGTGCTGGGATTACAGGTGTGAGACACCACATCTGGCTTTGTATTTCTAATTCTTTAAGATGCGTCATTAGGTGGTTTGAAGTTTTGCTCTTTTGATGTAGGCACTTATAGCTATAAAATTCCCTCTTATTACTGCTTTCGCTGTATCCCATAGGTTTTGGTATGTCATGGTTTCATTATCATTTGTTTCAAGAAAAGTCTCAATTTCCTTAATTTGACCCATGAACAGTGGTCATTCAGGAGCATATTGTTTAGTTTCCATGTGTTTGTATAGTTTCCAAAATTCCTCGTTTTTGATTTCTAGTTTTGTTTCATGTGATCAGAGAAGATGCTTTGTTTGTCTTTTGAATGTTTTAAGACTTCTTTTGTAACCTAATATATGGTCTATCCTTGAATGATCCATGTACTGAGGAAAAGAATGTTCATCGTGCAGCTATTGGCTGAAATCTTCTGTAACTACGATGTCCCTCTGGTGTATAGTGCAGGTTAAGGCCAACATTTCCCTTTTTTGTCTGAAAGATCTGTCCAGTGCTGAAAGTGGGATGTTAAAGTCTCCAGCTATTATCGTATTGGGGACTATCTCTCCTTAGCTCTAATAATACTTGTTTTATATATCTGGGTTACTCCAGTGTTGAGTGTATATATATTTACAATTGTCATATCCTCTTGCTGAATTGACCACTTTATTGTTGCATAGTGACCTTCTTTGTCTCATAGTTTTTGTCTTGAAATCTATTTTGTCTAAGTATAGCTATTCCTGTTTTTTTTGTTTTTGTTTTTGAGACAGAGTCTTGCTCTGTCGCCCAGGCTGGAGTGCAGTGGCATGATCTCGGCTCACTGCAATGTCCTCCTCCCGGGTTCAAGCGATTCTCCTGCCTCAGCCTCCTGAGTAGCTGGGATTACAGGTGTGTGCCACCACGCCCAGCTAATTTTTTTTGTATTTTTAGTAGAGACAGGTTTCACCATGTTGGTCAGGCTGGTCTCGAACTCCTGACCTTGTGATTCACCTGCCTCGGCTTCCCAAAGTGCTGGGATTACAGGCATGAGCCACCGCACCTGGCCTTTTTTGTGTTTTTTCATGCCTTTATTTTCAGTCTATGTGAGTCTTTATAGGTCAAGTGTTTTTTGCAGGCAGCAGATCATTGTTTTTTTTTTTTTTTTTTTTTTTTTTTTTAATTCGGTCACTCTTTCAATTAGAGTTTAGTCCATTTACATTCAGTGTTATTATTGAGAAGTAAGGATTTACTCCTGCCATTTTGTTATGTGTTTTCCGGTTTTATAGTCTCTTCTTCCTCCTTTCTTTCCTGCCTTCCTTTTAGTGAAGGTGATTTTCTCTAGTATGCTATAACTTGTTTGTTTTGTGTATCCATTGCATATTTTTGAAGTTACCATAAGGTTTGCAAATACTGTCTTATAACCCCTTCTTTTAAGGTGCCGACAACACTGCTTGCAAACAAACAAGCAAAAAGAAAATGAATAAACTCTATTTTAAATTTGTCGTTTGCTTTTTAAAACATTTTTCTTCTGTTTTTTTAAATTTTATTTCAATAGGTTTTTGTGGAACAGGTAGTTACGTGGATAAGTTCTAGTGGTGATATTTGTACTTTTGGTGCATCCATCACCTGAGCAGTGTACACTGTACTGAACATGTAGTATTTGATCCATCACCCCCTCCCATCCTTCCCCGCAGTCCCCAAAGTCCATTGCATCATTCTTACGCCTTTGCATCCTCATAGTTCAGCTCCCACTTATGAGTGAGAAGATAACAATGTTTGGTTTTCCATTCCTGAGTTACTTCATTTAGAATAATGGTCTCCAACTCCAGGTTGCTGCAAACCCTTTTTATGGCTGAGTAGTATTCCATGGTATGAATATACACATTTTCTTTATCTACTCATTGACTGAACATTTGGGATGGTTCTATATTTTTGTGATCGCAAACTGTGCTGCTATAAACTTGCATGTGCAAGTATCTTTTTCATATAATGACTTTTCCTCTGGGCAGATACCTAGTAGTGGGATTGCTAGTTCAAATGGTAGATCTTGTAGTCCTTTAAGAAATCTCTACACTGTTTTCCAGAGTGGTTGTACTAGTTTACATTCCCACCAGCTGTATAAAAGTGTTCCCTTCTTGCCACATCCATGTCAACATCTGTCTTTTGATTTTTTTTTTAATTGCCATTGTTGCAGGAGTAAGGCGGTATTGCATTTTCCTGGTCATTAGAACATGTTTTCATGTTGGCCATTTGTATATCCTTTGAGAATTGTCTATTCATGTCCTTTGCCCACTTTTTGATGGGATTGTTTTCTTTCTTGCTGATTTGAGTTCCTTGTAGATTCTGGATATCAGTCCTTCATCATATGCATAGTTTGGGAATATTTTCTCCCATTCTGTGAGTTGTCTGTTTGCTGATTATTTCTTTTGCTGTGCATAAGTTTTTTAGTTTAATTAAGTCCCATTGATTTATCTTTGTGTTGCATTTGCTTTTGGGTTCTTGGTCATGAAGTCTTTGCCCAAGCCAATGTCTAGAAGGGTTTTTCTGATGTTATCTTCTAGAATTCTTATGGCTTCAGGTCTTAGATTTAAGTCTTTGATCCATCTTGAGTTGATGTTTGTATAAGGTGAGAGATGAGATCCAGTTTCTTTCTGCTACATGTGGCTTGCCAATTATACCAGCATCATTTGTTGAATAGGTTATCCTTTCCCCACTTTGTTTTTGTTTGCTTTGTCAAAGACCAGTTAGCTACAAGTATTTGGCTTTATTTCTGGGTTCTCTATTCTGTTCCATTGGTCTATGTGCCTATTTTTTATACCAGTACCATGTTGTTTGGATGACTATAGCCTTGTAGCATAGTTTGAAATCAAATAATATGATGCCTCCAGATTTGTTATTGCTTAGTCTTCCTTTGGCTGTGCAGGCTCTTTTTTGGTTCCATATGAATCTAGGATTTTTTTGATTTTTTTTTCTAGTTCTATGAAGAATGATGATGGTATTTTGATGGGAATTGCACTGAATTTGTAGATTGCTTTTGGCAGTATAGTCATTTTCACAATATTGATTCTACCCATCCATGAGCATGGGATGTGTTTTCATTTGTGTCACCTGTGATTTCTTTCAGTAGTCTGTTGTAGTTTTCCTTATAGAGGTCTTTTACCTCCTTGGTTAGGTTAGGTATATTCCTTTTTTTTTTTTTTTTTTTGCAGCTATTGTAAAAGTGGTTGAGTTCTTGATTTGATTCTTAGCTTGGTTGCTGTTGATGTATAGCAGTGCTACTGATTTGTTACATTAATTTCATATCCTGAAATTTCATTGAATTCTCAGATCTAGGAGCTTTGTTGGATGAGTCTTTAGGGTTTTCTAGGTATGCAATCATATCATCAGCAAACAGTGACAGTGTGACTTCCTCTTTGCCGATTTGGATGTCCTTTATTTCTTTCTCCTGTCTGATTGCTCTGGCTAGGACTTATAGTACTATGTTTCATAGAAGTGGTGAAACGGGGGGCATCTGTCTTGTTGCAGTTCTTGGGGGGGAATGCTTTCAACTTTTCACCGTTAACCTGCTCCTGAATGATCATTGGGTTATCTAATTTCCATGTATTTGCATGATTTTGGGTGTTCCTTTTGGAGCTGATTTCCAGTTTTACTCCACTGTGGTCTGAGAGAGTACTTGATATAATTTTGATTTTCTTCAATTTGAGACTTGTGTCCTTTGCTTTTTAACTTATGTTTCTATTTATATCCTATGGCTTTTATTACCTTAAGGTATGTCCCTTCTATGCCGATTTTGCTGAGGTGGTTTGTTTTTTGTGGGTGGTTGGTTTTTTTGTTTGTTTGTTTTTGTTTTTTTGAAACAAATTCTCACTCTGTCAGCTAGGCTGGAGTGCAGTGGCACAACCTTGGTTCACTACAACCTCTGCCTGTTGGGTTCAAGTGATTCTCCTACCTCAGCCTCCCAAATAGCTGGGACTATGGTGCATGCCACCAGGCCCGGCTAATTTTTAGTAGAGACAGGGTTTCACCATGTTAGCCAGGATGGTCTTGATCTCCTGACTTCGTGATTGGCCCACCTCTGCCTCCCAAAGTGCTGGGATTACAGGTGTGAGCCACCGCGCCTGGCCATGAGGTTTTTAATCATAAAGCGATGCTGGATTTTATCAAATGCTTTTTCTGCATCTATTGAGATAACCATGTGATTTTTGTTTTTAATCCTGTTTGTGTGGTGTAGCACGTTTATTGACTTGCATATTTTAAACCATCCCTGTATCCCTGGTACAAAGCCCACTTGATCATGGTGGATTATCTTTTTGATATGGTGATGGATTCATTTAGCTAGTATTTTGTTGAGAATTTTTACATCTATGTTCACCAGGAAGATTGATCTATATAGTTTTCTTTTGTTTTCTTCTTTCTTGGTTTTGGTATTAGGGTGATACTGGCTTCATAGAATGATTTAGGAGGATTCCTTCTTTCTTTGTCTTTTGGAATAGTTTCAGTAGGATTGGCACCAATTCTTCTTTGAGTGTCTGACAGAATTCAGCTGTGAATCCATCTGGTCCTGGACTTTTTTTGGTGGCATCTTATATTACCATTTCAATCTCACTGCTTGTTATTGGCCTGTTCAGAGTTTGTTTCTTCCTGGTTTGATCTAGGAGGGTTGTATATTTCCGGTTCCAGGAATTTATCCATCTCCTCTAGGTTTTCTAGTTTGTGTGTGTAAAGGTGTTCATAGTGGCCTTGAATGATCTATTGTATTTCTGTGGTATCAGTTGTAATATCTCCAGTTTCTTTCTTTTTTTTTTTTTTGAGATGGAGTCTTGCTCTGTTGCCCAGGATGGAGTGCAGTGGCATGATCTCAGCTCACTGCAAACTCTGCCTCCCGGGTTCATGCCATTCTCCTGCCTCAGCCTCCCAAGCAACGGGGACTACAGGCACCTGCCACCATGTCTGGCTAATTTTTTGTGTTTTTAGTAGAGACGGGGTTTCACCATGTTAGCCAGGATGGTCTCGATCTCCTGACCTTGTGATCCACCCGCCTCGGGCTCCCAAAGTGCTGGGATTACAGGAGTGGGCCATTGTGCCCAGCCTCCCGTTTCATTTCTAATTGAGCTTTTAGAAATTTTTTTTTTTTTTTTGAGACAGTCTCCCTCCGTTGCCCAGGTTGGAGTGCAGTGGTGGCACGATCTTGGCTTGCTGCAAACTCCACCTCCTGGGTTCAAGCAATTCTCTGCCTCAGCCTCCTGAGTAGCTGGGACTACAGGTGCCTGTCACCATGCCCGGCTAATTTTTTTTTTTTTTTTTTGAGACCGAGTCTCACTTTGTCCCCCAGGCTGGGGTGCAGTGGGCACCATCTTGGCTCAGTGCAAGCTCCACCTACCGGGTTCACACCATTCTCCTGCCTCAGCCTCCTGAGTAGCTGGGACTACAGGTGCCTGTCACCATGCCCGGCTAATTTTTTTGTATTTTTAGTAGAGATGGGGTTTCACTGTGTTAGCCAGGATGGTCTCGATCTCCTGACCTCATGATCCTCCCGCCTCGGCCTCTCAAAATGCTGGGATTACAGGCATGAGCCACCGCCCCCGGCCCTATTACCAGTAAGTTTTGTACCTTCAGATGAATTCCTATTGCTCCTCAACATTCCTCTTTTTCTGATTGAAGTACCCCTTTTAGCATTTCTTTGTAGGGCAGATCTGGTGTTGATGAAATCCCTCGGCTTTTGTTTGTCTGGAAAAGTCTTTGTCCTTCATGTTTGAAGGATATTTTTACTGGGTATATTATTCTGGGGTAATTTTTTTTTTCCTACAGCACTTTAAAGATGTTATGCTACTCTCTTCTGATCTGTATGGCTTCCACTGAAAAGTCTGCTGCCAGATGTATTGGAGCTCCATTCTATGTTATTTTTCTCTTGCTGCTATTAGGATCCTTTCTTTATCCTTGACCTTTTAAAGTTTGATTATCAAATGCCTTGAAGTAGTTGTCTATGGGTGAAATCTACTGTAACCACTTTATACTTAGATATTGATATATTTCTTTAGGTTTGGGAAGTTCTGCTATCTCTTTGAGTGAACTTTGTACCATTATCTCTTTCTTTACCTTGTCTATAAGGACAGTAACTCTTTGATTTTCCCTTTTGAGGCTATTTTCTAGATTTTGTAGGCATGCTTCTGTGTTTTCTTTTGTCTCCTCTATGTGTTTTCAAACAGCCTGCCTTTGAACTCAGTAATTCTTTCTTCTGCTTGATTTAATTCTGCTCTTAAGAGACTCTGATGTATTCAATATGTCAATTGCATGTTTTAACTCCAGAATTTCTACTTGAATCTTTTTAATTATTTCAACCTCTTTGTAGAATTTATCTACTAGAATTCCCAATTCTTTCTGTTATCTTGAATTTCTTTGAGTTTCCTCTTAAATAGCTATTTTGAGTTGTCCGAAAGGTCACATATCTGTTTCTCCAGAACTGGTGCCTGGTGCCTTATTTGGTTCATTTTCTGAGGTCCGTGTTTTCCTGGATGGTCTTGATGCTTGGGGAAGTTGATGAGTGTTTGGGCATTGAAAGTTAGGTTTTCATTGTTCTCTTCGCCATCTGGGCTTGTTTGTATTCATCTTCCTTGGGAAGGCTGTCCAGGTATTCAGAAGTACTTGGGTATTGTGATCTAAGTCATATCTGCATCAGGGGACATTCCAAGCACAGTAATGCTATGGTTCTCACAGATTCATGGTGATATCACCTTGATGATCTTGATATGATCCAGAAGACTTCTGGATTACCAGGCAGAGAGTCTTGTTTGCTTACTTTCTGTGTCTCTGTGCTGAACCGCCTGGAGCTGGGTTTGGGGTGACACAGGCATCCCTGCGGTGACCACCAATGGGACTGCACGGGGTCAACCTGAAGCCAGCACAGCACTGGGTCTTGCCCAAGGCCCACTGTGACCACCACCAGGCTACCAGCTATGTTGGCTCAAGGCCCTAGGGCTCTGCAATCAAGTGGTAAAGCAGCCAGACTTATGTCCTTCCCTTCAGGGGCAGTAAGTTCCCCCAGGCCCTGGGCAGGTACAGAAATGCCAGTCAGGAGTCAGGGACTGGAGTCAAAAATCATAGAAACCCACCTGGTATTCTTTTGTACTGTGGCTGAGCTGGCACTCAAATCACATGATGCAGACCTTCTCACTCTTCCCTTCCTTCTTTTTCTTTTTCTTTCTTTTTTTGAGACAGTCTTGCTCTGTCGCCTAGGCTGGAGTGCAGTGGTGCAATCTTGGCTCACTGCAACCTCCACTTACTGGGTTCAAGCGATTCTCATGCCTCAGCCTCCCAAGTAGCTGGGATTACAGCGCCCACCACCACAGCCAGCTAATTTTTATATTTTTAGTAGAAGACGGGGTTTCATCAGGTTGGCCAGACCTCCTGACCTCAAGTGATCCACCTGCCTTGGCCTCCCAAAGTCCTGGGATTCCAGGCGTGAGCCACCGCGCCCGGCCCCCTTCTCTTTCTACACATAGAGGAGCCTCACCCCATGGCCACCACCACCACAGGCCCATAGGGAGTACTGCTAGGCTACTACCACTGTTCCCTTAAGGTCCATGGGCTCTTCAGTCAGCTTGCGGTGAATGCTGCCAGGCCTAGGACTTACCCTTCAGGGCAGCGTGCTCCACTTTGGCCCCAGGCAGGTCCAGAAATGCCATCCACGAGCCAAGGCCTGGGATTGGGGACCCCAAAAGCCTGCTTGATGCTCTACCCCACTGTGGCTGAGATGGCACCTAAGGTGCAAGACAAAGTCCCCTTTACTCTTCCACTTTTCCCTCTACTTTTCTCAAGCAGGAGTCTCTCCCCATAGCCACAACAGCTGGGAATATGCTGGTTCTCACCTGAAGCCAGCATGTCTGAGTCCACCCAAGGCCCTCACATTCTACCTGGGTATTATTGCTGGTTCTTCAGGGTCCAAGGGCTCTTTAGTCAGTAGGTGATGAAACCTGCCTGGGCTGGGTCCTTCCCTTCAAAGCAACAGGTTTCCCTTCTGGCCCAGGGTATGTCTAGAAATGTCATCTAAGAGCTAGGGTCCAGAATGGGAGCCTCACAACCGTGACTGTTGTCCTGTCCTACTGTAGCTGCGCTGGTATCCAAGATACAAGACAAAGTCTTCACTCTTCCTTCTTTTCTCCTGAAGCAGAAAGAAGGGCTCTCTTTTGGAGCTTTGAGCTGTGCTGCCATTGAGTTGGGGGAGGGATGATGCAAGCACTCTCTTAGCTACCCTGGCTGGTGCCTCAGTAGATCCTGTCCCCTACCCCTCCACCCCTAGTTTATGAGCTCTGAGCTCAGATCAGCATTAGGACTTGCCTAGGGATTGCAGTCTTTGTGGCCTAAACTGTTTCTCAGGTTCACTTAGGGCCACAGAGCACCCCAGCCCATGGTGCTGAGGCTTTCCAGAACTCGAGCTCTGACCACTGGGCTGGGAAATTCCCCTTTGGCTAGGGCCAGAATCAAATGTTCCCCCTATGGGTGGCCATCAGCTGAGGACAGCTCAGTTCTGCTTTCTGCTGTGACAGGGCAGTGCTGATTTTAATGCAAAGCCTCACAGTTGCTGTGCTCTCCCTCTCCCAACTGCACAGATTCTTGGCACCATGCAGGGGTGGGAGAAGGGTGACGTCAGCAATTCAAGACTGTTTTTCCTACCTTCAGTGCCTCTTTCAGCAATATAAAGTAAAAACCAGACACTGAGTGCTCACCTGATGTTTGGTTCCTATGAAGGTGCTCCCTTTGTACAAATAGTTGTCAAACTTAGTGTTCCTCTTGTAGGGATGATCAGTGGAGCCCTCTATTTGGCCATCTTACTCCATCCTTGGTTAAATGTCTCAAGTGTCATTCCTTGGAATAAAGTTCCCACTAAAAGACTAAATATTTAGGGAGCACATGCTGTGATAGAACAGTATGAGGAGGCAGTCTGAGTCTAACAGCACTGAAAAGCTCCAAAAGAAACTTCAAATAAAATTAAGTTTATTTGCACTAAGACTGATTCACCAATTGTGCAGCATTCAATCAGAAGGGGTTCAGAGAGTTCTGCTGCAGCAGTGTGAACAGTGAGCTATTATAGGCCGATGCAAAATAGGACAAAATACATTTGATCTATTAGAGTGGAAGGACCCTAGTTGGTAGTTGGAAGTTTCTGATTGGTAAAGTCTCTGGCTTTGCTTTACTGTTTATACTGGAGTTTGCTTTGCCTACATAGGAACCTAAAGCTCTGGAGCCATCTCCCCTGCAATGGCCTCTCAATTAAAATTTTTAACACCTAGGATAGAATTTCAGTCCTATTAACCTATATCTTAATGAAAAAAATACCTACATTGGCCATTCAAGTTTATAATTGTAACATTTCTATAGGAGATAGCACGGATTTACAGCGTACAGGATCTCAGATAAGTTGATCTTTAAAATAAAGTTTTATGCCATGTCTTATAATTCTTTTCCAGGTTAAAGCCAATTCACAAGGAGACTGGTCAAGAGAAATAAGAGAATTACCCTTACTTAATGCAATGCCACTACATAGTTGGCTCATACTCTATAGCAGGAGCAGTCACAGAGAAGCCATGTCCTTAAAGGGTCATCTACAGAGTGTCACAGCCCCCATGGGCATAACTATGAAACCAGCAGAAATGTAAGTAGAGCAGAAATTCCCATTTGAAAATCGATTGTTAGCAATCTTAAAGTATAATAACTAAAATATTAAATTGTAGGAATTGGTCACTGTATCAAAACCTTAGAGTTTGTAAAGTCTAATCTCTAGTCAAAAAATATTAAAACAGACTTTGTGATATATGGTTTACGGCTATTAAGATACATGTTGTAGAAGGTATGAGAATTAAGAACTTGATGTGAATGGATGGGAGAATATTAAGAATTCTCACGCATGTTTCCAAAAACTGAACTTAAAAAACTTTCTAGAGAAGTTTTAGGTTTACAGCAAAAGTAAGAGGAGATTAGAGACTTCTCATATATATCCTGCCCCCAATAATGCATAGCCTCCCCCATCAACATCCCCTACCAGTGTGGTACATTTGTTGCAGCTGATGAGCCTACATTGAAATATCATAATCACCCAAAGTCCATAGTTTACAGTAGGGTTCACTCTTGGAGTTGTACATTCTACTGGTTTGGACAAATGTATATGACATGTATCCACCATTGGTTTCATGCACAGTATTTTTCACTGCCCTAAAAGTCTTCTGTGCTTCACCTAATTATCCCTTCCTACCACCACCTGCCCCTTGCACCACAACCTCTGAGGACCACTAATTTATTTATTTTTTTATTTTTTTATTTTTTTACCGTCTCCATGGTTTTGCCTTTTTAGAATGTCATCTAGTTAGACTCATACAGTATGTAGTCTTCTCAGCCTCGGCTTCTTTTGCTTAGTACTTGGATGATAAAATCTGTACAACAAACCCTCAGGGCACAAGTTTACCTATATAACAAACCTGCATGTGTACCCCTGAACCTAAACGTTGTTTTTTTTGGTTTTTTTTTCTAAAAAAAAAAAAAAAAGTTATGTTCTGGTTAACTAGCTTCTCCTGAGGGCAGGGTTTGTTAGGAACACAGGACCCTGGTGTATTTCAAAATAAATTCTTTTCCCCTCCCCCTGCTGGAAGCACTAGACAATTTTCCTCTGGTTTTTACTGTGAGAACCTGGTCAAGCTCCTAGAGGTAAAACTCTCAAAACTGTGGGGACCCTCCTGTGACTGGGTATACCTGGAATTTTTAACCCTCACAGTTGTCCATGCTGAGCCTGCAGTAATTCATCAGTTACAGTTCAGGTGGTCTGACCCAGGAACTGTTTCCCTGGGAAGTTTCCAGAGTCTTTGCTCCAGCTAGCCAGGACTCCTTGTTTTTGCTTATTTGTCTCTTCAATATTGGAGGCAGTGATTTGCCCTGTGTCCTCACCTCTCTTGAAAATCCTAGGAGAGCTGTTCATTGTTTTCAGTCTGTTTAGCTTTTGACTTGCTGTTAGGGCAGAGTAGTGATGTCAAAGCTCCTTACAAGTAGAATCGGAAACTGAAAGTCTACTGTCTTTTTTCTTTTAAACATACTTTCTACTGAAATGCATATCTTGGTATTTTATCATGTCTTACTTTGTATTTAATTTGCTGGGTGAAACGTTTGTTTCACTGGTTGGTATCTTTTGGATGTGGATGCTATATTTATTTTTTAGGATTGAAGTAGATGGTGATGCTAACTCCTATATAGACACATTACGGAAATATACTAGACCAACACTGCAGATGGTAAGTGTCTAGTTGATACATGTACAATCTTTTAGTTATTGTTCCAAACCATCTTGATAAGTATTTTAGAATTCAAAATGTTGTTGTTGGTTTCCTGAACTTGCCAACGAAAGCAGATTAACCTGCTATTAGCTGAATACAAACTTTCATGGTTTAGCTATTCCTGAGTATCACAATCGTATGCTAATTTTCTCAGACTTGGAGACTCGTAATTACTTTTAAAATCTCCTAACTTGAAAAAATACACCATACAAATGTAAAGTAGTGTGGGTATTAATAATCACATTCATTACTTTTACCCGCAGGTGTAACCTGCCAAGTCTGTGATCACGATCTTCTAGCCTATTATTCTTCTTGCCTGTTTTTTTTTGTTGTTGTTGTTTTTTGTTTGTTTGTTTGTTTTTGAGATGGAGTCTTGCTCCATGGCCCAGGCTGGAGTGAAGTGGCATGATCTCGGCCCACTGTAACCTCTGCCTCCCGGTTCAAGCAATTCTCCTGCCTCAGCCTCCCAAGTAGCTGGGATTACAGGCGCCTACCACCATGCCCAGCTAATTTTTATATTTTTAATAGAGATGAGGTTGGCCAGACTGGTCTCGAACTCCTGACCTCCAGTGATCTGCCTACCTCGGCCTCCCAAAGTGCTGGGACTACAGGCATGAGCCACTGTGCCAGGCAATAGTTGCCTGGTATTTTTCTAGGAGTCTGTTCTTTCCTTTCTTCCATTTGGTGTCTTAGACCAAGTTGTCATTATGTTGTATCTGAATTACTACAGCAAATTCTTTTTCTTTCTTGGGCTCTTTACACTAGTTCATCTTCTTTCTTCCCCCAGGATGATCTTGAGGGGTAGAGGTGGGAAGATGTCTTTGTTTCTTGACCATGAAACCAGAATGTTTTCCTATTGTGTTTTACATGAAGCCTAGACTTTCTTCTTTTAATTGCCCCTAGGGAACCCTTGTAGGATACCCTGAAGAATACCTTATGTGAGCCGTACGCATTCTGAAATGTAATGTCTGCATTTTGAAATCCTGTTGGACTTAAGTTTTATGTGTTGCTTCCTGTTACTTGAGTATTGTTTTATTCTTTCCTGGCCCCCTCTTGGTAAGAGAAGCCCCCATTGGGAACCAGCAAAGCTTCCTGTTCTAGGATTAGAATCAGAGTAAAAGGGGCTTTGGCAGCTGTTTGAATTCCAGCTTATTCTCATAACAGGAATCTCTTTGCTCATTTGGTATCTGCCTGAAAAGCTCAAGATTACCTTTTCTTTTTTTTTGAGACAGAGTCTCACTCGTCACCCAGGCTGGACTGCAGTGGCGTGATCTCGGCTCAAGCTCCGCCTCCCAGGTTCATGCCATTCTCCTGCCTCAGCCTCCCGAGTAGCTGGGACTACAGGCGCCTGCCGCCACACCCGGCTAATTTTTTGTATTTTTAGTAGAGACGGGGTTTCACTGTGTTAGCCAGGATGGTCTCGATCTCCTGACCTCGTGATCCACCTGCCTCGGCCTCCCAAAGTGCTGGGATTACAGGCGTGAGCCACCGCACCCGGCCTCAAGATTACCTTTTTAATGTGGGGCTTTCTTTAAAGAACTTCTGCCTCTTGAAGAAGAACTTGTCCTACTTTTACTCATTTACTCATTTATTCATCCTAGATTTGCCTTTTGGAACAATTTCTTAAGGTATCGCCTTAAATATTTTAAGGCATTATGTCAGATGGCATGGGGGAAGCGTGTCCACAATCTTATGTACCCCAAATGGATGGAAATGATCCATATAATAGGGACTAAAAATCACTTATAAAACTGTTCCAGTACAGATGGAAATCTCCATAGACCAGCAATAGAAGGGGATTCATGTATGTAACTAGGAATCAAGCCATGTGGCATGAGGTAAAGGCAGAACAAGGCTGTGTAAGAAAATACGTTGATGTAATAAAAAGATAGCAGGCCACATATTTATGTTGTACCTAAAATAAAATGTGAACTTCATAAATGTGACTGGTAATGACATGACCAGGCATTCACAAGTACTTGATGTTTGGGGATGTGTCGGTTTTCTTTATGGTAGGTACAGACAGCTTGCAGATCACTATTTTAAATGAGTCATGATGAGGAAACACCTGTATGTGAATAATAAAGAATTAAAATCCTATAAATGCGAGTTGGGATACATAAGGCAGAAATAGAGGAAATGAAAGTGTTCCCGGAGCAAACTGAGGGGCCGGGCTGCTGTTTCTCACTGTCCAATAATGAGATGCAGACTGGGGTGGAAGAGAGTTTTTATTTCTGTAACGAGTTACAGGGAGAAGGCCTGGAAATTATCTCCAGACCAACTCAAAATTACAAAGTTTTCAGAGCTTATATACCTTCTAAGCTATATGTCTATGTCTAAGTGTGCATTTATCTAAAGACATAAGTGATTAACTTTTCTTTTTTTTTTTTTTGGACGGAGTCTCACTCTGTCGCCCAGGCTGGAGTGCAGTGGTGTGATCTCAGCTCACTGCAACCTCCGCCTCCCGGGTTCATGCCATTCTCCTGCCTCAGCCTCCCAAGTAGCTGGGACTACAGGCGTCCGCCACCATGCCCGGCTAATTTTTTATATTTTAGTAGACAAAGGGTTTCACTGTGTTAGCCGGGATGGTCTCAATCTCCTGACCTTGTGATCTGCCCGCCTCAGCCTCCCAAAGTGCTGGGATAACAGGCGTGAGCCACCATGCCCGGCCATAAGTGATTAACTTTTCATCTATAACTAAGGTCTGAGTCCTGAAGACCTTCTTCTGGAGACTCAGTAAATTTACTTAATCTAAATGGGTCTAGGTGCTACGGTGATTACCCTTAGCTTGTCTGCTGCTAAATCATGGAGGTTTGGGGCATTCCTTCAGACCTCCAATAAACTTGTTTGTGGAGGCCTGGGGATTTTCTTCAGACCGCCAGTAAAACCTGTTTAATCCTAAATGGGTCCTGCTAAGAATTCCTTCGTTATTTTGTCATGCTGTGAGGCCCAGGAAAGGCCTAGGCAAAACTCTTGGTGGGCTTTTGTTACATTCCAGCCTTTGTATAAGGGCACTGACTTTTTTAGCTGTTAATATTTAACTTAACCACTCAGTACTGAAAGAGTTGTGATGGAGGCCTACATTAGTAAAAACTGGCCTGCCACAAACGTATATTCAGGTTACAGCTTTCTTTACAGGAAGTGAAGCAAATCTAGTATTAAGGCTACAAGAATAAAAAAAGTCACTTTGCATTTAATATTAATAACTCATTCCTGAAAATCAGACATTTGTAGTAAAAATGCCAGTAGGGAACATAGTCCTCATTTTAAACACAAAATTTTACAAATATTCTATTTAAAATTATGCATTAATCCGATCTAAACCTTTCATTTTTTTTAGATATTTGGAAACTTTATTCCTTTTAATCTTATATTTTAGTGTAATTTCAGACTTACAGGAAGAATTGGAAAAATAATACAAATACCCCCTGTATACCCATCATCCAGATAACCCAAACATTTGACCACAGTTGTATAATTATTCTTTTTCTCCTTCACCATATGCATATGATTGTAATTCATGGCAGCTACTGTGTGTGTGTGCATGATATGCTGCTTCATTAATCTCTAAACACATCAGTGGGTATTTTGAAAACAAAGGAACATACTCTTACTTAAACACGTTACCCAATTAAGAAAATTAATATTGAAGTAATGCTTTTTTTTTTTTTTTTTTTTGAGACTGAGTCTCACTCTGTCACCCAGGCTGGAGTGTAGTGATGCAATCTCGGCTCACTGCAACCTCCGCCTCCCAGTTCAAGCTATTCTCCTGCCTCAGCCTCCCAAGTACCTGGGACTACACGTGCCCGCCACCATGCCTGGATAATTTTTGTATTTTTAGTAGAGACGGGGTTTCACCGTATTGGCCACGCTGGTCTCGAACTCCTGACCTTGTGATCTGCCCACTTTGGCATCCCAAAGTACTGGGATTACAGGCGTAAGCCTCTGCGCCCAGCCGGTGATGCTGTTTTCTAATCTGTACACATAATTCTAATTTCACCACTCATCTCTGCACAAAAACCAAAAAACTTAAAGCTGGTCCTTTTCAAAATATCAAAATTTAATACTGTCAAGACTGAAGAAGACTAAAGCTAAAAAAAAAAAAAAAGAAAAAGTAGAATCCATCAGTATAGATTCACCAGAGATTAATAAAATATGAAACACCAAAAGCTACTATATGCCAGTCATTTGAAAATTTGAAATAAGTCACCTTCAGAAAAAAATGCAAATGATTAACTGTTTAGTCTGAACTATGGGACAAATACTTGTCAATGCAGACAATGCATTTGAAATTCTACACCCTTTCATGTGAAAGGAAGAAAAACAGTATAGAATAAGAAGAGAATTTCCTTAATCTGATAAAAGATGTCCACCAAAAACTTCCTATAAACATCATCGTGTTAAAAATAACTTAATAATTATTTTCCCAAGCAAGTCAGGAACAGGCCAATTAGTAACCAGTCTGCCTAACTGCTTAGTTTCCCACTGGAAATCCAACCCAATATTTGAAAATTTGGAAAATCAGGCAGTTTCAGTAACTCCTAAGTTTGCTTACTCAGCAGTAAAATGGGGATACTACTACTTATTTCAGTGGGTTGCTGAAAGTATTAACTTTGCCAAGTGAACCACTCGGCAAGTGCCCTATACATACATCATGAGGAAGCTGTCTAGGGTCAATGAAACCGTCTCGTCGTCTGCGGTGTTATCCGAGCTCTCTGTTTCATGGCCAAGAAAATTTAGGAGTGTGGACACCAAGAGTAAGGTTGGAGCAAAAGAGGAAAGCTCTCTGCAGCAGAGAGGGGGCCCGAGAGGGTTGCCATTTTACAGTTAAACACAAAAGCTTTTCTAAGAAATTTCCCTTATCTGTGTAGCTGTCTGTGTAACTGTCCTCATCTGTGCAGCTGCAGGCCTGTCTCAGCCAAGCCTCCCCCTTATGCAACTTCCCATGGAGTCCGCACTGTGTACTTGTCTGTAGAAGCAGAGGAAACTTTCCTGGGAGCCTGCTGATTACACAAAGAACAAAAGCATTTCTGCGTTAGGCCTTGCTCCCTTATCTGTGCAGCTGCAGCTTGATTTTTCAGGCTGTTTAAAAGAATTTTAGTGTGGACCTGCCTTAACTGTTTTTTGTTTTTTGTTTTTTTCCTTTCTCCTCTCTCAGTGATAGTCCTGTAAATGGTGACTGTCCTGATCATTGTATCCTTCAGCCTGATTTTAACCCATCCTTGTCAACATGGTGATAAGTTCCTGGAACCTGAATAACTAGGATGGAAATGATATTGCAGGCTTAAGCAATTGATGTAATTTATAATTGTAATTTATAACAATGTTAACTATAATTTACAACACTATAATTTAAACACTTATAACAATTTAATGTTAATTATAGTTTATAATGTTAATTATAATTTGTTTCTTCTACACATTCACCCTTCCAATTAAGTAATAACTAATGTAATAATTTTCTAATAAATACATATAAGTTGATATAATTATGTTATAATTAATAACATGGCTCTAGACCCTTCGCCCTCTTGGGCTCATATATTTTCTTAATAAATTGACTCTAGCTTGTTAGTCTTCCACCTAAGTTGCCTGCTCCAGATGGTTTTTCTTTCCTGTATCACTGTTGTTGTATCTTAGGGAATGTCATGTTTGCTGGTTTTCAAGGTGATTTGTATCCTGCCCAATGATGACAAACGTAGATATGACAGCATAAAAAGATACCTATGTACCAAATGCCCAATTCCAAGCCAGTGTGTGGTGAAAAAGACCTTAGAAAAAGTCCAGGCAAGGACCATCGTCACCAAGATTGCCCAGCAGATGAATTGCAAGATGGGAGGAGCCCTCTGGAAGGTGGAGACAGACGTATGTTGTATTTCACTGACTTCGTTTAACTTACTTCTAATAAAACTTGAGATTCTCTTAATTGTTAATGCTTAAATTTTGCTCACGTTCTAACTCCATTACCTTTTCAAAAACAAACTTAAGGTACAAAGAACAATGTTCGTTGGCATTGATTGTTTCCACGATATCGTAAATCGACAGAAATCAATAGCAGGATTTGTTGCAAGTACCAATGCTGAATTAACAAAGTAAGTAAGCTCTGGTAGACATGTTTAGTTAGTAGCTGACTGTGGACCAAATAGAAAAGATGAACCTAATTAATATGTGTTAACTCAAGAGGTTGGGAATTTGACAGATGAGTTATTCTTAATCATGTAGTCTCCTGATTTTTCTGGCAAAGTTATGTTCCCAGAACATTTTGCATGGTTGGCTGGCTCTACATCATTTTCCATTGCTGCCTAAAATACCACAGACGTGGCAGTTTATGACAATGCCTGTCTTTATCTGCACGGTTCTTCTGATCAGACACCTGGTAGTTCACGCTCTCAGGACCTTACAAGGCATAAATTAAGGTGTCAGCTAAGCCACATTATCATCTGGAGGCTTGATAGCACTCCCCTTCCAAGCTCATGTCATTGTGGCTGAATCCATTTCTTTGTAGTTAGATGACAGAGGTCCCTGGTTTTTGTTGTTGTTGTTTGTTGTTGTTGTTGTTGACCGTCAGCTGCAGGCCAGTCTTGATCACTCTCATGTAGCAAACCCCTCTCCATCTTCCAACCAGCCATAGCACATTGAGCCCTTGTTCTGTTTTGAATCTGACCTCCTCTTTGGCCATCAGCCAGAAAAAACATCCCTGCTTTTAAAGGAGCTCATGTAATTACAAATGACTCATTTGGAAAACTTTTATCATAAAGTCAACAGAGCCATATAGCATAACAATCACAGGGGTGGTATTCTGCCATAATCACAGGCTCTAGGGATTAGAACAGGTAGAATTCTGCCTACCACAGGCTCTGATCAGTAAATGTCTTAAATGGAGATCATTAACACATAGTGAAATAGTTCAGATGTGCATGGGTAAAGAGACATGGAAACATAATTAGTGGCCAGAGATCTGTAAGTATAGGATCTTGTCTTCCTATACCTGCAAGTGATGTACTTCCAAAAGGAGATGTGTGTCTATATCCTATGCTCTCCTTTTCTCCCAGGGCCCTTTTATTTTCTGTTCTCAGAGTAGAAACCACACTGCACCTTGAAATACGTTTGCAGTCTTAAGTTTGCAGTCCTCTTTGCACATTACTTGATGTATGTCCTGCAAATTACCTCTGTTTAATAATGATTGTGGCCCACTAGGTGTAATTCAGGAATATCTTTAAAGGAAGATCCATCTTTATTTCCATAGATGATGACTTTTTTCCAGTCATATTCTGCTTCAATATGATAATATTGTTTTGCTCTACTTTTTGTTTGAAAATAGCGTTGCAATCATAGGGAAAAATTATACTTTCAATTATTCAACAGATGCTTTTCTCAAGTAATACTTATTTTAATAGTGTAAAATCTGCTTTCCAATCAAATAAAAACTTCCAAAAAATTATGAAAATAGCCAATACCGCCGGGTGCGGCGGCTCACGCCTGTAATCCCAGCACTTTGGGAGGCTGAGGCGGGCAGATCACAAGGTCAGGAGATCGAGACCATACTGGCTAACATGGTGAAACCCCGTCTCTACTAAAACAAAATACAAAAATTAGCCAGGCATGGTGGTGGGCGCCTGTAGTCCCAGCTACTTAGGAGGCTGAGGTAGGAGAATGGCGTGAACCCGGGAGGTGGAGCTTGCAGTGAGCCAAGATCACGCCACTGCACTCCAGCCTGGGTGACAGAGCGAGACTCCGTTTCAAAAAAAAAAAAAGAAAGAAAGAAAATAGCCAATACCTTGAACAAAGAGAAACACACATAGCTAAGTAAATATTACAATTACATACTCCAAACCCAAGAAAGCAGAGACCATCATGAGCCAAATCATTCTTGGAGCTGTCAACAGATTTTTCTGAGTGGCTACCATGTTCAGATGCTGACACTAGCAGTGAAAATGTGGAGCCGAGACGCCTGGTCATGCTCTATGGATTAAATCCTAGTGAGAAGAGGCAGCCAGACAGATACATCACAATGTCAGGTGGTCAGATGGGGTTACTGTGAAGTAAATAAGAATGCGGTAAGGGGATAGAAACTTGAGACAGCATACCATTTTACTAGATATGTTGAAGTTGTGTCAACAGCTGCCACCATTCCAAAGCAAACCCCTTCCTCAGTGAGGGGGAACATGGAGGAGCCATTGTTGAGGGCATTGGTCCCAAAGCAGGAACCAGGGGGAGCACAGGGATTTCCTTTTATTGCATTCCCCCATAGGCGAAACTGCAGTCGTCTTGTACAATAAAGCATGATTAATTTGTAGTAATGTGAATAAATGCTTCCATTCTACTTGACTATTTGTATGCACTCAAAATTTTCTAAAATGCCTAAGATATCAAAAGAGACCAATACTTTGATCTCCGTAGAGATATGAATTGATGCTAAAATGTCCTTAACTACTGATAGTAATATTTTTTGCCCATAGATTAATGCAGACTCAAATGAGATTTTAAGAATCTTGTTTTCCAAACTGGTGGTTTTTCTGTGAACAGGTGGTACTCTCAATGTGTCATCCAGAAAACAGGAGAAGAGCTTGTGAAAGAGCTGGAGATCTGCTTGAAAGGTCAGTGTCTTGTAGCGGTCGGGGAACCCGACACTATACAAGTAGTTCTCCACCAATGGACTTACTGCCTCCAGGGGACACTTGGTAATGACTGAACCTTTAGTTTTTGGTGTCACAACTGGGGTGGAGGTGCTACTGGCATTGAGTCTAGTGGGTAGAGGACAAAGATGCTGCTAAACATCCTACCATGCATAGGTTGACCCCACCTCCACCACCTCCACCACAGATTCTCTGGATCAAAACTTCCATAGTGCTGTTGTTGAGGAACCCCAGAATAGACAGGACTTAAGCAGTAAAATTGCCCTGAAAGCTGCAGTGTTGAAAGATGGACCTAGAATTTGTCAAAAGCAGCAAAGGCTAGTTTGTTCCAAGTAACGGTTTATTTACTTTTTCTGATTTCCTCTTAGCTGCCCTGGATGTCTGGTGTAAAAACGAATCATCGATGCCACATTCTGTTATTGTGTATCGGGATGGAGTGGGAGATGGTCAGCTTCAAGCATTGCTTGACCATGAAGCGAAAAAGATGTCGACCTACTTAAAAACCATCTCTCCTAACAAGTAGGTTGTATTAATTGTAATGTGTAGTGACTCATGCCTGTAATCCCAGCACTTTGGAAGGTTAAGGTGGGCAGATCCCTTGAGCCCAGGAGTTCAAGACCAGCTTGGGCAACATAGTGAGATCCAATCTCTACAAAAAATGAAAAAATTGGCCGGGTGCGGTGGCTCATGCTTGTAATCCCAGCACTTTGGGAGGCCGAGGAGGGTGGATCACCTGAGGTTAGGAGTTCAAGACCAGGCTGACCAACATGGAGAAACCCCGTCTCTACTAAAAATACACAAAAATTAGCCGGGCGTGGTGGTGCATGCCTGTAATCCCAGCTACTCGGGAGGCTGAGGCAGGAGAATCACTTGAACCCGGGAGGCAGAGGTTGCAGTGAGCCGAGATCGCGCCATTGCATTCCAGCCTGGGCAACAAGAGTGAAACGCCGTCTCAAAAAAAAAAAAAAATGAAAAAATTAGCTGAGCATGGTGGTGTGTGCCTATAGTCCCAGCTACTCAGAAAGCTGAGGTGGGGAGGTCACTTGAGCCTAGGAGCACTGCACTCATACCTGGGTGACACAGTGAGACCTTGTCTCAAAAAAAATCGTACTGTGCAGATTTTAGCTCTACATTTTAGTCTTTGAAAAAAAAAAATCTGATGTTTTTTAGGGGAAAACACCAATACAATGTGTGATGAGAGTAGGAGCTTGATATAAATAGTGGCTTTTGTGGATGGGTGGGGGAGCGCCGGGAAGACCCTTCTGCTTTGATTTTACGTTCCACACGCAAGTCAGAATGCAAAGCAGAATTGGACCTGGCAGTAGCAGACCGCTTCCACCACAAAGTTCCAGGGAATCTTCCTACTTTGTTTCAAGTCTTGCTGTGGGAAGGCTTGTTA
Source organism: Homo sapiens (assembly GCF_000001405.40). Taxonomy (NCBI): domain Eukaryota; kingdom Metazoa; phylum Chordata; class Mammalia; order Primates; family Hominidae; genus Homo; species Homo sapiens. The sequence goes on along the minus strand of NC_000022.11, from coordinate 24,724,006 downwards.
AATTCAGATACTCATAGAAATCCATGAATGGCCTGGCGTGGTGGCTCACGCCTGTAATCTCAGCACTTTGGGAGGCCGAGGCAGGCAGATCACTTGAGGTCAGGAGTTTGAGACCAGCCTGGCCAACATAGCGAAACCCCATCTCTACTAATAAAAACACAAGAATTAGCCAGGCGTGGTGGTGCACACCTGTAATACCAGCTACTTGGGAGGCTGAGCCATGAGAATCACTTGAACTTGGGAGAGGGAGGTTGCAGTGAGCCGAGATCACACCACTGCACTCCAGCCTGGGGGACAGAGTGAGACTCCATCTCAAAAAAAGAAGAAATCCATGAACATAGTCTGCCAATAGTTCACACTTATCCTTCTTTTATCCTAGACTTTTGTGTGTTTCCAGGCTGGAGGAGCCAGCTGGTGGGGATCTCCAGCCCTAAGACTTACAAAACCTATAAAACTCCACTTTTGTAAAACTCCTGTTGAGAGCCCGCTGCTCAGCAGGGATTGTAGGAATGATCCTAAAGTTGTGAGGAAGGGACCCTTCCCCTGGGATGTGGGTGGCTATGAATAAATACCTCCCCATTTACTGCTTCAACCGGGCACATGGAGCTTAGACAGTAAAATTAGGGTGTAAGGAGGGCTGCTGTCTGTTCTTCTTAATGGGTCCTAAATGTAAAGCAGATGTTTCAATACACTGTGTACTTCTGAGGTAAGACTGAGTAAACATAGTGACACTTACCCTAATTTTTTTAAGTTTCACTCTAGCTTTCATTGTGGTGAAGAAACGAATAAACACTAGATTTTTTCTTAAACATGGAAGCAATTTTCAAAATCCACCTCCAGGAACAGTTATTGATGTAGAGTTGACTAGGAATGAATGGTAAGCCACCTGTATTTTTTGCACATGGTTCTATGATTTTCTCAATTTCCTTCAGTTCAGCACAATCACTTAATTCCAATAACTTTACCTTAAAGCACTGCTGATTCTTTAGAACTAATTTGGTCTGTTTTTTTTACTATTGGGCAGAGATTCCTCATTTAAATCTAGAAATCGCGATGAGTCTTCTGGTTGTCGAAGTTTCTTCATCAAACTTTTGTAAATGTCTGTGACCACGTAAGATTTAACTTCAGTGTGGCCCTAAAACCCTTCTAATTACGAATACAAAAGATAGCAAATGATGTTTATATTGACAATTTGGAGTCATCACAAATCAAATTATATTGACTATATCACGACCATCAAAATGTTTATGCAGTAGCCTGAGAGGTAGGTAGGTATCTATCTATCTATTTGATGGAGTCTTGCTCTGTTGCCCAGGCTGGAGTGCAGTGGCGCAATCTTGGCACAGGCACACTGCCACCTCTTCCTCCCAGGTTCAAGCAATTCTCCTGCCTCAGCCTGCCAAGTAGCTGGGCTTACAGGTGCCTACCACCATGTCAGCTAATTTTTTGTATTTTTAGTAGAGACGGGGTTTCACCGTGTTGGCCAGGCTGGTCTCGAACTCCTGACCTCAAGTGGTCCACCCACCTTGGTGGCCCAAAGTGCTGGGATTACAGGTGTGAGCCACCATGTCCAGCCAGAGGTTTCAATTTTTAAAATGTCTTTCTGCTTTAAAACAGCAGTGTGGGGCTGGGCACGGTGGCTCACACCTGTAATCCCAGCACTTTGGGAGGCCAAGGCGGGCAGATCACGAGGTCCAGAGATAGAGACCATCCTGGCTAACACAGTGAAACCTCGTCTCCACTAAAAATACAAAAAATTAGCCGGGCATGGTGGCGGGCACCTGTAGTCCCAGCTAGGCAGGAGGCTGAGGCAGGGGAACGGTGTGAACCAGGGAGGCGGAGCTTGCAGTGAGCGGAGATCGTGCCACTGCACTCCAGCCTGGGTGACAGAGTGAGACTCCTTCTCAAAACAAAAACAAAAATAAAACAGCAGTGTGAAAAAAGAGACCAGTTTCTTTTATGTGAAACATTTTGTATGACACTTATCCTAAGAACCTGAACAAGGAAATGATGTGTTCAGAAAGTAATACTGAATATGCTACAAAATAGTTTCGTATAGTCAGCTCTGTTGTTCATGGACACAAGGAAGTAATTCCAAACAGTAATTTAGAAGTCTTTTTCTTGTTATGAGGATGCAAGTCATTATGAATTAGAGCCAGCCTTTAAGACATTAAGATTAGATACAACTTCCAGAAGATGAAATGGTTAGAGACATTCTATATAAAAATGTATTGAAATAAGAAAAGATATAAAAAGGAATAAAGGCCGTAAGAATATCTAATGAAAAGGTCAATTTGTATTTGAATATCTAACAAACATGAATATAGTCAAAACGAAGAAAAATCAGTGGAAGGGTTAAAGAGAAGGTTAGACATAAAAGAAAACAAATTGTTAACTGGAACATATGTTCACAAAATTCCCATAATGCAGTGGGGAGCCATAAAGATATGGAAGATATGAAAAAATGTTTAGAAAAATGTAAGGCAAAATAAGATTTGCTCTATACCAAATAGAAGTTTCAGTAGTAGATAAGATATGATGGGGGTGTGGTGGGGTGGAGCAATATTCAAAGAGAAAGTCTGAGATTCTGAATCCTAAGACTGAAGAATAACAAGATTTGAGCAAAAATCAATAAAAGTTCACACTTAGAAATGTTATAGTGAAACTTCAGCAGGCATAAGAAAATTTAAAAGCAACCACAGGAATAATATATTTACAAACAATAAAAATCACATTCAGCAAGAGTAGAAATCAGAATACTATGAAATATCTTTAAAATGCTTAAAAATAACCATCAAGCTAGAATTTGATACCCGGCTAACTTATCAAGGGTGACAGTGAAATACAAACATGCTCAGTTAGTGCCTATACAGTATATACATTAACAGATCCACCAGATACTCACTGAGAGAGCTACCCAAAAAGACTGTATTTCAGGAAGAAGGAAATCAAACAGTTAAGAGAGAATGAAATGCAAGAAGCAATGCTGATCAGTTACGATGGAGTATAAAAAAGCCTTGATTTCATACATGACAATTTATAGGGTATATTAAAACAAGACCTAAAATACTGGATATAGCACTTACATAGAAAAAGAATTATGAGGTCAAAGTATACACTAAGATTCTTTAGTTACCAGGGAAAATGATAAAGCTGCTGCTGCTCTATACTTGTCAATTATACAAATGAAAGACTTACTTGAAACCACAGTGGAATTAATGATATTCATACCAAGAGTTGAGGAGAAATGAAGTAAAATGAAGGAAAGGCAGAAACATTTGATCAATCTAACATAAGGCAGGAAAGGATTAAAGGATGGAGCAAATAAAAAGTATCATAAACATAAAGTACAACATAAGATTGTACACATAAAAATAAATTCAATATTTATAACACATAGATCAATCTTACCGGTTGTATTGTTTAAGAAGTTTAAGGCCAGGCGCAGTGGCTCATGCCTGTAATCCCAGCACTTTGGGAGGCCGAGGCAGGCAGATCATGAGGTCAGGAGATTGAGACCATCCTGGCTAACACGGTGAAACCCCATCTCTACTAAAAATATAAAAAATTAGCCGGGTGTGGTGGTGGGCGCCTGTAGTCCCAGCTACTCGGGAGGCTGAGGCAGGAGAACGGCGTGAACCCAGGAGGCAGAGCTTGCAGTGAGCTGAGATTGCGCCACTGCACTCCAGCCTGGGCGACAGAGCCAGACTCCGTCTAAAAAAAAAAAAAAAAAAAAAAAAAAAAAAACAGTTTAAATATAGTCCAGTGATTCTCAGCGAGGCAGCAGGCCTTCATCCAAGAATCTCCGAATAGAATTATCTATGGCCATATCAGATCAAATGTGCCAATCTTGTTTCTTCCTCTAGGTTTCAGTGCATGTACTTGAAGGCAAAATCCCACGAGAGTTACTGTGTCAGTGATTTAATTGCCTTCTATAGACTTGATTTCTCAAATCGTTGTTTATCAGTTAGGTTTCTAAATGTAAAGGAAACTTAATCTATAGAATAGATTTTTGTAAGCAATTATACTAAATGTTTTCATTTCAGACATTAAGTTTACTATATACCCTCTTTCTAAAATGAGCTGATACCCACATGTCCTATATTTCCAGGTATGACTTTTTTATTGTGAGTCAGTCTGTGCAAGATGGGACTGTTACCCCCACTCATTATAACGTCATCTATGACACGATTGGCTTGAGCCCAGATACAGTACAGCGTTTAACATATTGTCTATGCCACATGTATTATAATTTGCCAGTAAGTACTTTTTGTTACTTTTTTCTTCAGATTTTTTAAATGTACTATTCAACATTGAACAATGTTGGACCTCTGAACTGGCTTCTATGAATTTAAATTTAGGGAAAGTAGATGTAAAGTGAAAAAAATTTAGTTGTGTATTTTCTTTTCCTACTAAAGGGCATCATCCGAGTTCCAGCGCCTTGCCACTATGCCCACAAGCTGGCTTACCTCGTGGGGCAGTCCATTCACCAGGAACCGAATCGTTCCTTGTCAACTCGTCTCTTTTACCTTTGACCTGCAGAAGAAGACCTGATGTGCTAATGAAACCACAACGTGTAAGCCTGTCTTCCTTTTGAAGCAGGATGTCTGAAATATTTTCCTAGGTCCATAGCATTAAATTCTCATCGTTTTTGATTGGACACAGGAGAGATTCAGAGTGATATGTTCTACTCTCAATACTACCACAGACTGATTTTTCCAGAGAGGAGAACTGACAGGGTTTGGCTTGCAGTTTCCCTTTCAAATATGTGACAGAGATCTCACAGCTGAACGTGACTGAACATTTTCCACCCCAAGCAGGGCCACTCTAAGAATTGAAAAGATGGGGCATTCGTCACAGAGAGAGTACATCTGTGAACAAGTAAACTCTACTTGGAAAACTACGTTTACTTTATTTTTGAAACTTTTTTTTGTTAAAGGACAGGAAAGGAAGACATAAAAGTAACAACACTGAATTTCTGTTTAATATTTGTATTTAGAATTAACCTATTACTGATGAGCTATATAGGAAGCATTGTGTTATTCCTTGTGCTGGGGTGGGAATTTGGATGGATTTTTGGTGGAAAGGTCATAAGGAAAGCTGGATTACGCCTGTAATCCCAGCACTTTTAGAAGCCTGAGGTGAGCGGATCACCTGAGGTCATGAGCTTCAGACTAGCCTGGCCAATATGGGGAAACCCCGTCTCTACTAAAAATACAAAAATTAGCCAGGTGTGGTGGCGGGTGCCTGTAATCCCAGCTACTCGGGAGGCTGAGGCAGAAGAATCGCTTGAACCCAGGAGGCAGAGGTTGCAGCAAGCTGAGATCATGCCACAGCACTCCAGCCTGGGCAACAGAGTGAGACTCTGTCTCAAAAACAAAACAAAACAAAACAAAACAAAAGATTGGCAGCTTAGGAACACAAACATTTGATTAGTCTTTCCACAAAGAAGGAAAACTAAGCTTTCTTAATGAATTTGTTTAATTCATTCTATTGCACAGTCCCAGTGTATTATGTTAGCTGTATCATAATCAGAAGTCTTCAGTAAGTTATTTAAGTGAAGCTATGACTTTTTTTTGAAAGCGGACTTTTTTCTTTCCACCTAAAAGTATCCTTAATTAGACTCAGGAAACAATGGGTTTTTGTTGTCGTTGTTGTTGTTGATGTTGTTTTTTTATATGCAGTCTTGCTCTGTCACCCAGGCTGGGGTGCAATGGTGTCATCTCGATTCACTGCAACCTCCGCCTCCCAGGTTCAAGCGATTCTCCTGCCTTAGCCTCCCAAGTATCTGAACTACAGGCATGTGCCACCAAGCCTGGCTAACTTTTGTATTGTTGGCCGGGCTGGTCTCAAACTCCTGACCTCAAATGATCCACCCGCCTCAGCATCCCAAAGTGCTGGGATTACAAGTGTGAGCCACCGCGCCTGGCCTTGTTTTGTTTTCTTATACTCATAAATAGAGTGTTATTGTGGGGGTGGGTGTAGGGGTGGGGATTAACTTCAAATATACAAGAAAAGGTATATTTGGAAACATAATCGCTTGATTATATATTAGGTTTACAATTTGAACTGGTCTTACAAGAAATAAAATGGAAAGACTTTAGAAAACACATTGTAACCTAGGTAATGTCCTCCTGAGCAGTTACTGCCAACAGCAGTAAACATTGAGTTGGGTCTGTAATTTAAGAAATGCTAAGATAACATGTTCTTAAGTTAGAATATGATTTATAATGATCAATTTCTAGAAGTCTAAAAAAGATCTCTTAGAACTGAAAGTAGGCATTAAAACTTTCTGAGTGTTCATAAATACAATATATCATTTATTCCTAACACTGTTAAATTTAAGATGATGTGATTCAATAAAGTTATTTGTGTTAAAATCAATGATTTTAACATGAATTAAACATGATTTGCTCTTTTTATTTTAAAAATGTTTTTAGCCTTCCTAATATACTAATTTGTTGCTTTTCTAAGATAACTAGAAATACTGCTGTGACCAGGGAAATATCCAATTAGCCTATTAGTTCTTTATAAATTGGGTGAAGGAAGCTGGGTATTCAATATTTCCAAGACGAGTCTCATTTCAGAGGCTTACAGATAAAAATGTCTGTAATGTATCACAACACCTAAGTTTCACATTGTTGAGCCAGGGTTGGGAGTGCTAATTAAAGGTCTGTCAGGGCTGGGTGTGGTGGCTCACGCCTGTAATCCCAACACTCTGGGAGGCTGAAGTGAGTGGATCACTTGAGATCAGGAGCTCAAGACCAGCCTGGCCAACATGGTGAAACCCTGTCTCTACTAAAAATACAAAAATTAGCTGGGCATGCTGGCACATACCTGTAATCCCAGCTACTTGGTAGGCTGAGGCAGGAGAATCCCTTGAACCTGGGAGGCAGAGGTTGAAATGAGGCAAAATTGCACCGCTGCACTCCAGCCTGGGTGACAGAGTAAGACTCCCGTCTCAAAAAAAAAAAAAAAAAATCCATAAGAAATCCATTTGGTCTATGATGTAGCAATACAATAATTCAAAAAATGAACTTGACTCTGGCAATAACAAATAAACAACATATTGATCTTTGCACTGAGTACAGCTCAAAGCTGAAGAAAATATTAGAAAGCTGAACAGCATCAAAGTGTTAGAAACAAAATGCTTGTTCCCTGTGCTGCAAAGGAATAGCACTCAAACATTAATTTTCTCGGCAAGGCAGTTTTTATTTTCTGCAGAAACAGTGCTCATTGCAGATGGAACAATGGTGAGAGCACACCTGGACAGGGGAAGAGAAGGAGTTCTTATTCCTCATGCATGTGGCCCCTACTGCTGTGCCATTCCCTTATTGGTTACGGTTGGACCACACAGTCTAAGCTAATTCCGATTGGCTGTTTTTTAAAAAGAGCAGGAGTACAAGCTGGAGTGGTGGGGTGAGTAGTTTGGCAGAAAGGAAGGTTAGGAACAGGTAACTAAAGGCGACTGAGGTCAGAGCAAGTGACCAGGGGTGAGTCAGGATGGAGCAGGTGACCAGGGGAACAGACGCGAACTACTGATTAAGACTGGTGTGAAAGTTGTTTACCAAAACTAGAAGCAAGTGGGCGAAGGGAACCAGGAAGTTACACTTTAAAATGGAGAATCTAAGAGGGCTGAACACAGTGACGTACTGATTCTTTGAAGAGAAACTTGGGGTTCACTATATTTAACAAAAGGGATGGGAAAGCAGAGAAAACAGTGCCAATATCTGGCAGAAGGAAATCAGGAATATGACCCTGGTATTTGGGACTGCTTCTCATGCCACAGATTCTGGAAGGAGCCATTGAGTGAGAAGTCAGGTTTGTTTTGACATATTTGTGAGTCTGTTTGAAAAAAATACTGAAGTCCAGTAGCAGCATGGAGGGTTGTAGGTAACTTGCACACTCTGGTTTGAGACCCTCAGGGATACAGTGTAGTAAGGAGCTTGACAAAGATAAGACTTCCCAGTAGAGAACCCACCTTTAAACCACCTGGATTGTTAATACCCCACAGTCATCAGCCAGAAGCAAACAGTCTCTCTGCAGGATACTAACATCTTTGTCATCAATCTAATATTTCCATGCAATATATGGTACTTGTTCAACAGCAACCAATATAAGAGGACAATAAGACAAAGCCGAGGAAACAAGACAACAGAAATAGAACCATAGGTGCTCAAGTCATGTGAGTTATCAACAGTATTCCAAGAGGTAAAATTTAAATGTTGAGCAAACTGTAGAAAAGAACCAGTTTGGAGATTCCAAAACTGAAAAACATAACAAATAACTCAGGATGGGTATAGCAGCATGTTTGACACCGCTTAAGGAGAGAATGAAACAGAAGGTAGGTCACGGGAGAGGCTTCTTGGCCTGGGCTGTGATTATATGGGTGGTTATTTGGTGATTAACTGATGCATTCACGTATTGGTACGTTCTTCTGTTGTAGTGTAGCATGCTTCACAATAACTATAAACAGGAAAACTGAGCTCTGTGCCTGCTTTGACACCAATTTATGATGTAAACTCATTTTTATGTAAATATGTACCTAGATATCCTGGTACACAAGAGGGTGGGGTAGTGGCTTCCAAAAGATTGTTTTGATCTCAGAGTGCATTTGACAATGTATGGACATATTTTTGGTTCACAACTTGGGTGGGGAGATGCTAGTGGTGTCTAGTGGGTAGAGGCCAGGGATGCAGCTCACCATCCTGCCATGCATAGAACAGCCCTCCCACCTCAAAGAATTCTACAGCTCTAAATGTCAGTAGTGCCAGGAAACCCTAAATTAGAGAAATTCTCATCTATAAGAAGGAAGTTGAAGGGATGTTCACCACCACCGTATTTTCATTCAATTTTTAAAGTTACATACAGTGAAATTCAATATTTTAGATGTACAGATCTGTGAGTTCTGACAAATGCATACAGTCATGTATCTACCACCACAGTTAAGGTGCAGGACAGTTCTGTCAACTCTTGAGTTCCCTCGTGCTGCTCCTTTGTAGTGCTTGGGAGTTGGAAGCAACCTAGGTGTCCATGATTACAGGAGTATGTGAGCAGCAGCCAGATGTCATGAATTGGGTGTGCACATAGAAACGAAAAGCTTTGGACAGGAGCGGTGGCTTATGCCTGTAATCCGAGCACTTTGGGAGGCCGAGGTGGGTGGATCACCTGAGGTCAGGAGTTCCAGACCAGCCTGGCCAACATGGTGAAACCCCATCTCTACTAAAAATACAAAAATTAGCCAGGCGTGGTGGTGGGCACCTGTAATCCCAGCTACTCGGGAGGTTGAGGCAGGAGAATCGCTTGAACCAAGGAGGAGGAGGCTGCAGTGAGCTGAGACCAACCATTGCACTCCAGCCTGGACAATAAGAGTGAGACTCCATCTCAAAAAGAAATGAAGAGCTTTAAAAAATAGAGCCAAACGGAGTTTGCAGTGAGCTGAGATCGTGCCACTGCACTCCAGCCTAGGCGACCGAGCGAGACTCTGTCTCCAAAAAAAAAAAAAAAAAACAGAGCCAAAATGGGTGAGGGGGAAGATTAAAGACTAAGTGCCATTGCATTTATGTAAATTTTATACAAATGTATATGCATAAAACATCACCATATATTCCCCAGGAGCCATATGTATTTAATGATGTGTTGGGGAAGGAAGGAGGAATGGGATGGGAAAAGTAGATAAAGAACATAAGAGACAGTCTTGGGCAGTCTGCAGATGGCAGAACACCATGAACTAAGGAGTGTGATTAACTCCGCTTCATGGAACCGAAGTCTTTGAGAGAGAAAGAAAAGCAACTGAGAAACTTCCAGAATTAAGAAAAATATAAGGCCGGGTGCAGTGGCTTACGCCTGTAACCCCAGCACTTTGGAAGGCCAAGGCGGGTGAATCACAAGGTCAGGAGTTTGAGACCACCCTGGCTGATATGGTGAAACCCCACCTCTACTAAAAATACAAAAACTAGCCAGGCGTTGTGGCAGACACCTGTAGTCCCAGCTACTTGGGAGGCTGAGGCAGGAGAATTGCTTGAACCTGGGAGGCGGAAGTTGTAGTGAGCCGAGATTGCACCACTGCACTCCAGCCTGGGCAACAGAGCAAGATTCCATCTCAAAAAAAAAAAAAGAAAAACATATAAGACTTTGGATGCAAGGGTCCACTGGGTGAAGTCCCAACCCTCCACTTGCCTGGCTCGTCAAGTTCTCGTCCATTCCTCCAGTCCCATCTCTGTGGCCAACCTCCACTCCAGGTCCCGGTCCCTGTGCTTCAGCCACACTGAATGTCTCTATGTGCCTGCAGGGCCTGCGCTCTCTCAGTCTGGCCTCTGCACATGTTTTTTCTCCTCAGGCATCTTTCTCATCTGTCTGTGCCTGGCTGACCCCTGCCAATTCCCCAAGTCTCCACTCAGGTGGCTCTTCCTCAGGGATGCTTCCCGAAGTGCCCAGACTGGATGTCGGGTTCTTTGACCACTGCCTGGGGTCATTTAGCACAGTACTTTCACAGGAGATGCCCAGTGCTTGTGTGCCCCCTTCCTGGTGATGAGCCCATGGCATCTCATTCACAGAGGCATCCCTGACACCACACCCAGTGACCGGTGCAGGGCAGGTGCTCAAACCGTGTTCCTGAAGAGAAGGATTCCCACATGGATAACTCCAGCCCAGATCTTTTTTTTTTTTTTTTTTTTGGAGACAGTCTTGCTCTGTCACCCAGGCAGGAGTGCAGTGGCACAATCTCGGCTCACTGCAACCTCCACCTCCCAGGTACAAGTGATTCTCCTGGCTCAGCCTCCTGAGTAGCTGGGATTACAGGCACCCGTCACCACACCTCACTAAATTTTGTATTTTTAGTAAAGACGGGGTTTCACCACGTTGGCCTGGCTGGTTTTGAACTCCTGACCTCAAGTGATCCGCCCACCGCGGCCTCCCAAAGTGCTAGGATTGCCTGGCCCAGATTTCACTCCTGACCAGTCTGCACATCCCACTCTCCCACTGCCTGTTAGACATCTCGACACAGAGTCCTGAATGCACCAAAGACATCCCATTCCAAAGTGAACTCCTGGTTCTCCCTGTTGCCCACATCATCTGGTCCTGCTCTAAATTTCCTTCCATCAGTCGTGGCCTCATGCACTCAGGCTCTGGGGCTTGAAGTCTTAGGGTTGCTCTTAATGCTTGCCTCTCCGCAGGCTTCACCTCTAATCTTCCCTCAAACCTTTCATCTCCACCCAGAAACACCACCTCTGTCTCTCAATCTCCTTCCTAGAGCCCCACAAGGTCTCCTGTGAATTTTCTTTATCTTTCACTAGATCTCCCACTCAAGTCCATTCTCCACTCAGCTGTTTGTGTGGAGCTTTTTTTTTTTTTCTCCCAAGTGTTCAGGTTTATTGACAGCATTAGGGGCTACAAGGGAGCCCTGGGCATCTGGGGGCGAGGCCTGGCATTTGCCTGGACAGTGGCCCAGGAAGCGGCCAAGAATGGAGTCTCCCCCACCCAAGTTTACTTGAAAGTGTGGCTCTCGGGTCCACCCCGCCCAAAGCCTTTAGGCCCAAACATGGCGGCGTAGCAGGGGTGGTTGCCGTAGGGTTTGCCTTCATGCTCAGCGTGGCCCCCGGAAGTCAGCGTCTTCCCACATTTCTCACACTTCAGGCAGGGCCGATGCCAGTCCTTGCCTAGAGAGGTCACCCTCTCGGCGAAGTACACCTTGTCGCACGCGGGGCACTTGGGCATGGCGGCTCTGGGTCCGGTGCAGGCCGCAGCGGCTGGGGCGGGACGGGCTGCAGGCGCGAGACTGTGTGGAGGTTTCTAAAGCAGGAGTCCAATCACGATTCACCACTGCCTGCAATTTACTAATGGGTTAAGAAGTTGACTGCTCGGCCGGGCGCGGTGGCTCACGCCTGTAATCCCAGCACTTTGGGAGGCTGAGGCGGGCAGATCACGAGGTCAGGAGATCGAGACCATCCTGGCTAACACAGTGAAACCCAGTCTCTACTAAAAAAAAAAACCCAAAAAACGAAAAAATTAGCCGGGTGTGGTGGTGGGCGCCTGTAGTCCCAGCTACTCGGGAGTATGAAGCAGGAGAATGGTGTGAACCCGGGAGGCGGAGCTTGCAGTGAGCCAAGATAGCACCATTGAACTCCAGCCTGGGCGACAGAGAGAGACACCATCTCAAAAAAAAAAAAAAAAAAAAAAAAAGTCGACTGCTCATGTCCAGGAGGATAAAGGGCACATACTTTATTTAGTCCAGGACACACACAAAGCCTTCACAATCAAATCCTACTTACACCCAAACACCCACCTCCATCTCCCACTGCTCTTCCCCCATTTTAACCTTTTTTTTTTTTTTTTTTTTGAGACGGAGCCTTGCTCTGTTGCCCAGGCTGGAGTGCAGTGGCGTGATCTTGGCTCACTGCAACCTCCAACTCCCGGGTTCAAGCGATTCTCCTGTGTCAGCCTCCCGGGTAGTTAGGATTACAGGCGCCCACCACCATGCCCGGCTAATTTTTGTATTTTTAGTAGAGACTGGGTTTCACTGTGTTAGCCAGGATGGTCTCGATCTCCTGACCTCGTGATCCACCCACCTCGCCCTCCCAAAGTGCTGGGATTACAGGAGTGAGCCACCGCACCCAGCCTTTAACCATATTTTAACCATAATTTTACCTGACCCTCAAACATTCTCAGTCCTTTCATGATTTGCAGTTTCCAGATGTAGTTTGTCTCTGATAAAGTATTTTATCCCATTCTGTGTATTGTCTTTTAACTCACTTAGTAAAGTCCTTTTATACACAAAAGGTTTAAATTTTGATGAAGTCCAATTTATTTTTTCTTTTGTTGCCTGTGCTTTTAGTGCCACAGTCAAGAAATTATTGCCAAATCCAATGTCATGAAACTTGTCCCCCATCTTTTCTTCTAAGAGTTGTAGAGTTTTTAGCTCTTACACTTAGATCTCTGATCCATTTTGAGTTATGGTTATATGGTGTTAGGCAACGTACCATCTTCATTCTTTTCCATGCGGATATCCTGTTTACCCAGCACCGTTTGCTGAAAAAGACTATTCTTTCTGTCTTGAATGGCCTTGGCATCCTGTGGAAAATCATTTGACCATGTATGTTAGGGTTTATCTCTAGGTTCTCTATTCTATTACATTGGTCTATATTTCTTTCCTTACAAAAGTCCCATATTGTCTTGATTACTGTAGTTTTGAAGAAATTAGGAAGTATAAATCTTTGGTGGTCTTTTTAAAGATTGTTTTGTCTATTCGGGGTCCCTGGTGACTGTATATTAGTTTTTGGATGGTTTTTCTATTTCTGCAGAAAGCACTGTTGGGATTTGGATGGGCATTGCATTGAATCTAGAGATCACTTTAGGTAGTACAGCACTGTCGTTTTAACAATAGTCAGTCTTCCAAACCATAAACGTGTTGCCTTTCCATTTATTTACGTCCTCTTTCATTTCCTTCAGCAATGTTTGTAGTTTTCAGTTTATACACGTTTCATCTCCTTGGTTAAGCTAATTCCTAAGTATTTTCTTCTCTTTGATGTTAATGTAAACATAATTTTTCTTAATTTCCTTTTGAAATGTTCACTGCTTGTTTATAGAATTCCAACTGATTTTTGTGTATTGAATTTGTACACAACAATTTTGATGAATTCCTTTATTAGTGCTGTGTTTTTTTGGTGGAAATTAAAAATTTCAACGTATAAGATTATGTTATCTTGAATACAGATTTTTTTTTTTTTTTTTGAGATAGAGTTTCGCTCTTGTGGCCCAGGCTGAAGTGCAATGGTGTGATCTAAGCTCACTGCAACCTCTGCCTCCTGGGTTCAAGTGATTCTCCTGCCTCAGCCTCCCAAGTAGCTGGGATTACAGGCTTGCGCCACCAAGCCTAGCTAATTTTTTTTTTTTTTTTTTTTTACTAGAGACGGGGTTTCACCATGTTGATCAGGCTAGTCTCGAACTCCTGATCTTAAGTGATCCACCCACCTTGGCCTCCCAAAGTGCTGAGATTACAGGCGTGAGCCACTGCGCCCGGCCGCGCCTGGCTAATTTTTTGTATTTTTAGTACAGACAGGGTTTCACCGTGGTCCCGATCTCCTGACCTCGTGATCCGCCCGCCTCGGCCTCCCAAAGTGCTGGGATTACAGGCGTGAGCCACCCCGCCCGGCCGAATTATTTCTATTTCTTACCTAATTACTCTGGCTGGGGCTTCCAATACTATACTAAATAGAAAAAGTGGGGTTAATTTCCAACATATATAAGAAACTCCTACAAATCAATAGCAAAAATAAACCAACAAACCAATTAAAAATGAGCAAAAGCCTTCTTCCAAAACGGCATACAAATAGCCAACAGGTATATGAAAAATGCTCAACTTTCACTAATTATCAGGAAAATGCAAACAAAACCCCACAATGAAATATCACCCCACACCTGTCAGGATTGCCTTTTTTAAAAAAAAACAAAAGATAACAAGAGCTGGCAAATATATGGAGAAATTGGAACCCTTTTATGCTGCTGGTGAGGATGCAAAATGGTGCAGCTGCTATGTAAAACAGTATGGAGCTTCTTTAAAAAGTTAAAAATAGAACTACAAAATGATCTAGCAATTCTATTTCTGGGTATTTATCCAAAATTGAAATCAGCATCTCAGATACCTGCACTTCCATGTTCATAAGTTCTATTCACAATAGTTAAGATACAGAAAAAACCTAATGTTCTCAGTGGATGCATAGATAAAGACAACATGGTATACACATCCAACAGAATACTACTCAGCCTTTTAAAATCAAGAAATTCTGCAATATGCGACAATGTGGATGAACCTTGAGGACATTACCCTAGGTGAAGTAAGCCAGTTACAGAAGGACAAATACTGCATAATTCCAATTATATTAGGTATCTGAGATGATCAAATACATAGAATCAATGAGTGGATTGGTGGTTGCGAGGGACTGGGGGAAAGGGAAAATATCTAATAAGCAGGCATGAAGTTTCAGTTAAGCAAGATGAATTAAGTGCCAGAGATCTGCTGTATACCAACGTACCTGTAATTAACAGTACTATTCTCTACACTTAAAAAAAAAAAGTAGGCTGGGCACGGTGGCTCACTCCTGTAATCCCAACACTTTGGGAGGCCGAGGTGGGCGGATTACCTGAGGTCAGGAGTTTCAGACCAGCCTGGCCAACATGGTGAAACCCTGTCTCTACTAAAAATACAACAATTAGCCAGGCATGGTGGCTGGCGCTTGCAATCCCAGCTACTCGGGAGGCTGAGGCAGGAGAATTGCTTGAACCCGAAGGCAGAGGTTGTGGTGAACTGATATCGCACCACTGCACTCCAGTCTGGGCAACAAAGTGAGATTCTGTCTCAAAACAAAAAACAAAACAAAAAACAAAAAACAAAAAATACCCCCACGAAAACAAAAAGTAGTTAAGAGGGTATGTCTCATGGGTTTTCTTACCACAATAATTTATTAAGGTCATGAAAGCCGATATCATTGTCTAGTTCATAGCCTTAGGGGAAAAGCTTTGAGTTTTTCAGCATTGAGTATGGTGTTAGCTGTGGGTTTCTCATCTATGTCTTATGTTAAGGGAGTTTTCGGCCATTCCTTGTTTTTATCAAAAATGAGTTGAATTTTGTCAAAGCTTTTTCTCTACCATGTGCTTTTCTCTCCTTCATTCTATTAATGTGGTGTATTACTTTGACTGATTTTCCTATGTTGAACGATCCTTCCACTCTGAGAAAAAATTCCATGTGCTCCTGGTATATAATCCATTCATTATGGTATAAGGTTTGCTAGTATTTCGTTGATTTTTGCATTAATATTGATAAAGGATACTGTAGTTTTATGTTCTTGTAGAGTCTTTGTCTCTTTTGGCATCAGGGTAAGGAGGGCCTTATATAATGAGTTAGGAAGTGTTTTCTCCTCTTTGATTTTTTTTCCTTTTTTAAAAAAAACTAGAGATGGGTTTTGCCGTGTTGCCCAGGCTGGTCTCCAACTCCTGGGCTCAAGCGATCTGCCCGCCTCAGCCTCCCAAAATGCTGGGATTACAGGCGCCAGCCACCATGCCTGGCTTAATTTTTGTATTTTTAGAAGGGTCGGGGTTTCACCATGTTCACCAGGCTGGTCTCAAACACCTGACCTCAGGTGATCCACCTGCCTCAGCCTCCCGAAGTGCTGGGATAAGAGCCAGGAGCCACCACGCCCAGCCAGTATTGTTCTAGCAGCCTGCACTGACTCTGGCCGACTCTTGCAGAAGACACTGGTTAGAGAGGACAGTCAGGAGGGGCAACATCAGGCTTCAAGCTGTGTGAAAGGGGAAGTTTTGCTCAGCAGCAAGTTCTCTCTGGATTAAGAGTTTTGTGATTGGCAGCCACAGTGAACTAGAGAGACGCGTCTGCCAGGGAGAGCCTGCACCTCCCACAAGGTGTCGTCTGTGCTGGCTTCTGGAGCCTTTGACCACTGCTTTCCATCTGGGATTCTGTGTTCACAGGGGGAACAAAAGGCCTGAGAAACACCACGTACGTGACTTGGTCTTCATGGTCTCTTCTCTCCTGTAATTGTAGGTGGCCTCAGGAAAGGAGTCTGTATTCTGCAATCACTGACTTGCTGCTGAAAAATCCAGATGAAAAGAAAGGCGGGGCTTTCCTGCTGGCTTCAGTCTGGAGATCTGACTCCAGCTTCCTGCTGGCCACCAGGCAGGGGTGGTGGAAGGAGCGGTTTTTGCAGGTAAAGAACCGTGGCCTCATCGTACAGTCCCTGGAGCAGCCATGTCCCTCTAGGTGGGTGGGTTTTTGTGCATGGGGCTCTGGGGGGTCTGCGTGGGTGTCGTGTGGTGTGACTGTGAATGTGTGTGGGAGTGTGTCTCCTCAGGGGATGTGTCCCACCTACACAGCACAGGTGCCTCATCTACATTCTCCAAGGGAACCCCACCGCCGCTGTGGGCTTTCCACACATTGACGCATTCATGGCTCACCACAGCCTTGCCCACGGGCTTTCCAGCCCCACGCCTCGGAAAATGAGGTACAGAGAATGACCCAGGCTCCTGAGCTTCTCTGTGAGAGAGCTGCAGGGTGAGTGGTGGGGGGCGGGGCATGTGGAAGCTCAAGACTACTGGGTGGCATTCATCACTCAGCGGCAGGCTCACTGGTCGCAGTGCAGGGGTGACCCACCCCCATGTATATGCCTGGAAGTACCTGGGCATACGGAGTTCCAAGACACCACTCATGGTTAAAAGGCGGCCCCCGTGCTCACATAGCTGATGTCATCTCTCTGTGTACATACCACAGATTTTTGCCCAGCCATTAGCCTAAAATGTCCAAGTCATGGAAACAGAGTAGAAGGGTGGTGTCGGAGAATGAAAAAGATGGGGAAGACGGTGAAAGGGCACAAAGTTTCAGTGATGCGATGAGTACGTTCTGGAGACCTGACACGCAGCATGGTGACCGTAGTTCATAGTGATTAATTGCACGCTCGAGATCTATGAGAAAGTGCACCTCGAATATCCTCACCACACACACAAATGGCAACAATGTGAAGCGATGGATACGTTCATTAGCTTGATGGTGGTCATTTCATAGTTTGCATATATCAAAACTTCACATTGTACACTTTATATATACACATTTTAAAATTTTTCAATTATGCCTCAATAAAGCCAGGAAAAAATCCTCAGAAATACTCAAATTCTGTGAGCTACCCATGGACACTGATGAATTAGAACCAGCAGGACCCCTGGTGGTCAGTGAGGCCTGTCAGCCTCGTTGAAGCTCCCTGGTGCAGCAGAGTTAGAGCATCAGCTCCCGGCCCACACCTCCCTCTATGAGGAGCCGCCCTTCCTGCCTGTGTGAGCAGGAGCGCCTCTGACCAAGGAGCACAGACGTGGGATAGAAATGCAAGCCTGCGAGCAGACCTACCACATGGGAAACAGCGGGTATTTTTAAGTGACCTGACGTTGTATTTTCAAAATATCTGTAACTGATTATCTTTAAGAAATAGGCTTAGTGAATAAATATAATACAATATTTTGTATAGACCCAGGCTCCCAAAGTAAGATTGCTTTTCGTCAATCACAAAACCTTATGTGACAAAGGAGAAATGCACCGGCGGCATATGTAGGTCCCTGGAGGCTGAGGTGGTCTAGGGAGAGGTCAGGGAGATAGTGGCAATTCAGCGGCAAGTTCAACGTGGCGGGAGAGGTGAGGGACGCTCTTGTTGCATCACAGTGTAGAGTTGGGCACAGGGGAGACTGAGCATTTCCTGTCGATTTTTTTTTTTTTGAGGTGGAGTCTCGCTCTGTCGCCCAGGCTGGAGTGCAGTGGCGCGATCTCAGCTCACTGCAAGCTTCGCCTCCCGGGTTCACACCATTCTCCTGCCTCAGCCTCCCTAGTACCTGGGACTACAGGCACCCGCCACCACGCCCGGCTAATTTTTTGTATTTTTAGTAGAGACGGGGTTTCACCGTGTTAGCCAGGATGGTCTCGATCTCCTGACCTCGTGATCTGCCCGCCTCGGTCTCCCAAAGTGCTGGGATTACAGGCTTGAGCCACCATGCCTGGCCCATTTCCTGTTGGTTTAGGTGGCCTCTAGCTCCACAGCTGAGGACTCTGAACCTCATCCCAGTCCTGCTCCTCTTTTCCAAGCCTCTCCCACCCAGGAGGATGGCCCAGCAGCAGCTGAGCCCATGCGGCAAACCTACCACACCTGTGCACGCCAGTGCTGCGTCCATCTCAAGCTAGGGCCCCGAGTCATCCATAAGCAACACTGCCAATACACTGCCAGCCAGACACTCTGTCCTCCTGGCCTCCCTGAGAGGCTGCTGGAGGAAGAGTCACAGTAAGGAAAGATTGCCTGTTTTTGTCCAAAATAGACATGATGCTTTGTTGTTTTATTTCATTTCAAATTGGTTCATGTATGAAAATCTGGCAATATACGTAATGTGATACATACCGTTTCCGGACAAGACAGTGTCAAACATGAATGGCAGCCTCAGCTTATAAACAAACTGTCTGGGAGAGGGCCTGTCCTCAGCACCTGTACTTCTTTCTCCTGGGGCTAAGAATTTTTCAATTGCCAGCTGGGCTTGGTGGCTCATGCCTGCAATCCCAGCACTTTGGGAGGCCGAGGTGGGCGGATCATGAGGTCAGAAGATCCAGACCATCCTGGCTAACACGGTGAAACCCTGTCTCTACTAAAAATACAAAAAATTAGCCAGGCGTGGTGGCAGGTGCCTGTAGTCCCAGCTACTCGGGAGGCTGAGGCAGGAGAATGGCGTGAACCCAGGAGGCGGAGCTTGCAGTGAGCCAAGATCACGCCATTGCACTCCAGCGTGGGCAAGAGAGTGAGACTCCATCTCAAAAACAAACAAACAAAACAAAACAAAACACTGGGATGGCAATCATGTGTCAGAATGTTCACAGTGATTATTCTTTGCTGATGGAATTAAGGTGGCTTTATGTATTCACACGAGTTTGTATTTTCCACATTTCATACAATGACTATGTATGACTTTAATAACTAGAGAAAAATGTAGAGGCTGGGTGCAGTGGCTCATGCCCGTAATCCCAACACTTTGGGAGGCCGATGCAGGTGGATCACGAGGTCAGGAGTTCGAGAACAGCCTGGCTAACATGGTGAAACCCCCGTCTCTACCAAAAATACAAAAATTAGCTGGGCGTGGTGGTGGGTGCCTGTAGTCCCAGCTACTTGGGAGGCTGACGCAGGAGAGTTGCTTGAACCCAGGAGGTGGAGGTTGCAGTGAGCTGAGATCATGCCACTGCACTCCAGCCTGGGCAACAGCGTGATACTCTATCTCAAAAAAAAAGAAAAGAAAAGAAAAAATAAAAAAATATAAGGACTCCAGATAATTCATAGATCAGCTTCATTCTGCCCAAAGTGCACTGGCATTAATGTACTATAAAGTACAAAGCAGGCCGGGCACGGTGGCTCATGCCTGTAATCCCAGCACTTTGAGAGGCTGAGGTGGGTGGATCACCTGAAGTCAGGAGTTTGAGACTAGCCTGGCCAACATGATGAAACCCCATCTCTACTAAAAATACAAAAATTAGCCAGTTGTGGTGGCGGGCACCCGTAGTCCCAGCTACCCAGGGGGCTGAGGTGGGAGAATCACTTGAACCCTGGAGACAGAGGTTGCAGTGAGCCGAGATTGCACCACTGCACTCTAGCCTGGGCAACAGAGTAAGACTGTGTTTTAAAAATATATATATATAATATATAGTTACTTTATGCAGCCTCATTATAGCAAACTAATCTTAAAAAAAAGTCATATATCAGAAAGCAGTAACTTTTAATCTCCATTAAGAATGGCAGGGTGGAACTCTTGGTCCTGCCTCTGATAACTGGGCAGTTGTGTGGATGGCTCAGCCAGAGCCTACTCCATTTCTCTGTCTCCCTCTGCCCATCCCTATCTCTGTCTCTCTCTGTGTCACTCTGTCTCCTCTGAGTCTCTCTCTGCCTGTACACATGTGTGCCTATGGGTCTCTCACACATGCTCACCTGCTCAAGCTCCTCATCTTCAAATGCTCCATCACAAAGGCGGCCACACCTCTCGGCAAATCGATGACCTTCATGGGCCTCGGCGCCTGCACCAGGCCCGTGCTCTGGAGGGCCTCCAGGCTCGCCACCTCCCCCTCAAACATCTGCTGGGCCTGCATCCAGAACACAGCCATGAGCCTTGTCAGCCTTGTTGACTCAGCCAGGGCCTCTGCCCACCGGGCTCTTCACAGAAGCTACCACGTGGAAATCACAAGGACCTTCAGTCACTGATAGCCTCTGGGAACTGGCGTCCACCCGCAGAGGGCAGGGTGCAAGAGATATGCCCTTTATTGGGTGTGAACTCATCATAAAGTTCACCCACTGGAAAAGTATACAATTTGATGCTTTATTAGATTGATACTGTGTGCAAGTTCTCTCTTGCCCACTGGCAGTTAATCCCCCCTCCCATCTCTAGCCCTAAGCAACACTGCTATGATATTCCATCTCCATAAATTTCCTCCTTCTTTAATAGAAATGAACACATATATATATTTGGAATCTGACTTCCTTCATTTAGCATACTATGTTTGAAGTTAATCAACACTTTAGCACATGCCGGTCATGTGTTTTCCTTCATAGTCTGCTGTGTTTATTCATACAGAGAGTGTTTATTCATTTATCAGTTAATGGACAGTTAATTATTTTTTTCTGTGATGAGTAATGTAGCTTTGAGCATTCATACACAGTCATGTAATGCATAATGACATTTGGTCATTATTATTATTTTTATTTTTGAGACCCAGTCTGGAGTGCAGTGGCACAATCTCGGCTCACTGGAACCTCCGCCTCCTAGGTTTAAGCAATTCTCGTGCCTCAACCTTCCGAGTAGCTGGGACAACAGGCACACACCACCACACCCGGATAATTTTTGTATTTTCAGTAGAGACAGGGTTTTGCTGTGTTGGCCAGGCTAATCTCAAATTCCTAGGTTCGGGTGATTCACCCACCTCTGCCTCCCAAAGTGCTGGGATTATAGGTGTGAGCCACTGTTCCAAGTCTAATTTTTTTTTTTTTTTTTTTGAGACGGAGTCTTGCTCATTGCCCAGGCCGGAGTGCAGTGGCGCGATCTTGGCTCACTGCAAGCTCCGCCTCCTGGGTTCACGCCATTCTCCTGCCTCAGCCTCCCGAGTAGCTGGGACTACAGGCGCCCGCCACTGTGCCTGGCTAATTTTTTGTATTTTTAGTAGAGATGGGGGTTTCACCGTGTTAGCCAGGATGGTCTCGATCTCCTGACCTCGTGATCCGCCCGCCTCAGCCTCCCAAAGTGCTGGGATTACAGGTGTGAGCCACCGCGCCCAGCCACCTGGTCTAATTTTTTTTAAGAAATAAGAGAACTATTTTCTAAATTTCCTTTGCCAATTTATATTCCAACCATGATGCATAGCACTAATTTCACTGTACAACGTATGGTAGGCCCCAACATGTAAGAAATGATGAAAGTAACATGTAAAGATTACCATAAAACAAATAAGATTATCATTGTTCCTATCATCTTTGTCAAATTGTCAAAACAATCTAAAAGTATATTTTTATGTAAATGTGCTTGGCAGCATAGCTAAAAAAAGCATTAGTTACATACTTTTGTCAGTAACAAAGTCAGAAATTTTAAGGGGAAAAACACTTGTACTCTCAACACAATATCAGAATTAGCATAAAAATTCTGCTGGTCACGTTGGACTATTTAGTTGTCTGGGGCAGTGTTTTGTAGACAAATGAGCATCTGTGGAGCACCTGAAGTAGGGGATCAACAGAACTTGGGTTTCAAAAGTTATCTGGGTTTACAGTGTGAAACTTTGTTGGAGGACACACACCTTGTGTGAGCGAGGTGCCTCGGTGTGTGTGGATGTGTTGGAGGTAGAGCATAATGGTGGCTTCCTCCAGAAAGGGACATTTGGGGTGGATTCATTCCATCTGGACAACACAGCCTGATGTGGCACGGACATGAATGGAGGTGAAATGGACAGTAGCTGAGAGGATCAGTCCTGACAAGAGCCAAGGTGAAAAGCCTGGGAACCCCTTAAGGTGCAAAGTCTTCAGCTGAAAAAGAAGGTGGTCACAGGAAATACTGAGATGGATCAGCAACGCACGGGAGGGAGAGTTCTTGGCCCTGTGGAGTGAGTAGTGTGGATTCTCAAGTTTTCTCCTCTTTCCATTAATTTCTCTTCCAAGGCAGACGACTTCGATCATAAACTACCAAGATACCTGGAGCGATCAGATGAGCCTCGGCCTACTCTTGAAGCTAAAGGAAGGCTGCTAGCAAGACTGGCATCTGGGCTTGGCTGTGCGTGTTTTCCATTGTGGGAAAATATACATAACACAATATTTGTAATTTGAACCTTTTAACCAAAGTGTGCACGCAGTGGCATTGAATATATTCACTTACACTTAAGGCACAATGACAAGGCAGCAAAGGGCTGTTGGGTGATTAGTTCACCACACTTGTTGCAACTGTTTGTACTGCAGAGTTAAAACATACCAGCATTCAACCCATGTCTCCTCTCTTGAAATAAACTGTCCCCTTTGCAAGGGACCTAAATCTCCATTTACAGAACTTACTGACTATTTGCCTCTTGCAGCGGAAGTCCCTGGATGTCAGCCTTCTGGTGGGAATTATAAGAAGCATGAGCCCCAGGGCTCCTTTAATCTCTCCCCAGCCAGAGTCCACATATTTTCCCCCATGTTTTTTGGGTGAAAAGGCCTTTCAGAACCCTAAATCCGTCTGGTTTATAATTGTTGCTGGGCTGCGTCATTCTAGTCAGAATCTGGGAGGATGCCACCATACGTAGAGGAGGCCATGAGGGTTTCACCTCTAACATTCTGTAGATATGGCCTGTTTATATTGTCTAATGTGAGCACCTGATTCTGAGTAGAAAGAACAGTGCCATTGGGTTAGTGGAATGCACATTTGGTGACAGAGGGAAGGAGGCCCTGGGTGGTCCTCAGGAAGGATCCTGGGCTGGGGGTCTCCAGGCTGCAGCTATCGACATACCGTGTAAGAGGAGATGGACTCTGCCCCTGTCTTTTCAGAAGTCTAGGGGAGGGAGGAGGAGTTTGTAGAGACTGATTCTTGGTAAGGAAGGATGTGAGCAGGAAGGTGCAGGCTCTGTGCTGGAGCAGTCACTGCCCCTTCTCAGCCAGGCCTGAGCCCAGGCTGCTCGGACAGCTGCTTAGCTCTTCAGTCCATGAGACCCTGGGAGCTTGTGGGCTTCACTCACCAAACCCCCCGAGCATCAGCCCAGCAGGCATCCTCCCTAGTTAATTCACCTGCCCTGCTCATAACAGTTTGTGAGTTTTGGTGAAACTAATGTTTTGTGATGCTGTCTTAAGGTTGTGGCTGGCTTGCAGCCACATCTGTCTTTAAGAAAGAAACCAGTTCCTCCACTTGTCGTGAGCTCTGAGGCAGTTGGGAGTCAAGCAGTCACTAATTATTCAGGGTGGTCGCTGGAGCACTGGACACCTCACCTTGAGGCAGCTCACTGTGTGACGGTGCTGGGGGAGGAGTGACACAGACTGGACACCCTGATCCTTCAAGGGGCCTTTGTTTGGGATCAGCTGCATCATATTTTGGGTCAGGGATTAAAATGCAGTGGCGGAAGGCTGGGTCAGGCACCTCCCACAGGACATCAGCTCTTCCCAAAGCAATCCTGGAACAAGAGGATTTGGGAAATGGAGTGAGGGAAGCCCTGGTTCAGGGGCCCAGGGTGAGACCTAGAGGGCCTCTGCTTCAGGGATCTCCAGCTCCAGGGAACCAACTACATTGCTAGCTCCAGCCCATCCCTCCTCAGTGTTGTGGCTTTGGGAAAGTCACTCAGCCCCTCTAAATTTCAGTTTTCAATTGTAAAATGTGGGTCACAGCTCTGCTCCACCCACCCCACAGGGCTCATGTGAAGGTCACAGGAGATGACAGCAGATCCCCTTGAGGAACTATAAGGCATCCTGCTCATATAAAGGCTGCAAAGAGACCTTCCACCTTCCGCGTCTGGTAGCCAACCAGGTTTCCTCTCTGGAGGCAACCACTGCTATGTGTCTGCCTTAATCCTGCAGATGCTTCACATTTGAACACTTTTATAGCACTTATGAAGTGCCAGTCATTTTTCTTCAGGCTTAATATGGATCTGCTTAGAGTAAGCTTCAGAACATAATGCTAATAGGCAGGCCCCACTGACATCTCCAATGTCAGGGGGTGACGTCGGGGCTAAACCTGCTGTCTGTCCAGGTGCCGACTGGGATGCCTCTGGGAATGGGCAGGAGATTTCCTTGACCCTAGATCACTTTTCTGGCATATCCCGTATTTAAACCTTCATGATCTTGTTGTATCTTTGAACCATAATCTTAAGAAAATATATTCAAGGACTGGCATGGTGGCTCATGCCTGTAATCCCAGCACTTTAGGAGGCTCAGGCAGGTGGATCACCTGAGGTCAGGAGTTCAAGACCAGCCTGGCAAATATGGTGAAACCTCATCTCTACTAAAAATACAAAAATTAGCCAGGTGTGGTGGCGGGGCACCTGTAATCCCAGCTACTCAGGAGGCTGAGGCAGGAGAATTGCTGGAACCCAGGAGGCAGAGGTTGCAGTGAGCTGAAATCATGCCATTGCATTCCAGCCTGGGTAAAAAAAGTGAAACTCAAAAAAAAAAAAAGAGAGAGAGAGAGAAAAGAGAAAAAGAAAGATTGAGAGAGAGAAAGGAGGGAAAGAGGGAGGGAGGGGAAAAAGGGAGGGAGGGAAGGAAGGAGGGAGGGAGGCAGGGAAGGAGGGAGAGAGGAAAGGAAAGGAAAAAGGAACGGAAAAAGGAAAGGAAAGGAAAGGAAAGGTCAAAATAGAGACCACTCTTGACATGTTGATGGCAGGAGACCATGAACAAGTGTTAACAATCTTCCCAGGCCACACTTCGATTCACCAGCTGCCTAGGGGAGCAACTGAGTCAAAGTTGGGCTTAGGATGGAGGGGTCTGCAGTGTGGTGAGCACTTAAAATACACAACAGGCTGATTGTGTCAGGACGTTACTCCAATGAGAGAAGACAATTCAGGAGGACAGCTGAGCTCAGTGACTGAGAGAAGGGACAGGTGCTTGATGGCCTGGGCTCAGATCCTACCTAGAAGCTGTGTGACCCTGGGAAAGTGACAAAGTGACTAACCCCTCTGTGCTCAGTGCTTGATTTCCTTCAAACATTTTTTTTAAGTAGGGTTTTGCTCTGTTGCCCAGGCTGGAGTGCAGTGGTGCCATGGTTCACTGCAGCCTCAACCTTCCGGGCTCAAGTGATCCTCCCATCTCAGCCTCCTAAGTAGCTGGGACTACAGGCATGCACCACTATATCTGGCTAATTTTCAAGTTTTTTTGTAAAGATGGGATCTCCCTATGTCTCCCTATGTATTTGGGTCCCCTGCACCCTGACAGCAGCTGGGCCTGACCCACGTGATGCTTGGGACAGTCCTTCTGTGGAGCTTGCCAGGCCTTGGTGTTTGCTCTGCCCCTCCCCAGGTGGCTGGGGGAAGGAAAAGGCAGTCACATGAGGAAGGGGAAGGAAAGGCAGTCACATGAGGCCTCCAGCTCCAGGAAAGAAATGTTCATGCCTTGTCTCAGCATGCCAGCTGCCCGGGGAGGAATGGCCAGGGGAGCCCAGCCCCTGCCTTGCGATTGGCTGTTTTGAAGGTGGGGTGCTCCAGCCCCAGCACCCCCGTGTTCCCAGCGGGCCCTGTGGGCCTCACAGCCACCTGGGCCCTTGGCTGCAGCCTTTCCTGAGCTGCCAGTTGAATAACCAATGGCCTGTGTGTCCTCAGAAGGGGTTTGGGTGGGGACTTGGTTTCACAATGGGGCTTTCCTCTCAGGTGCCTCTGGTATGAAAAAAATTCCTTTCCCAAAGTGGTCTTGGGCACCTGTGTCCTTAGGAGCCTGAGTCCCTTGCCCTGCAAAGGCTGCACCTCTCTTAACTGCTGGCGGCTGCTGTCTGCAGGGGCCCTGCTCCAGCTCTGGGAAGTAAGCAGGGTTCCCTCCTGTCCTCACAGGGTTGTGTAATGAAGACACCCACCCAGCTCTGCTGCTCTGTGCCTTCAGAGGGGCCTGAGCCAGGAGGATAGAGCTGGGCTTGCAAGCCCCGGTCTGATGTCCATGCTGCAGAATGGCCTGCCTGGCTGGGAGTGACCAGTCACGCAGACTCTAGTGCAGGGAACTGCTTAGAGATCTGCCTTCCTAACTTACCTTCCTGTCACAAGGGCCATGGGCTCTACTCTGGGGAGAGACGCTGAGGCCACCACCCCAAATGAAGGCCATGGGGAGTGGTGCTGGCCTAACCGTGAGAGGCCCAGGGAGGACGGAGGCGTCTGAGTGCATGGCGAAGCCAGTCCCAGCAGTGCTCCCGAGAATGGAGGAGGTGGGAGCCTGGAGGAGGCCCGGTCCCCACTGCCTGCTGTTCCTTGCCATGAGGGTTTCTGCCCTGGGCAGGGCCCTGGCTGCTGCCCCTGCCTTAGCATAGAGAGTGGGTCCCCCTTGGGGATGGCTTTTGCCTGGCTGTAGCCGAGCCTCGGCATGAAGGTCCTGGGGCTGACTTCATGACTGCTCTTCATATGCCCAAGCCAGAGGCCCAGGAGCTCCCTGTCCCAGGCAGGGGGTCACGTGCTGCCCGCCTGTTCCCTAGTCACACAATGACATCCCAACCTCCTCCGTCACATCTCTGTGTCAGCACAAGGTGGCCAGAGCATATCTGCCTGCCAGCTCCTATCCCTGGGCCTCAGGGGCCCTGGCAGCACGTGTGGAGTCCCTGGCCCATGTGGGGCTGCCCAGGAGTGGGTGGGAGGGAAGGCCTCCTGGCAGGGGCTCCTGGCCCAGGGCTTGCTCCTTGAGCCGCCAGGTGGAAAGAGGGCAGCTGAGGCCCCTTGATGCGGAGGCCTCTGGGATGCGGCTCACTGACCACTGCTCTGCCTTTCCCCTTCCCGGGACCTGAGGGGACCCTGCCCTTTCCTGTGAGTCAGGCTTCAAAGAGCTGCCCCTGAGGGTCTGAGCACCTCTGGGAAGCCCCAAGGAGGCTCTGGATGTTGTTGGCCATGAAGCCGAGCTCTCTCCATGGTCACTGACTTAATCAGGCTTTGAATATGAAGTCAGGAATGACCCACAGAGCTGCTCCCAGGACCAGGGAGACCATGGTGACTTTATCACAGTAGACTTAACAGCTGCAGCAACTCTTGCTACTCTAAATGACACGGCACTGAAACCAAATGCCAGGAAGCCGGGGGGAGGGGGAAGAGGGGGAGGAGGGAGAGAAGGGGGTGGAGGAGGAGAAAGGGGTGGGGGAGGAGGAGGAGGAATGGGAAGGAGGAGGAAGAGGAGGAGGAGGGTGTTAGTAGTGGCTCTGGCAGGGCTGCAAAGCTGGTTGGGGAGGGGAGTCAGGCACCCCAGAGGGAGGGAGGGGCCCGTGGGCACGGGGGTGCTGGCCAGGCAGGGACGGACTGGCACCTGCAGGAAGGACAGGGGCTTGGCTGAGCAGAGCATGGCCAGCCTAGCCGAGGGCAGCCAGCATCCTACACTCACTGGTCTCGAGGTGCCCAAGCCAGGGGCCCAGGACTTTGGGCATTACTGGGAAATGATGGGAACCCAGGGTGAGGTGGCGTGAAACAAGATGAGATGGTAAGATCTGCTTTCACTTTAAAGGAATATTTCTGGTTGTTGCTTGGAAAAGAAATGTCAGGGGCAAGAATGGTGCAGGAGGGCCGGCCTGGAGGACGGGGTGGGACTGCAGGGCGAGGGCAGGAGCCTGCGCTGGGTCAGGAGCCTGCGCTTACATCGGAGGTGGCTGGGAGACCCTGGCTCTGGGGCAGAGGCCTGAGTAAGGGGGCCTTGCTGGGGATTTGGGGGCCTCTGCGTGCTGGTGCCTTCCCGCCTCCATTCCTCTCAGCCCTGATTAGCTCTGTCTTGGAACGGGGTAACTACCTTTATTCGAGAACTTGGGGCAAGCCCTGGGCTATTCTGAAAACTCAAGCATATCGTTTTGATTTCTCCACCTACAAGGAGCCCCAGGCTTCCTGAGACCTTGGGACACAGCAGCGCCATAAACTGCTGCCCCTCCCAGGCCCAGGTGTTCACCCCAGGCTAGGGGTAGGGCTGGGGCTGCACCTTGGAACCTACCCTCCACCAGGGTTGTGGGGACTTCCATGCAGCCTCAGTGGGAGCTTGCCTGTCACCTGCGGCCCAGGTGGTGTGACAATGACCTTTGCCCTCCCCCTCCTTCCCACAGGTCCCGCAACTTAGCTGTGGAGACAGATGGCAGTGGCAAGAGGCCGCTGCACGTGAACAAATGCCCTCCCCACTCCGCGCACCCCCTGGTGGCTCAGGAGACTCTATAGCCTGGGGCACAAGTGGCCCTTGAGGTGATGTCAGTGCCCAGGTGCCTGGGTTCCTATGTCCAGGGCACCTGCTCTGTCGCTGAAGGCTCTGACAAACTCTCAAGTGTCCGGGGAAAGAGACGCCCTGCTTCTTTTTCACAGCCTCCTGGTGGCCCTAGGCCTTTGTTACGGAGGCTCTGCCAAGGTGCACATCTGGGTCCCAAGTAAACACCTAGAACTCAGAACTCCAGACATCAGGCTCCATGTGAAAATCCGGGTCCAGGAAATATGGGTCCCAGGAAGTCCTCAGTCACCAAGAAACACTCAGGCCTCAGTTGGCTATCCAGTCCCAAGTTGACACCCAGGCCTCAGGTGAACACCAGGCGCTAAGAAAACATCAGGCCCCAGCTGAGATCAATCCCTGGGTGGTCGCCCGAACCCGACCTAAATACCAAGCCCCAGGTTGACATAGGGCCCCAGGTCACATTAGGCTCCAGGTAGACACTGAACTCTAAGTAGACTTTAGGCCCCATGTTCACAGCCACACCTCAAGAGGACACCACACCCCAGGGTAGCTGTAAGACTCCATCCAGACACCAGTCCCCAGGTGGAGAATTTGGGCCCCATTGGATATCAGGTTCCAGGTAAACACCAAACCCTAGTTGGGTATCTAATCCATAGGAGGACATGAGGCACCAGGTTGGCACACAGCCCATGCATAGATACCTACAGCACAGGTGGACATGAGGCCTCAGGTACATACCCAGCCCCCAGGTGACTATCAGGGCCTAGGTGAACACCAGCTCCTAGATGAACATCGGGACCCCAGTGGATACCCAGGCCCCTGGGAAACATCAGGCTCCAGGTGGACACCAGGACCCATGTGGGCAACCAGGTCCACAGGTACATCAGGTTCCACACGGACACCCAACCTCCAAGTGGATACCGAGCCCCCAGGGGTACACACCAGTCCCTCAACAACCGAAAGGTCACATATTCTCTGGCCAAATGCAACACAGTCCTCTCCCCCAAAAATATGTACTTGGGAAACTGAAAAGTACACTTCTCAATCATTCTCAAGTCAAGGAACTCTTAATAGAAGGCCAAAGACATACCGAAAGAACAAACCATGAAACTCCCGCATCCAACACGAGTGCAATGCTGCTCAACTAGTCCCAGAGCAAGACCCACCACAGGCTTTGCATGGAGGACACCAAGCTAATTTGTTTTTTTTGTATTTTTAGTAGAGACGGGGTTTCACCATGTTAGTCAGGATGGTCTCGATCTCCTGACCTCGTGATCTGCCCGCCTCAGCCTCCCAAAGTGCTGGGATTACAGGCCTGAGTCACTGCACCCAGCGAGATATGCGTACATTTTTAAACATGTCAAATGTGAGATGCAATATTTCTCATAGATTAAAACAAAACACAAACTCAAAATCAGTAATATTCTTCACATTTCAAAATATAATGTATTTTGCTGGATTACCACACTCTATGCTGTTATCAAATCATCATTTTTGTACTCACAATATCAATACATCTCAAAATATGAAAGTATGTATCATCACAATTTCCGTCCTACTCAAAACCTAATGGCCTGGCCATGGGCTGATACAGTAAGCCTTCTGTGACTCAGATTTCTTTGATGTAAAATAAACAAATTGGACTGAATAATGGCACTGGTCATTTATTCCACATTTTACAAAACAGTTTTTAGAATAAAAAGCGTTAAGTCCTTGGTGATTCTGAAATAGGTTACATTTGACAAGTGATTTAAACTTCTATGAGACTTGAATCATAAACCCTAAAAAGGGAGTAACGAGATAATGACATAATAAACACATATTGAATGCATTTTTTAGTAAGTTCTCTCATTTAGTCCTCATAGAAACCTTAAAACAGAACTATTGTTAGCCCAATACTGAATCTAAGATTTGAAAACAGTATCCGATTTGCTAACTTATCAAAAGTCCTAATAATCAATTAACCTTCTTTCTTGCAACAAAGTAATTTTTTTGACATTTTCATATATAAATTTTTTTCCCAACTATAATTTTGGATTTATGTACAAGTACACAGATACCACCTTACTTTTCATGTTTACCTTGAAGGGTAGAAAACAAAATCATGTTTTATAAATGTGGTATAAAATTCCACATGTTCTCATGGTGTCATGTCAATAATCCACTACACTAAACCAACTGTAACAAGGTAGTGTATGCTTTAACCATCCAATTAAGAATAAATCTGAGCCAACACCTTGATGACATGGGAATGTGCTTCATGTTAAACTGATGTGGCAGCAATCCAAGGGACTAAGCACATGATTATTCAAATTAAAAAGTACAAAAGGTGTGGATTTTCTGGGCTACATCACAGAATATTTGGTGAAACCATAATACAGACTTGAGTGAAGGGGATTTTTAATAGATAACAAGTAATTCTTTATAGTGATTTGAGAAAGTATGAGAACATATGAGAAAAGCGAGGTAATTTAAGATTTACTTTTGTAAAACCATGTGGACAAAGATTAAATGTTATGCTTGCATTTTTGAACATTATAAATATAAAACACAAAACATCCAACGTTAAATAAATACTGATCTCCCATGACTGACCTGGGTTTAGATATTGAGTATTTCCCATTTTATAGAAAGAAACTTTCCAAGTTTTGTCAATAAAGTATATACTATTATTCCTCACCAAAATCTTCATGAAATTTAAAAGGCTGATATTAAAAGTAGTTTTTTTTTCTCAAATACGCTAAAACATGTGAGTTTGGATTAACCTTCAGATTTTCAAGGCACGAAAGATACACAAATAGAGTACCCAAGAATATGTTTTAACACATTTAGGGTAAGTTTGTTTACAGTTGTGACAGGAATACCTTTAACTTTCAGGCATTGAAGAAAAATACCCTAAGCAAACATAAAGGGTGTTTTGGGTCAAGTTACTTCTTAGTACAAATAATACATTGTATCAATCAGTTTTTAAGCCAAATTCTTAAAATCATTCAAAAAACACTTGCATTTTATAATTGTCAAACAATGCAGTTATGTAATAGAAGATACAACAAAATTTAGAAATAAAAAATCTCACACTATATTCCAAGCATCCAAGTAAGAAAGAAGAAATTTGCAAATTAAGGAATTATCAATGTTGCTCAGAAACATGCCTTACTTTTACTCTGAAATTCACTTTAACTGCTTGACATATAACTTAATACCTAAAAATAATATAGCTAAGTTGTTTAATAGTATTTATAGAATGTTACTTTTCTGGGTAGACATGTTTCACACAACAGTTTTCAACTAATGCTGAGCATTCATTTAATAATTTTAATCAATTTGATTCACTGATTAATAATTTATTCAGTAATTTAGATGCCATAAGAATCACTGAAAGGAATAATCTGATAGTTGCTCGTTGTAAAATCCTGCCCATTAGTAATACTAAGCCAAGAATCTGATCGCTATCCCACTCTGTTGAATTACATGTTTCCATGTGTGTGATTTTGGTCAACAACAAAAAAATCGATACACAATGTCATGCTTTTTCCTTTTCCTTTTTTTTCTTTTTAACAAACAGCTCAATGATTTGGGAGGTTGGTTAGTGTCAGGCCTCTGAGCCCAAGCCAAGCCATCGCATCCCCTGTGACTTGCACGTATACGCCCAGAAGGCCTGAAGTAACTGAAGAATCACAAAAGAAGTGACTATGCCCTGCCCCACCTTAACTGATGACATTCCACCACAAAAGAAGTGCAAATGGCCGGCCCTTGCCTTAACTGATGACATTACCTTGTGAAAGTCCTTTTCCTGGCTCATCCTGGCTCAAAAAGCACCCCCACCGAGCACCTTGCAACCCCCACTCCTGCCCGCCAGAGAACAAACCCCCTTTGACTGTAATTTTCCTTTACCTACCCAAATCCTATAAAACGGCCCCAAACTTATCTCCCTTGGCTGACTCTCTTTTCGGACTCAGCCCGTCTGCACCCAGGTGAAATAAACAGCCATGTTGCTCACACAAAGCCTGTTTGGTGGTCTCTTCACACGGACGCGCATGAAAGTTAGTACAATACAGAGAACATAGGGAGAAAATATAAAATGGCACTGAACACCAATGCCAATTCTTATCTCATTATGGTTATAATGAAGGATATTATTAATATTTGTTATTTGTTTTTCTTTAGAACATAAATCAATGCCATTAACTTGAACTTGAGGTACATACAAAATACACGCACAACCTTAACTAATATACTTTTCATAAGTAACATCACATTTTAAAATATTGAAAACTGAGTATCTCTGCTGATTTGTATTTTGACTTAATGGAACAAGAAGAAAACAACATTCAACTCGGGAGAGTTATGCTGATAATAAAATTCTTAAAATTCAAAATGTCTTCCTCTCCCTTTGTACTTACCACAGGCTACACAATGTCCTGAGAGGATTCATTAAGAGAAAAATGTCAATCACAGCTTTAATAACTTACTTTGGATAAAACTAATGAGAAAGCAAATTGGAAGGTGAGACTTCATCTTTGTTTTCTTTTTCTTTGACTTTGAAAAAATCTGATTTTATTTTCTGAATCAAAAAGAAGTATTTCATGTTAAATTTAGACTGTTTAGCTTTCCACTATCTCAAGATACTTTCCAGATATTAACAGTACTCAGAACTGTGTAAAAGTGAACAACCAATACCATGTTTTAAAGAAAAAAGTTTCAATGTAAGACTAATTCTTGGGGACATTACTAAATGTATTTCTAAGAAACCCTTCTCAAAGATCAAAGTATTGGCAAGTCTAATTTAAAAATTTATAATTTTTAATTACTGGAAATTTAAGTAACAATAGTTTCAAGAGCTAAGAATCAGATTGCTTTTTAAAACAGATTTTTTTTTTCCTGAGGGATTCATACTTGACAACAACTCCAGTTAAATGTAATACTCCACCCAAATATCAAATTTAAATGCATTATTTCACCTTGGAATAGTAACATTATAAAATGGAATTTCTAAATTACAATATGTATACATAATACACCATTTTAACCGTCACATTTACCAGCAGAATTATTAAAACAACAAATTCTACATTCAAGAGACAAATGATAAATGCTCTTTCATTGTTTTAAGAGTCCATTCCATTCTTTGTTGTTTTCTACTCCCATATTTTAAAATTATGATCAAAGGACCAAAGGCCAAGTCAATCCCATTTCCCCGAACCCAACTGCCAGTAGGCACTGGCCTTACATAGGCGTCCTTTAACAAGCTCCATTTTCAAAAGGTTGGAGGTATTTATGTAAGAACTTATTGCAAAGTGACTCTAAAATCCACATTCCCAAGATCTAGTACAGGCTATTCATGTGTTCTGAGGCATGTCCAACATGCAGGCAAACTTATCTGTTCAAATTGAGGTAAGACAGACAAAAAACACAATATTAACAGAAGCTACATAATTAAAACTAACCTTTTGCTGTTTATTTAAGCTAATTATGTATTCCTACAAAACAGAGACCCTCAAGTCAATAATTTCTTTGATTTTAGTCACCCCCAAATTAAGCCTCTTCTTTCAAAGCCATTATTAGTTAACAAAAGTTTTAAAATGAAGAAAAATATTTTTTCCAGAACCTGTATTTTGTAATTAGTGTGATACAATTTCTTTTTATTTTTCAAACTTAGAAATAAATCATCTATGGGTACTATTTGATATTTTTTTCAGATACCAAGGAATACCGACAGGGTTCATAAATAGGATTTTCTGACACTGGCAGGAAAGTCCGCTAACATTTAGAAAATACCAAAGACTCTTCTTTCAAACTTCAAAGATGGCTGAGAATTAACAGTTATGATTAGTTTTTTAGTACAAATAAAAATTTTAAATCTTGATTTTTTGGTCAACATTTTAATACAGTCAAATGTTACTCTACTTCCAGTTTTCAAATCAAAACAAACAAACAAAAAAACTAATGAAAATTACCCAATTAGCAACAAGTATGGTATTCCAATGTTATTTTTAAACCAATTATAACCTACTGCTAGTAATTATTTGTAAGTACCTGCTTGTTTTATTAAGCACTGGTCAGTTATATAAAAGAATAATTTGCAAGAATGATACTTGGCAATGGGTTACCTTAATGCTTCTGGAATAAACAGAAGCATTAACAAAACACCAGATCTTAAGCACTTTTAAATCTGTAATTTGAATTACCAAAAGGGTTTTTAAATGTTACTTTTCCATTGATAGATTGTAGGGAGTCTAGTCCCAGCTAACATAGTTGATTTTAAAAAACAAATAAATCCCTAAGCCCCATAGTAATGGAATACTACACTTGTGCTTTTTATATCATATGAAAACAGCTCCAGGCAGAGCACAAGTAGAAGAAAACCTGCCAAATCAAAGCACTGTAAATAAAGTTCCTCTACGTACTCCAGTGAGAAAACCTCAAAAATAAAAATCAGAAGACCGCCCACTGTTACCCCCACCACCACCCCAACAAAAACCACCCAAAACACTTTAGTTCTGAACCTAACATTTCCCTAAGATGTTCACAGGAGACGCTTTAAGGTACTTAAAGCTACAGATGAAAGTGCCATACTACAGAGGAAATGCCCTGAAGGGTTCAGCAGCTGCCCACCCATCCCGAACCACCCCCCATCCCAGTAATACGTAAAAGCTCCTGTTAAAGTCTTTTCATTATGCTAATAAAGGCATACCACCTAGCGTGCTAAAGACTACAACTAGCGGCATTAGAGCAGCAAAGTGAAAATAGGAAGCCTACAGGAATGATCTAAATGCCTACTTAGAAGAAACAAAGCAGCAGACAGGACCCTTAGCCCGCTTGTCTATGTAGGGAAGCAGTTGAACTAAATTCAGATTTACCCACATTAACAAAAATTTAACAAAGCTTCCTCAAGACACCAGAATAAAACTTGACCTTTCCAGTCAAAAGGCACACAGAGGCCTCTTCCATGTCCAGGCGTTGAATGAGTTCAAAAGATTGGCAATAAAGGAAAAAAGAAAGCATTACGGGTGTGATGGGAACAAGCTTTGGAGTTTATCGAACAGTCACACCAAGTTTCTCTAGCACACGGACACCCCTTTCTTGGTACTCTTGTCGGGTCATCCAAAAGTTGTCTTTGTCTTTCATGGTATCTGCTAGAACTGCACCACCCATGTGCTTTCTGAGGGGTAGGTCTTCGATGCGGATCTTAAATTTAAAAAGTTTTTCCACATCACCCTTTAAAACTCGTTCTAAGTAAAGCTGTTTAAGTTCTCGTTCCAACCTTGATGACAGGCCAGGATACATAGTAGACCCTCCAGAAAGCACAATGTGTTTGTAGGATTCAGATCAGGTATCAATGTCAGCTGCCTGAATTGTGTTCAAAAGCAATTCAGCAACACCAACTCCTTCAACACTGATCAAGTGAGGCTGAAATAAAATTTCTGGTGCTTCAAATCTCTCCCCTCCAACTTTGATGATATGTCCATCTGGGAATGTATAAGATTCAACTAATACTTTGGTTTCTAAGGCCAGTTTCTGCTCTTGCTCAATATTATATCCCACGTAACAGTTTTTCTTTAATCATGCAAACCGTTTCAAAATCAGCAGGGTGGTTGAAGGCATATCCTCGCAATAGAAGCAACCTGGTATCTAGTTACATCCCTCTCAGCAATATCCAGTCTCCTGGTAAGATGAGGGAGAGAAAAGCCTTCATATACTGGGCAAATATGACTCACACTATCTCCAGAGTCTACCGCTACACCAGTCAATAAACCTTGAGCGTACAAAGTCAGAACCGTCTGGATGGCTACATATACACCGGAAAACTGCTAAGTTTCAAACATTACCTCTACAGTCTTCTCTGTGTTTTTGGTTGGGTTCATAGGAGGTTCTGTGAGTAAGATTTTACAATTTCTGGTATCTATATTAAGTTTCTCTGGTCCAAACGTGTAGTCCCACAGGTTTTTCACGTCATCCTAATTTCTTACTATGCCATTTTCCATAGGGTAATTAACTTCCAACATTGATCGTAATTCACCTGCCTCATCACCAACCATAAGATCCTTGTTCAATGTTTCCCACTTTGGTGGTTGATCTGATAATAGGTCTTCCAACCAAAGCTGGGAAGATGTCTTCTGGAAAGTTAGAGCCTGCATATAACCACACTTCACAAGCCCGGTGCTGTTGTTGTACACCACCACCTTCCTGTCCTGGCTGTCCATCGTCCGCCGCGGGGGAGAGCCGCTACCGCTGCACAACCTACAGCCGCCGCCGCCCGGCCGTTTTCTCTTCTTCCTCCTCCCTCTCCATCTTTCTTTTCAAATAAGTGGTCTTAATTTTTCTTCTTATAGAAAAAGTTTAAATCAGTTTATTATAAATATATCTAAACCATTAATTTTTGCAGCTTTCAGGTAAAGTCCAGCACTTCATTTATACAAAGTCTATGAGGTTAGAAGAGATCATGTAATCTAAAGTCGTGACATCGTCCATTCAAGTCTTTGGCACAATCCCTTGCCAGTTAGAGCACAGCATGCCTGGATATGCCACTAACTGTTATCTTTAATAGAAGGTAGCTTCAAAAACTGGGAGATTTCCGCTACAGTCAGGCATTCTTTAACGTCTCGTTTATTAACAAAACTCAGCAATCCAGCTTTCCTTAGGTCCTCATGCGCTAACGTTTTATAGAGTTCTTCTCTAGTTACAGAAATCATGTGTCTGTACTGTCCACAACTATTATCAACTCTGTGTTAGTATAGTAAGTGTTCCAGGAAGAACGAAAAGATTCTTGGCCACCAATATCCCACATTAGGAAACGCGTATTATTAATCACTATCTCTTCTACATTACTTCCTATTATAGGAGATGTATGTACAACCTCATTCATAGAAAACTGGTAAAGAATGGTAGTTTTCCCTGCATTATCCAGCCCAACAATGATAACTTTGTGCTCCTGGTGATCGAACAGTCTCCACGTTCTGGGGGAAGAAAATTCTCATTCTCGGACAGCAGACCCCCGGCTCCAGACACCCGGGCCGCCTGGCCTCCCCTGGCTCAGGCGGACGGGGAAGAGAGAGAGGCGCTGGAGCCTCCATCTCTGCTGCTGCTCCCGCGCTAGCCGCGGGCCCGCTTCCAGGGAACCGGCGGGAGGCCGAAGCCCAGGCCGCCCTGCCGCGCGAAAGGCCCCGACGCTGCCGCCGCGGCACTGGCCTGGCTCCCGGACATCGCCGCCACCTTGTCTGCGACGAGCCTCGCGGGCCAGCGTCCTCCCCAAGCTCCTCTTGGGCGGCTGCACCAAAGTAATTCTTTTTCCAACACACAAGATCCCTTGCTTACCTAACAGGACCAAATGAAGTGAAAGCATGTTAAAATTCTAATCCACTGCTTAAACATTACAAATTTAATTTATGCATACAAAATTGAATCCATGCCACTCTATCTATACACAACAATGCAATATTTTCAACATACAGTTTTCTGATAAAATAATGCCGTGTCCCACATAATTAAAAAACTATCAAGATTTCTCTTTTCATCAAATAATTTGGCCTATTAAAATAACACAACATAACAGACCATGTGATAGTTTCCCAACATCTTCCTATCTATAAAGTTTGTATGAGATTACATCTCACAAGAAGAAAAGTAAATATAAGTAAAATAGAAGAGATGATGATTTAAAAATCAAAACAGATCATATAAGGGCTTGTGTAAAACTTACAAATGCTTCAACAAAGAATTATACTTTGAGAATTTTAAACTGTTCACATGATATGCTTTGGAAACAGCATATACTGTTAGAAATGTGACTGAATAAAATGATCGAGTAATATAAATGAAAAATGGCCTCAAATCGGTGGTAGTAAGTAACCAGTGTGGAAAACTGGATGGAGAATTAACTGCAATTCAATTATCTATATTAAAATGACTCCTAGATTTCTCAAAGAACTCAAAGTAGAACTACCATTCGATCCAACAATCACACTACTGGGTATCTACCCAGAGGAAAAGAGGTCATTACATGGAAGACAGATGCATATGCATGTTTTCATAGTAGCACAATTCGCAATTGCAAAAATAGGAAGCCCATCAACCATACCCATCAACTAAATGCCCATCAGCCAACGAATGGATGAAGAAAATATGGTATATATACACAGTGGTATACTACTCAGCCATAAAATGGGATGAAATAATGGCCTTTGCAGCAACCTGGAGGCAGCCAGAGGCCATTATTCTAAGTAACTCAGGAGTGGAAAACCAAGTATCATATGTTCTCACTTGTAAGTGGAAGCTAAGCTATGAGGATGCAAATGCATTTAAGAATGATATAATGGACTTTGGGGACTCGGAGAGAAAGGTAGGAGGGGGTGAGGAATAAAAGAGTACATATTGGGTGCAATGTACACCACTCAGGTACGGGTGCACCAAAATTTCAGAAATCACCACTACAGAACTTACTCGTGTAAGCAAAAAACACCTGTATCCCAAAACGACTGAAAAATAAAAGACTTCTACATGCAATTGGAAGCTATGCAACATACAAAGAGAAATTGACCATACGTAGCTGAAAAAATAAAAAATGATTTTTCAATGCAAAATGAATGTTGTAAATAAGGCATTAGTTTTGTCATGGGAGATATGAGTGTGATTCTATTTACATTGTATTGCTACTGTGAAACGGACACAGATATTGTACTGTTTGAATGAATATGTCATTTTTTTTCTTGCCTATTTCAAACAGATCTTAGACAAGGAAAAGATACTCTTGTATAACACCAATTTTGTTTCCACACATACTCCCTTTTGTAGTAAAGGAGACTGAAAATAGAGTTCACAAAATATAATATAAACCGTATAATAAATATGTCACGGTACATTTGGAATTACAGTAATCAGAAACTTCAAGTTGAAAGAGCAATGAGATGATTTTATTGCCTGTAATATAGATAGGAATTAATAAAATTTATAGTATTTAATTGTAGTGTGACGTGTGGGAAAATTGATACTGGTACTATTACATAAAATTAATGAAAACGCGATTTTTACCAGCATATTTGAGGGTGAAAAGTAATTGTCATATTTTAACATGTTCATTGATTTTTGGATCGGCAATTCCAAATCTGAGAAGCTGTCAGAAGTATGCTTAATTGCCCATAGTGATATATGCTCAGAGGCATTCATCATAACATTATTTATGGTGGGTAAAGATTAGAAAAACCCAGGCTCTCTCTTGGTAGTGGTGAATGTTATTAAAATACAAACCAACAGAAGATAACACTTCCCAAGGGAACATTCTTACAGTGACTATGACGTAAAACTAGCAACATTCATCACTTCTAAAATATGTGGAGGGTATTTAATACATAGTTTCATTGTGAACTCTTTAAATATTTGCATAATTATAAATAGAAAATAAATGAAAATAAAAGGAAAGGTTACAATATAAACAAACAAATATAACTGACATTTAATTCACTGTTCTGATTAGCAGTGCACTTATATATGTCGGTAATTGAGTGTGAGACTATGCATGCTTTTTTTTCTTTGTTTCATATTTTAATGTTTAAAATAAAATTGAATATATTTAAGTGGACAGCCTGTTTTGATTCATATATATGAAAATCTATATGTATTTGTATATATACATACATATACACAGTTAAATAATTACTACAGTCAAACTAATGAACTCATCTTCTCACATAGTTAGATGACAGCACCTGAAATACACTCTCTTCACAAATTTCCAGTATACAGTATTATTAACTATAATCACATAACTGCAACTTTGTACTCTTGGGCCAACAGGTCCCCTTTTCTCCCACCTCCCTGTCCCTGGTAAGCACAATTCTACCCTGCTTCCATTTATTAAACTTTTTAAGATTCCCGCCGGGCGCGGTAGCTCACGCCTGTAATCCCAGCATTTTGGGAGGTCGAGGCCGGTGGATCACCTGAGGTCGGGAGTTCCAGACCAGCCTGACCAACATGGAGAAACCCAGTGTCTACTAAAAATACAAAAAATTAGCAGGGTGAGGTGGCACATGCCTGTAATCCCAGTTACTCGGGAGGCTGAGGCACGAGAATCCCTTGAACCTGGGAGGCGGAGGTTACAGTGAGCTGAGATTGCGCCATTGCACTCCAGCCTGGGCAACAAGAGAAAAATTCCATCTTAAAAAAAAATTAGTAATAATAGTAGAGTACCTCCACACTCCACTATAATCAACACTCCACTATCGTCAATGGGCAGATCATCCAGACAACAAAAAATCATCAGTTAAGCTGTACTCTATACCAAATGGACCGAACAGAAATGTACACAGCTTTGCACGACTCCACGACTGCACAATGCACATTCTACTCAGTAGCACATGGATTATCCTCCAGGATAGGCTATGTGTTAGGCCGAAAAGCAAGTAACGGCACATTTTTAAAAACTGAAATCATATCAAGTATCTTTTCTGATCACAGTGGAATACTACTAGCAATCAGTAACAGCAGGAACTTTAAAAACTGTACAAATATATGAAAATTAAAACATGCTCACAAACCACCAATAAATGAAAAAATTAAAAATTCATTGAAATGAGGCCGAGGCGGGCGGATCACACGGTCAGGAGATTGAGACCATCCTGGCTAACATGGTGAAACCCCGTCTCTACTAAAAATACAAAAAATTAGCCGGGAGTGGTGGCTGGCACCTGCAGTCCCAGCTACTCAGGAGGCTGAGGCAGGAGAATGGCTTGAACCCGGGAGGCGGAGCTTGCAGTGAGCGGAGGTCGCGCCACTGCACTCCAGCCTGGGCCACAGAGCGAGACTCTGTTTCAAAAAAAAAAAAAAAAA
This sequence comes from Homo sapiens, assembly GCF_000001405.40. NCBI lineage: Eukaryota > Metazoa > Chordata > Mammalia > Primates > Hominidae > Homo > Homo sapiens. Next base: position 24,682,304 of record NC_000022.11, on the reverse strand, counting down.
AAAAATTCATTGAAATGAATAAGGGAAATTAAAAATTCATTGAAACAAATAAGATTAGAAACACAACATAAAATCTGTGGGATGCGGCAAAAGCAGTTGTAAGAGGTGAAGTGCATAGCTATAAATGCCTAATCAGAAAAGTAGAAAGATCTCAAATAGCCAAGCTGACAGTACACTTCAAGTCATGAGAAAACCAAGAAAAATCAAATGCTAAAATTAGTAGAAAGAAATAAATCATGAAGATTAGAGAAGAAATTTTAAAAATAGAAACAAAAAAATACAAAAAAACAAAGGAACAAAGCTGCGGTTTTTGAAAAAAAAAATTGACAAGCTATAACGAGACTAGGAAAAAAAGAAAGAAAACTGCAGTAAAATCATAGATGAAAAAGGAGACATTACAATTGATAACACAGAAACACAAAGGATCGTAAGAGATTACTAAAAACACCTATATACAAACAAATTGAAAAATCTAGGAGAAATGAATAAATTTCTGGGAACGCAGCAATTTCACAAGCTAGAATAATAAAAAACCTGAACAGACTAATAATGAGCAATGTAATTAAAGCAGTAATAAAAATCTCCCATCAAAGAAAAACAGAAAAATTATGGTTTTATTGCTGAATTCTACCAAACATTTTTTAAAAAGGTAATACTAATTTAATTCAAAATATTCCCCAAAAAATGAAGAGGAAGGAGTACTTCCAAACTTGTTCTATGAGGTCAGCATTAGCCTGCTACAAAAACTAGACTAGGACACAACACAGAAAGAAAACCACAGGCAAATATCGCTGATGAACACAGATGCAAAAAATCCTAACAAAATACTTGGGGATTCACCAGAGGAATATGAGAATGATTCAACACAAATAAATAAATGTCATACATCACATTCAGCGAATCAAGAATAAAAACCATATAATCATTTCAGCAGATGCTGAAAAAAATAAAATTCAACATTCCTTCATGATAACAACTCAAAAGGAGTACAGAAGGAACACAGCACAAGAAAGGCCATATATGACAAACCAACAACTAACATCGTAATCAATGGGGAAAAGTTAAAAGCTCTTCCTGTAAGGAACAAGTGGCTACTTTTACCACTTTTATTCATCGTGGTACTGGAAGTCCTAGCTAGAGCAATTAGACAGGAGAATGCAATAAAACCCATCCAAATTGGGGGAAAAAAAAGTCAAATTGTTTCTGTTTGCAGGGTGACATGATCATATATACATAGAGAGAGCACCCTAAAGATTCCACAAAAAAACCTACTAGAAATAATAAATTTAGTAAAGTTGCAAGATACAATATCAACATACAAAAATGAGTAGCATACACATGCACCAATAGTGAAACACGTAAGAAAGAAATCAGGACAGTAGCTACCCACCCCCACCCTCCAAAATAATGATACCTAGGGATAAACTTAACCAAAAAGCTGAAAGATCCTACAATGAAAACTAGAAAACATAGATCAAAGATATTAAAGCAGACACAAGAAAATGGAAAGATATCCCACGTCCATGCACTAGAAGAATATTGTTAAAATATCTCTATCACTCAATGTGATCTACAGAATCAATGCAATCCATGTTAAATTACGAAGACATTCTTCATAGAAATAGAAAACTATTCTAAAATTCATGTGGAAATGCAAAACACCTCAGAGAGACCAAAGAATCTTGAATAAAAAGAAAAGCTGGAAGCATCACACTACCTAATTTCAAAATATACTACAAAATATACTATAAATCCATAGTAACTGGAAATCCATAGTATAATATCAAAACAGCATGGTACTATCAAAAAAGGGGCAGGGGAGAGACAGACAGACATAAACAAATGAAACAGAATAGAGAACTTAGAAATAAATTCACGCATTTACAGTCAACTCATTTTCAACCTAGGTACCAAGAACACACCCTCTGGAATAACAATATCTTCAACAAACTGTGCTAGGAAAACCCGACACCCACATGTAGAAGACTAAATCTAGACCGTTATCTTATCATACACAAAATTCAACTCAAAGATTTAAATGGAGGACCTGAAATTATGAAACTACTAGAGAAGAAAACATAGGATAAATGCTTAATGAAATTGGTTAGGACAAGGAATTTTCAAACAGACATCAAAAGTACAAGCAACAAAAGCAAAAATAGACAAATGGAATTACATTAAACTTAAAAGCTTCTGCAAAGCAGAGGAAGCAATCAATAGAATGAAGAAACAATCCAGAGAACGGAAGAAAGTATTAGCAAATTATGCATCAGGCAAGTGGTTCATACACAAAATACAGAAAGACTCCTCAAAAGCAAAAATACAAATAATCTTATTTAAAAATCAGAAAAAGATCTACCCAAAACCTTTGTCCCCCCACCATTACCTTCCCACCTTCTTTTCCCAACTGCCTTCAGCCCCCTCCCTCTCGCCACCCTTTTGTCTTTCTCCACCTACCCCAAAACTTCTTCCCCACCATTTTTCCCCACCTTCTTTTCGCAAAGCCCCCTCTACTCTCCCGCTCACCACCCTTCTCCCCACCATCTTTTCCTCCTCTCCCTGGCCACCCTCTTTCCCCCCTCACGCTCTCATCACCCTCTTTTGCTCCTCCATTTACCCAAAAACATTTTCCCCCATCTTTTCTCAAAGCCTTCTCTCCACTCCTGCCACTCACCACCCTCTTCTCCCCCTCCATCTACCCCAAAACTTATTTTCCCACCATCTTTTTCCCCACCCTCTGTCTGCAACGCCTTCTCCTGCTCGCCATCCTTTTTTCCCTTTGGCACTCACCACCCTCTTTACCCCTCCATCTACCCCAAAACTATTTTCTCCCCTCCTACCACTTCAGCTGCGCTGCCGTCTCTGTGGCTGCCACCAACTGCAGCAAGGCGAGGTGCCATGTCACAGGCCCCAGCCCCCAACGTGGGGCAAGTAGCTCTCCCATGTCCTCGTCCTCTAGCCCGACAGGAGCAGCCTTCCCTGCTGGTGGCCCTCTTACCGCTCCTGGGGCACTGCAGTCTCAGTAGCCACCACCTACCACAGCGAGGCAAGGCATGAGGAGAGCCACAGTGCCCGTAGGCTCCAGCCTCCAGCCTCCAGCCTCCAGCGTGCAGTAGGTGGCTTCCTAAGCTAGCACGGAACAGCAGGTCACTGCTAAGCAGAAAATCCTGGAATGGCCTGACGGCCCACTATGCTGATGTTAGGCAATGGGGTTCCTGGATTGCGTGTTCTGATTGAATGAGAGAAAAACCTCTATGCCTACTCTGATTGGACTTTATTTTCATGCTCTGTTTGGTTGTCCTAATACTTGCTCTCATCCAGTCAGAACATGATAATAAAGTCCAATCAGAGTAGGCCTAGAGGCTTTTCTCTCATCCAATCAGAACACACAGTCCAGGAACCCCATTGCCCAACCTCAGTATATAAAGCATGCTGAGGTGGGCAGTCAGGCCACTCCAGGCTCCACTCCATTTGTCAATTCTGGTTTTTGTTGCAATTGCTTTTGGTGTTTTTGTCATGGAAGTCTTTGCCTGTGCCTATGTCCTGAATGGTATTGCCTAGGTTTTCTTCTAGGGTTTTTATGGTTTTGGGTTTTACGTTTAAGTCTTTAATCCAGCTTGAGTTAATTTTTTATAAGGTGTAAAGAAGAGGTCTAGTTTCAGTTTTCTGCATACGGCTAGCCAGTTTTCCCAGTACCATTTAATGAATAGAAGATCCTTTCCCCATTGCTTGTTTTTGTCAGGTTTGTCAAAGATTAGATGGTTGTAGATGTGTGGTGTCATTTCTGAGGTCTGTGTTCTGTTCCATTGGTCTATATATCAACATCACTGTTCTGTTCCATTGGTCTATATATCAACATCACTGATCATCACAGAAATGCAAATCAAAACCACAATGAGATACCATCTCATGCCATTCACAATTGCGATGATTAAAAAGTCAAGAAACAATAGATGCTGCCAAGGCTGTGGAGAAATAGGAATGTTTTTACACTGTTGGTGGAAATGTAGATTACTTCAACCATTGTGGAAGACAGTATGGTGATTCCTCAAGGATCTAGAACCGGAAATACCCCAGCAATCCCATTAGTGGGTATATACTCAAAGGAATACAAATCGTTCTACTGTAAAGACACATGCATATGGTATGTTTATTTTATATACATATATATTTTTATTATACTTTAAGTTCTAGGGTACACGTGCACAACATGCAGGTTTGTTACATATGTATACGCACACGGTATGTTTATTGCAGCACTGTTTACAATAGCAAAGACATGGAACCAACCCAAATGCCTGTCAATGATAGACTGGATGAAGAAAATGTGGTACATATACACCATGGAATACTATGCAGCCATACAAAGGAATGAGATCATGTCCTCTGGAGGGACATGGATGAAGCTGGAAGCCATCATCCTCAGCAAACACAGGAACAGAAAACGAAACACTGCATGTTCTTACTCATAAGTGGAGTTGAAAAATGAGAATACAAGGACACAGAGAAAGGAACAACACACACCAGGGCCTGTTGTGGGGTGGGGAACAAGGGGAGAGAACAGTCTCCCCTCGTTAGTTAGAGGATGGGTCAATAGGTGCAGCAAACCACCATGGCACATGTATACCTATGTAACAAACCTGCATGTTCTGCACATGTATCCTGTTTTGTTTTTTTTTTTAAATAAAGAACAAAAAACCAGGAAGGCCACAAAGGACCATGTATTATATGATTCCATTTATACAAATTATCTAGCAGAAACAAATCCATAGAGATAAAAAGAATATGAGTGATTGCCAGGGGTTGGGGTAGGGAGTATAGAGGCTGGCTACTAATGGATACAGGATTTCTTTTTGGAGTGATGCAAAGTTCTAACATTAGATCACGGTGATAGTTGCACAATCCTATGAATATATTGAAAACCACTAAGTTTTACACTTTAAATAAGTGCATTGTATGACATATAAATTACATATCAATAAAGCTAAAATTCAAAAAAAAAAACAACCTAATGAACAACATCGAACAAACATTTCTGGAAAATATATCCCAACACTGTGAAAGACCTGATAAGAAGAAAGACTACGGTTTTGCAGAGGTCCAAGCGGAGAAAAGAAACACAGTCAAAGCTTTAAAGATGCTGAGATGCAGACTGCTCAAGGAGGCTGGCAGCTTGAGATCACTTAGACCGCTGGTTCTTGGCCATATCAGACCCAAATACCCCCTGCGCACCTTTTTTTTGAAACAGGATCTTACTCTGTTACCCATGCTGAAGTCCAGTGGTGCAATCATGGCTCACTGTAGCCTTGACCTTCCAAGCTCATTGGATCCTCCCAATGAGCCTCCCGAGTAGCTGGGATTACAGGTGTGAACCATCATGCCTCATCCCCTTTCTTTAAAAACAATTGAAAATATACCTTTACTATCCTGAAATGAAATTCAGAAATAACTTATTTATTAGATATATCTTCCAAAAATATCTACTTAACACAGCAACTATGATATAAAAACCATTTTTAATAAATAAATATAAATTTCAATATGTAAATTTTCAGGCAGAATGGTCAGAAATCCACATCTCTAAGTTGAATCACTGAATTTCACAGCTACAAATACTCTTCATTTGAGTATGTCATTTTGGCAACTCAGGTACCACACTACCTATCATGAATGCTATCAATAATGTGATTGATTCTTCATTTACCTAAAAAGATGAATCACTCTTAGTGTGATGGTTAATTTATGTGTCTTCTGACTGCATCATGGGGTGCCCAGACTTTTGGTCAAATATTTCTCTGGGTGTCTCTGTGAGGGTGTTTCTGGATGAAATTAACGTTTTATTCAGTGGACTGTCTAAAGCAGATTAACTTCCCTAATGTGGGTGGGCCTCATCTCATCAACTGTAAGACCTGAATAGAACAAAAAGGCTAAGTAAGAGGGAGCCCCTCCCACCTGACTGCTGAGCTGGGACATCTCTGCTTGCCGTCCGACTCAAACTGAAACAAACATTGGTTTTCCTTGGGTCTAAAGCCTGCTGGATTTCAGACAGAAACTTACATCGGTGGCTCTCCTGGTTTTCAGGCCTTCAGAGCCAGATCAGAATGACACCATCAGCTCTCCTGGATCTCTAGCTGGCCAACTGCAGATCTTGGGACTTCTCAGCCTCCATAATTGCATGAGCCAATTCCTTTAATAAGGATCTTGTTATAAATAGAATGCTTCCCCTTTATCCGAGGGGGATATGTTTCAAGAACCCCTACGGATGCCTAAAAATGCAGATATTGCCCAACTCCATATATACTATGTTTTTGCCTATACATAAAGATGCTCCTCAACTTATGATGAAATAAAAATATCGTAAGTTGAAAATATCAAGAGTCAAAAATTCATTTAATGCACTTTACCTATTGAACGTCATAGCTTAACCTAGCCTATCTTAAACATGATCAGACCACTTACATTAACCTATAGGTGGACAAAAATCATCTAACATGAAGCCTATTTTATAATAAAGTATTGAACACCTCATGTAATTTATTGAATATTATACATGACATTAAAAATGTGACAGTTTCACGCCATCATAAAGTTGAAAAATCTTAGGTCGAACCACAGCAAGTTGGGGACCATGTATACATACCACCTATGATAAAGTTAAGTTGATAAATTAGGCATAGTAGGAGATTAACAACAATAACTAATAATAAAGTAAGCAATAATACAATATGCTAGCATCACTACTCCTGCACTGTGGGTCCATTATTAAGTGAAATAAAGGTTACAAGCACTGTGATACCAGACAGTTAATCTGATAACCAAGACTAAGGGACTAATGGGCAGGCAGCACACACAGCATGGATACATCGGACAAAGTGAGGACTCATTTCCAGGTGTGACAATGAGACCGCACAAGATTTCATCATGTCATTCAGAACAGTCCACAATTTAAAACTTACCAACTGTTTGTTTCAGGAATTTTTCCATTCAATATTTTCAGACCTTGGTTGACCATGAGGTACTCAAAGCATGGAAAGCAAAACCATAGATAAAGGGCAACTGGTGAATACTTATATTTTCTCCAGAGAAACAGAACCAATAGGATGCGTGTGATACAATCATATATATTGGTTAAATATAGTTAAATATACTATATATATAAACATATCTCACTCTCTCTTTCCCACTGGATACATATATATATATATATATATATATATATATATATATATATATATATATGTGAGAGAACCAAGACTAGTAATACACTTAGTAAAACTAAGAACAAAATGAGATAATTTCCCTTCAAAGTCTAGACTAATTCCATTTCCTGAAATTTCCATTTCTACTAAAATTACATTTTAAAAAATCCTTTATGTAAAATGGAATTCAGTTATAGGTTCAGCCTTAAACAGTTTTTTTCTATCTACATAAGTTATTCAGCAAGATATTCTAGGCCAGGCGCAGTGGCTCATGCTTGTAATCCCAGCACTTTGGGAGGCCGAGGTGGATGGATCACCTGAGGTCAGGAGTTCGAGAACAGCCTGGTCAACATGGTGAAACTCCGCCTCTACTAAAAATACAAAAATTAGCCGAGCGTGGTGGCACATCTCTTAATTCCAGCTACTTGGGAGGCTGAGGCAGGACAATCGCTTGAACCCGGGTTGCAGTGAGCTGGGATCACACCACTACACTCTGTCCTGGGTGACAGAGTAAGATTTGGTCTCAGAAAAAAAAAAAAAAGATATTCTAAAGCTGTGCAGATCATAGGAAAAGTTCTATTTTACAGAACTGTCACCACACTAAGCCTTGAATTCCATGGGCCCTACCTATTAAATAAATGCCTATAGCACCCACCAACCATTGAGACAATCACAAATGCTTCCACAAATTCCTAAAATGACCCTCAGGCTCATAAAAAAACAAATTAGAATTCACCAGAAGATCCTGGGTCCCTACCTGGTCGAGATGGAGAAATCACTGGCTGACACTCCTCCCTAGAGCCCCTCTAGAGCCCTCCAGGTAGAGATTACAGAGCAGAGGAGCGAAGGAGCACAGTTCACAGCACTTCCAGTGTCTTGGAGAAGGGGAAGTGGTGGAAATTACCACTCTCTCTTCTCCAACTTTGCTCAAGGGTGTCACATCAGCACACATCACTGAGACCTCTAGTCCAGGAAAGTCAAGGTTTGGGGGAATAAAAAGTAGCTTTCCTCATAAAAACATTGTGGATCCTGCCTCTGTGTTCTAAGAATAATCTGAAACAATAGTCCATGAAGTATGCCTCATGTATTTGTCAAACAGTGTTTCTTAAAAACACCAAAATAGATGCACTACTCCCAAAATAACAGGGAAAGGCACTGAAGGCCTTGAGCCTCCCCCAGGCAGCAAGCACCATGTCCTGTGTGGTACCTTGTACAGTTCACTGGATCCTCACATGGTCCCAGGTGGGTATGTCTAGATGAAGGAACTAAGGATCAGAGATTGCAAGTAATTCTCTCCAGGTCAATTCATTCTTGAGGAACAACGGTCTGAATTCAAACCTCACTTCACTTCTGCCACTCCATATGGCCTCCAATATACACATAACACAAGTTAGGAATGCCAGATTTTGATCTCAATGAATATTTCACAACATATTAACAAACCGTGACAACACTAAAACTACACAGCTCAACCTGCCCCTTCTGGATCTGTCTACTTGTCCAATGTTGTCATCAGTGCTGGTATACTTTTTGTTTTTGAGATGAAGTCTTGCTCTTCTCCCCCAGTCTGGAGTGCGATGGCACGATCTCAGCTCACTGCAACCTCTGCCTCCCGGGTTCAAGTGATTCTCCTCCCTCAGCCTCCCGAGTAGGTGGGATTACGGGCGCCTGCCACCACGCCTGGCTAATTTTTGTATTTTTACTACAGACAGGTTTCACCATGTTGGCCAGGCTAGTCTCGAACTCCTGACCTCAGATGATCCGCCCTCGGCCTCCCAAAGTGCTGAGATTACAAGTGTGAGCTACCGCGCCGGGACCGTGCTGGTATTCTTAATCAACATTTTTTATTTTGAAGGGACTAACTACCATGTTATTTAACATAAAACCTTTCTTAGAGCAGAATATTTATTGCCAGGTCTAGATCCATATGTATTAAATTAGAGCTGTAAAAGTAAAATTCTTAGTTGTAATCATACTAATTGGAAGAAGGGAATGAGGGATGGGCATGAGTTGAAAAACTATGCTCACTACCTGGGTGACGGGATCCGTACCCCAAACCTCAGCATCGTGCAACATACCCATGCAACAAACCTGTGCGTGTACCCCTTGAGTCTAAAATAAATTATTGACATGTATTAAAATTACTTTTTAAAACAATTATTGAAATTATTTTAAAAATCATACTAATTTATATATATCTACTTTTAAATTTAAAATATTTGCCATAATTTAATATTAAAATATTATTTGGGTGAAGACACAAACCACTCTCATTAGAGAAATAAACCCTTCATTTACAAGGCTGCAATCTGGGTGGCCTGAACGCTCACTAGAATGTCCCAGTGCTCCTCAGGACAGGGTTCACAGCTCTGGGAGCCCTGCCCAAAGCTAATTACACATTCACAGCCACACAGGAAGCTCCAGAGTTTCCTTTACTTCTACAAGGAGATCATATAATTAAAACCTCCTGAGGAAAACAAAGGGCTGTCTCTTACCTACCACATAAGGTAGAAATAATACTATTTAAAACTCGGCTCACAGACTCTTTACTAGAAATGAAAAATATCTTGGAAGCCATTTTACAGGAAACTCTACGTGCAACATCGACAAAAAAAATATTCTTGTAGTTACAAGAGTCTACTGTGGGAGGATCCTGACTACTAAAAAGTTATGAGACAAGTCATTGTGGGCACAACATTTATTTATCAATAAACGTTTATTCCGTGTCCAGGCAAGCCAAGCACCAATTCTCTGGGAACCTAGTCAAGGAGGACTCAAATATATGGGCATATAAAGACTAGGACAGGCCGGCCCCAGTGGCTCATGCCTCTAATCCCAGCACTTTGGGAGGCCGAGGCAGGTGGATCACTTGAGGTCAGAAGTTTGAGACCAGCCTAGCCAACATGGTGAAACCCTGTCTCTACCAAAAATATAAAAAATTAGCTGGGTATGGTGGTGCGTGCCTGTAATCCCAGCTAATCGGGAGGCTGAGGCAGGAGAATCACTTGAGCCCGGGAGGCAGAGGTTGCAATGAGCCGATATCATGCCGCTGCACTCCAGCCTGGGCGACAAAGTGAGACTCCATCTAAAAAAAAAAAGGACTAGGACAAAAATACCTACTTTCAAGGAGTTCACAGTCTACAGGAATAAACAGGACATGTAAATGAACAAAATAGGTCCCCATCCTTTATGAACCTACTTTAAAAAACAAAAAACAGGGCAAGTATATGTACAGGATACAATGGAAGCAGAAAGATCCCCAATTCTGCCTTACTTTGGGCAACAAAGTAGGAGGTACACCTCGAAGGTATGAGAGTAAACACAGGTTCAACTGAAGAACTCTAATGACTTGGCTAGAATACAGTATGGCTAGAATACAGAAATGTCAAAATGAGGACTTGTCGGCAAGGGCCAGAAGACCAGTCAAGCCCTGGGCTTCATGTGACACAGGACGGTGAATAAAAGCCGTGCAGTCCTATAACCTGACTTGCAGTTCCCAAAGACTAACCTGCGCTGCTGTACTGAAGATACAGAATGGGAGGGTCAGGGATGAGGAAAACAGAATGGGCATCTAATTCCCTGTAATGTCTTTGCTCTCCCTTAATCTAAGCTTTATGTTCAAAATAAAAGTACCACTCTCACTCCACAACTCCCCCAGTATCTGAAGACCACCATGGCGATTCCCTAAATTGGCCCTCCTTCCAAGTCAGCACCACACATTCCCCATCCACTCCTCCAGATTTCAGTACCCTGTGTCCACTGGCATCAAAGTATGACAGGCACCTCGGAAGTGGGCACAGATACAAGACAGATCTGGTCTGGCAAGCACAGAGCTCAGCAAGACTATTATTTCCCTCGATCTAGAAACTGAGCTGCTCCTACCTTAATCTAAGAAAAAAAAATCTGCTTTTCTAGGAGCTTCCAGAGGCTCATGATAAGTTCATGGTTATCTAATATTTTCAAGTCTTTTACCACACAAACTGCTGCTAAGCTACTGTTCTCTTTTTTCCCCCTTTTATTTTTGTTTTGGAGATGGAGTCTCGCTCTGTCGCCAGGCTGGAGTACAGTGGCACGACCTCGGCTCACTGCAACCTCCGCCTCTCAGGTTCAAGCAATTCTCCTGCCTCAGCCTCCCGAGTAGCTGGGACTACAGGTGCGTACCACCACGCCCCGTTAATTTTTGCACTTGTAGTAGAGACGGGTTTAACTATGTTGGCCAGGATAGTCTCGATCTCCTGATCTTGTGATCCCACTGCCTCAGCCTCCCAAAATGCTGAGATTACAGGCATGAGCCACTGCAGCCCAGCCTCCCCTAATGTTTTATTATGAAATTTTACAAACATGCAGAAATGTTGAAAAAACTGTACAGTAAGCAACATCCCACTTCTTTCCTTTTCTTCTTAATTTTTTTTCTCTATCATAGCACACTACAGCCCGAGCTCTGCCTCAGCCTCCCAAGTTGCTGGGATTACAGGAGCACATCACCATGCCCAGCGTTTCCTCTTCATTGCTGTGTAATCTATATTCTAAAAAATCTAAACCTTTATCTGTTAAAATTTTCATTTGGTAAATCAGCTCAAGTTTCCAGCATTTAGGATACTTTTAAATTCTGACTTTGACTTGAAACCCATTAGTCTTCCTTCTAACAAGTGCTGTCTTCAATCTAAGTCACTTGGCCACCCAGTATTCTCATCTACAATAAAAAGGAAGTTGGACTCTAAGGCATCTCTACGACACCTTCTGACTCTTGTAATGTCAGATAATTCACATAATTGATGACGTTACATAGGACAGAGCAATGGTAAGGCTATGTGACACACCAAAAGAATCTCCTTCCGGGTCTCCCATACAGTGAGTAGAGAACTGAACTTAAAGGTCAAGAGACCTGAGTTCAAGCTCCAGTTCTGCCATCCAAGTTGTGTGACTCTGGACAAATCACTTAATCACTTTATGTATCTACAAATCTGTTTCTTCTCCTATAAAAAAGAACTGATAAAATCTAGTTTATAGAGTTCTTGTAAAAAATAACATGTGTAAACCAACAAGAACATAACTCCTGATATCCCACTTCCAGAAGTTACTTCATCACAGATCAAAGGTCAAAGGAAAAATGGTGTAACAGTCCAAGGTCAGGGATGGCAAGTTATTTCAGTGACTCAGAAACCCCACCCTTAGAAAAAATCCTTTCTAAAAAGCTTATAATTGGCCAGGAGCGGTGGCTCACACCTGTAATCCCAGCACTTTGGGAGGCTGAGGAGGGCGGATCACAAGGTCAGGAGTTAGAGACCAGCCTGACCAATATAGTGAAAACCCGTTTCTACTAAAAATACAAAAATTAGCTGGGTGTGGTGGCAGACACCTGTAATTCCAGCTACTGAGGAAGCTGAGGCAGGAGAATCGCTTGAATCCAGGAGGCAGAAGTTGCAGTGAGCCAAGATTACACCACTGCACTCCAGCCTGGGCGACAGAGCAAGACTATGTCCAAAAAAAAAAAAACAACTTAAAATTTTATATTTGAAAGTTTGACAATGGTGCAAAGGAAGCCTTTCTAAACTAAATAAGTTAAAATAGATTGGAATTCAAATTCAGTTTAGTAAAAATGAAGTCTTTTTTTCAACAAGCATTTCACTGGTTAGGTTAAAAAGAAATTAATAAAAATGCTAAGAAGTTATTTTTCCTTGGGAGGCTGAGGCAGGCGGATCACGAGGTCAGGAGATCGAGACCATCTTGGCTAACACGGTGAAATCCTGTCTCTACTAAAAATACAAAAAATTAGCCGGGCGTGGTGGCAGGTGCCTGTAGTCCCAGCTACTCGAGAGGCTGAGGCAGGAGAATGCCATGAACCTGGGAGGCGGGGCTTGCAGTGAGCCGAGATCACGCCACTGCGCAATAGCCTGGATGACAGAGCAAGACTCCGTCTCAAAAAAAAAAAAAAGATAAATAAAAGAAGGTCTTTTTCCTTGTGTCTAGTGAGTATAAAGCAGTGGTACTTAATGAGGAGTAGGGGATAATTTTGTACCCTAGGGGATATTTGGCACTGTCTGTAGACATTTTTGGTTGTCACAACTGGGTGGGAGGCAAGGTGCTACAGACAGTGAGTGTGTAAGAGGCCAGGAATCCTAGTAAACTCCCTACAACACACTGGACAGCCCCCCACGACAAAGAATTATACAGCCTAAAATATCAATACAGTCAAGGCTGGGAAACCTTGGTATAAGGGGACTGGTTAAACTTGGAAGGAAGGGTTTGTCTTTCTGTAAATCGTTCCGTAAATAAGGTCTCATGTGTACAGACAATCTGCTGAGAAAGCCACAGTTCTGGCAGCTGGCAGAGCTGAAAGAGAAGGGAAAATCTATGCACAGGGCCCTCGGATTTCCACCCATATTTCCCAAGAAAGGATACAGTTCCAGAAAGGGCTCTCTCTGATCTCCCGGAATGAAATCTGAGAATGAACCACAGGGCCTCATTGCTTACCTGTACCTCCGTTTTGTAGTCTCCAGCTGGCCTGGCACAGACTGACAACCCCAAATGGATGGTCAAAATCCACTGTTCTCCAGTCCCTCTCAAACCTCACCGGCAAGAGGGAAAGAAACTAAACCCCGAGGGCCCATTATATTCCAGCGGGGTCCTAGGGATTCCACACTCATTCAGTTCCTTTTCATCATAAGAAGTGGGTATTATAATATCCGATCCACTGTAAAAGGTGATCCCAAAGCAAATGGTAGAGCAAGAGTCTGAATAGGGGCACCTCCAACAGCCACACCCACCCCACCACAGCTCCCAGGGGTTTCTTCTAATCCCAAGGGTGGCCTATACCCTGGGACTATAGGGGGCCTTGGTGTGCTAAGTCTTCAGAGACATTTTTAAACGGTCAAGACGCCTCTTGGCGACTGGAGGAAGTTCCTGACCTCGCGGCATTCCCTCCTTCCCATCCCCACTACCACACCAATCCTATGCCAGCCTGTCTGTGTCAGGGAAGAAGTCCAGCTGGACAACTCTGGCAGCCTCCTGTCGCCCTCCCCTGCCAGCAATCCTTCTGTGCCACAGCTGTGTGTCCACACTCTAAAGCACACATCCCACCAGGCCACTCTTCTGTAAAATAATGCCTCACTGTCCCAGGCCAAATACCCCAGCGCCGATACCTGCTTCTTCAAATCCAGGCTCCAACCCATCCCTCCGTCTCATTTCCATTTTACGTGCACACATAGTCACACACTCTCACATACCCACACTTTGGCTCCTACTGTTCCTACCCCTGAAAACCCCTTACCACTTTCTTCCCTGAGAAATAACTGCTCGTGTGTCACTTCAGGACTCAGCTCCACTGCCGTGTCCTTAGTGATACCTTCCCTTGTCTCTAGCTGGTTGGTCCCCCATCCCTCTTGCCTTCCTGGCCACAGCACTCACCTAAGTGTCTTTTATCCAGACAACATTTAGGGTATACTTAGACCAAAAGAGTCATCGCTATTTATCTGAAATTCACATTTACTTATGTTTAATTTTCATTTTTTTGGAGATGGAGTCTTGCTCTGTAGCCCAGGCTGGAGTGCAATAGCGTGATCTCAATTCATTGCAACCTCCACCTGCAGGGTTCAAGTGATTCTTCTGCCTCAGCCTGTTACTTGAAAAACAGACAAAAATCAAAGGTATGATGTGAACAGCATGAATTACTGCTGAAAAATACTGGCAACTATGTGTCTCTCCCTTTCTCTTCTCATCAACTCCCTCTACTCTGCATGAGTCACCCCACTGGCCTGGAATGGAAGGGGTGACAACACTACAGATTCTACAGCTATGAGAGGATAATAAGGGACTATTAGGAACCACTTTATGCCAGTAAATTCAAGAACTTAGATAAAATAAATTAATTTCTTGAAGGACAAACTACCGAAGCTCATCAAAAAGTGGTAATTTGAATAGCTCTATATTTATTGAAGAAATTGGATTTGTTGTTAAAAACCTTCCTACAAAGAAAACTCCAGGTGTAGATGGATTCACTCAGGAATTCCACTAAAGAAGAAATAAAACAAATTCTTTACAAACTCTTCCAGAAAACAGAGATTTCCCAACTCATTCTATGAAGCCAGCATTTACTTTGATGCCAAAATCTGACAAAGACACTACGATAAGTACAGACCCATATCTCTTGTGAAAATAAATGTAAAAATTACAAACAAAATTTTAGCAAATTGAGTCTAACAATCTAGAAAAAAAGGATAATACATCATAACCAAGTAGGGTTTATCCCACAAATACAAGGTTGGATTAACATTCAAAAATCAGCCGAGCACAGTGACTCATGCCTGTAATCCCAGCACTTTGGGAGGCTGAGATGGGTGCATCACTTGAGGTCAGGAGTTCAAGACCAGCCTGGCCAAAATGGCGAAACCCCACCTCTACTAAAAATACAAAATTTAGCCAGGTGTGGTGGTGCACACTTGTAATCCTGGCTACTTGGGAGGCTGAGGCAGCACAATTGCTTGAACCCAGGAGGCAAATGTTGCAGTGAGCCAGGATTGCGCCACTGCACTCCAGCCTGGGTGACAGAGTGAGACTCCGTCTTAAAAAAAAAAAAAATGCAAAAGTCAATGTAACTCACCAACATTGTAAACTAAAACAGGAAAGCCATATGATCATCTCAATACACACAGAAAAACACTAAACAAAACCCAACATTCATTCCTTATTAAAAAAATACAAAACTCCACATAGAGGAGAACCTACTAAACTTGATAAATGGCATATATGAAATATCTGTAGCTAATATCATACTTAATGACATAAGACTGAACATTTTCCCCATAGGATCAAAAATGAGACAAAGAAATCCACTTCTACCACGACTGAAACTGCCTTTGCAAAATTATGACTGAGACAGTGAGAGATCTAACTTAACTGACTCCATCTTGCTTCTAACCTCCAAGTTGTCCTTGCTCATTCCTGGGTGTAGACTGAACTAACTTTGGGAGAAACTTAGTTTATAGTTTAAAACAAAGACGGTAACAGCCCTTTCCCAAAGCAGACTTCCTTCTTGCCTGGGCACCAGACTGCCTTCGTAGGACTCACATTAGCCACAAGATTAGAAATTATGGTTTAGGAGTCATGCAGCTGAAGGCTAAAGATTCTGACCCTCCCTAAACTGCTCTTGAGATCAGTGCTTGAGAAATTTTGCAGACCCTGCACTTGATGGATCAGCTGGCCCCACCCAGATCGATTAACTGGCTCATCTGATCTTGTGGCCCCCACCCAGGAACGGACTCAGCTCAAGAAGAAAGCTTCAACTCCTTTTGATTTCACCCCTGACCAATCAGCACTCCTGGCCCATTGGCTTCCCCCCACCCACCAAGCTGTCCTTAAAAACTCTGCTCCTCAAATGCTCAGGGAGACTGATTTGAGCAATAATAAAACTCCGGTCTCCCACCCAGCAGGCTCTGCCTGAATTACTCTTTCTCTATTGCAATTCCCGTCTTCGTGAATCAGCTCTGTCTAGGCAATGGGCAAGGTGAACCCATTGGGCAGTTACACTTCTATTCATTATGTACTTAGAAGTTCTAGCCAGTGCAGTAAAGGAAGGAAAAATAAATAAAAGGCATTCAGAGTGGGAAGAAAAAAGTACAACTGTCTTTATTCACAGACAACATTGACAGAATAGCCAATGGAATCCACAAAAAAGCTTTGAAAACAAATTACATTAAGGTCTCAGGATACAAGATTAATATACAAAAACCAAGTGTATTTTTATATATTAGCAATGAATAACTGGAAGCTGAAATTCACAGTATCAAAATATATGAAATAGGAGTAAATCTGACCACATCCCTTCAAAAAACTGGAAAGATTTGTACACTGAAAACTACAAAATATTGTTGAGAAAAATTAAAGAAAAACTAAATAAATTGAGAAATATACCATAGTCATGGGTTGGAAGATTCAATTTTATTAAGAAGTCAATTCTTCCCCTGAAATTATCTGCAGACTCAAAACAATCCCGACAGAAATTCCAGCCAGCTTTTTTGTAGAATGTGACAAGCTGATTCTAAAATAGAAATGCAAAGGACCTAGGACTGGTAATTGTTGAAGGTAGGTGATAAATACATCACTTGGTATTTCATTAAATTATTCTCTCTACTTTGTAAATGTTTGAAATTTTCCATAGTGAAAATATGTTTTGAATAAAATGAGATTTTCCAGGAACACATATAAATACAAAATATCCTTCCTTTAAATTTTTCATTACATTACAAAAATGGTTTCCTCTTTCACACTACCTTAAGTCTAACTCCCTGGCTTGGTTTCCCAGGCCCTATAACCAGTCCTCTCTGCTTCCTGTTCCTCTATGACAGGGGTCAACAAACCACAATCCAGGGCCAAATCTGACCCATCACTTGTTTTTTTTCGTCCCAAAAACTAAGAATGTTTTGAACTTTTAAATGGTTGGGGAAAAAAAATCAAAAGACTATTTTGGGCTGGACACTGGCTCATGCCTGTAATCCCAACACTTTCGGTGGCCAAGGAGGGTGGATAGCGTGAGCCCAGAAGTTCAGGAGTTCAAGACCAGCCTGGCCAACATGGTGAAACGCCGCCTCTACAAAAAATACAAAAATTAGTGGGGCGTGGTGGCTTGTGCCTGTAGTCCCAGCTACTTGGAAGGCTGAGGTGGGAGGATCACTTGAGCCTGGGAAGTCAGGGCTGCAATAAGCTGTGATCAGGCTGCTGCCCTCCAGCCTGAGCAACAGAGTGACACTGTCTCAAAAAAAAAAGAAAGAAAAAAAGAAAATGTTATTGAAACATAGTCACATTCATTCACATCTGTAGTGGCTGTGGTTACTTTTGCACTACAATGATGGAGTTGATTAGTTGCAACAGAGACCTTAAGGTCTTCAATGACTAAAACATTTACTATCTGGCCCTTTACAGACAGTCTGTCAATCCCTAATTTATTATATGCCTTCTTCTCCCTCAGCTAACTAATTGCCTCACCCCAGGAATGTTCATTACTACCTCTTCTTTGTTCAAGCCCCAGCTACTCCTCAAAACCCAAAATTCCCTTCTTCCCCTTTCCCAAATCCTAACTATATCAGCAGTTTGTGTGGAAGTAGGTAAGCAAAACACCATTCGTCATTATGTAAAGCAAGGCATTGGAGATGCGGTCCCTACATGTACAAGGGGAGGCTGATTACCCCCCAATTCATTTCCAATTTCTCAAAGCAGGTTGGCAGGCTAGCACCTAGGAAGGAGAGAGCGAGCAGATGATGCAGACAGAGCACTGAGAAACTCCTCAGTAACTCATGAGAGTTCATGTGTCAGTCCCCTTGTCTGCTATGTCATCCTTTAGACACCAATTCAAGACAGCAAAATTCAAAAAAGAAATGAGGAAGAAAAAGGTGATGAGGGGCAGAAGGAAAAGAGAAGAGAACTTGTCACTTCACAATGTAGAGACAATCACAAACTGTGGTGAATGAAAAACTATTCCATTCACCTGTGCATGGTGGCTCATGCCTATAATCCCAGCACTTTGGGAAGCTGAGGCAGGGAGATAACTTGAGGTCAGAAGTTCAAAACCAGCCTGACCAACATGGTGAAACCCTATCTCTACTAAAAATATAAAAAATTAGCCGGGCGTGGTGGCACATGCCTGTAATCTCAGCTACTTGGAAGGCTGAGGCATGAAAATCACTTGAACCCAGGAGGCGGAGGTTGCACTGAGCCGAGATTGTGCCACAGCCTGGGCGACAGGGTGAGACTCTGTCTCCAAAAAAAAAAAAAAAAAAAAAAAAAATTAATAAAAAAAAAAAAGAAAAGAAAACTATAGAGACTCTAGCAAGCAAAGAGGTAGTCCTCCATCACTGGGAGGCCCAAGCAGAACAGCCTATGAAGGAGGGGGCATAGCAGAGCTTTACCTTGAACACCTCAACTCATCAGGTGTCCTGATTTCTTGAGTTAGCACACAAAATGAAGTGGCAAAATCTGCTGGCTTAACACTCAGGGATTACTACCTTCCTTGCGTGCCATTTGGAAACAAATATTTTTGTTTGTTTGTTTGTTTGTTTGTTTGTTTGTTTGTTTTGAAATGGGGTCTCACTCTGTCACCCAAGTTGGAGTGCAGTGGTGCAGTCACAACTCATTGCAGCCTCAATCTCCTAGACTCAAGGGATCCTCCCACCTCAGTCTCCTGAGTAGCTGGGATCACAGGCGAGTGCCACCATGCCTGACTAATTTTTTTTTTATTATTTTTAGTAGAGATGAGGTCTCACTGTGTTGCCCGGGATGGTCTTGAACTCCTGGGCTCAAGCAATCCTCCCTCCTTGGCCTCCCAAAGTGCTGGGATTACAGGTGTGAGCCACTGCACCCAGCTTGGAAACAAAAAAATGAATCTATGTAATTGAAGTCCCAAATAGGAAACCCTGAGCTTTTGAGGATGCATAATTTTTTCATCTTCTCCAATTTAAAGTGGCAAATGAGGATGGGCATGGTGGCTCTCACCTGTAATCCCAGCACTTTGGGAGGCCAAGGTCAGGAGTTCGAAACCAGCCTGGTCAACATGGTGAAACCCCCATCTCTACCAAAAATATAAAAATTAGCTGGGTGTGGTGGCACTTGCCTGTGATCCCAGCTACTCAGGAGGCTGAGACAGGTGAATCACTTGAACCTAGGAGGCAGAGCTGCAGTGAGCCGAGATCGTGCCACTGAACTCCAGCCTGGGCAACAGAGTGAGACTCCATCTCAAAAAATAAATAAATAAAGTGGCAAATGAGAGAGGAAGCAGGTTTTGGAAATGCGTAGATGCCTCAAAGGTCAGCATTTGATCTTACTGCCTATGAGTTCCCAGTAAAAGCAGAACGTGTGAAAGGACTCTGAGGCACAAAAATACAGTTGGATAGTCCTGGGCAGGCAATAGGAAAGTTGAGTAAATGTGTGTCTAAAATGTGCATTTCTAGGCTGGGCACAGTGGCTTACACATATAATCCTAGCACTTTAGGAGACCGAGGCAGGAGAATCACTCAAGCCCAGGAGTGTGAGATCAGCTTGGGCAACATAGTGAGACGCTGTCTCTACAAAAATAAAAATTAGCTGTGGTGATGAGTACCTGTAGTCCCAACTACTCAGGATGCTGAGGCAGGAAAATCACTTGAGCCCAGGAGGTGGAGGCTGCAGTGAGCTGTGATTGCACCATTGTTGCCCTCCAGCCTGGGCAACAGAGCAAGACCTGTTTCTAAAATAATAATAATAATAATAATAATAATAATAATAATAATAAAATGTACATTTCTAACTTCATTTCAAAGTTAAGGCCAGGTGCAGTGGCTCATGCCTGTAATCCCAGCATTTGGGAGGCCGAGGCAAGAGGATCACTTGAGCCGGGGAATTCGAGACCAGCCTGTGCAAAATAGTGAGACCCTGTCTCTAAATAAAAATAAAATAAAAAGTAAACAAAGTCAAATTTTTAAAAAAAATCAGAACAAAAGCCGGGCACAGTGGCTCACGCCTATAATCCTAGCACTTTGGGAGGCTGAGGCAGGTGGATCATGAGGTCAGGAGTGCAAGACCAGCCCGGCCAAGATGGTGAAACCCCGTCTCTACTAAAAATACAAAAAATTAGCCGCGTGTGGTGGCGGGAGCCTGTAGTCCCAACTACTCCAGAGGCTGAGGCAGGAGAATGGCGTGAACCCGGTAGGCGGAGCTTGCGGTGAGCCGAGATCGGGCCACTGGAATCCAGCCTGGGCGACAGAGGGAGACTCCATCTCAAAAAAAAAAAAAAAAAAAAAAAAGAGAGAGAGTCTGACTGTTGCCCAGGCTGGAGTGCAGGGGCGCGATCTCGGCGCATCACAAATCCCTTCCCCGCCCCCGGGTTCAAGTGATTCTCCTGTCTCAGCCGCCGGAGTAGCTGGGACTACAGGCGCGTGCCACCATGTCTGACTAAATTTGTATTTTTACTAGAGACGGGGTTTCACTATGTTGGCCAGGCTGGTCTCCAACTCCTGATCTCGTGATCCGCCCGCCCCGACCTCCCAAAGTGCTGGGATGCGTGAGCCTCCACGCCTGGCCACTATTTTTTCTTTTTCTTTTGTGTGTGTGTGTGTGTGTGTGTGTGTGTGTGTGTGTGTGTGTGTGTGACGAGGTTTCGCTCTTGTTGCCCAGGTTGGAGTGCAATGGTGTGATCTCAGCTCACTGCAATCCCCGCCTCAGCAGGAGAGCAGGAATCTTCAGTGATCCACTGGCGGATCTGCAGCCATTGTGCGCGCCAGGTCTTCTCAAGTCTTTTGTGCGCGCGCCTCTCCTTCCAGTACCTATGCCGCCAGCGTCCCCAGCCTCCCGCCATTGCCAGCAGGTGCTGAGATGGCGCCATTGCACTCCAGCCTGGGGGACAAGAGCAAAACTCCATCTCAAAAAAAAAAAAAAAAAAAAAGAATGAAAATTTTGGAAACATATGGAAGAAATCAAATGGATTTCTAGCTCAACTAAATCGTAATTATTCAGTGTCTAGTTTTTGCAAGAAACCACATATTTCATGTCCACAATCAGGGCCACATTCCCAGCTCTCAAGTGTGGTTGTTTCCTAAGCAAATTGAAGAACACAGGCATAAAAGTTCATTAAATCAATAAACTTTTTCTCTCTGTCTCTCTCTCTCTCTCTTTTTTTTGAGATGGAGGTTCGCACTGTCACCCAGGCTGGAGTGCTGTGGTGAGATCTCGGGTCACTGCAAGCTCCACCTCCCGAGTTCACGCCATCCTCCTGCCTCAGCCTCCAGAGTAGCTGGGACTACAAGCGCCCGCCACGACGCCCGGCTAATTTTTTGTAGTTTTAGTAGAGACGGGGTTTCGCTATGTTGGCCAGGCTGGTCTCCAACTCCTGACATCGTGATCCACCCGCCTCCGCCTCCCAAAGTGCCACCGCGCCCGGCCTTTTTTTTTTAAGACAGAGTCTCGGCCCGGCGCGGTGGCTCACGCCTTTAATCCCGGCACTTTGGGAGGCCGAGGCGGGCTGATCACGAGGTCAGGAGATCGAGACCATCCTGGCTAACACGGTGAAACCCTGTCTCTACTAAAAATGCAAAAAATTAGCCGGGTGTGATGGCGGGCGCCTGTAGTCCGAGCTACTCCAGAGGCTGAGGCAGGAGAATGGCGTGAACCCGGTAGGCGGAGCTTGCGGTGAGCCGAGATCAGGCCACTGGAATCCAGCCTGGGCGACAGAGGGAGACTCCGTCTCAAAAAAAAAAAAAAAAAAAAAAGAGTCTGGCTCTGTTGCCCAGGGCTGGAGTGCAGTGGCGCGATCTCGGCGCATCACAATCCCTTCCCCGCCCGCCCCCGGGTTCAAGTGATTCTCCTGTCTCAGCCGCCGGAGCAGCTGGGACTACAGGCGCGTGCCACCATGTCTGACTAAATTTGTATTTTTACTAGAGACGGGGTTTCACTATGTTGGCCAGGCTGGTCTCCAACTCCTGATCTCGTGATCCGTCTGCCCCGACCTCCCAAAGTGCTAGGATTATAGGCATAAGCCACCACGCCCGGCCTCTTTTTTTTCTTTTTCTTTTCTTTATCTGGAGACTGAGTTTTGCACTTGTTGCCCAGGCTGGAGTGCAATGGTGCGATCTCAGCTCACTGCAATCTCCACCTCAGCAGGAGAGCAGGAATCTTCAGTGATCCACGGGCAGATCTGCCACCATTGTGGGCACCTGTTCCTCCCGCGACCTTTGTGCCCGCCTCTCTCCTTCCAGTACCTATTGCATGACCCCCCACGTCCGCCTCCCGCCATTGCCAGCAAGTGCCTCGCGCGGGTACCTGGCTGCGCTTATTAATCCGTTAAGCTCGCTCTGTCACGGGCGCCGTGATGTGCTCACGCGCCCGCTCCCTCAGGTTTAAAAGGCGCGTTGCCCGGCAACAGAAGAAACTGCTGGCTTAGCCTTTGGCGGAGTTGGCGGCTGGACGAGGACGCTCAGAGCCCAGCTCTCGAGAGTTCAAGCAACCGACGGTTCCCCACTGCTCCCAGGAGCGGTTACCTGGGCACTCTGTGCCCCTCCTTCCTGTTCGGGCCCAGGCCGAGGACCTGCCAGTAGGGCTCAGTTGCCTGGAGCCCGTTCAGCCCATCCCCCAGTTCACTTTGCTTGTGGGATCTCCCCGTTGCTCCTGCCCGTGGACTGAGTGGCAGGCCATCCTACAAGCACCCGGACACTTGACATCAGTGGTGTCAAGACAACTCTAAGAAGGTTTTCGGTGATCCTGCAAGCCCTGCGTTCCTTCCTGGGATCCTGCCTTCAATTTGATTGCACAGGTACCACAGCAAGCCAGTGCTGTGTGCTCCGAGTTCCAGGGCGTCCTCCAGCTCAGCCACTGCACTGAGAACATGGACTCTCTGTGGGGCCCAGGAGCCGGGAGTCACCCCTTTGGGGTCCACAACACCCGGCTGTCCCCAGACTTGTGTCCAGGGAAGATAGTGTTGAGGGCCCTCAAGGAGAGCGGGGCAGGGATGCCTGAGCAGGACAAGGACCCTAGAGTCCAAGAGAATCCTGGTGATCAGAGAAGGGTCCCCGAGGTCACCGGGGATGCACCGTCTGCATTTCGGCCCCTGCGGGACAATGGAGGCCTCTCTCCCTTTGTGCCCAGGCCCGGGCCTCTGCAGACAGACCTCCATGCCCAGAGGTCAGAAATCAGATATAACCAGACATCCCAGACCTCCTGGACGAGCTCCTGCACCAACCGAAATGCCATCTCCAGCTCCTACAGCTCCACGGGAGGCTTGCCGGGGCTAAAGCGGAGGAGGGGGCCAGCCTCATCCCACTGCCAGCTGACCCTCAGTTCCTCAAAGACAGTGAGTGAGGACAGGCCTCAGGCTGTCTCTTCAGGTCACACCCAGTGTGAAAAGGCAGCAGATATAGCACCAGGGCAGACACTCACCCTCAGGAATGACTCCTCCACATCCGAGGCCTCTAGGCCCAGTACACACAAGTTTCCCCTGCTGCCACGCAGGCGAGGGGAGCCTTTGATGCTGCCACCTCCCTTAGAGCTGGGGTACCGGGTCACTGTTGAAGACCTGGACCGGGAGAAGGAGGCGGCATTCCAGCGCATCAACAGTGCACTGCAGGTTGAGGACAAGGCCATCTCGGACTGCAGACCCTCATGGCCTTCCCACACTTTGTCCTCACTTGCAACAGGGGCTTCTGGTCTGCCTGCTGTTTCTAAAGCATCCAGTATGGATGCACAGCAGGAGACACACAAGTCCCAAGACTGCCTGGGCCTACTGGCCCCCTTAGCATCTGCTGCAGAGGTCCCCTCTACAGCTCCCGTGTCTGGGAAGAAGCACAGACCACCAGGCCCCCTGTTCTCCTCCTCAGATCCCCTTCCTGCCACCTCTTCTGATTCCCAGGACTCAGCCCAGGTCACCTCGCTGATTCCTGCCCCCTTCCCAGCTGCAAGCATGGATGCAGGCATGAGAAGAACAAGGCGTGGCACTTCTGCTCCTGCAGCTGCCACAGCAGCCCCTCCCCCCTCCACACTGAACCCCACGTTGGGGTCACTACTGGAGTGGATGGAGGCCCTTCACATTTCTGGGCCTCAGCCACAGCTGCAGCAGGTGCCCAGAGGTCAGAACCAGAGATCCCAGACCTCCCGGACCAGCTCGTGCCCCAAATGAAATGCCATCTCGAGCCCCTACAGCTCTACGGGAGGCCTCCCGGAACGAAAGCGGAAGAGGGGCCAGCCTCATCCCACTGCCAGCTGACCCTCAGTTCCTGAAACACACTGAGTGAGGACGGACCTCAGGCTGTCTCTTCGGGTCACATCCAGTGTGAAAAGACGGCAGATACAGCACCAGGGCAGACACTCGCCCCCAGGGGTGGCTCCCCCAGATCCCAGGCCTCTAGGCCCCGTAGATGCAAGTTTCCCCTGCTGCCACGCAGGCGAGGGGAGCCTTTGATGCTGCCACCTCCCTTAGAGATGGGGTACCGGGTCACTGCTGAAGACCTGGACCGGGAGAAGGAGGCGGCCTTCCAGCGCATCAACAGTGCACTGCAGGTTGAGGACCAGGCCATCTCGGACTGCAGACCCTCACGGCCTTCCCACACTTTGTCCTCACTTGCAACAGGGGCTTCTGGTCTGCCTGCCGTTTCTAAAGCACCCAGTATGGATGCACAGCAGGAGACACACAAGTCCCAAGACTGCCTGGGCCTAGTGGCCCCCCTGCATCTGCTGCACAGGCCTGTAGTCCCAGCTACTTGGGAGGCTGAGGCAGGAGAACGGCATAAACACGGGAGGCAGAGCTTGTAGTGAGCTGAGATCGCGCCACTGCAATCCAGCCTGGGTGACAGAGCCATACTCCGTCTCAAAAAAAAAAGAAAAAGAAAAAAAGTTCTTGTGACATTTGTGTATGAAATCAGCCTTCACTACATGGATAGGACCAGCACGCTTCCGCGGCACGACTCTGCAATCTTACTACATTTTTTTTATTTTGTATTTTTTTTATTCCTTTTGAGACAGTCTCACTCTGTCACCCAGGCTGAAGTGCAGCCGAGATCTTGGCTCACTGCAACCTCCACCTCTTGGGTTCAAGCAATTCTCCTGTCTCAGCCTCCCAAGTAGCTGGGACTACAGGCACACGTCAAAACGCCTGGCTAATTTTTGTATTTTTAGTAGAGATGGAGTTTTGCCATATTGGTCAGGCTGGTCTCGAACTCCTGACCTCAGGTGATCGACCTGTCTTAGCCTCCCGAACTGCTAGGATTACAGGTGTATGTTTATTTATTTATTTATTTAAGATGGAATCTTGCTCTGTATTTATTAATTTATTTATTTGAGATGGAGTCTTGCTCCATCGCCCAGGCTAGAGTGCAGTGGTGCAATCTCGGCTCCCTGCAACCTCTGACTTCCAGTTTCAAGTGATTCTCCTGCCTCAGTGTCCCAAGTAGCTGGGATTACAGGTGCCTGCCACCACAGCTGGCTAATTTTTGTATTTTTAGTAGAGACAGTGTTTCACCATCTTGGCCAGGCTGGTCTCGGGCTCCTGACCTCATGAACCACCTGCCTCAGCCTCCCAAAGTGTTGGGACTACAGGCCTAAGGCACCATGCTCGGCCATATTTATTTATTTAAATATTTAGAGACAAAGTCTTGCTCTGTCACCCAGGCTGGAGTGCAGTGGCGCCATCTCAGCTCACTGCAGCCTCCGCCTCCGAGGTTTAAGCGATTCTCATGCCTCAGCCTCCTGAGTAACTGGGACTACGGGTACTCACCACCATGCAGGGATATTTTTTTCTATTTTTTTTAGAGACACGGTTTCACCATGTTGGCCAGGCTGGTCTCAAACTCCTGACCTTAGGTGATCTGACAGCCTCGTCCTCTCAAAGTACTGGGATTACAGGCATGAGCCACTGTGCCCGGCCTCTCACTACATTTAAGTGACGCCATGGCTCATGCCTGTAATCCCGGCACTTTGGGAGGCCAAGGCAGGTGGATCACTTGAGGTCAGGAGTTCGACATGAGCCTGGCCAACATGGGGAAACCCCGTCTCTAGTAAAAATGCACAAATTAGTCAGGCATGGTGGTACAAGCCTGTAGGCCCAGCTACTTGGAAGGCTGAGGCAGGAGAATCACTTTAACCGGGAGGCAGAGGTTGCAGTGAGCCAATATCATGTCACTGCACTCCAGCTTGGGTGACAGAGTGAGACACCGTCTCAAAAAAAAAAAAAGAAAACAGAAAAACATATGATGCCAGGGCGTCTCGGCCTCAATACCTGCATGAGCACAGTCATGTCCAGGCCAGGGCTGCTGGTCGAGGTCCGGCCCCATCTCTTTCAGCAGAAAGGGAGTAAGCTTGCCGGGAGGCTGGGGGACAAGATCCCAGGATCTCAGCCTCCGCTCATGGATCAGCTCCGAGACCCCGAGTGAGCTGGGGGTGCTCTGTGCGCATTGGTTTCCCCAGCTGTCAAGTAAAGGGATTGGATGAGGAAGTCTTGTCAAGGTGGAATGATCTCAGATTTGGGGCAGCAGTGAATGATCCCGCTCCCTGAGCCATGCCAGTGGCCCGGCCTCGGCTCAACACAGCCCCAACACTCTGGAATGGGGATGAGGGGGCAGTCAGCTCTTGCTCCTAGTAAGAGAGATGCAATAGGGCTCTGTGGCTGAGCTGGGTGCCTTGCCTCACACCTGTAATCCCAACCTTTGAGAGGCTGAGGCGGGAGGATTGCTTGAGGCCGGGAATTTTGAGAATAGCCTGGACAACATAGCCAGACCCCATGTCTACAAAATAATAATAAAACACACAGCTATAGTCCAAGCTACTTGGCAGGCTGAGGCAGGAAGGTCCCTTGAGTCCGGGAATTGGAGGCTGCATTGAGCTATAATCGCACCACTGCACTCCAGCTTGGGTGACAAAGTGAGACCCTGTCTCTAAAAGAAAAAAAAATTGTCCTGTGAGCATGGGTTTGATCTTCAAACAGGACCCGGAGGGTAGGGACAGACAGTGCTGTCACCCTTAGGTGCTGAACACTCAGAAACGGGCCAGCGGCAGTCCTTTCCTCACCTGCAGACACCAGATTGGGCAGAACAGCACGTGGCACTTGCAGCTCTTGCAGTGAGGGCAGAACCCAGTGTCAACCCTTCTGCCTGTGGGAGGGGCTGCTGAGGCCTGCGGAGAGGCCAGGGTGGAGGCTCGTCCCCTTGTCCAGCCCTTGGCGTGGTCTCCACCAGGTCCCCAGCCCACCAGTGTAGGGCGCCCCTGAGCCTGCTGCTGCCACGGGCCCTGTCTCTACCCAGGACGTCCCCCGACCCTCGCAGTGTCAGGGAAATGATCATGGTGGTGGTGACACTCTGCAGGCAGGGCTGCTGAGAGAAGCTGAGAAGGGTCACACTGCAGGCAGGGGCCCGTGTGACAAGCCCCTCTCACCCCGAGAGAGCTGACCAGGCAGCTCACGAGCAGAGCCACATCCCGGGAGTCCGAGAAAGGTCCTGGCTGGGCTCAGCCACCTCACTGGCCACGGGCAGCCTTTGTCGTGTGAGCCTTGCTCTCCTGGGGAGGCTCAGGCTGACGGCTGATGTGGGCATTGCCGAGGGTAACCTGTGGCCCAGTGTATATGGCCGGGTCTCCTCAAGCTGCATTCATTCAAGTAGGACCCAGGGTGCATGCCCATCTCCAGCCCAGGGCAGCTCCCCTGTAAGCTGGGTGAGCTACTGAAGCCAAGGTGGGAGGCAGCTGACATCACCACCCACGGCCCATGCGGAGGTGGCAGAAAGGCTGGACTCAGCAGCAACACCAAATCCCGGACCAGGCAGAAACCACCCAAGACTGAGGGGCTCATGCCAGAGCGGTGGCCACAGGTAAGAACCCGGGCCCAGGCTGTGTGGCAGGAATCCTCCATGTCCCAGGGCTTAGCATAGCAAAGGAAGACCAGCCGGGTCACCCTGGTGGCCATCTGTCCCTGTCCCACCTGCAGAGTCAGAACAGCCTCTCCCCAGTGGGGATCCTCTCTCTCTGCCAAAGCAACAGCGGTCCCTGCCCCAACCAGACTACCCCACTCAGTGGAGTTACGGATGCTGCTCCAGCATCCTAACACTGCCCAGCTGGTGCCTGCCTGTGCTCACCCACACCCCCCAGGCCGGCCTTCCCTGCAGCCTGGGCTTGGCCACCTTGGCCTGATTGAGCACTGAGGCCTCCTGGGCACCCAGCCCTATCACTGCACCTGCTGCTTCCAGCCCCACCCCACCGGCTCTGGGGTTCTTCCCAGCGGCGCTGATCATGAAGTCAACATGCACGCAAGTCGTCTCAGGAAACTTTTTAATGAAAGTGTCGGCCACGGTGGTGTGTAGGTGGCTGAGCTCAGATTGCAGCTGCTAAGACACCAGCCACTTACCAAGAGAAAGCCAGGCTGCTTCAAACCCAGGGCCCGCGGCAAAAAAGCATCACTTCCGGCCGGGGAGTCTGGAAGCCACGCCTTGTGGGAGGTCACACTGGCATCTAGGCCTTCGCCTGCACTGCAGAAGGAGAGCCGGGTCCCCTCCTGGAGAACGCTGCGTTCCCCAGCCCCACACCGGCTTTGCCACCACACAGGCTGTTGAGGCAGGAGGCGGGTAAGACGTAGCTGTAGACCCAAAGCAACCACCAGCCCTGGGACCCTGTGGGAGAGGAGCACTTTTAGAACATGGAAAAGTGTGGTCATCCCATCATTAGACAGCACACATCCTACATAAATAAAAAGTCGTATGGGGAAGGAGGTTGGGGAGGGAATAAAAAATTGGCACAGACATTGATAGACTGGTTTCCAGTTTCAAGGTAACAGATGCACATCATGAGACCAGAGGAGGCAGAGACAAGGGCTGGATTTGGCTTTTCTAAGCAACATGTGTTCCTGTGCAGGGCTGAATGGTCGCTGAGACAGAGATGGAAGCCAGGACAAGGGAGCCCACCGGGCCCAGATAGGTACAGAGAGCAGAGGCTCCTGTTCTGTCCTCGCCACCCACGAGGGTGACACTGCTTGTAAATGGTGGCTGTGCTCTCCCAGCAAGTAAAAAGCACAACTAAATCCACACTGCACACAGACGCAGACAGAAAGCCTTCAAGTAGCTCTGTTTTCTGCTCCCTGCCTTGCCAGGTCCACAAGCAGAGAGGAGTGTCAGGCACATGGCCCCACTGTCAGGCTCCCCAGTGAGCTGTGGGTTCAGCAGGAGCTGCCCACTGACACACAGGGGACACCCACTCCTGCCACCTTGGGAGCGGTTGCCAGACAGAGCCGCACTGGGTGCTGGTGTCATCCAGGGACCCCACACACTTCCTTAAATGTGATCCTGCTTCCCTCTGGGCAGCTGCATCCTCTCCTCCTGCAGGACCGTCTGGAAACTTGGCTCTCAGTTTGATCTCCCTTCTCTCCTCTGCCTGCCCCAAGCCCCTCTTTCTAAAAAAGTGATGCCATGTTCATGGGATTATTTCTTGAAAATACTTGGCGGCCTCCATGCTTCTGTTTTCTTTGAGCCAGGTGGTCAGGAGGGCTTACAAAGAATGCCTGGGCTCCCCCGCAGGTGCCGGCAGATGGGGTAGCGAATGGTCCTGTGCCTCCACCTGCTCCGGGAGGGAGTCTCCCGTCTCTAGGCCTGGCCCCTTCCTAACCCTCCACGTATCCTGTTCTCCAGAGACTTCAGAACCCACTCCTGAGAACAGCGGAGCCAGGCGCTTAGAGGAAGACCAAATGCTGCCAGGACACGGATTGTCCAGGGATTACATTCCAGCATCTTATTAGGTATCTGGATCTGTTCGGAAAAAAATTAGAAACTATGTATAAAACTTAAAAATATTCAAGTATCAAAAGGTTATTTAGGATGAAAGTTTTAAAACAAGTCATCAGCAAGCTGCTGCCACCAAGTGGAGACTTATACAAAAGATGAGCGAGTCCACTGAGCTGAGAGGACAGAAATGAAGTCACCTGTGCTGGGGCAGGGGCAGGGACACTGGGGGCAGGGAGTGTGTGGGCAGAGAAGCCAGAGAAGTCCAGGCCTGTGGAAGCCAAACAGGAGAGCGTGGGCCGGAAGGGCGGTCAGGATCGGGGGACGAGGTCGCTCTCCCTGGAGAACGAACCCTAAGGTGCGTAGCCTGGGATTCCCTCCCTGGGGGTCCTGTCCCCCGACATTTCACAGGCCTTCTGAGCTGCCTTCCAAGGAGGACTAACACGGCAACAAAAGACCCATTTCTGCACAAAAATCCTTCTGGAAAGAAAAAGAAGAAAGCCAAGAATGGAGTCAAAACGCTACCCAGTGCTGACCAAGCCTCTCAAACCCTGTTAGAAGTGGAGTGTGGTTTCTAAGTCAGGGAAATGGAAGAGGCCCCACCCACACAGGGACAGGGCCACGGCCCCCACAGGATGAAGCAGCAGCGTTTATTCAAGATACAACAGTGAGGGAATCCAGTCACGTTCCCTTCTCCCCAGAGAGGGCGCTTCTTGACAAGTGATTCAGTAGAAATCTTTTGGACTCTATAAGTTAAGTTCATAAAAACCACTGCTTTCACCCTGTCTCCCAGGGCCAGGCCTGGACTCCGAGATGAACTGGCTTGGGGCGCCCTCGGGTGGCCACATAAAAAACCCACAGTCTGAGGCCAGCCTGGGGCTTTCAGACCTGGGCGGGATCTGCCCAGGCCACCTGTCCTTCTGCTTTGGGCCGCTGTCTCTTGGCAGATGGCCTGACACCTGGGGGTGGCCCAAGGATGCCTCAGAAAATCTTGATTCCCACTCTACAGATGGCCCGATTAGCCAGAGGTTTCCAGGCCATCTGTCCGCCTCCAGGAGATGGACTGGGACCTTTAGACATCGGTGGAGAACAGGATGCTCTGTCTCTTGCTGTTCAGGGCAGGGATGGCCTCCAGCCGCAAGAAGTACAGCAGCACCTCGTCCTGCCCTCGCAGAGTGGGGAAGAGGAGAGTGGCTCAGAGGGGGGCTCACAGCTGCTGGTGGGGAGGTCTTTGGGGCCCAAGCCCCCAAGTCCACCTCAGGTGCTAGAAACCCCTGCTGGTGTCATGAACCCCTTACAGTGAGACGGGGGTGGGGTGGGGTCCTGACAAGGCATGACTTGTTGGGTGGGGGGTGATTATTTATTTTAGAGATGCACAGGGCCTTGCTCTGTCCCCCAGGCTGGAGTACAGTGGCTCCATCATGGATCACTGCAGCCTCTAACTCCTGGGCTCAAGCAATCCTCCTGTGTCAGCCTCCCAGATACCTAGGATTACAGATGTGTGCCACAATGCCTGACTAATTTTTCTTTGTATTTTTTCTAGAGATGGGGTTTGCTACATTGCCCAGACTGGTCTCAAACACCTGGGTTCAGTTGTCCTGCCTCGGCCTCCCAAAGTGCTGGGATTACAGGCATGAGCCACCACACCCGAACACTTGGGGTGGTTTTAAGCCCCCAGCAAGGTGCACCAGCAGGACCAGGAGGTGGCCTGGGCACCCCCTATCACTCCCATCCATGCAAACCTAGGCAAGTCCCTCTCTCTGAATCTCAGCCACCACCACATACAATGCAAGTCGGAAGATGGGCAGGACTGGGGGTGGGGCAGGCAGAGGCCACCTCTGTCAGGCTGGGGTTGCATGGGCTGGAGACTGTCTTCCCATACCTGAGACATGACCTCCAAGGACCTGCTGTCAGTCATGGTGACAGGCTGGCTGGGGTTGGCAGGGAGCTTGCTCTCCTTCTCGGAGGGCCGGAGCAGCGTGGGGCCAAAGACAGTGGCGAGGTTGTGCAGGGACACCTTATTGACCGCCTCCTTCTCTGCCACCCTGTAGAGGACCGAAGCAGAGGGTGCTGTTTCAACGCCACCACCAGGAGAGAGGCAGAGGGGCTGTGCCGTGCTAGAGTCCTCAGGGAGGGAGTGACCTCGACCCTGGCTGTGCTGCAAGCTGACTCCAGCCTTGGTACTTCTGGGTCTCAGTGGCCCAGGACAAGGGGCCAGCTCTGGGCTGATGGGGAGGTCTTCATGATGTGCTTGGGAGGGAAGAGGGGGGTCCAAGTGCACTGCTGGCCACGGCCAAAGCTCTGAGCTCTTTGTTAAGGCCACAGTGCAGAGGGAGGAGGGTGGCAAAGAGGAGAGGCAGGGGTGGGGGTGGCAGTGGTGCTAGTCCTTAGAAGCAGTGAGTTACTGCAGACAGGGGTCGGGGGAAAAGGTCCTTGGTGCTGGGGGTCTGGTGGGAGCAGAGGGGCACCCCAACGGCCTGGAGACCTGGAGTCCTGGGCAGCCACAAGAGAGCTGGGCTACCTTTCCAGGTGGTCTAGAAGGAAAAGGAAGGTGAGCAGGTTGGCCTCCGGCAGGGACAACAACAGGTTGAGCATGCAGCTCTTCCTTGCAACTGGGTCTGAAAGAGCTGCAGGAGGCAGTGGGTCACTCCCCTGGGTTACGACAAGCCGGAGACCTCTCCCGAGGTGGTCACATGGAGCGCCCGGGACACGAGTCCTTGCGCAGTTTAGGCTTGTCATCATCGTCACACCCACAGCGCTGGCCGCCAGTGAGGACCCTGTGAGGGGCACCTGTGTGGGGTGTGAACCACCTGAACGCCTTTTCTCTACCTCGCAGGGGTCAGCAGCACCCGGCGAACAGCAGCAGGAGGAGCCGCTAGAGCAGCTGCTCATGGGCAGAGCTGCCCTCGGGCAACTCCTGCCACCACCCCCTCCCCAGGGAGCCCAAGGCAGGGGAGGCTCAGCATGGAATGAAACAGGGGAGTGAGGGACACAAGGAGGTGGGAAGTGGGAGGGTCCCAGCCCCACCAAGTACACAGAGACCCCCTCGTCGTCCTGGACACCACAGGGGCACCTGCAGGCTGGGAGACCAGGTCCTCTGTGCATGGGCCCGGGAGGCAGACCTGCCCTAAGGGTGATGCAGAGGCCACAGGTGCTGCACGCACCAGCACCCGCTCTAGACATCAGCCTCCAGGTTGACTAAGGGTCAGGTCATGTTTGAAACCATGCTTGGCTGGACCAGGACCCATGGCAAGAGCACCCAGGCACCCTCCTTCAGCCCTGGTCTGCAGGAAGGAGGACAGCAGACTTTAGGACCCCATAGCACAGCAGTGCTGACTATTTCAGCCTCTTGGTCTCCTTGAGGAGTAGGGATGGGGAGCCCTCTGGGGATGGGCAAGGCCTTCCAGGACAGGCTCGGTTCTGGTCCCCTGCTTTTTGAGGTTGGGTTAAAATGCCGACCACGGCAGAGGGGTTACAGCTCAGGTTCCCACACCTCGCTTTTCACAGCCTCCGAGGGCAGCAGTGCACGTGGAGGAGACGTCTCCCATGAGGCCAAGGCCTCCAGTGCTCACCGATGCCCTCTGCGAAGTTGGGGTAGAACTCGTCAGTGAAGAGGGGCTCGGGCAGCTCACGGAAGTACAGCTTCAGCGTGCCTGCGATGGCGTTCACGTCCATCTCGCTCATCATCACCGACACGTCCTTGTTATCTGGAAAGAGCACGGAAATGCAGCGGCCTCCTTGAAGATCCTGAGTGAGTCACCCACCATCCCTGCCTTGGCTAAAGCACCGTCCCTGCCACACTGACCACTGTGCGGGTCCCTCCTGGGCTTTGAGCAGCTCATCTGACTCCTCCCAAGAGCTGTGCATGGTTCTGTGTCTGCAGAGTTGATAGGGGTGCGTGGGCATTCCCATTCCTCTCCCCTGCTTGGCCTGATGTGATGGCCAGGAGGAGGCCAACGTGGCAGGACACAGCGCCTGCGTGGGGATTGGGTGGCTCTGCCCTGTACATAGCAACCACCCCTGCACCAGTGTCGTCTGATAGCAGGAAGGCCGTGGGAGAATCTGATTGGTTTCAGTGTTTGAACCGGTGTCTTCCTTTGGACCCAATTGGCCATTGGTGCTTACATCCTCACCACAGGCCAGGTTCATTCTGGGCCCCCAGAGGGAGCTGAAACTACCACAGGGCCCTCCCAGGGATGCTGGGCATTCTAGGGGTCCTGGTCAGGGTGGGTGGTGTGTGCTGCAAAGAAGGGTCTGCAGGCACAAAATCCTGTTGCTTTGAAGATGCTGGGAAGGACCCTCTGGGGTCTCAGTGCCCTCCCCTGGCATTTGAGGCCAGTCTGGGTCCTTCAAGGCCTGTGAGGGTTGGTGAGATGGAGGCGGAGATGCTGCAGCCCCGGCCTGCGCTGAATTTCATCAGTGCCCTCTGCCCACCACATCCTCATACAGGGCAGTGGACAGACCGCACTGAGTCCTGGGCTTCCACCTCCTGTCCACCCCCAAGGCAGGAAGGCCAAGTCCCCACAGAAGCCCCTGGTCCACTCCACCAAGTGGCATGAGTGGGTACGATGGTGTAAAAACTGGCTTCTATAGAAGCTGTTTGTACAACTCTTGTTTTCTCTTTTTTTAAAATAATAAAACAGTAAATGAAGAAAAGACACAGAGAAGGATGTGACATGCCTGGGCCATGGAGCACTCTGAGATCTCATCGCGGACACCACTGCCCACACCTCCATCCCGTCCTGCGCAGGCCGACACTCACTGACGTTGAAGCCTGCCTTCAGTGCCTGGATGTCCGTGGCCACACCGGACACGCGGTAGATGCCCACCTCCTCCATGCCTCGGCGCTCGATCTCCTCCACGCACTGGCGCATGATGTAGGGCACCTTGGACCTCTCTCTCCTGCGGGAGGAGGGAATGTTCTCAGTGTCCTAACAGCCCCGCTTGGGCCATAACACAGGAGGCCTGCTCCCTATCTGCACACCCGGAGGTGGGGTGAGGACGGTGACGAAGGTACCCAGGTCTGGGGCTGCACACAGAGCCTTCTGCATGCCTGTCCTCCCTCTGCAAGCTCTGTCCTCATGGCATGTGCTTTCTCAGGAACCTTTCAAGCGGCCAGAACCCCTGCGAATCACACATGACCTTTGCGGGAAGGTCAGGAGGCCTGTCTAAGTCAAGTCAGCACAGGAAGGGCATCTGACAGATTCCAGGCCTGGGGTTAGCAGCCTGTGCCCCCGGCTGGGAGGTCAGACCCGGTGTTGGTCCTGCCACCCACGTGCTGTGTGAGAGGAGAATCCCTGACCCCTGCCCTGGGCCTTAACACACATCCGACGAATGAATGAAGGGTTGCCTCAGCACCGGTGCTCCAAGTCCTGCGATGCTAAGTGCTTTTCTCCTCTGAGTCTTAGCAATGGACAATTCCAATACCTCCACACAGGACACTAGAGTAAGAATCCTTCACAGTTAGAACGCAGTGCTGTGCGGAGGCCCTAACTTGAGTTCTGTTTTGCACCTGGATTTACCAGCACATCAAAGCTGCTTCGCAAGCCCCCTCATTAGCAGGGCTTATCTGGGGGAGCTGCTCATGGAGTCCTCGCTGCTCATGCCCACAGCCCTCCCAGAGTGCTATGCGAGTGGCTGCCGTGCAGTTGGGGGTGGGGCGTGGTGTTTAGACACAGATAGGAGTCCAGGGTATGACTGATGGAGGCCCCGGCCCACGTGACCAGCAAGGTCAGAGGCCCAGCCAGATTCCATCCTGGGGAAGCAAATGAATTCTCAGAGGAAGTGGTCTATGTCTGCATGAACTGCTCTCAAACCAAACAGGCTTCTCTTGGCAACTGACTCGTGACAAAGGGGCAGGGGTTATGGCCATTCAACAGGAATCTGGGACCGTGACTAATTCCAAGCAAGGGCAGAAAACCCTGCACTTGGGCAGTTCCTGGAGCCAGCCTACTGCTTCCAAGCAAGGTGGCAAGGACATTCCTGAGCTGGTTTGCAGGAAACACAGGAGGTAGCTGAAGACGCCGTGTTCCCTGGGGCCTGACCTCACCGTGCAGTGGCCATGCACAGAGAGGAGAGACCCACACATGCTCTTTTCTGCAGAAACAGCTGAAGGGACAGGCACCCTCAGTGCGTGAGCCCAAGCCCCTCCCCACTCACTTGGTGACCACAGCAATCTTGACTCCGAAGACCCCTGTCTGTTTTCGGGACGGCATCCTCTTCAAGCTGAACTCCCTGCTGTTGAACTTGACCGAGAGCTTTACTTCGATCTACAGTGGGGAGAAGGGGCACAGTCCTCTAATCCTTCTGGTCCTCACAGCCCAAGGTCCCAAGGACCCCTGGGAGTCTCATCAAATATTTCCACCCCCAAGGCATGCAGAGGTCTCAGCATGAGGTGGAGCCGCCCCTCGGGGAAGCCCCTAGTCTACTTCAGCAAGAGCCAGGATTGTTGAAGATGATATAAACGACTGGTTTCTGCAGAAGCACCTCCTAAAATCCCCGCTGCTTCTCTTGCTTGCTTGCTTTTTTTTTAGATATGGGATCTTGCAATGTTGCCCAGGCTGTAATCAAACTCTTGGGCTCCAGTGATTCTCCTGGCTCAGCCTCCAGAGTAGCTGAGATTATAGTGTACTGTGACCAGCTTTCTCTTAGTAACAATTAAAAATTAAGAAGGAAAGACAGAATAATGTAAGAAAAAGCCAAGAATCTCAAATATTAACATTTTACCATTTATACCCGGGCCTTTTTGGGTGTGTCATTGCTTTTAAGGTCTAAACCTTTCTGGGGTACCTAAAGACAAATCAGGGGTCTCCATTTCTATGGGCAGCCCCCAGGTCCCTGAGTGGAGGCCCCACCTGTCCTGGTGGTGCCATGAGACCTTTGTTTGAGGAGGGATGCTCAGGGCCTGGCTGGCAACTGCATTCCAGCCAATGAATGACGATTCCCGTGCATGGTGATTCTGCTCTTGGGGGCCCTCCCTTCTCCAACCAGGCTCCCTCTCAGATGCTGCCTCAGGCTCAGCCACCTCTGACTGATTTGAAATGAACAGAGGCCACCCTATCCTTCTGGGGGAAGTGGGCGCCAGGAGAGTCCCACGGACACGTACCCCATTCATGGCGATGACGGCGCGCTGCCAGTCTCTGTCCTGCAGGGCCTGCGGGTCCAGCTGAAAGGAAGGAGTCATGATTGGCAGAGGCCCTGGGGTCTGTTCAGAGGCCCCACGGGGCAGCAGCCCACACCCGCCACTTCCCCAACCCTTAGTCAGAGGCAGAGCCCGACTGCAGCCAGCACCTCCATCCAGAGGCCGAGACGTAGAGTAAGGAGGGGCCTGCCAGACACCCCTGGGACCCAGGGCCCCACTGCTCCCAGAGCCCTGCTGCCTGGGGTCTCCACCCCCTCCTCCCTCTGCCCCTCCCAGTTGGGAGCTGAGGACAGGCAAGGGACCCTAGAGGCCACAGCCACCTGGGCCTTCTGCAGGTGAAGTGGCCAGAAAATAAGAAGCTCTGGAGCAGGTCAAGGAGCCCAGCCAGCTGCCCCTACTTCACAGGTGTGTGCACCTGGGCCTCCCTCCCTGCACCTGCTCAGCACGAAGGCTCACCACAGGCACACCTGGGGGGTGACCCCTTCTCACCTCCCCGTCTAGGTCCTACTGGTTAACATTTCCCAAGGCTCTGAACTGTGCAGCCAGAGTGGCACAGAGAAGCAAAGGGCGGCGGGACGTCTCCCACCGGGGGCCATGTGGCCACAGGCTCTCATTCCACACCTGGCCCTGAAGGTCGTCAGAGGCCACACTCCAGGCCTCAGGGACCCCACCCTGAGAATCAGCATCTGTGAGCAGGGAGCAGTCAGTCAGAACCACACACAAAAAGGAAACTCTCAAGTGGCACTTTCCCCCGGAGTGAACCCTAAGCAGAGGCAGGAGAGGACAACATGAGGGATGCGGACAGAGTGCGCTTTCTCTGGAAAGGAGGAGTTTATACCACTGCTGGGAGCTTTAAAAAATGGAAACCCTGCCTGTGATATCAGCACTTTGAAAGGCCGAGGCAGGAGTATCACTTGAGCCCATGAGTTTAAGACCAGCCTGGGCAATATAGTGAGACCTTGTCTGTATTAAAAAAAAAAAAATTTAAAAAGGCAGCCAAGCATGGTGGCACATACCTGCAGTCCCAGCTGCTTGAGAGGCTGAGGTGGGAGCATTGCTCGAGCCTGGAAGGTGGAGGCTGCTGTGAGCCACGATCATGCCATTGCACTCCAGCCTGCGCAACAGAGCGAGAGACCCTGGCTCTAACTAACTAACCAAGTAACTGGAAACATAGAAACATGTTAAACAGGAGACATTCTTCCCTTTCCTTCAAAGAACAGCCATCACTGGGCCCCTCTCCCCTTGAAAACTCAGAACTGGCAGAAGCAGCTAACAAGCAACCCAGAGTCCAGGTAAGAAAAGACAGAAAGAGAAGCTGTCCAGACATCAGGCAGCTGCCCCTCTGAGCCTGCCTGGAACCACGGCCCACATGCCAGCCCATTAATAAAATAATAATGAAAACTACTCACATCTAACAAGAGATTAGACATCCAGATAGAGGAGGCTCAAATATCCCCAAACAATGCAATGCAAAGGGTCTTTGCCGTGGCAAACTATAATCAGACTATTTAAGGTCAATGTGAAAATGCGAATTCTAAAACCACCAAGAGAAAAGGATCTAGTCACCTATAAAGCAAACCCCATCAGATGAAGAGCAGATTTCACAGCCCAGCAAATAGAAAACATGTGCTTAAAGGCATAGGAGGCAGAGAGGTACAGGGCTGGAGACAGGCAAGGCCAGCATTCCCCTCAAGGCGACGGCCAATCTTGGAAGAGGAGGCTGAGAGACAGAGCAGTGATTCTTTTTTTTTTTTTTTTGAGACGGAGTCTCACTCTGTCACCCAGGCTGGAGTGCAGTGGCATGATCTCGGCTCACTGCAACCTCCACCTCCTGGGTTCATGCCATTCTCCTGCCTCCGCCTCCTGAGTAGCTGGGACTACAGGCGCCTGCCACCATGCCCGGCTAATTTTTTGTATTTTTAGTAGAAATGGGGTTTCACCGTGTTAGCCAGGATGGTCTCGATCTCCTGATCTCATGATCTGCCCGCCTTGGCCTCCCAAAGTGCTGGGATTAGAGGCGTGAGCCACCACGCCCAGCTGATTCTTCCTTTCTTTTTTTTTTTTTTTTTTTTTTTTGCTTTTTATTTTGCTGAAACAGGGTTGCCATTACTTTTAAAGGCAAACACTGCAATTACTTTTGTACCAACCTAATAATATATTGCTCTGGCTGGTCTCAAATTCCTGGCCTGAAGCAATCCTCCTGCCTCAGTCTCCCGAGTAGCTGGGACTATAGGTGTGAGCCACCACACCTGGTCTAGAGCAGTGCTGTTGACTTACTCATGTGGCTGAGGGAGGGGATGCCATAATGCCCCACATGTGGGGTGCAGGTTTCTTACTCTAGGAGTCACAGTCAACCAGAAATAAAGCAGCCCTCAGGAGCACTGGATCCAGCTTCAGATCATCTCAGTCACTCAAATGCATAAAGGAGATCTCAGAATTTTAGACCCCTAGGCCTCAAAGTATTTTATTTTTATTTATTTATTTATTTGAGACAGCATCTCACTCTGTTGCCCAGGCTGGAGTGCAGTCTCAGGATCATGGCTCACTGCAGCCTCGATCACCCAGGCTCAAGTGAGCCTCCCACCTCAGCGTCCCAAACAGCTGGGACTACAGGCACACACCACCACCACACACAGCTAATTTTTTATTTTTTGTAGAGATGGGGTTTCACCATGTTGTACAGGCTGATCTTGAACTCCTAGGCTCAAGCAATCTGCCCGCCTCAGCCTCCCAAAGTGATGGGATTACAAGCATGAGCCATCATGCTGGGGCTCAAAATTATTTTTAAAAATTATTTCTGGCTGGGCGCAGTGGCTCACGCCTGTAATCCCAGCACTTTGGGAGGCTGAGGTGGGCAGATCACGAGGTCAGGAGTCTGAGACCAGCCTGACCAACATGGTAAAAACCCATCTCTACTAAAAATACAAAAATTAGCCAGGCGTGCTGGCACCTGCCTGCAATCCCAGCTACTTGGGAGGCTGAGGTAGGAGAATTGAACCCTGGGATGCAGAGGTTGCAGTGAGCCGAGATCACGTCATTGCACTCCAGCTTGGGCAACAAAGCGAGACTCCATCTCAAAAAAAAAAAAAAATTATTTGTAACGATTTTTATACACAACTTCCATTGCCAAATTAAAAACAACTAAGCAAACAAGGAAATAAGACAGCAGGAAAAAAGCTCAAGAGAAAGCACAGACAACTTTTAAAAAGGCCCATAGGATCTCCAGATTATAAAATCATCAGACCATGTACTTTAAAATAAGTTCTTTACATGTATATCAAGGATATAAAGAAACAATTAAGAATTTCATCAGAAAACTGGCAACTACAAAAAATGGATGCACTAGGCGTGGTGACTCACGCCTGTAATCCCAGCACTTTGGGAGGCTGAGGTGGGTAGATCACCTGAGGTCAGAAGTTCAAGACCAGCCTGACCAATATGGTGAATCCCCATCTCTACTAAAATTACAAAAATTAGCCAGGCATGGTGGCATGCTCCTATAGTCCTAGCTACTCGGGAGGCTGAGGCAGGAGAATCACTTGAACTGGGAGGGGGAGGTTGCAGTGAGCCGAGATCGCACCACTCTACTCCAGCCTGGGCGACAGAGCGAGACTCCGTCTCAAAAAAAAAAAAAAAAAAAAAAGGAGGCTGGGAGTGGTGGTTTAGGCCTATAATCCCAGCACTTTGGGAGACAGAGGTAGGCCAATCACATAAGGCCAAGAGTTCAAGACCAGCCTGGCCAACATGGCAGAACCCCATCTCTACTAAAAATACAAAAATGAGTTAGGCGTGGTGGTAATCCCAGTTACTCGAGAGGCTGAGGCATGAGAATCGCTTGAACCTGGGAGGTGGAGGCTACAGTGAGTTGAGATTGCACCACTGAACTCCAGCCTGGGCAACAGATAGAGACTCAAAAAAAAAAGTCTAAAAAAAAAATGGAATTAGGAACTCAATTTGAACAGCACACTAGACACAAACATAAAAAAAAATAGTGAACTGGTATTTATTTATTTATTTATTTATTGAGACAGGGTCTCACTCTGTTGCCCAGGCTGGAGTGCAGTGGCATGATCTCGGCTCACTACAACTTCCACCTCTCGGGTTCAAGCAATTCTCCTGCCTCAGGCTCCCAAGTAGCTGGGATTACAGGCACCCACCACCACGCCCGGCTAATTGGGAGATAGTTTGATACAAACTATACAAATTGAAGTACAAAGAGAAAAACAGATAGAACATACAGGAAATGGATTAAGAGACATGGGGGATACTTTAACAAGGCATAAGTCATGTGAAATTGGAGTCTCATAAGGAGAGTAGAGAGAGGATGGGGAAGACATAATACTTGAAGAGATAAAGCTGGCAGTTTTCTAAAATGGACAAAAAAGAATCAAGTCATGGAATGAGGAGCCACCTAAATGCATCAGTGTAAACTGCTCAAAACAAAGACAAAACTTTTCAAAGCAGCCAGAGGAAAAAAGATACTGCCTGCAGGCCAGGGTTGTGGGCTGTCTCATGCCTGTAATCCCAGCATTTGGGAGGCTGAGGCGGGCGGATCACCTGAAATGAGGAGTTTGGGATCAGCCTGACCAACATGGCAAAAGTTCATCTCTATTAAAAATACAACAATTAGCCAGGTGTGATGGTGGACACCTGTAATCCCAGCTACTTGGGAGGCTGAGGCAGAAGAATCACTTGAACCCAGGAGGCAGAGGTTGCAGTGAGCTGAGATTGCACCACTGCAGTCCAGCCTGGGTGACAGAGTGAGACTCCACCTCAGAAAACACAACAACAGAAAAAGCCATTGCCTTCAAATGAGCAAAATTAGATTGAGAATTGGCTTCCCAATAAAAGCAGGAGAAATCAGATACAAGGGAATCATGTTTTCAAACTGAGGAAAGAAAATATCTGCCAACCTAGAATTCTATGCTCATTAACAATATCCTTCAAAAGTGAAAATGGCTGGGCATGGTGGCTCATGCCTGTAATCCCAGCACTTTGGAAGGCCGAGGCAGGTGGATCACCTGAGGTCAGAAGTTCGAGACCAGCCTGGCCAACATGGTGAAACCCCATCTCTACCAAAAATACACAAATTAGCCAGATGTGGTGGTGGATGCCTGTAATCCCAGCTACTCAGGAGGCTGAGGCACAAGAATTGCTTGAACCTGAGAGGTGGAGGTTGCAGTGAGACAAGATCTTGCCACTGCACTCCAGCCTGGGTGACAGAGCGATACTCCGTCTCAAAAAAAAAAAAACAACAAAAATTAGCCAGACGTGATGGCTAACACCTGTAATCCCAGCTACTCAGGAGGCTGAGACAGGAGAATCACCTGAACCCAGGAGGCAGAAGTTGCAGTGAGCTGAGATCCCACCACCGCACTCCAGCCTGGGCCACAGAGCGAGACTCGGTCTCAAAAAACAAACAAACAAAAAAGTGAAAGTGGAATATATATATGTGTGTGTGTATATGTGTATATATGTGTGTGTGTGTATATGTGTGTATATATATGGAATATATATGTATATTTTGCCCATGACATAGCCCTCAGGAGATCCTTGACCATGTGCTGAAAGATATTTCTTCCCAAAGATATTTTTATAAATAAAAATAAAGGGTAACAGAAGAGGTAAACGTGTGGGTAAATCTAAATGAATGTTATTGGTATGAAATTACAGTAGTATAGAAAATGATATATTGTGGGGTTTAAAATAAATAAAACATACTGAAATATGTATGGGTACAGTTATATATCTGGGATTTGCACTGAAATAATGTGGGGTAGAGGGAAGCAGGAAAGAGTATACATGAAATTAGCTTGGCCATGAGATTGTTGTTGAAATTGAATGGATACTCGGGGCTTCATTACACAATTCTCTTTACTCTTACATAGCTCTACACTCTCAACATAAATAAGAATAAAAACACAAAAAACACACAGATACATCTATGCACACATATATATTTAAAATACACAAAAATATTAGCATATAAGTCACTGGGGGTAAATTTAGTTCCTGTTCCAAGGTTCTTGTACTGACTAGGAAGAGCATAGAAGTACTAACTCATAGGCTGGGCGCGGTGGCTCATGCCTGTAATCCCAACACTTTAGGACGCCGAGGTAGGCAGATCTCTTAAGGTCAGGAGTTCAAGACCAGCCTGGCCAACATGGTGAAACCCTGTCTCTACTAAAAAAGAATACAAAAATTGGCCGGGCATAGTGGTGCACACCTGTGGTCCCAGCTACTCAGGTGACTGAGGCAGGAGAACTGCTTGAACCCAAGAAGTGGAGGTTGCAGTGAACCAAGATTGCTCCACTGCACTCCAGCCTGGGCAGCAGAGGAAGACTCTCTCTATCTCAACAACAACAAAAAGTACTAGCTCATGTTAGACTTTGATAAGTGAAGGATGCATGTTGTAAGCTCTAAAATAATCCACTGTCATCTTTTAAAATAACTCTAAGACTGCAGAGCTATGAAACTAATAGAGAAGGAGGAAATTAAATAATAAAAATAATAAATCCAAAACAAGATGTGAGAGGAGATAAGAAGAAATAGAATAGGCATGGAAAACAAATTGGTGGTGGGTTTCAACCCAAATAAATCATTAGTTACATTTAAAAGGACAATAAAAATTAAAATAATTGAAAATAAAGTAAAACCCAACTAATGCCTTTTATATAAGGATACAGAGAGGTGGAAAATAATGAAAAATATGGCATGCATGCACTAACCAAGAAAGCTGTATAACTTTTTTTTTTTTTT
Organism: Homo sapiens; assembly: GCF_000001405.40. Lineage (NCBI taxonomy): Eukaryota > Metazoa > Chordata > Mammalia > Primates > Hominidae > Homo > Homo sapiens. The sequence continues at coordinate 24,638,004 of NC_000022.11, read as the reverse complement.
TTTTTGGAGATAGAGCCTCACTCTGTCTCCCAGGCTGGAGTGCAGTGATGTGATCTTGGCTTACAGCAATCTCTCCCTTCTAGGCTCAAGCGATTCTCCCACCTCAGCATCCCAAGTAGCTGGGACTACAAGTGTATATTAGCCACACCCAGCTAATTTTTGTATTTTTTGTAGAGGCAGGGTCTCGCCACGTTGCCCAGGTTGGTCTTGAACTCCTGGGCTTCAGTGATCCACCCACCTCGACCTCCAACAAAGTGCCGAGATTACAGCCATGAGCCACCATGCCCAGCATAACTATTTTTAATGAAGTAGACTTTAAGAAGAAAAGTATGGCCGGACGCGGTGGCTCACGCCTGTAATCCCAGCACTTTGGGAGGCCGAGGCGGGCGGATCACGAGGTCAGGAGATCGAGACCACGGTGAAACCCCGTCTCTACTAAAAATACAAAAAATTAGCCGGGCGCAGTGGCGGGCGCCTGTAGTCCCAGCTACTCGGGAGGTTGAGGCAGGAGAATGGCGTGAACCCGGAAGGCGGAGCTTGCAGTGAGCGGAGATCGCGCCACAGCACTCCCGCCTGGGCGACAGAACGAGACTCCGTCTCAAAAAAAAAAAAAGAAGAAAAGTATTATTAGAGGTAAGAGACACATCACGGAAAAGAAGAATTTACTAGGAGCCAGGTGCGGTGGCTCATGCCTGTAATTCCAGCACTTTGTGAGGCCAAGGCGGCTGATCACCTGAGGTTGGGAGTTCAAGACCAGCCTGACCAACATGGAGAAGCCCTGTCTCTACTAAAAATACAAAAATTAGCCAAGCATGGTGGCACATGCCTGTAATCCCAGCTACTCAGGAGGCTGAGGGAGGAGAATTGCTTGGACCCAGGAAGTGGAGGTTGCGGTGAGCTGAGATTGTGCCATTGCATTCCAGCCTGGGCAACAAGAGCAAAACTCTGTCTCAAAAAAAAAAAAAAAAAAAAAAAAAAGAAGTTACTAGCTAGTTTCAGTAATTCTTAACATCCAGGAAACTGGATGTGAAAGCTTTTCAGAGAAACTAAACCAATAGATTATACATAGAGAGAGATTTATTGAGGAATTGGCTCACATGATTGTGGGGACTAGCAAGTTTAAAATCTGTAGGGCAAGCCAGCAGGCTATAAATTCAGGTAAGAGTTGATCTCGAAGTCTGGAACCTAAACTCTGTAGAGCAGTCAGCAGGCCAGAAACTCAGGCAGGGTTTGTGTGTTACAGTCTTGAGGCAGAATTCCTGCTTCTCTGGGAAACCTCAGTTTTTGTTCTTACGGCCTTCAACTGATTGGAGGTGGCCCACCCATATTATGGTGGGTAATCTGTTTTACTTAAAGTCAACTGACTGTCAGTGTTAATCACATCTATGAAATAACCTCCCAGCAAGATATTGACAAGTATTTGACCAAACAACGGGGCACCATAGCTTAGCCAAGTTGACATATAAATTAACCATCAGGAGCAAGTAGAATATCCAAAAAACAACATACTAGGGGTATTATATCTTATATAGCTATTATAATTATATAAAACATACAATTATAGAATGACGATATTAAGATAACCATTAGAACAAAAATATAAACTTTTCTTTCTTTCTTTTTTTTTTTTTTTTGAGACCAAGTCTTGCTCTGTCACCCAGGCTGGAGTGCAGTGGTACAATCTTGGCTTACCGCAACCTTTGCCTCCTGGGTTCAAGTGATTCTCCTGTCTCAGCCTCCCAAGTAGCTGGGATTACAGGCATCCGTTACCATGCCCAGCTAATTTTTGTATTTTTAGTAGAGACGTGGTTTCACCATGTTGCCCAGGCTGGGCTCCAACTCCTGACCTCAAGTGAGCCACCCCCATCGGCCTCCCAAAGTGCTGGGATTACAGGTGTGAGCCACCACACCCAGCCAAAAATCACCTTTTTTACAAGGATCAAAACAGTCATTATGCTGGAGATGACAGACCTCACTGTCACCATGCTCCTTTTGTATGTCTACTAGGCACGGTGCTGGGTCCACACTCACAGAAAGCTTAGGAACTCGCACCCAGGGGCTGCGGCTGTAGCAGAATCCCAAGAGTAAAACCTGGTGCTGAAAGAGTAGGAGATGAGGCCGGGTGCCATGACTCACTCCTGTAATTCCAGCACTTTGGGAGGCCAAGGCGGGCGAATCAAGAGATAGAGACCATCCTGGCCAACATGGTGAAACCCCGTCTCTACTAAAAATACAAAAATTACCTGGGCGTGGTGGCTGGCACCTGTAGTCCCAGCTACTCAGGAGGCTGAGGCAGGAGAATCATTTGAACCAAGGAAGCAGAGGTTGCAGTGAGCTGAGATCGCGCCACTGCACTCCAGCCTGGTGACAGAACGAGACACCATCTAAAAAAAAAAAAAAAAAGCAGGACACTGAACTCTGGGAGGGCCTCCTGGTGAGAGGTGAGCACAGAGGGGAGAGATGGAGGCAGGAGCATGGGCTTCTGGTGGCCCCAGCAGACCCTGTGGCAGCGTGGCCAGGGTCCTCTGCAGGGAGGAATCTTGGCCAGGATGACACTGTAGCAGGCCTCTTCCTGAGGCCTCCAGCCAGCCCGGCCAGGGTCCCAGCGTCCAGTGACCCCTGTTTCGCAGCAGCAGCTGGGGCCAGCCCCAGGCTCTCTTCCACTCCCAGCTTCTTAAAACAGGAAGTGGAGAGAGTTGTTTGATAAAACACTGGGGCAAACCACATCCTCTCTCTTCACCAAGGGAGAGTTCGAGGGGATGCCGGCAGAGGGAGCTTTAGAGTAGAGACCCCTACCCAACCAGTGACCGTCATGCACACAGCAGGGCATGCTATGGAGACCCCCAGAGAGTCACTTGGGGAGACCCAGCAGGTCCAGACTCTTCAGAGATCTGTGGCAGCAGGTCTCCAATCCCAAAAGCCACGTGCCCACGGGTGGTCTCTGGTGCCTGAGACCCCAGTCTCATTTGCATCTTTGCAACTTCGAGTTTAAGTGGGTGTTGCATCCTGTATGTCCTCCTGAGCAGAGGAGGGGCACAGCCTGGGGTGGCAGCTGGCGTCAAACCCTCAAATCCCCTGAGAGCCACTGGGGAGACTAAGCAGTCCCCAGCCCCTACTTGTCCCTGAGCTGCCATTCTCAGCCCTGTGGGAGGAGACAGAAATCCCTGAAGAGAAACCAAAGGACCAGGTCAGGAGGGGCTGCGGGGGGCGGTGGCATGAGCAATCAGGGCAGGGAAGGATGGACAGATGGGGGAATGGAGGGAAGAAGGAATGAATGAAAAGGTGAATGAATGAACAGAGAGAACGGCCACTCCTCCCTTGCTTTAGTTTACAAAGTACTGGGATCCTCCCAACAGCCTGCAAGACAGAATTTCTGGGAAGCAGACCAGGTGGCTGGCAGGGAGGGGAGGCTTGCCCTGGCTTTTGTGGGCCCAATGGGAGGCAGGGGGCAGGAAGGGGCATCCTGTATGTGTCCTCCCTGCAGCGGCAGCAGCACCTTCCTGGAAGAGGGTCAGGAAACACCCGCTGTGGCCCCTCTCCATCACGCCCTCATCCAGGACACCAAGTATCAGTCACTCAGCTCACGAGACCCAGGCCCTGACTCAGGGAGAGAGGATGTGAGGGGTGGGGCACCGGGCTCCTCAGGACTGAGAGACCTGAGATGTGGCCCCAGGCTGGGTGTAGGGGCAGACTGGCTATGGCAGCATTGTGTGTAACCCAGCAGGCCAGTACCCACGCAGGGAGCCTCCAAACCCCTTCACCCATGACCCTGGGAGAAGACCGCAGCCTTGGAGAATTGGCCTCACTGAAGGGGCCTGCACCGGCCAGCAGGGTCAGCCGGGGCCAGACAGGTTCCCACCTGGGATGTGCAAATGGGCCTCCTGAATCCTGGAGCCAGGTATGGACTCACACACCACCATTGTCCCCAAGTCCCCATCTGCCCCACGGGCACACCCTGCCGCCTGTTCTGTGCAAGGGCCCTGAGGCTGTCTCCTTGCGCTCAAGCCCTGCAGGTGCTGAAGCCCACACACATGGCTCCTGCTGCCTGGGCCAGTGCACGTGCACACACACGCACACACACACACTCACACACACACACACATACCCACACACAATCACGCACATTCACACACACCCACACCCCCATACTCACACTCACACACTCACACCCACACATACACTCACACAATCACACACATTTACACACACCCACACTCACACACTCATAGTCACACACACCCTCACACAGCAAAACACAATCACACACGTTCACACCCACCCACACACTCACACTCATATACCCCCACCCACACTCACACATACACACAAACACACTCACACACATTCACACACACCCACACTCACACATACACACACCCAAACACGATCACACACATTCACACACACCCACACCCCACACTCACACTCATATACCCACACACACTGACACATACTCTCTCACACACACACATGCTCACACACACACACTCTCACACACACGCCTTCTCCAGGAGGGGCTGGCTGCCAAGGGCCACCCAGCTTCCTCCCACGTCTCACTCACCGTCCAATATCCGAGCAGACCTTGGAGTCAGCAGCAACAGCGGCGTGGGCAAAGGCCGGGGGTCAAATGGGGCCTGGTGTCGAGAGAGGACCACAGCCAGCACAATGACAGCCAGCACAAGCCCCAGCCCCAGCAGGACCAGGCCAACCATGGCTCTGCAGTCCTGGGCCATGGCTCTGCGGCCCAGAAGGAGAGGGGAGGCCGGTGGGCAGACGGAGGGACAGATGGGTGGGCAGATGAATGGACAAGAAGGTGCATAGATAGACTCACAGGTAATTGGACAGATGGACAAACAGGTGGGGGCTGAAGACAGACACGAAGATGGATCGACAGATAGGCCAGATAGCTAGACAAAGAGGACAGTAAGAGAAAGATGGTCAGATAGACAATGGGACAGAGATGGGCTTACAGATGGGCGGACAGACAGACGGGTCTGAACAGCGGGCTGCCAGATGGACAGATGGGTGAATGGACAGACGGCTGGCAGCTGTGGCGAGCTGCTGCCCTCACCAAGTGCACACTACGGAGTGACCAAACTCACGCCTCAACTTCTGGTTTTCAGCTCCTGCTTGTTGCTGGCAGGAGGCCAGGCAGCAAAGCGTCTGAGGGGAGTTTTCCTTGCCTAGAGGAGTCAGCTGCTGTGTTAACTCCCTCACTGCTGGTAGGTCCAAAGGCCCCACCTACTGCCCGCCAGAGCCCAGGGTCACACTGTCGCAATGTGCAGGAGAACTTGGTGCCTGCTGCACTGCGGTTGCCAGGTAGGGGCAGGGCTCCCCGGAACCTCCACACCATTTCCCGGGTTCTCAGCAGCTCTAGGAAAGCAGAGCTGGGGCCGCTTAACTCTGCCCTGGATCCGGCAAGGCTGCCCCCCTCCCAGAGTGGAGCCCTGCTCCCCAGCTCCCATCTCTATCCCCTAACCCTCTCCGCATGGCCCAGCCTAGTCACCATCAAGGTGGAGCTGAACAGAGGCAGAGGGAGGAGGACCCAAGGTGGTGTCACTCAGGACCCGGGTTCAAGTCCTTATGTTTCTGCAGCCTGGCCTGGGTCCCCCAACCCCCCCCAGGGTGACCAAGGGCTTCCCAGTCTGCACAGAGGACAGGGGGACTTGACAGCATCAAATGCTGGTGACTACAAGATGCCCCTGTAGGGAATGCAGACAGACCATGCCTCTAGCCCTTGGCACCAGGCACCATCCATCCCTGGGACTTGCTGTCCTGGAAATGCAGCATAGACCTCCAAGGAGGGGGGCTGTGCCATGTGGGGGCTCCACCCCGCCTGCAGCTCTTTCCCACCCTGGCTGCAGGTCTACTTCCCTGAATCCAAATCTGCTACTACTGTGCTGGCAGCGCAGCCTCTCTGGGGACACTGGCCTGGCTCTGTTCTCCCCAGGCCTCAGGGTGCCTAAATGGGAGGCAGCCAGGAGAGTGAGGACCCACTGAGGGCCTCTGTTGACCAGGCTCAGCAGGGGTGCAGGTGATGTGGGCTGGACTTCTTCCCACGTGGCCCCCATAGTCCTCCCCGCTCCCTCCCCAGCTGAACACTGCCTGCTCCAGATGTCTACACCTGGAGTCTGGGCCTCTCCATCTGGGCAGCAGAGAAACTGAGGCACAGAGACAGACTGTGTCCTTACAGGCCACACAGCCTGCCAGGCCCCTATGTCCGGCCAGAGCCCCTGGTCAGCCTGGGCTGCAGCGATTGTTTAGAGGTAGGCTGTTCCCACGGCTGCCTCTCACGGTAGGGGGGGCCTGCGGACGCCTCCTCCCGTCCCCACCCGACTCCCAAGCCTCAGTGACATTGCTCAACCAGGAGCTGAAGTGCATTCCTGGGCTTAGGCCAGGCCACCCACCCACCCGCTGCAGTCCTGGAAGCTCAGAGGCCACAGTGGAGACAGCAGCGTGGGGGATGTCCCCCCTCCTCTCCCCACCATCCTCGTCAGGCAGAGGCCAGGGTGCAGGGACCACCGGAGCAAAGGCCCAGGGAAATGAATGGGTGTCATTCTGGTCCTGATCCGAGGCACAGCCAGGAAGGTCCCTGTGGGGAAAAGAAAGAGATATCAGACTGTTACTGTGTCTATGTAGAAAGAAGTAGACGTAAGAGGCTCCATTTTGTTCTGTAGTAAGAAAAATTCTTTTGCCTTGAGATGCTGTTAATCTGTAACCCTATCCCCAACCCTGTGCTCACAGAAACAAGTACTGTGTCGACTCAAGGTTTAATGGATTCAGGGCTGTGCAGGATGTGCTTTGTTAAACAAATGCTTGAAGGCAGCATGCTTGTTAAAAGTCATCACCACTCCCTAATCTCAAGTAAGCAGGGGCACAAAACACTGCAGAAGGCCGCAGGGACCTCTGCCTAGGAAAGCCAGGTATTGTCCAAGGTTTCTCCCCATGTGACAGTCTGAAATATGGCCTTGTGGGAAGGAAAAGACCTGACCGTTCCCCAGCCCGACACCCGTAAAGGGTCTGTGCTGAGGAGGATTAGTATAAGAGGAAGGAAGGCCTCTTTGCAGTTGAGATAAGAGGAAGGCATCTGTCTCCTGATCGTCCCTGGGCAAAGGAATGTGTAAAACCCAATTGTATATTCCATCTACTGAGATAGGAGAAAACTGCCTTAGGGCTGGAGGTGGGACATGCTGGTGGCAATACTGCTCTTTAATGCATTGAGATGTTTATGTATATGCACATCAAAGCACAGCACCTTTTTCTTAACCTTGTTTATGACACAGAGACATTTGTTCACGTGTTTTCCTGCTGACCCTCTCCCCACTATTACCATATTGTCCTGCTACATCCCCCTCTCTGAGATGGTAGAGATAATGATCAATAAATACTAGGGAACTCAGAGACTGATGCCAGCGTGGGGCCTCTGTATGCTGAGCGCAGGTCCCCTGGGCCCACTTTTCTTTCTCTATACTTTGTCTCTGTGTCTCTTTCTTTTCTCAGTCTCTTGTCCCACCTGATGAGAAACACCCACAGATGTGGAGGGGCAGGCCGCTCCTTCAGGTCCCTGAATGTCCTTCCTCAGGAAATGATGGGGGAAGGGGCGATGAGAATGAAGGAGAGGATTTAAGTCCCTCACCCCCCGAGGTAGTCCTGGGCTGAGCCCCATGGGACCTGGAGAACCAGGGTGTACCCCACCAGTGTGTCGAGTCGAGGAAGCCTCGTGGCCAGCTCCCACTTCTGTTGCTGCTGTGCAACCCAGAGCAAGGCCTGCCCCTCCAGCTTCAGTCTTCTCCCCTGCAAATGGGGCCACGGCCTTTCCTCTCAGGCCAAAATAAGGATTGAGGCCGGGTGCAGTGTCTCACCCCTGTAATCCTAGCACTTTGGGAGACTGAGATGGGGGGACTGCTTGAAGTCAGGAGTTAAGACCAGCCTGATCAACATAGTGAGACCCCATCTCTATTGGTTTAAATTTTTTTTAAAAAAATTAAATAAATAAAATAAGGATTGAAGAGTGACTTGTACACCAGTTGAGCCCACCTCCATCTCACCCCTGCAGAGCCCCAGAGACACAGCCCTCCAGAGCTCAGACCCAGTGGGACTTGACTCCACAGGCAGAAAACCCTGTTTGTCTATGGGCCCTTTGGAATCACCAGGTCTTCGGGGATCCTGAAGGATAGCCCCGACCTGGCCTCACCTGGCCCCTGGCCCCAGTGCCCCTGGTGATATCCAGGTGCTGGGCTGTGATCACCGCCTCCCACCAGCCCACCTCCACCAGCCCTTCCCAGAACCCTGCCCCAGGTGTTGGAACTGTGCACAGAGGAGGGAGCAGGCCCTGAGGGAGGCCTGGAGGGGCTGCCGATGGTGAAGGCTGCTGTGTCTAGCTGTTTCCTTCTGGACCCACTCCCTCTGGGCTGCGTCCCCGGCTGGTCCAAGCCCTGATCCCTGGGATCTGGGGACATCTTCCCGTTTGCTGTTCCCTGAGAACCAGGCCTCCCTCTGGAGAGGATCACAAGCTTGGGTTTCACTCTGGGCTTAAACTTGGAAACCCCCCAGGGGCGTGGCTCTGACCGAGATGTTTTCCTCCAGCCTGTTGCCCAGTCCCCATTCCTCGGACCTCAGCTTCACCTCCAGTGTCATCGGCAGGGTGAGCTGGACGCCTACGGGTCTAAGAAGGCACCCGGGTTCCCAGCATCAGCTGGCCACCCTCTGCCTAAGAAAGTGCCAGGGTCGTGGTACCCCCTGGTGGCTGATCCTAGGTAGTGTCACTGCCCAGCCCCAGTAAGGGAGGGCCTGGCCCCAAAGTCCGAGGGATCAGGGTGGGAAGGGGCAGAGCTTGGTGTGAACCTTCCCCTGGCCCCCAGCCATGTGCCTGGCTCTCCCCATGCTGAAGATGCTGAGGCTAGTTCCAGTGCCCGCATTGTGAAGATCTCCGAATCCCACCTCTCTGTTCCTCCCCAGCCAGATGGCTCCATTTCACACACAATACACTGAGGCCCAGAGAGTGGGGAGACAGGCCAGGGAGGCCACCTGGAGCCTGGCACAGTGGCCTCATTTATTGTGCTGCTCTGCTGCTCACAGGGGAAGCCGGTCCCCCAGAGTCCCCTTCCTGGTCCTGGTGAGTATCTTGTCCCTGGATTGCTTGTCAGCCTTGTCCTCCTGGAGCACTCAGTAGCCGGCAGGCTCCCCGCCTTTCCTGGAGTCCGAGGCAGCTGCCCAGCCACCAGCCGTGCGGACGATGGCTTGCACCACAGCGATGAAGGTGGACGCGATCTGGGTGTGATGGTGCCGGGTCTCCAGGGCTGCAGTCACTGCCTGGGGGTGGGAGGAGAGGGGAAGCCTGAGCAGGGCTCCAGATGCCACCTGAACCACATCTGTGTGGTCACAGGCCTCAGCCCAGGTGGTGCCATTTCGGGCCAGGTCATCAGGAAGAGCAGGTTGGGGCCTGCTGGGTCTCACTGGAGCAGGGGGCTTGGCCCTCATGGCACAGGGGCTCCAGATGGCCCAGGCACTAGAGAGAGGACACCAACCATTGTCCACTCTGTGATGATCCAGGCCTCCAGCCCAGGATGCCCTGGGGCCCCACACCTTGACTCAGTTTCTCCAACCCCCGGCCCACCTGGTCAATGTTTCTCTCCACTGTCGTGACGTTGGGCAGAAGCTGGTTGTGCAGCCGGGGCTCCTCCACGGCCCGCTTCACGTCATAGCCGAACCAGAGGTTGTAGATGATGGCCTGGGGCATGGGAGTGTGATCAGCATGGCTTGGGGGCTGTGCAGGGTGGGCACGGCCAGGGAGAAAAGGTGTGACACATACCAGTGCAGTGGCCGTGGTGATCTGTGTGCCCCCAGCAGCTCCCACCACCATCCGGACCTGGCCGTCCTGGCCCACCATGATCGTCGGGCACATGGACGAGAGCGGCTGCTTCCCTGCGGCCGATGGGAGAAGACAGGGATGCCCGTCAGCTGCCTGCCCAGGACACCCGCCCCTCTCCACCCCAGTCCCCCACCCCCGGACCTCCACCCCATACCTGGCTGGATGAAATTGGCAGGTGAGGGGGGTACCCCAAACTCGTTGGTGATGCTGGGAGAGCTGAAGTCGTCCATTTCATTATTGAACAGGATCCCGCTGACCGGGGAGCGGACCTTGGAGCCAAAGCTACCGCCCAGCCAGGTCAGACAGTGCCCGACCTTGCCTGGCCCAGCCTGGTCCCTATCCACCCACTGAGGCTCAAACATACTCACTGAGAGGCCCAGGATAAGCTACCAAGGTTGGGCCTCAGTTTCCCACCAGGAAAAGAGGTGACGGAGCCACCTTACTGGATAAGTGGGCAGTCCCTGGGCCACCCGCCCCTGGCCCTTTCCCACCCAGGCGGCCCAGCAGCCCCTACTAGAGGTTGATGGTGCTGGTGGCGGACACAGCACTGCCGTCCTCTGCGACGACAGACAGGTGAGCAGTGCCCCCGTCATCCGGCGTGTAGAACTCGGGCTTGTAGTAGGAGATCGGGTGAGTGGTGTCGTCAGAGATCTGGGCCCGGAGCTGGGCAGCGAAGAACTCGGAGGTCATGTTGCGGACCACCTGCCGAGACCCCAGAGCTGGCCTGAGGAGGTGGGGAGGGAGGGTGGGGAGGGGGCACAGGTCTCAGAAGGCCCTTGACTGTGACTCTGACCGCAACCCTCTGGCACCCACAACCTTCCGTGGCTCCCCAGGACCCAAGGGCAGGCCCAGGACCTTGCATGACCAGTCTGACTCCCTGTCTCTGTCGCGTTCCAGCAACTCTGAATGTCTGTCTGCCTGGTCCTCAGCCTCCAGACCCTTGCTGCATTCAATCACTCATTCCTTCATGCAAAAAATATTTCTAGAGTTTGCACTGCATGCCTGGCACTGGGGAATCAACAGGGAACAGACACTTAGGTCCTGCTCTCATGCCAAGAAAAACAAACACACACAGGGAAAGTGCTGAAACCACAAGCCAGGTAAGGGGAATCAAGAGGCATGAGGTATGGGCAGAGTGGTCAGGGAGGGCTTCTCAGAGGAGGCAACGTGTGAAAAGAGCCTGGAATGTGGCCTAAATGGTCAGTGCAAAGGCCCTGAGGCAGGTGGTATAGGCTGGTGAGTGATAGGCAGAGAGTGAATGGAGTGGGGTGGGGAGAAGAGGATGAAGATGCAGGCTGGGGCCCATCCCACAGGACTTCCTAGGTCCCATAACAACTGGCTTTTGCTCTGTGCCATGCAGGCTTAGGGCAGAGGAATGAGCAGGCTGGGGAGTGTTTTCACAGGATCCCTCTGGCAGCTATGATGGGGATAAGGATAAAGCCCAAAGGGGAGGCTGTGGGTATCAACCAGGCAAGAGATGATGGCCTGGGTGGGAGAAAGAGAAGAATCAAGGATGGCGCCGACTAGCGAGGTAAACCCTGCAGAAGGGGCAGGTTTGGGGATGGTCAGGAGCTTGATTTTGGATACTTCATCAGACCTGAAGAGCATGGGTGCACGTATTAAAAAAAATAAATAAATAAGCATGGGTTCACGGGCAAGGGCGGGCTGAGAGATGAACATGGAGGTATTGACATTGAGTGGCTGCTGGATGCCATGAGCCTGGCCAAGGTCCCCAAGGCAGTGGCGAGGAGATGAGGAGGTCAAGGAGGAGACAGAGGATGGACCCGAAGGCCGAAGAAAATGCCTCAAGGGAGTTTCAACACCGGGCGCGGTGGCTCACGCCTGTAATCCCAGCACTTTGGGAGGCCGAGGCCTGTAATCCCAGCACTTTGGGAGGGCGGATCACGACGTCAGGAGATCGAGACCATCCTGGCTAACACAGTGAAACCCCGTCTCTACTAAAAATACAAAAAATTAGCTGGGCGCGGTGGTGGGCACATGTAGTCCCAGCTACTTGGGGGGCTGAGGCAGGAGAATGGCGTGAACCTGGGAGGCGGAGCTTGCAGTGAGCGGAGATCCCGCCACTGCACTCCAGCCTGGGGGACAGCCTGGGGGACAGAGCGAGACTCCGTCTCAAAAATAAAATAAAATAAAATAAAGTTTCAGCAACACCCCACGGATTAGTTGACCAATCCCAGGGAAAGGTGTTCTGTCTGAATCTGCCCTCAAGGAAACAGAAAGGCAAATCCACGATGTGGGACATTTTCCAAGACTACTGCCCTGGGCTTTAAAAATCAACAAAACAGGCCAGGCACGGTGGCTCATGCCTGTAATCCCAGCACTTTGGGAGGCCGAGGCAGGCGGATCACGAGGTCAGGAGATCGCGATCACGGTGAAACCCCCTCTCTACTAAAAATACAAAAAATTAGCTGGGCGGTGTGGCGGGCGCCTGTAATCCCAGCTACTCGGGAGGCTGAGGCAGGAGAATGGCGTGAACCCAGGAGGCGGAGCTTACAGTGAGCCGAGATAGCGCCACTGCACTCCAGCCTGGGCAACAGAGCGAGACTCTGTCTCAAAAAAAAAAACACACCTGTAATCCCAGCGCTTTGGGAGGCTGAGGTGGGAAGATAGTTTGATCCCGGGAGTTTGAGACCAGTCTGGGCAAGACCCTGTCTCTAAAAAAAATACAAAAATTATCCAGGTTTGGTGGCACGTGCCTCTGGTCCCAGCTGTTCAGGGGGCTGAAGTGGGAGGATTGCTTGAGCCCTGGAGGTTGAGGCTGCAGTGAGCCAAGATCACACCACTGCACTCCAACCTGGATGACAGAGACTCTGTGTACAAACAAAAACACAACAAAAACAAAACAGCCAAGGGAGCCTACTGTAGGTAAAGAGAAGGGACAACAGGTTGTGTCACCCCGACATCCTGCTGTGCTATGTTCAAGTCTCACTTTTGAGACACACCCTGAGGTGCGACATCAGTAACCTACTGTGGAATCCCTCAGAAAAACACGAATCCCAATAGATGTGGGTGGAGACGGAGAGAGTTAGGAAATCCGACAGAAACATCCACACTGCAGACTCCAGGAAAAGGGAGCATTGATGCTTGGGCAGTTTTGGGGTTTTTTTACATTTTTGTAGGTGCGAAAATTTGCAAAATGAAAACTCGAGGAGAGTGTGGTGAGCTGTGTGAGATGCTGCTGAGTGGGGCCTGATGGGGAAACTGAGGCTGGACATGGCGATCTGGTGGCATGGGGATAGAGCAGGGGAGGGGATACCCTGAAGGGAGAGAGGACATAGCCCAGCCATGTTTGCTCTAAGAGGAGCAAAGGACAGAAGGAGGCAGCAGATAGAAGTTTCTAGAGCAACAACAGCTGCCTTTCTTTCGGGAATAAGCCGTGATAAAGAAGTAAATCATCAGAGGCAGAAAGGAGCATTGTAGGAACAGCACCCCGAGCCAGCGAGTAGATGAAGGAGCTGGCCTTAGCCAAAAAGGAGGGCAGAGGGACACACTGCAGTGGCTCTGTCCCCTCAGAGAGACAAGACACCAGGTCACTGGCTGCAGCGGGAGTCAGAGGTGCAGAATGCTCACGGGGAAAGAGAAGACACCACCTGGGCAGCTGACGCCCCTCCTGGGAGGTCACTGGTCAGTGTGGGGGGGTCTGCAGATCCGCCCAGGAATGCCAAGGACCCAAGTAGGTAAGGAGGGATGTGAGGATCCTCAGCGGGAAGGGATATGACAGGGTCTTATAGGGACCCAGTGTGGAGCTGGGGCAACTACTGAGTGAGTGGGTCAGGTGGTGCAGGGCTGAGGGTGGCATCTGGGAAGCGTTAGTTTGGAGTGACAGGGAGTGGGTGGCCAAGGTCTCTGTTCACCTGGCCCTCTCCCTTTCACCCATCCATCTCACCATGCCCGAGGGCTGCAATGCCCCCATGCATTCCTCATCTCAGCACTGAGCACTCGAGAACCACAGCATGTGCAAAGGACCTGAGGTAGGAGGGTGGCCACTAATTCCCCACACTGTCAGTTCTGTGCGGCAGAAGCCAAGACTGGGGGTCACCCACGAGTCCATCCGAGCACACAGTAGGCCCGCAATCGAAGTCTGTGGCAGGAATGGATTCATAAAGCATATGTGAGGCTGTAGCCACCCTGGGGAGCCCACCTGATGCCTCTATGGCAGGCCCCACACCCACAGTGGGCCAGCCCCTGCCCCTTACCTCAGTCACATCCACAAACTTGGGGTCCCCAAGCAGGGTCCTCTTGGCGTAGGCAAACCGGAAAGCCTCTACGATGCGGTGGTACGTCAGGCCCTTCTGCTCGGGGCTCTCCACGCTCTCCCGGGAGAAGTTGTACCCTGGTTGATCAGAGCCAGGTGCATGTTGCTGAGCCCCAGAGGCTCTGAGGGGCTCAGAGGGTTAACACCTGCCTGAGCCACTTTGCCCACCTCAAGGAGCGTTTAATAACCAATAGCAGCAGCTGCTTCAGAAGGCTGTGGTGAGAGTGAAGTAAGGTGAGGGCTCCCGAGCCTGGACCTCACGTCACGCATCAGCTCTGGCCATTCAATGACCAAGTGGCAGGGTCACCCACTGGACCGGGGTACCCTCTGGACCGGCCCTGCAGCCCTGAGCTCCTGCACCTCTCTCCCTCCTGATGACTCCTGTTCCTCCTCCAACCCTTGAGCATTGCCCGCTTCAGCCCTGTCGCTCTGCACTGCCTCCTTCAGGACATGGTGAACTGTGACGCAGGGACACACCTCGGGAGCTCAGTGATGGAAAGACGTGGCATGGGGGGCGAGCAGAGATGCAGGAGGGGTGGGGCGTGGGGAGAGAGAGGCAGTGTCATGGGTCCTACCACACGGCTGTGGTGCGACCACTCACCTTTGAGGATGTTGAGGATGAGGGCCAGCACGGGCCCGCTGAGCGGCGCACTGGGCATGTACAGCACCACGTCTCCCAGGCTGATGTTCAGCGGGTGCTCGATCAGCTCAGCACGGTAGTTGTTCAGGTCCTCAGCTGTCACAATGCCCCCTGCAATGGGACAGCAGCTCAAATGGGTGCTGGGATGGGGCTGCACCACTGCGTGGAGGATGGAGCTGCAGCAGTGGTGTTGGGGGCAGGCATGGCTGCACCATGGTGGTGGGGAAAAGCCTGTACCTACCAGGGAGGACAGAGTGCACTACTGGAGGGGTGGGACTGTGCCCTGGGAGGGGGCCACAGGCAACCTCACCTCCTTGGGAACCTCATCAGCTCCGGCACTCCTGTCTCCCTGACACTGCTCACCACCCAACAGCCGGGCTGGGGCCACCTGCCCTTTGCCTGCTTGGCTTACTGGCTTCCTGTCTGCCTTCTCTCATCTGTGGCCACAGAGTGTTTTCTTTTCTTTTTTTTTTTTAGAGATAGGATCTTGCTCTGTCACCCAGGCTGGAGTGCAGTGGCTTAATCACAGCCTTGAACTCCTGGGCTCAAGTGATCCTCCAGCAGACCCTCCCCAGTAGCTGAGACTAAAGGCACAACTACACCCAGCAAATTTTAATTTTTTTGTTGTGTTTTGCTACTTTTTTTTTGTTTTTTGAGACGGAGTCTCGCTCTATCGCCCAGGCTGGAGTGCAGTGGCGCGATATCGGCTCACTGCAAGCTCCACCTCCCAGGTTCACGCCATTCTCCTGCCTCAGCCTCCCAAGTAGCTGGGACTGCAGGCGCCCGCCACCACACGTGGCTAATTTTTTTGTATTTTTAGTAGAGACAGGTTTCACTGTGTTAGCCAGGATGGTCTCGATCTCCTGACCCCGTGATCCACACGCCTCGGCCTCTCAAAGTGCTGGGATTACAGGCGTGAGCCACCATGCCCGGCCGGGTTTTGCTATATTTCTTTTCACTATGCTTTGAATTTTTTGTTTTCTTGTTCCCCACCCCCACCCCCACTATATTTATGTAGTTTCTCAATATTTTTTTTGTAGACTCACTATGTTGCCCAGGCTTGTCTTGGACCTCCTGGCCTCAACTTCTACCTCAGCCTCCCAAAGTGTTGGGATTACAGGCATGAGACACCAAGCTTGGCCTCAGAGGGCCTTTTCTTTCTTTCTTTTTTTTTTTTTGAGATGGAATCTCACTCTGTGGAGTGCAGTGGTGCAATCTCGGCTCACTGCAACCTCAGCCCCCCAGGTTCTAGCGATTCTCCTGGCACAGCCTCCCAAGTAGCTGGGATTACAGGCACAACCTACCATGCCTGACTAATTTTGCATTTTTAGTAGAGACAGGGTTTCGCCATGTTGGCCAGGCTGGTCTTGAACTCCTGACCTCAGGTGATCCACCCGCCTCGGCCTCCCAAAGTGCTGGGATTACAGACGTGAGCCACCGCGCCTGGCTCAGAGGGCCTTTTCTAACTGGAGAATTCCTGCCAGTCTCCCTGCCGCTTGGCCTCTTCTCCTCATGATGAATGAATAGAGGAGGGAGGCTCTTAATTCTCCTGGAGTCAGCTCCAGACAGACAGGGTATTGGCATGCCAATTTCCAGCCTCAGTGGTAAAGGTCGACACGCTAATCACCCTCCTCCATGAAACGTGACAAAAATTACCTGAAGAAAGCCACAGCCAAGCTCCAGGCCCCTGCCCCACAAATCCCCTTCCCCATGCCTCTCTCAAGGAGACCCTCATCCCTTGTAACCCTCTTGGTGAATCAAAGCGCCCTCTACTGGGCCTTAGCCCAGCTGTTCCTCTGCTAGGAATCCCTTCCTCTCTCTGCCTAACAAAGTTATCTGCAGCCCAGCCGCCACCTCCTCCAAGAAGTCCTCCTGGATCTTCAGGCTGTATTCTAGTGCTTCCCTAGCCCTGGCTCTTGCCTACACCTGCATTTACCCCAACAGGGACTTGCTCTCCTGGACTGTGTGGCCTCTCTTGGTTTTGATATAAGCAGGAGCTGTGGACCCACATGGCCAGTCACTGACCCTCCTCCACCAGGAACTTCCTGCAGGCTCAGGCAAGACAGGAGGACCCCATAGCTCTGGGCTACAGCTCAGGGTTTCCACTGCAGAGTTCCTCACCCAGGCCCCTGAGGTTACCCACTCACCGGCCGCCTGGATGTCCTTCACAATCTGGGCCGTGAGGCTGCCGTTGTAGAAGGCCTGGGCACCCTCGATGGCCAGCGTCTCGTAGGTGTCAGCCAGCTGCGGCAGGGTCAGTCTCTCCCCCTCCCGAAGCACCTTTCTATCCCGGCAGAACACCTCACTGGGGCAGAGGGGGCTCATGTGAGGCAGCAGGTGGGGTGGACTCAGCTAGACCACCCCTCACACCCGTCCACACAGGAGAACGGAGCAGAACAGGGGCAGCGCCTGTCACAGGTGGGTGGCCCTGTCACTCAGCGCTCGTCTTCCTAGTGTCCCTTCCGGGAGCTTCCTAGTGTCCCTTGCCACTCAGGACACATGGCCAGCCACAGTGGCCACTGGGACCCCACGCTCAGAATGTGTCCCCACACGTGGTGGGAAGGGTCTGTATCTCCTCATCCCATTATCAGCACAGGGTCCTGAAGGCAGAGGGCTGCTCCACTGCTGCTACGGCCTGCAAGGTCCTTGGGCTGTGCCTGCCCTGCCTGTGTCAGGGGGCCGCACCCACAGACATACCACAAGACAGGCTGCTGCTCGATGACGGTCCGCTTGTTTTCCAGGGCTGCCGCCAAGCCCTTGCCCACGGGGAAGCCCTGGCGGGCCAGCTGGATGCTGGGCTGGAAGAGGCGAGCCCAGGGCAGCCGCCCATGCCGCTGGTGTGCCAGCTCATAGCCTCGGATCTCCCCAGGCACCGCCACCGACAGCCCCCCTGGGGAGAGAGAGCCATAGTTAGTGACCCTGAGTGGGGGACATCGGGATCTCTCGCAGGCAGCATCCCAGGCACAGTCCCTGACTCATTTTACAGATGGGGCAATGAGGCTTAGGAGGAAAGATTTTTTTTTTTTCTTTTTTGAGTTGGGGTCTTGCCATCTTGCCCAGCCCGATCTCGAACTCCTGGATTCAAGCGATCCTCCCACCTCAGCCTCCTGAGTCGCTGAGATTACAGGCGTGAACAGCACACCTAGCAGAAGGGGATTTTTAATTTTTAAATTTATTTTTTAATTTTAATTGTTTTTTTTTAGGAGGGGATGTTTAATTTTTTTTTTTAGGAGGGGCTCAGCAGGTAGGAGTGTACATGGACCAGGGATGTCTGAGGAGGGCACAGCAGGGGAAGCAGTAGCATGCGGCTGGGTTTTGCTGTCCCAGGATGAGGTGTCTGTCTGTGCAGGTGCCTGCATGTCTAAAATCCTGTGCCAGGCCAGACCCCCTCCCATCTCACTGACCACAAGGCCTTATCCTGTAAGACTCATGGGCTCCACGAGAATGTGCCAAAACAAGAGCAGATCCCACCTTGACCGAGGTCAAGCACAGGCCACCTTCAAGACACAGCCAGCCCCAAGAAAGGGCTCCCTGCCTCTTTTCTACGGCCCCAGAGAGGCAAGACTGAGCCTTAACCTCCGTCCTGTCCCCTCTCCCAGCCTCAGTTTCTCCATCCAACTATAAGGGTTTTTGTTTGTTTGTCTGTTTTGAGACAGGGTCTCATTCTGTTGTCCCAGCTGGAGTGCAGTGGTGCAATCATGGCTCACTGCAGCCTTGGCTTCCCAGGCTCAAGCGATCCTCCTACCTCAGCCTCTGAAGTACCTAAGACTACAGACATACCCCACTACACAGGGCTTTTTTTTTTTTTTTTTTTTTTCTGAGATGGAGTTTCACTCTTGTTGCCCAGGCTGGAGTGCAATGGCACAATCTTGGCTCACTCCAACCTCCACCTCCCGAGTTCAAGCAATTCTCCTGCCTCAGCCTCCCAAGTAGCTGGGATTACAGGCATGCACCACCATGCCTTGCTAATTTTTGTATTTTTAGTAGAGACGGGGTTTCACCAGGTTGGTCAGGCTGGTCTTGAACTCCTAACATCAGGTGATCCATCCTCCTCAGCCTCTCAGAGTTCTGGGATTACAGGCGTGAGCCACCATTCCCAGCCTAATTTTTTATTTTTATTTTTTGTAGAGACAGGGGTCTTGCTACGTTGCCAAGACTGGTCTCAAACTCTGGCCTCAAGCAATCCTCCCACCTCAGCATCCCAACATGCTGGGATTACAGGTGCACTCAGCCTATAAGGGGTTTTGCCTTCCAGTTCTGACTTTTGAGGAGGTCATTGGAAACACACCCCTGGGCCTGCTTCCCCCCTGAGCCCCGCTGCCCATAAGGACACTACAGACACTGACCCTTTGCCCAGAAAGGTACAACTATGGCCTCTGCCCCCAGGGACTCTCCTGCTCTTGCGAGAGATGATGGGGCCATTTGGCTTGGCTTGGCAGCTGTGGCTCTAGAACTGCCTCTCCCACCCTGAAGCCTGGCACAAGTTTCCAAGAGCTGGTGGTTTCAATTCCTAGAAGCTGCACATACATCCCGGAAGGTCTGACACCCAGCACATGATTCCTTCCACCTTGTAGTTAGACAGAAGTTATTTTTTGTTTTGTTTTGTTTTTCTTCTTTGTTTGTTTTTGAGATGGAGTCTTGCTCTGTCTCCCAGACTACAGTGCAGTGGCATGATCTCAGCTCACTACAACCTCCGCCTCCCAGGTTCAAGCGATTCTCCTGCCTCAGCCTCCCGAGTAGCTGGTATTACAGGCACAGGCCAGCACGCCAGGCTAATTTTTGTATTTTTAGTACAGATGGGGTTTTGCCATGTTGGCCAGGCTGGTTTCAAACTCCTGACCTCAGGTCATCCACCCACCTCAGCCTTCCAAGGTGCTGGGATGACAGGTGTGAGCCACCGTGCCCAGCCAAGACAGGAGAAGTTCTAATCTTTGATAGCAGACCAGGGTGACGATGCTTAGCAACAGTATTTTGTATATTTCAAAGTAACGAAGAGAGGACTATGGTGCTAACACCCAGAAATGAAAAATATTCAAGGTGACGGAGACTCCAAATACCCTGCCTTGATCATTATACACTCTATGCATGTAACAAGCACTCACATGTACCCATAAATATAGAAAATATCATGTATCAATATCAGAAAAAAAATCTTCTCCTGACCTCAGGCCAATCAGACTCTCATGCCAGCACACTTGCCAAGTTCTCTGGTGACCCCCACACTGCCAGACCCAGTGCCCCCTCTCAGCTTTACTGGGCTCATCACTTTCCCTGAGAGCTGCCCCTGCATCCCAGCACCTGGCTCCACCCGAGTCTCCCCCGCCTGCCATCCTAGCTCCTACTCTCCCCTCTGTCTTTGCTCTCTCTCCTGGTGGTCTGCTTGACATCTGAGCTTCAGCCTCCATTTATGCACTGACAACTCTCAAATTGACCTGCTGGCCTGGGCTGCTCCTCCGATCACCAGACCTGAGGATCTACCTGCCTGCTCGAAGAAAGCATCTCAAACTTCAACGTGCCCAAAACCGAGCTCCTGAGTGTCTGCTCAACCTGCTTCCTGAGAACCCTGCCTGTCTCCATTAGGGTCACCCCATCCTTCCAGGTACAGACAAAAGATCAGGGGTCCCCGGGGACTCCCTACACAAGCGTCACACCCAACCCATCCTCAAATCCACAGACTCCACTTCCAAGTGTGTCTGTCCAGCGTCAGCCACTTCCCAGCACCCTCTCCACGAATTACTGCAGTGACCTCCAGACAGGTCCCCACATGCTCCCTGCCCCTTACACAGCAACCCACGGGGTCCATAGGCCAGATCCATCCCCTTCCACTCACATACTCCACGAGCCCCCACTTCCCTCAGACAGGAAGCAGAGGCTTCACCATAACCTAAGAGATCCCACACAACCTGGGCCATTTCCCTTGGATCACTTGCTGCAGCCTCCCCAGCTCCCCACAGGGCTCTGTCCCTGCCATCACACCTGGATAGCAGACCAGGAGATAACTCCCCTGACCCCATCTCTGCCTCTGGGTCTTTGCTCAGATGTCCCCTTCCCTGACTAGGTCACCCTCTATACAGTCCCAGATTTTGAGGCCCTCCAGACCTGTTTTTCTACAGCCCGTAACACACCTGCACCTGCCTAGTTTCTCCTCCCACCTGGAGTGTCACAGATTTCATCTGCCATCTTTGTTTTTCACCCCAGCTTCAGGAACAACAGCTGATTCTTTAAGAGAATACTCAATACATTCAAGTTAAATAAATGATTCTAAGAGTCCACAAGGTGCCAAGCCTATGATTCCCGCATTCTCTTACCCTGAGCAACTTCATGTCTACAAATGCTGAGTTTCTCAATGAGTATTAAAAAAAAATGAAAGATTGATCGGGCACAGTGGCTCACGCCTGTAATTCCAGCACTTTGGGAGGCCGAGGCCGGGGGATCACGAGGTCAGGAGATCGAGACCAGCCTGGGCAACATAGTGAAAACCCGTCTCTACTAAAAAATACAAAAAATTAGCTGGGCGTGGTGGCAGGCGCCTGTAGTCCCAGCTATTCGGGAGGCTGAGGCAGGAGAATGGCGTGAACTCAGGAGGCAGAGCTTGCAGTGAGCCGAGATCGTGCCACTGCACTCCAGCCTGGGCGACAGTCTGGGTGACAAAAAAAAAAAAAAGAAAAAAAAAAGAAAAAAGTCAAAGATTGAGTATGTTGCAGAAGACTCCAAAGGGCACCACCCAGGACCCCCACCTGAAGTCTAAGACCTGCTATGGTGAGTGTGTCCTGCCCCTCCATCCTCCAACTTTTTTTTTTTTTGAGACGGAGCTTCATTCTTGTTGCCCAGACTGGAGTGCAGTGGCATGATCTCGGCTCACTGCAATCTCCTCCTCCTGGGTTCAAGCGATTCTCCTGCCTTAGCCTCCTGAGTAGCTGGGATTACAGGCCTGTGCCACCACGCCTGACTAATTATTGTACTTTTAGTAGAGAAAGGGTTTCACTATGTTGGCCAGGCTGGTCTTGAACTCCTGACCTAGGTGATCCATCTGCCTCAGCCTCCCAAAGTGCTGGGATTACAGGCGTGAGCCTGTGAAAAAAAGGCCCAGCCTTTTTTTTTTTTTTGGCAGGGTCTCACTTTGTTGCCCAAGCTAGAGTGTAGTGGTACAATCATGGCTCACTGCAGCCTCAACCTCCTGGGCTCAAGTGATCCTCCCACCTTAGCCTCCCAAGTAGCTGGGAACATAAGCACACACCGCCACACCTAGCTAATTTTTTTTTCCGTTTTTTGTAGAGATGGAGTCTTGCTATGTTGCCCAGGCAGGTCTCAAACTCCTGGGCTCATGCGCTCCTCCTGACTTGGCCTCCTAAAGTGCTAGGATTAGAGGCGTGAGTTGTTGAGACCCTCCCATCCTCCAACTTTTATCTCACAATCTACTGTACCACCTTTGAGGACAGACAGTGGCTTCCTGGATGGACAGTGGCTTCCCTTCAGGTACCTGGGGAATTTGGGGGCCTCCTCTCCACTTAAGACCAGATTAGAAAAGAGAGACTCCACCTCACATTCTAGAGCACCATCCCCACAAATGAACAAATGAGTGAATGGGATGCCTGTTGAAAAGGCACGGTATAGACAGCCTGGGTTCAATTTTAGCTTCACCACCTCCCAGCTGTGTGACCTCAACTGATTTGCGTGACCTGTCTGAGCCTCAGCATCCCCACCCTGTAAAATGGGAATCCACACAGCATCCCCTAGCCCAAAGGAGCAGGGAGGGTTGTGAGAGGCTCATGGGTGAAAAGCACAGAGCAGAGTGTGGGCCCCAGTGAGCCCTGGTCCATGAGGTCTGCTAGCATAATAATTATTCTCTCCATGTGCTGCACAGAGTGGCCCCGGAGGCCTTAGCAGAAATAACAGAAGCTCCCGGCCCTTTACCATGGTGATGATGGTCCTGACCACTCATTGTGGGAGGGTGCTATGGGGACAGGAAGGGATGGGGGGTGACAGAACTGCCCCTGAACCCTGACGGGAGCAGGCTCCTGTGGGCAAGGCCCCTTCCCGGTGGCTCAGCCAGCTCTGCACCCACGCCCCAAGTCTGCCGCATGGCTTACCCTTCTGGGACTGCTCCGAGCTGTTGAACATGGTGGCAAAGGCCAGCCTGGGGGCCACCTCGCGGGCGTTGATGACCTCAGCTTTTCCTAGAAGGAGAAGCAGGTAGGCAGGCCCGCCCACCCAAACCCTTTATGCCACGTGAGCCTGGGGACCGCCCAGCTGTGCCTCGGCCCAACCCACACCCCCTGCCCCTCTCCCTCTCCTCTCCCGAGGCACTCACGTGTGGTGCTGTTGTAGATGGTGAGGAAGAGGCCACCCCCGATGCCCATGCTGTGGGCATTCATGAGCCCCACACACAACAGGGCTGCAATGGCTGCATCCACCGCAGAGCCACCGTCCCGCAGTGCATCCCTGCCATGTGGCACATAAAGGCATGAGAACCTGCAGGCTTCCACCCTGGCCCCGCATACACACCCTGCTGCCCACCTGCCCAAAGGAGGATGGAAGAGAAGTCCATTCGAGTTTTGGGGTTTTTGTTTTTAGTTTCTTTCTTTCTTTTTTTTTTTTTTTTTGAGATGGAGTCTTGCTCTATTGCCAGGCTGGAGTGCAGTGGCACGATCTCAGCTCACTGCAACCTCTGCCTCCCGGGTTCAAGCCATTCTCCTGCCTCAGCCTCCTGAGTAGCTGGGACTACAGGTGCATGCCACCACGCCCAGCTAATTTTTGTATTTTTAGTAGAGACGGGGTTTCACCATGTTGGCCAGGCTGGTCTCTATCTCTTGACCTCATGATCCGCCTGCCTTGGCCTCTTTTTTTTTTTTTTTTTTTTTTTTTTTTTGAGACAAAGTCTCTCTTTGTTGCTCAGGCTGGAGTGCAGTGGTGTGATCTCAGATCACTGCAGCCTCAGTCTCCTGGGCTCAATTGACCCTCCCATCTCAGCCTCCCAAGTAGCTGGGACTATGGGCACATGCCACCATGCCCAGCCAATTTTGTTTGTTTGTGTATTTTGTAGAGATGGGGTTTCATCATGTTGCCCAGGCTGGTCAAGAACTCCTGTGCTCAAGTGATCCACCCACCTTGGCCTCCCAAAGTGCTGGTATTACAGGCATGAGCCACTGTGCCCAGCCTTTGTTTTATGAGACAGGGTCTCACTTTGTCACCCAGGATGAAGTGCAGTGGCACAGTCTTGGCTCAATGCAGCTTTGACCTCCTGGGCTCAAGCAATCCTCCCACTTCAGTCTGCTGAGTAGCTGGGACTACAGGTAAGAACCACCACACCTGGCAATTTTTTGTCTTTTTTGTAGAGATAGGGTCTTTCTATGTTGCCCAAGCTGGTCTCGAACTCATGGTCTAAAGCAATCCTATCGCCTCAACCTCCCAAAGTGCTGGGATTACAGTTTCCTCTTTTTCTTTTCTTTTCTTTCTTTTTTTTTTTCTGAGAGGGAGTTTCACTCAGTTGCCCAGGCTGGAGTGCAGTGGCATGATCTTAGCTCACTGCAACCTCTGCCTCCTGGGTTCAAGTGATTCCCCTGCCTCAGCCTCCTGAGTAGCTGGGATTACAGGCGCACACCACCATGCCCGGCTAACTTTTTATATTTTTAGTAGGGACAGAGTGCACCATGTTGGCCAGGCTGGTCTCGAACTCCTGACCTCGGGTGGTCTGCCCGCCTCAACCTCCCAAAGTGCTGGGATTACAGGTGTGGACCACCTTGCCCAGACAGTTTCCTCTTTATCAAGCAAACAAATGTACATGACTTTTATAACTGGGACAAAAAGGGAAATTGCTATACTTTATTAATAACATTTTTTTTCCCGGCTAGAGATGGTGGCTTACACCTGTAATCTCAGCACTTTGGGAGGCCAAGGTGGAGGATCACTTGAGGCCAGGAGTTCAAGACCAGCCTGGGCAATAGAGTGAGACCATCTCTAGAAAACAGTCTTTTTTAATTAGTCAGGTGTGATGCACGCCTGTAGTCCTAGCTACTCAGGGGGCTGAGGTGGGAGGATCGCTTAAGCCCAAGAGTTCAAGGCTGCAGTGAGCTATGATCATGCCACTGCACTCCAGCCTGGGTGACAGAACAAGACCCTGTCTCAAAATATGAAAAACATAATATTTTTTCTGTTTAAGTCTTTAGGAGGGAACTGATCTTTGTATATAACATGAGATAAGAGTCTAAAATAGAATAAAACAGTAGAAGCCAGGCACCATGGCTCACACCTGTAATCCCAGCACTTTAGGAAGCTGAGGCGGGAAGATCACTTAAACCCAAGAGTTTGAGGCTGCAGTGGGCTATGATCGCTCCCCTATACTCCAGCCTGGGTAACAGAGTAAGACTCCACCTTAAAAAAAGAATAAGCCCGGCCGGGCATGGTGGCTCATGCCTGTAATCCCAGCACTTTGGGAGGCCAAGGCAGGCGGATCA
The DNA here is from genome assembly GCF_000001405.40 of Homo sapiens. Lineage (NCBI taxonomy): Eukaryota > Metazoa > Chordata > Mammalia > Primates > Hominidae > Homo > Homo sapiens. The sequence continues at coordinate 24,612,763 of NC_000022.11, read as the reverse complement.
CCTGAGGTCAGGAGTTTGAGACCAGCCAGACCATTATGGTGAAACCCTGTCTCTACTAAAAATACAAAAATTAGCCGGGCGTGGTGGCGGATGCCTGTAATATCAGCTACTCAGGAGGCTGAGGCAGGAGAATCACCTGAATCCAGGAGACGGAGGTTGCAGCGAGCCGAGATTGCGCCACTGCACTCCAGCCTGGGAGACAGCGTGAGACTCCGTCTCAAAAAACAAAACAAAACAAAACAACAACAAAAAAGAATAAGCCCTTCATGTCCCTGTTTGGGCAACAGTGTTCCTTGGGGGGAGGGGGGAGGGATGGCATTGGGAGATATACCTAATGCTAAATGATGAGTTGGTGGGTGCAGCACACCAACATGGCACATGTGTACATATGTACATATGTAACAAACCTGCACATTGTGCACATGTACCCTAAAACTTAAAGTATAATAATAATAAAATAAAATAAAAAAAAAGAAAGAAAGAAATTGTCTCCTAACCAAAAAAAAAAAAAAAAAAAAAGAATAAGCCGGGCGTGGTGGCTCACACCTGTAATCCCAACACTTTGGGAGGCCCAGGTGGGTGGATTACCTGAGGTCAGGAGTTCAAGACCAGCCTGACCAACATGGTGAAACCCCATCTCTACTAAAAACACCATAATTAGGCCAGGAGCAGTGGCTCACACCTTAATCCCAGCACTTTGAGAGGCAGAGGTGGGAGGATCACAAGGTCAGGAGTTCAAGACCAGCCTGGCCAACATAGCAAAACCCTGTCTCTACTAAAAATACAAAAATTAGCTGGGCATGGTGGCACATGCCTGTAGTCTCAGCTACTGTGGAGGCTGAGGCAGGAGAATCACTTGAACCTGGGAGGTGGAGGTTGCAGTAAGCCAAGATTGCACCACTGCCCTCCAGCCTGGGTAACAGAGCGATACTCTGTCTTGGAAACACACACACACACACACACACACACACACACACACACACACACACAAATTTGTTGGGCGTGGTGGCGCACGCCTGTAATCCCAGCTACTTGGGAGACTTAGGCATGAGAATCACTTGAACTTGGGAGGCGGAGGTTGCAGTTAACTGAGATTGCACCACTGCACTCCAGCCTGGCAACAGAGCAAAACTCCATCTCTAAATAAATAGATAGATAGATAGTAGATAGATAGATAGATAGATAGATAGATAGATAGATAGATAGATAGATAGATAGATGATAGATAGATAGATAGATAGATAGATAGGAAGAAATAAGTAAAAATAACAACCAAACAACAAAACAGTGCAGTTTATTCCAAAGAGACAGAGACTCTTAGAACTGAGAAAAGGGGCCCTGTTTGGCTCTAGAGACCCACACCCTGCTCTCGGAGTCACTGTCCCCTTCCCAAAGGCTACTGAGAGAGTCCAAGCGAAGCTTACACATGGGGAAACTGAGTCTCAGGGGGGTGAAGGTATTGCTCAGGTCCACTTGCCCAGTTTTCAGGGCCCATGTCCCATGCCCTGCCCTGCTCACCTCCCAATCTTCGAGCACTGCTTGGCATCCGCGGCCACGGCAGCCCTGGTGTACACATGGTTGTCAGGTTCCTTGGAGGCTGAGGGCAGCCAGAGACAGAGGCCGACAATGACCAGCACCAGGACCACGGCCAGCAGGCCCAGCACCACTAACTTCTTCTTCATGGCTCTGCTGCACCCACGGGGTAAGAAGCAGGGTCAGGCCTAGCCTCAGACATTCCCTGGCCCCTCCCCAACAGGGCACAGTCTAAAGTCGGGCCTCAGAAACACAAGGCCTGTGTCTCCTTCCCGCTTCCCAGAATACGTGCAGGCTGTCCGGCCCCCAGACCTTTGCGCAGGCCATGCCCTCTGCCAGAAGCTCTGGGCCTCATCTCTGCCCTCCCAAATCCTCCCTGCTTATCTTCAGAGCCCATCCTGGTAAGAACCCCATCTCCAGCAGCGGCCCTTCCTGGGAGCCCCCAGATTTCCACACCCCTCTTTCTGCAGGGCCTTGCCTACCTCCTTACAGTGGCTGAGCCTCCACTGCTTAGGGAGAAGCTCCAGTAGGGATGGGCCTGGCCTGGTTTCTCCTGTGTCCCCCACCCCAGCCTAGAGCCTGGCACTGTCCAGGAGTCCTCTGAAGACCCTCCACCCCACCTGGAGCATGGGGTTTAGCTTCCATAGTGCCCACAATCAGAGCGCCCCACAGATTCACTGCCACGGGGCCAGGACTTACCGTCCAGCAGCAGACGGGGGCCCCAAGCCTTGCCTGGGGTGTTGGCCACGAAAGACAGGAGGATTTGGTGGAAATAGCTGAGGAAATAACCGGGGTCTCCCTCACACTCTGCTGAAGCCTGTAGCCACAGAATCTTCTTCAGGGACTCTCTGATCAGGCAGCCTTCTCGTTCTCCTGAAGGTCAAGGGAGGTTACCTGAAGCACGCGCAGCCCAGACCTTTCTGGGGGACTCCGTGTTACCTCCCTCTGCCTCTAGCTGGTTTCTCTGTCTCCAGTTGAACTCTGGAGGCAAAGAGGCTGTCAGTAACACATTTGTTTCCATGAATTCTCTCAGCATGTCTCCCAGGCACAGCTCAAAGAGGGTTTTGCACGGAGCAGGGCAGGTAGGGGACAGGGCATTCCTGCAGAAGCCCAGGATGTGCATGTGGTCAGCATGGCAAAGGGGGCTCAGGGGGCACCGCCAGCCTGCCCTGCTCTGATGCTGGACTTGCCACTCACCTGCTGTGGGGCCTCAGGCAAATCACTGAACTGTCCAGCCTGGATGACGGCAGCACCTCACTTGCCTTGCTGCTGGGAGTGTTGTGAATAGAGTAGGTTAGACTGTGGGCAGGGCTTGGTGAATGGTAGCTGTGATTATCATCATGGCTGCACTGGGGACACCCCCAGGAGGCCTGAGTGGCACAGGTCTCTTGCTCACTGTATGTCCCCTGTGGACTCCCTTCCAGGCTGTGCAGTGAGTGGCAGCAGTGACCCTTGGGAAGTCTCATGGCTATGGCAGCAGGTGACAGGTGTGACAACAGGGAAGAGGGATGTGGTGACAGAGGTTGGGGTTCCCCTCTCCCACAGTCAGTTTCCCACAAAGGGCGGTGTCTGCCAGCAAGCCCCTCCAATGAGCCCCAAGCTGGATTTCCCTCCACTCCACCCTGTCCCAGTGCAGAGCGTCTGACCTCAGAGGCAGACACACTGTCCCAGAGGTGGTCTACGAATGGAGTCCCTGTGCCCTCCCCACACACAGGGAACATCCAAATGCCATCATGGAAGGGTGGCCACCTCCCCAGGCTTGGTGGGCCTGGGGCCGATAGTGTGATTCATTTGACCCCCTCCCAGCCCTGGATGCAGACACTAAGAGCAGAGAGACCTGGCAGTAGTCATGCAGCAGCGCACCACCCCACATCCCCAGCACAATCCAAAGCAGCCCCTCATCCCCACCGTGACCACCACAGCCTGAATCCAGGCGCCACCTGTTTCTGACCTGAACTCCCTCACAGCCCCTGCCTGCACTCCCTCCCTCCAACATCACCTGCCCTTCAGTCTTCCAGAAAGCAGCTAGAGGGCTCTGTCTGTCCAACTGCAGAACAGGCCCTGCCTCCTCCCTGCCCCGTTGGACAGCTCACACCCTTCACCAGGCCTGACAGCGCTCTTGCCACTCCGACACCCCGGGTCCCAGCTGGGAGTCCGGGTCAGGGTTAAGGGTTCCTGATAGAGACACCGATTCCTGGAGGTCCAAAGAGCCTCAGGAGCTGGGCCAGCAATATGCAGCATCTATTATGGACACAGAACATTCCCATCACATGGCCGGGTGCAGTGGCTCACACCTATAATCCCAGCACTTTGGGAGGCAGAGGCAGGTGGATCACCTGAGGTGAAGAGTTTGAGAACAGCCTGGCCAACATGGTGAAACCCCCATCTCCACTAAAAATACAAAAAATTAGCCAGGCATGGTGGCAGGTGCCTGTAATCCCAGCTACTCAGGAGCTGAGGCAGGAGAATTGCTTGAACCCAGGAGGTGGAGGTTGCAGTGAGGCAAGATTGCACCACTGCACTCCAGCCTGGGCAACAAGAGTGAAACTCCGTCTCAAAAAAAATGCAAAAAAACAAAAACAAAAGGACATTTCCACCACAAGTCATGGGGCAGGGGCCTGGCCTGGTCAGTGACCCCGTCCTAGCATGACAGCCCCCTGCACCAAGGAAGCTACCCAGTCCCGTCCACTGGGCCGGGTCATGCTGAGTGCCCTGGAGGGCATGGCCTCATCTCTCCCAGGCTCAGGGTCATGAGCTGAGCCCCCGGTCAGGGTCCTGGGGTGGTCCAACCATGACCCAGCCTCGCCTGTCTGTTAATCTGTCTACCCAAAGGCCCAAGTAGGCTGCTGGAGGAGCAGGGGACACCCAGCCAGGCTCAGACTGCTGGGAAGAACAGGGAGGGGAGTAGGCAGTGCTGGGCCCTGTCCCTTCCTCCCAGGGCAGGTCAGCAAGGGAGGGTGGGCCCAGCCTCCCACAGGCAGATGTCCCCGGATCGGAGGAAGACACCCTGCTGAGGTCCTGGGCTTCCATTTCCCATCCCTCCACCCTAAAAACTCACTGAAAGAATGTCCAAGCCCAGAGGCCTGGTTCTCACCCAAACAGCGTGAGAGCTGCACACACTAGGGGAAACTGAGGCTAGAAAGTAGGTCAGCTGCCATGGTTGGCCTCAAACCCAGACCCCCTTCCTTGGGACCCTGATGGGCTTACCTGAGGCCTGGGGACAGTGGGGGCCCAGGAGAGCACCTCTTCCTCAGAAGACAGTTCTGGGCTGCACCCGCTGGGGAGGAAGAGACAGACTTGTCTGCCTGGGAAAGTCCCAGCCACAGAACTGGCTGGGCCCCCCGCCACTCTCCAGAGTGGCTCAGAGCCACGCCTGTGGCCCCCTGCAGCACTCCTCAGGGGGCCTCCGAATTGGGACTGGGATCTGGGGGTGGCCACCTCCGAGGAGGAGCAGAGGCAGGGAAGGAGCAGGAGCGGCCAGAGGACTCATGAGCTTACCTAGTCCAAGAGACCAGCCAGGGCGTGCCCAGCAGCCCCGGCGGACAGTGGGAGGCATCTGCACAGGGTGCAGGACAGGCAGGCCTCTCACGGAGGTCCAGCCTGGCTGGGAGGATGGGGAAGCTGACGTCACAGCAGCAAGGAGGCGCACAGTGACTTGGCATGGTGACTCGGCCTGTCACCACGTGACTAAAGTTCACGCAGCCCTGGGAGGGCCCTGGATGGCAGGTGCTATGAGCCGGGGAAAGGGTTTCCTTCCTTTCAGACTCAGTTCCCTCCAAAGGGCGCTGTCTGCCCACGAGCCCCTCCAGTGAGCCCCAGGCTGGTTCCCTCTGGCTCTCCCTGTCCCTGTTCAGAACATCTGAACTCACAGCCAGTGTCCCAGAGATGGCTCTGGAGGCGGTGGAGTAGTGGTGCCCCTGGCACTAGACCAGAACCCAGCCTAAGGGGCCTCACCACACGCTGCTGTCAATGCTAAAGGTGTGTTCCGGGAACATGGCCTGGGGCCCTGAGTGCAGACTGGTTCTGCTGCCCATCCAGAAACATTAGCACCCCAGGCCCAAGGAACCACCCGAACAGCCCAGAAAGGCAGGGCCCAGAGAGGGCCTGAGCTGGCCCAAGCTCACAGAGCCCAGCAGTGCAGGCTTGGCCACCTGGTAACTGCCCCAAGTTACTGCATGTTTCTGACCAGCCCACCAAGAAGTCTGAGCCAGGAACAGCTGCGGACCCAGCCCAGGGGACTTTGGACAGTGCTGCCCATTCCCCTGTGGCCCTCATCTGCCAAGGATATGGGCCAGAGTCTCCCTGAGTCATGGCTCCCTCCCCTGCTCCTGGGCCTGCTGTGTCTACGGTGCCGGAGAGCCCCTGCAGCCTCCACCTGAGGTCTATTCCGTGCCCATAACACCTACCCCACAATCATGCTTCCAGGCTGCCCCAGCTGACAGAAGGGGACATGAAGGCTGACCCAATATTGCTGCCTGCCTGGGTCACATAGGCCTGTCCTGTCATCCACTGCTCTCAAATGGGCTCTGGACAGAACCCACCAGACACACAACTGTGAGATCCTCAATAGCCCTAGGGTGGAGGTGCTGTGACCAAGTCCTTTCCCAGGCTATTCCTCCCCGTGAAGATCAGGGTGACTGGGAAGATGACAGGGCAGGAACCAAGGTCCCATGACCTGTCCCTGAAGGCTAGACAGCCAACAGGAACATCAGGGGATTTGGCCCTGCTAAGTGGCTGCATTCCATGGCAGTCAGCCAGGAGGGGTCTAAAGTGGAGAGCCACAGGGCTCTGTCCCCTGCCCCGGCCTGCTCAGCAGTTTCCTCTCTGCCTGAGAGCATATAAGACATGCATGTTCTCACTCATAGGTTGGAATTAAACAATGAGAACACTTGGACACAGGAAGGGGAACATCACACACTGGGGCCTGTTGTGGGGTGAGGGGAACGGGGAGGGATAGCATTAGGAGATATACCTAATGTAAATGACAAGTTAATGGGTGCAGCACACCAACATGGCACATGTATACATATGTAACAAACCTGTACGTTGTGCACATGTACCCTAGAACTTAAAGTATAATTTTATATATATAATACTATATATAATATATTTATATGATATATTATATAAATTATATAAATATAATATATGATATATTATATAAATTATATAAATATAATATATGATATATTATATAAATTATATAAATATAATATATGATATATTATATAAATTATATAAATATAATATATGATATATTATATGTAATATATTATATATAATATTATATATTATATATAATATATAATACACATCATATAATATTATATAATATATAATACACATCATATATTATATAATATATAATACACATCATATATTATATAATATATAATACACATCATATAATATATAATATATAATACACATCATATATTATATAATATATAATACACATTATATAATATTATATAATATATAATACACATTATATAATATTATATAATATATAATACACATTATATAATATTAAATATATAATACACATTATATAATATTAAATATATAATACACATTATATAATATTATATATATAATACACATTATATAATATTATATATATAATACACATTATATAATATTATATATATAATACACATTATATAATATTATATAATATATAATACACATTATATAATATTATATAATATATAATACACATTATATAATATTATATAATATATAATACACATTATATAATATTATATTATATATAATACACATTATATATTGTTATATAATATATAATACATATTATATAATATTATATAATATATAATACATATTATAATATTATATAATATATAATACATATTATATAATATATAATACATATTATATAATATATAATACATATTATATAATATATAATACATATTATATAATATATAATACATATTATATAATATATAATACATATTATATAATATATAATATAATACATATTATATAATATATAATATAATACATATTATATATTATATAATATATTACATATTATATAATATATAATATAATACATATTATATATTATATAATATATTACATATTATATAATATATAATATAATACATATTATATAATATACTTTATATATTATATATTACATATAATATATAATATATTACATATTTTATATATATATATGACATACAGGATTCACAGCAGCAGGTGGGCAGAAAGAAAGTCTGAGTGGGCAAAGGATGGCCCAGATCCCTGCAGCTGACCCCAAAAGGAAAACCCTGGGCTGGGGAAAGTAGGGAGACAGAGCTGCCTTCAATGGGGCACAGCTGAAGCCTGGCAGCAGCTGAGGATTCCAGAGAGGGGAGACAGGAGGGGAGGCACTTTATCAAAGGACATGTTAATAGAGGTAGGGCCTACAGAATGAAGGAGGCTTTTCCTCACATGCTGAGTGTGTCACATTCTGTCCCAGTCAGCCCTCTACCCCCTGAATGCAGAGAGGGCACCTAGGGGGAAGTGGGTCTGGGGAAGCCATGTCACCTGAGGAAGGACTGCAGGGGCTGGCCTAGAAGTCTTCTCCAGACCCCACAGCTCTTGTCCTGGGCACATAAGGTAGTGAGTTCCCTGTCCCGAGAAATGTGCAAGCCTCACTCACCCAGAGACACAGACTCTGGTGTCAGTATCACCCACTTCCAACACACGTGCAAGCACGTGCGCACACACACAACTGAGCCTCATTTAGGCTGAGCAGAGCAGCTTCCCAGGATGCAGCAGAGAGAGGAGTATGAGGAAGAGGTAGACACGGCAGCCAGTCTGAAGTTTCCTGGTTAATCCTTCAACCCAGCTTGATGGCTTTGTCACCACAACCCCAGAGCCACAAGGGTGAAACCAGAGCACAGCCCCAACCCCATTCACAGGCAGGAAACTGAAGCTTAGACAAAAGGGATTTTACGAGGTCAGCTGGCCCCAGGAAGTCTGCAGACCTGCGGGTAAGCCCAGGACCCACCCACCCCTTACCCTGCCAGCCCCCAGCCTGGAGTCGCTATCCCTCGATATGAGAATGCACAGATCTCTGGCGTCTTCCCCAGGACTGCCTACAGCCCTGGACTGGATGCTTACTACCCAGACGTGGAGTTGGAATCTGTCTCTCACAGTTTCCACCCTTGCGGCACAGAGCCGAGAATCAGAAAAAACACCCCTTCAGTAAGATTTAATAACCACTACCTGCTGGAAACCTGTCGAAAGAACTATATATATCCCTATATATATAGCTGAGAGGTGGCAGGCGCCCCCTGGAGTTGGGCAATGACCCCTCGCACAACCGGCCCTGCCCCACCCCAATCCACAGCCACAAACAGAACCCAGGAGCGAGGCAAGCATGGCCCAAGGACACAGGGTCCCCCAACCCCATCACAGCTCTGGCTCTACTCCAGAGCTGACCCCCCGCCCCCACTCAGGGCTGCCAGATCCTCCAGGGCCTGTCTGTTCATGCTGCACTCTTTCCTCTTAATTCCAAGAAGCCACGGCTCTCTCAAGAGCTTCTTCGCACAAGTCAGGTGACTCCCCCCAGCCCTCCTTCACCCACTCGCATACCTCACTCAAACTCACATAAACTCATCAGCCAAGAAACAGAGGCCCCCAGCCCAGACCCAGTCGGATAAAGAACCCAGGGCTCTGCCCACCTGTGGGATCCTTCTGCAGGATGCGCCCACACAAGTCTTGCCCCCTTCACCCCGAAGTGCAACTCACTCCCACTGCACGGGTACATAAACCGAGGCTTGGAGAGGAAGAGGAACTCCTCTAGAGCGCAGCAAGCATATGGCAGAGCTGAGAATGGGACTCAGGCCTCCAGACACTCATGGGAGTGCCCTGACCTGAGCTTCCCCACCTATGATGTCCACCAGCTCAGAGAGGGTGAGCGGCGCCTCTGGGTCACACAGCACTGGGGCACAGCCAACTGCTCTCACTTCTGGGCTCACCCGACGCCCGGTCTGGTCATCCAGCAGCACACCAAAACCAAGCTAAGATTCCCTGCTGTGACCCAGCTCCTCCTTCCCTCCCCTAGTGGCCTGGGGGCGGGGCGGGGGGAGGGGAGGCTTTAAAGGCACAGGAACTGCTGCAGGTGGGATGTGGGCTGGCTCCTGGTCCCATCCCTGAGGCTGTGATCTGGGACCGCTGCAGGCTGCAGGTGTCTCTGAGCCCGGTGGGGTCTCAAACCCTGAATGAGAGACCTGAACTCTGAAAGCCTCGGTGGGGCTGAATGAGGCTGGGTTTCAGCGGGAGGCAGATTAGACCAAAGGTTCCCTGGGAGATGGGGCCACAGAGCTGGGCTGCAGCCAGATGCCCACGCCAGGAGGGGCTGGAGATGTAAGCATCTGAGGCCCCACAAGGTCTGAGGAGCCTAGTTCACCTCTACAACCCCAGGGCAGGGGATGCCTCTCCTAACAGGCCCTCTCCCCAGCTTGCAGGACTACAGGTGGGGCTCTAGGAGCTGTCACTCCAAGGACCCTGGTCACCTGGACTGAAGGGAGTCACATAATCCAGGAGGGTCCTTCCTTGACCCCCAATTTCAGGGGTCTGAGCAAACAGGCTGACCGAGGACCCCAGGCAACGGAAGCAGGGGGATGAGGCCCATCTGTCCATCTCATGCCCTCACCTGCTCTGCCCCATTCAATGAGATGGGGTGGGTGCCCCCACAGCGCTGGCAGGCCGAAGCCTCTAAGCCCTCAGATCGAGGTCCACACATGGTCTGCAGCCTGCCAGTATTGTCACTCTTAGCAAGGCTCACGCTTACGTTCCTTCTTTCATTCCATCATTCATTCTCCCATCAAATCCTGGCCCCTCCAGATTCTTCTCTCAAGGAGCCCTGACCTGGCTGGGCATGAGAGTATGGTCACCCCAGGGGGAAGAGCCCTAGGGAAGGGGCAGACACCAGAATAGGGGCCTTGGGAATCCAGCCCGAGCTGGGATTGGATTTGGGGAGGACCTGCCAGGCGGAAGGAACCACCTGAGCCTGAAGGCCAGGAAATGGAGCCTTTTCCAGGAAGTGAGGGCTGCAGGGGACCTCTTGACCACCCTAGGCCCGTCCTGAGCCCCGAGGTGTCAAAGCTGGAAAAGGAGGTGGCCGAGCTAAGACGTTCAAGGCCAGGCCAGTGTGGACTTTGAGAGCCCTGGGAGGCTGGTGAATGTGTCACCGGGCCCAGTAACCCATTAACCCTGGCTCACTCATTAAGACCCTGGTGGGTGTCCATTAGCTCCTTGGCCAGTTACAGGAGCTGGGCAGAGGGTAGGGGTCATGGGAAGAAGGGAGTGCTGATTGGGGTGCTAGGTAGAGGCTGGCTGAGCTGGCTCTTTTGTGTCCTTGTTCCTTGAGGAGGGTTCCAGGGCCAAGCTGGCCTCCAGCCAGGGGCAGCTGCCAACACAGCCCGGGGCGGGTGCCGCCCCACCATCCTAGTGACTTTCATCTCCTTATCACCCTTGTGTGCTGGCACCAGCAGCCCACAGTGCCTCAGGGGCCTTGGCCAGACAGGAGGCTCAAAGGGCCAGTCCAGTGCCTGGCTCAGCATCCAGCCACACAGTCCCTCTGAGAAATGGGCCCACTGTGGCCTCCAAAGCCCAGTCTGTTTCAACGGGCTGGGATCTGCCCCACCTCTGTATCTGGGAAAACAAGGCCCTGGTGGGGCAAGAAGGGAGCTCCTGGCATAGGAACCTGCAGCCTGAGAGGGGAAGGGACCTGCCCAAAGCCACTCGGCAAGAGAGTGACCCATGACACCAGGAAGGCTGTGCAAACCACTTCCTGCAACTGGCATCTCATTGCAGCCCCACCCCCACTGACAGGTCCAAGAAGCTGACAACACTGAATACCAGCAATCACCCAGAAAGCCTCATGCCCTGAGTGGGCCATGGTGAGGGCCATGGCGGGGTGGGGTTGGGGGGCGCATGGGGGCATGACATCCCGAACTGCCATCATGAGGCTCACAATGATCGAACAATGCGGATCGGTCCAGATGCAAGCGGTGCCTGGCCCATACTCCAGAACCGCTGGAACAACATCTCAGGGACCCCTGGGAGCCAGAAACCCAATATTATCCAGGACATTTTGTGTCTCCTGGTGTCCTGCACCAAGGAGACACTTGGTAAACTGGCTAAATAGAACTGACTTCAAATCCAAACATCATAGCATTGGATTCAATATTAGGATCACAGAATCTCAAGTGTTTGCTCTCTGATCTTCCAGCATCCCAGAAAGGTTGGCTTACATACCTTCCCCAATGGGGAGCTCACTACCTCCAAAGATAGTGGGACTCTGGTTGGCTGGCAAGTTCTTACCAACATTAAGCGCCAATTTGCCTCTTTGTAACACCTGCTGCAGGTGGGCCTGGCCTCAGATCCTGCCCACTGTCTAAGGTCACAGAGCAGAGAAGCAGGGGCCACTCCAGATCCTGTACCTGGCCACAGCCTCTCTGAGCCACAAAGACCACACTGAAGGAATGGGAGGAAGACTTCAGCTCAATGGAAGTGCTGGTGCTACTCAGCTGTGATGGAGGGAGGTCAGCACAGGCCAGCTGTGGGCATGGGCAGAACTCCTGTGCCCCCAGAGCCTGGCCAACACCCCCAGTGCCATTTGTAGCATTTGTTATTCCAGCACCCACCTGTGATGTCAGGACACAGACTGAAGCATGGCCAAGTGCGTGGGCCCTTCAGAATTGTCAGCTTGTGAATGCCTGGGAGCACCCAGCAGCAGGGCTGGCCTGGCACTTGATGGAACAAGTCCAGCTCCAAAACTCAGAGGCAGGATGGCAGAGGCATGGGCCCTAGAGTCCCTGGGTTTAAACTCAACCCCAGCCACTGATAGTGTGGGTATCACAGCAGCCTTTCCCTTCCTAGCCTCAGTCTCCTACCTAGAGAGCAGGGATAACTAGAACAGTTGCTGGGTGGATTCCTTGAGATGACAATGCACAGACAATGCACCTCCTACTTTCAAGGCCTCACAGGGTCTGGCTAGGCTCCAACACCAGGCCTGTAGGAGCTTCTCCCCTTTCCTGATGAGCAGCTCAGAGCAGGGGCCCAAAGGGCCCCCCTCCTGGCCGCCCTGTCCTCCCTGCCCAAGGCACCCTCCACAGGTAGTATTTATCACATCACCTGGTAATTATCTGCAGTGTCTGAAAGCTCCAAGGAGGGGATGGGGGTGGAGGAAGACTGTCCATGCCCCAGTCCCGACACCATGCCACAGCCTGATCTCCAGGAAAGCCAACCCGCTCCTGTCTCAAGGCCTCCCTGGTGACATGCCCAAGCACACCTGTTCACCCACAGCCCCCTGTGACTTCACTGATGCCAAAACTGCGCAGCACTTTCCACGCATGCCATGCTCTCACCTGGACTTTTGGGGACCTCCCCCTGCCTCATAGCAGCACCTTCCCGACCTCCCTCGCTTCTTGGATGCTGGGCTCAGGAATGCTCTCACTGACGAGTCTGCGCCCTGCTGGCTAATGTTTCAGATGCGCCAGGTGGACGTGCCCAAGCCTGAGCTAAGCAACTGCCACCAGAGCAGCCAGAGTCTAGCCCTGGGCAGCTACCCCTGCATCCTCACTGGGCCTGTCCAGCTGCTCCCACCTCTATAACCCACTACCAGCCTCACCTGACCTCCAGTCCCCATAGGCCAACCCTCTCACCTGGAGACTCCCAATCACAGGTCCCAGCCCCTCTGCTGTTTCCCTACTGCAGCCCAGGCACTTGGCATGCAAATCTGAGCACACCCCTCCCCAACTGAGAAGAAAACACTCCAGAGGCCCCCCTTGTCCTACCTTGCTGGTGCCCGTCCTTTCCTCTTTTTTTTTTTTTTTTTGGAGTGGGGCAGCTGGATATGAGCTATCCTTTCCTCTTGCTCCTTCCCAGTCTTTGGGACTTTGCACTGACTCCATTATCATGGAGACACTCTTCAGACATCAATCACAATGCCACCTCCTCCTGAAGCCCTCTGGCACTGCATCTCACTCTGCAGGCCGGCTGCGACTGCTGCCTCCTCCACAGTATCCACAGTGCCCAACAATCTTCACTGAATGGATGGATGCCAGCTGTCAGGTGGCTAGCTGTTTTTACTAAAATGCATCTTCTAGGACTTTACACTGAATCCACCTAGCCACCTGACAGCTGGCATCTCTAATCTTGTAATCCCAGCACTATGGGAGGACGAGGTGGGTGGATCACTTGAGACTAGGAGTTCAAGAGCAGCCTGGGAAACATAGAGAGACCCTGTCTTTAATTTCTTAATTAATTTTTTTAAAAAAGGCCCAAGAGGACAGGGTTTGGGGAGTTTCATGTGGAGGCTGACAGGAAGGGGAACAAGAACTCATCCATGGCCAGGTGCAGTGGCTCATGCCTATAATCCCAGCGCTTTGGGAGGGCGAGGTGGGTGGATGGCTTGAGCCCAGGAGTTCACGACCAGCCTGGGCAAAATAGAGAGACCCCATCTCTACAAAAATAAAAAAGTTAGCTGGGCATAGTGGCACATGCCTGTGGTCCCAGCTACTTGGGAGGCTGAGGGGGGAGGATCACTTGAGCACGGGAGGCAGAGGCTGCAGTGAGCTGAGATAGTGCCACTGTACTCCAGCCTGGGCAACAACAAAAAAAACCAACTCATCCATGTGTCCAGCTCTACCAGGACAGAAACTTCTGTACTTAGGAGTCTTCCAGTCTTTACCCTATGTATCTCTTCATCTGACTGTTTATTTGTAGCCTTTATCTTTTTTTTTTTTTTTTTTTTTGAGACGGAGTCTCAGTCTCGCTCTGTTGCCCATGCTAGAGTGCAGAGGTGTGATCTTGGCTCACTGCAACTTGCACCCCTCGGGTTCAACCGATGATTCTCCTGCCTCAGCCTCCCAAGTAGCTGGGATTACAGGCTCCTGCCACCACACCCAGCTTATTTTGTACTTTTAGTAGAGATGGAGTTTCACCATGTTGGCCAGGCTGGTCTCCAACTCCTGACCTCAAGTGATCCACCTGCCTCGACCTCCCAAAGTGCTGGGATTACAGGCGTGAGCCACCGTGCCCGGCCTATTTATAGCTTTTAAAGTTTCCTTTGAGCTACTGACTTTAAGGGATGATAAAGTATGTCTGAGGAGAAAATAAAATAAAACATCCTTTGAAATAAACCGATAAACAGGTCTCCCTGAGTTGTGTGAGCTACTCTAGCAAATTAATTGAACCCAAAGAGGGGGCCTTGGAACCCCAACTAGAAGCCAGTTAGTCAGATGTTCCCAATGCCCAGACTTGTGACTGGTGGGATGGGGGTTGGTCTTGTGGGACCAAGCCCTCAACCTGTGGTTTCTGAGGCCATCTCCAGGTAGACAGCACCAGAATTGAGTTGAATTGGAAGACACCAGCTGGAGTCTGCTGCAGAATTGATTCTTGCTGGGTGTGTGGGAGAATCCACAAATTTGGTTACAAGAAGTCTTCTGTGATGATTATTGTCTTGTGAGAACAGAGGCGAAACACAGTTGTTTTGTGTGTGTGTGTGTGTGTGTGTTTTTGAGATGGAGTCTCACTCTGTCACCCAGGCTGGAATGCCGTGGTGCTATCTCGGCTCACTGAAACCTCCGCCTCCTAGGTTCAAGCGATTCTCCTGCCTCAGCCTCCTGAGTAGCTGGGACTACTGGCACATGCCACCATACCCAGCTAATTTTTGTTTTGTATTTTTTAGTGAAGATGGGGTTTTGCTATGTTGGCCAGGCTGGTCTCAAACTCCTAGCCTCAAGTGATCCGCCCACCTTAGCCTCCCCAAAGTGCTGGAATTATAGGTGTGAGCCACCACGCCAGGCCAAAAAACACAGTTTGAGTTGGTTTTTCCTCACACGACCTTATTTGGAAATAGAGTCTCTACATAAGTAATTAGTTAAGATGAGATCATACGGGATTAGAATGAATGAGCCCTGTTGGGCACAGTGGCTCACGCCTGTAATCCCAACACTGGGAGGCTGACAGGGGTGGATCACCTGAGGTCAGGAGTTCAAGACCAGCCTGACCAATATGGTGAAACGCTGTCTCTACTAAAAATACAAAAATTAGCTGGGCGTGGTGGCGGGCACCTGTAATCCCAGCTACTTGGAAGGCTGAGGCAGGAGAATCGCTTGAACCTGGGAGGTGGAGGTTGCAGTGAGCCAAGATCATGCCATTGCACTCCAGCCTGGGCTAACAGAGTGAGACTGTCTCAAAAAAAAAAAAAAATTAAAATTAAAAAAAGAATGAATGAGCCCTAAATCCAGTAGCTTCAGTTCTTTTTTTTTTTTTTTTTTTTTTGAGACAGAGTCTCGCTCTGTCACCAGGCTGGAGTGAAGTCACCACGCAATCTCAGCTCACTGCAACTTCTGCGTCCCGGGTTCAAGCGATTCCCCTGTCTCAGCCTCCCAAGTAGCTGGGACTACAGGCATGTGTCACCACACCAGGCTAATTTTTTTTTTTTTTTTTTTTTGTATTTTAGTAGAGACAGGGTTTCACCATGTTGGACAGGATGGCCTCAATTTCCTGACCTCATGGTCCGTCCACCGCAGCCTCCAAAAGTGCTGGGATTACAGGCGTGAGCCACCGCACCCAGGCACTAGCGTTATTACAAGGAGGCCATGTGAGCCGGGCATGGTGGCACTCACTCATAATCCCAGCTACTTGGGAGGCTGAAGCAGGAGGACTGCTTGGACCCAGGAGTTCAAGACCAGCCTGGGCAACATAGTGAGACCCCACTGCAAAAATAAGGAATGCCATGTGAAGGCCACACAGACACATAGGGTAGATGGTTTCAGAGACTGGAGTGATGCAGCAGCAGCCAAGGAAGGCCAAGGATTGCCAGGAGCCACCAGAAGCTGAAGAGACAAGGAAGGATCTTCCCCTGGAGTCCTCAAAGGGAGTGTGGCTTGGCCTATACTTGGATTTCAGACTTTTAGCCTCCAGAACTATTCTGTTGCTTTAAGCCACTGAGTTTGTGGTAATTTGCTATGGCAGGTCCTTACTCTGCCTATGGTTACACATCCAACAAGTGGCAGCCCAGGGGATTTGAATCCAGGCCCTGAGCCTATACCTGTGATCTCGCCTCACCCCGCCAAGCTCTGCTGCCTACTACAGCCTCATGACAATTCCTGGCCCTGCAGAAGGTTGACAACCCGTTCCTGTAGAGCAAACACAGAGGACATTCTGTCTCCATAGAGTATCCATCTGCTTCCTTCCTCCTAGCGAATGCCCCCAAACCATTCTGTGTCCTTCTTTACAGTGGCTACCAGGAGGCTCAGTGCCACTCAGCTACTTGCTGAGGTAACATTAACCCTGAGCTGGCCTTTTTCCCTCCTGGGCTTGAACAATACTACTGGGTGGGTAGAGAAGGGCCCAGAGGCAGTGCAAGGCCAGTTCCAGCCCTGGCTGCAGCCCTCTACCTGCCCATTGGGCCAGCTGGACCTTGTGTTCCTGTCATTTGAACTAGGCCACCGCATGGGTGGCAGAGGGCTTGAGACTCCAAAGGTGTGGCTGTCATCAATTCTTGTCTCCTGGCAGGTCCCACTTGGAGCCTAGTACGTTCCCATCAGGGCCTGAGGTCTAGCTGTGTCCTCCCTACCTGATTCTCCAGCCCCCAACCTCCCAACTCACTGACTCACTAGGGATGGCAGGGCTACCCTGAAGAATCCAGGGCAAGCCCTTGAGCTTCCACATCAGCCCCGGGAACTGAGAGGACAACATCGCAATCCCTCCACCCCATGGAGTCTCAACAAACACAGCTCTGCTGCTCAGGGTAACCCCAGGGAGACGGGCCAGCAGCCCTCCGTGAAGAACACATGTGGGCTAGCGAGGTGGAATCATGCCCCCATGCCTGAGGGGAGAGCTGTGCCTCTGGGGGCTGCTGTCCAAGTCAGGTTAGGCCAGAAATTGTCTCCAAAAGCCCACTCGCCCTAGGCACCCCACAAGCAGGCAGAGAAAAGCCCATCCAAGGATCTAGGCCCAGACACCACCCTCCCTCTTTTGCTGGAAAAATGTCCTCCAGGAACCTCTCGGCCAGGGACACAGAGGGTGGGGGATGAGAGGCAGGGGCTGGGGCAGTTCTCTGCCTTCCACAGGACTCTAAGCTCTGAGCACTCCCCCATACCGCTGCCTAGGTTGCCCCTTTCATGCCTCCAGGCTCAGCCCTCCATTCCCTCCTTTCTCCCCTCCCCCTGCCCAGTATTCTCACATTTGAGGGGACAGTGCCCAGGCCTGGCTCAGCCTCTGGGAGGATATGGTCAGGATCTGGGAGCCCTCCCAGCTGTGGCTCCAGCCCTGAGGCTGCAGGGGAAGAGGAGGAGGGCTTACCGGGCTGCCTGCTCTGGGCAGGGGGGTCTGAGAGGTCCCTGGGGCATCAGAGCTGCAGCTTAAAGCTCTGACCGGGTAGGTTGCCACTTCAGTTCAGCAACAGCGCCTTGGCCCTGGGGGAGGGCACGCAAGGCCGTCATGCAGGTTTGCCAGGGAGGAAACCTGTGGTGCCAAGGTGGCCCCAGGACAATGCTGGCTGCACTGGAGTGGGAGGAGAGGCTGTTGGGTCCAGCTGGCAGGTGCCAGGGGAGAAGGGGGTGCAAGCACTGCTCCAGCAGGGGTTGGGGGTCCGTGGATGGTCAAGGGGCTAAGACATCCTGCTGTCCTCTGCCTTGTCTCAGGGGCCCAGCCCCACAGGATGACAGAGCCTAGCACCCTGCCCTCTCCCCACTGCCATCTCTGGGCAGGCAGTGCTTAACCCAAAGGAAGGAACCTTGAATCTTCATAGGGTAATTAGCAGACACACACACACACACACACACACACACACACACATACACACGGGTGCTTGGCTGTCGTCCCTCATATATGCCCTCGGACAGTGCTCAGCCCTTCCTGCACAACAGGTACCAGTCCTCACAGGCTAAACACGTGCTCCTTGCTTAGAGAAGTGGGAACTGCAGATCAGTGCCTCAAACGTTCCCCACGCAGGAGATGTGAGCGTCCCAGAGCCGGGATTGGGGCTGCAGGGGCCCAGCAGGCCTGCAGCAGAGACCTAGGCTTCTGCTGAGGGAGCCCTGGGAAGTGGGATACACCTTGAGCTGGGTGGGTCCGTACCTCACCCTGGTCCTCAGAGGAGCCAGGGCCCCCATCTCACTCTGCCTGCCGCCACCCCCACCCCTTGTCAGGGAGGCAGACTGAAGCCAGCGGCAGATACAGCCCGCCTGCTGCCAGCTTGCCCAGAGCTGGGCTTAACGGTTAACCTGACTCTTCGTCCGGTTTATTTCCCAGGCTGGGGTCAGAGGTGGGGGCCTGCCCCAAACCAAGAAGCAGGAGGCAGTAAATATTTGCCAGTGCAGGAGTGTCCATGTAGCGTGAGCAGGTCCTACACCACAACTGCCAGCTGCAGAGATTTCTTTTCTTTTCTTTTTTTTTTTTTTGAGACAGAGTTTTGCTCTGTCACCCAGGGTAGAGTGCGGTGGCGCCATCTCGGCTCACTGTAACCTCCGCCTCCCAGGTTCAATTGATTCTCCTACCTCAACCTCCCGAATAGCTGGGATTACAGGCGCCCGCCACCACGCCCGGCTAATTTTTTGTATTTTCAATAAAAATGTGGTTTCACCATGTTAGCCAGGCTAGTCTTGAACTCCTGACCTTAGATTCCGCCTGCCTCGGCCCCCCAAAGTGCTGGGATTACAGGCGTGAGCCACCATGCCCGGCCTAATTTTTGTATTTTAGTAGAGACGGAGATTCACCATGCAGGGCATATTTCTAAAAGCAATGGGGGCAATACCTAACACTGGCACACACAGCAGAACCCCCCCACCCCGCCTAGAATGCTCTTTGCACGGTCAAAGCGACTATTCCCCAGTCAGCACTGGGGCCAGAGGGTAAAGAGGTGCCAAAAGCCACCTCGTCTCGGCCGAGCTCCGCGTCTCCCCTGGCGGCTCCAGGCCCTCGGGTTCTAGCGCCAAGACTGACGCAAGCAGGGCCTCCTCCAGTGTGATCAGGCCAAACCGAGGAACCCACTGGCCTCGCTCCGGCGCGGGGTGGGGCGGGCGCTCAGCCTTCGGACCCGGACGGGGCAGGGCCGCGGTGATTGGAGGCGGGGCGACTAGGGGCGGCCCCGGGAGCGGGGCGCAGACAGCCCGGCCTCCTGTGGGTTCGGCGACCATCGCGCGGCGGCCATGGGGGCGCGGCTGGGCCGGCGGGCCGGGCCCGAGGCTGGCTCTGAGGCCGGGGCGGCGGCCGGCTGCGGGCCCGCGCCCTACGAGCGCCGGGTGCGGTGGCTCCGCGAGATCCAGTCCACGCTCCGCGAGCGGCGGCCGGAGCGCGCCCGGCAGCTGCTGCGCCTCCTGCGCCAGGCGAGAGAAGGAGCCGTCCGCCCCTGGGCTGGCGGCCAGGGAGGGTCTGGGGGTCTGGGGGTCTGGGAGGCGCGGGGCTATGGGTTGTGGGCCTGTATCCGCCGGGAGGCGAGGCGGAGCTGGTCTCTGGCGCGCGCAGGCGGGTTCCGAGGGCGCGACAGGCTGCAGCACGCGGGGTCTTGCGTGGGCGAGAGGGCGACCGCCTGGAGTGAGGGCTGGGTGAGGTCGGCGGACCGTGTGGAGGAGGGGGCTGCTGAGTGTGTCCGGGTCTTTGGGGTTTGAGAGGGGTTGTGTGTGTTGAGGGTGGCCCGGTAGCCTGGACCTAAGAGCCCAAATTCAGGCCCTGGCAAGATGGGAGGGGCCCGGGAGGAGTGGCAAGTGAGGTCAAATCATCTTGTATTGAGAGACAATGGAAGAGGGTAACTTCCCCCTCCTCCAGGATCCGGGAGACAGTGGACCCTGGAGAGAGGACCCAGGGCTGGTCTAGGGATGCAGCCTCACCCCAAGACACCATGGCAGCCCACAGAGAGCCATCCATGCATCACCAGTTCTCCAACAGGCGGCTCATGCCCTTAGAGTACACATCCCCAGCATCTGTGCATCACAACACTCGGTCCGGTGGTGGCTCTGCTCCTACACACACCAGGTACACTAAACCCAGATCCCAACCCCTGGGTTGTCCCAGGATGCTGGTCCCCCCAATCACCTGGGCATGCCACTTCCCTCACCACCCCGTCCCCACCCCCTACAGCAGCTACCACCACTACCTGCCCCATCCTGTGAGCAGGAAGTCAGCCATGCAGGTGTTCGGCCTGCAGAAGGTAGATTAGAAATGGGGAAACTGAGGCATGGAGCGAAGTGGTCACCCCAGGGCCCACAGAGAAAATGTGGGGCAAGCCAGGGCCAGAGCCCTTCTTCCTCCCTTCCCTTCTCCACCTCCTCCAACTCTGGATTCAGCAGGCTGGAAAAATGGAGCTGTCCGTTTAAGAGGAGCTGTCTAGACCCATGGAAGGCAGGCTGGCAGGTTGCGGTCTGGGGCCCTGTCTGGGTCTGCCAGGCTCATCAGCCAGCCTTCCTCCTGGATCTTCCCTAGCTGGCATCTGTGGCAAACAGCAGAGCAGCACTGAATCAGCCAGACAACCAGAGGCACAGATCTCAGTCTGGGATGCTGCCTGGAGTCCAAGACACCAGTTGGGCATTTTAGCTGGGAAACTAGAGGGAAAGAAGGATCCTCAGAGACCACCTCTTTGTGTCTCAGAGGTTGGGATTTGAGGTCCAGCCGGGGCCTATCCTGCTCCATAACCTGCAGGGACCCTGCAGCTGTGACCCACGGCCTCCCCTGCCTGGCCCAACTTCCTGTGCTTGGGACCCACGCACAGAGCATATCACCTATGGATTGGAGAAGGCCCACATGGGGTCTAGAGGCCCCTCCTGGCTGTGGCTGCCCCATCAGCTCTCAAAATGTCCTCTAAAGAGACCCTCTGGGCCAGATGCAGTGGCTCACGCCTATAATCCCAGCACTTTGGGAGGCTGAGGCAGGCAGATCACCTGAAGTCGGGAATTCGAGACCAGCCTGACCAACATGGAGAAACCCCTTCCCTGCTAAAAATACAAAATTAGCTGGGCGTGGTGGCACATGCCTGCAATCCCAGCTACTCAGGAGGCTGAGGCAGGAGAATTGCTTGAACCCGGGAGGCGGAGGTTGCGGTGAGCTGACCTCGCACCACTGCGCCCCAGCCCGGGCAACAAGAGCAAAACTCCGTCTCAAAACAAAGAGACCCTCTGAAAGAGTATTCAGCCCCACACCAGTCCTGTGGGAGTAGACAGGAGGAGAAAGTGGAGGAGTGAGGCAGGAAGGCCAGGGCAGGTCTATGCAGGCGGTGGGGTGAGGGATGGGTAGGAGAGGAGGCTGGAGGCCTGAATCTTGGCAGGAGTGGTGGGGAGAGAGAAGGGATGACTAGGTGAGCTGGGGGAGAGAGGAGGACGGAAGAGTGCTGGGGGGTTCCAGAGCTTCTGGCCCCAGTGCCTGGGAAGATGGTCATGGAGGTGCCCTATACTGAGCTGGGGCATGGGTGGTGAGGCTGGCTTCAGGGTGGCATGCCTTTGAGACATCTGAGAGAGAGGTCCGCCCCCAAGGGAAGGATCCATACCTGTCCGCAAACAGATGCTGGCCGCAGCTTAGGAAAACCAAGGGATAGGTGGGAAGGCAGAGGATCTGAAGGGAACACTGGGGGACAGGGGAATTTGAGGGGTCATAAGAAGAGCAAACCCCCCCACCATAAGACGAAAGACCCCAAAGAATCCCACTGACAAGTCCTAACCCCAGAGAAGGCAGTGTCACAGCACAACACTACCTCAAGGGAACTGGTCTAAGGGTTCTGGGATTCACTTACCACTTCCCTGAGGGCTCCCATGTCCCTCCCCTCTACTTATCCAAAGGGTCCTCCAAGGCTGAGTGGCTCACACCTGTAATCCCAGCACTTTGGGAGGATCGCTTGAGCCCAGGAGTTTGAGACCAGTCTGGGCAACATAGTGAGACCCCATTTCTACAAAACATTTTTTTTTTAATTAGCTGAGCATAGTGGTGCCTGTCTATAGCCCCAGCTCCTCAGGAGGCTGAAGTGGGAGGATTCCTTGAGGAGGCAGATGTTACACTGAACTGAGATCACGCCACTGCACTCCAGCCTGGGTGACAGGGTGAGACCCTGTCTCAAAAAATAAATAAGCAAAAAAAGAAGGGGGCCACCCGCCACTGGACTGTTGGCCCATGGCCGCCTGTGGGGAGAATCCAGCCAGCCTTAGGGAGGAGATGGAGAGACAGGAACGGGCATAAGCAGCATCTGGCTGGCTGGGGTGGTGCCTCGAGATGGGAGACCCAACGGGCTCACTCAACTCTCTCTTCACCACTCACAGGACCTGGGCCTTGAGAGGACCCTCCTTCCTGATATCCTCTACAGAGATGTGGCCTTCCTCAACCCGGTCGACCCCATCTCCCATGACCTGCTTGTGAACCTGGCCCGGGACCTGCAGTGCCCCAAGAAGGTGAGGCTGGCAGGCACGGGCCCTGGGCTGGGCACTGTGGTGGACAGGGGGGCCAACAGAGCCCAGGGCTGGGGACTGGGAGGCTAGGTCCTTCTGCGGCTTGCTGTGTGGCCTTAGGCAAGTCACTGTCCCTGTCTGAGACCTGCTGCCAGCATCAGTATATTAGGCTGGCCACCAGCTAGAGCAAGTGTGAGCTGTGCTTTGCAGGACCCTCAGAGTCCTGGGCAGACCCATTTTCTGTGTGGCAGCACTGTGCACCAGGCCTGGGGGCCCAGACCAGGAAGACTATAGCTGGGCAGAAGTCATATGGGGACCCTGCGGGTCACAGACTGTTCTGAGAAATCCACCAACGGAAACAAACTCCTAGCCTCTGAATTCCTGGGCCAGAAGAGAGCCGCTCTCGGCTAGAGCCCCCGTCTGTCCGCAGGTCTCCATCCTGTACAGACACCCTTGCGGACGGGTGCTCACTGCTTTCCCCTACAACAGCTGGGGTCATAAGCAAGGCCCTCCTCCTTGCTGGGGTGGAGTTTGCCACCTGCAGCCTCCACCCCACAGCTGCCCAGAACCCCATGCTGACAGCACCTGCAGATGTCCTGCCATGAGCATCGACACAGCCCCAGGATGTGTGGCTGTGACCAGCCACCGGACCCAGACTCCTAGTCACAGTGAGTCCCCAACCAAAACCAGGGTATCCGCTCTGGGCCCTGCCAGCTCTGAATGCCCAGGTCTCTGCACAGTCGGCCCCTAGGACTCTGCGCCTAGCCCACGGCCATCACAGGAACAGCCAGGGCTTGCAGCTGCTGTGTGTGCTGCCTGCTCCTGGGGCTGCTCACAGAGGGACTGGATAAAGGATGCAGTGGAGCATGCTCAGTGCCAGCTTTGTGGGCCGCGCACCTCGGATTCCACCCTGAGCTGGGCCTCTGCCGGAGCCCAGTTAGGACTGAGAGAGAGCCAGGTGGTGGTGCTGTAAAACATTACATCCCCCAGCCCTGTCAGCCCAGACCCAGACCCCGCAGGCGCAGTCTCGCTTGGAGAGTGAGAGGAAGAAGAACACGCTGACCTGGCTTGTTCCTACTCCCTGGGATTGGCGTCAGTGGAGCACGGCTCCCTCGAGGGGCCTGGTCTGGCCTCCTCCCCCTGTGGCAAGTCCCCGAAGGGTGCTGAGGGTGGGCAGGCAGCCGGCTGATAGCCCGAGACGCTGGCCCTGGGCCCGAGGACAGGGAACAAGGGCTCATTGTCTGGGCTTCCTCCCGCCGGGCACTGCGGGACTGGACCAGCCTGTCCAGCTCCCAGAGGGCAGCCTCCCCTGGCTCTGTGCCAGGCCACAGCCGGGTTGGGGGGTAGGAGGGGGAGGCCCTGGTGGGCAACTCGGTGATGCATGGTGCATGACTGTGCTCACACACACACTTGGCTGCCTGGGTCCCTCTCCCCAAGGCCCTGAGGTGGGCAGGAGGGGCTCAGATTCACCATGGTGACACTGCCCTCCCACAGGACTATGAGCTCTGGAAGTCCTCGGACAAGATCTGCCGACAGCTCATCTACCACCTCACCCCTCACTCGAAGCAGCAGCAAGGGTCCAGCCTGCGCCAGAGGAAGACCCAGAGCTGGTAAGGGTAGCCCAGCCACTGCCCCTCCTCACTGCTGCTCCAAGGTCCCTTCTCAGGTTGACACCTGCACTCTCACCAAGAGGCTGGTGCTGAAATCCCACCTGGTGAGGCCCTCACCTGGTCCGCATGAGGGCCCTACCCTGGAAGTCAGCCTGGCCCGTGGTAGCAGATGCTCCCCAAGCCAAGCTGCACCCTCTGAGTGACCCGTTTGGCATTTCCCACAGGACGGTCCTGCCTCCTGCCATTCATACATCCCTCAATCCCTGGTCTGTTACACGGCCTGGACACCCCACCCCTCCACCCAACAGCCAAGGTGACCTCAGTAGGCATCTTCAGCTGAGACTTCCCAACAGGTTGCGGGGGAGGCAGATTCTGGATCGCGATTCTCATTTTAGAGGGAAGGAAACAGGTTCGGAGAAGTGGCTTGCCTAAGGCCACACTCTACCCTGATTTTCCTGTACCTTGTTGGGAATTCTTTGCCACTGCCAGGCTGCCTAAAACTGAGGCTTCCGTGGCTGCCCAATAGCTCCCTCTGCCATGGGTCCCTCTCAGACACTCCATCCTGGAGTGACTCCATCCATGGAGCCTCACACACAGGCTCAGTCCAGAGCTGGCCACAGGCACCCAGGCCCAGAGGCCTGAACTGCTGCCGGGAGCTTACCCTAGCAGGCCTCCCCTGTCTGCCCTCCACCCCTGTCCCACCTTGGGCCTAATAGGCCACGCTGAGCTTGGACCCCACAAGGTTGTTCCCTGCCATGGCTGGTGGGGGTCCTGAGGGTGTGCTCACTGCTGTCAGTCCCCCAAAAGGCCTGTCTGCCTAGTGGGCTCTGTTCAGATAACTGGGGAGAGACCTAGAGGGTTGGTGGGGGCGGGGGTCCTTCTCAGTCTCTGAACTTCCCTTCTAACTGAGAAAACACGGGGAGCCCTCCCTCATGGCCGGCCCCCAGCCTGCACACCCAGGACCTCCCCTTTCACTACTGTGGGCCTGTCCCTCTCTATCCCCGGTGCCCTGTACAGCCTAATAGCCGTCCCTTTGTAGGAGAATTTCTCCCTACCCTAAAAGAATCGACATCAGAAGGGGCACAGGGAAAAAAACATGTGGGCTCAAGAGTCAGAGCATCTCAGTTTGAGGACCTGGTTCCCCGCTTAGTGGTGTGTGGCCATGGAAGAGTTACTTCACCTATCTGAAAAATAAGTGAGATGTCAATAAAACAGGTGTGGGATGCTGGGCACACAGTGAGATTTCAAATAATAGTTCATGAAGAAAGAGCCTTACTGTGTGTGCATTTAATCCTCACAACAACCACGTCCCATTTTCACCAAAGGGGAAACTGAGCCTCTGAGCATTGCCCATGGCCACCCACTTAGAAAGTGACAGTTTGGGCCCGGGCGCAGTGGCTCACGCCTGTAATCCCAGCACTTTGGGAGGCTGAGGCGGTCAGATCACCTGAGGTCAGGAGTTCGAGACCAGCCTGACAAAGATGGAGAAACCCCGCCTCTACTAAAAATACAAAATTAGCCAGGCGTGGTGGCACATGCCTTTAATCCCAGCTACTTGGGAGGCTGAAGCAGGAGAATCGCTTGAATCCGGGAGGCAGAGGTTGCCGTAAGCCGAGATTGTGCCACTGCACTCCAGCCTGGACAAAAAGAGCGAAACTTTGTCTCAAAAAATACGAAAGACACAGTTTGAATCTGGCTTTGCCAGACTGTAGGCCTGGGCTGTTCCCGACAGGTCACTGTCTGTGGTCAGTGGGGGGACTGCCTGGTTGCCTAGTCCATCCCCACCTGCCACTCTCCCATAGCCTCAAGAGCAGCCTCCAGAAGACTCTGCTGGCAGGGGAGACTGTGGACCTCTCAGGCATCCCGCTGTCGACACAGGACGTGCAACACATCACACGCTACCTGAGCAGCCATGGTGCTGTGCTGGCGGTGCTGGACCTGAGCTTCACGGGGCTGAGTGATGAGCTGCTGCACCTCCTGCTGCCCAGCCTGTGGGCGCTGCCCCGCCTCACCCAGCTCCTGCTCAACGGCAACCGACTGACGCGGGCCACTGCCCGCAAGCTCACTGATGCCATCAAGGACACCACCAAGTTCCCTGCTTTGGCTTGGGTGGACCTGGGCAACAACGTGGATGTGGCTTCCCTGCCCCAGCCCCTGCTGGTCGGCCTGCGCCGGCGGCTGAGCCAGCGCACCTCACTCCCCACCATCTACGAGGGCCTGGACCTTGAGCCTGAGGGCAGTGCGGCCGGGGCCACCACCCCTGCCTCCACCTGGGACTCCACAGCTGCTGGGCTGGGACCCGAGCCCCAGGCCTGCTGTGCCAGGTGACCCACCACCCACCTGGCTCATTGCTACTGACTTGTGATGCTCTCAAGCACATGATAGTGGGCGATGAAGGTCAAGGAGGACTCACAGGCCCCCAGAAATCCAGTGTAAATGCTCAGCCTGAGATTAAGGGGACAGAAGAATGGACTCATAGGTGGCCAGGTGGCCAGCCCTGGCTAGAGGCTCAGCCTTCCCTCAGTGGGAGGGGCCCCAGCACCCACAGTGTGGACCCCGCAATAAAGAGTGACACCCGCCTCTGCTTTTCTGCATCACCAACCTCAGGGTCACTGAGCAACAGCCCTGCTGCTGGGGTGGGGAGAAAGGGTGGCTGTGTCTATCCAAAAGGGTGGGACAAAGGTCACACTGACCTTCCCCCAGGTGCTCTTTGGGCAAGTCCCCCATGGAGTCTAAGATGTGGGGGTCCTGGGTCCATCCCTGTGGGCTGGAGAGTTAGAGGAGGCCTCCAGGGAGCGGGCCCTCACATCTGGGCAGGGCTTGGGCTCCTTGAGAAGGGGAGCTGCGAAGGAGCGGGTCGGGAGCCCCAGGAGGAGCAAAGCTCTACATGGAGCCCCACAGCAAGCTCACGTCTGAGCCCAGGCTGCCAGCCTCACCACCACAGCCCTCTGGGCAGGGGACAAGGCTGCACAGACCAGAGGCAGGGGCCACAGCCGACTAAGTGAGAGGACTTGGTGCCTGCCTCCCACAGGGTACAGTGCTGCTTGCCACCCTCAGGACCCAGCCCCAGGCCTCTTGTACTTGGCGAGGGGCAGCTCTGTGGGGTTAGGAGACAGCAAGCCAGAGACAAAGTGCTTGTGTGTTCCCTCCAGGCCCTGGGGGTCCCCGTGTGGGAGTCCCCGTGTGGGAGAGCATGCAGCGGGTGGAGGTGCGCATCACCAGCAGCAGGGGGCCTTGGGGGCAGAGTAGTCCTAGGGCTGCCCTTGGCAGGGGGAAGTGTCTCCCTTCCTCCCCAAGCACCATCAGGGTGGGCTCCCAGCCAGAAGCCTAATGCCACAGTCACCCTCAGCCCTGTGTGGGGAGTTACAGTTCAGCCCAACCAGAAGACAGGCAGGGCAGGCGGGAAAGGAATTTAGAGATGTCCGGGGGGATACTGAGGCCCAGAGTGGGGAAGTCATGTGCTAAGCCAGGAGGTAAGGTCTGGGGGCAGTGGGGCCCTGCTAGATGAGGAAAGACTCAGCAGCAGAGGGGGGCTCCAAGGCTAAGGAGGAGGCAGGGGTCCTCCTGGGCCTACACACCCCAGCCACCAGCTCTGACTTTCCCTCACAGCCATGGCCCACAGGGACTGTAAGCGGCGCATCCATCCCCTGTGGTGCATGGATTCCAGCACATTCCCAGTCTGGCTGGATGCATAACAGCTTCTCAGGGCAAAAGGAGATGGCCAAGGAGGGTGAGGACAGGATGGTGTTGGGTCCCAGGACTGGGATGGAGGCAGTGAGGAAAAGGATTTTCCTCAGACCCCACTGATCTCACTG
Organism: Homo sapiens; assembly: GCF_000001405.40. Classification (NCBI taxonomy): domain Eukaryota; kingdom Metazoa; phylum Chordata; class Mammalia; order Primates; family Hominidae; genus Homo; species Homo sapiens. The sequence goes on along the minus strand of NC_000022.11, from coordinate 24,584,398 downwards.
CTTTAGGCGGACTTCTTACCCAAAGGCTTTGGAGAGATTGGAGATCTCACAGTTCAGGCCCGCTCTGCTCCTGACTTGCTGTGGGACCTGGCCAGGCCTTTCCCTTTTTGGGATCTCTGCTCCCTCCCCTCTGTTAAATAGGACTTTCAGCTCTCAGCACTCCATCCTGGGGTCCAGCTCCCTCCCAGCTCTCCTTGTTTTAGGGACTGGCCCTGCCCAGCAGCTCAGAAGCCATAGAAGTGTTTCCCTATGCCCCTACTCTGGAACAGGGTGTTCAGGCTCCCCAGAGTGAGGCAAAATGGGGTAGATGGTGGGAGGGGCCAGCAGAGAGGATTATGAGAAAGTGAAAGCTTAAACCAACATACATTTATTCTGTGAGCAATCTATTATTTAAATCAAAACGGTATGAGAGCCGGCCCTGGGCCAGGCAAGCTGATAAACCTGTCACATAAGCAGGCCTCTGAGCTCTCCCTGAAACTCCTGTTGGAGAAATGCCAAGCTCTCCAGTCCCTTGCGCCCTGCTGACTCCCTGCCCACCACTGGCCCTAAGCCAGCCCACAAACTCTCAATTGTCACTGAGAGATTCCTACCAGGATGGTGTGCGAGGACCCGAGCTGGTGTTCCAGGCAATCTCTGGGAGAATCCAGGCGGCAGCAGATAGTTTCAGTCTCTCTGCCTCTTGGACAGAAGCACACGATGCAGTAGCGGAGCCAGAGCCTGAAACGGATCAAGCGGAGAAGGTTGGCCTCATTGCCATGCAGGTGTTTAGAGCCTTCACGACCACCAGCAAGGCTGTCGAGGGCAGGGCCACCGAGCTCCACAAGTGGCAGCTTGTGGCTCATGCAGCCTGGTGAGGCAGAGAGCACTGGCCAGGACAGCTCCAGCCCAAGCTCTAAACGGAGGAGGAAGCAGGTGGGCCGTACTCAGGCCGGTCCTCACTCAGGCCTAGTCTAGGAGGCAGACAGGCCTGGCCTTGGTCCCAGCCTGTCACTTGCTGGCGATGTGGTCCTCTCAGAGCCTGTTCCCTCATCTTGGGAATGAGGTACACCAAGCCTCCCATTATCCCACTGGAGTGAGAGTGAGGATGACGTAAGTTTTGGAAAGTGTCTACCGCATTGAGGGGAGGAGGGCAGGCACTCTTCAATGTCAGCAGGGCCTCCACCCAGGGCTGTCTGGGTGGCAATGGCAGGAACTCAAACCTTTGGGGCTAGGCCAGAGATGAAGCCATTTTTTTATTCAACAAGCACTTCCATAGCCTCCCTTGGGCCAGGTACTGTTCTGATGGCCTTATACTCCTTTACTTCTCTTCTCATTTGAAGGAGGTAGGTGCTCTGTTTTCCAGGTGAGTCGACTGAGGCAGAAAGAGGTTAAGGGGACTTGTTGGCCAGGCGGCGTGGCTCATGCCTGTAGTCCCAGCACTTTGGGAGGCCGAGGCGGGTGGAGGTCAGAAGTTCAAGACCAGGCTGGCCAACATGGCAAAACCCCATCTCTACTAAAAAAAAAAAAAAAAAATTAGTCAGGCGTGGTGGTGGGTGCCTGTAATCCCAGCTACTTGGGAGGCTGAGGCAGGAGAATTGCTTGAACCTGGTGGGCAGAGGTTGCAGTGAGCCGAGATTGTGCCATTGCACTCCAGCCTGGGTGACGGAGCGAGACTGTCTCAAAAAAACAAAAAATAAAGAAAGGGGATTACTTGTCCAAGTTCAAAGAGCCAGGAACTGGAGGAGCCAGAGTGTAAGCCCGGGTGGCCTGGTGCCAGTCTGTGACGTTAACGCCTGCATGCTGCTCCCTCTCCTACAGCCATCCCAGGGACTATCACTGGGGCTGCTCGGCCCCAGGATTCACCTAAATGAGCAAGCCCCTTCCAAAGGGGCCATTTGAAGCAGGAGAACCATCATGGTCCTCCTGTGGGGAACAGACCTCAAGCCTCGTTGTCCCTGGAGCAAAGCCAGTAAGGACCTCCCTGGACCTCAGTTTCCTGATCTGCAGCTACATGGTGGAAGCAGCCATGATGATCTGGGCTTTGCCCTCCCGCAGGATTGTAAAAGACTAGCAAAGAGTGGGTTTGGAAGTACTTCCCAGACTGAGCAAAACCCAGGCGGCCCAGGCTCAGGGGTGCAGCATCCACACCCAGCTCTTAGAATCTGCCTTCAGCTCCCTGGGCCTATAGCTCCTCATGCCTTAGCCTGCCTTGCAGGGATGCTGAGAACATCTTGCAGGGATGCTGAGAACATCAAAAGGAAACACGTAGAAAAGATGATGTGCTCCACAGGCCCAACATGACCAAGACTCGGGAACTTCTTTTCTGTCCTAAAAGGGAGGATATTTGAGCCCAAATAAGGTGCTTTAGGACATGAGCCCACAGGAGAGATCAGCCTCTGCTGACGGTCTTCATCTCGAGAATCCAGAGTCTTGGGCAACTGATCCTAGCTGCTGCTATCAACCCAGCATGGAGGTTTTTCTCTGGGACCTGGAAGGAAAGGAAAATGCACTTGTTCCACTTAGAGCTAGTTGCCAATCACCCATGAAATCTAGTATTTTCTTTTCCAACTATGCACAACTTTTTTTTTTTTTTTTTTTTTTTTTGAGACAGAGTCTCACTCTGTCACCCAGGCTGGAGTGCAGTGGCATGATCTTGGCTCACTGCAACCTCTGCCCCACCAGGTTCAAGGCATTCTCCTGCCTCAGGATCCCGAGTAGCTGGGACTACAGGAGACTGCTATCATGCCTGGCTAATTTTTGTATTTTTAGTAGAGACAGGGTTTCACCATATTAGCCAGGCCGGTCTTGAACTCCTGACCTTGTGATCTGCCCGCCTTGGCTTCCCAAAGTGCTGGGATTACAGGCATGAGCCATTGCGCTCGGCTTGTTTTTTAAAAATATTTTATTTTTTAAAATAACCCTTCATTGAGGTATAATTGAAACACAAAAAGTAGACATTCCGAGCACTACACAAGATTAAAATGTGCAATATGATACATTTTGCACATGTATACATCTATGAAGCCACTATCACAATCAAGATAGTAAATGTACCTGTCACCCCGAAAGTTTTGTCATGCCTCTTGGTAATCCCTCCCTCCCGCCTCTCCATGCCCACTGACATCCAAAAGCAACCATTGATTTGCTTTGTTTTTTACAGTTTGCATTTGTGAGATTTGGGGATATATGGAATCATATAGGATATACTTTTTTTTTTTTTTTTTTAGGTGAAGTCTCACTTTGTCACCCATACTGGAGTGCAGTCTCAGCTCACTGCAACCTCCCCCTCCCAGATTCAAGCAGTTATCCTGCCTCAGCCTCCCAGGTATCTGGGACTACAGGAGCATGCCACCATGCCCAGCTAATTTTTGTATTTTTAGTAGAGATGGGGTTTCACCATGTTGGCCAGGTTGGTCTTGAACTCCTGATCTCAAGTGATCTGCCTGCCTCAGCCTCCCAAAGTGCTGGGATTACAGGCATGAGCCACCACACCCAGCCGGATGTACTCTCTTCTATATGGCTTTTCACTTAGCACAATTATTTAGAGACTCACTCACGTGTACCAGTAGTTCCTTTTTATTGCCGAGTATTGCACTGGACGGTGTGCCACAATTTATCCATTCATCTGTTGATGGATGTTTGAGTTGTTTCCAGTTTTTGGCTATTACAAATAAAGCTGCTATGAAAATTCATGTATAAGTTTTTGCATGGACATATATTTCCTTTTCTCTTGGGTAAATACCTAGGAATGGAATGTGGGGATCATAAGGTAGATGTATTTTTAATGTCTTAAGAAACTGTCAAACTGTTTTCCAAAGTGGTGGTGCAGTTTTACATCCCCATCAGCAGTGTTTGGGAGTTCTTGTTGCTTTACATATTCAACAGCACATAGCATGGTGAGTTTTTTAAACATTAGCCATTCTTCTGGGTGTGTAGCAATATCTCTCTGGCTTTAACTTGGGCATTTCCCTAATGACTAATGATGTTGAACATGTTTTAATGTGCATGTTTGCCATCTGTATCTTCTCAAGTCTGTTCAAATTTTTTCCCCATGTCTTATTATTGAGCTTTGCAAATTCTTTATTTTTTGAGACAGAGTTTTGCTCTTGTTGCCCAGGCTGGAGTGCAATGGCACGATCTCGGCTCACCGCAACCTCCGCCTCCTGGGTTCAAGCGATTCTCCTGCCTCAGCCTTCCTGAGTAGCTGGGGTTACAGGTATGTGCCACCACACTGGGCTAATTTTGTATTTTTACTAGAAACGGGGTTTCTCCATGTTGCTGGTCTCGAGCTCCTGACCTCAGGTGATCTGGCCTCGGCCTCCCAAAGTGCTGGGATTACAGGCGTGAGCCACGGTGCCTGGCCACAAATTCTTTATATATTCTGGATACACATTTTTTATTAGACTTAGCTTTGCCAAAATTTCGTGGTTAGTCTTTTAACAGTGTCATTGGAAAGCAGTTTTTTATTTTGGTGGTCTAATATATTAGTTTGGTCTTTCATGGATAGTACTTTTGGTATTATATCTGAATTTTTGCTTAACCCAAGGTTTAGGGTTACATTTCTTCTAGAAGTTTTATAGTTTTAAGTGGATGATCCATTTGGAATTAATTTTTTTGTATGGCATGAGGTATAGACCCAAGTTTTGAGGGATTTTTCCATACAGATATCCAATTGTTCTGGCACCATTTGTTGAAAATGCTATCCTTTCTCCAGTGCATTACCTTTGTGGCTTTGAAAAAACTCATTTTGTATACATGTGTGGATTTGTTTTCAGACTCTGTTCCTTTGATCTATTTGCTTAACTTGATGAAATACCATGCTGTTTTGATGAGTACAGCTCTATAGTAATTCTTGAAATCAGGGAGTCTTCTTTTAAAATCTGCTCAGCTTTTGAAATACACAGTTATAACTTTTAATGTCCTTCTTTGCTAATTCTAACATCTGTGTAGTTTTGGATCTCTTAATCTCATTATGTGCTGTGCTTTCCTGCATCTTTGCATGCCTAGCAATCTCTGACTGGAGCCAGACAGTGAATTTTACTGTGTGGGGTACTGGACATTTTTATATTCCTATAAATCTTTTTGAGTCTTATTCTTGGATATATTTAATTGGTCCGGAAAAACAGTTTCATGTTTTAATGTGTTGTTTTTATGACTTGTTATTCAGGTCCAGCGCTCAGTCTTGGGCTAATTATTCCTCATTTACCAGGCAAGGCCTTCCTGGATATTTGTATTAATCATGCCTTTTGTTTTCTGTTTTATGATGCTTTGGTATCTTGGGCCTTGCTAATCCTGAAGGATGCTCCTCCCAGGGTTAGCTAATTCCTAGAGATAGTAAACAACTTGCTGGCAGCGTGTCTTTCATGTACAAACCAAACAATCCAAAGTCCACACCCAAAACTGCCTCCTTTATCTAACTCTCATACACTAAGCCAGTATTTCCTTTACCCTCAATCACCTCAGGGCAAGGTACTTTACAGAGACCACTTATAACCCAGTTGAAAATTATTCAGACTATCCAATCCTAAACTTGCTCAAACTTGCCTACTCTGCCTCACTCATTCCTTCATGAGAAAACTACAATGAAGGCTCTGGGTCTTGCTCTGCCATTGCTCCTTCTGCCTCCTGACTCAGGCTGGTGTCTCCCCATATGGCCCACGTAACGTGGTTTGCCCCCTTCTTTGAGAACTGTAATACATTCTTTCAAGGCAGCTGTCTCTGGGTCTTACCATACCTGATTAAAACAAAATCAGATATGGTACATCTTAAAACAACACTGTACTCCATATCCTGTGAATTTCTTGTCTGACTGATAGGAAAATGTTTAGTCTCAGCCTAGCATGACGCCAAGCACTGTTCCAATTCTTTATGGGTCTTCCCCAGCCTGTTAACTTCCTCACATCGGTGTGCTCATCAGTATTCTGCTGAATGTTCAAAAGCAACCCGCTGCAGATCTCTTGGGTTCTCTGTGTGGCTTTCTTCTCTTGACATTCTGTCCTATAGTCCTAGCTGCCTTGGTGGCTTCTCTGAACTCTTAGCTCTCGTTTCTCAATGCAGGCAGGCTGGTAGGTCAGCTTCAGTCCCCTTCCCTGTGCCACAGCTTGGAGACTCTTGTAAGCAGTGAGCTGGGGCAATTGTACAACTCCCCTTATTTATTTCTCGTTTCTCAGGGATTAGTCTCCTTCAATGTCTGATGTCTTGAAAACCATTGTTTCATATTATTTTGTGTGTGTTTTTTCAGACACAATGATAAATCAATTACTTTCATCTTGGCTAGTGGCAGAAAAACTCCTGTATGCTTTGATTGTTTTTTAAGGTTATGGTTCTACCAGTGTAGAAGCTGGGATAGTATCAGTGAATCAAGTGAGTCCACATCCACCCTTGTACAGATAACCAACCAGAGGCTGGGAGAGGTGGTCACGGTGGCACTCAGAACCAGAATTCATGTTTTTGGTTTTTCTTTTTCTTTTTGAGATGGAGTCTTGCTCTGTCACCCAGGCTGGAGTGCAGTGGCACAATCTCGGCTCACTGTAAGCTCCGCCTCCTGGGTTAAAGCAATTCTCTGCCTCAGCCTCCTGAGTAGCTGGGATTACAGGCACCCGCCCCAACACCTGGCTAATTTTTGTATTTTTAGTAGAGATGGGGTTTCACCATCTTGGCCAGGCTGGTCTCGAACTCCTGACCTCGTGATCCACCTGCCTCGGCCTCCCAAAGTGCTGGGATTACAGGCGTGAGCCACCGTGTCCTGCTCAGAATTCATGTTAAATACTGGTCTAATTACCTTTATGACATCATCCTTTAGTCTATATCTTCTTTAAATCTGAGTTATTCTTTTTTTTTTCTTTTTGAGACAGAGTCCCGCTCTGTTGCCCAGGCTGGTGTGCAGTGGTGCGATCTCAGCTCAATGCAACCTCCACCTCCTGGGTTCAAGCGATTCTCCTGCCTCAGCCTCCCCAGTAACTGAGATTACAGGCATGTGCCACCACACCCAGCTAATTTTTGTATTTTTAGTAGAGACACGGTTTTGTCATGTTGGCCAGGCTGGTCTTGAATGCCTGACTTCAGGTGATCTGCCCACCTCAGCCTCCCAAAGTGCTGGGATTACAGGCATAAGCCACCACCCCCAGTCTTATTCTTCATTTTAAAGTAATATATTTTCAAAGAAAAAAAGCAAAAGCATGCTGAAACATTCATATTTCCACATGACCTGACTTCCCCAATCTTGGCAAAAAAGTTGGAAGCTTATTCTCCAGAGGGGGTTAGAAGGTTTCTGGACTAGGAGCCCTCCCAGAGACCTGGATGAAGGAACTGAATGTGGACATACTAGAATGCTGAAATTCTCACCCTCTTCCCCAACAGAGCTCTCAATCCAGCAGCTCAGAGTAAACCCTCCTGATGTGAAACCAAAAGTTTCTCCAAGAGAACCTGTCCAGCCTGGAGCAAAGTTCTAGAAGTATGGACACTGGGGATTTCCCCAAAGAAGCTCAATGAGATCACCTTACAATCACATATTCTTTTTAATACTCCACTCTTAAATATAAGCAAGATTACCAACGATTGCCAGGCAGCTAAAGAAAGTCTGTAACATGAAAGATTAAATTGAAGAACAGAAAGCAGAAAGACATATGCAGGGAGATGAAAGCTTCTACAGAGCATATTAATATCCTCAAAGATGTTGCAACAAGGAACAAGGTACTGTCCCTATATATCTACGTATATAAAGGAACAATCAGAGAATCAACTTGGAGTAATCCTCCATAAATTATGATCAAAAGAAAAGAAAATTGGGGTTGGGGCACACAGGGAGGAGAGGTAATTCTGGGTCCACCATCTGAGTAACAGAAATTCCAGAAAGAAAAACCACAGACAGCCGGGCCTGGTGGCTCACGCCTGTAATCCCAGCACTTTGGGAGGCCAAGGCAGGTGGATCACCCGAGGTCACGAGTTTGAGACCAGCCTGACCAACATGGTGAAAATCTGCCTCTACTAAAAATACAAAAAATTAGCCGGGTGTTGGGGCAGGTGCCTGTAATCCCAGTTACTTGGGAGGCTGAGGCAGGAGAATTGCTTGAACACCGGAGGCAAAGGTTGCAGTGAGCCGAGATGGCACCATTTCACTCCAGCCTGGGCAACAAGCGTGAAACTCAGTCTTTAAAAAAAAAAAGAAAAAGAAAAACCACAGACAACCTAAGGAAGAAAATCACTGAGAATGAATTCAAGAAAGTTTCCCAGAAATTAAGGACAAGAGTTCACTCGGAAAGGGGCCTGGCATGGAAACAGACCTTCGCCAAGGCAGGTATTAATACGTCATTCTGAAATTTTGGAACACTGATAACAGAAGGGAAAAAAAAAAAAGTCATATAAAAAGGATCTGGACTCTGGCCGGGTGCGGTGGCTCACGCCTGTAATCCCAGCACTTTGGGAGGCCGAGGTGGGTGGATCACACAGTCAGGAGATCGAGACCATCCTGGCTAACACGCTGAAACCCCGTCTCTACTAAAAATACAAAAAAATTAGCTGGGCGTGGTGGCGGGCGCCTGTGGTCCCAGCTACTCGGGAGGCTGAGGCAGGAGAATGGCATGAACCTGTGAGGCGGAGCTTGCAGTAAGCCGAGATCGCACCACTGCACTCCAGCCTGGGAGACAGAGCGAGACTCCGTCTCAAAAAAAAAAAAAAAGATCTGGACTCAAAATCACTTCAGACTTCTCTACAGCAATGCTAGATGACAAAGTAGCCATAACTTCAAAATTCTGAAGGATACTAATTCCTTTTTTTTTTTTTTTTTTTTTTTTTTGAGACGGAGTCTCACTCTGTCACCCAGGCTGGAGTGCAGTGGTGCAATCTCGGCTCACTGCAGGCTCCACCTCCCGGGTTCATGCCATTCTCCTGCCTCAGCCTCCCGAGTAGCTGGGACCACAGGTGCCCGCCACCACGCCCAGCTAATTTTTTTGTATTTTTAGTAGAGACGGGGTTTCAGCGTGTTAGCCAGGATGGTCTCGATCTCCTGACTGTGTGATCCACCCACCTCGGCCTCCCAAAGTGCTGGGATTACAGGAATGAGCCACTGCGCCCGGCACTAATTCCAACATAGAATTTCATACCCAATCAAATCAAGTGTGAGCACATTTTTAGACATGCAGATACTCCCCCAAAATAAGGTGATAAAAGAAGAGGTTACACAGAAAACAGAGATCCAACAGAGGAGCAGTGTGGGGAGTGCCCAGGGTGACAGTGACACACCAAGCACGGGGAGAAACCAGTCCAGATTGGGGTGGGTCAAGAATAATAACTGATAAATGATGTCATGATCTTCAGATATGATTGGGGTTGAATTAGTGACAAATAGAAAACCAAGCAAATAAAAATGCAAGAGGATTACTTTCAGGGAAAAGTTCCACAGTAATCTAGTCTATTGTATGACTCAGCTGTGATCACTATGACACTGTCATATTTTTAAAAAGTTTAATCACATCTTAATAATTTGACACTGAATATGATCTAACCAGAATTACAATATCAGGGAGATGGGTGAGAGGAAGTAAATTCATGGTGGGCAGGAGGAAGAGAGGATTCAAAAGATAATGGTGGCCGGGTGCAGTGGCTCACACCTATAATCCCAGCAGGCCGAGGCGGGCAGATCACTTGAGCCCCGGAGTTCAAGACCAGCTTGGGCAACATGGCAAAACCCTGTCTCTACAAAAAATACAAAAATTAGCTAGGCATGGTGGTGTGCACCAGTATTTCTAGCTACTCAGGAGGCTGAGGTGGGAGAATCACCTGAGCCCGAGAAGGTTGAGGCTGCAGTGAGCCATGATTGTGCCATTGCACTCCCGCCTGGGGAAGAGTGAGACCGTCTTAAAACAAGCAAACAAAAAACCATCAAGGAATAGTCATGAAAACATGTTCATATTGAGACATGGAGGTAAATACAAACAAATCAGCCAAGAGTTGGACAGACTACTGTGAGGCAAGGAAAGTGGGGTAAAGGCAGGGTAGGAGGGCTACTGTTTTTCATAATAAACCTTATGGAACAACTTGTTTTCAATCTGCGTCAACTGATTTTCCCCCCTAAGATGCAGGATATAAAACTGTTTACAAAGCTACATATTTTAGGTTGATCCCCCTTCACTTTTCAGATCTAGGTAGGGTTATAGCCAGTTTCCATTGCGTGGAGAATCTGCAAGGCTGGTGTTCCTGTACGGGTCCAGAGTGAACTACATCAAAAGTCGCTTTTGATATCGAGGATGCAGTTCACTACTATTAAGTGTAATGTGTTATTATTCAAAGTAAGTACTGTTTACTGTAAAAGTATGATGAATTCAGTAATGATTATACTAAAATAACATACTAGTACAGGGTCAAAATACGGCTTTAGGTCTACTTAAGATAGAATACTTAAGAATTACTTATCTGGGGACCAGGGAATTGTTTAAAATGCAGATTCCTGGGCCCCACTCCAGGTGTGCGGCTTGCAGTCTTCATTTCTAATAAGATCCTTAGTTGATGTTGAAAACCACTGCTTTCATTTGTTTTTTATTTAAGAGACAGGGTCTCACTGTCATCCAGGCTGGAGTGCAGTGGTGCAATTATAGCTCACTGCAGCCTTAATCTCCTGGGCTCATGTGGTCGTCCTGCCTCAACCTCCAGGATAGCTGGGACTGCAGGCATCAGCTGTGCCCAGCTACTTTTCAATTTTTTGTAGAGATGCGGTCTTGGTTAACAAAGCTTAACAGCCCAGGCTAGTCTCAAACTCCTAGGTTCAAGTGATCCTCCCGCCTCGACCTCCCAAAGTGCTGGCATTATAGGCGTGGGGCACCATGTTTGGCCTGAAGCCCTATTTTAAACGTCTATTGTATCTGACCAACTCACTGATGCTTATTCCTCAGAATACCAGCTCTGTAACCTCCAGGTAGTATCATAAGACAAAGCTTATTAGAACCTCATTAATTGATGCCAGGTTAACTAATGTGCTGGATTTTTTTCCCCTCCTCTTTCATTACTTGAATAATCTGTTCAATGAGCAATATTCTAAAAGCCAATAATTGATCAGTTTTCCTCTTGATGGCTTATGCTGTAGCTCATACCATAATGAATACCTGGCAAGACCTCTTTTTGGTGATTTGATTTTTTCAGGCTGCTTTTCCAGTTTCTGTGTTTTTGTCACAATTATTCACCCTGTGTATCTTATACTCTTTACTACTACTTATTTTTCTTTAAAGACAAAGTCTTGCTCTTTTGCCCAGGCTGGAGTACAGTGGCAAGGTCATAGCTCACTGCAGCCTCATACTCCCAGGCTCAAGTGATCCTCCCACCTCAGCCTCCCTAGTAGCGAGGACTACAGGTGTGCACCACCATGCCAAGTTAATTTTTAGAATTTTTTGTAGAGACAGGGTCTCACTATGTCTCGCGGGCTGGTTTTGAACTCCTCTCAAACAATCCTCTACCTCAGCCTCCCAGAGTGCTGGAAGCAAGCCACTGTGCTGAGCTGCTGGTCACCCTTCCTACATTAACAACTATGGATGTGCCAATCAATGCTGAGATGCTCTGATATGCTCCCAAGAATCTGTTTCCACAAATCACCACAAAACTACTTGTTGTAGCCAGTATACGAGCCAAGGAAGCTGGCCACTAGGATCCCCTGAATTACTTTTTTTTTTTTGAGGTGCAGTCTCGCTCTGTCACCCAAGCTGGAGTACAGTGGCATGATCTCTGCTCACTGCAATGTCCACCTCCTGGGTTCAAGCGAATCTTCTGCCTCAGCCTCCCGAGTAGCTGGGACTACAGGTACATGCCACCGCACCCGGCTAATTTTTTTATTTTTAGTACACACGAGGTTTCACCATATTGGCCAGGCTGGTCTCGAACTCCTGACCTCGTGATCCGCCCGCCTTGGCCTCCCAAAGTGCTGGGATTACATGCGTGAGCCGCCGCACCCAGCCCCTGAATTACCTATGACTTTATCAAGGGAAAGAGTCACCTGTGTTGTTAAAGCTGAGCTGATGACAGCTCCACAAATGTTAACTGAACAAAGTGCCACACTATGTGCCTGTGTCTGAAGATGAATGAGACACAATCTGTGTGTTCTCGGAGCTTCTCCAAGGTGAACTTTTCTGGGGCTTAACCTGCAACTGGCCAGGAACAGCAGCTTAAAATCTCATCAATAGCTGTGCTATTTCAAAGTACTGGCATTCTCCCAGGACATCCCCCAGGGTGTCAAAATTTAGCCAAAGCAAACTTCAAATGAACACAAAGTCCTTATTTTCTCAAAGAAAACAAAACAAAACAGAACAAAAAACCCCCCAGATTTATTTAGCTTAAACATTTCCCCTGATCTAAAGAGAAAGATGGCAAAAGATACCTAGCATATATGCACAAGCACCCACTCCAATGAACTCAGATAACCTGAAAGAAAAAAGGACAAAGTTCTGTTCAACTTAGAAAATTATCTTCGCTTTTGAAAGATGTTTCCACGTCCCATTCCACGTCCTCTTCCTCTTGCGGCCACTGAAAGGGAAGAGAAAATATGAGGCCAGGTCAGTGTGGTCGGTGAATGCTCATAGCACAGAGTAGCCAGGGCCCTAGGACACCAGTTAGAAGGGTTCTGAAGGGTTACCTGGTCCAACACCACCCTGGCCATTGCATTTCCACCTCCCGCCTTTTTTTTTTTTTATTTTTTGAGACGGAGTCCCACTCTGTCACCCAGGCTGGAGTGCAGTGGCATGATCTCGGCTCACTGCAATCTCCACCTCCTGGGATTAGGCGATTCTCATGTCTCAGCCTCCTACTTGAGTAGCTGGGACTACAGCCGTGAACCACAACGCCCGGCTAATTTCCTGTATTTTTAGTAGAGACAGGGTTTCACCATGTTGGCCAGGCTGGTCTTAAACTCCTGACCTCAGGTGATCCACCCACCTCGGCCTCCCAAAGTGTCAGGATTACAAGCATAAGCCAACACGTCCAGCTGACAGCCACTGCATTTAACAGGGGGGATGGAGACGGAGGGGCAGGGGCTGGGGACTGGCATCAAAGCAGGAGCTAGCAGCACACTCTTGCCTTCCAGTCCCACACTGCTCTCTACAAGAGGCTGGGAGGCAGCATGCTGAGGGCAAAGAAGGTGGTCTGAGAGCTACAGAAAAGACAAATCCTTGGGGCTGGCCTTGGGTGAGCTGAAAAACATTATAGATGCACTGAATTAATTTTTTCAATTCTGAAACAAATATAGTTAAGTGTTAACATGTGTTAGATCTGGGAGAAGGGTTATATTATCTTTTGTATTTTTTTCTGAGAAAATAATTATTTCAGGCTGGGTGCAGTGGCTCATGTCTGTAACCCCAGGGCTTTGCGAGTCCAAGGCAGGCAGATCACTTGAGGTCATAAGTTTGAGACCAGACTGGCCAACATGGCAAAACCCCTTCTCTACTGAACACACAAAAATTAGCTGCACGTGGTGGTATGCGCCTGTAATCCCAGTTACTTGGGAGGCTGAGGCAAGAGAATCACTTGAACCTGGGAGTTGGAGGAGGTGGCAGTGAGCTGAGATCAAGCCACCGCACTGCAGCCTGGGTGATGGAGACTCAGTCTCCAAAAAAAAAAAAAAAAAAAAAGAATTATTTCATAGTAGCAAAAAGAAAACACACTCCATATAAATAGCATGATAAGACTGCTGTTCTCCTCTGTAACCCAGGGGTTCTAGGAGAAGACAGGCTTTGAAGAACAAATAAAATATTCTTTTTTTTTGAGATGGAGTCTAGCTCTGTCACCTAGGCTGGAGTGCAGTGGCACGATTTCGGCTCACTGCAACCTCCACCTCCTGGGTTCAAGCGATTCTCCTGCCTCAGCCTCCCGAGTAGCTGGGACTACAGGGACCTGCCACCATGCCCAGCTAATTTTTGTATTTTTAGTAGAGACGGGGTTTCACTGTGTTGGCCAGGCTGGTCTCGAACTCCTGACCTCGTGATCTGCCCACCTCGGCCTCCCAAAGTGCTAGGATTACAGGCATGGGCCACTGCGCCCGGCCCCTCACACTATTACATCTTTAAACTTGAGCTTTCATCTATGGTTCCCAGCTCGTAACTCCTATAGTCCTTGTTATAGTCTTTTGTTATAACATTGGGGCACTTTAGGCCTCAGAAGCAGGACTCAGGAGACAGAATCTCTCTCTTGAAACTTCTCCTGCCCTCCTTTCACCTGCCCAAGGCAGGACCCTAATCTGATTGTGGGTCATAAGACCTCACTCCAGAGAAAGGTCCTGCCCTATACCCTGGAGGAACAAATGCTGCAGAGAGAGGCCAAAAAGAATCTGGACAGGCCTCGCGGGGTTTCCCAACCCCGTCTATTAGTGTTAGATCACACCCATTTTGTCTAATGGCATTTCCACATGGTTGTCCATCCTTTAATCATGACTATCCAATAAAGTCTCCATAAAAGGCCCAAGAGGGCAGGGTTAGGGGAGCTTCGGGACAGCTGATCATGCGCAGCCTGACAGGAAGGTGAACAAGAACTCATCCATGTGCCGGGAGGAAACTCCATGGGGCTAGAAGCTCTTGTGCTTGCGACCCTTCCAGATCTCACCCTATGCATCTCTTCATGTGGCTGTTTATTTGTAGCCTATAAAATATCCTGTTATAAACCAGTAAATTTAAGTATGTGATTCCCGAGTTGTGTGAGCTACTCCAGCAAATTAATCGAACCCAAGGAGTGAGACGTGAGAACCCTGGCTTGAAGCCATTCAGATGTTCTGGAGGCCTGTGCTTATGAATAATAGTGGGGGGTGCAGGGGCTGTCTTGTGGGACCGAGCCCTCAACCTGTGGTTTTTCAGGCTATCTCCAGGTAGATAGTGTCAGAACTGAAGGACACCCAGCTGGTGTCTACTGCAGAACTGACTGCTTGCTTGGTCACAGAAGTCTTTGTTGATTGTTGTGTTGTGAGAGCAGAGGAAAAACACAGTTTGACTTTTTTCCTCACACACATATAAAACATGTACAGCAGCTAAAGATACCAATGAAGAATCCAGTGCCTTCCTTGGCTGCAAACCTTTTTTACCAACACTAAGACAGTTTCCAAGGGCCACAATTACTTTGTTGTCTAATCAACATGACAGAACTTTCATGAACCTAAATATAAAACCAAATTAGGCTAACCAAGAAGCAAGACCAGACTAGGGGACTGCGAAAAGGACAGTCCCACTTTTGGAATGTACTAAAAGGTGGCTTTATTTCTGAAAACGGAGCTCCACTATCAGACCTCCCTAAGTACATGCTGGTGTCCATCCATAAGACCCAGTCTCGCTAGGAAATGCTGCCCTCACACTCGAGTCAGCTCATCTGCTCCGGGCTGTGTCTGCTCGGCAAACTAGACAAGGGCAAGCGATCCCACACCTCTCACACAGAACTTCTAGAAAAGATGGGCCTCTCCAGGTGCGGTGGCTCACACTGGTAATCCCAGCATTTCAGGGGGCCGAGGCAGGTGGATCATGTGAGGTCAGGACTTCAAGACCAGCCTGACCAACATGGTGAAATCCCATCTCTACTAAAAATACAAAAATAAATAAATAAAATAAAAATAAGCCGGGCGCAGTGGCTCACGCCTGTAATCCCAGCACTTTGGGAGGCTGAGGCAGGTGGATCACAAGGTCATGAGTTCAAGACCAGCCTAGCCAAGGTGGTGAAACCCCGTTTCTACTAAAAATACAAAAAGTAGCCCGGCGCAGTGGCGGGTGCCTGTAATCCCAGCTACTTAGGAGTCTGAGGCAGAGAACTGCTTGAACCCGGGAGGCGGAGGTTGCAGTGAGCCGAGATCACGCCACTGCACTCCAGCCTGGGCGACAGAGCGAGACTCCATCTCAAAAAAATAAAAAAATTAAAAAAAATTAAAAATAAAATAAAAATAAAAATAAATTAAAAATAAAAAAATTAGCTAGGCAGGGCAGTGCGCACTGTAATCTCAGCTACTTGAAAGGCTGAGGCAGGAGAATTGCTTGAACCTGGGAGGCAGAGGTTGCAGTGAGCTGAGATCACACCATCGCACTCCAGCCTGGGTGACAAAGCGAGACTCTGTCTCAAAAAAATAAAATAATGGCCTCACAGGATCACTCCACGCTGCAAGGGGAAGGGGTGGCAGTGGGTGGTGGGTGTGGAGAGAGCAGAGGTCAAACCCTCTCTGTCTCCAGGCAGTAATAGGGCCCCTTTCTACAAGACACAAGACAAACCTATATTTTAAAACCTGTGCATGAAAAGCACCTACCTTGGGCCTTGAGAATAGCAGCTTTTCCTCGGCCAGCCCCTGAGCCTTGGTTTTTATTTTTCATGCTCTTTAACATGGGTGCGTTCTTCAGCATGTCAGGCAAAATCAGAAAGCGGATTTTGCTGCCACGGATGTATACCTGCTCCAGCTGTGCCACTCGGCCATCTCTGTATGTGACTGTGATGTTGGACATCTGGAAGGAAATCACCAGCTAATAAGTTAACGGTCAACAGCACCAGCGGTGGGGAGGGCCTTGACTGGTGGGAGGGGGAAGTCCAGAAAAGCAGACTGACATTGTGACAAAGCTGGTGAATTACCCAGCAATCATCGGTACTAACTGTGTACACCAGGGACTGCACTGAGCACTTTACCTAAACAGTCCTCACAACACCTTCAGCGTGGGTATGAGTGCTCCCCCCCTTTTTTTTTTGAGATGGAGTTTCACTCTTGTTGCCCAGGCTGAAGTGCAATGGTGCAATCTCGGCTAACCGTGACCTCTGCCTCCCGGGTTCAAGCGATTCTCCTGCCTCAGCCTCCTGAGTAGCTGGGATTACAGGCATGCGCCACCATGCCCGGCTAATTTTGTATTTTTAGTAGAGGTGGGGTTTCACCAGGTTGGACAGGCTGGTCTCGAACTCCTGACCTCAGGTGATCTGCCCGCTTCAGCCTCCCAAAGTGTTGGGATTACAGGTGTGAGCCACTGCGCCCAGCCGAGTGCTCCCATCTTTACATGTTAAAAAAACCAAAGCAGTTATCCCAGGTCAAACAGCTGGAATGCAGGGAACTCCAGATTCGAACCAGCTGGCCTAGCTTCAGAGCCCTGGCTGTGCTGCACTGCCTGCTGAGCAAAGATGTGAAGAGCTCTTGAAGGTGCTAAACCCTAACGAAAACAGCTTCAAACTGCTGGTCCAAACTGTCTTCCCCTGCACTGCCTGGCACTCAGATTTCAAAGGCACCATGAAGGTCACAAGTATATACCAGATGTGGTTCTGACCCTCCAGAGTGCATACTCTAGAAGGTGAGACAGAACCCTCTAGGTTGAGTGACTAGGGACTGAGAAATGGAGGTGGTACCACAAGGCCTGTAAAAAGGGCCTGAAATTACTGGAGGGTTATGAGGCAAGAGCTTGCACAAGGAAAAGAGCAGGCACTTGGGCAGGAGCCTACAGGATGTGAGGACCAGAGCAGTCGAATAATGACACTGGACGGGGTCGTTACTTCAGATAAAGGAGTCAGTCAAGTTTGTCGATAGAGGAAAGATCAATAGGGTTAAGGCAGCACTCAGGAAAGATAAATGTGGCAACAAGGATAGACTGCAGGATGGACAAATGGGGAGCCTGAAGGTGAGACCAGCTTGGCATGGGAGGGTGATACCAATCTGCCAGCATCAACCTCAACAAGCACCACATTTACAGAAAAAGCAGCTTATTGTATGAACCTTCTGAAGAGAGAGAACTATAATTTATTTAGAATGGGTCAGCCCTTATTGTAGAAAGATGTGCTGTCTCTGCAGATTTCTGTCTGGCTAGCTGCCATCTTATACTCATTCATTCTTTTCCTCAAGTGCTAACTGGCCACCCAGCCTCTGCTTGAACACTCAGAAAAGAACAACTATGGGCCAGGTGTGGTGGCTCATGTCTGTAATATCAACACTTTGGGAGGTCAAGGTGGGAGGATCACTTGAGCCCAGGAGTTTGAGACCAGCCTGGGCAACACAGTGAGACCTCATCTCTACAAAAATTAGCTGGGTGTGGTGGCATGTGCCTGTAGTCCAGCTACTCGGGAAGCTGAGGTGAAAGGATCACTTGGTTCTGGGAGGTCGAGGCTGCAGGGAGCTGTGATGGAGCCACTGCACCCTAGCCTGGGCCACAGAGCAAGATCCTCTCAAAAATAAAACAAACAAAACTATGCTCTGGGGCCGCCCCTGTTGTATATGAGCAGTTTCTAGAGGAATGGTTTCTAGAGCTTCTACCCACTATCCCTGTTCTACCTTCAGGGGCAACAGGGCTCCAGTTTCTCATAAACCTTCTGCTCCAGGCTCCTCACTCCCAGCCTGTTATTAAATTTTCATCCAGTTCCCAAGTCCTTACCAATCCTTTTCTTCCCCTGAAGAATACCATAACCTCTAGTGCCACAAATGAACGCCAGGTTTATGGTCAGACTACCCAAGACAGAAACTGGATACAACTCAGGCTCACCTGAATCTGACTGACAATTAAAATGTGTTTTGGGGCTGGGCGCGGTGGCTCATGCCTGTAATCCCAGCACTTTGGGAGGCCGAGGTGGGTGGATCACCTGAGACCAGTCTGGCAAACACGGTGAAACCCTGGCTCTACTAAAAATACAAAAATTAGCCGGGTGTGGTGGCAGGTGCCTGTAGTCCCACCTACTCGGGAGGCTGAGGCAGGAGAATCACTTGAACCCGGGAGGTAGAGGTTGCAGTGAGCCAAAATCACGCCACTGTATTCCAGCCTGGGCAACAGAGCAAGACGCCGTCTCAAAAAACAAAAAACAAACCAAACAAACAAAAAACGTGTTTTGGGGACTGTGCCACACTCATGACTCTGTAGAAGACACAAAATAGGCCTAAAGACCTATAGGTGAGATCCAGCTCTGCCATTTGTCAGAAGTGTAACCCTAGGTATATCTCCAGGCTTCCCTGAGCCTCCGTTCCCTCAACTACAAAGCTGAGTTTTGAAAATACAAGACAACAAAGCCAACAGTTACTGAGCACTTATTAGACATCAAGTGCTGGCCCAGGTGATTTCCCCACGGCAGCTCATGTTACCCCACAAAATCCTACAAGGTAAAGAGATGAAGTGACATAGCCATTCAGAGGCAGATCTGTCCCCAGAAACCCATGCCCTTTCCCTCTATTCTCCTGCTTGAGGTCACACCACGCTTACATGGCCTGGCTGGAGTTTGAACCCAGTTCTTTCTAACTCACACTCTTAACCACTGCACATTTCCTGAAATTGTTAAAAAGCAAATCAGGCCAGGTACAGTGGTTCATGTCTGTAATCCCAGCACTTTGGGAGGCCAAGGTGGGAGGACTGCTTGAGGTCAGGAGTTTGAGACCAGCCTGGGAAATGTAACAAGATCCTATCTCTACAAAAATTTTTAACAATTAGCCAGGTGTGGTGGTGCATGCCTGTGGTCCCAGCTACTTGGGAGGCTGAGGTGGGAGGATGGCTGGAGCCCAGGAGTTCAAGGCTGCAGTGAGCTATGATTATGACACTGCATTCCAGCCTGGGCAACAGAGTAAGACCCTGTCAAAAAAAAAAAAAAAAAAATGAACAAGGCAAAGTATGTCTAAATGCTGTCTCTATTGCCTAATACATAATAGAGACTCAGTACATGCTAAATCTGATTGACAGCTAAAATGTGTTTTGGGAGCTGTGCCACTGCTAAGCCACACTCCCTCCAGCACAGGGGCACATCTCACTCCTTTCCTGACAGAAGCTGTTGCATAAGTCCGACAAGACTTAATCTAGGCATTTCCATAAATGAACTATGTCCTGGCTGAAGCAGGAGAGTCCAGTGTCCTCTGACTCCTATTTTAACCCTAACAACCAGGCTCACTACTGCTCTCGCTTTCCCTGTAGCACTGGCTAAGAACAGCTTGCTGTGGACAAAACCCCACAGTCTCACTGCACACATGCCTGCTAGAGCTTGCTAATAAGCCTGACCTGTGTTTGTATCACAAGCCCAAGGCAGCAACTTTTGAGTGAACCAGATCCTAATCAACTCCAGGCAGGAACACCCAGTTTAATCAACTTTCCTCAACAGCCACAATGAAACACATATGGTATAAGCCAGGTACCCAACTGAAATGACATCCTGAGGGGGAGAGAGAGAATCTTTGTAGCACAAAGTGGTGGGACTTTCTTAGATACCTGGGGCCAAGATGGAGAAAGCTAGCTCCAGGACTGTGAAGGTGTGTTGGGGTGTCTCAGGCCTGTCAATACACCAGAAATGCATTCTTTAGGACAATTTCACACATACACAAAGGCAGAGGTGCTTGGATGCCACTGCTATAATACGAATACCAACTAAGGCCATCTACCTATCTTTGTTCTTAGGAAATACAAAAGTATTATGGGGTAGAGGAGCATGATGAATGCAATCCACACACAAACAGTACAGGAAAAAAAAAGTATACGATAAGTTTAAAAAACTGGTTTTCCTTCAACCTAGAGGGCTAGGTGTCTAAAGAAATTCAATTACATTGAATTCAGAGATTTCAAAAACTTTCCTAGCAATAGTTATGGGCAATTTTCTGACCCAATCATGTGAGAGCTTCTTTTGGGTTCTCATTTTTATACAGTGACACAAGACCATATTCCATACAGAGACCAGTTTTCCAAAGATGGCTATTATATGCCAAA
This sequence comes from Homo sapiens, assembly GCF_000001405.40. Lineage (NCBI taxonomy): Eukaryota > Metazoa > Chordata > Mammalia > Primates > Hominidae > Homo > Homo sapiens. The sequence goes on along the minus strand of NC_000022.11, from coordinate 24,563,789 downwards.
GCCAACAAAACAGATTTCAAACAGTCCCATCAGTGATTGGGTGGTCATGTTGAAGCCCCAAAAGCACAATGTCTGCTTGTGCAGAGCTCTACACCACATTCTCCCACCAAAACTTCTAAGAATTAAGTCATTTTGAATGTAGTGAAATGGGTTTGACCATTACTCTCTGTATTTGCTTGTATCATTTATAATTTGGGTCCATTTTTATAAAACTGGGGACATATTTTGGAGTATTGTTATTTTTCTCACTTATGCCAACAGCATTTTGACCAACATGCCATATCCTGCAGCTGATGCCCTATCCTGCAGCACTGGCCACCAGTGCTTGGCTTGCAGCTGTCGGAATGAGAAGGAGAACAAAAGCTCCCTGCCTTCCCAGCTTAACCTCAGATGCACACCCTCTGACCCGATAAGCACCATTTCAGGGACCTCATCCTGAGTTTCACATACACATATTTCCTCTTCTTCCTTTAAAAAAAAAAATATATATATATATACACACACACACACATATATATACATACATATATACATACATACACACATACACACACACACACACACACACACACACACACACACATATATGAGACAGGGTCTCACTGTGTTGCCCAGGGTGGTCCCAAACTCTTGGGATCAAGTGATCCCCCTGGCCCAGCCTCCCAAAGTGCTGGGATTACAGGCATGAGCCAATGTGCCTGGCCATATTTTGCATTTTCAAATGTCAAAAACAGTGCTAAGATAACAGGATACTTTAAAACTACTTGAGGGACCATAAAAGGGTATTTTGTATGGGGATGTTGTCGAGGATATCATCTAATAGTGTCTCCTGTATCTGAGTGCCAGGGAAATCCACACAATTGCTATTTTAACTTAAGAACACTATGCATTTTGGAACTGATGATCTTCCCTGCTTAATCTTACACTGGAATATACCTTTATTCAATGTACAGAGAGATTCAGGTTTACATTTCTGGATACTGACTGCTTGGCTTCATTTTACATTCTACCCCAGCTTACCTGCACCATGATCTATGCATCTACTTTTATCCTGCCATAGAATTTTTTTAATTTTAGAGATAGGGTCTTGCTCTGTCACCCAGGCTGGAGTGCAGTGGTGCGACCAGAGCTTAATGCAGCCTGAACTGCTGGGTGGGCTCAAGTGATCCTTTTTGCCTCAGCCTATGGAGTAGCTGGGACTACAGGCATAAGCCATCACATCCAGATAATATATTTTTTATTTTTGGAGATGGAGTCTTGCTCTGTCGCCCAGGCTGGAGTGCAGTGGCGCGATCTTGGCTCATTGCAAGCTCTGCCTCCTGGGTTCACGCCATTCTCCTGCCTCAGCCTCCCGAGTAGCTGGGACTACAGGCGCCCGCCACCACACCTGGCTAATTTTTTGTATTTTTTTTAGTAGAGACAGGGTTTCACCGTGTTAGCCAGGCTGGTCTCAATCTCCTGACCTCGTGATCTGCCCGCCTCAGCCTCCCAAAGTGCTGGGATTACAGGCGTGAGCCACAGTGCCCAGCCCCACATCCAGATAATTTTTAAACTTTTTTGCTTTTCAGAAGAGACAGGGTCTAACTATTTCTGAAAGAGGATAGAATAAAAAGTAAATACTAAAACCCCAAAACAGGGCAGGTGTGGCTTAGGCCTGTAATTCCAATACTTTGGGAGGCCAAGGTGGGAGGATCGCTTAAGTCCAGGAGTGCAAGACTAGCCTGGGCAACAGAGTGAGATCCTCTATTTATCTTTTCCGAATCGTTGTGGTGTGCTTTTGTGTGTGTGTGAGACTAGGTCTCACTCCGTCGCCCAGGCTGGAGTGCAGTGGCACTCCATAGCTCACTGCAGCCTTGACTTCCTGGGCTCAAGTAATCGTCCCAACTCAGCCTCCACCTGAATGGCTGGGACTACAGGCATGTGCCACCACATCCGTCTATTTTATTTTTTTTACAGACAAAGTCTTGTCATGTTGCCCAGGTTGGTCTTGAACCCCTGGGCTCAAGTGATCCTCCTGCCTCAGCCTCTCAAAGTGTTGGGATTATAGGAGTAGCCACCACATTTTGTCCCACCCCACTTTTATAACAGAAAATGTTATTGAACAAGCAAGGAAAAGTGCTAAGAGGATGTTCTCATTCCCAAAAGGCAGAATGACTGGATCTGGGAAGGACAGGCAAGCCTCACAGCCTGAGATGTGCTGAACAAACTAAACTGTGCTCAGAGTTCACCCACCACCAGCTTTAGCTACGCCACAGTCTGCTGGCTCTTATTCAATGTGCCTAGGTTTTGATAGACCCAGTGAGGCCTCTACATCCTGTTACAGGCTAAATTGTATCCCTCAAAAAAATTCATTGTTGAAGTCCTAATACCCAGCACCTCAGAATGTGATCATATTTAGAGACAAAAAATCTTTACAGGCCAGATGTGGTGGCTCATGCCTGTAATTCCAGGAGTTTGAGAGACTGAGGCAGCAGGATCACTTGTGGCCAGGAGTTTGAAACTGGCCTGAAAAACATATCAAGACTCCGTCTCTACAAAAAAATTTAAAAATTAGCCAGGTATGGTGGGGCACACTGGTAGTCCTGGATACTTAGAAGACTGAGGTGAAAAGATCTCTTGAGCCCAGAAGTCCAAGGCTGCCCATGAGCTATGATCAAACCACTGCACCCCAGCCTGGTCAACAGACCAAAGCTTAATCTCAAAAAAAAAAAAAAAAAAAAAAAAAGAAAAGAAAAAGGAAAAGAAAAAAAAGGCTGGGTGCAGTGGCTCATGCCTGTAATCCTAGCACTTTGGGAGGCCAAGGTGGGCAGATTGCCTCAGCTCAGGAGTTAGAGACCAGCCTGGGCAACATGATGAGCCTCCATCTCTATTAAAAATACAAAAAATATTAACATTAGTGGGGTACGGTGGCCCATGCCTATAACCCCAGCTACTCAGGAGGCTGAGGCAAGAGAGTTGCTTAAACCCGGGAAGACGGAGGTTTGCAGTGAGCTGAGATTGTGCCACTGTACTCCAGCCTGGACAACAGAGCAAGATTCTGTCTCAAAAAAAAAAAAAAAAAAAAAAAAAAAAAAGGCCAGGTGCAGTGGCTCACGCCTGTAATCCTAGCACTTGGGAGGCTGAGGCAAACTCAGGAGTTTGAGACCAGCCTGGGCAACATGGGGAAACCCTATCTCTACTAAAAATACGAAAAACTAGCTGGGCATAGTCCCAGCTACTCAGGAGGCTGAGGCATGAGAAGTGCTTGAACCCAGGAGGCAGAGGTTGCAGTGAGCTGAGATCATGCCACTGCACTCCAGCCTGGGCGACAGAGTGAGACTCTCAAAAAAAAAAAAAAAAAAAAAAAAAAAAAAAAAAAAAAGCAAGCAAGCTGGGCATGGTGGCTCACATCTGTAATCCCAGCACTTTGGGAGGTCGAGGCGAGCAGATCACAAGGTCAGGAGTTCGAGACCAGCCTGGCCAATATGGTGAAACCTGTCTCTACTAAAAATATAAAAATACAAAAATTAGCTGGGCATGGTGGCAGATGCCTGTAGTCCCAGCTACTCAGGAGGCTGAGGCAGGAGAATCGCTTGAACCTGGAAGGCAGAGGTTGCAGTGAGCCAAGATCGCGCCACTGCACTCCAGCCTGGGTGACAGAGCAAGACTGCAGCCTGGGTGACAGAGCAAGGCTCCATCTCAAAAAAAAAAAAAAAAAAATTCTTTATAAACATAATTATGTTAAGATGAAGTCATTAGAGTGGGCCCTAATCCTACATGCATGGTATCCTTATAAGAAGAATCTGGACAGAAACACTACAGAGGGAAGACCAAGTGAAGACACAGGAAGAGAGCCATATATAAGCAAGGAGAGAGGCCTGAAACAGATCCTTCCTTCACATTCCTCAGAAGAAACCAGCCTTGCCAACACCTTGATCTCAGACTTCCAGCCTTCAGAACTATGAGAAAATAAATTTGTGTTGTCTAAGCTGCCCAGTCTGTGAAACTTTGTTATGGTAGCACTAGCATACAAATACAAGCAGGGAGGCAGGTGGCTGTCCCCCACCATTGGTCAGGCATGGTTCCTTCTGAGGCCAAGGTGCTATTTTTATCCCTGATTTAGAGGAGGGACCAGAGGATGAAGGAGGTCCAAAGCTAAGCTCGCCCCAAGTCACCCTAGGGGGCAGGCTACAAGCTGATTCCAGGTCTGTCGGACACCAAGGTCTGTGCACTTTGTGTCATGTTGACTGCATCTCTGAATGGCTACCAAGGTTATCTGGTTAGACACCTTCACGTTACGGATGGGATGACAAAGGCCCTGGAAACCCAGCAAGTTGTCCAAATACATACAGCTAATTGAACAAACCCATTAAGCTTCACTAACCCAAGTCTTGCATTCTCCTCACCAAATTAAAGAACCTTAAAGTGGATGAGCATGCCTTAAGCCAGAGGACTGGATATATGAGAGATGATAAACTTATCTACCCTCAATAGATAAACTGATCTATTGACAGTAATGCAATAAACCTGAGTCACCAGAGGTCTACTTCTCTGCATTCAGGGAACTGACCAAGCTTGTCAACCTCGCAGGAAGATGACAGACGCTCAAAGCTACAGAAAAATCACAAATAAATGAACCCTGCAAACCAATGGATGGTCAGGATGCCTGACCGCGGTGTAAGGTGCTTTACCTCTCTGACCTTCTCATCTGGAAAAAAGCAATAGGTATCATATGTTGAACACTCACAGTATGTGAGGCACTGAGCAGCTATGGCACACATACAGCTCATCTGATCTTTGTAAAAGTCCTGGGGGTGTGGATATTACCCCTGTGGCAGTCTTAAGGGTGTGCTGCTCACATCTCCCTTCAAAAGAGAACAGGCTATGAGGAGTGCAGGCAGCCGACAATCTCCATCTTTGCAGTCCACCATGGCATTCAACTTGAGGCTACTCTCTCCCCATGTTGCCAGCCTGAACACACCGGGGGTGCCAGTCCGCCCATTTCTGCCCCATGCTAGACTCTTCTAACGAGCAATCGCTGCCTTGCTGAGATTTCCTCAAAACTACGCTGTAGTCTAAGGCTCTTCCTGCTCAATCCTCCTTCCTTTCCCCTCTCATTTCACCAGTCAGACCAGCACCATAGACTGAAAATTTCCCTGCCTACTACTGCTTCCTTGCTCTTTTATCCTTTATTGTCATTTCCCCCAATAAATACCTTGCAAAATTCTGTCTTGGCATCTACATCAAAGAACCCAACATAATACCACCCCCATTTTACAGATGAGAAAACTGAGTGGTTAATACATCTAAAGTCATATAATTAGGATTCAAACCCACATCTCTCTCTGACTCCCAAGTCCAAGTTCTTAACCAGTGGTTTAAAGAACAAAGAAAGTGTGAAGATACAACTGAAAAACAATGCTATAAAAATTCAGATGACTATGCAAAAGGCAAAGTTGTGCCATGAGAAGGACACCATATCAGGAAACTACTCCATTATTTATCATCAGAGTGATGAGCCCTTTAATCTCATTCTCCCTATTTTATGGATGACAAGACTATCACCAAACCTGCTTACCTCACAAGGTAGTTGCAATAATCAAATGAGACTCCTCCTCCAAGAGAAAAGGGAAACAAATACAGTAGGTGAGAAGATTCTGCTAATCGCAAAGCAAGTGGAGGCAAATGGATAATGGCCCTGAATCTGAAGGATTCTACTGAAGGAAGTAGCACTTCTCCCAAATAGACCCCCATATTTGGGGATGGAAAAAACAAAAAGGACAAAGTAAAATATTCCAAACCTCCAAATGGCTTTTCTGCCTCAAGATTATGTGTCTCGTTCATGCCCACACCCCCAGAGCCTATAACAGCACCTGACTGGTATGCATTAGGCACTTAGGAAATCACTGCTGAATGAGAACAATTTCCAGAGACCCTCAACACACACTTTTCTGTCCTTCAAGACACAGGGCCATTCCTCCCACACAGCCTCACATGCAAAGCAGAATACCTGGCAGTTCATGTTGTCCTCTGCTTCAATGAGCTTCCCCCGATATACCTCACCGGTGTTCGTCTCACATGTCACAATGTGGCCCTCGGCCTCATGCAGTACTTTAATCGGCACACCAATAGACATCTTGGCAGGAAGAGAGTTCTACAATGAGAGAGACAACAGTCAGTTCATCTTTCAGAGTCTGAAAAGGCATGTGGCACACATCATGCTTCCTTTAAGGCCTGGCACTCCATAAAACTTAGCAAAAACACCAAAGCTGCATTTTCTACCAAGGAAAAAAAAAAAAGCTCAGCTCCTGGTTTGGAGGAAACTATCTGGCAAATATGTGCAAGATGTGGGGTGAGGAGGAATGATGGGATGGACAGAAGTAAAACTAGGAATGAAAAGAGAGCATCTCCCATGGGTCATGTGTCCCCGCTACCCTATGTCCCTTAATCTTCAGCTAAAGGACCATTAGCCAATACTGTGTGTGTCAGGGGAGGGGGACTGGAATGTTAATTTGTTGCACTGTTATTTGTTAACCCTTAATTGTAGATGATTACGTTTTGAGAATAATACAGGCCCGAGCTGTCCAATACAGCAGCTCATGTACACACGTAGCTATTTAAATTAAACTTAACTAAAACACAATAGAATTAAAATAAAAAAACCCAGTCCCTCAATCCCAGTGGCCATATTCCAAGTCCTCAACGGCCACATGTAGCTAGTGGCTACCCTATGGAAGGTGCAGATACAGACCAAAGGACCATGCACATCTAGGAGAGCAGGCTGTACTTTTAATTCAGCCCTTTAACCCTTCACTTATTTTACTATCAAGGATATTGAGAAAATATCAAAGTGACAACGTGCTATATGCAGGAAATGCTTGTCATGGAGGAAAATCAGGGAAAGCACCTGACTTGACCTAATCAAAAGCATCAAGCAGTGAACTTTTTATTGAGATGAGCAACAACTCTAAGTTTCAACTTAAGCGTACCTAAGACAGGAGAACATGAGGTTGAAAGGACAGGCTCCTTTGGTGAGGATCCCTGGCTTTCAGCCTTAGGAGTCTAGATTTTATGCTGAAGGTAGTGGAGAACCACTGCAGAATTATATGTAAAGAATGACGCAATGAAAAGATAGCAGCATTTATTTACAAAATGGATAGAACGTAAGGTTTAGAAGCAGAGAAACTTGTTAAAACTTCTGCAACAGTTAAAACTGCTGCAACAGTGTGGAAAGCATGAGGGGACCATTGCCTGAAAGGGGACTGGGGCAGAGATACAAAGAACTTTTTAAAAAATGACCGGCTGGGCGCGGTGGCTCACGCCTGTAATCCCAGCACTTTGGAAGGCCGAGGCCGGTGGATCCCTTGAGCCCAGGAGTTCGAGACCAGCCAGGGCAACATGGTGAAACCCCGTCTCTACTTAAAAAAAAAAAAACAAAAAAAAACTCATAGGATTTGGGGGAAGGAGATAGTCAATCAGAAATGACTTCGAGATTACTGCCTGGAAGCTTTGAAAAACACTCACCTGGAGAGATACAGAATGTGAGAAGCATGCACGTTGAGGGGAAAGCTAATGAACTTACTTCCAGGAGCTAGTGAGGCGACGCTGATGTTTGGGTGGCCCAAGCTTCCCGCTTTCTTCCCTCCCCGAGCCCCGCAGAGTTCCATGCAGCAAGTCTTTCTCCAGCCCCTGGCCCCTCACAGGCGCCTCGACCTCCCCTCGCCCGTCCCCAGCCTCACCGGCTCTGGCCTACTTTTCTTCTCTTCGGTCCGCTGCGAAAGATGCTACGGCGAAGGCGTGAGTCAAGCGAATGGCGGGCCTAACACCCAGAATTCCACTCTTTCCCAAAATGCTGCGCGCAGGGCCCGCCTCCTTCCTTTCCCCAGTGTTGAGCGCGGTCTCGCCTCCGCTTCCTCCTCACTCCGCCTGCCGGCTGGGAAACTAGGGCACCAGTACGATAGTTCCGGCACCGGAAAAGAGGGCTGATGACTGGGCCCGGGGGCCGCCGCAACGACCCTTGGGGCCGGCAAAGAGCCAGAGAGGGTGCTCACACTTCCAAGCACCCCACACCAAGGACAGGCTGGACGGCAAGGCGGAGACGCGGGGCTTGGGCCCTCAGACCGGGGACAGCAGGAGGTTGGGCCAAGGGCCAGGACTTCCCGTCACAATTTCATTTGTTGATCCCGGCACCGCCAGGTAAGGGGGGCCCTGAGTGAGGCTAGGTATCTGGTACGGATAAAGTTAGGTATAGAGTAGAGCGGCTGCCCGCTCAGGGTTATCCCTAAAGACAGTTGGAGGAGAGTTGCTTGGGGCCTCGGGGATGCACTGGGCGGGATCAGGGCTTACACCTAGGACTGGCAAAAGAGCGGGACCCGGCAGAGGCGGGGCTTGCCGAAGGGACGAGCCTCTATTCAGGAAATGCACGAGCTTTGGGGCGGGGCTCAAAGAAAGGGGCGGGGCTTCCGGGGCCCGCGTCCTGGTGAGCTGCGCGTCTGCGCGAGGATTGGGCGAGAGGGTGGGGCCACTCAACGCTGAGGCGGCGAATGGCCGGAGCAGACTTAAATCAAGAGGCTGGGGACCTCTAAGATCAAAGTTTGGGGCGGGGCCTAAGGAGGGGGCGGGGCCTCCAGATTCGAGACCTGGAAGGGCTGGGGCGGCGCTTGGGGCGGCCCAGCCGCCGCCTCCCGTTCTCTCCTCCGCAGCGGCGGCGGTGGCGGAGAAGGAACTCGACACGCACCGACCGCCCTCCCGCCCCAGCCGAAGCGGAAGCTGTAGCCCGCTCTGGGCCGGGGCCATGGGCGCCCCGCGCCGCCCGGGTCATGAGGACGGAGGCGGAGGCAGCGGGGCCGCCGCTCGAGCCCGGTCAGTGCCTCTCTGTGGGCCCAGTCTTCACCCTAGGAACGAAAGGGACCCCTCCCTAGCGCGGGGCAGGGTCCAGTCGCGCGACCTTGGGCCGACTCCCGCCTCGCCCCCACACCCGCCTGGTTCCAGTCAGTGGGGGTTTCCTGACACTCGCAGGATTGCGACCCTTGTCAGCATGGTGGGAAGGTCCGGGTAGCAGGGGCACCACCTTCCCCAGAAGCGAAAAGTCCTGCTGGAGCCGCCTTGGGAGCTCCCATGCCTTGGGAAACCGTGGAGGACTGAGGCTGGGAAGGGCAGGAAACTGGCCGAGAGCACCGAGCAATGGAAGGGCCAGTGCCCTGGCCTCCGAGACTCGGCGTTTTGTCTTGCTCTTGTTCTTCACTTTCGTTCTCTCTGCCACGCGGTAGCCTGAGCCCCTTTGGGGCGGAGACCCGGACTGGTATTCAATGTCTTGGCCGTTAGTTTGCTTGCCCAAGACGTAGGGGAGGGGGAAGACGTGATTCCTGTCCTGCTGAAGGCGCGGGGTTGATGACAAACGGAGTTCTAGCTAGTAAACTCTGAAGTGAAGTGCCAACTGTGGAAGAGGTCAACAGCATGTGGGACCCTGACCTTCAGGTGTCACTCCCAGGGAGTGTTCCCTTTTGTGTCTGCTGTGTGGAGTTGGTGGGGGATTTACAACCCTCCTCCTCCAGTTGTCTAGCCCTGTGGTCTGAGACAAGATACTTGCCTTTCCTGAGCCTCAGAGGAGGAATGGCTTACATTCACAGGGAGTGTTCTATGAGGCAGGCGCGCGCTGCGTGCAGTTGTTTACATGCAGTGCCTCATTAATCCTCATAACGAACCAGTGAAGTAGGTGCCCACTGTGATTTGCACTTTTGCAGCTGAGCAGACTGAGTCTGAGATGGGTTAAGTATTAAAGGCTAGTGCACTGCTTGCCTTCCTTAGTGACAGCCACTAACTGAGCTCAGGCCAGGGCCTTCCAGGCAGCCCTTTGGCTCCAGGCAGCAACGTCTGGCTGTGGCTTTGTGTTTAGAAGGCTAAAGCTGTTATGGGGACAGATGCCAAGGCCTCGCCTAACCTTATCACCCCCAACATGAGCACCTCTAGGTCCGATCCGCCCTTGCCGAGGCTGGAGATGGCCCTGTGGGGCCTGCCAGGCCTCAGGATCAAGGAGTTCTAGAGCGCAGGGCAAGAGGAGGAGGCGCAGCTGAGTCTCTGAGAGAGAGCTGCTGTCTTGTGCCACATTTTATAGCTGGACATGGAAAGGCATGGACAGTCATAGCCTGGCAGAAGATAGCCCAGCTAGTCAGTGTCACAGCCCAAGCCACAGAGTAAGGAGGGAGCCTCACACAGAGGGCTGTAGTCTGGAAGCCTGGGGGAGGAGGGGTGCAGAGCAGGGAAGTGACAAGTAGGCCTGGGCATCTCAAGGTATGAGGTCTTTTTGGAAAACGCCTTCCATTCCCCAAGCATATCTAAGTGCCTACTCTGGGCTGAGGGTTGGAAGGAGGCAAATGCAACCTCATCCCCATCTGCCACTGAAGAATTCTCATTGCCTCTTTAAGGACTCCATATTGAGGGGCCCTGAGAGTGAGAGGGATTAGAGCATGGAGACAACATTAACATTTCAGACTAAGGCTCATCAGCTATCATTAGTGATAGTGTAGTTTATGTGTGGCCCAAGACAATTCTTCCAGTGTGGCCCAGGGAAGCCAAAAGATTGGACACTCCTAGACTAAGGGATGTGCAAGAGCAAAAGCTGGGGAGGAAACAGTATGAGTAGAGAAAAACAAAAAGGCAGTGTGTGGCTGCTGTGAGGGGTTCTTGAACAGGCAGGCATTCACCGTGACAGCACAACATCCTGCATAGAGCTCTCCCACTGCTCAGCTCTTTATGAGTCCCTAGGGGTCAGGGCTTGGGTGGGTCTTTAGTTACCTTTGTGTCCCCAGAGCCTAGCAAACAGTGAGGGCTTATTTTATTTTTAATTATCTGGGTGTGGTAGCGTGTGCCCATAGTTCCAGCTGCTCAGGAGGCTAAGGTCAGAGGATCCCTTGAGCCTGGGAGTTCAGGGCTGCAGTGAGCTCTGGTCACACCACTGCACTCCAGCCTGGGCGACAGAGTGAGACCCTGTTTCAGAAGAAAACAAAAAGTTCTTTTTTTTCCTTTTCCTTTTTTTTTTTTTGAGATGGAGTCTCACTCTGTCGCCCAGGCTGTAGTGCAGTGGCGTAATTTTGGCTCACTGCAACCTCCGCCTCCCAGGTTCAAGCAATCCTCCTGCCTCAGCCTCCCGAGTAGCTGGGATAAGAGGCTCTGGCCCCTGCCCGGCTAATGTTTGTATTTTTAGTAGAGACAGGGTTTCACCATGTTGGCCAGGCTGGTCTCAAACTTCTGACCTCAAGTGATCCGCCTGCCTTGGCCTCCCAAAGTGCTTGGATTACAGGCGTGAGCCACTGTGCACGGCCTAAAAAAAGTTTATTTCTTCCAGCAAATATTTATTGAGTTACTATTAAACATTCAACACCAGCAACTGAGAATAACAGTGAACAAGATCAGCAAGTTTCCTGCTGTCTCAGTTCATTTGTGCTTCTATAACAAAATACCTGGGACTGGGTAATTTAGAAACAATAGAAATTTAATTTCTTTTTTTCTTTTTTGGAGATGGAGGTCTCACTATTTTGCTCGAACTGGTCTGAAACTCCTTGGCTCCTCTTGCCTTGGCCTCGTGAGTAGTTGGGATTACAGGTGTGTGCCACTGTGCCCAGCTCTAGAAATTTAATTCTTCACAGTTCTGGAGACTCTGAGGTCCAAGATCAAGGCGCTGGCAGGTTCTGTGTCTGGTAAAGGCCTGTTCCTTGTAGATGGTGCCACCTACGTGTCCTCACATGGTGGAAGGAACAGAAAGGGCATGAACACTGCTTTTACATGACAGAAGAACAGAAGGGCAAAAAAAATGGCCTATGCTAGTTTCCTCCAGCCCTTTTATAAGGCACTAGTTCACTGATGAGGGCAGAGCCCTCCTGACTTCACAAAAGGCCACACTTCTTATTTATTTATATTTTTGGTTGTGGATATCTTCTGCACCCATTTCTTCATACCACCACAATGGAGATTAAGTTTCAACATAAATTTTGGAGAGGATACCATAGCACCTGCCTTCAGGAAGCTTGCCGTCTCAAGAGAGTGGCTTGATGCTATTGTTACTTTTGCCAAGCACTGTGAAGGAAACGAATAGGATGCTGTGAAGGAGAGTTCCCTCGTTTCTCAAAGGCTTAGTCAGAAAAACCTCTAAGAAGAGATTTTGAGCTGGGACCTGAATGACTAGAAGGGACACAACCTTGAGAACAGCAGCCGGGAGAGAGTTTCAGACAGAGGGATCCTCACGTGCAGATGCCTTGGGGTAGAATGAAGCCTTGATGAGTTCACAGGTTAACTAGACCACAGGTGAGGGCAGCCAAGATGAGGCTGGCGGGCCAGGTTAGGCAGGGCCCCGGTAAGGGATGAGAACCTTATTCCAAGAGCAGTGGGAAACTGAATGGGAATCCCTACGGCTGCTGTATGTAGAGGTGGGAGAGGTGCTGGGAGTGGAATTTGGGGCAGGGACAGGCAGGGGTCAGTGCCACTGAATCCTTGGCAGTGATAGCAGGGGAACATGTGAGCGCCTTGAGTGAACGGCCTGGGTATCTTTTGGAGGCATCTGGGTTAAGAGGAAGGAAGAGAATGAGGCCTCAGTCCAGCCTGGGCTTAGCATACCAGGCCCCAGCTGGGGGCAGGTTCACATTATTAGCACCTGCAAAGGGCTTTATAGACGTTCTTGTCCTTAGGGTTCACATCACCCTGCAGGCTGGCGTCTGGTAGTCCATTTCACAGAGGAAGAAGCAGGCACAGAGAGGCCAGGCAACTTAGCTAGCAGGTGGCCTGCTTTGCTCATGCCATTGTGCCTTCCATGGGCCCTGCTGCACATGGAGTAGAAAGACACCAGGAGCAGTGATAGGTCCCTGCCTCTTGGGAACGTATAAGCAACACAGGAGGGCACAGACAAGCTCAATGCAAGGGCCGCATCCTAGGAGGCAAAGTGTGAACTCAAGCCCAGAGAAGTACAGATGAGTGAAAGGGTGTAGCCAGTCTGTGATCAGGGAAGGCCCTGGAAATGGCCTCTGAGCCAGGCCTTGAAGGCTGGGGAAGGTCAGACATAGGAAGGGAGGAACTTGGGATTCAAAGCCTGGTAGGTTGGAAAGGCCAGGACAGATCCCAGGACTAGTGAGTGGCCGTCTTAGCTGGCGCACACAGGGAAGTGAGGGGAACTGGGGCTGGCACAGCAGGAGGGCTCCTGGGGTGGCTCTACACAGAGCTGGTCACACAGTCCAGGAGAGACCTGCCAGATGGGGAAACAATGTGGGCAAGGTTTTCACGTGCTGAATGAGTGTCATGAGTGAGTAACAGCAGAGATAAGTCTCTTCCTCTTTAGACTCTGAACTTTGTCCAGGTTCATGAGGTGGCTACGGAGGAGGGTCCTGCATGCCACAAGCCCATTTGCCCCACCTCAGGGCCTTAGCACATGCTGTTCCCCCATCCCCTCTAAGGCACACCCCCACTGTTTTCCCCAGCCTAGGCCTCTATTTTGCTATGTTTGCTTATTTTTGCTATCCACCAGGAGAGTGACTTTGTGTCATTCACTGCTGTATCTCCAGTACACACACCAGGCACTTACTAGGCTTTTGGGAAATATTTGTTGACTGAATGACTGAATCAGACCAAAGTCCCCCTGTTTAGGGATGGCCAGACTCATTCCAGCAAGAGGAAGTCAGCTGCCCAGCCCACAGCCAGCCAGCAGTGGCACAGTTGAGACTGGAACGCTAGGTCAGGCCCTTTCTGCTCCACCTCACAGCCTGGCAAAGACAGACCGAGAGGTCGCCCAGGGTTGGTGGGGGATGGAGCTCACAAGAATATTACATATGCTTCATAGCTTACGTGACAGTTCCCTTCTCCTGGCCATGGTCTCACACCCTGGTGGTCCTGGGGTCTTTGGAGTCAAGCAAACCTCCAGGGGCCTCATGAACTCAGATACATTATCTGCTGAGTGCCTCCCATGTGCCAGCCCTGGAATGAAAGCAGGAAACAAAACAGCCCCTGCTGGCCAGGCGGAATGGCTCACGCCTGTAATCCCAGCACTTTGGGAGGCTGAGGTGGATCACCTGAGGTCAGGAGTTCGAGACCAGCCATGGAACCATGGACAACATGGTGAAACCCCATCTCTACTAAAATTACAATAATTAGCTGGGCATGGTGGCGCACGCCTGTGGACTACAGGCTGCTTGGGTGGCTGAGGCAGGAGAATTACTTGCCACCCGGGAATCGCAGGTTGCAGTGAGCCGAGATCATGCCACTGCACTCCAGCCTGTGCGACAGAGCAAGACCCTGTTGAAAAAAAAGAAAAAGACTCTGTCCCTCCTCCTCAGAGCTCCCACCAAAAGAAGGGCTTTGAGTAGGCATGGTGGGAAGTGAATGCACATGTGGGTCACTGGGCCTGAGAGGGGCAATACTGGAGAAGTGACATCCAAGGGCAGGAGTTAGCTCAGGCACCTGGGAAGCCAGGTATGTCCAGGCAGAGGAACCAGGTGTGCAAAGACCTCCAGGGTGTGAGGGATTATGACAAGCAAAGGCAAGGGTGCAGAGGGTGCTAGGGCAGCAGCCATGGAGGTATTGTCTTAAGGAATGTGGGACCCAGCTCACTGGAGGATTTTCAGTTGGGCTGACCTGCTCTGGCCGGTGTTTTGGGGAGATCACTGCTATTATAGGAGCCTGGATTTGAGGGGATTCCTGAAGGATTGTGGGAAGGTCCCTGAGCAGCCCCTGCAGGGTCTAGGCAGGAGGCAGTGACACTGGCTCCCATGAGGGTGGGAGTGGTGGGCTCTGCGCTGAGGGTCTGTGACCTCCCTCTGTTTCTGCACAGGGGACTTTGTGCAACTGCCTGTGCCCGTCATCCAGCAGCTCTACCACTGGGACTGTGGCCTGGCCTGCTCCAGGATGGTGCTGCGGTGAGTGGGGCCAGGGCTGGGGGCCCAGGTGCTTCCCATCTACATCTTCTGCTCTGGCTTGGGAGAGACCTGGGTGGGATCCATGGTCCATGTAGCTATCTTTGGTTGGGGCTTGCAGGAGGCCAAGCTTCTACCTGGTCCTAGTCCCATCTGCAAAAGTGAGCAAGGGGTGGACCAGGCCTTCCAGCTCTCCATGATAGTAATGTCTGGGGGCTTGGGGTGGCCAGGAAGTCCCAGGTGCCCAGGCCTGTCCTACAAGGCAGTTCTGTGACTGGGATAGGAGGCCCTCCACTCCCCAGTTTCTGGCTCCTGGGAGAATGGGGTGCTGACCGTTAAGCTGAGGCTGTGTGAATATCACAGAAACCTGGACAGTGAGAGCCAAGAGGGACTGTAGCCGTCACCTTGTACAAGAGTTTTTCATTTGGCTTCCTGGAACCACAGGGCAGCTGCATCTTCATCTGTTTTACATCCTGGGAATCTCAGCAAGAGAAAATTCAACAAAAGCGTTCTTTGCCTAAAACTTTGAAAACCACTGATGTGATCAGGGACCTTATTTTAGAGATGAAGCTAAAGAGGCCAGAGAAGACAATGACTTGCTCAAGGTCACAGCCCACAAGACACAATAGATTTGAGAAGCAGAGTCCAGGCCTGCAACTCTGGAGCCAGGACGGTGCCCCAAGCAGCCTGGGCAGTGTGTGGGCAGGACCTAGGGTCTCATGATGAAGGAGGGAGACTTCTGGGGAATGGGACCTGTGACGGGGCTCTTGGGCCAGTGGGTGGAGGGTGACTCAGACCAGTTGACCCTCAAGACCAAGCTGAGCTCCCCAGCTCGTCTACCTGCAGGTACCTGGGCCAGCTGGACGACAGTGAGTTTGAGAGAGCCCTGCAGAAGCTGCAGCTGACCAGGAGCATCTGGACCATCGACCTGGCCTACCTGATGCACCACTTTGGCGTGAGGCACCGCTTCTGTACCCAGACCCTGGGTGTCGACAAGGGCTACAAGAACCAGGTGAGCGACCAGCCACCAGGCCTTCCCATGTGGGGCCACACAGAGGTATAAGGCCACCTGGTTCCAGTAGTTGGAAGAGGGAACAGTCAAGGGCTAGACACCCAGGTAGATACCCAGGTGTGCAGAGACCAGGGAGCAGCAGCAGAGAGGCTATAGGCAGGATTTGGGAGCCAGTCAGAGCAGGTGCCCTTGCAGTCGGGCCTGCCCAGAGGATCTGAGTACTGAGTCCTGGCTCCTGTCCACCTGCCTTCTACAGCCCTCAGAATGTGCAGAGGCCACTTCCTACGTTCTTTCCTACTGTCCTCAGCACAAGGCAGGCCCAGGGCCTCTGAGAACATCACTGACCTCATCCGGCCATCATTTGCACATTTTTTTACTTTTCACCAGGAGAGCCAGCTTTTAAGCTATATAATTGGTAGTCTAGAAGAAAACCAAAATACCATCTTTTCTTTTTTTTGCCTTTTGAAAAATAATGCCAACATAGCCATGCCAGCAAAGTGTGTTCCGTGGACGACACCTAGCTAAGCCAAGCTGTAGCTGAGCTGTCCCAGGTGGTTCAGCCTCATCCCCCTTGCTTATTCGCTACGGGCTCCTGCTCATGCCTGCCAGAGTGTACAAGCCCAAGGGTGATCGATCCTCCCCAGAGAGCTGACCTGAGCCCAGCTGCCCACCCCTCTCTCAAGCATCATCCTCATGCCTCTGTGTGGTCCTGCTTCCCTGCTCCTGCTTAGGACAGACAGCTTTCTGATCTGGCTTGCTGCATGTACCGTCTGCCCTGGCAGGTGGGGCTCCTCTGCCCTCCTGCTGTCTCTGCCTCTGTAACACGCTCTTTATTTCCTTCATCTAAATGGAGTGAAGGCAGCCTGGGTGGTGGCCACTCCATCCCCCTCTTCTCTGTTCAGTCCTTCTACAGGAAGCACTTTGACACAGAAGAGACCCGGGTGAATCAGCTGTTTGCACAAGCAAAGGCCTGCAAGGTGCTGGTGGAGAAATGGTGAGCCCCCCAACTTTCCTACCTGCCCTTCCTCTCATGCCTGCTCACCCACAGATCTGCAGTGGGGAGGCCTCGGGATGGTGTTCAGGAAAGGCTAGGACTCTGGAGCCAGGCAGAACTGGCTACCCGGGTGGCTGTGGGCACTGACTTGCCCCCTTGAGCCTTGGTTTATGGAGCTCACTGGGGCTACATGACCCAGGCTCTGACCAGGGGTGGATCCTGAGCAGGTGCTGGAGGGATAGGTGAGTGAGAGAGATTGCACCCAGCCCTTGGGCTACTTGCAGAAAGACAGCATGGGACAGAACACAAGGCCCCTAATGAAAGGGCGATGGCCTAAGAGGAATGTGCTGGTGCAGTGATTGACAAGGGATGGGGAACAGGGAGGACCCAGTGTGTAAGGGCTGCTGTGACCTTACAAGGGCCTCCTCTTCTCATCTGTATGCATTGGGGCTGGATTCAGGAAGACTCTGGGTGCAGTTTGCCCAGATGTGGGTCACATTCTTTTCTGGGCTACGTGGGAGTGGGGCTCAGACCTGCTGCCTCTAGGTCCTGGACAGGCTCTTCTCAGATTTTCCCTTTCTTTGCGGATTTATATTTTCATTATTGACGTAGTATAATCACATGATAGGTGATTTAGAAAATGGGGGTTTGGGGGCCGGGCGCGGTGGCTCACGCCTGTAATCCCAGCACTTTGGGAGGCTGAGGTGGGCGGATCACGAGGTCAGGAGATCGAGACCATCCTGGCTAACACGGTGAAACCTTGTCTCTACTAAAAATACAAAAAATTAGTCGGGCGTGGTGGCAGGCGCCTGTAGTCCCAGCTACTCGGGAGGCTGAGGCAGGAGAATGGCCTGAACCCAGGAGGCGGAGCTTGCAGTGAGCCGAGATAGTGCCACTGCACTCCGGCCTGGGGGACAGAGCGAGACTCTGTCTGAATCTGCCCTCAAGGAAACAGAAAGGCAAATCCAGGATGTGGGACATTTTCCAAGAGTACTGCCCCGGGCTTTAAAAATCAACAAAACAGGCCGGGCACGGTGGCTCACGCTTGTAATCCCAGCACTTTGGGAGGCCGAGGCGGGCGGATCACGAGGTTAGGAGATCGAGATCATGGTGAAACCCCGTCTCTACTAAAAATACAAAAAATTAGCTGGGCGCAGTGGCGGGTGCCTGTAGTCCCAGCTACTCGGGAGGCTGAGGCAGGAGAATGGCATGAACCCAGGAGGCGGAGCTTGCAGTGAGCCGAGATCGCGCCACTGCACTCCAGCCTGGGCAACAGAGACAGACTCTGTCTCAAAAAAAAAAAGAATATAGTGGGGTGGGATCTCCATTCATACTATGACCACATGGGCACATGTTGGAAGGAAAGGCAGCAAATGTTTATTTAGCAGCCCTCAACAGGTGCTGTCTCCTTGAGTGGGAAAGCTGTTGCTATCTCTGCTTCTCGGGGGAGGAAACTGAGGAGGAGAGAGACACCCAAGGTCACCCCCAGCATCTTGGCCATGCCATGATCTGAACCCATGCTTGTTATTCCTTGAAGCCTGTAGTTTTTCCTTCCAGCCAAGCCCCTGCTTTTTCCCTATAGCTGAAATCCCACTCCTGTGCACTGCCACTGGGAACTCAGCCAGCTATTTTGTTTCAAAGACCAAATGGAAAAATGGCATGTTTCCTTGGCCAAGGCAGCAATCCAAACTGCCACGTGACTCAGCTGTGGCTGAAGCTGGGTCAGGCCACATGGTACTGATGCTGCCACTCCTAAGGAAGGCCCCAAGTGGGTGAGCAGCCCCTCCAGCAAAGATGCAGGAGCCCCTGGCCTAGAGCTCCCCCTGCCCACAGCCCCATCTGCCCTCTGTCCCTCTGGGTGTTTTCTTTTCTTTTCTTTTTTTTTTTTTTAAGAGACAGGGTCTTAATCTGTCATACAGGCTGTAGTGCTGTGGCGCAATATTGCAATACAGCTCACTGCTACAGCCCCAGGCTTAAGTGATCTTCTTGCCTCAGTCTCCCGAGTAGCTGGAACCACAATCTCATACCACCACGCCCCACGCCTGGTAAATTTTTAAATGTTTTTGTAAAGACAGGGTACTGCTGTGTTGCCCAGGCTGGTCTCTAATTCCTAGTCTCAAGCGATCCTTCCGCTTTGGCCTCCCAAAGCACTGGGATTACAGGTGTGAGCCACTGTGCCCAGCCCTGCTCTAGGTTTTCATTTGGATTTGCTGCCTAGTGGAAGGCACAGGATGGGGCAGTGCCTTCTGCCAGTGAGGGAGGCTCCAGGTAGATGTCATTGCTGAACTGGAGCTCCCCTGGAAGCAATGTGGCCCAGCCCTTCCTGGGCAGCCCCTTCTGCCACCAGGAGCCTTAGAAAAAAAGTAAAATAGCTCTTTCAGAGAAGCATTTGGTTTTGAAAGTGTCTGAGCCATGCTTGGCTGGCAGTTTTCAATGTAAACCACACATGATTTAGGGTAGAGGAGAGACAGGGCTGGGCAAAAAGAATTCACTAACCAGGCTGGGGTGCAGTAGGAGGATGGTTTCTGTGTGCTGCTCTAGTGGCCCTTGACTGGACCCACCTGGAGCTGAATGCTCTCCCCGTGAAGGGCCTGACAGAGCCAGCTCATCTTTGTGCACATTCAGACACACACACACACCCCCCCCACCGGTCTCCTGCTTGGCTCTAGGCTGAGCCTGGGCCACAGTGACAGAGCAGGGAGTTCAGGGCAAAGGGAAAAGGAGCCGATCCCCAAGCTTTGTAACAGAGAAACAGGCACAAGCAGGGATCCATTTGAGGGATGGGGAATGGGGGCCCAGCAGCACCAGCTGACCCCCCTCCCGCCCACAGCACAGTGAGTGTGAAGGACATCCAGGCGCACCTGGCTCAGGGCCATGTGGCCATCGTGCTGGTGAACTCGGGGGTGCTGCACTGTGACCTGTGCTCCAGCCCTGTCAAGTACTGCTGCTTCACCCCCAGTGGCCACCACTGCTTCTGCCGCACTCCTGACTACCAGGGCCACTTCATCGTGCTGCGTGGCTACAACCGGGCCACTGGCTGCATCTTCTACAACAACCCAGCCTATGCCGACCGTGAGTGCTGGGTGGGGTGGGTGAGGCAGAGTGGTCCACATTCACTGTTCTGTATGCCCAGTGCCCACAGTTCCCACCCATTCAATCTAGTGTGGCCAGGGCCTCCCTCCCTACCTTTTCCCCAAAGCCCCTGCTCCTCCTGGGCTCTTGTCACTGTGGCCACCCCTCAGGCCATGCAGGCAAACCTGCCGCAAACTGTGCCAGCCTCCTCTACACCCTGGCCACCCCTCCCTCTCACACCACAGGCCCCACGCCACTGCCCAGGTCCCTGCCTTACCCTTTCATGCTGCCCAGGCTGCACCCCTCCCCCAACCACCAGGATGGCCGGCACATTCCTCAGAAAGAAAAGCCCGGCCAGACCCAGCCCCTGCTCTAGACCCATCCTGGCCTGCCTACTGCCCTCCGGGCACAGGGAAGGGCTGCCCTGACTCTCATAGACTGGATTCACATAGACAGCCCCTGGACGCCCTGACCACATAGACTTACCCCGTCTATGTGGCCTGGAGCACGTTTCTGCCCCTCTCTGGGCCTTTCTCCAACTGCTTTACTGGGGAGGAGTCAGAGAAACCTCATGAAGACCAGGATGGGCAAGGAGGGCTTCCTGGGGGTGGAGGACTTGAGTTGAGAGGAATGGCCATGTGGATGGGAAACAGACCTCACTCAGCTCCCCTGGGCACTGTGTCGGTGGTGTAGGTGCTCTCTCACAACCCACTGACCCCGTTCTGCCTTCCCCACCCCCAGCAGGAATGTGCAGCACCAGCATCAGTAACTTTGAGGAGGCCAGAACCAGCTATGGCACAGATGAGGACATCCTCTTTGTCTACTTGGACAGCTGACAGCAGGAGCCTGGTGCGCCTAGGCCCTCGGACCCCATCCCCACCCCAGCCGGGCCCGCTCAGGATGCCCTGGCCCAGGCTTGGGGCTGCTGGGGTTGGAATGTGGAACTGCAGCCTCAGCCCATCTGGCAGAGTCCCAGGAACTCGGAGACTGGCACAGCTGCTTTGTCTGCCAGTGCCGTGTGTTGTCATGTCACTCACCCCAAGCACCTGCTGGCTGCTGGAAGCATACCCCAAGACCCCAAGCCTTGACTCCAGCTGCGCCCACAGGAAGTCCAGTCCCGACAGTGCCCTTGTTGCCTTTGAGCCAGATCCATGGCAATGGTCTCCCCACAGACCGCAGGACTGAGCCTGGAGAGAGAAGTTGCTTGACGGATGCCACTTGTCAGGACAGTATGTGAGTGTCTGGAGACAGCATAGCTGACCCCAATCCCCCAGGGCTGAGGACCCCTCCAGGCCCCTCTCTCCTGGAAGTGCTGCATATGCCCCTGTGCCCAGTGGTTGATGATACCACCACCACCTGCCTACCCATGGGCCCAAGTTTCTGTGGCTCATTACAGGGCATCTGACCCCTGCCACCCAGCATAGACACACCTCACAGCTGCCCTGCCATGCAGAGCCCTGGCCGCTGGAGACTCTTAAAGCCCCCACAGCCCTCCAGGTCCTCCAGCTCTGTCAGATGGAGGGCTCTCGGGCCTAGATCCCACTGGTAGGCCTCGTGGCTGGCAGCAGTGCTCTGGGAATAAACAGCTGCCCTAGCCCCAGAGGGATCCCTGCACCCAGGAGGCCTCCTGACACCAGCCAAAATCCTGACAGCAGGGTCTGCCCTCTTGAGTGTGGGGAGCCCCTAGTCCTTTAAGGTTGGCTGCTAAGGCCTGTGCTCCAAAGCAACGGGCTGGGGCAGCCTGCAGCTGCCCACCCAACCTGGTCTTCACACCAGATTGCACAGGATACTGGGTCTTGTCTATCTTGATGGAGAAGAGGGGTTCCTGCCCAGGATCTTACAACACAGCAAGTAGCATAGAGCTCTTTCCTTCCTCTTTTTTGGGGAGGTTGGGGTCAGGGGTTGTTTCTTTGAGATTTAAGTTTTCATTTTTGAGGGGTAATCACCTTCAAGTAAAACAGTAATAGCAAGAGTGAAGGTACTTTGGAACCACTAACACCTCTGCACAGGGCAGTTAGCCAGCTCAAGTTCTTTTTCAGAGAAAGGGACTTGGCCAGTGGTTTAAGTACCTGCCCCTTCACCTCTCAGACGAGGCAGCTGACGAGGCAGCTGGCCCAGTCTTGGGAGTCTGCTCAGGACAGTGGTGGAGCTGGGTCTTGAACCCCAGTCTGCACCTAAAAAACTAAAGGAAATGGATTTTTTTTTTTTTTTTTGAGACGGAGACTCACTCTGTTGCCCAGACTGGAGTGCAGTGGCACGATCTTGGCTTACTACAACCTCCGCCTCCTGGGTTCAAGCGATCCTCCTGCCTCAGCCCCCCACTAGCTGGGACTACAGGCACATGCCACCATGCCCGGCTAATTTTTTTGTATTTTTAGTAGAGACCAGGCTTCGCCATGTTGGCCAGGCTGGTCTCGAACCCCTGAGCTCAGGTGATCCACCTGCCTCGGCCTCCCAAAGTGGGAAATGGGTCATTTTCAAAGGGGCAACAGTGATACCATCCCTGCACTCCTGGGTCCTGCTCTTCCAATGCCCAAGGCATGGCATGGTGGCAGCTGTGCCCCCGCCCATTGCTTTGGAGCACAGATGACTCTGGGGGCAGAGGTGGGCTCTGTTTAGGAGGGCAGTGAGACCACCCAGCCAAATTGCTTCTCAACCCTAGACAAAGCCTTTGGCCAAGAGGGAGGTGCTGTTAGTTGGGCAGCCCTTCTGGGTTTCAGAGACCGGTGTTGGCTCTAGACTGGTCTCATCTCCATTGCCTTAATGCCAGGTGGCCCAGGAGTACCCATGCACAGCAGCTGTGGGGTGTGGGCATCTTCAGGTGGTGTTCTGGTAAAATTGTTAGAATAGCTGTATGAAGGAAACCAGTGGGAGGAAATGAAGTTTTCAGGATGGTGGGATGTGATTTAGACAGTGCACATGCTGTTAGGGCTGTCACTAGGGAGTGGCCTTCATGGAGGGTGGTAACAGCACCTCAGTCCAGCCAAAATGTTTAGAAACACTCAGTCTCTGGTCCCAGAGGATGGCTTCTCAGGGCATGCCACAAGTTAAAGGTCACCTTCCTGAAAGATGAATGAGAAAGCTGCCCATTCTCAAGACTCATCTGCCTAGGGAGGGTCACAGAGGCAGGATGTAAGACACACTGTGTTGCATTCTTGCACAAGTCATGAAAATGGAGCCAGAGAGCCTGGACATCAGGGACTTTTGCCCACAGCACATGACACCGACAGCTGCCCAGCCTGTTCACATGCTGGGGACCAGCACAGCACCTGAAGCCATGTGGGACAGTTGGGCTTTGTTCATTCTAGCCACGGGGATGAAAGGGATCTTTTGCATTGCAGAGATTTTATATATATTTTGTTTGTAATGAGCCATTCTCAATAAACATTATTCTCACTGCAAAATGGTGGTAGCCCCTGGCTGGCCTTTATGAAGCTGTGTTGATCTGCAGAATTCCTGTCCCTTCTCAAGTTCTCAGCATGAGCACATGGGAACCCAGGTCCTTGTCTTGCCATACCCAGTTTAGCTGGGACTGGAATCCTGTTTTCTGTTTTCTAGGGCCATATCCATCCCGTTCAGGCCTGGATGCTTGTGCCTGTCCTGGACAGGCAGTACTAGAGGTAGAAGGGCCTCGGGGCTCAGCTCAAGTGAACTGCAACAAATGCAACTACAGGAGACACAACAGAATGAGGGAGATGTTGAAGCAGGAGAGACGAAAGTGGGTGGGATGGTGAGTGCTGGGTGGAGCTGGCTGCTCAGAGCATGCAGAGTTGGGGTTGAGGTAGACAGACCAAGAGTGCAGTAGTGCGATCTCGGCTCACTCCAACCTCCACCTCCTGGGTTGAAGCAATTCTCCTGCCTCAGTCTCCTGAGTAGCTGGGATTACAGGCACACACGACCACGCCCGGCTAATTTTTGTATTCTTAGTAGACACAGGTTTTACCATGATGTTGGCCAGGCTGCTCTCGAACTCCCAGCCTCAAGTGATCTGCCTGCCTCAGTCTCCCAAAGTGCTGGGATTACAGGCATGAGCCACTGTGCCTGGCCAATGTCATCACTTTTAAAGAAGCACTTCTGTTCCTTCCCATCCTCCCTCAAACACATCATCTTGTCTGTCTCCACTGCTATAGCCCCAGTATCTGACACCTAGTAGATGTTCAGTAAATGTGAGTGAACGGATAGTAGGCTAAAACAATACCTGTTTCAGCAGCTTTCCTGTACTTTTCAGAACTAAAAGTAATCATTAAAGGGGAGGCAGAAGGCCGGGCACGGTGGCTCATGCCTGTAATCCCAGCACTTTGGGAGGCCAAGGCGGGCAGATCACCTGAGGTTGGGAGTTCGTGACCAGCCTGACCAACATGGAGAAACCCTATCTCTACTAAAAATACAAAATTAGCTGGGCATGGTGGCACATGCCTGTAATCCCAGCTACTCAGGAGGCTGAGGCAGGAGAATTGCTTGAACCCGGGAGGTGGAGGTTGTGGTGAGCTGAGATCACATCATTGCACTCCAGCCTGGGCAACAAGAGCAAAACTCTGTCTCAAAAAATTAATAATAATAATAAAGGGGAGGCAGAACTTGAATCCTTTGATGTCACCCAGGATTCAGGAGACACTCTCTCCTACAAGGAATGGTGGAAGGAGCAAGATGTACTGCCCATTAGAAAAGCTTCAAGTGACCAGGTGTAGTGGTTCACGCCGGTAATCCTAGCACTTTGGGAAGCAAAGGCTGGAGGATCACTTGAGGCTAGAAGTTCAAGACTTGTGTGGGGCCGGGCACAGTGGCTCATGCCTGTAATCCTAGCACTTTGAGAGGCTGAGGTAGGTGGATCATTTGAGCCCAGGAGTTTGAGACTAGCCTGGGCAGCATGGCAAAATCTTGCCTCTACAAAAAATTAGCCGGGCATGGTGGCACGTGCCTGTGGTCCCAGCTGTTCAGGAAGCTGAGGTGACAGGACCTCCTGAGCCCAGGAGGTCAAGGCTGCAGTGAGCTGTGATTGTGCCACTGTACTCCAGCCTGGGCAACAGGACAAGACCCTGTCTCAAACAAACAAAAAATGGCCAGGCATGGTGACTAACACCTGTAATCCCAACCTTGGAAGGTAATCCCAACCTTGGTAGGCAGATCACTTGAGCTCAGAAGTTTGAGCCTAGTCTGGGCAACATGGTGAAAGCTCATCTCCACCAAAAATACAAAAAATTAGCCAGGCATGGTGGTGCACACCTGTGGTCCCAGCTACTCGGGAAGCTGAGGTGTGAAGATGCTTGAGCCCGGGAGGTCGAGGCTGCAGTGAGCCATGATTAAACGACTGCACTCCAGCCTAGGTAACAGAGTGAGACCTTTTCACTTAAAACAAACAAACAAACAAAAAAAAACGAAAAACACTTTTTTAAAAAAAAGGCTTCATGTTATTTAAACTTAGGATTCCCCTCATGACAGGTTTCTGCAAGTGCAGGTGTCCCCTGGCCTCCAATCCCCCTGGATGGAGAATCAGTGCAAGAAAATTCTGGCACTCTGGCTTTACGTCTAGTCTGAGTCAGCGAAGAACAAAATCCCTGGGGCCTCAACCAGAAAGCAATGTGGCTATGGAGTCAAGGGATCCCCAAAGCTGAAATAAACAGAGTCAGTAATGGTGGCCTTGCCACTTGATACAGGGCTGTGGGTGGGCTGAAAATATTGGAAACTCATTTGTTTGAGCCACAAATTGCTGCCACACTCTTTGAACCTAGAAGTAAGAAGTGCCCTCATTTAATGGCACAGAACCAGTCTCTTGCCTGCAAGGCTCTTGCCCACAATCCCTGGTCCCTCACTTATTCTCTACCTCAACCTCAGCTGCTTTAAGGAGAAATGATGAGGGACAGGGATGAGGTCTCCCTGTCCTCAAGGGGGACCAAAGGCCGTGAGCACCCGAGTATGCTAAGGTACACTGGGGACAAAAGTGCCTTGAAACTTGTCTCTTGGATATGGGTGCATAAGCCACCATCCTACCTGGTCTCATGGGGGAAAGGGAGTGTCCAAATTCAACTGACAGGGTTTGGACAAGTTTCATAGTGCAGAGAGAAAAAGCCAAGTGCTGTAGGGCCCTTTGGGACAATTCGAAGTCTTGGTTTTGTTGCATCTATACCTGAATTTGTGTTAGGAACTGGTGCTTCTCCTTCCAGCCCTGAAGTGCCAAAGGGGGTTCTCTCAGTCAATGCCAGTGGGATAAGCTCCCCTGCCATTTACCCGCCATGGGTGAGTCAGGGTTTAACTCAGTCCCTCTGCCCTCTGATGTCCAAAACTTTCACCATACAGATGATGTCCTCTTGGATGGCAAGTCAACAGTCCCAGTGTTGGAGATCCTGATCATAGTGTTACCACATCTCCACCAGCAGCAGGGACTGACAATCCCTGACAAAATTCCATTTCTTGGAATACAACTGCTGATTCACAAGTTTTTGTTTTTTTGTTTTTGAGATGCAGTCTCACTCTGTCGCCTAGGCTGGAGTGCAGTGGTGCAATCTCAGCTCACTGCAACCTCTGCCTCCCAGGTTCAAGTGATTCTTCTGCCTCAGCCTCCCAAGTAGTTGGGATTACAGGCACACGCCACCATACCCAGCTAACTTTTGTATTTTGAGTAGAGACGGAGTTTTACCATGTTGGCCAGGCAGGTCTTGAACTCCTGGCCTCAAGCGATCCGCCAGCCTTGGCCTCCCAAAGTGCTGGGATTACATGTGTGAGCCACTGCACTCGGCCAATTCGCAATGTTTAATCCTTCCAGGAGTCAAGGAAAAGCTGCTGGTAGTCCTTCCACCACCACCAAAAAAAGAAGGCCCTGCACCTTCTCAGACTCCTTGGGTATTGCAGACAGCATATGCCTCACTTTGGGCATCCTACTTGGTCCTTTACATCTGCTAACTTGCCAACCAGCACCCTTTAGAGCAGGGCCCAGGCCAGAAAGCTGTATTGGAAGCTGTCCAGCAAGCCCACTCTACCTGTGGGTCCTCACAACCCAATGATCCCTTTGAGCTATATAAGTCTCTGTGACTAATTTTGCTAATTGGAACATTTGGCAAAGGGAAGCAGACTGTACCCAGAGGTGCCCCTGTTTTGGACTTACTGCCTGTCTCCCTGACACAGTGGCCAGGTACTTCTCTTTTGAAAAGCTTACTATCTGGCTTCTTACAACAGAATACCTGACCCACAAAAGGATGGCTTTTATGGAATGTACGTGTACTTAAGATGGAAATGGTATATTTAAGAACACAGCTAGTCTAGCCCTGCTGACATCTCAGTTTTACATGAAAAAACTGGCAGCTAACCCTTTGGGGGACACTTATATCCCCCACTCCACCAAAGCAAAGTCACTGGGTCAACAGGAACCTAAGTTCACAGAGGTTCTCCTAAATGCCAGGGCCTGGTTCACTGATGGTCTGATGAAGTGGAAGCCTCATGGTGTCCACAGGGCTGCTGTGGCTGTTCACCCTCAGAAACAGCTGCGCAGAACAGAAAATTGATGAGTAACTCTGCTCAGTAGGCCCTGAGCCAATACTCCTCTTGGTAACCCTTGTTATATTTTTACTGACTCTTGGGGTGTTGCCAATGGCCTAGGTGTTCGGTCTGACACTTAGAAAACCTCAACTGGCAGATTAAAGACACCCATCTTTGGGGTCATGAACTATGGAAATAAGTTTTGGCTGTGATTGCTCTGTCTGGGTCACACATGTAGATGTCCATGGTTGAAGCCTGTTCTCTGATTAGACCAACGGAAATAAGGCTGTTGAGGGAGCCTGCACTAGCCATATTGCTACTGGGATCCATCATTATGCCGGACATGGCAACACATCCACCACCATGGACTGGGCACAATGGAAAATACTATTTGTGTATGTGTGTGGGGGGGTTTTGCTTGTTTTTTTGAGATGGAGTTTCACTCTGTCGCCCAGGCTGGAGTGCAGTGGCACCATCTCGGCTCACCACAACCTCCGCCTCCCAGGTTCAAATGATTCTCCTGCCTCAGCCTCCCAAGTAGCTGGGATTACAGGCACGCACAACCATGCCTAGTTAATTTTTGTATTTTTAGTAGAGACAGCGTTTCACCATGTTGGCCAGGCTGGTCTCGAACTCCTGACCTCAAGTGATCCACCCACCTTGGCTTTCCAAAATGCTGGGATTACAGGCATGAGCCACCGCACCCAGCTGGAAAGGACTATTTCTGATGCAGACGCTACCACCACATACCAGGCTGTGATTCCTACCAAAGGTTGGCCCATTTCTCTTGCATAGGAGGAGGTCATCTTGCACAGGGCGTGGCCTCAGCCTACTCATGGCAGATCAACTCCATTAGACCTTTGACCTCTTGGGGCTATTGGTGGTGCCTTACCACTGTTGACACTTTTTCAGGTTATTGGATTGTTGCAGTCCTATCAACCAGCTCTGGGCATACCACTGCAACCCCTGAAACTAATCTGTGTCATGTTTTGGCTCTCTGGACCATCTGCAGTGTGACAATGGTGCACCTTTTATCATAAAAGCCACTCAACAATAGTGGTATTCAAAAGATCTTCCACACTCCTGCCATCATGAGATTCTGGCATTGTTGAGTATTGGAATGGCTTCCTCAAAAACTGGGCCGGGTGCGGTGGCTCATGCCTGTAATCTCAGCACTTTGGGAGGCCGAGGCAGGCAGATCACCTGAGGTTGGGAGTTCGAGACCAGCCTGAGCAACGTGGAGAAACCCCATCTCTACTAAAAATACAAACATTAGCTGGGCATGGTGGCGGGTGCCTGTAATCCCAGCTACTCTGAAGGCTGAGGCAGGAGAATCGCTTGAACATGGGAGGCGGAGGTTGCAGTGACCCGAGATCACGCCACTGCACTCCAGCCTGGGTGACAGAGCAAGAGTCCGTCTCAAAAAAAAAAAAAAAAAAAAATCAACTCAAGGTCTCTGACTCTACTTTTCTCCCTCCTTCCTGGTCCACACACTTTCATAAAGCATTTTGTTTTGTTTTTGTTTTTCAAGACAGAGTCTCGCTCTGTCGCCCAGGCTGGAGTGCAGTGGTGCGATCTTGGCTCTGCCTCTCGAGTTCAAGCCATTCTCCTGCCTCAGCCTCCCAAGTAGCTTGGATTACAGGCACACGCCACCATGTCCAGCTAATTTTTGTATTTTTAGTAGAGACAGGGTTTCCCCATGTTGGCCATGCTAGTCTTGAACTCCAGACCTCAAGAGATCCACCCGCCTCAGCCTCCCAAAGTGCTGGGATTAAAGATGTGAGCTACTGCACCCCACTTTTTCTTTTTCTAAGTAGAGATGGGGTCTTGCCATGTTGACCAAGTTGGTCTCGAACTCCTGGCCTCAAGCAGTCCTCCCATCTCAGCCTCCCAAAGTGCTGGGATTTCAGGTATGAGCCAATGCGCCTGGCCCTATTAAAACATTTTGGTCACCAAATGCAGCTGTCTTTAAAAAGGCTACTTCCTAGCAAGGTGTGTCTGAATGAAGAGGTGTAGGAAGGTTATAAAGAAATATTTTTAAAATTTGGGATTCTGATCAGACTCTTCCTGGGCGTGTTGCTTGCTTGCTTTCCCCTGGCAGCAATCCCAGGCCAGCCTGGTGGGCACACCTCCTAGATGGCAGTCCAACTGTAAGGGGGTCTAGGGGCTCAAACCTGATTGTGTTTCAGCCACCTGGATTCTCTTGTTGGACTGACATGGTCTTAGAGCATAAGAATAATGACCACTTGGGCAAGTACGCTGCTCGCTGAGACCCCTTAGGGTGGCACATACAGGACAAAGTGGGGAACATAATGGGTCCCCACGCATTTTGTAAACATGCCCTTGTTCCTCTTGGACCTGACTCTTCGAATCAAAAAGTCTAGGTGCACAAAGGGGATAACTGGAAAAGGAGGTGGCTGGTACTGGTCAGTCCAGTCACCTCTTTTTCCTTAAAGAAGTGACTATAGGTATTGAAATGAGACACCGATTTGGGAGGGGGAGCAGCAATTCTGGCACCTAGACAGAAAATACTTTGGATTCCAGGAGATAAAGAGGGGGAGGCATTTATGATCTTTGTCCTTCATAATTGCCCCTGAAGACTTCCTTATGAACATAAAAAAGATCTGTGCAGCTCTCCCAAGCTTTTGCAAGCACCTCAAATTTAACTGACTGCAAAGCTGGGCATAGCGGCTCCTGCCTGTAATCCCAGCTACTTGGGAAGTTGCAGGGGAGGATCGCTTGAGGCAAGGAATTCAAGGCTGCAGGGAGCTGTGATGGCACCACTGCACTCCAGCCTGGGCAAGACTGAGAACCTGTCTCAAATAAAACAAATTTAACGACTGTGGGTTCTGCCTTGCCCCAACAACAGATGGCTTTGGCCACCATTTGGTTTGCTCACCATTCCCATTAACCTTACCAGAAGTCCACTGGAAAGAGCAGGGGATGTCCCTGGCTCCTGCACCTTCCATGAAAATCACCTGTGATACCATCAGTTGTCGTTCCCATCCCTATTCCCATAGACTCCACTCAGCCATTCTGTGGAGAGAACGAGTGCCACCTTGCTAGTGGTATGGACAAATGGGATAGATTGGACTAACTGCCCTCAGGCTGTCCTTCCAAATACAAGGACTAGACTGAATTATTCAAACTGGGAAGCTACTTGGGAGGCTGAGGCAGGAGAATCACTTGAACCTAGCAGGGAGAGTGCAGTGAGCTGAGATCGCGCCACCGCATTCCAGCCTGGGTGACAAGAGCGAAACTTCAGCTCAAAAAAAAAAAAAAAAAAAAGAAAGTAAACTGGGAACCTGAAGCCCCACCAGGTGGCCAGGACCTGTGCTCCAACAAATATAGGTCCCACTTGGGGGACCTCCAACAATTATAAATATTTTCTAGGGGTAACGATATGTGCCCTTGTGACTGTACTTGTGTGGAGGCTAAACATTAACTCATCATCCTCCCCAAAATAGTGTCTTGCCCCTTCAGGGTGGTCAAGAGACCTTCAAGTGTTTAAGCAAATACCACCAATAGATTATGTAGCCCACAGACAACTGTGGAGATTTTTTTTTTTTTTTTTTTTGAGATGGAGTCTTGCTCTGTCATGCAGGCTGGAGTGCAGTGGCGTGATCTCGGCTTACTGCAACCTCTGCTTCCCAGGTTCAAGCGATTCTCCTGCCTCAGCCTCCCAAGGAGCTGGGATTACAGGCGCCTGCCACTACGCCCAGCTAATTTTTTTGTACTTTTGGTAGAGACAGGGTTTCACCATGTTGGCCAGGCTGGTCTTGAACTCCTGACCTCAGGTGATCCACCTGCCTTGGCCTCCCAAAGTGCTAGGATTGCAGGCGTGAGCCATCGCACCCAGCTGACAACTGTGAAGATCTTTCTAAAGTGAGGCTGCCCTTGTTTACTCAGGGGAACTTCTTGGACTGATAATTGACTCATTCCTTATGTGCACTTATTATCCCTATGATGGGAGTCCTCTGATTAGGAAAGGTGATGCAACATTTGTCTCTAACTTTAGTTGGGTGATCAGTGGTACCACCTTGCCCCTGGAAGGCATTCAGGTCAGCGGCAACTCACTGGCCAGGGTGGAGGTTGTATGGATGACAGAGTTGCCCTAGGCTTCCTCCCTGTGAACCACCAGTGGAGATTATGCAATATCTAATATATCCTGCTGTACCTGGATTAATGACTTGGGCTGAGTGGAAAGGTCAATATTTGAGAAAGTCACCTGGCTTTCTTAGGTAGACCTTGATGGTTTATAGGATTTGTTCAACCTGTTGAGTTGAAAACCCTGGGGTCAGCCGGGCGCAGTGGCTCATGCCTGTAATCCCAGCACTTTGGGAGGCCGAGGTGGGTGGATCACGAGGTCAGGAGATCAAGACCATCCTGGCTAACATGGTGAAACCCCATCTCTACTAAAAATACAAAAACAAAATTAGCCGGGTGTGGTGGTGGGTGTCTGTAGTCCCAGCTACTCAGGAGGCTGAGGCAGGAGAATGGTATGAACCCGGGAGGCGGAGCTTGCAGTGAGCCGAAATCGCACCACTGCACTCCAGCCTGGGCGACAGAGTGAGACTCCGTCTCAAAAAAAGAAATAAAGGAAAAAAAGAAAACCCTGGGGTCAGGATTGGGGTTAATATTGCAGGTTGGACTCATTCTGTTGAAATGCTGTTCATTAAATTAAATTCTGTGAGACAAGCTGAACTGATTTGCTCTATGCCTATTGTCAGATTAATCAGTGACTGATAAAATGGCATACCCATAAGAAAATTGCCAGAAGCCAAGACAATGTGGAAATGAGGGGTGGATATTATTGGGAGATAATTGTCCACAGGTCTCTCACATTTCTGTATGTGTCTTGTCAGCTAAAACTATGAAGGCCTTTGTTCTAGACTATCTTTTCAAAGAAGCTGGCATAGCCTTGGAAGATAGACACAGGTGCTTTGCATCTACAGAGCAAAGGACAGGTGTTCTTGTGACCTTGGTGGAGATAATGCCTCCTGTTAGTGCAAAGGGAAGGCATACCAACCATCCAATATAAAAGACGCAAATTCTGTTAGCTCTCTTCCCTCCTCCTTTCCTCAATAAAACCCACTGCATGTGCAGGATTCACTTGGTCCTCTTTGTGTTGCCCTAAGGGAACTGGGCTTGGGAAATGGCTGTAAGAAAATGCTGGTACTCTGGCTACTGCTATTGCTGTAATAAACTGTCCTTTGTGTCTGACCCAAGAGTGTCTTGTCTGGTTGGGTGCAGTGACTCACGCCTGTAATCCTAGCACTTTGGGAGGCCAAGGTGGGTGGATCACCTGAGGACAGGAGTTTGAGACCAGCTTGGCCAACATGGTGAAATCCTGTCTCTACTAAAAATACAAAAATTAGCCGGGTGTGGTGGCAGGAGCCTGTAATTCCAGCTACTCAGGAGGCTGAAGCAGGAGAATCATTTGAACCCAGGAGGCAGAGGTTGCAGTGAGCTGAGATTGCACCACTGCACTTCAGCCTGGGCAACAGAGCGAGGCTCCATCTCAAAAAAAAAAAAGTACATCTTCTATGAGCATCTGTGAAACTACTGCAGTAGGCTAACCTAGCTTGCAAATAGAGTAAAATCTCTGACTATTCAGTTTTTGATCTGATGTTTGTGCTTTTTAATATTTCTTCATGACTCAATCTTGGTAGGTTTTGTTTTTAGGACTTTGCCTATTCATTCATTCACTCATTCATTCATTTATTTATTTTCGAGACAGAATCTCACTCTGTGTCGCCCAAGCTGGAGTGCAGTGGCACAATCTTGGCTCACTGCAACGTCTGTTTCTCGGGTTCAAGTGATTCTCGTGCCTCAGCCTCCCAAGTAGCTGGGAGTACAGGCGCACGCCACCACACCCAGCTAATTTTTGTATTTTTAGTGAGACAGGGTTTCACCATGTTGGCCAGGTTGGTCTTGAACTCCTGACCTCAAGTGATCCACCGGTCTCGGCCTCCCAAAGTGCTGGGATTACAGATTTGAGCCACCATGCCCAGCTGGAATTTGCCCATTTAATCTAGGCTATCCAGTTTGTTTCCATACAACTGTCTGTAGTACTTTATAACCCTTTTTACTTCTGTAGAATTGGTAGTAGTGTCCCGATTTTCATTTCTCCTTTTAGTAATTTGACTCTTTTTCTTACTCAATCTAGCTAAAGGTTGTCAATTTTGTTGATCTTTTTGACGAAGCAACTTTTGATTTTGTTGACTTTCTCTTTTTTTCTTTTTCTATTCTCTAGCTCTGTTATCTTCCTTCTAGCTCTGTTCTTATTGGCTTCCTTCTGTTAGCTCTTTCATTTGCTCTTTTTTTGTGCCTTAATGTGTAAATAATGTGTACAGTTCAGTTGGTTTTGTTTGTTTGTTTTTTTTTTTTTAGAGACAGGATCTTGCTCTGTTGCTCAAGCTAGAGTGCAGTGGTGCCATCATAGCTCACTTAGCTCACTGCAGCCTCAAACTCCTGGGCTCAAGCAATCCTCTCACCTCAGCCTCTGGAATAGCTGGGACTATAGGTGTGCACCACCATCCCTGGCTAATTTTTAAATTTTTTGTAGAGGGGCCAGGCAATTCTCCCACCTCAGCCTCCTAAAGTGCTGGAATTATGGGTGGGAACCACCATGCCTAGACTCTTCTTTTTAAATGTAAGCATTTATAGCTATAAATTTCTTTCAGTACTGCTTTTGCTGTATCCCACAGGTTTCGGTGTGTTTTTGTTTCATGTGTCTCAAGATATCTAACTTCCCTTATGATTTCTTTTTTGATCCATTGGTTGTTTAAAAGTGTGTTGTTGGTCAGGAAGGGTGGCTGATGCCTGTAATCTCAGCACTTTGGGAGGTTGAGGCGGGCGGATCACTTGAGACCAGGAGTTCAAAACCAGCCTGGCCAACACGGCAAAACCCTGTCTCTACTAAAAATACAAAAATTAGCCAGGCATGGTGGCATGTGCCTGTAGTCCCAGCTATTTGGGAGGGTGAGGTACGAGAATCACTTGAACCTGGGAGGCGGAGATTGCAGTGAGCCACAGTTGTGTCAGAACAAGACTCTGTCTCAGAAAACAAAAAGTGTGTTAATTTTTTTTTTTTTTTTTTTGAGATGGAGTCTTGCTCTGTCTCCCAGGCTGGAGTGCAGTGGGGCAATCTTGGCTCACTGAAAGCTCCATCTCCCAGGTTCACATTCTCCTGCCTCAGCCTCCCGAGTAGCTGGGACTACGGGCACCTGCCACCACACCTGGCTAATTTTTTGTATTTTTAGTAGAGATGGGGTTTCACTGTGTGAGCCAGGATGGTCTCAATCTCCTGACCTTGGGATCCACCTGCCTCGGCCTCCCAAAGTGCTGGGATTACAGGCGTGAGCCACCGCACCCGGCCATTGTTTAATTTTTAAAACTTTCAACTACTGATTTCTAGTTTTGTTCCATTGTGATGGGAAAATACACTTTTATGATTTTAATCTTTAAGTTTACTGGGAATTTTTTGTGGTCTAATACGTGGTCTGGTTTATATTTAATAATGCCTTAGCCCTTTTTTTCCTATTAATTTTTTTTAAATTTTATAGAGACAAGGTCTATGTTGTCCAGGCTGGTCTTCAACTCCTGAGCTCAAGTGATCCCCCTGTCTCAGCCTCCCAAAGTGCTGGGATTACAGATGTGAGCCACTGTGCACAGCCTCCTTTTTTTCTTTTGGGCACACTGAAGTTCACCTACTCCACCCCAGATTCCGGCAATAAAGCTATAGCCTGGCAGGAAGGTGGCCTTCCAGAACTGAGAATTTCTAGGGAGAAATTCTTGAGCCCAGCCACCTGTTATCTTACCGGTGAGAAAACTGAGGGGTCAGAAGGCTTCATCCAAGATTGCACAGGGGCCCACAGGCCTGCAGGCCATGTACACTGAACCACTGCAATTTCTTGTCTGAGAGACTGCCCTGTAGCATCAGCAATGATCACCAGGAAGCAAAAACCTCCACCACAGATTCATTCAAATGTTTACTGAGCATCTGCATGTTCCAGGGATGAGTTAAACCTTGAAATGACCTTGGCTGTACAGGGCCTGCATACTCTAAGATGGGCCTGACTGTTCTGTTTCCAGGCAATGAGAGTTGCAGATAATCAAAGAGTTGTGGTCCATTTATTCATGCCTGTTTCACAAATGTACCAATTTGTCACCTAAGCTGGCTTCTGTATTAGGTTGATTACACCCTCTAGAAACCAAAAACACTAAGGTGTTTTGTTTTGTTTTGTTTTTTGAGACGGAGTCTCACTCTGTCGCCAAGCTGGAGTGCAGTGGTGTGATCTCGGCTCACTGCAACCTCCGCCTCCCGGGTTCAAGTGATTCTCCTCCCTCAGCCTGCTGAGTACCTGGGACTACAGGCGTGCGCCACCATACCCAGCTAATTTTTGTATTTTTAGTAGAGATGGGGTTTCACCATGTTGGCCAGGATGGTTTCCATCTCTTGACCTTGTGATCTGCCCGCCTTGGCTGACACTAAATTTTGAAAGCTAAAGGAACAGGCAAAAAAGCTCACTGTGTCTGTAGGACTGGAATTTTTTTTTTTTTTTTTTAAAGGTGCAAGAAGGGCCATTAGGTAAAGTGAAAACCTGCAGCACAGAGAGTTCAAGGAAGTTACCGCAGAGCTGTGGCCAGGCAGCTCCATCAGGGTTTCTCATCCTTGGTGGCTGTCCAGGAGTACCCTAGCCCTGACATGGAGGTTTCCATATAGTTCAGCTGCTGGGCCAGTGAAGGGATGAAGCTGCCTTCTCTGGCTGCCTTCTCTGATTGGGAACAATAAGCGGGGAATTACAGAATCTCAACCCCACCTCCAACCCGATACTCTGGTTAACTGCTATTTGAGACTTGGCAGGTTGGGCTCTTGCCGTGTTGTTCAGGGACAGGGCTAAATAGGCGCTGCACTGATAACTGCCAAGGGGCTCCCTGGCCCATCTAGTCTGTCTCTTACCAGTGTCTTGACATAAAGCAGGAATATGGTCCCCACCCCTTTTTTTTTTTGGAGATAGGCTCTCACTCTGTTGTCCAGGCTGGAGCACAGTGGCGTGATCTCAGCTCACTGCAGCCTTTGCCTCCCAGATTCAAGCAATTCTCATACCTCAGCCTGCTGAGTAGCTGGGATTATAGGCATGCGCCACCATGCCCAGCTAATTTTTGTATTTTTAGTAGAGACGGGGTTTCGCCGTGTTGGCCAGGCTGGTCTTGAACTCCTGACCTCAAGTGATCCACCTGCCTTGGCTTCCCAAAGTGCTGGGATCACAGGCATAAGCCACCCCACCACACCTGGCCCAGTCCCATTTTACAGATGTAAAAACCAAGGTGTAGAGAAGTGAGTAATCTGATGTGTAAAATGGAGCTCAACCACATTAGCAGAACTAGCAGAATTAGTAGGTGATGGATAGAGATATAAAAGGATTTAGTGCAACAAATTACCTTCTATGATGATGGAATCTGGTCAGGCAAGTCTGATATCCACAGGACAAGCCATCAGAAAGGGCAGGCTGGAACTCTGGGCACAAACTGATGGCTGATGGCTAGTCTCGCACATAAATAACTATTGCTGCACCATGCCATGGACTACCAACTACCCTCTTTACCCTGACTCTATGGAAATAGAGTCATTGATGCCTTTAAGTTCAATCAAACTAGGGAAGAATTCTAAAAAAATCCAGAACCAATGCAGAAAACTCATCTTTAAGATTCTATTTTTCTAGAACCACTTTTGGCACCAAAATCTGTATCAGTCAGATTCAACTAGAGAAGCAGAACCAGTAGGGGATATATTGAGATTTATTGCAAGGAATTGACTTCAGTGATTGTAGGAGCTGGCTAGTCATGTCTAAACTCTGTGAGGCAGGCTATCAGAAGGGCAGACTGTCAGGAACTCTCGCCAAGCACTGGGCTGCTGTCCTCAGGCAGAATTTCTTCCTCAGGGAAACCCTTAGCTCTGTTCTTTAGGCCTTCTGACTAATCAGGTCAGGCTGACCCAGATTATCTGAGATAATCTCACTTACTTAGTCAATTGGGAATGGACTTCTGTCACATCTACAAAATACCTTCACAGAAATACCTAGATTAGTGTCTGATTGAATTACTGGTGACTGTGGCCTAGCTAAGCTGACACATCCAAAGACCATCCGACCCACCACAGCCTTGCTGTAGGCTCAGGGTCTCTGGATCAGCCCTCACCCTCTTCCCACTGGTGTACGGGATGGACAGCATCATCTGCCTAACCTCAAATCCACCTGCACAAGCAGTACCTGGGCATTTTTTTTTTTAGTTGAGGTAAAATTTACATAACAAACATTCTGAAGTATACAAATTCAGTGGCATTTAGTACATTCACCTCTACCTAGTCCCCAAACATTTCCAATACCCCAGAAGTAAGCAGCCCCTTACCCATTAAGAAGTCACTCCCCATGCCACTCTCCCCCTGCCTGGGAATTTTAAAACCAACCTGGACAATGTTATTGGGGAGAACCTGGACATGTTAAGCCTGCCACACTTGCTAATCCACTGGGGCAGAGGTGTCTTCCTCACCCCAAGGCAGGCACTGAAGCCGGCTACTCTTTCACGATGGTGGGGCTGTAGTTGGACTTGACAGCTTCGGCGAGCTCCCGTGCGTACATCTCATACCTGCCCGTCATCTGAAAGCAAAACACAGATGTACTTTAGAGGTTCTGGTTTTATAAATCCCCATCACTTACACGCCACCACCTCTTGCCACTGGAGGGCAGTCATGGGGCAGGAACGCATCAGGAAGGCTCGTTGACAGTGACCTCTTGGCACTGATTCTAGTACTGTGGCAAAGTTCACAGATGCTACAATGAC
This sequence comes from Homo sapiens, assembly GCF_000001405.40. Classification (NCBI taxonomy): domain Eukaryota; kingdom Metazoa; phylum Chordata; class Mammalia; order Primates; family Hominidae; genus Homo; species Homo sapiens. Next base: position 24,525,526 of record NC_000022.11, on the reverse strand, counting down.
TCATACAGCCCAGCATTGGCTGCTGTGACCCCTTCGACCTGTCTATCCAGAAAGTGTGGTCTGCTGAGGCAGGATGGAGAAGGGGAGTCCCGTGGTCCTGTTGCTCCCCAGAAGAGCATCCTACAGCCCAGAGAGGAGTGACCTGCTCCAGGTCACTAGCCAGTTGTAGAAAAGGCTGGGATTTGAACCAGGGGCTCCTGGATGGGCCTGGAGTTCTGTCTACTCCATGTGGCATCTCATCGTGGATACAGAGGCTGGTGGAGTTGGAAAGCCCACCCACAGTGCTCACACCCAGCACACCCTCCCTCCCTCCCTCCTTTCCCAAGGTGGATTACTCCCAAAAGCCTTGACAGGAGCTCAGGCCCATTACCAAAGTTGGGAAGGCTTCTGCTTCTAAGAAGTGTCTAATGAGAAAACATTTGGTTTACTGCTCCTGGGATACTTATTAAAAAGAGTTGGCCAGCATTCTTGGCTCCCTTCTGATTTGGGTGGAATCCTACATTCATCCTAGTTGCCCAGGAAGAGGAGAGAGAGGTCAGGAGACTCTCTCATGCCCAATACCTTGTTTGTCTGACAAGGATCCGAGACTGAGGAACCCATGCTCAGAAAACAGGATCAAGGCCAAAAGCCCATGTCTGGGTGGATTAGAGGCCCTGGTGGTCTTTTAGTCACACCGGGCAAAGTCAGTTATAACAATGGACATTTGCATATACAATTTGCTTATAAAAGGTTGCTGAGGCAGGGCACAGTGGCTTATGTCTATAATCCTGGTATTTTGGGAGCCCGAGGTGCGAGGATTGCTTGAAGCCAGGAGTTCAAGACCAGCCTGGGCAACATAGTGAGACTCGGTCTCTATAAAAAATTTTAAAAATTAGCTGGGTGTGGTGGTGGTGCACGCCTATAGTCCCAGTTACTCGGGAGGCTGAGGTGGGAGGATGGCTTGAGCCCAGGAGGTCAAGGCTGCCATGATCTATGGCTGTGCCATTGGTCCAGCCTAGATGACAGAGCCAAGACCTTGTCTCCATGCCCCCTACTCCACCAAAAAAGAAAAAGGGGTGCTGAGTTGGTGGAAATACTTTCGGACACTAATACAGCAAACTCTGAAGCTGTGAGCCTTTCTAGGGTGGAGTCCCATCCCAGGAGGGCAGACATCTCCATTCCTCTGACTCCTGACATCACAGGGCATTAGGTGTCAAAGCCAGCATGGGACCTTCGAGTTAAGCCCCGTATTTTACAACTGGGAGTACTAAGGCTTGGGAGCACAAGGGGCTTAATTAAGGTGACCAAGGAAGGAAGGCTGTGGCAGAGCCAGGCCTAGATTCCATTTCTCTGCATGACCCATTTCCTGCTATCGTCAAGGCCTAGACTGCAGGGACTGGCCACAAGCAGAACCAGACATGCATATTTATCTTGTGATAAGTGCAAATGCCTGGAAAGGAAAAAGGATTAGAGGAGCCAATCCATTCTATTCTCTGGACAAATGAAATTGAGATTAATTTGTCTGAAGGCACCCAGAATCTAAATCAGATGAGAGGAGAATTTATTGCAGCCTGCTGCTTGTACATTGTTTGACCCAACTGTTCCTCCCGGGAGCCAGCAAGGAGGCAGAGATTCAGCCCTCAGCTCACACAGAGCCCTCAGGTGGGAGCTGGTACCTCATGCTGCCATGGGCAACCCCGCAACAGCAGTTCCTGAGAGCAGGATGAGGGCCAAAGCAGAGGAGCAGGCAACAACAGGGGTCCTGGGGACCTACCTTGAAGTTCCAGACATCATTCACCTGCTGGCAGAGGTTTAGGTCGAGCTTAGCAACTAGCAGTCCATCCCGGCTACGGGACAGCCCAGGAGTCCGGCTGCTGTCAGGGGCTGCCACATAGCTCGAGCCATAAAAGTAGCCAAAGTCCTGGTGAGCTTTAAAGGAACAAAGAAACACATCTGTGAGCTTGTGTAGATGCACTGTGGGCTCCACAGAGGGTCAGGCACCTTGAGGCAGGCCCAGGACACGGAGTCCATGCCATCCTCCCCAGTGTCTGCCAAATGCTGAGGCCCAAAAGGCCTGTCTCTCATCTCAGGCCTGAAGGCCCAGCAAATTGCTGCAAATGGCCCCCTTATGCTGCTTCCCTTTGCCCCTGGGGAAATGTCTAAATGTCACCCTTCTGAGAGGTGTCACTTCTACCCACAGCCTAAGGAAAACAGAAAGTCACACTCTGGGGGCTTCCTATGGGGGCCCTCACAGTGAGCTGGAGGCTCTGCCTTCATCTGCCTTGCCAGCTGCGTCACCCTTATCCTCCCTCCAGGCCTTGGTCCCTTCACCAGTCAGGGAGGACTAGCAGCCACCCCACACATGTGTAAGGAGCAGGTGGGGCTGGGCAGGGCCTAGCATGGCCCAGATGCAGCAGGCACCCAGTGGACGCTCATTCCCCTGCCCTTTCTGCATCTCTATTTGCAGTAAGTTAACTAGGATCAGGGACTCTAGAAGTCGGGGGACCTGAAATGGCGGCATCTGGGACCCTTTCAGGAAGTGTTTTCCTGGAAAACAGACTCGCTCAGCCCCTTCTGGCATTTTTTTTTTTTTTTTTTTTTTTTAGGTGGCATTTCCCTCCTGTTGCCCAGGCTGGAGTGCAATGGTGCGATGTCAGCTCACCACAACCTCCACCTCCTGGGTTCAAGCAATTCTCCTGCCTCAGCCTCCTGAGTAGCTGGGATTATAGGTATGGGCCACCATGCCCGGCTAATTTTTTGTATTTTTTTTTTTTTTTTAGTAGAGACTGGGTTTCTCCATGTTGGTCAGGCTGGCCTCAAACTCCCAACCTCAGGTGATCCGCCCGCCTCAGCCTCCCAAAGTACTGGGATTACAGGCATGAGACACCATGCCTGGCCTCCTCCTGGCTTTCTAGAGGACACTCTGAGCTACCTCCAAGTGTCCAAGCTACCTCACCAAGGTTCAGATACCTCCTTGGTGAGGGGGGCAGTCCCTACCTCCCTCATTCTTGGCCAGAGACATGGGAAAGGAGTCTTTAGGGTTCTTAGCAGAGGTGAGGTGGTATATGCCCTTGGATCAAAACAAGCCATGGACTCTAGAAACCCAGGGCCATCCATGCCAATGCCCTGTGGCATCAGTACAGCTGGTTTGGGCAAGGGGAGGGGGGACAAGGACAAAGGAAAGTGGAAAGGGAGATCTATGGGCTGGATGAGAGCACCTCTCCCTTTCAGAGAGCTCACAGAGGATCCCCCACATCCTCTTGGTTCATCTTCACACCAGTCCCGGGGAATGGATGGAGTCCAACCCACTCCTCAAGCTCAGGACTGCCTATCCACACCCCAGCCACAGCCCGATTCCCACACTGCAGGCAATAAAGCAGAGAGGAATTGGCGCCTCCTCCTAGGTGCCAGGCATGCAGATGTGATCTGTGTGGCAGATCCTGACTGGAGGAAGCAGACAGAGAAGGGGAGAGGAAGGCCCACTCCTCAACTGCAGCCACCATGGTTCATGGGACATACCTTTCTTTCCATCTCCCGAGGTAAACTCGTTCGGGAAGTGCTCCTGTGAAATAAGACCAAGGTAAGAGGAACCTATAGGTGGCACTACCACTACACTCATTCCAGCTCACTCAGCCAGATGAGCAGGGCAATCAGGCCGAGAGGCGAGTCAGCCAGGAAACAGTTAAGGTGAGCTGGAATGGTCTGTACTCACCGGGCAATTAAGTGCTTATTAAACACTCCTGCTGAGCAGCCAGCCCTGGGCCAGAGGGGAATTTGACAAGCGGGGTAAAAACCTGGATGGTGCCTTTGGGGAGTTCATAATCTGAGAGAAGAGAAAGAAACTGGGCACAGACTGGTTCTCAGGGCTGTGGGCACCTGAGGCTGGCCTGCTTGAAGTAATTAAAACCCCAGGCCGGGGTGTGTGAAGGCAGTGGGCAGGTACACACACTGCTTTCAGTATTTCCTCCAGAACCTAATGGAAACTGTACATCAACCTGTGATGGGGTTACATAGGCTAACTAAAACATCAGGTTTCTTTTCTATTTATTTATTTAATTATTTATTTATTTTGGAGACGGAGTTTCATTTTTGTTGCCCAGGCTGGAGTGCAATGATGCGACCGCGGCTCTTCCACCTCCCGGGTTCAAGCAATTCTCCTGCCTCAGCCTCCCTAGTAGCTGGGATTACAGGCGCCTACCACCGCGCCCGGCTAATTTTTTGTATTTTCAGTAGAGACAGGATTTCTCCATGTTGGCCAGGCTGGTCTGGAACTCCTGACTTCAGGTGATCTACCCGACTCGGTCTCCCAAAGTGCTGGGATTACAGGCATGAGCGTCCGCACCTGGCCTTTTTTTTTTTTTTTTTTTTGACAGAGTCTCACTCTGTCACCCAAGCTGGAGTGCAGTGGCGCGATCCTGGCTTACTGCAACCTCTGCCTCCTTGTTCAAGCTATTCTCGTGCCCCAGCCTCCTGAGTAGCTGGAATCACAGGCACGTGCCAGCCTGCCCTGCTAATTTTTATATTTTTAGTAGAGACAGGGTTTTGCCACACTGGCCAGGCTGGTTTCAAACTTCTGACCTCAGGTGATCTGCCAGCCTCGGATTCCCAAAGTGTTAGGATTACAAGCATGAGCCACCAAACCCAGCCAAAACATCAGGTTTCTTTATGCTGCTAGAAGTCAGATAGACTTAGTGTAGAAACCTTGGTTATCTCAGACTGAAAAGATCTTCTGATTAGAGTTTGCTATCTGATTAATAAGGATGAGGAAGAGATATAATAAGTGCATTCTGTTTGGCAGTCAAAACTGTTAAGTGTATGGGGTCAATGGGGAAAATAAACTGGATACTTGGAGGTGATAGGGTGAGAACTGCCATGTCAAAGATCTTTTCAAAAGGGCTTCAGCCAAATACAAAAACAGAAAAAACAGGAGGACAGAGATATCTTGAAAAGTAACGGACCAAGCCAGTTTTACCCCTTTCCGGACCCTAGGATTTGTGGCATGTGTGCAGAGGGAACGGGGTGTCCCCACCAGAGCCACCAGGTGGTGGCTCCTCTCCCCAGCCAGACCTCGGGACTTACGGTGCCCACTCGATTGATGGCGCAGGTGAAGCAGTGATTGGCAATGGCTGCGTTTCTGGCCTCGATGGGCCACAGGGACTCGCTGTAAGAGAGGACCAAGAGGAACCAGGTTGCCGACTTTCCAGGCAGACTCAGTGGATGCTCAGCCCTGAGCCTGGCCTGGCTGCAGGCTTTCCTGGGCCAGTGGTGGGGACAGAGCCTGGCCTGGCTGCAGGCTTTCCTGGGCCAGTGGTGGGGACAACCAGGAGACTCACCGGTCACACCCCAAACCTGCAACCAGGCCAGCCTGTCCTCAGCACCTTGCCCTGGCCTGAACAGCCTTTGGGAAGGGCCTGCTGCAGGCATAAGCCACGTGGCTGTGCTCTGTCAGAAGAATTAGCAGCCCTGGATCAAATCCTCATCCTGAGCCTCAGTTTCCTTTTCTGAAATGTCCTCAAAAGAAGACTATGAAGACTGAATGACCATGCAGGTGAAGATCCAAGTGGTAGGAGTTCCATAACCACCACTTCCCACCTCCATCCCTTCTCCTGGAACCCACCTGCTGGGCTGGGCAGAACCTCTCCTGGTGAATGCCAGAAGGGAGCCGGGGGCCTGGTGGGCTTGTGCAGGGCCTGTGAGGGCTGAGCACAGGCTGTACCTGCCCTACCCTAACTCTCCTACTCTGCTATGCTGCCTTGCAAGGCAATCTCCAAAGCGGGTGATTTCAGGGCCAGTAAACAAGAAAGGAACTTAGGTAATAGGATAAGGGGTCAGATTCGGCAGCAGGGTCACCTCCTCCAAGCTGGGCCATTTCCCAGTGACTTCCCATTTCCCTCTTCTGAACCTTGAGTCTCTAAGTAAAGGCTCCCTGGTTCTCTTACTGGCCAGTGGGCTAGTGGCCCAGGAGGGAGGCACCCCATGTGCTTGGCTGAGCTGTGGGCCTTCCTCACTTCAGCACCTGCAAAGGGAGAATGCGATGGGAGACACGGCCCCAACCAGAGACCCTGTCCTTCTCTGGCCCGCCAACTAAGATATGACATGGAATCTAGTGGGCCTTCTTGTCACTAATTATCTTTTGTCTGAGGAACATCTTTAAGACTGTGGATTGACAGGAGTAATGCCCACTTAGAAACACTGTGTGACTAGGATCAAAATGCCCCGGAATCTTCCTTCGTGTCAGCAGGCACCTGGTTTAAACCAGGGAGTAGGTGGAGGGGGTGGGTGCTTGTCATAAGCCTAATTCTCAGGAGGATTCATGAGTCTGAAAAAATAAAAAATCACAGGCTTGATTGAGGGGACTCATTTTGCTGCTTTTTTCCCCCAGCTGCTAAGCCAAGCTGACAAAACTTTTCAGAAATGATTTTTACAGAAACACACCAGTAAATGACATTTTCAGGAATTAAATAGACACTTGCAGGGCGATTGCCATAAACATCTTAGTTGCAATTCTCCAGGGAGGTGTTCTGCATAGGACCCAAACCCACAGCTGGAAATAAAATTTATGCTCTCAAAACCACCAGGGGAAAGGAAGCTGGGGTTAGTGAGAGCCCAGTGTGTGCAGGAATCATGACGTCTGATGGGGAGTGGGGACGTTTGCCATATTCCCAGCGCGGTGCACACACACCCCTAAAAATAATCGCAGTGGAAAGGCAAGATGCAGCAAGAGGATAGGATGGTGACTTGCCAATGAATGTACACAGGTGGTAGAAATCTTTGGTCACCCAAGCTGTAAGGGACACATCCTTGGATTATGAGGATAACCTAATCAAAAGCATTCAGACACTACTATGTACTTAGAACTGTGGGACTCAAAAATGAATGAGGACACCCTGCTGACCCATGTGTGTGCATGCACATGTGTATGTCTGTCTCTAATACAGGCGGCAGAAGGTGCCAGAAAAGGGGATGGATGGTTCTGGATGCTGTGATCCAATGCTGGTGGGGATTTGCCCAGCATTATGCTGAAAAACACTATCAATTCCATCATTCATCATTTTAAGAAAACAAGCCAGGATCCTACCATCTTAATAAACCACCTGTTGCCTTTTATCCACACTCCATGACTATCCTCATCCATAGGCAAACTTTTTTTTCCTTTTTTTTCCAAGAGTTCTGACCACAGCCTGAACACGTCTTTTTCTTGCTCACAGGCTTTCATCACTTTGCATTACCTTCATCATGACTCTTTATAGTGGCTGTACAATAACCTGTGGAAGAGGTGGGCTGTAATGTGCTTAGCTCAGACACTTCCCCCGCTGTCAGCTTTTCCCTTATTGTAAGTAAGCTGTTGTGAGCACCTTCACATGCATTGCCTTTCCCTGTTTTTTTTTTCTGTCTTGTTCTGTCACCCAGGCTGGAGCGCAGTGGTGCAATATCAGCTCACTGCAACCTCCACCTGCTAGGTTCAAGCGATTCTCCTGCCTCAGCCTCCCAAGTAGCTGGGACTACAGGTGCCTGCCACCATGCCCGGCTAATTTTTGTATTTTTAGTAGAGATGAGGTTTCACCATGTTGGCCAGGATGGTCTCAAACTCCTGACCTCAAGTGATCCGCCAGCCTTGGCCTCCCAAAGGGCTGGGATTACAAATGTGAGCTACTGTGCCTGGCCTTCCCTCCTCTTTTAGATTGTTTCTTCAGGCTACAGTTCTAGGAGCATCATTATCAGGCCAAAGGGCATGAGCATTTTAGGAGCTCATGAAACATACTGCTTTCCAAAAGACCTGTTAGTTTTTACTGCCAGCCTCACCACACCCTGGAAAGCCAAGGGTTGGATGATTCTTGGCTGAGGAAAGAAAAATCAATCATTTTTAATAAGCCTAATAGGCTGCTGAGGACATAGCAATTATATGCATATTACACTGGGGTGCTTCTGTTTGCCTAACTGGAGCCAATAAAAGCCTGAGATAGGAGGGTCAGGGAGGGCCTCTGCACACACAAGGCGAGGAGCCATCTGAGTCCACAGCCACAACTTTGTCTGCCCTGGCCCAGAAGCCAGATGCCCTAGTGCTTCGGGTTCCTCTAGGGACCCCAGTGGGAAGATGGAGCTTGCCAAGTGTCTTACCCAGAGCCAGCAGAGGGGGCTGCTTTAGGGGGTGGCCCCAAAGTTCTGCCCAGGCCTGGTAGCTGGATGACCAGTAAAAACCCTACTGACAACCACCAATGAATGCTATCACTGGTGATCTGACCACCATGAGACTCCAGTATGTTCTCTGAGGGGAGATGGAGGCCTGATATTCCCCTTCTACCCAACAGTACCCCTCCTGGACATGGACCAGACCTCCAGGTACATGGGCAGGGTGGTAGACCTGAGGTAACAGAGGAGGGGTTGCATTCTGGCTCCAGAAGGAACCTGCTATGTAAATAAATGTTGAATGGGGAGGGGATATTACTCTTGAGAAAGGGGCACTGTATGAAAAGAAAAGGTAAATGTCACACCCTGACGTTTAGAAGAAATTCAACTGAAATTTGGCCGGGGGCAGTGGCTCACGCTTGTAATCCCAGCACTTTGGGAGGCCAAGGTGGGTGGATCACAAGGTCAGGAGATCGAGACCATCCTGGCTAAGACGGTGAAACCCCATCTCTACGAAAAATACAAAAAATTAGCCAGGTATGGTGGCGGGCGCCTGCAGTCCCAGCTACTTGGGAGGCTGAGGCAGGAGAATGGCGTGAACCCAGGAGGCGGAGCTTGCAGTGAGCCAAGATTGCGCCACTGCGCTCCAGCCTGGGTGACAGAGCAAGACTCCGTCTCAAAGAAAAAAAAAAAAGAAGAAATTCAACTGAAATTTAGTCAAGAATGAGGACAAGAGAGACAAGTGCAGGCTGACAGAGACTAAAGCTGCACACCCACCAGAACTCCCCCTGCTCCCCACCCATGGCAGGACAGGGCACACCCCTGTCCTGCTGGGGACACTGGCAGCCAAGACCACAGAAAGTGAAAGCCAGCACCTCCTGCTGCAGGAATCCTGCTTGGAAAGAAGTGAGTTGGGGAGAAAAGTATTTGCACATAAATTCCTAGAGTTCTGTTACTTGTAGTGATGCAAAACTGGAAACCACCCAAATGCTCAGCCTTTGTGGAAGAGAGAGGCAGCAGCAGCAGAGTCATGCAGTCAGATCAGCTCGCTGGATGCCCCTCCTAAATGAGGGGCCCCAGGGGTGGGGTACTGCCCAGTTCTCGGGCTTCCGGGGCCACCCTCCCCTCATCCCCCAGCCCTGCCTTGACAAGGGCAGTTCTATCTGTTTAGGGGTGAGGCTAACACCGAAACACTTGTTATGTGTTATAAAAATAAAACCCTTCTCTGGTTAAAGACAAGTTTCCTCGACTGATCTCCAACTCCCTCATTTGCAGCTTCTCTTGTCCAGATGTCTGTCCTGCCTGTGCAGGATGCTGCAGATGTGAGGACTAGGAATCCACAGTTCCCCATCCAAGAGCCAATGCTGGCTAGGCACCTACTATGCTCCAAGGACTTAGATGTGGGGGTTCTTTTTTGTTTTTTCGTTTTGTTTTGTTTTATTTTTTGAGATGGAGTCTCGCTCTATCACCAGGCTGGAGTGCAGTGGTGCCATCTTGGCTCACTGCAACCTCCGCCTCCCAAGTTCAAGTGATTCTCCTGCCTCAGCCTCCCGAGTAGCTGGGACTACAGGCACACACCACCACGCCTGGCTGATTTTTGTATTTTTAGTAGAGACAGGGTTTCACCACGTTGGCTAGGCTGGTCTCAAACTCCTGACCTCAAGTGATCCACCTGCTTCGGCCTCCCAAAGTGCTGGGATTACAGGTGTGAGCCACCGAGCTCAGCCCAATGTGGGGCTTTTTGAAGCCCCCTGCTGACTACAGGGAAAGGGGGGAATTATTTTCATCTCAGTGTTCAGAATCACAGCAGAGGTTGGTGTTTTACTGTAGAGCAGCTCTTGCTGCGGGTGGGGGATTGCTCATTGCCATCTTGAGGATTCTTTTCACTGAAAAGCTGGTCACATGTACAACATGCAATCCTGGGGGCTCAGCTCTGTTAACATCCTGGTGGCTGCGCCTGCCTGCTGCCACCTTGGAGCTCCACAGCCCAGCCTTGGGCTTTAGCTGGCTGGGCCCCAGGAAGCCCCCCAGACCCCACCAACTGAGTGACCTGAGTGCTCCTATCGTGGCCGAGGGGTTGAAGATGATCTCAGCCCCGTTGATGCTGTACATAAGCCAGTTGAGGGGGTGGTGCCGCCCGTAGCAAATGTTCACCGCGATCCTTCCGAACTGCGTCTGGAACACGGGGTGGCCCAGGTTTCCCTCCATGTAGTAAGTTGACTGAAAAGCAAAGGGCCATATACTGATGCCTCTGACCTTCAAGATTTCCTTAGACTCAGCAGAAAAACTGAAATATCACCAATAGTCCAGAGGTGGTTACACTCCTGAGTGTGACTCTAAGTTCCAGAATTTCAATATGATAAAAACAAAACACACACAAAAAAACCCTGACACCAAATAAGCCAGCCCCCGGGGGAAATCACAGTGGCTTAAGCATTTGCCCAGTCTCCTTTCTGACATGTCACAAAAATCCCCACAATGACGTTCCACACTATTTCAAACTCTGGTGAGGTTTCAATTATGGTCCAACTCAAGGCTCGGGTTTGGTTGGCATTAACACGAGTTGGTCAATGCCCTCAGCAATCACATGTCATTATATAGAACGGTGGAGCCCGGAGACCTGGAGCACATCCAAGCAACTCTCTCCCTGGTCAGAGGAGAAAGCTGCTTCCTGAGGGGGCATAGCTCGCCCAAATGATTAAGGCCAAAGCTTCTAGTGGAACCCACACCCTGAAAGCGCACCTTCTCCATCCTGCCTAGGGTTAAGGAGGTCCCTGTGGGGCAGGCGGACCAGACCCCATCCTCCCATCCCTGCTTCTCTGTCTGCTCCTAAGGGTGCCAGGGCAGGGACACTGTCCTGGACAGCACTGAGGGAAGCTAGAGGGCAAATCAGGGTCCCAAACAGATCTGCTCCAGGAGCCTTCCACCTCCTCCTGATCCTGGCCATCAAAATTGGCCAGGGTCAGGCAGCAACCAGGATGTGTGCACGTGGTGAACACCGGAGCAGATCCTGCTGTGCTGAGACAAGCCCTGTGCTATCTGCAGGGAGCTAAAGATTAATCCCAGGGTAAACAGGTGAGGGGCGCGTCTTCCCACCCCCACCTCCAGCTGTTACTGAGAAACGCTGGGTTCTTCTTTCTCCCTGGGAAACCTCCTCTAGCTCTGCAGGCCATTTCTTATCTGCCTGACCAGCCTGAGAACGGCCAGGACCCCCACATTCATGGAGAGAGAACTGGGGACATCACATCCTGAACAACTGCATTAATGGCAAATCAAGTTCAGATTTAACATCTTAGGCATTAGGCAGAGGTCATTTCCCTCCTTCAAACATCCACCGCTCCCATCTTACCCACCCAGGGGTTGGCATTAACCAACCAAAATGGCCCCCCCAACTTATGCCCTGATCATGGGCACATGAAACTTCACATAATGCACAGTATACAGACATGCATGTTTGCCTACTGCCACCTGACACACAAACATGGGCCACCTCAGACCCCCCCATGATCCACAGACAAGGAATGCCATGCTCCAAACAAGGACAGGGCTGTGGCGTGCTAGGCTCTGAGCCTGAAAGGGGCCACAGGAATCATTTCATGTTTGTGCAATATTTAGTTTTGGTTTTAATTTATATACCACTTACTTCAAAGAATTCAGGAGGCCAAATCAGGTTGTATTAAAAAAATATATGCCCCATTGTGCTAAAGGTGTTTGGGACTCCTCTGAGAGTCCCGCCTGAATCCTGTCTGCCTGTGTGATATAGGGCAATGTCAGGTAACCCTCTGAGCACTGCAGCCACACTGTGCTCCCGTGGAGTGTACGTGACATGGAGTATGATCCTGCACAGAACTTCCCCACAGAAAGTCCCACAGAGATCTACAACATACAGAGGGGCAAGTGAGCAGGGCTGGTTATCTATCTTATGGGTGGCTCACCTCGTTGAAATCACCCACTCTGGGGATGTGGTTTTTCCTGGTCTTTCCCAGGACTGCTCCGGAATTGGAGATCACCACGGCTGTATTCCACAAAACATCCCCATGCTCGCTGTCTCGTTCCAGGATGGGAGACACCACCACCATGTCATGGTTCTTCGCCAGCTGGAAAAATGATAAATATGGCAGAGTCCCACTTATAAACCAATTGTTGTAGTTTTTTATCAAAGAAGAATGATCCTACTAAATCAATAGGCTTGGGTCAGAGCAACCACTTGCATTTGTTGTTTGGAACACTAAATACCCTGATGTCCATGCTTTGCTAAATAAGAATCACATTGTCCTGTACACAGTTGGTGGTAGAGTAAAATGGTGCAGCTGCTCTGGAAAACCATATGGGAGTTCCTCAAAAAATTAAACAAGAATTACCATTTGATCTGGCAATCCTAATCCTGGGTATATATCCAAAAGTATTGAAAGCAGAAGAGATTTGCAAACGCATATTCATTGCAGCATTATTCACAATAGCAAAGAGGTGGGAGCCAACCAAGTGCCCATCAATGGGTGAATGGATAAATGAAACATGGCACATCCATACAATGGAGTATCATTCAGCCTTAGATGCCACGGTTCTACGCTACACATGGATGAACCTTGATGATACTATGCTAAATGAAATAAGCCAGTCCCAAAAAGACAAATACTGTATGATTCCACTTGTGTAAGGTATCTAGAGTAGTCAAACTCACAGAAATGGAAACTATAATATTAATAGAACGGTGGTTGCCAGGGGCTGGGGGAATGGGGAGCTATTGTTTAATGGGACAGAGTCAGATTTGCAAGATGCAAAAATTCTGGAGATCCGCACAGTGTGAATATACTTTACACTACTGAACTGTGCACTTAAAAGTGGTTAAAATAGTACATTTTATATGTATATTTTACCACTTGAAAAAAGAATAAAAATAATAATCAAACGACTTATCTATGCCAAAAATAAATTTCTTTGGCATCAAATTCCTTTTGTCTCAAGTAAGAACATCAGTCCCTGGTGACCACAGGATGAGCAGCCCAGCGGGTCATTTGTCCTCTACTCTAATTAGCTGTCATGATCTCTGGCCTTAACAACAGGATAGGGGAGAGGCATGCTCAGAAGGCAACACTAGGAGCCATGCTAAGGGCAGCCTCAGGTCCCTGTGGAGGCGGAGTGTCTCTGGCACCAGCTCTCTTTCACACTCTTCCTCCAGCCCTGGCTCAGACTTATCATCTGCAAAAGTCCCCTAACCAGTCTCCTTCCTCTTTTTTCCATAGCAAGAAATCAACAACCTGGTGAATGAGAGATTTTTTTTTTTCCCCTACAGCCTGAGAACATCGATGTTTGGAATCACAACTGAGTATTGATAAAGTCACCATGATTATAGCTCTGCCCCAAAAGCCCCTAAGTATATGTATAAAACCTGAAAGAGAATACAAAGAAATGAAAAGAGTTATTGTGTTAGAGGTGAAAATAAGGATAAATGACCATTCGTCACCTCATGGGTTTTCTGATAACAGTTTTATTAAGATATAATTCAGGCCAGGTGCGGTGGCTCACGCCTATAATCCCAGCACTTTGGGAGGCCGAGGTGGCGGATCACGAGGTCAGGAGATCAAGACCATCCTGGCTAACACGGTGAAACCCCGTCTCTACTAAAAATACAAAAAAAAATTAGCCAGGCATGGTGGCGGGCGCCTGTAGTCCCAGCTACTCCGGAGGCTGAGGCAGGAGAATGGCGTGAACCCAGGAGGCAGAGCTTGCAGTGAACCGAGATCGTGCCACTGCACTCCAACCTGGGCAACAGAGTGAGACTCCATCTCAAAAAAAAAAAAATATATATATATATATATATAATTCACAGAGCATAAGATTCACTTTAAGATTGGTCAAGTACAGTAGCGAGAGGTGGGAAACAGCAGAACAAGGAGTCACTCTTTTGAAGTGTGCAATTCAGTAGTATTCAGGATATTCACAGAGTTGTGCAACCTTCACCACTATCTAATTTTAGAACATTTTCATCACCCTAAACGGAAACTTTGTATCCATTAGCAGTCACTCCCTTCCTCCCTCACCCCCAGCCCTTAGCCACCACTTATCTACTTTCTGTCTCTATGGATTTGCCTATTCTGGACAGTTTATATAAATGGGATCATACAATATGTATTATAAGGTTTTAATGAAGAAAAATCAAAACCAATTTCTATGCTGATGAGACACAGGCCATGCATCGAAGCTTCTGTGACTCAAGCAAACTGCAGTGGAGCATGCAGAGCTCTGGATGAGAAACTGGCTTCTCTGGTCCCTGAATGCCAGCTCTGCCACTTGCCAGCTGTGGGACTTGCTACAAAAGTCACCTCCGACCACCCTCCCTGGGCTGCAGCTCCCTTGCCTGAAAAAGCTAATGGCCCTTCTGGAGCCTTACACGCCCCAATTCTAAGAGTACGCTAAAAAAAAAAGTGGCAGATAGTCTTATCTAATCTTATCTGGCAAAACAAGCACCAAATGGGTGCATTTTCCATGGTGAAAGGCCAAACCCGGCAGCTGTGGTCATGCTCTGTGACTTGCACATATTTGGCAGCTGCTGCCAGAGGCACCGTTAATGTCCTACCTTCTGACAGAATCTGGTGGTGGGCCCATCCTCTGCTGACTCAGCAAATTCTGTCCAAGGAAGCTTCTCTCTCGTACAGAAGGCAAAGGGCATAGCTATAAATAGGAGAAAGGGCAGAATTATATCCAACATGCACAGCCTCTGAGGGGGGCTCCTCAGCCCAGCAGCGGGAAGTCACTGCAAAAGAATACAGTCTCAGGAGTGCCATGGCCTGGCTTCTGGGTCCTGTTCCTGGCTGTGGGCAGCCCTTACCTCTGGGCTTCATGGCAAAACAAGGGGCTGGGCCAAATGTCTTTCCCAAAGTCTTAAAAACAATTGCAGCAGGGACTTGAACAGATATTTGCACACTCATGTTTACAGGAACATTATTCACAATAGCCAAAAGATGGAAACAACCCAAGTGTCTTATCAACAGATGAACTGATAGGTAAAATGTGGTATATATATATACACAATGGAATATCAGTCAACTCTCTTTTAAAAAGGGAAGAAATTCTGATGCATGCTTACATGGATGAACCTTTAAGAATATGCTAAGACACAAAACAAATACTGTAGGCGTCTACTCATAGGAGGTATTTAGAGTAGTCAAATTTTTTTTTTTTTTTTTGAGATGGAGTTTTGCTCTTGTTGCCCAGGCCAGAGTACAATGGCACTATCTTGGCTCACCTCAACCTCCCCCTCCCAGGTTCAAGCAATTCTCCTGCCTCAGCCTTCCCGAGTAGATGGGATTACAGGTATGCGCCACCATGCCTGGCTAATTTTGTATTTTTAGTAGAGATGGGGTTTCTCCATGTTGGTCAGGCTGGTCTTGAACTCCCGACCTCAGGTGATCCGCCCACCTCAGCCTCCCAAAGTGCTGGGATTACAGGTGTGAGTCACCACGCCCAGCCTAGAGTAGTCAAATTCTTAATGACAGAAAGTAGAATAGCTGTCAGAGGCCAGAAGAGGGGATAATGGGAAGTTACTGTTTAATGGGTAGAGGTGTCCAATTGTGAATGATGAGAAAAGTTCTGGAGATCATGGTGATGATGGTTGCACAACATGAATGTATTTAATGCCACAGACTGTACACGTTAAAATGGTAAATATTGTTAATGTATATCTATATGCCACACACACAAAAAGTTTTAAATTGCCAAAGTTCCCAACCAGCAGATCTCATGCTGTTGGCCAATCTGCAGGGTGGCAGGAGCTCCATTGACTCCTTGGGGAAAGTATCAGAAGGCTGCTGGGGATGGCACTGGGACCCCCCCTCCTCCTAGTGACAAGGAGGCTTCTTCAGAAATAAGAAAAGCTACTCATTAATGATCCCACAAAAAGTTTGGGAACCACTGGACAGGATGAACATCTGCAAGGATTAATGCTCTTATTCTCATGATCTCTGGCCAGGCCCCACCTAGGAGCTAATTCAGTAGGAAATTTCATTCGACTCATTGGTTTTTGCTTTTTTTTTTTTTTTTTTTTTTTTTTTTTTTTTTTCAAACAGTAGGTACATACACACAGATTAACAGTTCAAAGATACTGGTCATCTCCATGCACACCAAGTTCAGAGCAGTCTCCTATGCAGGGGATGGAGGGGACTCCGCTGGGGTGGGCCCTTGGGACCTTTGGCTATGTGCCTAATGCTGCTCTACAGCCCAGCCACACGTGAATATCTGCAGTGCATGGAGTTACCTTTAGTACCTGCCAGTCTGCTGGTGTGAACGGTGCCTCACTGTGAGTAAATGTTTCCCATATCCCCGGTGAGGCTGAACCCCTCACCACACATTCACTGGCCAGTCTGGATTCCTCCCCTACATTTTTTTGTTCATACCCTTTGCCTATTTCCTACTGTGCTATTCGTCTTTTTCTTTCTCAATGTGGAGAACTCAATCCTTGTCTGGACTAATTCAGTATACTTTGTAGATCTCCCACCTCACAATAACCCAAGTGCATTTCTTTCTTTTTTTCTTTTCTTTTGAGATGGAGTCTTGTTCTTGTTGCCCAGGCTGGAGTGCAATGGCACGATCTTGGCTCACTGAAACCTCCACCTCCTGGGTTCAAGCGATTCTTCTGCCTCAGCCTCCCAAGTAGCTGAAATTACAGGAGCCCACCACCATGCCCATCTAATTTTTTTTGTATTTTTAGTAGAGATGGGTTTTCATCATGTTGGCCAGGCTGGTCTCAAACTCCTGACCTCAGGTGATCCAGCTGCCTCGGCCTCCCAAAGTGCTGGGATTACAGACATGAGCTACCACACCCAGCCCAAGTCCATTTCTTTCTTTCTTTTTTTTTCTTTTTTGAGACGGAGTCTCGCTCTCGTTGCCCAGGCTGGAGTGCAGTGGCACGATCTTGGCTCATTGCAACCTCCACCTCCTGGGTTCAAGCGATTCTCCTGCCTCAGCCTCCCAAGTAGCTGGGATTACAGGTGCCCGCCACCACATCCAGCTAATTTTTGTATATTTAGTAGAGACAGGGTTTCACCATGTTGGCCAGGCTGGTTTCGAACTCCTGACCTCAGGTGATTCGCCCACCTCAGGCTCAGAAAGTGCTGGGATTACAGGCGTGAGCCACCACATCTGGCCCCAAGTCCATTACTTTTAGAGGGATTAGCCTAACAGAAGTTTCCAGTTGTCTGCTATTGTTCCAGCTACTTTGAACTAACTTGAGGGGGGTGTGCAGGAAGCTGTGTGATGTGATGGGGCAGTGTTTAACTGGCCTCTGCGAGGGCCTTAAGACCCCTTTAGAATTAACAATTGTAGACAGTATCTCCTAAATGCCAGGCATATGTGAAGCATGGTGCCTGGTAGAAAGAAGAAAACAGCTCCCCCATACGGCGGAGGGGGCCAGGGGAGTCTGAACCAAGAGAAATCCGGTGTGCAGCGGAAAAGTGGTTGGTTATATTGGGGGGCTGGAGGAGGTGGGGTCTGATTTGCATAGGGCCCAGGGGATTGGTTTGACCAGGTGTGACATTCAAGTAGCCCGCAAAAAATCTAGCCCTCCCACCTTAGCCCTTTAATATGCAAACGTGAGCTGCCATGATGTCCTGAACATGTATGAGTTATCTGGAGGCGGTCATGACACTTGGCACAGGTGGTGACAAGGAGAAGAGGGCAGGAATTGCCATGTTGGGTGGACCTAGTTTCTAATTGCCGACATTTGCATATCAAAGCTTGCTGGCCTGGCTCTTTAAGCCGCCTTTTCGGTTAGAAAAGAAATGGTTCAGGAGTTGCTTCTTATTACAGGAAAATTTCCACTGAGAACCTTTACTCCTTTATTCCTTTTACTCCTTTCTAGTTGCCTAAAAAGTATTTCTTTATAACTCCTATCTTCGTAATAGGCAGATCGTCTCCAACATCCCTAAGCTGGTGTCACCCCCTTTATTTCACAGAGAAGGAAGAGAAGCCTCAGCCTCTCAATTCCTTCCGGTCCCAGGAAGCCTGGTCCTAAGAGAGTACCACAGTAAATATCCCGCCAATGGCACCACCACCATCTTGCCAAGCAGGCGGCAGGCACTGCCAGCAACAGTCCTGGGGGCCTTGGTAGCAGGCTCAAGGCTCCCCAGGCTCGCCTTCTGTGAAGAGAGATGAATTATTTTAAGGAAGCCAACAGAAAAGCTGTTGAAAACACAAATGCTCCTTAATGACCATTAATTCTCAGCTTTCAGAGCATTAGGAGTGAGTCAAGTGCCCCCAGAGAATAAGCAGCTTCTTTTCCTGTTTACACAACCACTCTAATGTAAACACACTTTCAAAAGAAGGATGTGGAAGTGAGGTTGGGTGAGGCTGGCTGCAAAGTCCCAACTACAGTTCTTCAACTAGAGGGGACGAGGTTCCACATGCACTGACCTAACACCTGGCCCTCAGGAACTGCCAGCCTAGAGGGAAGGAGATGAATTAGAACCTGGTGCGGCCACACAACCTGGCAATACAGAGTGGTCAGGGGGAGTCCTGGGGGAGTCCCCAGGGCCCCACAAAGGAGGGGTACCTGTGCTAGACTTTGATAAATGAGGGGGAGTTCCAGATCCAAGAAAGGGGAGATGTTAGTTCAACTATCCAGCCAATACTAATTTGTAGTGCCTGTCATGCACTAGGGATTATTCTTGCCACTAAAGATGAAACAGGGGTGGGTGGAGAGTTGGGAAAAACAAACACAGATACTATCCTCATGGAGCTCATAGTCTAATGAAGAGTGAGAGTACAAAGGTAACAAAAATAGGAAAACGACATGAACTTCTGGGACACAGACACGTGTTCTTTCCTGAAACCCCATTAACATGACAGGAAAGCAATGTTCATGCAAAGGCATATACCCAACAAGGATGGTGCACTGAGGCACGGAAACACGGGAAGCTGGAAGGCGGAAAGATGCAGGCAAATCTCTCAGCAGATCAGAGAAAACTGAGTCCCGCTAGCAGTAGAGAAGATCTCCTGCTTATCCAAAGCTCAGGACCCAGGGGCACCAGGTACCTCTGAAGGTGGGGAAGCAGGGAAGTATGATAAACAAGGACTGGTCAAAGGTCTATTTAAGAAGCAGTTAGGGGCCGGGCGCAGTGGCTCATGCCTGTAATCCCAGCACTTTGGGAGGCCGAGGTGGGCGGATCACCTGAGGTCAGGAATTCGAGACCAGCCTGGCCAACATGGTGAAGCCTGGTCTCTACTAAAAATACAAAAATTAGCTGGGTGTGGTGGTACAGGCCTGTAATTCCAGCTACTCAGGAGGCTGAGGCAGGAGAATTTTTTGAACCCAGGAGGCAGAGGTTGCAGTGAGCTGAGAATGCGCCACTGCATGCCAGCCTGGGTGACAGAACAAGATTCCGTCTGAAAAAAAAAAAAAAAAATGCAGTTAGGGCCAGGCACGGTGGCTCACGCCTGTAATCCCAGAACTTTGGGAGGCTGAGGTGGGTGGATCACCTGAGGTCAGGAGTTCGAGACCAGCCTGGCCAACATGGCAAAACCCCATCTCTACTAAAAATACAGAAATCAGGCAGGCATGGTGGCACGGGCCTGTAGTCCCAGCTACTCAGGAGGCTGAGGCAGAAAAATCGCTTGAATCCAGGAGGCAGAGGTTGCAGTGAGCTGAGATCGCGCCACTGCCCTCCAGCCTGGGTGACAGACCAAGACTCCACCTCAAAAAAAAATAAAAATAAAAATAAAAAAAGAAGCAGTTAGAAATCCAGGTCCTTTCTCCACACCAAGAGGCTGGGACCTGCCCCATCTACCCCAGAAGAAGGCCAGAGGCTCATCCTCCAGAGATGGTTCAGCAGAGGCTCTCTGGCTTTGGAGCAGGGCAGATGAAAGCAAGTGAAGTGTCAAAACAGAGGGATTGAGTAAACATCAGCATGCTGAACCTTTGTTCTCCTTCCCTTCTTGGCACAAGGGCAGAAAAATCTCTGGGGACTCTGACCAGCCTGAAAAGAATGACCCAGAGATACTAACACTGGGATTACCTGGGAATTACCACTAAATCAGATCACCCTATAATGGAGCTCAGTGGGTGAGCCCCTACTACAAACTCAGAGCTCACAGATTTTTAATCCCCAATTCTTAAAATATGAGCAATCAAACAAAGCGTCCAACTTGGAATAAGGACTCTTGGAATAAGAGAGAAAACAAAATTTACTTAATATTAGTATCCTTAGAGGTAAGAGAAGATATCGCAACCATGATGCAAGAACAGGATGTAATACAACAGGGACTTTCAGACCAAAAGAACACTAGTAAATTCAAAATTTGACAGCAGAAATGAAAGGTTGAATAGGAGGGCTGACTGACAAATCAGATCAAATCCACCAGAAAATTGAGCAAAAAGACAAAGTGGTGACTGGGCCCTGTGGCTCACGCCTATAGTTGCAGCATTTTGGGAGTCCAAGGTGGGAGAATTGCTTGGGCCCAGGAATTTGAGACCTGCCTGGGCAACACAGATCTCATCTTTACAAAAAAAAAAAAAAAAAAAAATTCAAGAAAATTAGCCAGGTGTGGTGGTATGCATCTATGGTCCCAGCTACTCAGGAGGCTGGGGCGGGAGGATTGCTTGATCCTGGGAGGTCAAGGCTGCAGTGAGCTGTGATTGTGCCACTGCACTACAGCCTCAGTGACAGAGTAAGACCACGTATCAAAAAAAAAAAAAAAAAAAAAAGGAGGAAATACATAACAAAATTAGGGAACTAGTCCAGGGTTCCAACATCCTAATAGTAGGACTGTCTAGAAAGAGAAAAAAAGAGGGGAAAATAATGAATGAAATAATGCAAGAACATTTCCTAGAGCTTCAGAACCCAAGTTTCTAGACTAAAAGAACCCACTGAGTGCCTAGAGTGGATTAAAATAGATATACACAATGGAATATCATTATGAAATTGTAGAGTACTGGTGAAAAAGAGAAACTCCTACAGTCTTCCAGAGAAAAACAAGTCATAGACAATGGGTCACAAATTAAAATGGCTGTGGACTACTCAACAATGCCCAAAAAACTAGAAGACAATGGAACAATGTGTTCAAACTTCTGAAGGAAAATGATTTCTAACCTAAAATTTGATGCTCAACCAAACTATCAAGAAAATTGTAGAAGGAACATATTTTCAGATGGGCAAGGCCTCAAAAAGTTTACCTCTGATGTGTTCTTCCTCAGGGAACTACTTGTTCTGAGAGTCCCTAGCTAAATGGGGGCTCCAGTACCAGAGCGGTTGGCAACCCAGCACTAACAGGAAATGAAGGGAGCTGGATGTGGTCTCTACAGTGTGCCTTTCACAGGATACATCTTGTACATGGTGGACAGCCTAATGCCTGTCTGTCCAACCCGTGACCAGGGGGTCCCTCATACGTGAAACTTGTTTATACTGGCACATGCTGTGTGGCAGCTCTTGCCTGACCTGTCCCTGCCTGACTACCACTCTGGCCCTAGGAGCCCAACTTTGTGTTTCCACCGGTATCCCAAGGAAAACCCAGCCTGGGGCAGCCCCTGGTTCTTCTCATGGAAGGTGCAAATTCAACACACAATCGCAATAGGAAACAAGTTTAAAGATTTTTTTACTTACAGATCCTGGGCAAGGAGAGTGCCATGAGTCAGGAGGGCAGTCCTCTGTCCCCAGGTCAGATGAGGGAGAAATGAAGAGTCAGAGAGAGTATGGGGCAACTAGCAGTACACATAATGACTAAGATGTGGTCACCTTAAGTTAATGGCCAAATGCCTGGATGGTCCATTTAAAGGAAGCAGCAGGAAAGTGGGCAGCCCAGTCTGCTGGTGGGAGAGAGGCCTCTTAAGTTCTTACCTCTGGCCACTTGGCTTGAGCCATCTCGGTGTGGTGTAGATCTGGAAACTGTGTCCAGCGTGACCGAGCCCTGCCGCTGGTATGAGAGAGTTAAACTTGTATTCAACATGGATGCCGAGGCAACATAAATCTATAAGGATCCACTACACCACTCCACTAAAATAAGGGTATAAACCAAGAAAGAGGAAGCTGTGGGAACAGAGAAACACAAGAGCAAGGCAAAGGGATTCCCCAGGGTGATGATGAGGGGGGATCCCAGGACAATAACTGTGTGGCCAGCAGAGGGGGCACCTGATTCAGACCACAGCAGTCACAAGGCTCTGGGGCAGATTCCTTGGAGGAGATGAAACTGATAGACTGTTTGATGCGTCTAAAACACATTAAGGGAGATTTAGGAATTGATAGAAAGTTTGGGGTTGAATGCGTGGCAAGTAGAAAACAAAGCAAACTCTAGGGAAAACAGAAAATAATTCAGGAAAAGAAATCAAAGTTCAGCCTAGCAATATAGTGAGATCTCCATCTCTACAAACTTTTTTTTTTCAATTAGCTGGGCGTGATGGTGTGCACCTGTGGTCCCAGCTACTTGGGAGGCTGAGGTGGGAGGATTGCTTGGGCCTGGGATCAAGGCTGCAGTGAGCTGTGATTGTACTCTAAGCCTGGGTGACAGAGTAAGTCCTTGTCTTAAAAAAAAAGAAAAGGAATCAAAGTTGACAAAATGGGCTGGGGGGATAGAACAAGGACACATGTATGTCGAAGGGCCAGGAGGAGGCAAGAAAGGGCTAACACTGACATCTTCCATAGGGGGAAGTCAATAGGTGATGCAAAACTAAAAAATTAGGAAGTAGCAACACTAACAAAGGTAAATTCCAAAGGAACTAGCTCAGTGTTGATGCTGGGGATAATAGCTATTTTTTGGTAACAGACCTTGTACACCCATCTGACTCTAAACCATGAGCATGTAAAACTCTGATAAAAATAAAAACCACAAAGGTACATACTACCAGGATGTTTAGATGGGGGGGCTGGCTCTGGGCTGAGATCTGAAGGTAAAGAAGTCCTGGTCAGGAGGGCACAGGAGACCAGCTGGAGGGAATTACAAAAGCCAGAGGTGAGCTGCCAGGGGCTTGGACCAGGTGGTGGTAGAGAGATGGAGAGGAGCGAATGGATTCAGAACGATGTGGGAAAACTGAAGGAATCAGACAACAGCTCGGTGCGTAACAGCAGGGAGGCCGGGGTTCCTGGTGATGTGGACGGAGAACTTTCCATGGATGAGGAAACAAAGGAGATTCTTTAAAAGTCAGGCAGCAGACACTCTTGGCAACATGGAGAGAATACACAATTGTTTGAAGGCAGCAGAGAAAGCACCATAAAAAAGACTCACTCCATGCTTCCTGGAAACAGATGATGTTGACTCCACACATTGCAGCCACCTCTACGATAGCCTTTATGCGTCTATGAAGGGCAGAGACCTGAGAATTTAAAAAGGATTAGAATCCATTTAGTTCTATTGGTAAGGCAATTTTTAGGATCTCATCCTAATGCATATGGAAAAATCAATGCCCACCTGGGCAGGTATGAGGAGTAGGGTGGGGAGGTTCTATATTTGGTTATCTCCTGATGTCCAAAATCTGCATGAAAAGCTGGAGGTGCAGAGGCTCTGGGGTCAGACACTTGGACACTGCCTCAGTTTCCTCACCTGGTAATGGGGAGGCTGCCACCTGACCTGTGGGGTTGCTGAGAGGCAGGGATGAGGATGGTGCTGCTTCCGGTCCAGGGCCCACGTTCACACCCATCTCCCAGGTCAGCCACCCCCTTGGCCCGGGACTCCGCTCCCCACTCTCCTGCCTTCAGAGGCAAGCCTGGTTCCACACTTATCCTACTTATCCTGTGTGCATCTTATCATGGAATGCCTCGCCTCTCTGGCTCTTTTAAATCCCCGTGCTTTGGTGTGTGCTGTGCCCTGGGCCAGGAATGTACTTCCCTCCTCCCACCTAATCTTCCTGGAGGTGTTATCTATGTCACATGTCACCCCTCTGTGGGCCTCTGCAGGCTCTCACAGCTATGGGCCAAGTGTCAAGGTAACTCAGCATCCCCTGGCCTTCGGGAGCCATTGTGTGCCACTGCTTTGTGTGCCACTCTTCCTCTGCTGTCTGTCACTCCCAGGACCCCACAGGCTCCTTGGGGATAGGAAGAAAGCATCCTCATTGTCTGCTTGTCCTTGGCACAATGCCTGGCTCCCAGGAGACATTCAAAAGCGTTTGTTCAAAGACAGACCAAAGGAACCAGGCTGAAAACCCAGAGCGCACAAACTCTCCACAAGGCCTATAGTCTCCTCCTTTGAGAGGCTGTGCACCCCATGGCTTTGTGGATATTTGCTGACAGCATCAGCCCCGCAAACACACATTTGCTTGGTGTTAGCAAAACGCAAAGCATACTTCTAGGCCCTGTGCACGTGAAAAAAACATAGCTGGTCCTATGACTTGACAGTCTGGGATGATAGAGGGGACATATCCACAAAAAACAAATCCTGATACAAAAAGTGAGAGAACTGAGAACCAGACATCTGTGAATCCAACAAAAGCAAAGGAAGGACCAATGTGAATGATGATGCAGAACCAAACCTGGAATCCAAGAGGCCTTAGGTTTCTCCAGAATCCCTAAGAATCCTCAAACACGCCGTATCCTGAGGAAACCTGTGCAGGAAAATCCCTGAAAGTTTGAGCAGCTGGAGGAATGCTGTGGAGAAGTGTATAAAGCAAACCACCTGCGCCTGTGACAACATGTTTCTTTAGGGAGATACAAGATGCTGTCACCTTTATTTACTAACTCTGAGGTCATAAGCGAATGCCTATCTATTCCCGTAATCCTGTAGGCACCACAACTGACAGACTTCTGGGTATAGCGAGTCCCCGCCCTGAGGATTAAGGCAGAAGAACACACGGACAGACGGTCCCAACCAGCGTGTGCTGGCTGGCCGCCTCCTGGCAGGCAGCTGAGAGGCAGCGTCCCGTGGAGAGCACGAGCAGGCCAAAAGGGCACCCTCCCGGTTGGTAAATGGAGCTTCAGATCAATAGCTGGAGAGAAGTGGAAAGATCAGTGAGGAGGAGGGAGAGACAGAATAAGAACAGGAAGACAGAAGAGCCAGAGATGCAGGCTGGAGGGATGTGGGGAGGCCAGGGCAGAAGCGCCTCTGCTACTGCTTGAGGCGCCCAAGCCTGCAGACCCGGAGTATGCGGCCAGCCAGGGCCTGCAGGTGTGCTCCAAGGGCAGGCCACAACCCTGTTTGTGTATTTATTATGGTCAAAAGAGTCTGCACCTGTTCTGCCACAGGGGCATTTGCGGGGAGGGGGATTCTGTTCTGAACCAGCCCCACGTGCACAATGCGGGGTCGTCTCAGCTGCTCCTCCGCTGCTTCAAAGGCATATCCCTGCAGTTCAAAGTCTTCTCTGGAGGCAGCTTCGAAAGCTTCCCTGGGCAGATCAAGCTTCCTAGATGGGCAGGAAAAAAGAGGGAAGGGGATTTTGATGCAGTCTGCTCCACTTAAAATCTCTCTCCCATTTCTTGTAGCTATTTATCAGCCAAAGAGGTGAGGATGTCCTGGCTAGAAGGCGCTCAGTGCCAGGGCCCAAGGGAGCTGGCGAGCAGTGGGGTCCAGCCATGACAGAACACTACACTGAACCTGGACTTTACCTGCAATTGGCAGGGAGACCTCAGCAGAGTCAGCACGGTTAGGCCTGGCAATGGGGAGGCCAGTTAAGAGGTTGGTGTTTTAGAGTTGCTGAAATCACGGTAGGAATTAAAGTCCTGGCAGTCAGCACAGAAAGGAGGGAACAGATTCTCAAAAGTGTTTCTGAACCAGAATCAGGGCTATGCTGAGCCTAGGGTGTGAGGCAGGCTGTGGGAGCCGAGGGGCTTGGAAAATGGGGCTCAGGAGACAGGTTGGATGGAGAGGCCATGACCTGGGATCACATGGATGGCCTTATGGTGAATAAAGACCCTGGCCACTCTGTCCTGCTGCTCCTGCTGGGGGAGGCCAGTTCTACATCTGGTGTTGGGTGGGCTTGGAGGGGCCCAGGTGTTCAGATGGAAGCCCTAAGTGCTCATCCACATTTGTAGTTTATTAACCAAGGCTAGAGAATTAGTTATAAAACCTTCCACTGAAGTGACCATTAGCCAAACAGCAAATACCTCCTGATACCTGTTGCACACCCGAAGGTGAAAGCCACAGAGGCATGGGATGGGACACGGCCCCTAGCCAGGAAGGGCTTACCATCTAAGCGCAAGATGATTATGAAATACTCAGAAAACACATCAAAAAATAACCTGACAGCCATTATCTAATAATAATATTTCTCTCCTACTTTAAATCACTTTCTTGGAGACGTTTCTTTCAAAATCACAGCCCTGTCAGCCCAAGCCCCCTGTCGCCGCCCCCTGCCAGGCACTTTCCATGTGACGGCCCTGACAGCTCTGAGTTCGGTTCCGCCCCTGACAATCAGCCTGCTTTTCAAGTAGTCAAGGTTCCCTTCACTCCAGCAGGTTAGAAATAGCAGCAGTGCCCACACCGTGCCTCTCCTTGCTGTGACTGCCTTAGACAGTCCTCCCACCCTCCAGCGGAAGGGCGCTCCTGCAGGCCACAGCCTCAGAGCAAATCCCCTCTGGTGGACATAAATCACGCAGCTTTCCAGGATATGGGTGTGGGCAGACACCAGGAGAAAAAGGAGCAAGGCTTATGTGTCTATTCCCTCGAAGGCCTGTGGGCCTGGGAGCCAGACAGCTCTTTCAGAGTGTCCTGGTGAACCCTGCCTGGCCTCTCAGCCTGTGGTCTCACACCAGGAAAATGTCAGGTGAAGAGCTCGTCTTGGGTGTGGAAACATGGCTGTAACCACCACCTGGCTGAAGTCTCTCTCCTCATCTTCCCACCATGCACAACCTCCATTACCTACCCTTCTTCCCCCAAGTGATGCCTCCGCCTAGCCAGCCCTGAGGCTGCCCACCTCCTTATCCCCAGCTCCCTGCGAGCTCATTCTAAGCCAAGGTAATACAGGAGAGGCCGCTCCACCCTCCAGGACAGCCACCTTTGGGGCTCTACCTCCTCCCAGCCACTCCTGTCTACTATCTGGGCAGTACCTGTAAGGCCTCTCTGCCCTCCCATTATCAAAGGCGGTGCATTACCACATCCTACACAGCTTCATCTTGGAGAACCTAACCAATCCTCAAGCCATACCCTGTGTAGACGCAGTCAATGACCATGTGCTGTGCCCACCGAAAGGCCTGGTACAGGAGATGCAGTGGAACACTGAGACAGACTGAATGCTTATGTCTGCCCCAAATTCATATGTTGAAATCCTAATCTCCAATGTGATAGGGCTCTTTCAGAGGTGATTAGGTCATGAGGGTAGAGTCCTTTTAAAAGACCAAGAGGGCATGCTTGCTTCCTGCACCATGTAAGAACACAGTGAGAAGGCACCATCAAAAACCAGAAAGTGGGCCCTCAACAGACACCAGATCTGCTGTGGCACCTTGATCTTGGACTTCATAGCATTCAGAACTGTGAGGAATAAATTCATGTGGTTTAAGATGGGGAAAGAGACCGCAGCCAGATGTTGGTTACAGCCAGGGTTGCACACTCAGACAAGAGCTCTGCCACCTGACTTCTTCCTGGTGTGAGACCACAGGCTGAGGACAGTGTTCACTAGGACGTTCCCAAAGGGCTGTCCAGCTACCAGGCCCACAGACCTTTGGGGAAACAGACACACAGACCCTTCTCCTTTTTCTCCCTGTGATTGCCCACAAGTACAGGGAAGTCTGGTATTCTGTTATAGTAGCCCAAAAGTACTAAAACATCAATCAGCCACTGCCCAGGAGGACAAGACCAGCAAATGAGCCATAACCTCACAGACGGCCTCCTGCTGCCACTGCCTGCCCTGGTCCCTGTAGTTGGCTTTCAGACCCTCTACCCCTCACCCTGCTACTGAGGCCTCCCCACTCAGGGCTTCCCTTCAAACTTCAAGGAGTAAAGCCCTTCACTTCCCATCCTAGCCCCACCATGCCCTTCAGGGCCCCCACCTCTCCCACCCAGGGTCAGGCAGACCTTGCCAGAGGACACCAAGTTCCTGCCTCCTCAGCAACCTCTCACTTCTGGAACTTCATCTTTCCATGTCTGATGGCTCTTTACCACCAGCACTTTAAATCATTAAACTAGAGCTCTGTTACAAAAGAGACATGTGCTCATGGCGGGGGTGAATCAAATAGTGGGAAAGGGTATAAAATGAAACATACATTCCCCTTTCTACCCCACCCCTAGTCCCAAAACTCAGAGGCAACCCCTCTTAACAATGTTTTATGTCTCTTTCCTATTTTCCTACGTGTATGCATTACAAATACAATGGTATCATTCTGTATTTTCTGTTCTTCAACTTGCCTTTTTCACTTAATACACATAGCTTGGACATCTTTCTCCACTAGTACCTACAGACCTCCACATCCATCACTGAAGCTGTTAAAGAGTCTCTCCCGTTGAAAAACAGAAGGGAGATAGGGGGGAGAGAAGGTGAGGAAGAAAGAGAAAGAGGGACAGTGTTCCACATATGTCCATGTGTTTACTCACTTGCTGTCTCTCCCTGCTGCCTAGGGAGCTTCCACACATGCTTCCCCTCAGCTCAGGCCTTACCTCCTGGCCCCATCTCAGGAACTGCCAACAGCCTTATCATGGCTAAATCCAGCAGACTTCCTGCTGTCCTCACCCGCTAGACATTTCTGAGCCATCTGATGCTTCTTTCCTGTCCTGCCCCAGAGTCCTCACCTCCAGAATCTCCCACAAAGTCTCTTTCTCTGACCCCTTGAATATCCAGGTTTTCCAGCATTCTCTCCAGCGCCCTCTTTTGTACCTGCTCCTCCTTCACCTGGAATGACCATCTCCAGGGCAGCTCAACAAGCCCAGCCTCGCCCACCTGAGGCCCACCTCCACATAGCAAATAGCCCCTGAGTTATTTCCACCTGCAGACCCTGAAGCTACTGTAGCAGGTTGAGCTGTGTCTCCATCCTGACACCTGGAACCTGTCATTGTGATTTTATTTGGAAAAAGGGTCTTCACAGACGTAATTAAGGTCAGGATCTCAAGATAAGATCATCCGGGATTATCCAAGTAAGCTCCAAATCCAAAGACGTGTGTGTGTGTGTGTGTGTGTATGTGTGTGTGTGTGTGTGTGTGTGTGTGTGTTTGAGACAGGGCCTCACTCTGACTCCCAGGCTGGAGTGCAGAGGAGAGATTTTGGCTCACTGCAGCCTCGACCTCCCAAGCTCAAGTGATCCTCCCGCCTCAGCCTGCCATGTAGCTAGGACTACAGATGCATGCTACCATGCTTGGCTATTTTTTTAAATGCTTTATAGAGATGGGTGTCTCACTATGTTGCCCAGGCCGGTCTCGAACTCCTGAGTTCAAGCAATCTTCCAGCCCTGGCCTCCCAAAGTGCTGAGATTACAGGTGTGAGCCCGGCCAGGAAGTGTCTTTTTCAGCTTTGTGGACACAGTGTCCAGCAGTATACAGCCCTCAGAAAGTCCTGGTGATGCACAAGCTTGCAGGGAGTGGAAAAACCAGCGCCCATGGCTTGCCAGTGGGAAAGGTTCCCTCGCCAACTAAATGCAGACAGCCTCTATTTCCAAGGGTCAGCCAGAGGTCGGGTCACCGCAAGAAGGATGGTCTGGGGCCGGACAATCAGTACACCTGCTGGGTGCTCTGGTTGGAGACAGTGATCCAGCCAGACATCCAGAAGACAAGCCCGGCTCCGGGGAGGAGGGTTGGGATGGCCACAGAGAAAGCCCTGGAGAGTAAAATCCCGTCCTTTTCCTTCCGGTTCTGGGCAACGTGGGGGAGAAGAGATTTGTAAAGGTCACGCCAGGATTCTGCAACCCCCAAGGACCCCGGGGCCGTCCCATCAAGACCTACTATGGTCTCTGCCCGCCAACTCAGGACTTCTCACCGCCTCCCCTGAGCCCTTCAGACCCTGAGGCCCTCCCTGCCTGCTCCCCCAGACCCACACTCTGTGGCCCCAAGACCCCATTAGCTTAGCCTCTTGGCTGCGGACCTGAGTTCCTTGCCATAGAGAACGCGCTTCACTTCCTGCAAGTCGGGGAGCGGCAGGTGCTTCTCCAAGCATTCCTCCAGCGACTTCCACTCAGCGCCCGCCATGGCCACGGTCCGCCAGTGCTTGTGTCCGCGCACGAACTGCCTGCCCTTTGCCCGCAGTGGGAGGAGGTGCCCAGGCCCGGTCAGGCGCCCTTGCCTTTATCTCTTACTCTCGCTCCCAGACAGCTCAAGTGAGGACACGCCACTTCCTCGCGCAGCCAATCCGCCTTCCAGGGCTTCGCGGGTGGGACCGCCCCTGGCCTTTAGCGCTCCTTCGGCACGTGCCAGGACACGTTCCTCTTGCCGCCTCCGCAGCACACGGCCAATCAGCCTCCAGGGCCTCACGTGGGGAGGGGGCGAAAGGATCCGGCGCTTGCCCTTCGCCCCTTGCCCTTCGCCTCTCGGTTAGCAAGCGATGAGGCACGCCCCTCCACAGGCGGGACTGCGCGGAGTCGTCGCGCCTCGGCTGCGAGTCAGGACTGAGGCTGTCCCCCTCCCGCCTCCCTCAGGGGCCCTGGCGCGGGTGCCTCCAGGTTCCACCCCTCACCTGCCCCTTGGTGTCGGGCCGGGACCCTGGAGAGGTCGTGAGGGAGTCCTGGGCGCGGGCTCCGGGAGGCTGCGGCGCGGGTCTGAGGTAAACGGCCCGGCCGCTGCGGGCCCTTGCGGGGGCTGGTTCCAGCAGCAACCGCCGGGCAGGGCCCCTCCCGACCGCGACCTCCTGTCCGCACCGTAGGGCAGCCGGCCGGGCCAGCCTCCCTCACAGGACTACCGAGGAAGGTAAGGGAAGAGTTTCAGTGTCCCACGGGCACGCGGCGGCTGCACCTCTGTCGTCCGGAGCCTTTATGTCTGGGGAGTTTTAACCCCCGAGGGGCCAGGCTCGGAGTCCATGCCGCTACCTGGGTCGCGCGTTCCCACCCCCGGCTTTGGGGCCGCTGGAGCCGAAGGTCAGTTGCTCGCCTGCGGTTCCGTGCGCCTCGGTGGAGCTAATATTGTAAAATGCGGGGTCCCCGGGTGAGGGCGCGCCCCCTGCACCCTAGGGCCCCTTTTCAGCCCTGCCCTCTGCCGCGTGTGTGCAAATATGGGCACTTTCCTGCGGTAGGGTGCGCTTTAAACTGTCACTGAGATGGTAGGAGTGAGAGCCCCATTTGCTGTTACCGCGAATCCAGAGGGTGCCATCCCTTCAGGAGCAAAGAAGCGTCCTCTTTGGGGTCCTATTGAGAATTAGGGCAGTAAGGCCCGCTTACTTCGGCGGGCAGCCGGGTGAAGGAACCAGTCTGTAGAAATCCTATTCAGCCACTTGTAAACCTTGTGACCCCAGGAAAGTTTAACTTAGTCGCTGGAGGCTTCTGTTGCTTTATCTGTAAAATAGGAATGCAAAGATTACGCTGCGGGGTTGTTTAAAAGTCAGAAAAGGCCAGCACGGTGGCTCATGCCTGTAAACCCAGCACTTTGGGAGGCCTAGAAAGGGGTATTGTTTGAGGCCAGGAACTCCAGACCAGCCTGGGTAACACAGCAAGACCCTGTATCTACAAAATAATGTTTTACAAATTAGCCTATCATGGTGGTGCGCACCTGCTTCTTGGGAGGCAGAGGTGAGAGGATCGCTTGAGCCCAGGAGTTCGAGGCTCCCTAGCTATGATCTTAACACTGCACTTCAGCCTGGGCAACAGAGTGAGACGCAATCTCAAAGAAAAAAAAAAAAGAGGCAAGTAAAATGAGCACAAAGGGAGCTAATTTATATCTAGAATCAGCTACTAACATTAAAAATATTATACTTCAGGTATTTTGTTTCAGCTGCTAATTCACAAGTTTTGTTCCTTGTTTTGATAAATGTTAGCTGACGGTTTCTAGTATCTGATGGAGCTGCCTTCTCAAGAGTGCAAACTCTGAGGACTTTCTATGTGTAAGGCACTGCTAAGAGAGCCATATAAAGACAGATAAGACCTAGTACCTTTTCTTTGTGATTTAAAGTAAAGACGGCTGGGCACGTTGGCTCACACCTGTAATCCCAGCACTTTGGGAGGCCGAGGCGGGCAGATCACCTGTGGTCAGGAGTTCGAGACCAGCCTGACCAACATGGTGAAACCCCGTCTCTACTAAAAATACAAAAATTTGCCGGGCATGGTGGCGCATGCCTGTAATCCCAGCTACTCGGGAGGCTGAGGCAGGAGAATCGCTTGAACCCAGGAGGGGAGGCGGAGGTTGCAGCGAGCTGAGATCGTGCCATTGTACTCCAGCCTGGGCAACAAGAGCAAAACTCCGTCTCAAAAAAAAAAAAAAAAAAAAAAAAAGGAAAGACAAACTTGTAAATACAGCAGATTTAAATAATTTGAGATGAAAAAGATACTATGGAGTGCAAAGAGGTGATTTCTGGCTTAGAGAAATTGTTGGAGGTCTCATGGAAGAGGCTTCAAAGCCAACTCAAAATGCTTCAAACTGAATGAACTTTCACCTCCTTTCTCAAGCAGGCTCTTATCTTCTTTTGTTGTTGTTGTTGTTGTTGTTACAGAGTTTCGCTTTTGTCGCCCAGGCTGCAGTGCAATGGTGCGATTTTGGCTCACTGCAACCTCCGCCTCCCAGGTTCAAGCGATTCTCCTGCCTCAGCCTCCCGAGTAGCTGGGATTACAGGCGTGTGTCATCACACCCAGCCAATTTTTTGTATTTTTAGTAGAGATGGGGTTTCACCATGTTGGTCAGTCTGGTCTTGAACTCCTGACCTCAGGTGATCCGCCTGCCTCAGCCTCCTGAAGTGCTGGGATTACAGGCATGAGCCACCGCGCCCAGCCTCTTATCTTCTGCACTGTATTCCCTATTTCAGTAATGGCCTCACCACCCACTGATTTGCCAAGTTTTTGAGAGTCATCTGCAACTCCTCCATGTTCTTTCTTTCCTCAATACAATCAGGCATCAAGTTCTGCTAAATTTATCTCCTGGATTTTGTTCATATCCTTCCTCCTCCCTCCTCATGTCTGCCTCCTGTCATCTTTTGCTTGAATTGTTGCCAGTCTTGTAACTTGTCTCTCCACCTCCAATGTCTATCCTTAGTTGTCTTTCTAAAACTAGTATCTTACCATCCTTTGTACCCTCTCATTCAGTGTATCCCTACCTGGAATCACCTTTCATCCTTCATTTTGTGACCGCCTTCTCATCCTCCACCATGCAGTTGAAACATCACTTCTGTAAAGACTTCTCCAATTGTCCCAGAAAAAGTTAGGCTCCCCCAGGCCTTCATAGATAGTTCTCTTGTTACATTTATTAAACAGTATTGTGTAGTTATTTCTGTGCTGTCCTCAGAAAATGGACCGGATCTACTTTTGTATCCAGAGGACTTTAGCACTCAATAAATGATTATTGAAGGAATCAACTCTGGGATCATGGACAAATTCATTAAGGTGATAACACTGAGCTGGACCTCGAAGCAGTAGTAGAAGCTATTATTACTAGTTAAATTGTTTAGTTCATCTTTCCCTATTGTTCAGTGACAGGTCATTCGTACTTGTTCATTGTAAACCAGTGTTTCATAAATAAAACTTAGGATTTAAAAAGTTGTATTAAAAATGTTTATATTTGCCCAATTTACTTTTTACTCTGAATGATAGCAAGACACTTCACTAGCTCTTTCTGTGGTAATCATTTTGTTTTTTGCTTTTTTTTTTGAGTTGGAGTCTCCCTCTGTCACCCAGGCTGGAGTGCAGTGGAGCAATCTCAGCTCACTGAAACCTCCACCTTCTGGGTTCAAGTGATTCTTGTGCCTCAGCCTCCAGAGTAGCTGGGATTACAGGCACACGCCACCACGCCCGCCTAATTTTTGTATTTTTAGTAGAGATGGGGTTTTACCACGTTGGCCAGGCTGGTCTGAAACTCCTGAGCTTAGGTGATCTGCCCACCTCAGCCTCCCAAAGTGTGGGGATTACAAGCGTGAGCCACTGCGCCCGGCTCTGTGGTAATCATTTAAAAAGACTTAAGGCTTTGCCCTAGTTTCTTTCTGAAATATCCCACCAACCCAAAAGGTTATAACTGCATGAAGCATACTAGAGTGAGGGATTCTTCCTTGTTTGGAAGAACAACTCTTTCTCTGGCAACATGGTGTGGTTTAAGGATATATAACCCATAATTTGGTAAGTGTATACAAACATGGGCAGGAAGGACAGAATACACACAACTTCAACATGATGGATACCTCTGGAGAGAGAGATAGGGGAATGAAATAGAAGAATGGGAATTATCTGTTGATAGATAATGTTTTAATTCTTTTTAAGAGATCTGAGACATATGACAATATTAACATTTAAAAAATCTGGGTGCTTATTATTACCAATACTTTTCTTTATGTTTGAAATATTTTTTTAAAAAATTATAGAAGAAAAGAGACTTAGAACAGGAGTCAGAAAACCTGCAGTTTAGTCTGGGTTCTACTTTAACCTCAGTTTTCCTGTTATAAAAAAGATAGGGGCCAGGCACGGTGGCTCAGGCCTGTAATCCCAGCACTTTGGGAGGCCGAGGTGGGTGGATCACTTGAGGTCAGGAGTTGGAGACCAGCCTGGCCAACATGGCAAAACCCCATTTTCTACTAAAAATACAAAAATTAGCTGGGGATGGTGGTGCGTGCCTGTAATTCCAGCTACTGGGAGGCTCAGGCAGGAGGATCACTTGAGCCTGGGAGGTAGACGTTGCAGTTAGCTGAGATCGTGCCACTGCAGTCCAGCCTGGGCAACAGAGCAAGACTCCGTCTCAAACAAAACAAAACAAAAAAAAGGGAGGGGAGGGAACTGGTGAGACAGTCTATAGAGATGATGTAAGTCTTGTCCTAATTCTAATAAAATATGATTCTAATAATCTAGCCATGTATAAATTCCTCTATATGCTTATTTGTGAGAAAACAGTTTCATTATAGAAGCTGGTTCTGCAGAAGGAGCTTATTTTTAAAAATGTATTAGTGGGGCTGGGAGCGGTGGCTCATGCCTGTAATCCCAGCACTTTGGGAGGCCGAGGCGGGTGGATCACGAGGTCAGGAGATCGAGACCATCCTCGCTAGTACGGTGAAACCTCGTCTCTACTAAAAAATACAAAAAATTAGCTGGGCGTGGTGGCGGGTGCCTGTAGTCCCAGCTACTCAGGAGGCTGAGACAGGAGAATGGCATGAACCCAGGAGATGGAGCTTGCAGTGAGCTGAGATTGCACCACTGCACTCTAGCCTGGGCGAGACTCCGTCTCAAAAAAAAAGTATTAGTGTCTGTTTTTAGGTATTACTTTTAAATTCACAATATGTGTTTATTTCAATCCTTAGGGAAGGTATTTAAAGTACTTTTTAAAAAGTAATGTGTATAGGTAATTAAATTTTTTTATTTTTAATTTTTGTGAGGACATAGTAGGTATATATATTTGTGGGGTGCATGAGATGCTTTGATACAGACATGCAGTGTGTAATAATCACATCATAGTAAGTGGGGTATCCATCCCCTCAAGCATTTATTCTTTGTGTTACAAACAATCCAATTATACTCATAGTTATTTTTAAATGTACAATTAAATTATTGACTATAGTCACCCTGTTCTGCTATCAAACACTAGATCTTACTCATTCTTTCTAACTACTTTTTGTACCTATTAACCATCTGCACTTTTCCCCCATCCTCAACTACCCTTCCCAGCCTCTGGCAACCATCCTTCTACTCTCCATCTGCATGAGTTCAGTTGTTTTAATTTTTAGCTCCCACAAATAAGTGAGAACATGTGGTTTGTCTTTCTGTGCCTGGCTTATTTCACTTAATGACCTCCAGCTCCATCCATGTTGTTGCAAATGACAGGATCTCATTCCTTTTTATGGCTGAATAGTACTCCATTGTGTATATGTACCACATTTTCTTTATCCATTCATCTGTTGATGGACATTTAGGTTGCTTCCAAATCTTGGCAATTGTGAACAGTGCTGCAACAAACATGGGATGCGAGTGCAGATATCCCTTAGATACACTGATTTCCTTTCTTTTGTGTATATACCCAGCAGTGGAATTGCTGGATCATATAGTAAGGTACTATTTTTACTCATTTACATTTGAAGGACTAAAATGTTATGATGATCAATGGTGAACAATTCTAATAAGGGCCATGACATGGAGATCCCACCAGTCTTCTCCTATGACCCAGAGGGGCTGTTTATGCCCTCATTTAGCACTTTACAACACACAAAAGGCTTTTGCGTCATCTTGTCGCATTTGATCATCCAATAATACTGTGAGGTAAGGGGATAGGGTTTTTGGTATTTGTCAGATTTCCAAGTTAAACATGGTATTTACTGGAAAGAAACTGTAAGAGCCAATATTTTACTTATAGTCAAGGGAAAAAAGATCTGAGGTGACCCAATTTCTAAGCAACATTCTAAAACCCAATTTCTGGGTTAATTTGTCCCTACATTGCATTCCTTAGCCCAGAAGTCACAATTCTTTTTTCACTAGCATTTTTTATTGTTTTTTATCCTTATGTAGACTTAAGTGTCTCACATGAAAAAGTCTTGGAGTAGCCCACCCAAACTTACCAAAAATGGATTTTGCAGCAGAGCAAGGCCAACCCAGCCAAAATTGTGACAAATAAGGTTTTACGGCCCCCATTTTAGCAGCCTCCTTTTTGTCCCTTGTTTTTGTTGTGGGTTTCTTCTCCTCTCATGACCAGCTCTGCTTTACTCATAGTAAACCTTCTTTATTCATATTAAACCTCTAAAGTGTTTTTAAAATTTTATTTTTAATTGACAAATAATAATTGTATATATTTATGGGGCACAATGTGATGTTTTGATACATGTATACATTGCGGAATGATCAAATCAGGCCAATTAGCATATCCATCACCTCAAATATTTATCACTTCTTTGTGGCTATTTTGAAATAAACATTATTGTCATTATTATTAATTATTTTTAGAGGTGGGGTCTCTCACTCTGTCGCCCAAGCTGGAATGCATTGGCACAATCATGGCTCACTGTAGCCTCAACCTCCTGGGTTCATGCGGTCCTTGCAGCTCAGCCTCCCAAGTAGACCACAGGCACGAGCCACCATGCCCTTTTTTTTGTTTTGTTTTGTTTTTTGTTTTTTGGAGACAGGGTCTCATTATGTTGCTCAGGCTGGTCTTGAACTCCAAGGCTCAAGCAGTCCTCCTGCCTTGGCCTCCCAAAGTGCTGGGATTATAGGCATTATAGGCATGAGCCACCATGTCCAACCTGAATCTGTTGTTTCTTAAGGATAAAGGAATGGCATGTCTTTGAGTCTACAGTGATTTGCATATAACTGGCACTCAATAAATGATTGTTGAATCAAATTGGACACCATATCAGTATTGATAAATATTTAGAGACAAGGTCTCAATTTGTTGCCCAGGCTGGAGTGCACTGATGCAATCATAGTCACTTACCGGGTTCCTTTAGCTATATTAACTCAGCGGCTTATTTAGCCTGCTTTTGAAAAAGACCACCTTTGGCTGTAGCAGATTTATAATTATTTCCTTTCAACATGACTTCTAGCTGTCTCTGCACCCTGGTTATCTAGAACACAAGTGGTCTAAATCCTCAAGTGGCTCTAACAATGGTAGATATTGGGGGAGCTGCTTCATATAGCACAAATCTGTTTACTGGGAAGTCGCTGGTTCAGCATCTCATGGTTCATCCCTCTCTGATTAGCTTCCTGGCCCATATTCCCTTGGATTAGGAGTTTGGTGGGATCCTTAGCCATAACATTCTTGAGTTGCAGAGAATGTGTATCTCAGATCCCATTTTCAGAAATGTCCTTGCTGTAGATAACAGACAGTTACCTACTTGTATCTTGAGAAATAGTAGTGTAAGAGAAAGAAGATTGGTCTGAATACTGGTTAGAATATAAATATGTTCTAATCCTGGTTTTACTATTAGGTAACTGAAACTTTAGGTGCATTATTTGATACCTCTTCCTAATCTTCAAAGATATTAGACTAATTCTCATAGATTCTATGATTTTATGATTAACGGAGTATGAGATCCTTTTTAAAATCCAGATGGCAAGGGCAAGCAGAGCAGATGTTGCCTGACACTTACAGGAGAACGCCCTGGATAAGAGTGCCTTAATCACACGGACTGGGTCTCACTTGTGTGGGAATACCATGGGTCCCATAAGGACTGAACTGGACTAGAAATGAGAACACCCTGGATATGAGTGCCTTAATCACATGGGGTGGGTCTCACTTGTGTTGGAATACCATGGGTACAATAAGGACTGAACTGAACTAGAAATGAGGATAATGATACCTTCCCCACTTTCTTGAAGGAATGGAATAAGCTAAGTTGAAATATCTTTGAAAATCTATATAGCATTATCTCTATAGATGCTATTTTTAATCAAGGAGAAGGTGTTTAGATATAATTCTTCCATGGCAAATTATAAATATACCATCTTTAATGTACTGGATACTTATCTTTGCGTTGTTTTTTTCAGTGGTGATAATGGCTTTGCATTGAATCATTTATAGTCTTTCCACCAGTTCTTCTCGGGATAAATAGCATACATTTGAAAGATCGGTAATTTTGAGAAGGCTGCATGAGACCATGAAACAAAGCAAAGCTGACTAGCCTAAGCTGAACTCCAGTCCATGACTCATCACTAGTTTGTCTAATCATTTAGGATAGCAAACTAAGCATAGGCTTATGTATGACAGGAATGCAAAATCCCAGGTTGAATTTTTGGGCCCCAAATTTCATGAAGTATCAATGTGATAAATCTTTCTCTTTACCACTTCCTCCCCGCTAAAACAATTGCAGAAGTATGCATTGGGCCTAGCAGCAGTACGTGTGGCTGAATTAGGGGTATTGAGTTGACTAGAAGCTCAATGTGAGTCAACAGTGTGTGTGGCTGCCAAAAAAAGCTGATATAATCTTAGGTTGCATTATGAGAAGTATAGTGTGCAGAACACAAGGAAGATGACTATCTCATTCTGTTCTGTGCTGACCAGAGCACACCTGAAATTAATCTAGCTCTGGGATAGCTACACGACATATAGATCATCTTGAATATGCAGAAAAGAGAGATCTAACAGCAACAACAACAACAAAATGTTAAAGGCACTTGGAACATATATTTAGCAAAACAAGGCAAACAAACTCAGGAAGGATATTGTCACTTCATTCAGATTTCTGAAGGGGCCACATATAAGAGGTTTTTATTTGTTCCACATGTCCCTAAGGAGAGGAGCTGGAGTCAATGGATAGAAACTAAGGGAGGAGGCCAGGCGTGCTAGCTCACGCCTGTAATCCCAGCACTTTGGGAGGCCGAGGCGGGTAGATCATGAGGTCAGGAGTTCAAGACCAACCTGGCCAACATGGTGAAACCCCGTCACTACTAAAAATACAAAAATTAGCTGGGCATGTTGGCATGTGCCTGTAATCCCAGCTACTTGGGAGGCTGAGGCGGGAGAATTGCTTGAGCCAGGACCCGGGAGGCAGAGGTAGCAGTGAGTAGCAGTGGGCTGAGATCGTGCCACTGCACTCCAGCCTGGGCTACAGAGCAAGACTCTGTCTCAAGAAACTTAGGGAGGATATTTCAGGCCAATACAGTTATTTTCATTGGGTGATATAAAAAAAAATGAAATAGGCAGTCTCTGCAAGTGATGAGTTCTCATTCAGGGTGTTCAGGTACGGTCCAGATGACCACTTGGTGGGAGTGTTGTAGAAGATAGTCAGTCATCAGATGGGTAGTTGAATTACAGTCTGTGATTTCTGTATATTGCTGTAATATGAACCAAGAAAACCTTAGGGATGTCAAATCCAAAGAACCATAAATAAGCCAAAGAACGATACAAGACAGCCTGGTATTTGATGAAGTAAAAGTCAGTAACTGTGAGTTTACTGAAGAGCCAGATGATGGGAAGATTTTATTATTAACTTTTTTAAAAGTATGTTTGGTTGGATTTGGTTTAAAGGAAACACTTTATTGCAAGAGTATTTGGACCCTAGTTTCTGGAACCTAATGGTGAAAAGAGTTCTGGTCCCAGAATCTGGGGATGAAACAACTACCTCATGGTTGCAAAGAGCAATTTCAAATTGGAAGTGGTTGTATCTGGAGAATCGTAAGGGGACAAAAATCGATGGGGGTTAAGAGGTCAAATAGGTACACAGCCCGGGGCGAAACAAGTGTGTAGAAAGAATTATGTATTTGTTAAGTTAGGCCAAACAGACTTATGTTCTATACTTCACCATCTGCAGATAATTGGCATCTTAAAATACTTTATACTGAAGCTAAGTAGATTGTGTACTCTGAGAAGCTATAAGGTATACTAATGATTCATTGTGGAGGGCTTACAGTATTGTAATAACTTACCAGGTTCTCTGCCCCAGCAACAAACTCAACCACTGGCAAGTTCAGCCCCACCTTAAACACTAGACTAGTTCTGCCCTCACTCCTAGAATCTGAGTCCTACTTCAGATCTCAACCTTGCTTGCTGCTAGCCCTGCCTGAATTAATGTCCCAAATCTAATAACTAGTTTAGGGCATTAAACCTTTTTGTGGCTGGGCATGGTGATTCACACCTGTAATTCCAGCACTTTGGGAGGCCAAAGTGGGAGGATCTCTTGAGCCCAGGAGTTTGAGACCAGCCTGGGCAACATAATGAGACCCCATCTTTAAAAAAAAAAATCAGCTGGACATCATGACATGTGCCTATAGTCCCAGCTACCTGGGGGGCTAAGGTGGGAGGATAACTTGAGCTCAGGAGGTAGAGGCTGCAGTGAGCCGTGATTGTGCCACTGCACTCCAGCCTGGGTGACAGAGTGAGAACCTGTCTCAAAAAAACAAAACAAAACAAAAAAAACCCTTTTGTGCTCTA
This sequence comes from Homo sapiens, assembly GCF_000001405.40. NCBI lineage: Eukaryota > Metazoa > Chordata > Mammalia > Primates > Hominidae > Homo > Homo sapiens. The sequence continues at coordinate 24,484,627 of NC_000022.11, read as the reverse complement.
ATCTTGAATCTCTTGTTTCCTTAAACTCAAGTCTCTTTCTGATATCTCAGTGCACAGCCCCCTTTTAAACTTAGCATTGCCAAAGACTTGAATCTGGAATCTGAATTTTGTGTCCTGCTACCTCTTTTCTGTGAGTTGTTTTTTGGTTTGTTTGTTTTGAAATGGGTTCTTGCTGTGTTACCCAAGCTGGTCTCAAACGCTGGGACTCTAGCTGTTCTCCCACCTCAGCCTCCCGAGTAGCTGGGACTACAGGAGCACACCACTGTGACTGGCATATCCTGCTACATCTTGCCAGACTAACATAGACTATTTCCTAGACTGCCATTGCCAAATCCCAGAGCCCCAGAGCCCCACCTTTGTGCCTGTGTGAGTGCAACAGTTACAGCCTTCAGTTCTAAGAATCAGGAATTCCTTCATCATCCGAATCCTCTCTTACAGTCTCATGTTTCTCTCTGATCCCAGTGAGTTGGTCTGACCACACATTCTGCACCTAGGGAGCCAAACTGATACTGGCCTGTGTTGGAGCAACACACTGACGACCCTTTTCTATACTCAGCCTCTGCAGTCACTAGCCAAAAAGAGCTTCTTGCCGGACTTCCAGGCCATGCATCTGGGCAGCACAGCCCCACTATGTACTTGTCCTGTCCAGACTCTGGAAAGAGTTAGTTTCAGTAGTCCATGGCAAGCTGCACAGTTTGTCTTACAGATGGCTTACAACCATTCAACATTTATTCTCTTAATTGCTTAGATGTGTTTTGTTTTGTTTTTGTTTTTGTTTTTGTTTTGAGACGGAGTCTCACTCTTGTCGCCTAGGCGGGAGTGCAGTGGCGCGATCTCGGCTCACTGCAACCTCCGCCTCCCGGGTTCCAGCAATTCTCCTGCCTCAGCCTCCCAAGTAGCTGGGATTACAGGCATGTGCCACCACACCCAGTAATTTCCATTTTTTTAGTAGAGACAGGGTTTCACTATGTTTGCCAGGCTGGTCTTGAGCTCCTGATCTCAAATGATTTGCCCGCCTTGGTCTCCCAAAGTGCGTAAACCACTGTGCCCAGCCCATTGCCTAGTTTTGTAAACAAATATTAAACGAACCAGACATTGGGGTCAAACATGAATAAGTCATATGGTGCTTCTTCTCATAATTATGATAATAATACCTTCCATTTCTTGAGCACCTGCTATGTGCCGGGCACTGTGCCAGGCCTGTAAGTGACAGATTTTATAGGGGCTGGAAAGTGCATTGTGAGGGGTAGGAGGAAAAGCTGGATAGTTTGTGTTACATACATAAGGCTCCAAACACAGCACATGGTTAGTGCTTAATAAACAGTAGCTATGTTTACAATATTAGGTGATAACATTACCAAAAGTACCATGCAAGTCCAGAGGTGGGATAAACAGTAGCTATGTTTACAATAGTAAGTGATAACATTACCAAAAGTATCGTGCAGGTCCAGAGGTGGGATAAACAGTAGCTGTGTTTACAATAGTAGGTGATAACATTACCAAAAGTACCGTGCAGGTCCAGAGAGGTAGGAGAAAAAAAATATCTGAGAGGTATGGAGAAAAAAAATATCTGAGTTAGGAGAAAAAAAATACCTGAGCCAGAGGGATGTGTGGAAGGCACAGGAAGGTCAATCAAAAAGAAGGAAAAGCAAGACCACAAGCAGAAAAAGATAGCCATTGCAGAGTAGCTAGTCTATCTGGAACATAAGAGTAGATGAAAGTCTGCGTTGAGACAGTGTATGTGTAGCAGATCTAGAGAGTTCTAGAGACATGTGTGCTAACGAAAGGACCATAGCCATAAAACCCTTTACTGTAGTCACAGGAGAAAATGATTGCATGAATTTGTAAAAACCGGAAGGATAAGACACAAGCCTGAAAATTATTCAATTAAAGGAAGGAAGATTGCAGACTGCTTAGTCACCTGAAGAGAGAGAATAGAGCTTACAAAATGAGAGGAGATGATTACATCACTTAAGTGAGCATTGATCAAGTACTTGGCAGGACAAGTGGAAATGTTTTTCTTTTAAATAATTCAAGCCTGCAGTCTTCCAATTCAGTTTAAGATAGTTTGAGTCTGCTATATATAAATGTGGATAGTGTTCCAGTGATAAATGAGTAGAATTCAAAGGAGGAATAAGTAAAACGTATTATCTGTGTTCAACTAAGAGTGCATGAATAAAGCCCTGGTGGTAAATATACAGTAGCCTCCATTTGAAGGTGTATAAGGGAAAGGAAATACTATTTGCTTGTTGACCTGGATTATAATGTACTTAACCCATATTATTCTAGTATAATTAGAGAGAGTCAAGCCTGATGCTCCAAAGACATTTCTGTTTCTTACATTCTGTTTCTATCAGATAGACTTAACTCAAAATCTATGACAGACTCTCATGGCTGGTTGCTCATATTTCTCTCAGTATTTTCCTGAGTTAATCAGTACAGAAAGTGGCAGGGAACCAAATGATGTTAAAAGAGTATTAAAGCTATAGGCATATAATATAGGATTATATAGTAATGATACTGTTTAACTGATCATTTTTCTGTTCATTGGGAAGCGGTGTTCTTATTTTATTAGAAGCAGCATGGTACAGTAGCAAAATTGTGTTTTTAAAGTTCTAACTCTGCTATGTATTAGTTATATAAGTTACTTTTTTGAACTTTCTTTTATTCTTTATCATGAGATGACAGTACTTGCTTGAATGGTTGCTTCAAGGATTACATGAAAAGCAGGTCTGGGAAATAATTAGCAGTCCAATGCCCAGCTCTCAGTAAGGGCTCAGACATGTTAATTCTCCATGTCTCCCCTACAGGAAAGCCTCTCATGAAGTTGCCTAAGGAGCACAACCCCTGGAATAACCTTAGTGTTGGTTACTCAAGAAATCTGTGTTTTTTTTTTTCGAGGGTAGATTTTACTTTTGAAAAAACAGAAATTAACTCTGAGCTAAGTTAATGGATGATCAGGTTAGAGGTGTTCACAAATAAAGTATGACTGTGAAATAATTGGCTTCCTTGTTGGGATTGTAGATGGACTCTGAAAGCAACTCCAACACAGAAGTTCCAGAAAAGTGTTAAAGCAAAAACAACATTTTTGGAATCAGTTTTGGATAAATTCTTGTATGCTTAAACTTCAGCATTGTTACTTTATAATCACACTTCATTTCCGTGGAAAAGGTGCTGCAAACAGAATTGATAATAGAGACCAGTGGAGAGTGAGGAGAAAATAAAACCAAAGAAAACATGTAGAGGCCATCCCACTGACACAGAGCCTAATTGAAATATTTTTAAATTCTTTCTTTAGATACAACTCAAGCCTGGTTGCTAATGATTTGTAAAGTCTCATTTCTGAATCTATATTATATTATATTCTCTCAGAGCAAAGCAGTCTTCAGCTCAGTATACCATACCTTAAAATAAATGTATCTTTGTCTTTGCTAATATCCTTGAGTTTCCAAGACTTAAAAACTTAAGCCTGATTCTTTGTTCTTACATTAAACTTTTACTGTCATTCCTGTTTGTGAACTGTCTTGCATCCTGCCCCTTCTCCAGTCTTACTGCATCCACCATCATCACCTGCCTGCCTGGATCTTGCCTGCGTCATTGTATTAGCAAAGAAGCTGTATTAGCTAGGAAGCTAATTTCTCCTATTTCAGTGTGTTTGTCTTCTAGTAGAGCCTTTTCAGCGTAATAGTTTAAGCTTAATATTCCTAAAATAACACTCCCATCTTATGTGTATATTTATTACAATACCCGACATTGATGTATAGGTAATTGTTTATGAGAGAATCATTTAGTTTCAGAATTTTTGATTCGATTTTGAGATATTTGAAAGCATGAACTATTTTATTAATCTGTGTCAGTAGTGCTTAGTACAGGGTCTTGCATGTAGCTGTGTCACTTCAAACAAGTTCTTTAATGGCTCTGTGCCAAAGTTTCTTTGTCTGTGAAGTGGGGATAATAATATCTTTCTCAAAGGATTGCTTCATTAAAAGAGTATGTATATATGTGTATCAAAAGGTAGTTTTTCTATTATAGCTTTTGTATATGTTCACTTTTTTTTTTTTTTTGAGACAAAGTCTTGCTCTGTTGCCCAGGCTGGAGTGCAATGGCATCATCTCAGCTCACTGCAACCTCTGCCCCCCAGGTTCAAGCAATTCTCCTACCTCAGCCTCCTGAGTAGCTGGGATTACAGGCGTGTGCCACCAGGCCCAGCTAATTTTTTGTATTTTTAGTAGAGATGGTGTTTCACCATGTTGGCCAGGCTGGTCTTGAATTCCTGACCTCAAGTGATCGCCTGCCTAGGCCTCCCAAAATGCTGGGATTACAAGCATGAGCCACCACACCTGGCCACTTTGGTGTTATTATAGCACTCAAAAAAAGTTACTGCTTTCTGGCTGGGCGCAGTGGCTCATGCCTGAAATCCCAGCACTTTGGGAGGCCGAGGTGGGTGGATCATGGATCGAGACCATCCTGGCTAACATGGTGAAACCCCATCTCTACTAAAAATACAAAAAATTAGCAGGGCATGGTGGCAGGTGCCTGTAGTCCCAGCTACTCAGGAGGCTGAGGCAGGAGAATAGCGTGAACCCGGGAGGCGGAGCTTGCAGTGAGCCAAGATCATGCCACTGCACTCCAGCCTGGGTGACAGAGCTAGACTCTGTCTCAAAAAAAAAAAAAAAAAAATTACTGCTTTCTTATTTTAGGCAAACTCCTTTTTTCCTTATTTTTTTTTTTGGAGATAGGGTCTCATTCTGTCGTCTAAGCTGGAGTGCAGTGATGCTGTCTCGGCTCCCTGCAACCTCTGTCTCCTGGGCTCAAGCCATTTTTCCTCCTCAACCTCCCAAGTAGCTGGGACTACAGGCGTGTGCCACCACGCCTGGCTAATTTTTGTATTTCTAGTAGAGACAGGTTTCGCTATGTTGCCCAGGCTAGTCTCGAGCTCCTGGACTCAAGTGATCTGCCCGCCTCAGCCTCCCAAAGTGCTGGGATTACAGGCATGAGCCACTGTGCCTGGCCCAGTTTCTTGTTTTTATCTTGTCTCTCCAGTAAGAGTGTAAGCTCCTAGAGGACAGGGACCATCCTATATTTCTTTCATATGCCCTACTATACATGGCATAGTTCTGGGCTTTTATTCATTAATTTAATAAGCATTTCTTAATGAATATTTAATGTACAATATTATGTCATGGGATATAATAATTAATAAGACAAGGTCTTTAATAGTGTTGAGGCACCTCCATCCTAATGCGAGCTAAAGATACTAGTATTTAGTATTTCACTTAGTGCTATGGAAGACTTTGTAGCAGATGATTAATATTCTCAGATCTATTAATTACATAAATCTGGGCTCTAAGCAGAGTATGAGCAGGGTGAGTGCCTGGCAATAAGGGCTCCCAGTCTGCAGCAATATCTGAGGTGAGACATGATAAAGGACTGAACTAAAGCCCTAGAAATAGAGTGGGGATGGATTCAAGAAGCACTGTGGAAATGAAAATCAAAGGGATTGTGATGGCTCCAACATAGAATATGAGGTGTAGAAGACAAGGATGTTCAGGATGATTCTGGCCTCTTGTCTGAGTATTGGTTTAATAATATAAGCCATTTAGGAAATAAGAGCCATGAGGAGAAAAAGCCAGTTTGGAGATTAAGATGCCCCTGGGACCTCCAGAAGGAGATCCCTGTGAATGGCTGGAAATTCAGGTCTGGGGCCTAAGGATTGGAATTTGGACTAGAGAGAGAAAAAACTGGAAATTTTAGCAAATAGTGGTTGTTGAAGCCATGGGAATAGAAGAGATCAGGATGTGGAAAGATGAGAAGTATAAAGTACCTGAGACAGAAATGTTCAGAGAAGTTAGAGGAGATGCAGGAATCAGCAGGCCCCCAGTGTCAGTGTCCAGCAATATTAATGCTGCAGTGAGACCAATTTGCCATTATGTGTTGAATTCAGCGTTTGAGAGAGTATTGAAAAGGTGGTCCCTGGCTCAATAAATAGCGATCAGAATGAATTGAATAGAGGGCAAGAAAGGGTCTTTGAAGATGAAATAGGGCCTTTTTTTTTTTTTTTTTTTGAGACAGTGTCTTGCTCTGTCGCCCAGGCTGGAGTGCAGTGGCGCATCTCAGCTCACTGCAACCTCCACCTCTAGGGTTCAAGTGATTCTCCTGCCTCAGCCTCCCAAGTAGCTGGGATTACAGGTGTGTGCCACCACACCCAGCTAATATTTTTGCATTTTTAGTATAGATGGGGTTTCACTATGTTGGCCAGCTGGTCTCAAACTCCTGGACTCAAGCAATCCACCTGCCTCAGCCTCCCAAAGTGCTGGGATTACAGGCGTGAGACACCATACCCAGCCTTCAGCTATGATTTCTTTTTCTTTCTTTCTTTTTTTTTTTTTTTTTGAGACAGAGGCTCACTCTGTCACACAGGCTAGAGTGCAGTGGTGCGATCTCAGCTCACTGCAACCTCCGCCTCCCAGGTTCAAGCGATTCTTCTGCCCCAGCCTCCTGAGTAGCTGGGATTACAGACAAGTGCCACCATGCCCAGCTAATTTTTTGTATCTTTAGTAGAGACGGGGTTTCACCATGTTGGCCAGGCTGGTCTCGAACTCCTGACCTCGTGATCCACTTGCCTTGGCCTCGCAAAGTGCTGGGATTACAGGTGTGAGCCACTGCGCCTGGCCTGGGCTTTTTAAAAATGAAGCTTTCTTGAACATTTCTTGTGAGAAGTGGGAAAAAGGCCAGAAGAGAGAGAGAAATCAGTATCTGTAGTGTTCTAGGATATGGGCTAACCCCTTTACATGATTTTGTGTTTAATCTTCATTATCACCTTATAAGCAGGGGTGTCCTATCCACTGGGCATGAGACTCAGCATGGTTAACTAACTTGCCCAGAGGAGTCAAGAATTGTTTGACTAAGACTAAACCCTTTCCACTACACGTGGCCATTTCCAGGCTGTTATCCATCTCTAATCCTTCACTAAAGAAAGTGAAGTTGGTCTGGATACAGAAGAGGCTGGAAAGGTTAGTGGGGCCAAGGTCACTGTGGACAAACTGCATGAGAGGAATAGGGACACTGTCCCCATGACAGGAGGCAGGATATAAAGAATAAACTACACAGGTAAGACCTAGAGATGGAAAGCCTCCCTAGAAGTGAGAACTGAGGGAGCATACTGGAGCCTTAGCTGGTCATTTCCTAAGAGGGAGGGGTAGAGGAGGGCATTATGCAGAGATCAGGAAACACTCAATAATTGACTACTAGAAATCATAGCTGGGGACAGGCACAGTGGCTCACACCTGTAATCCCAGCACTTTGCGAGGCCAAGGCAAGTGGATCACGAGGTCAGGAGTTCGAGACCAGCCTGGCCAACATGGTGAAACCCCGTCTCTACTAAAGATACAAAAAATTAGCTGGGCATGGTGGCACTTGTCTGTAATCCCAGCTACTCAGGAGGCTGGGGCAGAAGAATCGCTTGAACCTGGGAGGCGGAGGTTGCAGTGAGCTGAGATCGCACCACTGCACTCTAGCCTGGGCGACAGAGTGAGCCTCTGTCTCAAAAAAAAAAAAAAAAAAAAGAAAGAAAAAGAAATCATAGCTGAAGGCTGGGTATGGTGTCTCACGCCTGTAATCCCAGCACTTTGGGAGGCTGAGGCAGGTGGATTGCTTGAGTCCAGGAGTTTGAGACCAGCTGGCCAACATAGTGAAACCCCATCTATACTAAAAATGCAAAAATATTAGCTGGGTGTGGTGGCACACACCTGTAATCCCAGCTACATGGGAGGCTGAGGCAGGAGAATCACTTGAACCCTAGAGGTGGAGGTTGCAGTGAGCTGAGATACGCCACTGCACTCCAGCCTGGGCGACAGAGCAAGACTCTGTCTCAAAAAAAAAAAAAAAAAAAAAAGGGTGACCAGGCTTGTGCTCACACCTGTAATTCCAGCACTTGGGGGAGCTGAGGTGGGAGGATCACTTGAGGCTGGGAGTTTGAGACTAGCCTGGGCAGCATAGTGAGACCCCATCTCTTAAAAAAAAATGGGCAAAAAATTTGAATGGACACCCACCAAAGAAGATGGCAAATAAGCATAGGAAAAAATGCTTAAAATCATGCATCATTAGGGAATTGCAAATTAAAACAACGAGATCCTACCGTACACCTATTAGAATCTAAAACATTGACAACACCAAATGGTGATGAGGATGTGGAGCAACAGGAACTCCCATTCATTGCTGGTGGGAGTCAAAACAGTACAGCTACTTTGGGAGAGTTTGACAGTTTTGTATAAAATTAAACCTACTCTTGCCATATGGTCTAGCAATTGTCCTTTTGTATTTAGTCAGAGGAGTTGAAAACTTATGTCTACACAGAAACCTGCACATGAGTGTTTATGGCAGCATTATTCACAGTTGCTAAAACTTGGAAGCAACCAATATGTCCTTCTGTAGATAAATGAGTAAATAAACTGTATGGTACATCCATATAATGCAATATTATTCAGTGCTAAAAAGAAACAAGCTATCAATCCATGAAAAGACATGGAAGAACCTTAAATGCTTATTATTAAATGAAATAATTTGAAAGGCTGTATATTATATGATCCCAACTATATGTAATTCTGGAAAAGACAAAACTATGGAGATAGTAAAATGATCACTGGGTGTCAGGGGCTTTAGGAGGAAGAGATGAATAAATAGACCAGATGGGATTTTTAGGGCAGCGAAACTATACTATATGATACCATAATGATAGATACATGTCATTATACATTTGCTAAAATCCATAGAATATACAACACCAAGAGTGAACCCTAATCCAAACATATGGACTTCGGGTGATAATGACGTGTCAGTGTTGGTTCACTGGTTGTAACAAATGCACCACTCTGGTGCTGGATGTTGGTAGCAGGGGAGGCTGTGTGTGGAGGCAGGGGGTCTGTGGGATAGCTCTATGTGTTCCACTCACTTTTGCTGTGAACTTAAAATGCCCTTTAAAAGTCTACATAGGCCGGACACAGTGGCTCATGCTTGTAATTCCAGCACTTTGGGAGGCCGAGGCAGGTGGAATGCTTGAGCCTAGGAGTTTGAGACCACCCTGGACCACATGGTGAAACTCCATCCTACAGAAAAACACAAAATTAGCTGGGCATGGTGGTGTGTGCCTATAGCCCCAGCTACTCAGAAGGCTGTAGTGGAGGATCACCTGAGCCCTGGAGGTGGAGGTTGCAGTGAGCTGAAATTGAGCCATGCACTTCAGCCTGGATGACAGAGTAAGATGCCATTTCAAAAAAAGTCTATGTAAAAAAGTTGAGGGGGGAAGGATTGGGAAATCAGTATATTGTAGAAAAACTATGTGAAAATATTTTATGTTTACATAAAATTAAGTTCCATTCCCTAAAGAATAAGGGATAAGATATAGAAAAGCTCTAGATTCTCAAGATGATGGAGAGCACCCAAAGCATTCTTTTTCTATTTTATTATTTTTTTTAGAGGTAGGATTTCACTCTGTCACCCAGGCGGGAGTGCAGTGGTGCGATCATAGCGGGGACTACAAGTGTGCACCACATGCTTGTCTACGAACCTGAAGTATTCTGATGCAGTGGAGAGAGTGTAGAACTCTGGAGTGAAGAGATCTGCCTGGAACCCTGACTCTATCACTAGGTAATTCCTATAATCTCCCTAGGCCTGTTTTCTCAGCTGGAAAATTGATTGATTTGTGGTATTTGAAGTGCCTTTGAGCTTGGGATATCCATGCTGGTGTTTGGCTACAGTATAGCATAGTGGCTAGAGCACAAACTCTGGAGTTAGAATGTTTAGGTTAAACCTCAGCAACTCACACCAAAGGTATGTGACTGTGGGCAAGTTATTAGCCTCTCTGAGCCTCAGTTTCTTCATCTGTAGACTGGGGATAATAATAGTAAATATACTGCTGAACAGTTTTAAAGATTCAATGAAAAAAAAATCTATAGAAAGTGCCCGACACACAGTAAGTAGAAGATAAATATAAGCTATTATAATTACAAAGTGTATATGCTGTTATTCTGATACCCTTTTGCTACCGCTGAGAGCACACTACTCTATACCTACATATAGTTGCAAGGAACAGGAGGTAAATGGAATTAACCAATTGGAGTTTGCCAGGTTCCCCGTTTGGGAAAGGAATGAAAGGAATCTTCAAATATCTGAGTGGTCAGGACCTCTGGGTTATGACTCAGCTACAGTCAACTGTCAGATTTTCCCACAGCTCAGTGGAAAGTCACTGAAGACTCCGTGAAAACAGTGCCATCTCTCCTTCAGTGTTTCTCTGCTAGGATGCACTGCTGACTCTGGAAGTCTGACCATATTTTTGTCCCAGCAGGCAGAGGGATTTAAGCAGGCTTGGTTGATTTTTCACCCAAAATGTCTGCAACTGTTTCTGCTGTACTGATGATGCCACAAGGCTCAAGCCTGTGAGAGTTTATTGTCAACCCCACTGCAGGGCATCAAAGAAGAAAAGTTTGGGGTCTGGATTGTTTTTCCAGGCAGGAACAATGATGTAGTGACTATCATAGATTATTTCAGAGTTCAGAATCTCATGTCTCAATTCCCCTTGCTGCTCTCTACCTTTCTCTGTGGATGAAATTAAGATTATGGATGATGGCCGGGCGTGCTGGCTCATGCCTGTAATCCCAGCAGTTTGGGAGGCCGAGATGGGTGGATCACCTGTGGTTGGGAGTTCAAGACCAGCCTGGCCAACATGGCAGAAACCCCATCTCTATTAAGAATACAAAATTAGCCGGGCATGGTGGCGCATGCCTGTAATCCCAGCTACTCAGGAGGCTGAGGCAGGAGAATCACTGAACCTGGGAGGCGGATGTTACAGTGAGCCGAGATTGCGCCATTGCACTCCAGCCTGGGCAACAAGAGTGAAATTCCATCTCAAAAAATAAAATAAAAAATAAGATCATGGATGTCAGCTTGAAAGATAACATTAGTGATAGTCACTGAGATTTTTTTTTTAAGTTTTCTCAGATTGCCCCAGCAGAAGCTCCATCTGTTAATGTAATTGTCCACAGATTAAACAGAAGTGGAAACATCCACATAATTTGCTTATAATTCTAACATCTTTTGAAATCTTAGGTCACTTCCTCAAATTTGAGTTCAAGAACCCTTTTTATCAATCTGTTTGAATGTTTCTCAATCTTCCTCTTTCTAGCCTTGCAGAGAAATCTCACAGCCAGATCTACACCATGATGTTCAAGTAACTGAGGGGCTAGTGATCTGGGACAAAGTACCTTTTCTTTCTTATGTTCCCCTTCTTAAGAGTAGAGTTGCCATGGTCCAAAGCTGGTCTGGAATTTCCCCTGCATTGAGGTCTACCCAATACAAGAATCGATTTTAAACCTAAATCTCTCGCCCAGGTATGAATTTCCTTATGGCTGCCCCAGGACTGGATACTGGATGCCATTCAACAAATATTGGTTTTTATTACACCCCTTTTAATAGCATTTTAGTGGCCTTGGCACCTCAACTCTGAATGTTTCTCCCTTTGGCCCTCCTACTTCTCTGTATACCTTTTTGTCTTCAGGTGGATCATTGGGATCTGCCCTTGGCAGAAAAATCTACACTGTGGTACTTGAAATGCCATGATATACATCTTAAAACAAATTTTTTTTTGGGACAGGGTCTCCTCCCTCTGTTGCCCAGGTTAGAGTGCAGTGGGCACAATCATAGCTCATTGAAACCTTAAACTCCTAGGCTCAAGCAAGTTTCTCACCTCAGCCTCTTGAGTAGGTGGGACTACAAACGCACAACCACCATGCCTAATTTTTTTTCTTTTTTGTAGAGACAGGGTCTTGCTATGTTGACCAGGGTGGTCTTGAACTCTTGGCCTCAAGGGATCCTTCCACCTTGGCTTCCGAAACAGCTGGGATTACAGCCGTGAGCCACCATGCCCAGCCATGATATACTTTTTTTTTTTTTTTTTTTTTTTTTTTTTGAGACCGAGTCTCATTGTGTTGCCCAGGCTTGAGTACAATGGCGTGATCTTGGCTCACTGCAACCTCCGCCTCCCAAGTTCAAGCGATTCTCTTGCCTCAGCCTCCCGAGTAGCTGGGACTACAGATGTGAGCCACCACGCCTGGCTAGTTTTTGTATTTTTAGTAGAGATGGGGTTTCACCATGTTGGCCAGGCTGGTCTTGAACTCCTGACCTCTGGTGATCCACCCACCTTGGCCTCCCAAAGTGCTGGGATTACAGGCATGAGCCACTGCGCCCAGCCGAAATACATTTTTTAGATGAAGAAATTGAAGCCCAGAAAAGGTAATTGGTTTTCCCAAGGTCATATAGGGACCTACACATTAACAGAGGTCAAGCCCAGAACACTGACTTCCCTGAATCCTGTTCCATAGTGACACTGTTAAGCCAGTAAGTGTCACCTTTTTAAAAATATGTATTTCCGAAGTAGGGGTTAGGAGGAATGGAGGGAATGAAACGCTCACTGAAGAAAGGATAGGGCTAAAGGAAGGATAGAACCCACACAAGGAAAGGGCTCTGGGTAGGCAGAAGGCCTAGGGAAATAGTATCTGGCTGTGGACAGGGAGAGGAGGTGCCATGGGGTGAGGAAAAGGCACAGAGAGAGTTGAGAGACCACCATCACCACATACTTGGCCTGCTTGAAAATCTAACTCGGCCAAACAGATATAAGTGCCCCTCCAGATCTTATTATTTCTACAGCTGTGACTTAACTGCTGCTTATCTTTCCTCCAGGAGATTCCTTGGAATGAAACCAATGGGAGTCCAGGGTTTGGGAGAGTCTCATCAGAGCAGATGGGCGAGCAGCAGCCAGAACGCTTGTTGCCTTTGGCTGAGAACACTATCCTGGATCTGAATGTCTTGTGAGCAAACCCCAGCAGGCTCAGCCTTAGGCCTGAGTGAAGTTGGCCTGCTTCTCCTTAATGAACCTTGTGTACTCTCTCATCTCCCTTCCCCTCTTTTGCATGTTGAAAATCACATTCTCAGAGCACTCTTGAAGCTAAAACCACGTTGCCCGTTAGCAGCCCCAGTAGGATGGCATCTTAATGCTTTTGGTCCCTTGATATATTTGGAAGTGTACTGCATGGAGGGTCAGGAGGCCTGGTTTTAGCTCTTACCCAACCACTAATTTTCCCTGAGACCATAGGCAAATTGTTCATCCCTGGGCCACACTTTCCTTAGCTGTAAAGTTGTTTATAATAAGAATAGCTTTCATTTAGGAAATTTTTACTGTATACCAGATATAGTATCATTGAATTCCTTCAACAATCCTATGGCATGGGTACTTTTTTTTATATGGAATCTTGCTCTGTCACCCAGGCTGGAGTGCAGTAGTGCTGTCTTGGCTCACTGCATCCTCTGCCTCTGGGTTCAAGCAATTTCCCTGCCTCAGCCTCCCAAGTAGCTGGGATTACAAGCATGCACCACCATGCCCGGCTAATTTTTGTATTTTTAGTAGAGATGGGGTTTCACCATGTTGGCCAGGCTGGTCTTGAACTCCTGGCCTCGAACGATCCGCTTGCCTCAGCCTCCCAAAGTGCGGTGATTACAGGCATGAGCCACAGCCCCTGGCCAGCATAGGTACTATTGTTGTCCTGCTTCACAGATAAGGAAGCTGAGGCTTAGAATTTTTATACCCTAACCATCCCGTTTAAATTACTAGCCCTTACCCATGGCCAGCACTCCTTTCTCTGCCTTATTTTAGCCATAGCAGTTTTTTTTTTTTGAGATGGAGTCTCGCTCTGTCGCCCAGCGCAAGCTCACTGCAAGCTCTGCCTCCTGGGTTCATGCCATTCTCCTGCCTCAGCCTCCTGAGTAGCTGGGACTACAGGCACCCACCACCACAGCTGGCTAATTTTTTTGTATTTTTAGTAGAGATGGGGCTTCACCGTGTTAGCCAGGATGGTCTCGATCTCCTGACCTCGTGATCCGCCCGTTTCAGCCTCCCAAAGTGCTGGGATTACAGGCGTGAGCCACTGCGCCCGGCCAACCATAGCGTTTATTACCATCTAAGATGTTACATATTTTACTTTTTGGGTTGCCCTCTCCTTCTGTGAGAGTGTAAGCTCCATTAGGGAATGGATTTTTATCTTTTTATTCCTGTTGTTATTGTTCATTTGCTGTGTCCCCAGGACCTAGAATTGTGCATGGTTCATGATAGGTACTCAATATTGGTTGAATGAAAAAAGTGAGTGAATGAATTCTTGTTAGGAGTGTAAATTGGTATAGATTCTAAGGAAGTCATTTTGGCAATAGTAATACTTAACATGTGCTAACCTTTGGACCCTGCAACACCAGAACTAGGAATTTATCCTATAGATGATGTATTCATGTGTCTGCCTAAAACCATGGGTACCAGGCATGGTGGCTCGTGCCTATAATCCCAGCACTTTGGGACGCCAAGGCAGGAGGATCACTTGAGCTCAGGAGCTCAAGACCAGCCTGGGCAACATAGTGAGAGTCCATCTCTACCAAATATATAAATAACCAGACATAGTGGCACCTGTCTGTGGTTCAAGCTACTTTAGGGGCTGAGGCAAAAGGATTGCTTGAGCCCCGGGAGTTGGAGGCTGCAGTGAACCATTATCATGCCACTGCAGTCCAGCCTGGGTGATACAGCGAGACCCTTTCTCAAAAAAAAAAAAAAGACTAGAAACAAGATATTCATCAATAAGATAACTCATTAAATAAAGTGTGATAGGTCCCTCCAGTGGGCTTCTATGTAGAAGTGGAAAAGAATGCAGTAAATCGAGGCTGGGCGCGGTGGCTCATGCCTGTAATCCCAGCACTTTGGGAGGCTGAGGCGGGCGGATCACGAGGTCAGGAGATTGAGACCAGCCTGGCCAACATGGTGAAGCCTGGTCTCTACTAAAAATACAAAAAAATTAGCCGAGCGTGGTGGTGGGTGCCTGTAGTCCCAGCTACTCGGGAGGCTGAGGCAGGAGAATGGCATGAACCTGGGAGGCGGAGCTTGCAGTGAGTCAATATCGTGCCACTGCACTCCAGCCTGGGTGACAGAGCGAAACTCCTTCTCAAAAAAAAAAAAAAAAAAAGAGAATGCAGTAAATCTGCATGTGCTGATACACAACAACCTAAGAGATATTAAGTAAAAAAAAAGCAGAGTATAAAATGGTATATCACTTCCTTTCATTTGTATGAAAAGAAAAAGTATGATAGATTTTAAGATGTACTTGTTTATGCCTAGAATCTTTCTAGAAAGAAAGCTAAGAAACAAATAGTTGCCTCTGAGGAGGGGACAGAAGTTTAGGTTGGGATGGAGAATATCCTCTTACTGAGGTGTAATTCACAAACCATATAATTCACTCATTTAAAGTGTATAATTCACTTTATATGAGTGAATTACTTTTGGTATATTACTTTTAAAGATTATGGTTTAAATATATATATAACGTAAAATTGGCCATTTTAACCCTAGCAACATAGCAAGCCTAGGCAACATAACAAGACCTCATTGCTGCAAAAAAAAATTTTTATATTATCCAGGCTTGGTGGCACATGCCTGTAGTCCCAGCTACTCGGGAGGCCGAGGTGAGGGGATTGCTTGAGCCCAGGAGTTTAAGGCTGCAGTGAGCTGTGATTGTGCCATTGCACTCCAGCCTGGGCAATAGAGCAAGACCCTGTTTCAAAAATATAAAAGAAAATAAAATATTTAAAAATTAAAATAAATTTTAAAAAGAAAGTATAACAGGTTTTGAAAACTTAGTAATTTGCCTAAGATCGCACAGCTCATACTCCATAGTAGCAACCATCAGTTTTATTATAAAGTAATAAAAATTCTTACAAAGAATGAAGTTTTAGCCATCTTTCTGGGTGTTATAAGGGATTTTGGGTATCATCTAACCCCTTCATTTTACAGGATAACAGATTCATTGAGGTGAGATGGCTACCCCAAGTTAGGAATCCCATCAGTAGCAGGCCTCCTAATCCAAGGGACGGGATTTAGAGTAGGTCACAGAAGAGGTCTTTTGCTCTTTGACAAAACAAGTAGGGTTTGAATCTCTCCTGCCCCAAAATGAAATTTAGGAGTCTCTTACTTGAGACATCTCTTTTTTTTTTTTGAGACGGAGTCTCGCTCTGTAGCCCAGGCTGGAGTGCAGTGGCGCTATCTCGGCTCACTGCAAGCTCTGCCTCCTGGGTTCACACCATTCTCCTGCCTCAGCCTCCCAAGTAGCTGGGACTATAGGTGCCTGCCACCACGCCTGGCTAATTTTTTGTATTTTTAGTAGAGACAGGGTTTCACCGTGTTAGCCAGGATGGTCTTGATCTCCTGACCTCATGATCCACCTGCCTCGGCCTCCCAAAGTGCTGGGATTACAGGTGTGAGCCACCACACCCGGCCAGATATCTCTCGTATGTCCCATGCACCTGTACTGTCTAGTAGGAGGGAATGGGCCCACTGTGCCCTGATATTATTGTTTCTGTTTATCTGAAACTATGCAGCAAGCCTTCAGAGCCTATCTCAATTTCTACTTGTGAGAAAATTTCTCTGATTGTCCTACCACATCCAATTCTCACCTAATTCTTAGACACATTAGTATTTGAAACATATAATTAGCCATCAGAGAATGATGTGAGGCATTTTATAGCTGTGTCCATTTATGAGTCCATTCTGCCCACTAGTGTAAAGCACCAGAGAGGCCAGAGGTAGGTGACTGATTCCTGCTAGAAGGTCCCCAATAGATGGTTGTTGGTTGCTTGGATTAATTGAGCTGTGCCGTTCTGAAAACAAACGAACAAACAAACAAAAAAACCCTATGATTTTAGATATGAGTTATTCCAAAGGCTTCTCTGCACCTCCCCGCAGAGCTACATACTAGGTCACAGAACATTGGAATTGGTGGACATTGTGGCTATCCCTCAGTTGCTGAGAACCAAGTGTGACCCTTCCCTGTTTTTCTTACCCTGGCATTAATTACACCTTCATTTATGTGATTGTTTGATTACAGTTCATCTTCTCCTCCTCCCTTCCACCCCCAATAGACTAGAAATTCCATGAGAACATAGACTGTCTGGCTTGACTCATCATCGTATCTCCAGCACCAAGCCTGGCACATAGTAGGTGCTCAAGAAATATTCGTTGAAGGACTGGATGAATGAATATAGTACCTTATTTTATAGATGAGGAAGCAGAGGCCCAAAGAGGTCAGGTCAGTGGCAGAGCTGGGACAAGAAGGCAAGTCTCCTGGTTCCTCAGCCAGCATTCTTTCTGTTTTCCTCTGTATCCTCTCAGCATTAGAATTGGAAAATCTTGGAACCTAGTCTTAAACACTTTTATTTTGCAAATGGGAAACTGAGGCCCAGAGAGGGGAAAAACTTACCCAAGGCCACAGAAAGAGGCACTGGCAAAGCAAAGTCTGGTACCTAGGTCTCCTGACTCCCAAGCTAGTGCTCTTTCTTTGTAAAAGCACAGAAAAAACAAAGCTGAATTGGGCTTCTTGCCAAGCCCCTGCAGGAGGTCACATAGCTGAGCAGCTCTCAGAGTTCCTTGTCTATTCTTAGCCTGAACTTTTAGTGACTCTGGTCTTCAGCAGCCTTTTTCCCCTTTTTTCCTTTGCATTTGGTCTGTTGTGTATATGTAGTGTGTGTTTTAAATAAATGGTGCTACGTGTAGGAAATGGGCTTCAGCACAGTCCTGCTGCAGAGGCCCTGGAAAGAATAAATGTGAGAGAAGGGGCCCTGAGAAGACAATCAACTTCCCTTCCTCTGAAGTGACCCCAGTGTCCCAGAGCCACCCCCTCTCTGCTGCTTGTCACAACACAACTGCCAACAGAAGGCTAAACTCCTTACACAATAAGAAGGAAATCAACAGAATTTACAAGGAGGATTGGCTGTTAGTATTTGCCACTGAAGCCTCATTTTGATGAAGATCAAAAATCAGCTCTTCCTAAGCTGTGGTCCCTCTTCTAACATACACTTCAATTTCCCACCAACAAGTCATTTTTCAGTCAGTCACCAAACATGAATGAAAAGACCCTTCAGACGCAGTTCTAGCCTCTCAAAGCCTACCGCTTTCTCTACTTGCACAAACACTTTCTCCAGAGACATACAAGAAATTTAAGCAGCTACTGACCTCAGGTTACTTGGAAAAGACAAGAGACACAGAGGATAGAAGATAACTAATGTTGCCCTTGTGCAAAATGACCAATGAGAAGAACAGCTCTACATCAAGTTCACATTAGGCAGAGGTTGCTCTGGGCTAAGCTAGGTCAAGGAAAATTCAGGGGAGCAACTTGAACTGGTCTTGTCTATCAGTTATCTATTGCTGTGTAACATATTGCTCCACTTTGTGTTTTAGTTGTCTATTTTTTTTTTTTTTTTATAGAGACAGGGTCTTACTGTGTTGCCCAGGCTGGTCTTGAATTCCTGGGCTCAAAGGATCCTCCTGCGTCAGCCTCCCAAAGTGGTAGGATTACAGGTGTGAGCTGCCACGCGTAGCCTAGTGTCTATTCTTCCATGACAAATTACCTTAAAACTTAGTGGCCTAAAACAATAAACATTTATTATCCAACAGTTTCTATGGGTCAAGAATCCAGGTGTAGCTCAGCCAGGTGCCTCTGGCTCAGTCTTTCATGAGGTTTTAGTTAAGCTCTCAGCCTAAAGGCTCATCAGAGGGTAGAGAAGAATCCAGTTTCAAGCTCACTGAAGTGGTCGTTGGTAGGCCTCAGTCCCTCCAGACATAAGCCTCTCTATAGGGCTGCTTCAAGACTTGGTGCCGGCTTCACCAGGGTGAGAGGTTTAAGAGAGGAAGCGTGACCAAGATGGAAGCCACATTCCTTTTGCAACCTAATCTCAGAAGCGATATCCCATCACTTTTGTTGTATTCTTGTTATCAGCAGTGAGTCACCAAGTTCAGCCCACATACAAGGATGTGAATACCACGAGGCAGAGATCATGGGAGCCATCTTAGAGGCTGCCTGCCATACCTTGCCAGATGGATAGGATTTAAGTAAGGCATAGTAAGCATTCTAGTTAGTGAATTGGAGTTTTGAAAGGTTTGACTGGGGATGACCCTTGGTTGGAAAAAGACATCTAAATAGGAGGGTAGGAGGCCCAGATTGAACTGGGTTTTCAATGCCAGGCCAAAGAGTTTTACAGTGATGTGCCACATAACACATCTAATGGTGGGCCCGTAAGATTATAATGGAGCTGAAAAATTCCCATTGCCTGGTGATGTCATGGCCATTATACCATCCTATTGCAGTGCATTACTTACGTGCTTTTGATGATGTTGGTGTAAACACACCTATTGCACTGCCAGTCATATAAAAATATAGCACATACGATTACATACAGTGCATAATACTTCATAATAAATGATGATGTTACTAGTTTATATATTTACTATACTATTAATCGTTATTTTAGAGTGTACTCTTTCTACTTATAGGAAAAAAAAGTTAACTGTAAAACAGCCTCAGGTACATCCTTCAGGAAATATTTGAGAAGAAAGTAGTATTATCATAGAGGATAGCTCCATGCATATTATTGCATGGAGCTTCCAGTGGGACAGGATGTGGAGATGGGAGACAGTGATATTGATGATCCTGACCCTGGGTAGGGAGGGTCTCTGGATAGCCCTGACCTAGGTTAATGTGTATGTGTCTGTCTTAGTTTCAAACAAAACTGTTTAAAAAGTAAAACAAAAATAAAATTTTAAAAATGGAAATAAACTTATAGAATAAGGATATAAATAAGCTATTTTTGTACAGCTGTACAATGTTTTGGTATTTTAAGCTAAGGGTTATTACAAAAGAGTCAAAAGGTTAAAAATTAGAAGGTTTATAATGTCAAAAAGTTACTATAAGCTAAGCTTAATTTATTGAAGAAAGAAAAATTTAAAAATACATTTAGTGTAGCCCAAGTATACAGTGTTTATAAAGTCTACAGTAGTGCACAGTAATGCCGTGGGCCTTCACATTCATTCACCACTCACTCACTGACACACCCAGAGCAACCTCCAGTCCTGCAAGTTCCATTCATGGTATGTGCCCTCTGCAGGTGTACTGTCTAAAAAATTTTTGGCCGGGCATGATGGCTCATGCCTGTAATCCCCGCACTTTGGGAGGCCAAGGCGGGTGGATCACGAGGTCAGGAGATCGAGACCATCCTGGCTAACATGGTGAAACCCCGTCTCTACTAAAAACATAAAAAATAAGCCGGGCATGGTGGCACGCACCTATAGTTCCAGCTACTCAGGAGACTGAGGCAGGAGAATCGCTTGAACCCAAGAGGCGGAGGTTGCAGTCAGCCAAGATCGCGCCACTCTACTCCAGCCTGGGTGACGGAGCAAGACTCCATCTCAAAAAAAAAAAAAAAGGAACTAAGTCTATTTTATTCCTATTGTATCTGTATAATTTACAATAGAGGTTGGCATATAGTAGGTGACCATGAAAATTTGTTGACTGAATAATGCAGTTACCAGATTTGTTTTTTGAAATTTCTGACAATCTAATCCCAAGGAAGCTTATGTATTTACTTTAGGAGCTTCTAATCAGGATATAAATGTTGTCCCCTATTTCTTTTCTTTTCTTTTTTTTTTTGAGACAGAGTCTTGCCCTGTTGCCCAGGCTGGAGTGCAATGGCGTGATCTCGGCTCACTGTAACCTCTGCCTCCCAGGTTCAAGCGATTCTCCTGCCTTAGCCCCCTCAGTAGCTGGGACTACAGGCATGTGCCACCACGCCCAGCTATTTTTTTGTATTTTTAGTAGAGGCGGGGTTTTGCCATGTTGTCCAGGCTGGTCTTGAACTCCTGACCTCAGGTGATCCACCTGCCTCGGCCTCCCAAAGTGCTGGGATTACAGGTGTGAGCCACTGCACCCGGCCTACTTGTCCCCTATTTTTAAGGCAACATTATTCAAATTACCCAGGACATAAGAAAGGGGGAAGTTGAGCTTTAATCATGGGCCTAAATCCTTCCCTGTGACTAAAAGCTCTTTAAACAGTTCATCATTCTGTCGAGCCTCAGAATCTTGGAAGACAAACTTGGTGTCTAAGAACAGACAAAACTGGTTCCACCCACTTAGCAGTTCAGGAGTACAACCTGCCAGTAGACTGGTCAAGGTCCCAACACCTGGTCCTGCCCATTAGTCACGCTGCCTCCTGCCTTACTGGCTGACCAGAAGCTATTTTTGTGCAATGCCGTTACGTATGAAGAGAGAACTTGTTCTGGGGGAAGGAGTAAGGGAAGCAAAACCGTAAGGTGGGTGTATTAGTTCTGCTATGGCTGCCATAACAAAATACCACAGACTGGGTGGCTTAAACAGGAAATTTATTTTTCATAGTTATGAAGGCTGGAAGTCCAAGATCAAGATGTTGGCAGGGTTGGTTTCTTGTGAGGTGTCTCTCCTGGGCATGCCAATGGCTGTCTTAACGCTGTGTTCTCCCATGGCCTTTTCTCTCTGCACATACATCCCTGGTGTCTCTTCCTCTTCTTGGAAGGACACCAGTCCTATTGGATTAGAGCCCTGCTCTTATGACCTTATATAACCTTAATTACCTCTTTAAAGGCCTTATCTCCAAATACAGTCACCCTGGGGATTAGGACTTCAAAATATAAATTTAGGGGAGACAATTTGATAGGCAAGGTTTATTTCAAGTATGTCTCTTACCCTCTCATCCATACTCTTATAAAGGAATGATAATCTCCCATCTGTGGAGATGGCAGTTGATGATCCCTAAAAATTCTTCACATCCATGGTCTTGTGATATTACAGCAGCCTCCAAGTTAGCAGAGGTACTGTCATTATCCTTCCACTTCAGATGAAGAAACAGACCAAGAGGGTTAACAGGTTCTCCCAGTCACAGAGTATGGAATCTGGTTTCCGACTCCTGGGCCTCTCTGTGCTTGCCCTTGGCTCCTCAGGACTGGCCCCTGCAATGCCCCCACCCAGATTCTTTTTTCTGTTTTTGAGGTAGGATCTCACTCTGTTGCCCAGGCTGGAGTGCAGTGGCATAATCCTGGTTCACTGCAGCCTTGACCTCCGGGGCTTAAGCAATTCTCCCACCTTGGCATCCCAAGTAGTGCACACTACCACACCTAGCTAACATTTTTTTTTTTTTTTAACTTTTAGTACCGACGAGGTCTTGCCACGTTGCCCAGGCTGGCTCAAACTCCTGGGCTTGAGCGATCCTCCCAAAGTACTGGGATTACAGGCATGAGCCACCAAACCTGGCCCTCCCCACCTAGATTCTAACTCCCCAGTTTTTCTTCCTCCTGCTCTACTCCATCAAAACTTACCTACCTTTCAAAGTTCTTCCATTTGATTTTCAAAGTGATGACTAACTGGATGAATAAACCATTATTAATAAACTATGTTGATTTGTTAGTGAATGAGATATTACTAGAAGGGAGCTAGGCTAAACACATTAACAACCTATGAGATTTGACATCTTGAAAAATATTTTTTTCACATACCATATCCAACTTACTTATATTCTGACAGAAATTATGTAAAGTAGATATTATTATTATCTCTTTTTCCAAAAAAACAGATTCAGAGATTAGGTAGCTAGGCCAGGATCACACAGGTAAGTAGCAGAGGTGGAACTTGAACCCAGATAACTGCATATACTTTTCACTACGTCTTGCCCCACAGCCAAACTTTATTAGTTAGTTCAGAAGACTGTTACCCTGAAGTTCACCTCTGAATAGTTAAAGATGTGGCCTTCCCTCGCCCGTCTAGTCTACCCTAACCTACCCTCAATTGAGTTCCCACAGTGCTGGGACTTGAATCTCAGCTCCATTCCTGCTTAGCTGTGGTGATCACAAGCACATTTTTTCCCTCCTCACTGGGCTTTTGTTTTTTCACCTGTGAAATTAAAGCATTGACTGGGGTCATTTTTCAGTTTTAAGACTCTAAAAAACTGATTGCTTTTATCTTCCATTTCATTCATTCAACAAGTATTCATCAAGCACCTGGTTGTATCAAGCACTCTGCTGGGTACTGAGGACAGAGCAATGAACAAGTCAGACAAGGTCTCTGCCCTCAGGGAGTTTACTTTTCTTTTTTTTTTGAGACACAGTCTTGCTTTGCCACCCAGGCTGGTGTGCAGTGGCACAATCTCGGCTCACTGCAACCTCCGCCTCCCAGGTTCAGGCCATTCTGCTGCCTCAGCCTCCCAAGTAGCTGGGATTACAGGCATGCACCACCACAACCAGCTAATTTTGTATTTTTTTAGTAGAAACAGGGTTTCACCATGTTGGCCAGACTCGTCTCAAACTCCTGACCTCAGGTGATCCGCCTGCCTTGGCTTCCCAAAGTGCTGGGATTACAGGCGTGAACCGCCGTGCCCAGCTGTGAGTTTACTTTCTTACATGCCAGGAAAGGACCCTCGAAAGCATCTAGTCCAGTCCTTTTACAGAAGAGAAAAGTGAGTGATGATGGCGAGTGACTTATTCAAAGTCACAAAGCAAGAAGTGTCAGAGAAGGCATCCAGGAAGCTGGATGTTTTCATTCCTCCTTTGGGGCATTTTTCTTCCTCGCCATACCTTGTATTGTGAGTTCTCCTAGAACATGGTTTATCTCAGCTCGCTAACTAGACTGTGGCCTCTGATAGGTGTTTATCCCGAGATATGCTTCACACTGTGCTGCTGCTGGAGTATCTGACAACAGAGCTCACTCTCAGAAACCACCATTTCAACATTCTGAAACAGAAACTCTCCAGCACACAGGAGTACGATCAGAGTCTGACATGCAGGGCGTGAGCCAGCTCACAAGTAGCTCTGCTCTGCAGGGGCTCCTCTTTTTCATGCCACCAGGGGCCGGAGTCTATTTCCACTATCAGACTGCATATTTTTCTGTTCTGCTCACTGCTTTCCTACTGCTTTCTTTTCTCCAGATCAGGACCTGAAGTAGGTGGCTGCCCATCCAGGTATTCTACAGGCACTTGCCCGTGAAACCTTCACCACTCCTTGAATCTGGTTCTGCAAAGTGGGACAGCTGAGACTTAGGCTAAGTGACTTACTGAGGCAGCAGTCAGCACCGTGTGGGACCAGCCCCCATGCTGTTTCCCAAATGGAGGCACCTTCCTGCATACCTTGGGCGTGATCTGTAACAGCTCAGAAAGCTTGGACACCAGCAGGGTGGCACCTATATGGGGAGCACCTGTCCGCACTGACTGCATTCAATAAGCGTTCATTTCATCACCCTTCACCATGGTAATTTTTTAATTTTAAATTTTATCAAAGTTATACAGGAACATTGATTAAAAAGGGAACTAGTTCTTTAAGATTTGTTAAGACAAAGAGCAGTCCTCAACCTCCCTGTACCCACCCCAACCCCATTTCCTTTTCCTTAGAGGGACCAATTTCAACTTGTTTAATTCTTTTGGAATTTACTTATCTCCAAATAACATGTTTTATAATACTACTTCCTGTTTTTTCCTTTAGGCCTTATCTGTTGACTTCCCACTATGGAAGACGAGGATTTAGCTCCTTCTTCTTCATTTGCCCCCTCTATACATATGCATCCCTCTCTGTGCCCCCTTGCTCCCAGTATAGTGTAAGTTTTGTAGATAATAGTGTTTGTTATGACAGTGTAAATGCCACTTGGAGCTAAGCCATGTAGTCAGCCATGATTGCTTTTCCTAACACATCACTTTGTTTTGCTTATCTTTTTTCATCCACCTAGGTTTCTAAGGCCTTACCACTAGTCACTCTTACCACTTAAAGTCTGCCAATTACCTAGATCTTCTCTCAATACATTTTTCTCAGGAAAGTCTCTTGGAGCCTTCTCTCCTGCACTGGGGGCCTGCTACACACTGCTATTCTGGAACCTCTATTTACCACTGTCCAGGGGATTCCCTTGCCTCTTTCTTGTGTTAGATTGCCTGTTTTCTGGATCCCATGTCTTCTCATTTTATGCTTTCTTCCCTCGTTTTGATAACATATGTCCTCCAGGAGTTTCCTGGGAGTACACAAGAGATAATTTTTTTTCAAAATCTTGTGTGTCTGAAAATGTCTAACACTTGGTTAATTGAGTGTGGAATTCTAGGTAAGAAATCGTTTTGCCTCAGAACTTAGATTCCTCAGCCCTGTCGTCTTCTAGCTTCCAGTGCTGCTGTTGAGAAGGCCAAAGCCATTCTGATTCCTCACTCTGTGTGTGCGACCTTGCGGGATTTCTTTGTCCCTAGCATTAAGAAATTTTACAATGACACACCTATTGTCCTGGCCATTCGTGACCCTTTCAATCTGAAAAGTCATGTCCTTTCGATTCTGGAGTGTTTTGTTGAATTATTTCATTTCCTTTGTTGTATTTCTAAAACTTATTATTCACATATTGGGATGAATTTCTCATCTGTTCCTTCCTAGTTTCTATTTTGTCTTTTTATTCTACTTCCTGGAAAATTTCCTCAATGTTTTCTAATCCTTCCACTAAGCATTTTGTTTCTGATGTCGTATTTTTTCTTTCCAAGAGCTCCTATTGTAGGCTTTACCCTTGAAAAAAAAAATTTTTTTTTGAGACGGAGGAGTCTTGCTCTATTGCCCAGGGTGGAGTGCAGTGGCGTAATCTTGGCTCACTGCAATCCCTACCTCCTGGATTCAAGCGATTCTCCTACCTCAGCCTCCCAAGAGGCTGGGATTACAGGCATGCACCACCACGTCCAGCTATTTTTTGTATTTTTAGTAGAGATGGGGTTTCACCATGTTGGCCAGGTGGTCTCAAACTCCTGACCTCAAGTGATCCACTTGCCTCGGCCTCCCAAAGTGCTGGGATTACAGGCATGAGCCACCGCACCCGGCCAAAAAGCATTTTTTTGATGAAGTTTTAGATATAGCAAAATTAGATGCATGTGTTTAATTCACTGTTTTTTTTTTTTTTTTTGAGACAGAGTCTCACTCTTGTCGCCCAGGCTGGAGTGCAGTGGCAGAATCTTGGCTTGCTGCAACCTCCGCCTCCCAGGTTCAAACGAATCTCCTGCCTCAGCAGGAGTAGCTGGAATTACAGGTGCCCACTGCCACGCCCGGCTAATTTTCGTATTTGTAGTTGAGATGGGGTTTCACCATGTTGGTCAGGCTGGTCTCAGACTCCTGACCTCAAGTCATGTGCCCACCTTGGCCTCCCAAAATGCTGAGATTACAGGCATGAGCCACTGCGCCTGGCCTAATCCACTATTTTTATTCAGTATCTCTGTATATACTAGTTATTTAATGATTCGTATCTTATATTTGTATTAAACCCTTTAAGCTTTCATAGTGGATTTCTATCAGTTAACATATTTGATCCTCACTACTTAGACTATTATATATGGATCAGACTTTGGGATCATCAAGTTCAGCCCTATCAACTCACAGAGAGAAAATCCAATTCCCAGAAAGGTGAATTATCATGCTGGAAAACACTTGTTTCTGCCAGAACTTAGCAGAGGCATGTGAGACATTATTTGGCAGGCACAAAATACTGTAGGTTTGTGTTTTCACTCTTTTAAAAAAATTGTTATTGCCAGATGTGGTTACGTGATCCTGTAGTCCCAGCTTCTTGGAAAAGTGAGGCAGGAGGATTGCTGGAGCCTAGGAGTTCAAGGCTGTAGTGCACTGTGAATGGTCACTGTACTTCAGCCTGGGCAACACAGCGAGACCCTTTTTTTTTTTTTTTTTTTTTTTTTTTTACAAAAAAGTGTTGGCCAGGTGTGGTGGCTCATGCTTATAATCCTAGCACTTTAGGAGGCTGAAGTGGGCAGATCATAAGGTCAGGAGATCGAGACCATCCTGGCTGACACAGTGAAACCCCGTCTCTACTAAAAATACAAAAACAAAATTAGCGGCCGGGCACAGTGGCTAATGCCTGTAATGCCAGCACTTTGGGAGGCCGAGGCGGGTGTATCATGAGGTCAGGAGATCGAGACCATCCTGGCTAACATGGTGAAACCCTGTCTCTACTAAAAAAAATACAAAAAAAATTAGCCGGATGTGGTGGCAGGTGCCTATAGTCCCAGCTACTCGGGAGGCTGAGGCAGGAGAATGGCGTGAACCCAGGAGGTGGAGCTTGCAGTGAGCGGAGATCGCACCACTGCACTCCAGCCTGGGTGATAGAGCAAGACTCTGTCTCAAAACAAACAAACAAAATTAGCTGGGCCTGGTGGCAGGCGCCTGTAGTCCCAGCTACTCAGGAGGCTGAGGCAGGAGAATGGCGTGAACCTGGGAGGCAGAGCTTGCAGTGAGCCGAGATTGCACTACTGCACACCAGCCTGGATGACAAAGCGAGACTCTTAAAAAAAAAAAAAAGTGTTATAGGCCAGGCATAGTGGCTCCCATAACACTTCGGGAGGTGGAGGCAGGTGGATCACTTGAGATCAGGAGTTTGAGACCATCTGGCCAACATGGTGAAACCCCATCTCTACTAAAGATACAAAAAGTAGCCAGGCATGGTGGCATGTACCTGTAGTCCCAGCTGCTTGGGAGGCTGAGGAAGGAGAATCACTTGAACCCAGGAGGCAGAGGTTGCAGTGAGCTGAGATCTGGTCATTGCACTCCAGCCTGGGCAACAGAAGGAGACTCTGTCTTAAAAAAAAAAAGTGTTATTGAGGTATAACTGACATACAATAAACTGCACTTATTTACAGTGTATGACTTGATAAGTTTCGACATATATATACAGTCCTGCAGCCATCATCATAATCAAGATAGCTATCGCCCCTAAAGTTCCCTCATGCCCCTTTGTAGTTCCACCCTCCTGCCTCCTCCCAACCTGGCCCAGGCAACCACTGATTACCTTCTGTCACTGTAGATTAGTTTTCATTTGTTAGATATAAATGGAATCATGCAGAATAATCTCTCTTTCTGTCTGGCTTTGTTACATGTAGTTTTTTTGTTATGTTTGTTTTTAGAGAGGGTCTCACTCTGCACCCAGGCTGGAGTGCAGTGGCACGATTATGGCTTACTGTAACCTTGAACTCTTGGGCTCAAGTAATCTTCCTGCCTCAGCCTCCCAAGTAGCTAGGACCACAGTCATGGCCACCATGCCCGGCTAATTTTTAAAAATTCTTTGTAGAGATCGTGTCTTGCTATGTTGCTGAGGCTGGACTTGAACTCCTGGTCTCAAAGGATCCTCCTGCCTCAGCCTCCTAAAGGGCTAGGATTATAGGTATGAGCCACTGTACCTGGCCTACATGTAGCTTTGTTGGGTACTTTGGAGATCATACCTGACTGTTCAGGTGGAAAGCCTTCACCAGCTCCACCTCCCTCTACATCCTTTCTCTTCCACACACTGCCCATCTTCCCTCTTCTAGTTTCAGAGGCTACAAGTCTTCAGTGTTCTAGTCTTCTCTTCGTATGAGCCTGCTCCCAGGAAAGGACCAGTATACTCCATTCACACTGAGATGACTGATATGACTGATATGTCTTTTATAAAAGACAAAAACCCACATTTGGCTTGTGCCAAAGAAGTAAAGCTCTAATGACGAATTTCCAAGCATGAGTAGATAAGTTTGAAAGAGATTTATTGACAAGGGTTTCGCTGAACTTCTAGAAGTACGTCCTATATAATGGAGTCCTCATATAGACTGACTCTGCAGACAGGCACAATGAATTGAAATCACCTCTGGTCCCATTCAGAATTTCAGTTTCCTGAAATGTCAGCTATTTGAGAGCTAAGAAAAGAGCTAATGTCTTGCCGGCCTTCCTTCCTTTTGGTCTATTTGGCAGAGAATACAATCCTGTATAGATAAAGAGTCACTCAGGAGGGCGGGGCCTCCCATGTTTAGTCCTAGTGTCCTTGGTCTGGGTGAGAGGAGGACCATCGGAGGGAGCCCTGGGAAGCTGGACTGAGGTCCAAGCTGGCAGCGACCCAAGGGTCACAGGCAGGAGGGCCTGGCAGACTTGACTGTCCTACTTCTCTTTTTACTCGTTTTTACATTTAATCTTCTTAACAGCTTTGTAAAGCAGGAGAATGGAAAATATTTCTTTATTTTAAAAATGAAAAAAGAGAGGTAACATAACCTGTGTAACTTCAAAGCCTTTCTCAGCCGTAGCTCTGACTGTAGACACCTCAGGCCACCTGCCTGCTGATGTCAGGGAACATGGTGGTGTGACACCTCTGGGCTGCAGCAGAGGAGTCAGGGCAAGAAAGGGAAGGGAGTAGAGTCCTCAAGCCCCTACACTCTCAACCGTTGTTCCTCCCTCCACTGCCCTAACTGCCCTATGTGACCGCCCCCAGGTTTACCATTCCTCTCCAGGGGCCTGTCTGAAAATGCATAGAGCCTAGGAGGGGAGGGCAAATGCAGTGGTCCCCAGTAGTCTGTGGGAAGGGAACCATCAGACGTTTTCCTTGTGAACAGGAGGACCTGCTTAGGACAAAGCTGCTGGTTAATGGGGAAGACACACAGGCAGTCCTTTTGGCTCAGTTCAGCATTTGTTGAATACTGACTCTGCCAAAATGGGGCCAGGCACATTTCCCAACCTCGTAGTCTTTGGTCCTTGTGGGTCTTTTTTATTTTTATTTTTTTTTTAGAGATGGAGTCTCACTCTTATCACCCAGGCTGGAGTGCAGTGGTGTGATCTCAGTTCACTGCAGCCTTTGCCTCCCGGGTTCAAGCAATTCTCCTGCTTCAGCCTCCCGAGTAGCCAGGATTACAGATGTGTGCCACATACCTGGCTAATTTTTGTATTTTTAGTAGAGATGGGGTTTCTCCATGTTGGCCAGGCTGGTCTCAAACTTCTGGCCTCAAGTGATTCGCCCAGCTCGGCCTCCCAAAGTGCTGGGATTACAGGCGTGAGCCACCGCGCCTGGCCCCTTGTAGATCTTGAATGGTGGGAAACTGAATAGTGGTTGGTGGAGAGGGAGGAGGTTGTATAGAACCCCTTCCTCAGTAACCCAGGAAAGATGTAGCGAAGGCTAAACCGGGGGAAAGAGCACAGGGAAGAGATTTTAAAGACAATCTTGACCAACTTCAGTATTTTGTCAGGGCTGGCTGCTCCCGCCTCCGGGGACCCCAGTCTGCCTGCTGGTCCTCCTGTGCCAAGGAACTCAGTGGCACAAAACCTCCAAGCAGAAGAGGGCAGGAAAAGGGAGTAGAGCTTTCAGAGTCCTGCTTCTTGTATAAGGACAACATCTCCCCTCCATCACCAAGCAATGGCAAACTCTCAAAATTAAATTTATTTACAAATCAGACATCCCATGATTCTTTTAGCAAGAGGGCAGGCATTTCTATATCTTGAAAATAATAAAAAGGTAAATATTTCTATGTATTTAATACAATTCTAGTTTATTATCGTTTATTTCGTTTGATTCTATTAATGAGCTTATGCAGTAGCCAGGCAGGAATTATTGGCAGCTAACAGATAAGGAAACTGAGGCACAAGAGAGTTTGACTTACTCAACGTCACATAGACTCATAGTCACATAGTAGTGAAGCCAGATCTTAACACTTCACAGGCTAGAAGGGGTTGTAGAAGCTGGGACCACAGCTGTTCCAGGGATGTTTGTGGGATAAAGTGGCCTAGGCTAGGAATTGGGATTTGTTCTGTATTTTATCATCTTTTGAGATTATCTGTGGCCTTGCATGGGTATAAAGACGGATATAAAGACCAGGGTTCTGGTTCCAATTCTGCCAGTCATCTGCCATGTGAACTTAGCATGACTCAACTTTTTTTGGTCTTGGTTTTCTAATTTCTAATATCAGAATTTAAAGGATCCTGGGATGTTTTAGGAGGAAGGGGCATTTAAATTATATCATTAAAATTTGGGCTAAAAGTGAGAGGAAAGACAATAACCATGAGCACTGGCACAAAGGTGGAAATTCAAGGTCTGGTCTGGAAATAGCTAGAGAAATTTAACTTGGAATATAGAACAGGTGTTGATATAATGAGTTCATTTATTTTGCCTGCTGTATGATAGTTCATTGAAGTAGTAAACCACAGTTCATATATCCATTCTAACTCTAAAAGATACTAAGAAATACTAAAAATGTTGCTTTGACATTTTTAGTATTACAGTGACACAATGAACATCCAAGTGCATGGTTTTTAAAAATATGTGTGTGACTTGATTGAAGATTGAGGCTTAGAAATGGAAAATGCTAGGTTATAGGCTATTCACATCTTCAACTCTACTAGGTATTATGTATTTCTGTTCCCCACCAAGACTTTTAAATTGTTGCTAGTTGGCTGACTGTGAATGGTGGTAAAATATATTTTAATTTTCATTTTCCTAATTACTAGTGAGATCGAATTTATTTTCATGTGTTTGTTGATCATTTAGGTTTTTTCTTCTAAGGTGTCTGATAATATCTTTGTTTATTTTCATAGGAGTTATATATTACAGACACTAATCCTTTATTGATTATATGCATTGCAGATACCTTCTTCCAGTCTGTGGCTTGTCTTTGTACTTTACGTTGTTTCTTCATGAAAAAAATTTTTTTTAAAGTTTCATTAGTTAATTTAGCAGCATATTCTTTTATGGCTTTGCTTTTGTGTTTTAAGAAATCTTTGGCCAGAGGTCATAAAGACATTTTCATATATTTGCTTTTTAAAGTGTTAAAGATCTTTGTTTCTTTCACCTTTGTCTTCAATTTTACCTTTCCATGTTTCAGAACCACTTAATGAACCTTCCATGCTTTTTCTGTGGTTTGTAATGTGACCTCTACCACATACCACATTCCCATACAAAGACAGGTTTGCTTCTAACCTTTGTGTCTCATTCACTTCATCTGTTTGCCTGTTCCTGTACCACACTATTGTATGTTAGGACAATTCTTCACCTTCTTTAAAAGGAAGAAGATTATTGTGGCTCTTCTTGGCCTTTTTTCTTTTCAAATGATTTTTAGGATCCAAAATGTATAATTTATGAAAGAAAATCTATTGGAAATTTTAAAGGATTACACTTGATTTCCAGATGGACTGGGGATAATTGCCAGTTTTATAGTATTGATTCTTCCCATCCATGAACATGGCACATCTCCTCATCTGAGTCTTCTTTTTGTGCATTTGTTGGATTTATTCTAGGTACCTTCTGGTTTTTGCTACTATTATAAATGATATATTTTAAATGACTTATAATAGTTTTTGCTGCCCTATAGGAATGCTGTTGGTTTTTTATGTTGATTTTATATCCGACAGCCTTGATAAACTCTCATTAGTTCCAATAATATTCCAAAGAAATGTTTTGAATTTTTCTATATAGACAGTTAATTCAGCTGCAGATAATGTTATTTTGTTTCTTTTCTTTTTCATGTATTATTGTGATCTCTAGGAACTTTAGTACTATATTGGATAGAATAGTGGGTTTGGTCTTGACTAGAAAGAGAAGGCTTCTTATTTTTTTTATTTATTTTTTTGAGATAGAGTCTCCCTCTGTAGTCCAGGCTGCAGTGTAGTGGCGTGATCTCAGTTCAGTGCAATCTCTGCCTTCTGGCTTCAAGCGATTCTCCTGCCTCAGGCTCCCGTGTAGCTGGGATTACAGGTATGTGCCACCACAACCAGCTAATTTTTGTATTCTTTAGTGGAGATGGGGTTTCACCATGTTGGCCAGGCTGGTCTTGAACTCCTGACCTCGTGATCTGCCCACCTCAGCCTCCCAATGTGCTGGGATTACAGACATGAGCCACCGTGCCTGACCGAAAGAGAAGGCTTCTATTTCACCATTGACTATGGTGTGTTCAGTGAGATGTTGAAAAATATACTTTATTGAGTTAAGAAAATGTTTTTATATTTCTAGTTTGCTAACAGTTTTTTCTATGATTGGGTGTTGACTTTTTTAAATCAAATGCATTTTCTGCATCTGTTGAGATTCTCCTTTAGTGTTCTTTAACTTATTAATATGAATGATATTGAATGATTATCTGATGTGAAACCATCCTTGCATTCCTGGGATAAACCCTACTGGATAATGATTTATATATTTTTTTGTACATTGCTAGATATGGCTTGCTAATCTTTAGTATTTTATATCTATGTTCATTAATAAAATTGGCCTCTAATTTTCTTTTCTCATACTGTCCTTATAGGGTATACAAATGTAAATATACTATTTTTAATAAGAATTAGAGTCATTAGAATTAGAAGGGAATTTAAAGAGCATCTAGTCTGATCTCATCATCTTATAGTGGAAGACACTGGAACTCAGAGAAAGGAAATAGCCTTTCTAAAATCATACAAAATTAGAAACAGAGTTGGGACTAAAGTGCTTGGCAAAGCACTTGCATTTCAAATTACTTTCCCATTCATGATCTCATTTTATCTCCACAACAGCCTTGCAGGGAGGGTAATGCTTATTGTCCCCATTTTATAGATGGGCTAACTGAGGTCCAGTCACTGAGGTCATGACTTATGTGACCTAGCAGAGTTGGGTCCTAGACCCCTCCAAAATTTCTTTTGTTCTGTGCCCAACCCCACTGACAGAACCACTTATCTGCCTGAAATGAAGGGACCCACTGAGTCATGTATCTAAAATTAATATTTTGTAAGAGTCCAGCAATATTTTCACAGGCATGTCAAATGGATGCCCCATTTACAGATAACCCTCAATGGGCAAAGATGAGGGCTTTATGGTCCTTAAAGGTCCTTGGTGGCCAGGACACTGTGGAGGCCAAGATAAACCACTGGTCTCTAAGAATGTTCTTTGGTATATAGAAGGCCAGGATCCTTAAATGCAGTCTTTCTAAATGGGGTCAGAGTACAAGACCTTAAGATCCTGTCCTCAAAATTTCAACAGAAAGGGGCTCCAGTTTCTCTTTGTCCCCTCCCCCACCCTCTGGCCACCACCCACCTTCCTCCATATCTCTCAGCAAGCTGCTTCCTGCATCAGCGCCCTTGTTTTGCTTGTGCTATTTGTGTCTGCTTCTAACAGCTGGCCCCAGCCTGGCAGCCCCTAGCTCTGAGGATTATCCAATTATCCCATTAGCCCAGCATGTCCTTCCTTCCTCCAGAGCTATTAGCTCCCCATCTCCCTCTCCCTCTCTCTCTCCCTGGGCTTGTCCATAGCCTCCCTTGCTCCTTCCCTAGCCAGGCCTAGAGCTGGGTGGGTCAGCCCACAGTCAAATAGACTCAGAGAATACCAGAGCTGGAAGCGATATGTATCCACTGCTTCATCATTTTGCAGGGAAGGAAACCCAAAGTCACATGACCAGTTAATGGCAGCAGAGAACTAAAACCCAGGTCTCTCGACCCAGTCAGTGTGCCTTACCAAGTGTTGCTATGCTTCGCCCTAGGATGGAGGAGATACCATCCCCACTCCTCTCTCTGGGATTCAAATTTATAGTCTTGGTAGGAAAATAGAACATACACTGGTGAAAACCAGCACATTATTCAGGCGTTAAGTCATAACTTAGCAGCAGAAGAGATGTCATCAGAAGCAGGTAACAAACTTCTGGTGCGTGGGACAGGCATGCATCTAAAGGCGCTCAGGAAGGGGAAAAGAGGATTTCAGCAAAGTCTCCCTCCATCTTCATGGAAGAGACGGCTCTTCAGGTGGTCCCTGAAGCATGGGAATTGTCTAAAGTAGGGGAGTGACAGCATCCCAGGCAAAGTGGCCTGCCTGAGAGACAAAGGCAGGGAATGGGGTAAGAGGATGGTAGACAGTTCAGTTTGGCACAGTGAGGAGCAGGGTAGTGGGTAGGAAAGTGGGTGGTCAGAGACAGGCTGGAGGGCAAAGCTGTGTCCTTGAATGGCCACAGAAAGAAGGTGGACTTGATCTGCTGCATATTTAGGGTCCACTAAATGTTTTGGAGCAAGGGAGGGACATGGCTGATGCTGTGCTTTGGAGATATTAATCTGACTGCTTGGGCTGAATAGATTGCGGTAAAAGAGATCAACAAAGAGGTCTGTTTGGAGTGTATTCAGGTTGGTAGAGATGATAGTGCCTCCGCCAAGACCATGACTTTGAGGGGTTACTGAGGGGTAGAGTGGATGGAACAGATTCCAAAGATGTTCAGAAAGAATTAACAGAATGCAATAGATTGGATTTGGGAAGATAAGGAGAAGAGCTCCTACTAATAGGATTAGGGAAGTAAGAAGTGGCCACAGGAAGTATGGGGTAGGATGGAGGAAGTGGATGAGGACCCTCCCCAGCTTCACCCTCTGGCACTCCTTGGGTGAGAGCATTTTGTAAAGTTGGCAGAGTTTGCTTAACCCTGGGCTGCAGGATGCCTTCTCTACCCTATGTCTCAGCCCCTCCAGGCTTCTCTGCTGGATGTCCACATGTTGACCCAATAAATCATCATGGTACCCTCCCCAGATGGCAAATGTCCTTCACTTGGGGTAATACTGCTGTCATCTAAGGAGGAATTTTTGGCCTTGGGGTGTATTCTGTTAATACAGGACTCTGGGCCTCTTTGATGCCTTTCAATCCATACCAGGTAGTTGTCTCCCAGCTATACTCATACATTTGATGCAGGTAGTGACTTTTTAATGTATATGTTGTCATTCCCTCCTCCTAATCCTCTGTCTTATCCCACATACCTGCTCTGGGCTTCCATGAACTGAAAACTGAACTGAAGGCAATTCTGGCCACAAAAGATGAGCCATCTTCACTAGCCTTGTGCCCTCGAAGTACAGAGAAGTCTCCTCAAGGCCCATAAGGGGGTCCAGGCCTCTTCCAGGCCAGCAAGCACCTGAATATCCTGACATGACTGTCCTTGGATCACTGAAGACCCAGCCATGAGTCTCAAATTGTTGCATCTTGGTGGCCTTTAACGTGAACTAGTTATTCTGCTGAAGCTTCTGTGAGCCCAGTTGTGCCTTTTGGAATAGCACAATGCAAGCTGTTTCTCTCATCTGATCTGTTCACCATAGCTCTCCCTAAGTCTTCTCCAACCTCATGTCCTCCAGACATTTTCAGTTTCTAGATGCTCCCTGTCTTGATCCCCTTCCTTTGGCCACTTGTTAATTCGTTGAGTGTCATTGGGAGGTTACCGTCTTGTTTGCAGGCACAAAATGACAAACTCATTTCAGTTTGTTCATGAGCAGGTGGTGTTGAGAAATGAGCATGTCTCCTGCCTTGAGTGGGTACCTGGTGAGTCCCTGTAGCCTGGGACTCACTTCCTAGTAACTAGGATGTCAGTGCAGCTTGAGGCTGCAGTTGCTTCTTTCCCAGCCTGTCCCACGGTGTTAGCCAGTGCTCAACTGAGTAACTGTAGTGTCCATGTTGTTTTGACCTGAACTGATAGTAGGCTGGGTCTCTCTATCCTCCCACTCCTCCCTGCACATTGGCTTTTTCTGAAATTGAGCAGGCTTTTTTTTGGGTTTTTTTTTTTTTTTTTTTTTTTTTTTTTGAGATGGAGTCTCGCTGTTGCTCAGGTTGGAGTGCAGTGGCGTGATCTCAGCTCACTGCAACCTCTGCCTCCCAGGTTCAAGTGATTCCCTTGCCTGAGCCTCCCGAGTAGCTGGGACTACAGGCATGCACCACCACATATGGCTAGTTTTTTTTGTTTTGTTTTTTTTTTTTTTTAGACGGAGTCTTGCTCTTTCGCCCAGGCTGGAGTGTAGTGGCATGATCTCGGCTCACTGCAACCTCCACCTCCCTGGTTCAAGCAATTCCCCTGCCTCAGCCTACCGGGTAGCTGGGATTACAGGTGCCTGTCACCACGCCTGGCTAATTTTGTTGTATTTTTAGTAGAAACGGGGTGTCACCATGTTGGCCAGACTGGTTTCAAACTCCTGACCTCAGGCAATCTGCCCACCTCGGCCTTCCAAAAATGCTGGGATTACAGGCATGAGCCACCGTGCCTGGCTAGTTTTTGTATTTTTAGTAGAGACGGGGTTTCACCATATTGGCCAGGCTGGTCTCAAACTCCTGACTGCAAGTGATCCACCTGCCTTGGCCTCCCAAAGTGCTCAGATACAGGAGTGAGCCACCACATCCGGTCTGAGCAGGACTTTACACTGGTCCTTGCTCAGTTTTATCTGTCCAGCCCTTTGAGGTCATTTTGAATCCTGACTCTGTTGGCCCAGACATTTACTGTATCCCTTCTCCATTAACCTCTTAGATAAGTCTAAATTTCCCTAATGTCTAGACTTTCATAAACAGATGGGACAGTATAGGGTTGAAGAAAGTAAATGATCCATAATCAGTGACCCTTGCCTAGGTCGTCTGCCAGTTCCACACCCACCTCCCGGCACCCAGAGATCAGGGACTTCCAGGTGCCTGGCTTGAACTCATACCCACCACATTTCTCCCTCTGGCAATGGCTGGGCAATGTCAGTGATCAGAATATAGAAGGTGGTCAGTAGCTCTCCTCCCTGCCACCCCATCTTCCTTCCCTCCCAGCCTCCTTTCCACTCTCTGATTCCAAGAACACTGGAGCTATTGATTGGTTACCCTCTTATTTTTCTGAGCTGAGAATGGATTTATTACTGCAATAATAATGATCATCATCATCCTGGGCATTTGTGTTAAATATACCTTCCAAAGCACTGCCACATTTATTTATTTTTTTGAGACAGAGTTTCACTCTTGTTGCCCAGGCAGGAGTGCAATGGTACAATCTCGGCTCACTGCAACCTCTGCCTCCCAGGCTCAAGAGATTCTCCTTCCTCATCCTCCCAAGTAGCTGGGATTACAGGCACTTGCCACCATGCCCAGCTAATTTTTATTTGTCTTTTTTAGTAGAGACAGGGTTTCACCACGTTGGCCAGGCTGGTCTTGAACTCCTGACCTCAGGTGATCCACCCACCTTGGCCTCCCAAAGTGCTGGGATTACAGGCGTGAGCCACCGCGCCCGGCCCACATTTATTAACTCATTTTATGTAAAAGTAGGTGTGGCAGCTCAGTGACTTGTCCTGTCAAAGAAGTCAATGGCAAGACCAGGGATTGAAACTGGTGCTTTGACTCCCCGTTCAGCAGTCAGTGGAACAGGGTGGTGGCTGGAAGGAGCAAGTGGTGGGATTATTGGGCATCTCTGAACCAGGCAGCAGAGAGAATCAAGCTGAAACCCCAAGAGATAGCCTGCAGGATGCCTGGCCAGGTCCCTCCAGTTCCCCTAAAAGTTCTGGAACTGAAAGAACAATTAATTGTGATATTGGACTGGGACTCAATTTTCCTAAGAGAAAACTTGATAATTTCTAAAAGTCTCATCTATCTTTAACAATTCCAGAAATCTCTGAATATAAACCAGGCTCTATCCCCCTCACTCCCCTTTCCAACCTAACTAGAAAATGTGGGTGGGTTGAGAAAGAACAGAAAAGAAAGATAAAAACTGTGACAGCCTTCTGACAACATTTTAACTTGAAAATTGCCTCCAAATGGATGGCATAATTCAGTGTAGGCAGATGAAAATCAGGCGCAGATTTACTCAGCCCCTCCTTGTTCTTATTTCCTGACTAACACATTGAAGAGATGGGGCCCTGGAGCTGACCGCCGGCCTCTGACAGGCCAGCTTGGTGTGGCCCCCTCTGTGAAGCCCATCCTGACTGCCCGCTGGCGTGTGGTTTTCACCTCCTCTGAGAGCCTGTGTGTCCCTCACAGGCTTATTCCCTCCGTCGGGCTTATTCTCCCCGTCGGGCTTATTCCCCTCAGTCAGTTGTTGGCTCCCTGCGTCCTGCCCCCGGCTCAGTGTGCATCAGCAAGGGCTCATTAAGTGGTTGGGAGAGGGACAGAGAGCCAGGAGACAGGGCTCAGGTCCTAACCAGCTTGATCCGAGGGCTTAGCTGGTCGTTAGGTGACAGTCCAGATGGCTGATTTGACAAAGAGTCACTCCTCTCCTCCCCCAAACGGAAACACTTCCTTGGACAAGGCAAAGAAGTGTGGATGGGTCCATGCAAAGCCTTCCCCACCTCCCTCAGAGGACCCTGGGTTGGCTACACCTGTCACCTGCCCAGCCTCATGCTGACTTCCTGGCCTGGCCTTTCTCCTAGGCCAGCCTCCCTCCAAGCCTGACTAGTGGGAAGCAGAGGGACTTGTCAGGAAACTCTGCTAAGCTGCTCTTTCTTCTCTGGAAAAAGAAAGGGTTGAACCAGAGTCTCACGAGGTGCTTCTTGTAGCTAGGTTCTGTGTTGTGTGTCCATCCCCCTCTTTTGAGGTTGTGTGAGTCATCTGACATTCTCCTGCCCCCTCCCTTGGCTCTGCAGCCTGACAGGGGCTGTCCTAACAATGACAGTGACTGCTAATGATGAGTGACAGCAGCAATGAGGGGCACCTTGGGAGAGAGGGGGGATGGGTGTGGGGAGGAGGAGAAGGTGGTAACCTTGCACACTGAGCAGTAAGGGTCAGGGAGGGAGCCACTTGCCTCACAGCACACCTGGGTCTTCCTAAGTTCTGTCCCCTCTAAAGTAACTTCTCCCGTCAGCAGAGGGTCATTGCTTAGCATGCTCAGAAAACAGTTGTCCGGCACTGGAGCTCAGGGGAGGGTGTCCAGCTGTGGCAAGAGCCCGTAGCAGCAGCCATGCGGGGGAGCAGCACAACATCGCAGGACAGCAGTGGCATCCCAGGCACAGAGTGCTGGCCTCACCCACTTTTCCCTGCGGCCCCAGGAGCAGGGGCGGGCTGCGCAGAGCCCTTCCCACATGCTGAGCAGTTGGATTCCCCCGGGTTCTTGTTTCCCCACCACAGTTGAAAAGACCAGTTTCCCATTTCTGGGATACCAAGTCCCAGAAGATGCAGGGAGCATCAGCAGCTCATTTCCTCACAGCACCCAGGTGGCCCCTCTTCCTGCCCTGCTGTGGTTTGCTGTCCCCTGGTCAGCGCACTGAACTGTGGCCCTACTCAGCTCCCTGAGCCCCCGGGTGATGCCTCCCAGAGGATAGGGCCTTAATCCAACCAGATTAAGGTAGGGTTTCAGGAGGGGTGGTTAGAGGAGGAGGGTGAAAGGGAGCCCTCCGGAGGGCTTGTCTCTTGTGAGGGCCAGTGATGAGCCAAGGCTGAGCCTGAGCCAGACCCCTGCTCTCAGACCTCCCTGTGGCCTGGCAACACCTGCTGTAGAGGGGGGCTGGGGCTATCAAGAACATGGATCTGTGATGGGACCCTTATGCGTGGGACAGGCCTGAATGAAGCATGTTATCCACCCGTAGCCCTTTGGGAAGGGCAGGGAGAGGGTGGAGAGGGGCCCTTCCACAGAGCTGCAGGGCTTGGAGCAGCCCAGGCCACAGCTCCTGGCAGCCTGGCCCAGAGCAGTGTAGACCAGGGCATAGCCTGCACCCCATGGCGCTGGGATGTTGCTCATGCCCTTCACCAGTCTTCACATCTCCCTCATGCTGCTGCTGTGGGCACTTATTCCTGTTGAGGTGGGCTCTGCCCCCTAGCATGTTTATATGTGCACAAATGTATTCTCTTATCGTCAGAGGAATGATGCCTGCATATGTTCAGGTCTCTGCCCATGTGCTTACACTCAGGCCTGCTGACGGTGGGAACCAACATGGGGTGGGTGTGGACATGGGACCCTAAGCTCCTGAGGACATGAGGAGGCCTGTGCTCTACCACTAGGCAGGAGCTGGCCCTGGGAGGACTAGGGCCCATTTGTACCTAGAAGCCTTTGCTGAGCCCCTGGCCCTGTTCTCCCAGCCCCAAAGCCTACACCCATCTAGCTCAGTACTCAAAGTCTGGTTCCCAAGGTCTCAGAAAAGGCTGGAGAGACGGGATTTCATTCTTCCCTACCTTTGTAGTTCTCTTTCTGGCCTCTTCCCACCAATTGCTCATGAGGACTGGCAGCTTCTGTGCTCTTGGTCTTCTCAGGCATACCCCAGCCACTGTTCCACCCTCAGCCCACAGCCAGTGCAGATCCTAGGAGGGAGGAAGCTGGTGTGGACAGGGGGTGGACTCAGTGCATTTGTATCAGTGGCTCCTTATAGGTTGTCCTGGCTGTCCATAAGAACCCCCTGGGGAATTACTTGATCTACCCTAGCCAATTAATCCAGTGTCTCTGGGGCAAGGGACTGAGGCTTTGGTGCTGATTGAAGCTTCCTAGGTATTTCTCCTGTGCAGCCAGTCTAGAGGACCTCTGAGGATATAACAGTGAGATAGCTAAAACAATCCTTTGTTGGTTTTGGGATAGTTTTGCAGGCATCCATATACTAAAAGTGTAAAGAAGTGCAATGGAAAGGGCTGGGCGCGGTGGCTCACGCCTGTAATCCCAGCACTTTGGGAGGCCGAGACAGGCGGATCATGAAGTCAGGAGTTTGAGACCAGCCTGGCTAACATGGTGGAACCCCATCTCTACTAAAAACACAGAAAAAATTAGCCAGGCATGGTGGCAAGTGCCTGTAGTCCCAGCTACTCGGGAGGATGAGGCAGGAGATTCACTTGAACCTGGGAGGCGGAGGTTGCAGTGAGCCAAGATCGTGCCACTGCTCTGCACTCCAGCCTGGGCAACAGAGCGAGAAAAGAAAACCGTCTCAAAGAAAAAAAAAAAAAGAAGAAGAAGAAGTGCAATGGAAAGAAATGAAATTCAGGAAAGTGGTTGTTTCCAGGCCTAGGATGCAGGGTAATGATGGGCAGGGGTCAGATGCAACATTGTAATGTTTCAGTTCTTAAGCAGAGTGCTGAGGAAATGATGTTATTTTGTACTTTTTGGTTCGGTTCAAATAGTTCATCATTAAGTTAATGGAAACAATGAACATGGATTTTACAGTCAGACAGACCTGAGTTTTAAGTTCACTTCTGCCACTTACTAGCTGTGTGACCTGGAGCAATCATGTAACCTCTCTGGGCTTGTTAATCATCTGTAAAACAGGGCTCACAGGGCTGTGTGAGGATTACCCTTGACATTCTTACACTCCTTCCGGGAGTCCCAGAGTGAGTGAGACCAAACCGGGACAATCACAGCTCTCCACCAACCTCAGGCAGGGGCAGGTTGCTAACTGCCTTCCAGGCCTCAAACTTCGCCATCACAGAAAGATGGCACCACCTCCTCAGGCAGGAGGCCCCTAAGGCCGGGGTCAGAGCAAAAACACCCCTTCCTTCTGGGTTTCTTTTGTTAAGAACAGAAGGAGGGGGATTCTAGGGGAAGGCCGTGTAGCCCCTGCCCAGATCTGTTTGCGGATACCTCTGTGACCTCTGCTAAAGGGTGCAGCAGGGCAGGTGGCGGGTCACAGTTCTGAGAAGGTAACATACAAAGAGATCTTCCCTTAAAGATGTAGGAAGATAAGGAGGGGGGGAGTTGCTGGGGAAAGCCCCTTCTCCCATAGCCCCTGTGGGCCCTCATAGAAATGCAGGTTGGATTGTGGTGCAGCCAGGCAGCCTGTCCCCTCGAGGACAGGACCCTGGGGAGGGCCCCCGGGGCAGGCAGGGTGTCTGCACATACGCACACACTCTCTCATACACAACACATGCCTGTATGTGTGCACAGGCCTAGCTATGGAGTAGGAAACGAACTCAGACGCCATTCTCATTTGGACAAGCTTAAAACACGATGTGGCTCGTTTTTATTTTATCTCAGAAAAAAACATTCCCTTTAGAAGGAAAGGCAGTTAGACAAGGCCTCTCACTGGGTAGCTCTGCGCTACTCAGCACATGCCAGTGGCCTGCCAGCCCCAACCTCTCCCCTGGGACCTGGGCCCATGCTCTGGCACTGCTCTGTTACAACTCCCTGTCCTTGATCCCAGCTTTGTCACTCCAAGAGATGGCCCTGGGACTGAGAAGTGGATGGCAGCTGTGACAGCAGGAGAGGACTGCCTGAGGCTCCCCGGGCAGAGGCTCTGGTGCCAGGTTAGCAGCAGGACCGACGGCAGACCCAGCAGCCAGAGAGTGAAAGGTAATAAAATAAAAAGGGTTTCCTCACACTTACATTTTTCCTGGAAAAAAGTCAAATGTCACCTCTGGGCCCAGCAGCTCCTGAACCCTAGGAGAGTCTAGGGAGAGTGGTGTGTGGGTGGCAGGAGGCTGTTGGAGCCACTCCCCAGTCTCAGGGCCAGGCCAGTCTGCTGTGCCCAAGCTGCTCTGTGGAGACAAGGTGGTGCTTCCAGATGCTTCTGCAGTGGAGGGCTGGGCCCTGCCCAGCAAAGATGCTGCTGGTGCTGTGGCCCCCACCTGGTGCAAGGCCTCACAGCATGAAACATCTGCTTCCTCAGAACCCAAGCCCTTCTTGCTGGGCCTCATGCTGCTCCAGCCTGGGGCTCCCTTCTCTCAGTCCAAAGTAGGAACCGGCTGCCCTCAGGGTCTCCTGGCACTCTCTCTCTTCTCCCAACGTGACTGGTCAAGCCAACCAGAAAGATAAAGATCTCCTTCCCTTAGGAAGGGGCAAACTCCATGAATCATCAGGACACTCCTGCTCCATCCTGGGCCAGGGGGTCATCTAGGCCAGGGGGCTCTGGGCACACTCCCTTGAGCTCATGGCTAAGGAGCTCCACGTCTGGGAGGCCCGTGTTCCCCTGGGACTCTTGGGCACTCCCTCCACTCACCAGCCCCAGGGCATAGCCATTGGGCCTCCGCTCAGGGTGGGGAGCACTGCCGTTGGCCCACACTCCTGGCGGGTGGCCGTTGAGACGGAGGCTGACCTGCTCTCCGTCACTGCCATGAGCTGCCAAGACCCGGGCACTGGTGCCAGCTGCCTTGAAAGGTTCTTGCTGCCTCAGGACGTGGCTGCGAATGATCTTGCGGAAGGTCTGGCGGAACTCGCGGATACGGTAGGCGTAGATGAAGGGATTCACAACCGAATTGGTGTGGGAGAGGACGATGGCCAGGTACATGAGCCAGAGAGGGGCGTGGCTGCAGTCGGGGCAGAAGAAAGTGAAGCAGTTGATGATGTGTAGGGGCAGCCAGCAGAGGGCAAAGAGCCCCACAATGATGGCCAGTGACTTGGCAGCATGGACCTCCTTCTGCAGTGTGGACCGTGCCCGCTCCCCCGGCAGAGGCTGGCTCTCCATCTGCTTCAGCTGTCGTCGCGCCGCCAGGAAGATCCGCAAATAGACACCCAGCATGAGCAGCAGGGGCACCAGCACACAGGCAAAGAAGTTGAAGTACACCATGTAGTTCATGGGGACCACATCCTCAAAGAGACAGGCCACTTGGCCCTCCCCGCAGCCCTGGGAGTGGTTCTTGCCCTCCTTTGGCTGACCGCAGTTGTTCCAACCTAGCATGGGAGTCAGGCCGATGGCAAACGACAGCACCCAGCAGATGGCAATGATGCCCTTAGCCCTCGTGCCGGTCACCAAGCCATTGTACCTGGGGAGAAGAGACCAGCATCAGAGATCTGAGAAGCCAGGGTTAAGCAGGGCCAAGAGTTCAGAACCCCAGAGCAGCACCCGTTTCCACATTTCCTGACTGTAAGGTCTTGGACCAGTCATTTCCTGCCACCTCGCCCCAGCATCCTCTTCCGTTAAGTGGAAGTAATATGCCTTGCCTTTTTCACAGGCTTCTGGGAGGTAACAGGAGAGCAGGCATCCAAGAAATGGAAACCCAT
Source organism: Homo sapiens (assembly GCF_000001405.40). NCBI lineage: Eukaryota > Metazoa > Chordata > Mammalia > Primates > Hominidae > Homo > Homo sapiens. The sequence continues at coordinate 24,440,344 of NC_000022.11, read as the reverse complement.
GTACAAATGCCCAGATGGTCATTGAGTAGTTTTCGGAGTAGTCCTGGGACTTAGTTTGGTTGGAGGAAATTAACGCATGATTTTTTGAGGGGGAAAACATGATTTTTCTCTAAAGGGAAACGTGTCGTAGCCTTAACCAAGATCAATTACCTCCATGTTGGTCGCAGCCTTAACCAAGATCAGTCACCTCCATGTTGGTTGATCTTGGTTAAGGCTACAACAGGCTTGAAGGGGTCTGGAGGGTGGCTTTACTGGCTAGGGGCAGCACCAGCCAGATCAGACCTATAGAGGATCTAGGCCTCTTGTACTCCATACCCTGTCTTCTCTTCCCCATTTGCCATTTGACTTGGGGACTCCAGAAGCCCTTGAGGAGAGGCAGCATGGAGGGTAAAAGAGGGGAGGAGGTCCCAGGCCAAAGGAGATGCCATTTCTCCCCTCCAAACCCACCCACAGCCCTCTGGAGAGAAATGAGAGAATTACTTGTTAACATTTACATGGCCATCTTAACATTTGCAAGGAAATACTGAGGTCCAGGGGGACAGTAATCTGCCCGAAATCACTCAGTCTTCCTGAGTGAGAGCCAGACAGAAATCCAAGCCTACCGACTCCCAGTCTCATACTCGGGAAATGGCTGGATCTGCCAGCCAGTAAGCAGACCTCAGCCCTGTAGGAAAGGTGGCCTAGATTTCATGAAAGAATGGACAATAAAAAAAAAAAGTCTCCCTAATTTAGGAAGGCAACCTTGATGATCACTGAGGGATGACTTCTGTTTAACAGTTTTGATTCTGGCAAGACCAGACTACACTCCCCTCTACCTGGCAGAAACCCTACCCATCCTTCAAGTCCAGGATAGAGATCTCAAAGAAGTTTCCTACCGAAGTGCAGCAGATCCCCACCACATCTGGGCCCCTCGGGGGCAGGGCTTTCCTACATCCATCTCTGCATTGCCAGCTCCGAGACAGGGACACTCAGAAGGTGCAAGGAGGCCGGGCGCAGTGGCTCACACCTGTAATCCCAGCACTTTGGGAGGCCGAGGCAGGCGGATCACGAGGTCAGGAGATGGAGAAACCTTGTCTCTACTAAAAATAAAAAAAACTAGCCGGCCGTGGTGGCGGGGGCCTGTAATCCCAGCTACTTGGGAGACAGGCAGGAGAATGGTGTGAACCCAGGAGGCAGAGCTTGCAGTGAGCCAAGATCGCGCCACTGCACTCCAGCCTGGGAGACAGAGCAAGACTCAGTCTCCAAAAAAAAAAAAAAAAAAAAAAAAAAAAAGGTGCAAGGGGAAGGATGTGCTCTACTTAACTGCGGAGCTGGGAACATCCACAGAAACCATCTCATTCACGGGTAGCAAACAGGCGCCTATAGGTAGCACACACAGGAGGCAGCTGGTGGGGCGTTTACCTGGTCTTCAGCGCCATGCAAAACGTACGCCTGCTATTACCAGATCTCAGGTGGGGCTGGGGAGATGATTTTCTGGGTAAAATCTCCCAAGATTTAAGTTTTGTCAACTAATTCAAATAAAAGAGAAAAAGAGAAACCCTGGTGGCTTCCGATCTCTTATGTGGTCCAATCCTCTTGTTTTACAGGTGGGTAAATTGAGGCCCAAGGAGAGGAATGGACTTGCTGTGGACATTCCAAGAGCCCAGAGGCAACTCAGGCCAAGGCGAGTCTGTCTGTTCTGAATCTCTTAGGTCAGTTCTGAATCCAAACAGTAACCGGACAAGCCCATTCTCAGGAGCTCCTCAGCTCCATTCCGTGGGGGCTTGGTTACCTGTAACAGGGCCTCAACAGGAGGGTCATAGACTTGCCCATTGCTTCCAAGCAACAGGGAGTTGGCATTGCCCTGCCTCCTGTGGGACTCGCAAACATAAAATCTCAGGCTCTCTCATTCTCACATCTACATTACATAGCACTGACTCTGTGCCGGACACTGTTCTTAGTGCTTTGCAAATAGTAATTTATATAGTCCTCATTGACTGGGAAGCTATATTAATTTTGACATTATTCCTGAGAAAAGCATATCCCTTCCTGGGTTCTGGCCCTGTTAACAGGAATGTTTTAAAACTTTGTCTCTCTGAGCCTCAGTTTCTTCATTTGTAAAATGGGACCAAGTCGTGGACCTGTCAGCACTCTGCCCTCTAAGGGCAGAATGGAGAATCAGTGGGTGGAAATTATAGGGAGGCAGATTGTAACTCAGGGTAGGTTAAGAGTTTTTCAGCTGAGCTGTTCACAGGAGAGATGGCCTGCCTCAGGCAATAGTGAGTTTCCTGTCATTTGAGGCAACAGAGCAGAGCCAAGCAGCCACAGGGGTGTTGCAGAGCTGCCTGGGCCCTGGGCCACCTGCTTTGCTGGTTTTCAAACTGTTCTCAGCAGCAAACCTTGTCGCCCACATTCCCAGGCAGTCACAGAGGTGAAGCTGCTGGGGAAGGGAAGGGGCTTATTAAATGTTTATTGAATCAGTGAATTGGTGGGGACACCAGAGCCAACCCGAAGGCTTCTGGGAACACAGTATGGAAATCCCTGGTCTGTCCAATTGTTGACTTGTACAGAAAAGGGAACCCACAAGGGGAGTCTTCCACCGTACTCTGCAAAGAAAGTCCCGTGTGGGGACAGAAACAAAACATACATTAATAGCACTTGCTTATATATGCAAAGAATATCTCTGGAAGGATTCTTAACATGGCCTTGCAGGCAGGGAACTGAGGGTGGGGGACAGGGGGTATGGAGGACAACTTTCTACTATACTATACTCTTTTGTTCCTTTTTAATGTTTTAGAGTGGGCAAAACATGACTTTTTTTTTTCTTAAATTGCAAATAGACTAAGTTTATTCAAAAGAAATCTCCATAGGCTGAGAGCCCTGGACCCTGGTGCCCACGGGGTGGGGACAGCATCAGGGCCCAAATGGAATCACAGCTGAGCCTCAGCCAGGCCCAGCAGCATATCCTGGGCTGCATCTGTGACCAACACACTCACATCTTGCCGTCTTAGACCCCAAACATTGACCATCCAGCTGGAAGGGATGCCAAGGCTGTCTAGCGTGACACACCACCACTCTGGGGTGCCCAGGCATGTCAGAGAATGTGGGTCCCAGAGCTGCTGCCCACCCTTTGTGGAGGTGCCCTCTGCAGCTCTGTGTCCCCCGGCTTGCAGGCTGCCCCTTTCTGGGGATCTCCATTACCCACACTGGGGGCTCACCCTATGGTCCAAGAATATGCCCCATGATTCCAGCTGGGGCTTTATGTGCACATGTCCCAACCTGAGGAGTAGGTGGAGCCTTCCTAAGTTGTCCAAAGGAGTCATTGATCCAAGAATTGAAGAGCCATGGACCCACAGGGAAACCTCCATTCCTTCCCCTGGTACGAACAGGCCTGACTTGGCCTCCACCTTTCCTGCCCACTCTGTTCATCTCTCTCTGTCACTAGGCAGCCAGGCCACCCTTCCCTACCCAGTGCTCACATGCTCATTCCTTCCTCAGGGTCTTGTCCCAGGCTTTGCCCCCCTCCTGACACACCTGCCCCCACACTCATGCCAGTGAGACCCTGCCTGCCCGTCCTGCAAGACCCACTGGGTGACACCTCCTCCAGGGAGCCCTCTCTCCCAATCCTGCCCTCTTAGAAGTGTTAGGACTTCGGGCCTCACCACCAGCTGCCACCTGCACCTTGGCCTGTTCCTCAAACCAGCGAGAACATCCACCAAGGGCTGCTGTGAGAGCCAGGGAGGGGACAGTGAGGCAAAAATCCCCTGGGAACTGGAAAAAGAAGCCTGTGTCTCTCACCCTGAATTCCCTATCCTCTGGGAACACAGAGAGCTACATCTCTGCCTCTGGCCTGAAGTCTTTCTCACAGAGTTCCTCGACTAGGCCCTGTGCTAGCCCAACAGGTTCCCTGAACTTGGAAAATAACAGATTTTTCCAAAACTGAGTTCTTTTTTTTAAAAAAAAAGTTAATGGAGAGTGGGGCAGGCCTGAGGCTAGACCCAGGGCTAGCCGAATGGACCTTTCTGAGTGGAGCAGGAAACGGCACGTAGAGGAGGCTGGATTCCCAGCTGAGAAAGGAGGAGGGAGGATCCTGAGGCAGGCTGTGACTCCAGCGCCGGCCAGGAGTGTCACCAAGTTCCTTTCATACCCCGCTTGCTCTCGGGAGCCCACATGGACACCTCCACATGCCCAGAGGCCCAGGGGCCCTGAGGAACAGGAAAGCGAAGGGACCTGCGGGCCAGGAACAGCCTGAAGGGCCCTGGAGTCCATCCACATCAGGAGACACTCGTATGTCCTTCCCTGCTCTGGCCTCCCCATGAGTTTGTGAGTAACAGGAGGGTCAGAACATCCGCCTGGCCACAATGCAGGCCAAGAGGATGACAGGAGATGCTGAGCTGACATCCTTTGGCAACTGCAAAGCTCTCTGCCCTCAAGGGAGGATGAACATCATCGTCGTCATCCTCTCCAGGGCCCCCTGCAGAAGAGACCAGCCTAAGCCTTGCAGAGCCTCATGGAGCAGAGTCAAATGGCTCAAGGTCTGGGTGGAACTAAGGTCCAGCTCCAAGGAAGTTGGGATGAGATGGGTAGAGGATAGGGGGCAGGTCCATGGCTCTGAACCCAAAGATCTGAATCCCCACCCTCCCCACGCCTCCAACCCTCCTCAGGGTCCCTGTCACCCCATCCACTCACTGGACCTTCAGAACACCTTTGTGAGCTCAGAGGGGCAGAGAGACTTGTCCTATTTTATGGATGAGGAAATGGGCCCAGAGAGAGGCAGCTAACTTTCCATAGCCACACAGCACATCCTGTCCTACTACATAGGGAGTCATTCTCTCAACTCTCAGAAAACAGAGAAGGAAAGGGAGAGACAAAAGAGAAAAAAAGTCGAGCTCCTTTAAATTGAGAACGGCAGCCCTGATCATACCCTTTGAATCAGAGAAAAAAGTGAGAGCTTGGCCTCTGCTTCCCCATAGAGCATCCCATCAGTGTGCAGACTCAGCTTGGTTCCCTGAAGTCCCCTCCAGTGCTTTGTTCTCTGGCCCACCTGGGCACCTGCAGACAGGGCCCCTCCTGGGCCTCCGTGTTCTGAGCTGCCACTGGACGAACCTAAACTCTGCTCTGCCCGTCGCAGAGCAATGGATGGAGGCTCACCAGAGACTGCACTTGGAGTCCGACAATCCCTAATTCCACCCCTCTCAGGGCTGGCCAGGGTCCCCTTCTCCTTTGCCGAGGGTTCTAGACTCTCCTGGGATAGAGAGCATCTGACAGGGCAGTGTGAGGTCCAGATTCCTCCCCTTCCCTGGAGCAGCCCAGTGCAGCTCCTGCTCCCACTTAGAGCCCAGGTGACAGGGACAGCCACCTGGTGCAGGCTCTGCGAGACAGGCTGCTCATGACCGCTCCCCAGTGACTGAAGTCACAGTGGGGATCAGGCCACATTTCTTTCCAGGACTCGCCCCAGCTCCACTACCAACTCGTTGTGTGGCCCGGAAACAGCTGGCTGTCTTCTCTGAGGCTCATTTTCCATCCCGAAGATGAGAGGAAATGACCTCTAAGGGCCCCTTGGCTTTGACGCTCTAAATTTCCATTTGCTCATCTAGCTGGGTCCTCCTTCCTGCTGGGGCACCCTCAACCTGCTGTGGCTTCCTCTTTAGATAGGCACCCACCAGTTTCAGATAATTCACCGCAGAGATGGTGCACCCTGCTCCCTGACTCTCAAGAGGCACCACCTCAAGCCTCATACATGGCCTCAGGGCCCACAACCACCCAGGCTGTGGAACCCAGCTCTGTGGCAGAGGGGCCAGGAGGTGGGGCAGAAGGCCTCTGACGTCCCCAAGGGAGGGATGCACTTTCTAGCCTCATCTATGGCCTGGGTAGGTGGAATCCATGCCGAGTAATTCAGCCTCTGGGAAAATCTTCATTTGCACAATTACTTGGCTGAAGTCACTTCACAAAAGATTCACCATAAAAATCCCCTCCAACAGCCAGCCCCTGAGCACACTGGCTGCCTCTAAGACGATGAGTCCTTGGTGACTTGAGGAGCAACAGAATTTGCATATAGGTCCAAGTGACTCACTGTGGCATTCAACCAAGTCACTTCCCCTCTCTGGGTCATTTTCCTAATGTGCACACTGCAAGGCTGGCCCAGAGGATCTGGGGGAAGGCAGGTGGCGGGCGGCTCCTAACTCTGAGGTCCTATGGTTTCCCCTGGCTCCCCACTCCACCCCAGCATCATCCGGGAAGTTTTGCTTGTGTGTGAGGAATGGCCCAGACACACCCGCTGGCAGCACGTGGGTCACTGGGACCACAGCTCCCTGCTAAGCCCAATGCCAGACCCTGGCCACACTCATCTGCCAAAAAGCAGAGCACAGTTGGCCTCAGGCAGCCTAGGGGAACCCAGGCCGCCTGGGAGGGCCAGGCTGCCCTGCGCCCATAGGGGTCAGTCAGTTCGGCATGACTGCTGGCCACGTGCTGGCCCTGGGGAGCCCCTGCTGAGCCTGGGGCCCCGTCGCCAGCTCACCATGCTGACACTGCAGACCAGGCCCTGATCCCAGGCTCACCCTGGCTCCGGGCACAGACCAAAGCCTGGGCACCAACAGCCTTTGCACAGATGTAACCCCGGCCCTGCTCACCGGAGCGGGATGCGGATGGCAATGTAGCGGTCAATGGCGATGGCCAGGAGACTGAAGATGGAGCTCTGCGTGAGGACCAGGACGAAGCAGGCAATGAAGAGGCAGCCGTGGCAGGCAGCGCAGAACCCGGTGCTGATGGTGATGGCAAAGGGGATGGCGAGCACACCCACTGCGATGTCGGCCGCCGCCAGTGACACCACAAAGTAGTTGGTGACGTTCTGCAGGTTGCTGTTGAGCCACACGGCCCAGCACACCAGCACATTGCCCAGGATGGCCAGCACAGCAATGGCCAGCTCCACCGTGATGTACACCGAGGAGCCCATGATGGGCATGGCCACAGACGACAGGCAGGCTCAGCACGGACGCGGGCTGGGCCAGCTCACGGTCCATTGCTGCAGCCCAGCCGCCCGCCTGGCTCCCAGCCCGGCCCAGGCGGAGGGGCCCAGACCCCTGAGCCCCTTCCTCACAGGAGCCAAGTGCAGCCCTGCTGGGGCGCTCTCCAAGGGCTTTTTCACAGAGGACTCTGAGTCTCCTGAAACCAGGCCCTCTGCAGGGGTTCTGGCAGCAGCATCATGGCTCAGCCCAGCTTCAGGGTTCCTGAGGCACCTGCAAAGGGACAGCCGATGAGAAGCTGAACCATCTGCAGAGGGCGAGCCCTGCGGAAAGTGCCACCCCTTACCCCACACTTGGCCCCCTGAAGACCCTATAGTTTCAGATCCCACCCTACCCACAGGCCAGGTGTCAGCCTGAGGATGGCCCCTGACCCCGCCTAGCCCCATGCCCTGCCTGGTCTGCTGTGGTCATAGCCAGGAGGCGAGAGAGGTGGGAATTTGACCCTCACTTTAGAGGAGGACACCCAGAGAAGTCACTGAGCAAGGCTGGTTCCCCTGGTCCAATAGAATTCCCGCTGAGACTCCCACACAAACCCCTCCCAAGGAGGCAGCCCCTTCTCCCAGGCTCTGCAGAATGAGTACTGCCCTAGCTGGGCCCCTGCCAGGACTCCAGCTCACCCCAGCACTATCCATGGCTCCCTGCATTCCCTGCTCTGCGCATTGTTGTCACGGTGCCTCCCACTCTGGACTCAGGGCCAAGGATCAGATGTGGTCTGTTTTTTTCCTGGGGGAGCCAGAAACTTGTTAAAGTCTGTCAGTGTTGGCCCCCCCATGCTCAGCCTCTCAGGCCTCCTGTGGCAGCTTGGCCAGTCTCCTGGGTCCTGGATCTCGGCCAGCCCCATGACACTCCCTCCCAGAAAGGCCCCTCCCTGCCCAGGCTCTCCCAGTCCCACCCACCTTCTCTCGCCAGGCCAACTTCTCAGCCCCCCTGGCCTGCTCCATCCCGTCAACTCTCCCAGGAACTACCAGCACCCACCTAAGGGACACCAGCCGCCCTGTGAAAGGACAAGCCAGAGACCCCTGGAGCTCGGATGTGGAAGGATGTGGGGAGCTGCCTGGTCCTGTCTCCCACTGCCGCAGAGGGTAAGCCCTCTCATACTGCGCCCGAACCCGCTGCCTCCAGGTGCCCCTGCCAGTCAGCTGCAGTCAGGGCAGGGGCGGCGCTGCAGCTGACTGTGAGCTTCCACTCGGAGGGAGCTGCCTCACCTCCCTCCTCCCACGCCCTCTCCCCCACCTGCTCCTCTGCCTGGCTGACACCAGGAATGACTAACGGGAGTTTGGTCCCTGGCAGAAAGCAGGTACGGAACCAGGACTCACTGAGGGACTCTGGGCAAAAATGCTTTTCTTTTCTGGGCCTCAGTTTCCTCATTGATACGGTGAGGCAGCTGGACCCCAAATGACCTCTAGGGGCCATGCCAGCTCTCACCCATGATTCTATGAGAAGGAAATAAACAGATTTAAAATGGCTCCCCCAGAGTCAAAATGGAATTACTGACACCCCTCAGAAGCAGAAGTTTTGGTTCCCCAGCAGGCCTGAGCCCAGCCCCAACTCCCAGTGTCCCCTTCGAGCCTGTGAATGGTCTGGATCCAAATGGACCTCTGCCCGTTAAATTGCCCCTCTTTGAGAGCTAAGAGGCCCCCAAATCTACCCCCTCCAATCCTGAACCCTCATGGGGCCCTATGAGTGTGTTGCCAGCCGCCACCACCTGCCTGGGGACAAGAGGTCAGAGGCTGCCTTTCACGTGGACTCGGGCAGCCACCTCGTCTCTCTCTCTCTTCCAGGACATGAGGGATGGAGCAGGACTGGCAACCTGGAGAGGAAGTCACTCCTGGTCCTGAGCCCTGTTCAAAGGGCCAGGCTCCCCTCTACCCCATTGTCCATGTGACAGAGCTCAAACACACAGACCCCAACTTTCCCTCCAACTCCAATGCTGTCGGCACCTCAAGTGGCTGGAACAGGATTGGCACGGGCTGCAGCCATACCTGGGACTGGAGGTTCTCCTGCACCCAGCAGGCCCTTTTGCCCCTACTAGGAGCCTGGGAATGGAGCATTGACACAGAAGCAGGAGGAGGAAGGAGAGAGCAGAGCCAGAAACCCTGCAGCAACGGAGGGCCTGCAGCAGCTGGAGAGGGCCGAGTCCTCCCAAGCCCCTGCTTTCCATGGAGCACTTGCCAGGCAGCCATTCACAAAGTGTGTCGTTGGCAGGGATGCACCAGACCAGCTCTCCTGGCACCATCCCTGGCCACACTCAAGGAACACAGTTATCCCTGATGCTCTTGGCCTCTCTCCCTGAGCAGTACTCACCAGGGCCCACCTGACTCACGATAGCCCCTGCCCAACAGGTACAAGTGGAGCTGGTGCTGGCCCCGGGCTGCCTCCCACCCAGGTGCCTGGCCTGTGGCTCCAAGGTGGACTCCCAGGCCCAGCACCACCAGCAGCAGCAACAGGCGACTGTCCAGTGAGGCCCAGTGGGCCACTGAGGAGCCGCCTCTACCCAGGGATCCTGCCTCCCACCACGGCCCTCTCTAGGGCATCTGCATTGAAGGATGCCACAGCCTTCTGCCAATCTGACCATCCCAGGCTAGAAGGCTGATGCAGCCCCAGACCACGCTCCAGATTCAAGGGCCTTGCTGGGGGCAAACAAGGTGGAACATAACACGTCTGCCAAAGTGAAGGAGGACTCCCCAGTCCCATCACCCAGAGCCCTGCTGGTGGGGTCAAATCATCGGCGCCTGCCTCACGGGCTGGACTGGTGCCATGCCAGCTGGGATGCCCAGTTTGGGAGAAGCCTGACCAGGGCCTCTGTTTGGCAAGGCTTCCCTGGCAGCCCTGGGTACCTGCCTGTGTACCCCCGTTCTCAGGGTCTCCCCACCTTCTGTGCTGTGGGTCCCCATGCTAAACAGCACTAGATACCGATAACCTTCTTGACTATACTGAAGCCACCTTCCTGCTGCCCACCAGCCTCAGTGACAGCAACAGACCCCTCTGCCCAGGCCGGCCTCACACGGGGCTAAAGACACCCACGGCTCCTGCCAGCAGGGTCCACACAGGCCACCTCGCTGCCCGTCCTCTCCCTCAGCCCCTCCTTAAGCACTCCTGCAGGCTCTCCCAGCTGCTGCCAGCACATCCCGGGTGAGGCTTGCCCGGACCCACAGGCAACCTGGGCCCCTGCCAAGCCAGAATCCACTCTCAGCTGTGCCTTTCTCGGCCCTGAGCAAAGCAGATCAGTGGAGTCAGAGGCACCTTTGGGGCAGACAGGGGAAGAGGAGTGCATTCATTGGGGAAAGGTTGGGAGCTACCCAGCCGTAGGCTGGCAAATCAGCTCCTGGCCGGGGGCACCCTGACTTACAGGCTTTGCCTGATTTCTGTGGTGTAAATTCTCCCCTTGTGCCCAGTTTCAAGCTACTAATGTGTCGTGGACCGTAACTGGGGAGCAACACAGAGTCAGCTGGCCACGATGCCAGTCACTGCTGAGCTGCCAAACCTTACGCGTCCCAGGGGGCACCTGCCTAGAGGCCAGGCACTGCACTGGACCCTCAGACACAGCTTGTGCAGCCTGCTTAGGAGCTTGGGAAATGACTGTCATCTGTGATCTTGCTGGTCCCAGGAAGCCCATTTTACAGATGAGGAAACTGAGGCCCAAAGGCACGAAGCGACCTCTCTCAGCCTCACCAAGAGCACTGGAAGGTGGTGTAGGGCTGCGGCCGTGCGCACAGAGAGCACAGCAGCAGGAAGGCTCCTGGGCCTCCAGCTCCCCTCCCTCAGAAGCCTCCCAGAGTGACAGGAAGGTCAGAGGCCCCGGGGAGGGGGCGGGGCCAGGATCTGGCAATTTCCTATCCCTCTCTGTTGGCTCTGTGCATCTAATTACTCCTTGAGTCATCTGTTGCTAACCAGGAGGGGAAATTAAATATTAATAATGTAATACTTCTCTGTGATTACCCCTTGTTGGGGACAGATCAGAGGGCAGATGCTGCCCCATACAGACAGGGGACACATGCTGCGGAATGTGCATAATGCCTCTTGAAAGAACCACCTTATAGGATTCCACGCGGTCAGACTCAAAACTGCTGCTGCTTCCTGCCTTCCTCCTCACCTCCCCCAACCTGGCCACTTTAATTAAAACTCCATTTAATCAAAACCCACACATCTTCTGGTTCCTCATATGTCGCACTAGCAAGGCCCTCTGTACACATGCCCAGATGGTGGCTATACCCCCCAGAGCCTGCTGCACGGAGGTGCCCACCAGCTTCTAGGCAGTGACCTGCACATCTGCTCCTGAGTGCGGCTAAGAGCAACATACAGGACACAGTGCACGGACTCGGACCCGCTCCAGCCATGCCTGGCCTGTTCCTGGGCTCCAGAATCCCAGCCTTAGAACCCTCCTGCTGCTTTTCCATAACAAATGTTTACCAAGTACCTCCACCAGGCCTGGCAGCACCCCAACTGCTGGGCCAAAGGGAGGTGTGCCCCCGTTGCTGTGCCTGGCCCCATCTGAGCATATGGCAGGGGACCTCAAAGGAGGAAAGGACCCAGGACATTCCTGGGAGGCGGCTGCTGCCCTGCAGTTTCAGGCACTGCAGGCCACTCCCTGTCTCCACAACATTGGCTCAGCTAAGAGGAGTCGCAAATCAATTTCAAAGCGCAAGAGGTATATGAAGGCTAAGAAAGGTAAGCAACAGAATAAAAAACATGGAGGTGAATTCATTCCAGTAGGAAGGAAGGTAATACAGTAATCTAATAATGATTTCAGAGACCTTTAGAATCTCCAAAGAGGCAAAGAAAGGAATGGCATCCGTAGACAAGAATGAGAACTTCTGAACCGACTGGCGGAAATGAAACAAGGACAGGTGGATATGAACAAGAAATAATACAAAATCCAGGGACTGAAAAATAGAAGGACTGAAGTAAGGGATGTGGTGAGCTTCAGGCACACGTACAGTGGAAGAGACGACTGGGGATCTGAAGCTAGTACTGAGGAATTCTCCCAGAAACGCCATGAAGAGACCTAGTCTAGGAGGAAACGGTTGAGAGGCATGGGGTGGACTGAGAAGCATCAACAAGTGGCTTGCGGGAGCTCGGCAGGGCACGGCAGGTTGTGGGCCCCACTATGACTGGCTTTTGGGATGGCCCAGGGGGGCCTGGGCATGAACCTCCCAGAACCCAGGGCCCCAGGATCCCCATACCCCTTCCAAACTCATCAGCGCAGGTGCCTTCCTCACTGCCCAGTGGTAAGCAGCCACCCAGCACGGGCTCCACTTCCCTCCTGACCTCCGGGGCTGCCCGGTGGCCCTTACTTCAGGCGCTGGGTGCAGGCTGGGCCCGGGACCCAGAGATACACCTGGCATCCCTCCCCCACAGCCCGGGTGCAGCTGCAGCTCTCTGCTCCTGGTGGCAGGATGTGGGCAAGATGGGGCCAAGACCCAGCTCCCTGCAGCTGGAGGCTAAGGCTCTGAGCCTGCCTCACAGAGCAGCCCCCACATCGCAGCCCCGGGGCCAGTGCTGGGGGCCCCAGCTCCTGCTCCCCACACCCCCATGTGTCCAGGCTAGGGGCCAGGAAGGCCACAGCACCCCCTCCTCCCCGCCTGGGGGCCACTCACCCCCTCACACGAGGCTTCACCTGACAGCCCTCCTCCGAGGGGCCGCACCCCGCACCAAGGTGCTGGGGGCCCACGCTGTGCTGAAAGCAGCTTGGCTGGGGGCGGCTCCTGCTCCATGTCACAGTCCCTGAGGCCCAGGCAGAGCTTCCCCTCTGCACGCGGCTGCTCACATGTACACAGGCTGTGGTGAGCCACGTCACGTCACGTGAAGGATTGGCACCTGCACCTCCCTCAGATGGCGGGCAACAGGTACTATGCCGCTGAAGGGGGGACAAGGGAGTGTTTCTAGATGGCCCCGCGGACACAGAGCCCAGGAGTCCTGGGCGGGACCCTGTGGGAGGCTTGAAGGGGCAGTGCTGGGTGCAGGGCCTCACAATGCCCCAGGGTGGCTGCAATGAGGATGGGAGGGGTGAGGACCGGCTGTTGGGTCCCTGGGCAGGTGCGACGAGGCAGCCCCGGAGGCTGACAGGAGGGCAGGGTGACCAAGCAGAGCCTGGCCACTGCTTCTTCCCCACTGAGCAGCCTCCCCCAGGCTGGCTCAGGGTTTGCAGAGGCCACTGAGGGACCAGAGGCGAGTCCTCCTGTGACACGGGCAGACCAGCCCGGGGCCTCTGGGGAGAAGTCTCCTGCCCAGATGCCAGAGGAGACACCAAGTGGCACCATCGGCCTCCCTCTGCTTGGCCAGCTCCGGCAGCCTCTCCACCAGGTGACGGCCGATGCCAGAGACCAGGGCTGCAGCGGCACATCCGAGGAGTGGGCACAGAAGAGCAGCAGCAGCCCCTGCCCAGTGACTCCTGGAACAAGCTTCCCCTGCGGGGTGTTGGCGGGGGGTGGTGAGAGAATCCCCATGGCAACTCACAGAAACATCATCTGGGTGAGACTTGGAGGAGAAGGTGAAGGGAGAGAGGTATCGAGAGATTCTAGCAGAGAAAATGCCCGAAGCCAGGGTCCTGCCTTCCCTGGGCTCCCATCATCCCCTGTGCTGGGACGAGGGGCAGCTGCTCTGCTGCTCCTCTCTCCACCTGATCCTCCCCAGTCCCTGGCCAGATCCATGGAGTCCAGGCTGCAGGGGCCCAGGCCTCCTCCGCCATGAAACTGCCTCTTCCCACCACCCAGAGCCCCAGGTTCTGCACAGGATGTGGGCAGTTGTGTGGGGGCTCCTCTCTGCACCCCAGCTCCATTCCCTTCCCCATCTGGGCTCCTCTGCTCCTTGCAACCTCTGGACCACCCACCTCCTAGGACCAAGCCCCTCCTGTCAATGGCCCAGACCCTTCTGGGAGCTAGAACCCTCCCATTCACCAGCTCAGCTCCTGCCTGTGCAGTCTCCTCTCCACAGCACCCCCACCACACATGCCCTAAATCCCCTCAGCCTGTGCTTCCCGCCTTCATCCATCCATCCATCTTCTGTCTGTCCTTCCTCTGCTCTCCTGCGTGCTCAGGGCTCTGTTTGCGCTGCAATAGACAAGACAGACCCCGCAAACACGGTTGGGAAGGCAGTTCTAGCTCATTTGGGGTTAGGTGGCTCGGGTATTAGGTCTGTGAGAGGGTACTAAGACCTTCTTTGGAGTGTCAGGACACAGCTGAGAGCCACCAGGGGCTGTGGTCCCACACAGCAGGCACTGCCCAGGCCTCACCTGGACTTTGCAGGACGTGATGCTCTCAAGTCACATGCTGGCTCCCAGGCCAACTACCATTCATATGTCCCTCTGCCAACAGCAATCCCTGTGGTGTCCCCTGACCCTCAAGCCTAACACCCTCCCTCCCGGGTTCCCCGCTCCAGCACACACCCCTCACCGGCCCTCTGGTCTGCCCTAAACCTTCCCCCACTTGCTCCCAAGCCAAGGCCTTTCCACATTAGGCATTGCTAAGATCATCATCCTTGTTCTACAGATGAGATATCAGATTCCCCGGGACAGCAACCTGCTCAGCGAGTGGGTCGAGGAGGCAAGACCAGAACCCAGACGAGAGCACTGAAATCTCCAGCACATCGCGTTGCCCATGAGGCAGTCATTGCCATTGATTGCCCTCCTCCATCGCGACGCAGGGCATATTTGGGGATCTGTAATTCACAGACTGATATGGGAAGAAGCCCAGCACAGCTCTCAGACCAGCCAGGTCAGCCTTGGCCTAAGGCCCGCCTCTGGCCAGAGGTGACTGGGCTGCCCCTGGCTTCCTGAGGCAAGGAGCAGGAAAGCTCACAGCTCAGCCAGCTCAGCACTGGGGAAACAGGGGACACGGATGGAGGGGTAGTGGCTGGGATTTGCCTGAGAAACTCTAGGACTAGGGAGAGGCTGGGAGACCCCAAAAAGCAAGCGCAGAACAAGGAGGGACTGACACCGTGGCCGTGGACCAGCCTGTGAGGCGCCCCTGCCATGGATCTGCCGGGATGTTGGGCGGGGGGGGGGGGGGTGCTGCCCACAGGGCCCGGCCTTCCCAGCCCCACCCAAGGCCTCCAGGAACGGCCAAAGCAGGGCCAGTGAGGAAGCCCCGACCCCGCAACAGCTTCCCAGGCCCGCGGTGCTCCACAGAACCCTCCACCATGGTCCCCAGGGCTGGGGCACCCTGGGGCAGCCCTGGCGCGTCATGGAGTATCGGCAGGGTGCCCCGCCGGGGAACCCAGGGGGAGCCGGCAGCAGAGGCAGGGTGGAGGCGGCCTGAGCACCTGGCAATAGGGGAGAAGGCCCTGTGTGTGGCAGAGCCCAAGAGAGGAGGTGCTTCAGGATGGCGACGGAGGGCTGGCTTGACCTGCGGCTCACCCTCCAACAAGGGCCACAAACACCTGCGCGTCTTTGCAGGGCCCCGACTCCCCCAGCCTAGGACCCAGCCCTGGGTCTCCCTCTTCCTCCCATGGTACAGTCGGGGCAACTAAAGTCTGAGTGCGGGACACAGGGACCTCAGCTCTGCCGGCCCGCGGCCTCCTCCTCAAGCCCTTGGGCCGCCTTGCGCCAAATCCCTCGAGAGCCGCCACCATTCCCGCCATTCCTACCTCCGCTCCGGGCAGCCAGACAGACGGCCGGGGCCAGTCCGAGGCGCGCACCCACCCCCATCCGTCCCCCGTCGTCTCCTGGGTCCCCCAAACCCAGTTCCCGCCACCACTGTCCACGGAAGACGCCAGCGCTCGGCCCAGCGTTCCTGATTCCCCCTTTCTCGGCGCGTCCCGGGCGCTCGGGTATCTCTGCCCGCGCCTCACCTTCCCGGGGAACCGGTCTCCGCCCGGCTCCTCCACCTGGGGAATCTCCCTCGCCCCGGGGCCCGGCCCGCCACCCCTCAGGAAGCGCCTCTGCGCCCCCGGTCCATCCCTGCTGGAGGAGCTCGCGAAGGTTCATGCGAGCGCGCGGGGCCGGTCTGCGGCGCATGGACGGACGGACGGACTGACGGACGGACGCTCCCCGCCCGCTACCTGCGGCTCCGCACCCCGCGCCGCGCCGGCCGCCGCACTTGCCTTCCCTCCCCGCCTACCCCTGCGCGCCTTCCGGTGCAGTTTGGGACAGCTCGGAGGGTCCCGCACGCGGCGCCGCAACTGCGCCTGGGACGTGACTGTGCCTGGGCCCTTCACAGGCAGTGCCGGCAGCCGCCGCGGGGCAGGACTCGGACCCCGCGCCGGGGAACTGGTCTCGGGGCGGCGGGAAAGGAACCCTGAGGGGAGCAGAACCCCAGCCTCCCAGTCCTCCCGGCCCCGCACCCCCGACGGCCCCACGCCGCCCGGCCACCAGCCCCGGACCCCCGGCACCCCGCACCCCGGACCCGGCACCCAGGACCCCGCACGCCAGACCTAGCACCCCGGCTGACCTGCCGCTCGCACGCCGGCTCCCGCTGTCTCGGCGGCCGCTGGGTCTCCGGCTCCGGCCGCGCCGCTCACGGGCGCCCCCTGCAGGCAGCTTTGAGACCCGCGCTGCCCCCGCCCCGCCCCGCTGCGCGGAGAAACCGAGGCCGGAGGGGGACCCGAGGCATCGGCCCGCGAGGCCCGCAGGCGATCCTGGAAGGACGATCCCGCAGGTGTCCCTGTCAGGACGAGGCCGCGACGGGCCTGGACCGCGCCACATCCCCCGCCTGCGGCCCCCCAGCGCGCTCCTCCCGGGCTCGCATCCGTCCCGCCGCTTCCTCAGCGCCACACTCACCTCCCTTCCAGGAGTCCTCGGGCCTGGGAGTCCCCTTCCCCGCCCCTTGGAGCGCTCCGGGCCCCACCCCCACACTCCCTCTTTTCTTTTTTTGAGACGGACTCTTGGTCTTTCGCCCAGGCTGGAGTGCAGTGGCGCGATCTCGGCTCACTGCAACCTCCACCTCCCGGGTTCAAGCGATTCTCCTGCCTCAGCCTCCCGAGTAGCTGGGATTACAGGCGCCCGCCACCACGCCCGGCTAACTTTTGTATTTTTTAGTAGAGACGGTGTTTCACCATGTTGGTCAGGCTGGTCTCGAACTCCTGACCTCGTGATCCGCCCGCCTCGGCCTCCCAAAGTGCTGGGATTACAGGCGTGAACCACCGGGCCCAGCCTCCCTCTTTTTTAAGAAGCCCCCATTGCCGGCCGGGCGCGGTGGCTCACGCCTGTAATCCCAGCACTTTGGGAGGCGGAGGTGGGCGGACCACGAGGTCAGGAGATTGAGACCATCCTGGCTAACAAGGTAAAACCCTGTCTCTACTAAAAAAGTACAAAATTTAGCCGGGCGTGGTGGCATGCGCCTGTAGTCCCAGCTACTCGGGAGGCTGAGGCAGGAGAATCGCTTGAACCCGGGAGGCGGAGGTTGCAGTGAGCTGAGATCACGCCACTGCACTGCAGCCTGGGGGACAGAGCTAGACTCTGTCTCAAACAAACAAATAAATAAAAAAGAAGTCCTCACTGCTGCCTCTGCCACTATGGTCCTGTGGAACTCTGCTGTTCCTTATCAGAGTTGGGCTGGATCCATGCCCCTGTGTCACCCGTTCCCCAGTGTCCAGCTGTGCCCAATGCCTGCTCCTCAGATCTTTCCATGGCTCCCCAGGTCCTGAGGGATAAAGGCCAGCCTCCTGAACACGGCGTTCAAGGCCCTGCCTGACCCTTAGCTCCCCCACCTTTAGCCCTGCCCTTCCTTAGCCTGGCCCAGGTGCTGGTCTTGGCAACAGCTGTTATCTCAGTTCAAAGATGTGTCCCCAATTTCCAATGCCCCCTCTGCCTCTCCCCATCCCAGACTCTGGGCCAGAGACCCTCTTGTTCTTCCAGCTCCTGGTGCCCAGTGTGGCCTTGATCCTCCCCTACTTCCCTGAACAAGGAGGCAGGGAGTCCTGTCTGCACCACAGACTAACTGGGAATTTTAGAGCCTGAGGCTGGGAATTCCCCCCCCATCCCCCCGCCCCACTCGCCTATTTTCTGGAGACTTCCAACTGGGAACAACTTCATGTCCAGCCCTCCAAGCTGTCCAAGGGGACCCGCCTTCTACCCTTGCATCTGGAGGGATGTGGACTAATCCCAACTGTTCACGACAGGACAGGCTATGTCAGACAGCCGGGGCATTGGTGGCCAAAGGCTTTTGGGAATCCTTGCATTCTAGAACCTCTGGGGACCAGTGGGGTCCTGGCTAGAGGCCCAGGGTGGAGGGGCTTGCCCAGGGCCAGGCTGGACCCTAAGGCTGAAGGCAGAATGGGGGCATGACCTCTATCACAGCAGCTACCACTCACTGCAGGGAGGAGAGGGTGGGTGGGAAATGGGCACACAGGCACCTGGCCAGTGTGTTAGGAGAAGCATGGGGCCCATGGCAGTGACCATTGCTTACCCAGATGCAGCCTTGAGCATCTGGCAGCCTCCCTGGCTTATTCCTGGGATCGAAGCCTGGGCCCCCGTTCCCATTCAACTAGCCCGGCTCTCCTGGTCCTTGTGTTCCCTAATGTCCAAGGTGGAGGAGGAAACCCTGGGATGTGTGGGGACCTAGACAGCTTGAGTTAAACTCCGAAGGGCGAGACCCACATGAGACTCTTGGGGCGCTGTCCCCAGGTCTTTCCAAGGAGACCTGGCCCTGGTGCCCCCCTCTCTGTCATCCTGGCCTTTGCTGACCCTCTATTCAAAGGAGCTCGCCTTCTCCCATGGCCCTGGCTTTCCTCAGTGGAGGAGCTCCCCCTCCAGGTGGGGACACCGCCCTGGGACCAGCGGCAGGGGCTTCCCTGCAGACCTTCCAGGACCCATATCCTCACCTGTAAAATGAGTATCTTGTGTCTGCCCTGCCCCCTCCTGGAGGTTAAGTCAAACCACAAGGTAGGGGTGAGGGATGCTGACGGCCATGGGGCCCTCCCTTGGCCCCATCCTTGGCCCCCCCATCCTTGCTTCTGGGGCTCTCCACGAGGTAAAACCTCTCCTCTAGTGGGGACAAACCCCTCCCGCCCACACCTGCTGGACCCAGATTCATTCAAGCCCTTACTCAGCAAACATGCACGGAGCGTCCTGAGTCTTCCTGAGGGGCTCAGGGGGCTCACGAGGCAGAAACCAGCCCTCAGCCGATTCTGAGGGTCTGTCTCGTCCCCCAGTGTGGACCCCAATGACTCCTCTGCCATTCCCATCCTGGGGCCCGCAACCTTCCTGCGTGGACCTTCCCATGCATGGTCTAGCCATGTGCACCCCAGTCCCACAGCAGGAGGGTTGCAGCCGCAACGTCCTCACGCAGGGAGTGATGGCTTTGTTCCAAAGCTGGTCCTCAGGGTCACAGTGCCAAAGCCCTTAACATTCACCTCTAGGGCTCAAGGGGCAGTTCCTCCATTCCTCAGCAGTGGCGCCGGTGGAACTGTGTCCTGAGGCCAGGGGGTGGTCAGGCAGGGCCTGGAGTGGCTCCAGCCCCAGAGCCAGCTCCACAGTCCCCACAGCCACCCATGAGGAGCCAGTGCCAAGGAGGCTGTGATGGGCCGGCTCAGGCCAGGCCCCCACCCTTCCCCTACTGGGCTCCTCCCTGGCCCTTCAGAGGCAGAGAGCCCCGCGGTCCTGTGTCATCTGTCAGGTGCTTTGGCCCAGGTCTCCAGCGCTGCCATTGCCCAGAGACGGCACAGGCCAAGCTGTCCAGTTCAGGGATGGGGAACGGCACCTGGCAGGGCTGTCCCCAAACTGCCTGCCCCACAAGCCAGCTTGTCTTCTCCAGGGAGGGGCCTGTGTTCTCGGCACCACGTGCCTTAAGGCCACCTCCTCAGTCTTGGCCTTGCTGCCCCCTTGCCAGCCCCGTACCCACCTCAGCTGAGTGCTGTCCTCAGATACCAAGGCTGTGGGGCTGGGGGAGGTCCCTGTGCAGGTGCCTGGGCTGCCCGCCTCCCCCACCCCCAGGCCCAAGGGAGCAACAAGGCTGAGGGGCAGAAGCTCTCCAATTGCAACCACTGCCCTTTGGTGGGCACGGGGAGGCCCCTGGCAGGCCCCAGCTTCTGGCTCCAGGCGTTGGTTTCCCTGCCCAGCCCCAGGCAGGCTTTGAAAAGGCTGTGGGCGCCCACCCTTCCTTCCATCCAGGCTCCAGATCCTCAGGCCCGGCGGCGGCGGGGCCAGCTGGGCCTCCCCAGCTCCAGGATTCCGGCCCTTTGTTCCTGCCCAGGATGCACCTGGTGGCCTCTGGCCCTCATTGTTTGCTCTGAGGCCAGCTGAGCTGCATCAGGAGCAAGACATGCCAGGCCCAGGACAAGCAGCCAGTGAGCAGGGGAAGGGTCCCTGGAAACCAACTGGGTCACCCTGGGTGCTCCCCAACTTCTCCAATGGGGCAGGGACCTCACAAGGCTCCAGTTTATCCTAACAGAGGTCCTGCAAAGGCAGAAGAAACATACGGAGGAAGTGATCTCCGAGTCACTGGTCATCATCCTCCAACTCACCCCACCCCACTCAAGATGTTCACCCCATATCTGCTTCTGGGTGTCAGGACAAACAGCAACCCGCTAGCAACCCGGCCTTGGGGATGATCGGCGTAGATGTGAAAGCAGGCCCTGAGGGGAGTGGAGCCCTGGCTCCAGCGTGGGCAGTGACAGTCCTCTGCAGCCCTCATGCCGGGGCTTGCCACTCATCACCCCGATGGCTCTAAGCCACCTGCCCGCTCTCCCTGTGGCCCCAGCCCCATGACCTGCCAGGACTGTACCCCATGTCAGAGTGCCTGATATGAGGGCCCAGAAGGGGGCCCTGCTTTGCAGAGGTGGAAACAAGCCCAGCACATCCCAAGTGTCGGTGGCTGACCTGGGGAGGACCTGTGTGTCCCGACTCCTCAGTGCTCTTCCTGGCAGAAGTCTTGGGTGCAACCCAGCCCTGCGATGGCCTGTCCTTCCCCTCAGGGCACACCTGCTTCCTGCCTGGTGGGTGCCTGCCTTGGCCCTTCTTTTCTGCTTGGCCCTTAAGACTGCAGACCCCCTGCCACCCCTTCCTCACAAACACGGGAGGGTGCAGACAAAAGACCAGACCTTTCAGCACCTGCTCTGGGCCTGGTGCAGTCAACTGGCAAGCTGTGCCCGGTCTCTCCGCACCCCTCCCCCTGCCTCACAGCAGGCTCCCCGAGGCACTCCCAGCCTGAGAGGGCTGGTCAGGTGGAGTCCTCTCCTGTCAGGCAGGAGAGATGGAGTCCTCTCTTGTGCCCGGCCCAGCTCCTGTAGATGCCCAGTAAGGTCCAGACCTGTTGGGGTCAAAGCTCCTGCCAGAATCCAGATCCCCGAATCTCAGCAACCCAGGAGTCTGTCCTCACTCACCTGATGTACGGGGAAGTGGCTGCGAGCATGTTGAGACTGGTTCTGTCTGCCCCGGTCCCTCACCTAAGGGACAACCTAAAATAGAACCCAGGCTACCCCGAGGTTGCACGAAGTGCCGGCCCCGTGGGGCTGGGGCCATAGAGCTGGCCAGGCAGGGCTGCTGGGGCAGGGCGTGGCGTCTGGGCACAGGACCGCAGGCCCTTGAGGGTGCTGGAGGGGTGTAAGGGATCCTTCTGGAATCTCTCCACTCTCCCTGGAATCTCTCCACTCTCCCTGGAATCTCACAGCTTCCCCCTTCCACCTATTAAGCTGTCCCTGAGATCCTGGAACTTTGAGTCAAGGTATAAACGATGCCCTCCCCATAGGTGCTGCCCTGGGAAGCAGCAGAGCCAGCTCCAAATTGAGGGGCACAGCACTGTGGACGGGCCCCGCAGGCCCGTAACTTGGGACAGAAGGATCCCCTCAGGGCCACCCTAATCAGCATCCAAGGCAGCTGCACTGCAGGCGGGACGGATGGAGGATCTGGGAGTGACCGCCCCACCTGGGAGTGGTGGCTAAGGGGTCTGTGCTGCCCAGGACAAGGCCCAGGTGCGCTGGCAGGGACGGCAGTCCCCTGCTGACGTGTGGAGGCCGCTGCACACAGGGCCCGCCCGGCAGGCTCCATGGATGCTTGCTGACCACTAGGGCAGAACCCCTTCCGCACAGCAGAGGACACAACGAAGGGGCTGCTGAGCAGGGAGGAGCTGAGTCCAAGCCCAGTCCTGCCCCAGTCCTTTCACGCCCAGCTCCCAGCTCTACAGCTGTTGCCCACTGCCCACCCCAGGGTACCTGCAGCTGTTGGCACCCAGGGGTGCAGCTCCCAAGCACTTGCAGGTCACAGTGCAACTCCTGGCTTACTCAGGGCCAAGGCAGTTGCTGGGCTCCCAACCCTGAGGAGTCTCCACCTGGGAAGGGCATTCACTACATGCCCTCGTGTGCAGGAAGCACCACCACCATGGGCCTTTTGCATGTGACGTGGACAAGGTGGTAAGTGTTCTCCAGGCCAGCTCAGTGCATTCACAATCACTGTAGTGACTCACACCTGTAATCCCAAGGCTCTGGGAGGCCAAGGCGAGAGGATTGCTTCAGCCCAGAAGTGCAAGACCAGCTTGGGCAACATGGCGAAAAGCCCATTTCTACCAAAAAAAAAAAAAGAAAAAATAAATAAACAAACTGCTGGAGATGGTGGCACACACCTGTGGTCCCAGCTACTCAGGAGGCTGAGGTGGGAGGATTGCTGGAGCCCTGGAGGTTAAGGCTGTGGTGAGCCGTGATCGACCCCGTCTCGAAAAAACCAACAAAAAACAATGCACAGGCAAAAAAGTTTATCTGGTTGCCTCTGGGTAGGATACCTTTTTTCTTTTTCTCTATTTTATACATCCTGACAATTATTTCCAAGATGATACATGCCTCAAAACAAACAAAACCCCTCGAGACACACTCCCCAGCCCCCAGGGAAGGCATGTGTCTGGGCTGTGTAGGGGCTTCCGCTCTCCTGGGGGTAGCTCTGCCACGGTCTCTGGGGTCTTGGCATCTGTCACAGAACCCTAGTGGTTACAGGGCTCACTGTCCCACAGCCCCAGGCCACACGGTGATGTGCTGTGGCCCAGGGGAGGCCACCCTGGACTCCTGGTCAGGATCTGCCCACATGAGGAAGTGCGCCTTGGGGTAGGGCCACAGGCTGGCTCAGAGGTGCCCTTCTCTCCACAGCCAGTCCCAGGAGGGAGCTGGGTTCTGGTTTATGCGACGTCAGAGGGACGGCAGGGAGTGGAGGGCAAGCTAGAAAAGCCCAAGCTTGTTGTTTCAGCCATTTTAATACATTCAAGAATATTTACTAGAACAACATTTAAACGTATCGTCGGTCCGCAGAAGCCTGGGATCGAGAGAAATAGAAACGCGACTGGCCCTTTTGCAGTAAAGCTTGTGCTTGAAGGGAGAAGAGGCAAAGTGGCTTCTTGGAGACTTCGTGCCAGATGCCACAGGACTGAGAGCATCTCCAAATGTCACTTTAAACACGTGTGAGCATCTATAGTCATTCCTAAAGCCCACAGTGTCCTAAGGATCCTATTAGACGAGGCAAAAGGCAATGCTTCTGGAACCCTCTCCCTTGCAGCTCTGCACGCAAACCTTCCCCAAGGAGGGGCCCGAGGCAAGCCTCTAGATAGGCGGGGCCAAGCCCTCCCCGTGCCCACCCTCTTTCCCTGTTGCTGACCTCAGGCCTGATGCTGGACCCATGAGACTCCCAGAGGGAAAACACAGATACAGCCCATCCATCCATGGCCACCTTCCTCCAGAAGATCCTGGGGACCCCTACCCCCCCATCCCATGAGGCACCAGGGCTGGGCTCGCATGGCCAGCAAGGGATAAAGTTGGGAACTGCAGACCAGGGGAAGCCCCCTCATTCTTAGGGCAAAACAGCCCCTGAAGGACAAAATAAATAAACCAAACCATGACCAGACAGCTGGATCCGGACAGGTGGAGTGGCCTCTGTGAAGGCAAATGAGAGCAAAAGTGGGAACTGAGGACACCTAAGTGGAGAGACACTTAAAAACAGTAATTCTCACATGAACATCAGTGGCTCATGCCAACAGCAGAGCTGGCCATCAACAGAGGAACAGCAACAAAAACACAACTCAGACAGGGGGCGGGACGGGGCCAGGAGTCTGCGGGGGTCTCTGATATGCTTTGTGGCATGACTTTGCTTGCCTGGCCTCTCCTTTCTTAGCTGAAAACAGGCATTTCACCAAAGGGCATCCAGCCAGCGGCAGCAGCCTGAGCTCCCAGGCTGACATCTGGGCAGGGCTGATGGGCAGCTTCTGGCCATCTGGTGACCAGGTGTGCCGCCAGCTGCACCCACATGCACAGCCCCTTTCCTAATAACCACATTCTAGGTTACGTAGACACGTTAAACTCCTATTCTAGAACATCGTGCTTGAATGCAGACCCCTCAGCCCACAATCGGGCTGGCTGGGCCTCCTGTGAGCCCCTCATTGCATCCAGTCTGTGGGGCAGTGACCCCGCTTCCACTGGTGGCTGGTCTTCCTCATGGTGCTATGCAGGTGCCAAACACAGTTATATTCTCAAAGGTACAGGTCTTGTCTGGACATTGTTCAAACCAATAGCTACTGCGTTAGGCACACGGGAGATCCCTATTCCCAAAAATAGCTGTTGAGTTCTGGCCTGAGAGCATCTCCAGTGACCACCTTTAAATAAGGCTTTGGTTCAAACAGCATGGACCCAGCACCTGGGGAGGGTGGGCACAGGGGGCATGGACCCAGTACCTGGGGAGGGCGGGCATGGTGGTAGGAGACAACTCAACCACTGAGTCTTGGAGGTCCTGCCTTGGCCACGGAGGGCAGTGGCTGCCCTCACAAGAAGAGTTAAGGCACTTTCTTTAACTCTGGCCTAGGAGAATTATGTCTTAGTGACTCAGTGAGTTTAAATGACACTGCCTGGGCTCCCTAAAGTTGTTTACTTTTCTCCTATTTCCTGCTTTATTCCTTGCTCTCACCATGCTAATGTACAGATGTTGTTTAGATTTCTATGCTTATTGAAACAATGTAACTTTGGTACTAACAGAACAGGAGCGACCTTTTCCAGCATTGCTCGTAACAAAACAAAAATGTTAACTAGAAAAACTCCTTATGATGAAGAAATCTAAAGCCAGAGCTGGGACTCCAAACCCCTTCCAGGCTGGAAGACAGGTCGCTGAGTCCAGGCAAGGGGCCCCCGTAACTGCTTCCCGCCAGAAAGCCCAGCCGCGTGAGTGCAGCAGCAGCACCCCAGCCCTGGCGTGCCCGCACCACGCCCTCTAGATACTCTCCTAGCTCAGGCT
This sequence comes from Homo sapiens, assembly GCF_000001405.40. Taxonomy (NCBI): domain Eukaryota; kingdom Metazoa; phylum Chordata; class Mammalia; order Primates; family Hominidae; genus Homo; species Homo sapiens. The sequence continues at coordinate 24,415,213 of NC_000022.11, read as the reverse complement.
GAACACGCCTGGATTGTGTCGGCCGGGACAGCCCCGTCAGGTGTGGGGCAGCTGACCCACGTCTGTGGTGAACATGCTCCTCCAAACTAGGACGGTGAAGGGCCCAGGGCGCTGGGAACTGCCAGGCGCTGACTCTCCTTCTGGGTTCTCACCAGCACCGGAACCCACCCCAGCCAATAGTCAGGAAGTGCCGCGGCCGAGCCTTCATCAACCCTAGTGAGTTTCCCACAGAACTGAATCCCTTTTCCCAAATTCAGCTGTGCATGAGCCCTTTTTGTTTGGTGCCCTGGAGCACTAGTGTAGTTCAATATTCTCTTCAGAAGGAAAACTCCAGCAGCCACCGGCCTGCAGGATGTGTGCTGAGCCCACATGACCTGAATGGACGGGTCATGTGGGAGGGGCCCTGGTGGGAGCTGTGGGCCACACGGCTGAGTTCTTCCAATACGGAAGCCCCGAGCTGGAGGCTCACACGCTGTGGGGCAGCCCAGAGTTGCTGGAAGCTTTACAGGGGTGCGTAGCTAATGGCGTCGGTGTCGCTCGGTCGCTGTGGAGGGGTACCCCCGCTATTGGGGCGGCTCCTCCCGGCATGCTCAGGTCTCAAAGTACTTGTAGATCGCCGTCACATACAGCATCACGTTCTGCCAGTCGGGTCGTTCAGTCCGTACCATTTCATTAATGTCCTGACAGACAAGGAAGACGCTTGGTTAGAACTGCAGGTCACCTCCAGGCTGTGCCAATGGGCTCTGCCATAGCAACATGGGCTCTTGGAGTTGGATGGGGCCTTGAAATATTTTCTAGGCCTAATTACACATTTTTAAAGCCTGGCCAAGAATGCTTCCTCCCTGGGCATCAGCATCGTCCCCAGGCCATCCACCCCTGCCCCAGAGCCACAGGCAAGGTGCCTCCCTGCTCACGGCTCTGCAGGATGGGAAGGGTTTCATCCAGTCTGGGCGGAGGAACTTCCTCCCTCCTCCCCGCGCCTGCCTCTCTTCTTAAACCACTCCTTGGGGGACCCTTCTGAGAGCCCTTCTCAGCCCCAGGCACTGGCCTAGGAGAATTTCTCTCTGTCGGGGGCTCCCAGAACCAACACTCTGACGGCCTTCACCATGGGCAACAGTCTGAAATCATCCAAGACTCTGCTCTGTAACTGTGCTCTGCTGAACGCCAGTGACCTGTGACCGGTGAACTGATGTTCTAGGAAAATAAACTTGGGAAACCGTGGACCCACCCCCACCTCACTCCAGTGTCTCACAGCCTTTAACACGAGACAGAAGGCCTCAAAAAGTGACACACTGCTGCTGCTGAAGGCTCGGGGAGTGACCCAAGGGGCCGGCCTGAGAGATCCTTCCCTTCCCATGGGTGACGAGCACAGGACGTGTGGCTGAGCACGCAGGATCAGGAGGGCGCCCTTGGTGACTTGATGCAGAAAACGAAAACCTGCCTGTTCAATGCAAGAATCTTGACTATAGAAGCTTTTGAGGGTGGGAAAAAGGCCTGCTTTTTTTATATATTGGAACTTTACACGTGTTGTAAAATATCCAGGAATGGGGGAATATTTAACTTATTTTTCCCTGTACAGGTGAACAGAGGCCACCCTAAAAAATGCACATTTCTAGGGATTTAGATGCACCTGTGGCATGAAGACTCTAATGAGTGAACATGGGCGTAAACACTTCTTCACAGCACCTCCAGCTGCTACAAGTTAGGCTGGGGGCACGGGGATGGGGAGGTGACCCTGGAGGGCCCCAGATCTAGGACTGTTTGGGGCTTGGACTGGCCTGTGGGCTCTCCGCCCTTTCTGAAAATCCCGATGGTCTGTGTGTCCCATGTGAGGCTGCGGCACTCAGTTCACTTAATAAAAGCGTCTCTGGGTGTAGAAGTTTTGGCTTTGGATTTGGACGCTATGTTTTCTCCCGGAAAGTTGGGCTCGGCAAGGTAGAAGCGTGAGAGGCCTAAAGAACCTGAGAACACGCCGGGTTTCCACACTTCTGTCCTGTGAGTGGCGGCTACCCACACCATCACGAGGAAGTGCAGGAGCCTCCCCGGTCCAGCCTCTAAAGCCGCCTGCCTTGGCTGAGAGCTGCCTTGCCCTCTCGCTCTAGATGAACAAGGCAGATGGACCTGCTGGTGTGGTGTTTTTGACAGCGAGATTTATAAACATATGACATTTTTCTTTTAACCTGAGGGACTCCCTTATGGAAGAGATGACTGCAAAGAGCCGTCCCAGGGAAGGTTGGCTGGGCCCATGGTCTCAGGCCTCCCACCCTTTCAGGGGGCATCCTTAGGGTGTTTCACGTGAGATAAAAGTGCTGGGGGCCAGGACACAAGATCCCACATCTGCACCCACCCTTGACGGGACCCTCCCTTGGCCCCAGAGCACCCCATAGCTGCCTTTTACCAGGCAGCCACACTACCCCATGCCCACGAGGATTCAGCTTAAACAGGACTGAACTCTTCTTAACCAGAAGGAGGGCCCTGCCAGTGACTCAGGGGGACAAGGGCTCACCAGTGTGGATTTGATGCCGACACTTTCAGCTGCCTGGAAAGCCAGCATGAAGTTCCTTCTCTGTAAAAGAAACTGTGTCACTGCAGTGCATGAACAAGGCACAGAGAAAGTCACGTGGCCTCCACAACTGCCTGGGACAGATGCATCTGAAGGACGACACTCACCTCTACCTGGTGCCACAACAAACCTATGCTGGGAGCCTGAGCTTCTGCATCTGCACCAAGTACCCTGCACTAGGCCCGGCCACCCTCCCCTCCTGACCTGCTGCAGTGACCCACCAACACCCGTTCTTTCCTCACTCCTGAAGAATCCTACTTCTGCCGCACCAATGCTGTGGCACCTGAACACGCACCCCCAAAAGCTAGTTAGGAACACTCATCAAATGAGCTTCCCCCACAGGGATCTTCGAGGGTTGTCTGCAGGGCTGGGGGCTGACATGGGGGAAGCAGGGGACTGGGGTGGGGGCTGCGGGCCTGGATCCTCTCCAGTGGCCCTCTGGGTAGGGCTTCTTCCCTGACCCTGTCCCCAAGGAACTATCTGGATGAAACATTAAACCATGCCCTGGAGTGCACAGGGTTGGTGTTTCTTGCCAGTTCTAAGGCCCACAGTGCAGAATGGGCTATGGAGTGACAGCCCTCCTCAAGGTGGCAGGAGGCTGGCCTGGCCTGGTCAGCACTGCCTGACTACTCCTGCCTTCACGGAGCTTCTTGGGCCCCTCCTGGTGAAGCTCTTCATCCTAAATGTAGTCACTCAGGAAGGACTGGCTGCTCCCACTAGGAATGATATCACTTGGGGAATTCTGAACCAACCAAATACTCCACACAAGGTGGGACAGGGACTGGTGGGCTCAGCATGAATGACCTGATCCCAGAAGACCCAGATGGCACGAGGCAATCGCAAGCCAGCGCTGTGGCATGTGACCTGCTGAGGCAGGTGCTGCCCTTGGTTCTCAGCCCTCCAACCCTGTGAGGTGGGTGCCAGGAGCTGGCCCTCCATGGCCTACCTTATCCTGGCTGTTCAGTTCTTGATATGGAATGTGGGCAGGGAGATATGTATGCAGGAGGGCACAGAAGGCCAGCCCATCATTCCAGCTGCTGCTGAAGTTTGTAATGTCAATATTCTGAAGGAAAGGAAGAAAAACATGTAACCAACACATGCTGGGACCCTCTTAGGAGATGCCAAGGAGGACGCAGGAGGCCTCAGATGCTGCATGGCCTCCAAAACACAAAACCAAAACCAGGGCAGGGCGGCTGTGTCCAAGGGCTACCTGGTATCTATGACTCCCCAACCCGTCCCACCCACCAGCTGTAGATGGCTGCCCCTACGTGGTCACGCCTGGGCCTGGTATAACACGTGGCGTCTTGCTGACTTACTAGCTGTTGCATACAAAGAGAGGACCCTAGGCTGCTGAAGCTGGCCTCTACCATGACCTGTTGGGGTGACAGTACAGACCAGAGGATGTGGGTGGTAATCAATGACCCCCCCTTTTTTGTTTTTTGTTTTTTTTGGTTTGTTTGTTTGAGATGGAGTCTCACTCTGTCACCAGGTTGGAGTGCAGTGGCATGATCTCGGCTCACTACAACCTCTACCTCCCGGGTTCAAGTGATTTCTCCTGCTTCAGCCTCCCGAGTAGCTGGGACTACAGGCATGTGCCACCACACCCGGCTATTTTTTTTTGTATTTTCAGTAGAGACAGGGTTTCACTGTAAGCTAGGATGGTCTCAATCTCTTGACCTTGTGATCCACCCGCCTTGGCCTCCCGAAGTGCTGGGATTATAGGTGTGAGCCACCGCACCTGGCCGGTAATCAATGACCTTTAAAGCACCATGTATTAAAATGCAACTCATTCTCCATTGGTTGTTGAAGCATGTCAAAGATCCTCCAAGTCAGGGTGTATCTCAAAGTGCGCCCACACATGAAGATACCTTCTGCCCTTTTCACTGTAATGACACCTGCTCTGATGGATGGTGAGAAGCCAAGGAGAGCAACAACGTGGCCCCCTGAGCATTGGTCCAGGCCACGCACCACATGTACTGGAGATTGCTATAGTGTACCCCACCACAAACTTGTGGTTAAAAAAAAGTAATCTGAAAATACAGGTTTCGCTTAAAGATGTCTTTGATGAGGCAATTTAGTGGTCTGATTAAATGCCTCGATCCTCTGTGCATTGGTCTTTTTAGTGTCTGGTGTGGGGAGGTGGGATGAGTACAGGGCTCCTCAGCCCTGCAGGCTGTAGCCTCAACTCTGCCAGGGAGAAAGAAGCATGGGGCACAGGAGTGGGGCAGGGCTGTTCTGTTAAGAAAAGTTATGACTCAGCCTGACCTCCCAGATCAGGGACTCTAAGCTAAGACTTGCAGTCCATCAAAAACCTCTGCAATTTGCTGCCAGGCATGCGCCTGTGGTCCCAGCTACTCAGGAGGCTGAGGCGGGAGGATCCCTTGAGCCCAGGAGTTCAGGGCTGCAGCATGGTATGACTGTGCCTGTGAACAGCCATTACACCCCAGCCTGCCAACACAGTGAGATCCCCCCCATCTCCGAAAAAACACACAAACCACAAACCAAAACACCTCTGTAACTTGAAGGTGTCATCATCTGACAGCCCCCATCTTGCATTAGGAGCCGATTAAGGCCGGCTATGTGCTCTCCATGCCACCTCTTGGTGAACCACCTCAACTTTTTAAAATTTTTTGAGACAGGGTCTCTCTGTCACCCAAGCTGGAGTGGAGTTGACTCACTGCGGCCTTGACGGCCTCCTGGGGTTAAGCAATCCTACCTCAGCCTCCTGAGTAGCTGGGACTACAGGCTGGTACGTGCTACCACGTCCAGCTAATTTTGTTTGTTTTTTTGTAGAGATGAGGTTTCGCTATGTCGCCCAGGCTGGTCTGAAACTCCTGAGCTCAAGCGATGTCACCTCAGCCTCCAAAGCAGTGAAATTACATGCAAGAGCCACTGTACCCAGCCTTGACTTTCTTTTAAGGGGCACCTTATTCCATATTTTAAAGTATTTGTAACTATAAAAGGAATATATAATTCATTTTTTATTATTACTTTTTAAAGAGACAGGATCTCACTTTGTCTCCAGGCTGGAGTGCAGTGGCACAATCATAGCTCACTGCAGCCTTGAACTCCTGGGCTGAAGCAATCCTCCCACCTCAGCCTCCCAAAGTGCTGGGATTACAGGTGTGATCCACCTTACCTGGCCCAGAGTATTTTATCATATAAAATATTCTGCAATTCAGCTGGTATGTAGCCGTTACCCTTATTTGCAACAGTCCTTATGAAGATGAATCTACACATTTCAATTTTCCTAATTCACACTTTATGCAGACACCACAAGCTGAACAAGAACACCTCCCCACCACCATGTCCCACTTTCATTATTTCACGCCACCTTCAACTGCACCAAGAGCCAGCTTCCTAAAATTTTATTATTTTAGGACTGAGAAAGCCCAAATTTTATTATTCAATGCAAACCGTCCAGCTCCTGGGGAGCACTTTATACTCCTCCCAGGAATGAGTGATTCACAGAATGATGTTAACACTATTATTATCATTATATTATTAACTATATCTGTACAGAATCTTACAAAGTTTACAAAGCACTTTACGAATCCTGACCCCTCTTTATATACTGTTAGGACCTAACACCAAGTCAGGGACCTGGCTCAGAGACAAGGGCAGGTGGGGGCCATGGGAACCCAGGCTCAGAGCTGCAAGGATGTGTCCAACCAGCAAGGACCCAAGTAAAGCAGGCTGGGCAGGCCGCCCCTGCGAGGGAGACCGTCAGTCCAGCCTCACAGCTCTAGGCAGGTGTCCTTACACAGCAGCAGACCACGTGGAGGATCACGAGGCTGACTTCTCATCACCTGCATCATCAGAATGTATTGTCTGGCTTCTGACTGCACGTGCCCAGAACGTTCCAGTGTCTGTGCAAAGCATGAGCCTTCCAAAGGACAGCAGACCCAAGAGTTACTTTCACAGGCCATTTCCTCTCATTAACCTGAACATCTGCTGCTTCCAGCTTCTCTGATATGACCCAGAGATATTGTTATAAACTGCTGTGAGGAAAGTGACCAGATTAAGGAACGAGGAAACGCAAACCTGCCAAGAGTCGCAGGGGAAGGTGGCAGCAAGCCTCTGGTGGCTGGTGTGCCGACAGTCTGACCTGGCTACCTAAATGTGTGCCACCAGGCATCCACTGATGTCAGTCCTCCCCAAATACCTAGGCCAGGTGAGAATCCTCTCTGCCTCAGTCTGTAGTCCTCACACTTTCTGGCCACGAAGATGCAGTCCTGAGGGTAAGACCTGCTACATTCCCAAGAGGCCTGGCCCGCCCTCCATGCGGCTCTCTGCTCTGGCCATGATTTAACAGTTACCACTCCATAAAGGGTTCTGATGACCTAATGAAGAAGGTGCCTTGTGGCAAACAGGGCTTGACAGTTACTGCTGACTGAAGACCCCTGAACACACGCACACGCATGCAATCTCATCTCTTTGATCTCATTGGAATCTCAGAAAGCAGCTCTTTAGGGAGGAAACTAGGACCAGGGAGGAGTGCTAGGCAGGTGGCAGAGAAGACAGGACAGGACAGGAACCCTTGCCCTAGGCATCCTGTGAGCAGTACTCACTTTCACTCTCACAGCCACCCGCAGCAGTCTGGAAGGAGGGTGAGGCTCCGAGAGGCCAAGACACTCACCCAGGCCACACAGCTGGTCTCTGGGATCATTCAAAGTGAGGTGTATCATAGGAGGATGGGCCTGCTTTCCTTTAGTTGTCTAGGTAAGATTTCCTAATGCCCTGTGCACCTTTCCACAGTGAAGTAAGTCTAGGATTAGGGTACAGAGAAGAGGCAGGAATGAAGTATGCAAGACAAATGAAGAATGGGCCAGGACTCACTTGCTCCGTAATTTGCAGGGCCCACTACAAAATGAAAATGCAAGGTCCCCTTGTCCAAAATGCAGAGGAAAAAGTCTATTAAAGGTACTAAAAAAAAGAGCCAGGTCTAAGGGACTAAGTGCTTGATGAAAGAGGCATCCTTGCAGGGAGAGGGGGCCAGGAAGCTTCTTAATAACGTGTGGAGCTCTGTGTGAGGCCAATGGCAACGCCTGGCCCTCAGAGGTCACATTCACTTCTGGAGGAAAACAAACCTTCACTTCCTGCCGCAGCCGCCCCTTCTGCTCCCTGAAACGCAGGCAGCTCTGGCAGGGTCGTGGACGTGCCTGGCCTCACCACTGCACAGCGCCTCGAGGCAGAGGCTCCTGTGTCCCATCCGCCTGGCTGTGGGAACCCCAGCCTTCCCCCTCCGCTTCCTCAAGATAAACCCAACACCCCGCCAGGGAAGAAGCTGCTGCTCCAGCACCCCCGCCCCACCTGGAACCTCCGGGAAGAGAGACTTCTTTTACAAAGCATGCCACAGTGACCTGAACCGGGAAGAAAACAATGGCTTCTTCAGTTCCAGGCTGAGGAAGTTCACATTTGAGTACCTGACAACGAAATTTCCTATCAATACAAGTAAAGCCCAAAAGAAGGCTAGCTGGGGGCCCTACCTCCCTTAACCCTTGGAGGTTTGGAGAGCAGCCAGGCCAGACTGCTGCACGTGGCTCCAAGGCACCCTATGTGATAAGCTGGAGGCAGAAAGTAGGGAGCCCAAGTGAAGCTTGAGCGCCCACTGGCTGCTCTGCTTCCTCCCCCATCCACAGAGATCATGTTGGGAGAATGAGCCGGGCTCTGAAAAAGGGGTTCCTCCAGGGAAGTGAGGAAGAAGCCCGCAGCCCTCTGCTCCCAACGTCACTGGCTGTTGCATGGTTTGAAATGTTCCAGGCTGAAAACTCTAACTGCTAATGAAGTCATATTGACTAAATTATAAGAACAACGAAGCTGGGTTCTCGGAAGGCACGGTGCAAGAACACCAGGCAGGAAGGCGGGGAGCTCCCCTCCACACGGCCACCACGGCCCGTTAATATTATGACGGGATCAGTATCTTGGAGAGGAAACACATGAAACGACACAAAATCGCATGGAATCACCAGAGAAATGGCTTCTCCCTTCCTCACTCAGTCAAGACCTTTGCTCTGCAGGTGTGACCAGCACCCAGTGAGGCCTTCTCCACCCCCTACCTGCCAGCCGCCACCATGCACACAACCCGCCAGCTATCCCCAAACCCAGACCACAGTGGGCTCCAGGCTGCCAGGGGAGCACAGGGAGAGGAGAATGATCCCACAGACCAGCTCTGTGCTTGGCCTCTTGGAGCCTCAGCCTCCTTCCAGACTGCTCTGGATGACTGTGAGAATGACAGTGAGGTACTGCTCGCAGGATGCCTGGGGCAAGGGTTCATGCCCTGTCTTCCCTACTGCCTGCTGAGCACTCCTCCCCTGATCCTGGGGCCCTCATCAAGTGTCTGCAGGCGGCCCCCAGACCTGCCTTTTGCCATCTGCCCCTCATGCCTCTGCTCCATGCCTGGACCCCACAGAAGAGCCTGGGAGCAGCCTGGTGCTCTGTCCCCATCTGCATGAGGTCTGGAACTAAACTTTCTGTTGCTTTCTAAGGTGGCAACAGGTGAATCTGCCTGCGGATTGGTGGCCCCTGGAACTTATGATCCCTACCTTCCCAGGAGGGCTAAAATCACCCTGGATGTTCTTGGCAATTGAGGAAAAAAGCTAAAGCTTTTATGTCTTGGATAAAAACAACTCACCACCACCAGTATGAAGCTTGCGGACAGGGGTCTGAGCCAGGTTTGACACTTCCTGGGCACACTACCCTGGCTGTCTTGGACTTCAGTGAAATCCCAGCCCACACAAGATGACGAGTCTTCGACCCCTACTGAAACTGTAATGTGCTTTACATATGTAAAGTACTTTTTTTTTTTTTTTGAGGCAGAGTCTCGCTCTGTTGCCCAGGCTGGAGTGCTGTGGCGCAATCTCGAATCACTGCAAGCTCCGCCTCCTGGGTTCAAGCAATTCTCTGCATCAGCCTCCTGAGTAGCTGGGATTGTAAGCACCCGCCACCATGCCCGGCTAATTTTTGTGTTTTTAGTAGAGATGAGGTTTCACCATGTTGGTCAGGCTGGTCTCGAACTCCTGACCTCAGGTGATCTGTCCACCTCAGCCTCCCAAAATGTTGGGATTACAGGTGTGAGCTACCGTGCCCAGCCTGTAAGGTATTTTTAGGGTTTAGTTTGCTTACTGTAGAGGAGATGGCTGCTGTGTTGCAGATGGCATGAATCCAAACCAGGACACCAACACGCAACAGAATCACCGAGAAAGTCCCTAGGCTGCTCCTACCTGGAGCCCTGCTCCTGGGGACGTGGCCGCAATTCTGCTGACCCTCATCATATTCATGTGACCTGTAAACCTCCACCTGCCTCCACTGCTCCATGTGTTGCTGCACATGGAGCAATACCACGTGCCCTGGTGTGTGGTTCCTTCCTTCCCTCCTTCTCCCCTTCTCTCTAAGGGGGTTTGGATGAGGAACTCAGATAACAAACTAGCTCGAAATCCCAGCTGCTGGAAGTTCTCACTCAAAACACAACGGTAGGAAGCATGCTCTACAATAACTTGTTTCAAAGCCATTTGGATGCCACAAGGCAGAGCTTTCCACCCCAGCAGGAGGGCCGGGGCCACCAGTGTGTGGATTTGTTTTCTGCAGGCCTGCAAAGATCTTATCAGGATTGGCATACAAACAGAAAAATGAAGGGCCTGGAGTTGTGTTCTTCCACTAACAGTAATGGGGAACCTCCATGTTGGAGAGCAGGAGACACAGTGACACCCTAAAATCTGTGGCCCCAGCATGGAATCCACAGGTGGACGTGGCCATGGCCACACATCTAGGGACAGCCTGTGGGAAAGGGCAGAGGGCCTGGGGATGGGCTGCTCTTTTTGAGGATTCATTTGCACACTCAGCGAGTCCTCACCTGGGGTTTCATGGGTGGGCGGGCATCTTGCTGGACAGGGCTGACACACGGACTTGACATGGGCCAGGGCTCAAGGAGGTTTAAAGGGAAGAGTGGCTGGACTGGGGTCAGAACAGCCAGGAGCAGGGGGAGGGCAGTCAGAGGCCGGCTGGTCAGTGGCTGCAGAGGTCCGTATCAAGTTGGGCTGGAGTGGTGGGTGGGAGATGTAGGGCTCCAGAGATACTTGGCAGCTAAAGCAGACTAGACTTGGCAACAGACTGGCTATGAGGAGGGAGAGCGCATGCAGTGCTCCGGATGGGCCTTGGCTTCTGTGGGCAGAACCAGACGCTGGTGGTGGCCTTCACAGAGGCAGAGCTCCCTGGAGGAAGGTGGGCACTGAGCAGATGAGGGGTGTGTTTTTGTCACCTTAAGTTCAAGATACCTTGGAGATACCCAAAGGTGCTTGGTGGTGCTGACACGTGAGTCAGGAGAGCAGTGCGGAGAGACAGAAAGTGCGGCATCATCGGAGTCCTGTATGGGATCCCCTAGGGATGGTCACAGTGGGCCATAAGCAAGAAGGAGGCCTCGGATCCAGCCCCTCAGCACTCCAACAAGTAATGGCCATGCTGAGGAGAACAGCCTTTAATGGAACACAGGGAAGGGCTGGGGGTTGGGGGAAAGAAACCAGAAGGCAAAGGAAGAGTGTGTTTAAAACAGGACAGAGTGGTCAATGCAGCAGTGATGTGGAGAGGCCACAAGGACTTCCAATCTCCTGCAGTTAGAAACATATGAGTTGCCATGAAGCAACAGGAGCAATGGCGAATAAAGGGAAGAGCAACCACAAATCAGGTTTGTGTGCTTTTAAAAAAGGGAGGGAGTCTCTCACTATGTTGCCCAAGCTGGGCTTGAACTCCTGGGCTGAAGGGTTCCTCCTGCCTCAGCTGCTCAAGTAGCTGGGACTCTGGCCGTATGCCTCGCAAATGAAATTTTCAGAAGCCAGAAAAGCATGAAATTAGATGAGCCATAATAGTGTTACAACTTTCACAGATATCCCTTCTTACGAGTTTATTTCACAGACCTTGCCTAGAAATAGCATTTCTATTTAGTAAAAGTGGCGTTTTCAGTGCATAAGGAAAGTCCTTATCTTCCAGGGGTTTCCCTCTGAGGGAAGGCCATTTACACTTTGCTGAAGAGCGGAGGGGCTGGAGGGCCAAGGGCCTTCCACTCTGCACTCATGTCCTGATTCCTACAGAGACAGCTTCTGATGGAGGCCAGCAGAGCCCTTTAAAGTAAGCTATTCTCAAAGCCAAAACTCACACTTATTTGAGGGGAAAATGCACATTAACGGAAGGAATTTCTATTGTTCACTATTCACAGGCAATGGTGGCAATCTAAGAAGAAAAAAATTAACTTTTTTAAAATAATAGAGACATAGAAAACATATTACTTACTAATTATAATGCAAGTTTCTTACCGATGAATTCAGATTTTGCACTTAGTTTTTTTCAGGTCAATTTAGAGCTTTTCTACTCTACGAGATAATTCCATGTTTGGATTAGGGTCGACAAAACAAGAGAGATGACATGTGCCAGAAGAAACTTTCAAAACGGCCTCTGCACAGACTCGAATGAGAAGCTCTGCCCCATTTTCTCCTAAGGGCACACATCCTTCATCCAGGAAATGTCAACTAAGAGATGTGACAGGGGACAGACAGGGCCTGTTTCACAGTGCCATTTGCTGTCCTTTCTACCCTCATAAAGACTCCTGACAGCCTCACCCCTCCAAGGGACTGGCTGGGTGGTTTCCACTCACTGCTTCTTGACCAAGGATGGAAACCCCAACTGTAGATGTGACCCTGCCTTCTGTCTGTGGCCTTAGGGTGGGATGTGAAAGCCAAGAGATTATACAAATCTCCACAAAAAAGATTAAAAATATGTCATAAAAGATCTCTAAATGTTTTAATTTGTTTGAAGTTTAATTAAGGGCCATAAAATATACTCCCAAATACCACATGCTCTTTAAATAGCTATTAAGGTTCTGGTCTATTTAAGGAAATGCCACTTTTATGGACACAGGGCAAGAAGCCAAGGGCTCTGATTCATCTCTCTGCTGACACATGCAAGCATCCACTTCCTCATGCCTGTCTGAGCCGTGCAGAGCGCTGTCCCCAGGTCCACCTTCAGGCAGAGGTGGTCCTCACTGGTCCTCCAGCTTCACAAGGACACCACACTGTTAAGCTGCAACCCAGTGCACTCAGAATGAAACCTGCTGGGGATCACAGCCCAGCCTCATGAGGTAAGAGTGAGTTACTAACAAAACCCTGGCTCACGATGCCCCCCTATACTGTGGCAGAGTTTGGGAGCCTGAGTGAGGTGAGTGAGGTTCCTTTTCTGTGTAGTATGGTGGGAGAAGATATAATGTCTGAAAGAGAGTAAAAAAACCATCGAGACTGTTGATTGATATCTCTGGGTAGTGGCTGTTAAACACAGAATGCCCTGGGAGTGATGAATGGGCACCTGCCTGGGGCCGGTGGTGCCTGTGGGGTAACCTGGCCAGGCCCTCTAGCTGCTGATCTAAGGGTGCTGCCCTGGGGACTACAGTGCTTATCTCCTCCCTGAAGCAGGGCCAATCTCTGCTCCAGGTCAGGGGAGGGGAGAGAAGGGAAGGGGAGGGAAGGGGAAGGAAGGGGAAGGAAGGGGAAGGAAGGGGAAGGAAGGGGAAGCAGTACATTTTCAGGGAGAGTCTTGCCTGGCTCATCATGGAGCCCAGGTGTTGGTACTTACATGGTAAAGAGGGAGCAAGAAGGAGGCAGGGCAGGCGGCCGAGGTAGGGCAGGCGGCCGAGGTGGAGCTGGCAGCCTCTGGAGATAAGCCCTGCATGTCTTTGCTCTTGATCTAATACGGACCCTCAATCCTCACTGTGCGCTAGAATCACTGCAAAGATTTTTCGGGTTTTCCTACGCTTGCCCCACCCCAGAGACATTCATTCACGTGGTGTGAACGAGTCAGGGCATAATGTTCTTTAAAGGTACCCAGGTGATCTGAATCCACAGCCAACAGGAAGGCTCACCATTTGAAAAACTGAAGTTAGGTGTTAAGTACAATGGGGTGGTACATCTAAAATGTGACATCGGTGAGTTTATGGTGATATCTACAAAGGCACACCCAGCCTGGCTTGGAAACCACTCGTGAACCTGAGTGCTGGAAAATCAAGGGAGAGGAACAAGCACCTGATAGAACTTTCCAGACCAAACCATAGTCAAGGCAGCTGAACAGCTGACAAAGGGGTTTCTCTGTAAAGAGGAAGCCTAATGAAGGAAGGAGTGACAGAATTACCCAGAATGACTGACCTCGTTATCAGAGGCAGTGACATCACAGAAAGAGGCAGCCAGTCCTGCTGCGAATGGACAGAACTCCACAGCTGAGATGTTTCTGCCAAAAACATGAACTGGAATCAGATCCACCCTCCAGCTCTGCCTACCAGTTTACACCACGGACAACAGGATGGGGAAGGAACCAACAGAATCTGAACTGTGGGTCACTCTGTAGGATGCACAATCAATCCCGTTCCTTCAAAAAGAAACTGAAAGAAAAAAAGATTTATGAACTGAAAGAGACCTAAAAGAGACATACTTCCAAACACAATGTGAGAACCCTATTTGGATCTTAATTCAAGCAAACTGATTATGACACAATGGGAGGAGTGAGCTCTAAGTGTGTGGTGACATTAAGTGGCTGGTGTTTGCTTCCGAATCCTCCAGGTGGGCGTGGGGACAGTGCCCTATGCTGATATCTTGTCGCTAGGGCTATGTACAGGAGGGTTGTTTTACCATTCTCATGACTTTAGTGCATATTTGAAAATTTCCATTAAGAACAAACAAACATGAACTTGATCAACAACAGAAAGACAACCCAGTTGCCCAAACATAAAAATGAGCAAAGGACGTAAATAGAACATTTCCCCAAAGATATACAAATAGCCAACAAGCACATGAGAAGGCTCAACACGGTTAGTCACTAAGGAAATGCAAATCAAAACCACAAGAAGATGACACTTCACAGCCATTAGGATGGCTATTATTTAAAAGAAAAGAAAAACATGGTGAGGATGCAGATACTGGAATCCTTGGACACTGCTGGTGGGAACGGCAAATGATGCCGCTGCTGAGGAAGAGTTTGGCAGTTCCTCAGTAAGTTAAACACAGAGTTAATATACGGCCCAGCAATCCCACTCCTTGTCTATACTTCAAAGAACTGAAAGCAGATGTTCAAACAAATACCTGTACAGGAACGTTCCCAGCAGCACTATTCAAAAAAGCCAAAAGGTGGAAACAACCCAAATGCCCACCAATTGACAAATGAATAAACAAAATATGGTCTATCCATACAATGGATTATTTTTTGGCCATGAAAAGGAACAAAGTACGAATATACGCCACAATATGAGTAAGTATTGAAACATTATGGTAAGTGAAAGTTAGACACAAAAGGCTACATACTGTATGATTCTATTTATATGAAATATCCATAGTCAAATCCAGAGACAGAAAGTAGACGAGTGGTTGCCAAGTGCTAGGGAGGAGAAGGAGCTGACTGATGAATGGGTAGGTGGTTTCCACTTGGGGTGATCTAGTTTTGGAACTAGGTAGTGGTGATGAATACACATTGCAAATGCACTTAATGCTACCGAATTGTATGTTTAAAAATGATCAAATGGTAAATTTTTGTTACATATGTTTTACTCAAATAAAAGAGGCTGCCAGATGTTCTGAAGTACAGTTTATGCCCAGTAACTCTATACACTAGGTGGATCTCATAAACAACTAAATTATCCTGGAGTGTTTACTGAGAAGTTACATTAAAACTCAGATGATGCATGAGCATGGATTCTATGAGAATTTATTACAGCTCTGCTTTAAAAATGTAAAAATAGATATATTTCTTAAAAATAAACAGGCAGCTAAGGGTAGGAGGCAGGGTATCAGTCAGCTTGAAACTGAGTACCTCTGGTATGGCAAAAGGAACCTGATATATGTCATCCTCTGTAAATGGCTATTCCCAAGAAAGGGAAGCCATCCCTGATTCTGTGGGAGAAGCAGCCATATTTAACCACAACTACGTTGCCCCATATGCTCAAAGTAGCAAGCATACTTCTCAGATATAGCTTCAACTATATTGAAGCTTCACAAAAACAAAATCTATAGTATGTTTTGGATTTAATATGCTTTAACTTTTTTTTTTGTTTTTTTTGAAATGGAGTCTCGCTTTGTCGCCCAGGCTGGAGTGCAGTGGCGCGGATCTCAGCTCACCACAAGCTCCGCCTCCCAGGTTCACACCATTCTCCTGCCTCAGCCTCCTGAGCAGCTGGGACTACAAGCGCCCGCCACCACGCCCAGCTAATTTTTTGTATTTTTAGTAAAGATGGAGTTTCACCATGTTAGCCAGGATGGTCTCGATCTCCTGACCTCGTGATCCACCCGCCTCGGCCTCCCAAAGTGCTGGGATTACAGGCGTGAGCCACCATGCCCGGCGCTTTAACTTTTTTTAGTCAAATGAACCTATTTTGAGGGGACAGTTCAGAATAAAATAATTGGTCAGCCAATGTCACCCTAAGAGCTAGGGATTAATGTCCCCATAAACCCCTCCAGAGGGAGACGTTTCATGGAGAAGCACACAGGAATCATGATGTCTGCTTTCTGATAACTCAGGAAACTGCCACCAGGCAGAGATGGGTGTCAGGCAAGAGCCACTGGCTGGGTCACAGCTAACTGATGAACTCTGAGCATGTTGTGAGCAGTTTTATTAGCAGCTTAGGAATGATTACTGTCTTTTCCCACAGATTTAGTTTAGCTTTGGCAGGGGATATTACTCACTAAAATGCAATCTCAACTGAAAAAGACCCTCGTGGAAATCCTCAAGCAAGATCTGCCCTGGTGCATGCTCTGAGGAAGGGACTGGGTGAGGGAGGAAGGGAGGTAACGGTGCAGAATCGTGTCCTCATCCTAACCCCCAAAAGCTTTCCTGGCCTCTTTAGGGGAACTGGATTGTTTGAGGAGAAACTAATTAGGCCTTCCAAAACATCCAGGGGGGCCTTCTTTAATTTACCCTCAGGACAAATGTCACCAATTGTGTCTTCAGGCTCAGAGAGATGAATGTGGTGGAATCTGAGTGGTGTCACCAGCCATGACTTACACAGAAACACTGTTCAGAAGCCTTCTCTGAGAAAGGCCTCTTTAGTTTATGCTAGAACCTTGTGGTTACAGGAAGAAGCTTCAAGGCTGACTCCTCCTCCATTATAAGTCCTTGGAAATTCTTTATACTGATTTGAAAGCCATGTCTCTGTAGATCACTGGAAAAGCAGAGTGGTGTGGCCAAAGTATCCTAGGTTTCAGAGTCCCATGGATCTGCACTTTGATTGTTGGTGGCACTTTGTACTGCCTGTAGGACTGTGGGCACATCGTTTTTAACTTGTATGAGTCTCACTCTTCTCATATGCACAATGGAAAAAATAATGATGAAGATTTAACAAAATGACATCTGTAAGGCCCTCCAGCTGAAGCTCAACACATCCTGTCCTCTTCTCCCCCGATCCCTGCTCTTTGCCCCTGAGATGGTGTTGATTCCACCTTCTACAACACAAAAGTGTGAAACACAAGAGTGTTCCCTTGGCCCCAGGAGAGGCCTCTGAATACCAGAAGACAGCCATGCTGGTTCCTGAGTCCCTTTCTCTAGCCAGTACCCCCAAATTTCAGGAGATCCTGCCATGTGGCCAAAGATGAAGATCTGATGGCTCTGTGAGCAGCCACAGAAAATTCTGTCACAGGGTCTCCAGGATGTGGACTGCAATGTACTGCACTTACATGACTCTGCTTCTCTCTCAAGCTCCAAAGGGGTGACCTTAATCTTGACCAAGTGCTGAATGGTAAACCTGGCACACTCTTCAGGCAAACAAAGGTTTGCTGAATAACATACTGGTGTAAGAAAACTCCATCCAGAAACAAAGTCCAGAGAATTTAAAGAGAAAGAAAAAAACAGGCTTCACTTCTAAAAATGAGGTCTGCTAAAAAAAATATGAAGCAGACAGGATGGGCAAAGTATATATCTGGACTCATTCAAATACTAATATTTGAAAAATATAACTTATATAAAAAAGGATAAGCTACCAAACTGAGACTATAGGATTTTATTAATTTAATACAAAGCAAAAAGATTTAGACCACTGCATCAATGGTGAAACCTTATGCACTTTCTGAATGCATCATTATTGTCTTGGTACTGGTATTTCAGAGGAAGATCACCCACCCAACCTCACCCTCCAAGCACCTGACACCGGCTGAGACAGAACGGGAGCCTAAAAGGACAACTGGTCTTCCCTGGCACAACACTTCCTATTTCTGAAATCACAGGCAGTGCATTTAGTCTGACCTGGGACATCCAGGCCATCTGAGTACAGCAGCCTGGATATGAAATGCACCATGGTCTTGCAGGAGCTTAGGAAGGAAATGATATCAGGAAAGAGATGCTCAATATAGTGTGCTCACCTTACGATGAACTTATTTTATTGCTTACAGAAGGAACTGAAGCATTCTTTTCACTCTGTCGGTGTATTCGTTTCTACACCTACTAGATACTGTTTTGGCAGAGGGAAAATGGCAAAACAACTAAAAAAGGTGCACACCTGTGGCACCACCTTCCTGTACTTCTCTCCAGAGCCCTCAACTCAGTGCTCAATAGTTTACTTACTTTTTCCTTTAGTGCAATAAATGATGAAGGGAACCATAAAACACTTTACTTTGGACCAAATATAACAAGATACCACCACTGGAAGAAAGTGACGACAGGACCGTCACCAGGACCCCAGAGAAGAGCTGGTGTTCAAGCAGAGCGCCCTGCGTGGCACTTCACTCCTGACCCCATGCTTATTTTTTTGGGTTTTGTTTTACATACGAGTTGGTTACCAGCTTTTCTTGCTGTTTCCTTGGTATTAAAACACAGTAGGGTAGGGTACAGCCAGATAAAGAGTGTTGAGGACCCTATGGAGGGACACAATGGCAGCAGAAGTACAGAGGCCACGTGAAACGCAACTTCTATGCAGTACAGTAAATGAGTGTTTTTAATCACAAACTGGAGTGTTGAAAAGGTTAAATTATTCCCTGGAAATGGCAGAATTTTAAAAGGCCTGGAAATAATAATATGTTTCAGAAATAATCTTGAAAGTTCTTTGAGGCTGGGGGTGGTGGCACACCTGTAATTCCAGCACTTTGGGAGGCCGAGATGGGTGAATTACCTGAGGTCAGGAGTTCGAGACCAGCCTGATCAACATGGTGAAACTCTGTCTCAACTAAAAATACAAAAATTAGCTGGGCGTGGTGGCAGACGCCTGTAATCCCAGCTACTCAGGAGGCTGATGCAGGAGAATCGCTTGAACCCGGGAAGCAGAGGTTGCAGTGAGCCAATGCACTCCAGCCTGGGTGACAGAGTGAGACCCTGTCTCAAAAACAAAAAACAACAACAAAAAAAAAAAACCACAGAAAGTTCTTTGAGGGCAAAGGTCATACTCTAGACTGCATTCTGTTCCTCCTTGTATTTAACTACCTCTCTGGTTGTGCACAACAAGTGTCAAATATGTATTTCATGACTGGTTTAGAGCATTGAAAGAAAAATTTCCACAAGTTTAGATGCCTAAAGGAGAGAGCTAGCATTGCAAAGATGCATCCGCTGACAGTTCCCTGCAGGAGCTATAAACCCAAAGAATCACTCTGTCACTTGACACCCAAGGCCAAGAGCAGAATCTTGCCTTACTTGATAACTTGAGGTCTAACATCTAGCCAAAGAAGATCAAAGCCTTTTTTTAATCCGTATTTTCTCTGGGCCAGGCTTGGTGGCTCACACCTGTAATCCCAGCACTTTGAGAGGCCAAGGGGGTTCTCAAACTATAGACTGCTTGAGGCCAAGAGTTCGAGACCAGCCTGGCCAACATGGTGAAACCCTGTCTCTATTAAAAATGCAAAAAAATTAGCCAGACGTGGTGGTGCATGCCTGTTGATCCCAGCTTCTTGGGAGGCTGAGGCACGAGAATTGCTTGAAACTGGGAGGCAGAGGTTCCAGTGAGCTGATATCACGCCACTGCACTCCAGCCTGGGAGACAGAGCAAGATTCTGTCTGAAAAAGAGAAAAAAAAATTATTTTCTCTGAAGAGTATTGAGATAAAAAGTGTGGATCCCCAAATCCTTTCCTTTGCAATCCATGAAAATGTCTCTTAAACAAATCTGCTCTTCTTCCTCTGTCTTTTCTGGAGCAGCTGTCATTGACCCTGATGAAATATCTCTTCCTTGGAGAAGACATGTCCTCTTCCTTTCCCCTCAGTCCCTCTCTGGTATTATGGGGCATCTTGTATGTGTCAGTGTGACCAGGCTGTTTTCAAGGTGCTCTTAAATCCTTCACTCTATCACATGCAACCTTCCCAACTTAAGTCCACAGGCCAAAAAGTTCACCTCAATCCATACCTCACATCGTATTGGGAAATGAACTCAAAATGAAGTACAGACCAAAATGTATAAAAAATTATACTTTCAGGAGAAAATCGTTGTGATCTTGGGTTATGCAAACATTTTTTATTTACAACACAAACACATGTATGCTTCATAAAAGAAAAAATGTATAAATTGCATGTTATTAAAATTAAGAATTTCTGGCCAGGCGCTGTGGCTCATGCCTGTAATCTTAGTACTTTGGGAGGCTGAGGCAGGCAGATCACTTGAGCCCAGGAGTTTGATACCAGCCTGGGCAACATGATGAAACCCTATCTACAAAAACACAAAAGTTAGCCAGGTGTGGTTGTGCATGCCTGTAGTCTCAGCTACTTTGGAGGCTGAGGTGGGAGGGTCGATTGAGCCCAGGAGTTCAAGGCTGCAGTGAGCTATGATTGCACCACTGCACTCCAGCCTGGGTGACAGAGTGAGACCCTGTCTCAAAAAATCCCTCAAAACAAAAAATACAAAGAAGATATACGGTGGCAAATAAGCATGTGGAAAGATGCTTAACACCATTAGTTATCAGGCAACTGCAAAATTAAAACCAGGAAACAGCACTACACGTTCCGAATGTCTAGAGGCTGACCACATGGTCTTGGCAAGGATATGAAGGACTAGAATTCTCCTTCACTGCTGGTGGTAAAGTGACAGGGTAGAGCCAGTCTGGAAGACAGTTGGGCAGCTTCTGAAAATGTTCAACCTATACCTACCACATGATCCAGCAGCTAGTCCACTTTTCAGATGTCCTTATGCATATGCAATGGACTGAATATTCCTGTTTCCCCAAATTCTTATGTTGAAATCCTAATCCCCAATGTGATAATATAGGGAGGTGGGGTTCTTTGGGAAGTAATGCGGTCATGAGGGTGGAGTCCCCATGAACGGGATTAGTGTGCTTTTAAAAGGGACCCCAGACAGCTCTCTCATTCTCTTTATGTCTACCATGTGAAGACACAAGATGGCAGTCTGCAACCTGGAAGATGCCCTCACAAGAATCCCACCATGCTGGCATCCTGATCTCAGACTTCCAGCCTCTAGGCCTGTGAGAAATAAATTTCTGTTGTTTATAAGCCACCCAGGCTATGGTACTTTGTTACAGTAGTCCAAACTGACTAAGACACCATATGAACACCTGCACGTGAACGTTCATAGGAGTTTTGCTTACAATAAGCAATAACTGGAAACAACCCAAATGTCCATCAGCAGCTGAATGGCTTAATAATTGTGGTAAACCCAAAAAATGGACTAACACTCAGGGAAAAAAAGGAAATGAGCTACGGTTACACACAATGACATGAATGAATCTCAATGTGCTAAGTGAAAGGAGCCAGAACTCCCCTAAAATTGTACACACTATGATTCTATTTATATAAAACTATAACAAATACAAACAATATACAGCAACAGCAGATCAGTGGCTGTGTGGGGATGGGAAATGTGGGGGAGAAGCAGGATGACGGCAGTACAAAGGGGCACGAGGAAATGTTCATGGTGATGGTTTGTCTATCATGTGGTGATAGCTTTCACAGGTGTATATATGTGACATATATGTATATGTATGTCAAAAGTTATCAAGTTGTAAACTTTATACGCAATTTATTATGTCAACTATACCTCAATGCAACTATTAAAAAAAAGGAAGCCCAAGGCCACAAACACATTTAGGTACCACACAGGCTCTCTCTGTTTTAGAGCTTTTTAACTGAATGTAGTACAGGTATAAACCATGGCAGAACTGGATACAGTCCAGGCACAGTCCAAGGGACCCTGGTCAAAAGCTGATGTCTGATGGAAGATATCCTGGGTGGACGCTAACTGGCAGAAAGTCATCTTGTGTGTTCCAGGGTATAAGCTAAATCTTAGGTGAATCACTAGAAAGTCCTGCAGCTGCAAACACACCTGGCTTACATCATGTAGCATTCTTCCCTACACCACCACTTAATCTCACCCTCATATTGCCTCATCTACCCAGATTCCCTCTCATTTGTGAGGCAACATTAAAAAAGCATCATAAGGTTCTGTCAGGTCACTGTCACATTATTAGCTTCTCTAATTACTTAAGTAAGAGATAACAGTCTCTGTGGCAGATTAAATTTTCCAAAAATGACCACAGCAGTATTTCTGGCCCCACATCTTCTTCAGAAGCCTCCTATGCCCCATCAAAAGGTGGCGCCTATTTCCCTTCCCCTTGTAACTGCCTTGACAAACAGTATGGTAGAAGAGATGCTGCATGGCTTCCAAGACTGTGTCATCAAAGGTGGGGTGGCTTATGCCTGTCTCTCCCTCTCGACAACTGTCCTTGGAATGTGGCCACCACATTTTGAGGAAGCGCAGACCAAATATTGGAGAGGCTACATAGAAGTGCTCTGGCCACAGGTCTAGTGAAAGTCTCCGCCAACAGCCACCAGACCTGTAAGGGAGGGAGCCATCAGCTAGTTCCACCTCTCCAGTGGCACTGAGCTGAGTAGAGCGGAGATGAGATGAGATGAGATATCCCCACTAAGCCCCACCCAAACTGTAAACTCAGGATATAAATAGACGTCATTATGTTAAGCCATTAAGTTTTGGGTGGTGTTTATAGATAACCAGCCTCTTTTCTACTGAATCTAAAGAGTGCATTCAGAAAGGAAACTAGTTTCTCTCTCTCCCGCCCTATGTTGTCTAATGGCTAATTACCCTTCCCATAATCATTTATCATGAGGCAGCAACAGGGCATCTTTACAAATAACCTGCTTCTCAAATGGAGAGGTCACCATAAATTGCCAGAATGACCTCAGGCTAAACTCATTTGTGAAAATCCAGAGCAATCATGTATCTAATGAAATCAACCTGTTGAACTCCAACTTGTCTGTGGAGGCCACATCCTTATGTTGTCATCCCATCCAAAGTGGATGAAGCACAAGAAAACAATGATTTCTCATGATGCAAGGAAGTCAAGAACTGTGCCTGTTATTTGAGATGATACATAAAGATTATTTGACCCAGAGAATTTAATGATTCTGCTTTTAGCAAAATAATTAGGCAGCTCTTGAAAATGTTACTTATCTGATTTCTGTTTCTCAGCATTACTCGTAATAAAAATACCTACTTACTGGAAACTTACTGAAGAGTCTGGGACACTGCCGTGGAGGCTGGACAGCTCAGTGGAAAGAGCCTGGGGCTGGGAGCTTGGAGAGCCAATTGTATGGTCTTAGGCAAGCATGGCACCTTTCTGATTTGCAGATGTGAAATGGAAGCCCTGGGTTTGTGATTTCTAGGGGCTGTCTCAAGTCTGACTTCCTCTAACTTCTGAGAATGGAATGTGGGTGCTGATTCACATGAAGTATTTCACATTTTATCTAAGGAAATGCATCCTGAGACAATTATCTTAAAGCTAAACAAGAGCATTGGCAAACAAACCATTTTATTACATTCGGCAGGTTTTCTCCATGTCATTAGTGGAAGTTAAATGGAAAAAGAATGCAAGAAAAAGGAACAAAACCTTGAGCTAAAGGGAAGACAACCCTGTAGAGTTCCATTCAAACTGCTTAGGTCTGCCCACCGCCAGTAGCCCATCTAGTTGGTGAAGTAACAACAGGTACATCCAAGCTACTGCTGTTGCTGCCAACAGACCATGCCTCCGCCAGGGCACCATTCCTAATTCTCTTTCCAAATCCAAATGTACCGGTCCTGAATGCAGCTCTGAAAAATGCTCACAGTGAGGGGAGTGAAATGAGCATTTAAGGACTGGTGCTGTATACAAGGCCTCCACTCCTTCCCCTGTTTGGGAGGATCTAATTTGTGTCATCCAGGGGAGAAAAGCCTTGACTGAGTAGTCTCATCTACCACACACAAAACACACTGATCAAACTCATTTATGGTAATGGCACTAAGCAACTGATTTTTAAAATTACAGCCCTGAAATTTCTGGAAATAGATGTTAATAGTAGCTATCAAGATCATGTTTAAACAGAATGCAGTAAGTACACTGTGATTCTGGGAAAACTTTGTTTCCCAGCTGCTATGTTTGACATTAAAAGGAATGCCCTGAAAACAGGAAAGAGTTCTTTCACTTCACTGGGACAGAAAAGCCATCAATTAACCTCTGCTGTGTGCAGTAAAGAACACAGGCCCGGCCGGGCGCAGTGGCTCACACCCGTAATCCCAGCACTTTGGGAGGCCAAGGCGGGCGGATCCCAAGATCAGGAGATTGAGACCATCCTTGCTAACAGGGTGAAACCCCGTCTCTACTAAAAATACAAAAAATTAGCTGGGTTTGCTGGCATGCGCCTGTAATCCCAGCTACTCAGGAGGCTGAGGCAGGAGAATCGCTTGAACCCAGGAGGCAGAGGTTGCAGTGAGCCGAGATCGCTCCACTTCAGTCTGGGCGACAGAGTGAGACTCTGACTCAAAAAAAAAAAAAAAAAAAAAAAAAAGAAAAGAAAAAAAAAAAAAAGGAACACAGGCCCAAGAAGAGCCCTGAGATACAAGCTGTTTCTATTCCCCGGTGGCTCCAAGAAATGTGAAGCTCTTGGCCAACCGCTGAGCCTTCGGGATGAAGATACCTTGTCATCAGGACAGAAAATGATTAGACTCCAGGAGTTTTTATTGCTTCACTGTGGAGAACTTATGAGTAGACACAGTCCACATAAAGAATGGGTGGGACGCAAGGCTGGCCATTCTTGTTCCCCTTTGTTCAAGTATTTTTAACCCCTGGAACACACTGATATTTACAAACAATAAGATCTTTCTGTATACTTAGTTTCCATGCAAGTGACAATGTAAAATGAAAAGATTTAGACTTTCAACCTAGATTTGATTCAGATCAAAACTCTTATCTACTGCCAGCACCTTTTTTTATTTTTTAACTCTGGGAAGTAATTCCTGTGACCTAAGATTCCAGTTATAGAAGAGGAAATTAAACCAACTAAGCTCTGCTTGGACTATGAGGAATTCCTAATGCATTATTTTAACAGCATTCTGTCTACTGGAAGAACTCCCAGCTTTCTCTAACCTTTCTCATGCCACACACCCCTAGCCCAGTCCTAACTCTGATCATGGAGAGAGGACGCTAGGAAGGTGGAAGGGTGAGAAAAGGAAGGATCAGGGGAAGAGCGGCATTCTGGAATGTTTTCCAGAGAGGAAACTAAAGTCCTCTTTTTTTTTTTTTTTTAAGGGTTGGGGTAGGGGATGAGTAGAAATAACATTCCCCTTCAAGGCTGGACACATAAGGGAAAGAGGGATGACATGTGAAAAGGAAGCGTCTCTATTCCCTTGTCTTTTCCAGTATGTAGTGTCTAGGAAGAATCAGAAGAAACTTGTGCTTTTGGGCCCAATCTCTTTAGGTTAGGAAAGTCACCTTTATATAAGAATCTACTCAACCCACAGGCTTTGAAATGGTGGCAATGAGTAGTGGCCTAAGGGGGTGTGACTAACACCAAGTGCTAATCTCATGCCTGGGTTGTGCAGGTAGCAAGTACCATACTTAATACTTCATACAATTTATAAAGAGCACTTCCTTTTTCTCCTATTTGTCTCCTATTTCTATTATTACAAAGGAAGCTGTGAAGGACTGAGCTATTTTTATCTGTTCACTAGTTCTCACTCTATTGATTCTTCAATCTATGGGGACACACAATTCTGGGAGAATAAAGGTAAGTACTTCTTTTCCTTGCTTAGGAAAGAGGGTAGGGAAAATAAAAAAGAATCCCAAAATGACGCATGCTAGGAAACTTCTGGCTGCAGTAGAGCAAAGAGGTAGATAGATCCTTTCCCTAAAAAAAAAAAAAACCCGAAAGCCCCCACAAACACAAATATAAACCTGGACAAAAGTGTCACAAATTACCATTTTAGGGCAAATCAACCAAAGGCAAACAACAAACTAAGAAGTATTATTGGCCAGACACAGTGGCTCACATCTGTAATCAGCACTTTGGGGGGTT
Organism: Homo sapiens; assembly: GCF_000001405.40. Lineage (NCBI taxonomy): Eukaryota > Metazoa > Chordata > Mammalia > Primates > Hominidae > Homo > Homo sapiens. The sequence continues at coordinate 24,389,366 of NC_000022.11, read as the reverse complement.
GAGGTGGGTGGATCACCTGAGGTCAAGTTTGAGACCAGCCTGGCCAACATGGTGAAACCCTGTCCCTACTAAAAATACAAACATTAGCCGGCCATGGTGGCATGCACCTGTAATCCCAGCTACTTGGGAGGCTGAAGCAGGAGAATCGCTTGAACCCAGGAGGCAGAGGTTGCAGTAAGCCAAGATCGCACCATTGGCTCTCCAGCCTGGGTGACAAGAGTGAAACTCTGTCTCCAAAAAAAAAAAAAAAAAAAAAATCAGTTATAGAAAGGAGTGAAGTACTAACACATGCCACGTGGAAGAACCTCAAAAATATGGTACATGAAAGATGCCAGTGACAAAAGACCACAAATGATTCCAGTTACATGAAATGTCTGGGACAGGCAAACCCATGGTGGCTGCCTAGGGCTGTGAGGTGGTAAGAATATTCTAAAATTCATTGTGATGATGATTATACAACTCTGTGCATATACTAAAAACCACTGAACTGTCCAACTTGGTGAGTTGTATGGTACGGGAGTTGTAAAAAAAATAACACAACTAAATCTTAGAAACTCAACTCTCAGAAGTTAACTTTTATAAGATATCTGTGGTAGGCCCATAAGCTGTTGATGTCTTAATCTCTGGAACTTATGAACATGTTTATTTACATGGCAAGAGAGTTTGCAGATGTGATTAAACTAGTTCAACCATTGTGGAAGTCAGTTTGGCGATTCCTCAGGGATCTAGAACTAGAAATACCATTTGACCCAGCCATCCCATTACTGGATATATACCCAAAGGATTATAAATCATGCTGCTATAAAGACACATGCACACGTATGTTTATTGCGGCACTATTCACAATAGCAAAGACTTGGAACCAAGCCAAATGTCCAACAATGATAGACTGGATTAAGAAAATGTGGCACATATACACCATGGAATACTATGCAGCCATAAAAAATGATGAGTTCATGTCCTTTGTAGGGACACGGATGAAGCTGGAAACCATCATTCTCAGCAAACTATCGCAAGGACAAAAAAAAAACAAACACTGCATGTTCTCACTCATAGGTGGGAATTGAACAATGAGAACACATGGACACAGGAAGGGGAACATAACACACAGGGGCCTGTTGTGGGGTGGGGGGAGGGGGGAGGGATAGCATTAGGAGATATACCTAATGTTAAATGACGAGTTGATGGGTGCAGCACACCAACATGGCACATGTATACGTATGTAACTAACCTGCACGTTGTGCACATGTACCCTAAAACTTAAAGTATAATAATAATAATAATAAAAAAAGAATTTTAAGAACAGGAAGAGGATCCTGAATTGTCCAGGTGGACCCAATCAAATCACACAAGGCCTTAAAAGCAGATAACCTATGGTCAGAGTGATGCAATGTGACAACTTGACCAGTTGTTGTTGGCTTTGAAGATGGAGGAAGGGGCTACAAGCCATGAAACATGGCTGTCTCTATAAGCTGGAAAAGGCAAGGAAATAGATTCTCCCCTAAAGCTTGAGAAAAGAACACAGCTCTGCTGACACCTTGATTTTAGTCCAGTAAGAGCCATGTTGGACTTCTAACCAATACAATTCTAAGATGAAAAATATGTGTTGTTTTAGCTACTACATTTGTAGTAATTTCAATAGTAATAGAAAACAAATACAGTATTATAAATTATTTGTTTTATATAGAAAAGAAAATGAATCTAATGAATCTTAATAAATCATCTGGAATAAATGAAGAAGTGTAAAATATCAGAAACATGTGACATAAAAACCTCAAAACCACAGATAATTGGGGCGACAACATTCCTGAAAATACCAAAAAAATTTTTTCCTTAATTTTTGCTCAATATACATGAAGTACCCAAATGATAAGTACAGCTAAAAGAATTTTCACAAAGTGAATATACCATGTAGTCGCCTCCCCCAAATCAAGATACAGAATGAATCAGAATCCCAGAAAGGATCCCTCAGTTCCCCTAAAGATAACCACTATTCTGACATCATAATAGATTAATCTCACCACTGTTTTGGCTTCATTTAAATGGAATCATAGTTTAGACTCCTGTGCATCTGGCTGCTTCTGCTCAATATTACATGTGTGAGATTCATCCATGCTGCTGCATGTTGCAACAGTTTATTCTTTTTTTTGCTTGTTTTGTAGTACCTTATATATCACAATTCATTTATCCATTTACGTCTTAATGATTATTTGGGTTGTTTCCAGCTTTTGATTCTTATGGAGACTATTCAACTTCAGCAGATACTGCCAACATTTTCCAAACTGGCTAGAACAGTTTAGAGCCCTGTCAGCAGGGTGCAAGTGTTCTTGTTTCTCTGCTTCCTTGCCAACACTTGGTGTTATCAGCTTTTTAAATCAGGCTTTCTGTGTCTAATCTGCTGCAGACATAGCAAAGCCTGGCTATAATTTATTTTTTAAATGCTAATAAAAATTAGATCCTGAGGGCCAGGTGCAGTGGCTCACGCCTGTAATCCCAGCACTTTAGGAGGCCGAGGTGGGCTGATCACAAGGTCAGGAGATTAAGACCATCCTGGCTAACACAGTAAACCCAGTCTCTACTAACAATACAAAAAAAATTAGCCGGGTGTGGTGGCGGGCGCCTGTAGTCCCAGCTACTTGGGAGGCTGAGGCAGGAGAATGGTGTGAACCTGGGAGGTGGAGCTTGCAGTGAGCTGAGATAGCGCCACTGCACTCCAGCCTGGATGACAGAGCAAGACTCCGTCTCAAAATAATAATAATAATAATAATAACAATAATAATAATTAGATCCTGAAAATTTTTTCACTTGCTATTAACTCTCATATTTTACATGCATCTTTGTTAGTATTTCCTACATCATACTCATGTCTGGAAACAATTTTATTTCTTTCTTTCCAATTTTATACCTCTTATCTCTCTTTCTGCCTTACTGCACTGACTAGAACTTTATTTTTTAATTTTTTGTAGGGACGGGGGTCTCACTATGTTGCCCAGGCCAAGTCTCAAACTCTTGGCCTCAGGGGATCCTCCTGCCTCAGCCTCCCAATAGAGCTTTACATACAAAACTGAATAGAAGTGATGAGAGCAGGGTCTTGTCTCTTTCCTCATCTCTGGAAGAAAGCTTTCAATAAGTCACCATTAAGCTTAATGTCCACTATAAATATTTTTTGTAGATGCCCTTTATCATCTTTTTAAAAGTCCCTTTATTCCCAGTTTGTTAGAAATTTGTTCTGTGGGGCTTTTTTTTTTTTGAAACTAATAAACAGGAGTTAAATTTTATCAAATGCTTTTGTTCATCTACTTTGATTAGATCACATTTTCCCCTCCATTTTGATAACTTACTCTGAAGGACTTTAATTCATTGAAATCTTTTGACAGTGCATGTGGCCAATTCTGATGAATATACTGTGGCCAATTAGAAGGAATGTGCAATCCACTATTGTCTGGTGCAGTGTTTTATAGCTCAGTCAGGACAAAGTAGTTAATAGCATTACTTACATCTTCTATAGCTCTACTAAATTTCATTTGCTTTTTCTATTCGTTAATGAGAGAAGCGTGTTAAAATCTCCAAATATGCCTATTTCGCCTTTTAGTTCTATCAGTTTTCCTTTATATTCTCTGGGGCTATGTTACCTGATGCATATGAATTTATGATATGCTCTCAGTGCCTCTAAAGTCTTACTGGGCAGCATGAAGTCTTCCAATGTTGTTTTCTAAGAGTGCCTTGGCTATTGTTATTGTTTTAATTCTTTATCATTACGGACAATCTCAATCTCTAGTAATATTTCTTACTGAGAAATGATGCTTTGAAATTAGTATAGCTCTTCCAGCAGTCCTTTGGTTAGTGCTCGCATAGGACATCTTTTCCAACTCTTTTACTTTCAGTCTTTCCATTTAAAGTGGGTCTCTTATACACAAATCATGGTTGAGTCTATTGTTTTTAACATGAAAATCTTTGTCTTTTAACTGGAATATTCAGCCTATTTACCTATAATGTGATTTTTACATATATGGATTTACATCTATTACTATACCTTTAGTTCTTTGTTCCTTTTCTCTCCTTTCCTGCCTTATTTTGGATGAATCAAGTATTAATATTCTACTTATCTTCTATTAGCCCCTTATTTTCCATTCTTTTATTACTTTGCTAATATGTGATTTTAAATATTATAGCCACACTGAAAAAGTCAAAAAATATATATTTTATCAAATATATTAAAAATATGATCATTTCAACATGTAATCAGTATTTTTTAAATTTTTTAAATGAGGTAGTTTACATTCTTTTTTCTTTTTTTTTTTTTTGAGACGGAGTTTCGCTTTGTGCCCCAGGGTGGAGTTCAGTGGCGCGATCTCAGCTCACTGCAAGCTCTGCCTCCCGGGTTCAGCCATTCTCCTGCCTCAGCCTCCCAAGTAGCTGGGACTACAGGTGCCCACCTAATTTTTTGTATTTTTAGTTGAGACGGGGTTTCACTATGTTAGCCAGGATGGTCTTGATCTCCTGACCTCATGATCCGCCCACCTTGGCCTCCCAAAGTGCTGGGATTACAGGCGTGAGCCACCGCACCCGGCCTACATTCTCTTTTTCTATATTAAGTCTTCAAAGTCTTCAAAATCTGGTGTTTTATAATCACAGCACATCTCAACTCAGAATAGCCACATTTTAAGTTCTCAGTAACTCCATGCAGCCAACGTCAACTGTAGCAGAGTGTAGCCCTAGAGATTTACAATGTGAAACCCTTCACTTATTCAGAGTCTATGACAAATTAATTTCCTAACCTCCTGAACAATTCAAAGACCTTGCAACACCTTAATTACATTTACTGTCCCCCTCCTAACTTTTAAACCATTTTATCTTAAATTTTCAAGCTACATATATCTTTAAACAAGATATTTTTATTACACTGCAGTCAATATTCATATATATTTACTTTCACATTTACTCTTCCACTGTTCTTTATTCCTTCCTGAAATTTTGTTTCCCTATGGGATTATTTTCTTTCTGCTACAAGAACTTCCTTTTTCTTTCAGAATGGGCCTGCTGGTGACAAATCCTCTTTCTGTTACCTATTGAGAAATCGGCTGTTGATCCCATTATTCTTCTTAACCTAGTATCTTTTTTCTCTAGCAATTAAATATTTTTTTCACTGTCCTTGACTTTTAGCACTTATGACACTCCTAGCCCTCTCTTTTGGTATAACCCAATTGTATGTGTCTTAACCCTTCTATTATGTCCCTTGTCTCCATTACACTATGTTTTTTTCATCCTTTCATTTCTCGGTGCTTCACTGTGGATATTTCTTACTGATCAATCCTCTAATTCACAAGTCTTTTCTGTGTTCAGTGGTTGTGAAACACATATATGGGAGTTCCTAGCTCAAGCTAATGAATTTTTTAGTCCTTAAATTTTCATTGGGCCAGGCACGGTGGCTCACGCCTGTAATCCCAGCACTTTGGGGGGCCCAGGTGGGCGGATCACCTGAGGTCTGGAGTTCGAGACCAGCCTGGACAACATGGCAAAACCCCATCTCTACTAAAAAAAAAAAAAAAAAAAAAAAAAAAAAAAAAAAAAAAATAGTGGTGGGTGCCTGTAATCCCAGCTACTCAACAGGTTAAGGCAGGAGCATCACTTGAACCTGGGAGGCAGAGGTTGCAGTAAGCCGAGATCGCACCATTGTACTCAGGCAAGAAGAATGAAACTCTGTCTCAAAAAATAAAATCAAAAAATAAAATAAAATTTTGATTTGATTCTATTTTACAGATTCCAGTTCTCCGGTAAAACTCTCTATCTCTTCATCTGTTTCCTTAAACTCATAAATTGGTTATTTTAAAAGCCTATCTAAGGGTTCCAATATCTGGATCACCTCTTCTTTTCTTGTTACTCATTCTTTCTCTTGATTTTCATTCATTTGATCCTGCTTATTGGCATGCCTATTTTAATTAATTAATTAATTATAGAGACAGGGTCTCACTATGTTGGCCAGGTTGGTCTTGAACTCTTGGCCTCCAGTAATCCTCCCACCTTGGTTTCCCAAAGTGCTAGGATTACAGGTATGAGCCACTGTGCCTGGTCATGCCTGGTATTTTGATGGAATGCAGGATACTATGTTTCAAATAGTATAGAGGCTAAGTTTCTTCTGGCAGGTAACTAGAATAAGGGCTGATCACCTCATTCAATCAAAGTTTTGAAGTTAGATTTAAAGCTGATAACTTCTGGTCAACCTTTATTTGTAGGACATAATTCTTTTGAGGTCTCAACCGAAGGCCTCGAATATTTCCCTTTGTCATTCCCATTTGGCTGGCCTTGAAATCTAATTTTTTTGTCTACCTACTCCTGTAAGAACAAAAACTGTGCTTAAGTTTTTAAGTCTTTGGTAATAGCTCTCTACTGAATTTCTCCTTCTGAATTTGAAAAATACCTTAACAGCAAAAGCTAAGTCAAATGTTGAGTTTACTACCCTCTTTCTCTTTATTTTCCCAAAGAGATGGGGTCTCACTCTGTTGTCCAGGCTGGAGTGCAGTGGTGTGATCAATGCTCACTGTAACCTCGAACTGCTGGGCTCAAGCAATCCTCCTGCCTCAGCCTCCTGAGTAGCTGGGACTACAGACAGGTGCCACCATGCTGGCTGAGTTCATTACTCTTTTTTTTTTTTTTTTTTTTTTGAGATGGAGTCTTGCTCTGTTGCCCAGGCTGGAGTGCAGTGGCGGCATGATCTCGGCTCACTGCAACCTCTGCCTCTGGGTTCACGCCATTCTCTTGCCTCAGCCTCCCAAGTAGCTGGAACTACAGTCGCCCGTCACTGTACCCAGCTCATTTTTTGTATTTTAGTAGAGACGGGGTTTCACCATGTTAGCCAGGATGGTCTCGATCTCCTGACCTCATGATCCGCCTGCCTCGGCCTCTCAAAGTGCTGGGATTACAGGCGGGAGCCACCGCGCCCGGCCTCATTACTCTTGAGGTTGTCTTCTTCCTAGGATCTTGGACCCTCAACATCTTGGCTGCCTTAGAATCCCTCAATTCAAATTTTAGTCCTGCTACTCAGTGATTCTGAAACAAACTCTGGACCACTGCTTTGTCTGGCCTCTACCCCATGTGAAGAGTTAGCCACCGCCCTAAGGGAAAAAAGCAGGGGTAAATATGGGCTCAACTCAATTGAATTTTTCTCTATAATTTTGGCTCCTGCCAAATTTGACTTGGCTGCCTTGGTTAGTCCCCAATGCCTTCAAAGATATTTATTTTTGTATTTTAAACAGTTTTTACAGTAGTCTCGTCAGAGATTTGGTCTGATATTCTTTTATAACCATAAACAAAAATTTTACTTTACTGAGTTTTAATTACTGATTTTTTTTTACTGACTAGTCTATAAACTTCCTGAGAATAGAAACTATTTTTATTTCCTAACTTCTATTTAAACACTCAGCACACTACCTGACACAGAACTTACTATTTGATAAATTATTAGCTTTTTGTTTTGTTTTGTTTTGAGACAGAGTCTCGCTCTGTCGCCCAGACTGGAGTGCAGTGGTGCGATCTTGGCTCACTGCAACCTCTGCCTCCCGGTTTCACGCCATTCTCCTGCCTTAGCCTCCCGAGTAGCTGGGACTACAGGCGCCTGCCACCACGCCTGGCTAATTTTTTGTATTTTTAGTAGAGCTGGCGTTTCACCATATTAGCCAGGATGGTCTCGATCTCCTGATCTCGTGATCCGCCTCCCTCGGCCTCCCAAAGTGCTGGGATTACAGGCATGAGCCACCACGCCCCGGCAATTATTAGCTTTTATATTAGGAAAAAAACCTTAGAATTCAAGTAAAGCATAACACATAAATATACGCCTGCTAAACCAGTCCAACCCATTAATTCTTTTAATTCCACTTATCTCCAGTAAGGAATATCCAATCTTTTCTTCAGTGGCCCACATATTAATGAAGTACATCCCCCAATAAAACTGTATTCTCAATGTTAATCTGAGATTAAATTACCTCAGGCAGCACTAAAATATTTTGTTCATTTATTTAAACTATTTTGTACTAGATTAAGTGATTTCATTATTCTTTAGATTTAACCAATCCATTTCTAGGTCTAGCATTTTATCAGAAAACATTGAGATTTTTCATTCAAAATAAAGCTCTCAAATCAACCTTTGGGGGCATCCTGATTACATTCAGTTAGGGTTTTCCAGGGCAAGAAAACAGTGATGCAACACAAGCTCTTAGATATAAAATCTAAAACCAAAGAAAAGTTTACTGAAAGTATAAATACTTTCCCTATTCCAGTTGGTTATTCTTGTATTATCAACCTTGTACCATCAAACCCTAAAGACAACGGCTAAAAAAATTAAAAGTGGTTGTCTCTGGACAGCAGAAATTTTAGAGATAAGGAAGCAGGGAACTGGATTACCACTTCTCATGATAAGCACTTAAAAATTATTAGAGTTAGCCCTATATTTAAATTAAAAACATAATTGTATATAAACAGAGGCACTAATTTTTAAAAAAGAGAAAAAAAGGAAGACCCAACCCTTAAAGCAATAGTACTGAAAGCTGGTTACATAATGCCCTGGACTCACAAAACAGCCTTGAGGCAGCCATTTATCCTTGTGGGGGTTTCAGTCCCAGATCTGTAAACCTGATAATAAACCAGAATGCCAAGATGTTTTCAACACAAATATTCTACTATTCTAAAGCTTCAATGTATGATAAATGGCAGGGCACAAGTTAAAAGAGAAAAATGTATTTGTTAAATAAAAGCTAAACTCATAAGGGCTTGTTTTGTAATGGATGCTTAATGAAATTACAGTGATCAGCACAGTAATTTTAGGGTGACTCTTAAGAGAGTTAACGAAAGATGATATGGGTATTAGGGAATCTATCTCCGTTGATTAGACGGCTTCTTCATAAAGCACGCACGTTCCAAGCATTAATGATCCATCTGGGGCCTCTGGGAGCAGTATGTGCTAAGTGTCACGTAACAGCTTCTGCTCTCATAAACTAGTCAAGTGTCACAACCTGCTCTTTTCTGCAGACTGTGAGTAGTCAGAGACCAAAGGACAGAACCAAAACTGCTGGCTCCAAAGGATGGGCATGATCATCCATTTATAGCTAGACAGGCAAAGGGCACTGGCACTTCTCATACGATTCTTGACAAATTAAGAACACTATTAGATATGGCTTTCAGTTTTAAAAGATTATGCATTTCAGACCAGGTGCAGTGGCTCACGCCTTTAATCCCAGCACTTTGGGAGGCTGAGGAGGGTGGGTCACTTGAGGTCAGGAGTTCAAGACCAGCCTGGCAAACATGGTGAAACCCCATCTCCACTAAGAATACAAAAATTAGCTGGGCGGGGTGGCAGGTGCCTGTAATCCCAGTTACTCTGGAGGCTGAGGCAGGAGAAGGAGATGGAGATGCATCCCAGGAGATGGAGGCTGCAGTGAGCCGAGATTGTGCCATTGCACTCCAGCCTGGGTGACAGAGTGAGATTCTGTCTCAAAAACAAAAACAAAAGATTATGCATTTCAGGCTGTCCAATGTTAACTTACAGATCTTGCAATGAAAGAACCAGTATCCTCTTTGCTTCTAAAGGGAAGGAACAGATAGATATCTGTCTCACAGGAAACAAAAGCCAACTGCCTCCCACAAGCCATACATATGTATCATCAAAGAAGTGTCGATAGGAAATGAGAAAGCAGAGAATTGGGTTTGTAGCCAAGACTGTCAAGTGTACAAAAAGAATTTTCCTAATGTATGATTAACCATCCTATATCATATTTCCCCCTGCATTTTAAGTACCAAGTAAATGGAAAAAACTTCAAATTATTAGTTTATTTGTATGTATATATATTTCTCTCTATATATTAAGGTAAACATAGAAGAATCCAAGAGGCATGGAATAACTGACTTAATGTTTGAATTATCTCCATTTAATCAACCTGATACATGGGAAAGTTCTATAATCAAGAGGAAGTAAATTTTTTTTTTTCTTTTTTCTCGGAGACAGGGTCTTGCTCTGTTGTCCAGGCAGGAGTGCAGTGGTACAATAATGGCTCACAGCAGCCTCAACTTCCCGGCTCAAGTAATCCTCCTGCCTCAGCCCTCCAAGTAGCTGGGCTGAGGTAGGAGGATTGCTACCATGCCTGGCTATTTTTTTTTTTAAATTTTAATAGAGAGAAGATCTCACTATGTTGCCAACGCTGGTCTCAAACTCCTAATCACAAGCGATCCTTCAAGGGGGAAGTAATTTATAATGTTCTAAAATTACTTAATTTAAGTTATTGTCTAGCAAAATTTAAAACTTAGGTTATATGAAGACACCTAACAGCATGGAAGAAAATACAGACACACCTCAGATGGTACTTCATCTTCTTGTGCTTCATGGATCCTGCGTTTTTTACAAATTGAGGGTTTGTGGCAATCCTGTATCAAACAAGTCTGTTGGTATCATCTTGCCAACAGTATGTGCTCACTTCAATGTCTCTGGGTCAAGTTTGGTAATTCTTGCAATATTTTAAACTTTCTCATTATTATTATAACTGTTATGGTGATGTATGACCAGTGGTCTTTGATGTTACTATAGTAATTGTTTTGGGGTGCCATGAACTGTGCCCATATAAGACAGTGAACTTAATCTATAAAGTTCTGTGTGTTCTGAATGATCCACTGACTAGCCATTCTGTCTCTCTCCCTCTCCTTGGGCTTCCCTATTCCTTGAGATATAAAAATATTAAAATTAGGCCAATTAATAACCCTACAATGGCCTCTAAGTGTTCAAGTAAAAGGAAGACTCGCACATCTTTCACTTTAAATCAAAATCTAGAAATGCTTAAGCTAATTGAGAAAAGCACGGCAAAAGCCAAAAGGCTGAAAGTTAGGCCACTTGTGCCAGTTAGCCAAGTTGTGAATGCAGAGGAAAAGTTCTTGAAGGAAATTAAAAGTGCTATACCACTGAATATACAAATGATAAGATAGCAAAACAGCCTTATTGCTGATATGGAGAAAGTTTCCGTGCTTTGAATAAAAGATCAAACCAGCTACAACATTCCCTTAAGCCAAAGCTGAATCCACAGCAAGGCCCTAACTCTCTTCAATTCTATAAATGCTGAGATTGGTGACGAAGCTGCAGAAGAAAAGTTTGAAGCTAGCAGAGGTTGGCTCATGATATTGAAGGAAAGAAGCCATCTCCATAACATATAAGTGCAAGGCGAAGCTAGCAAGTGCTGATACAGAAGCTGCAGCAAGTTACCCAGAAGATCTAGCTAAGATCACTGATGAAGGTGGCCACACTAAACAACAATTTTCAATGTGGATAAAACAGCCTTCTATTAAAAGAAGATGACATCTAGGACTTTCATAGCTACAGAGGAGAAGTCAATGCCTGGCTTCAAAGCTTCAAAGGACAGGCTGTCTCTCTCATTAGGGCCTAAGCAGCTGGTGACTTTAAGTGGAAGCCAATGCTCATTTACCAGTCCCACAATCCTAGGGCCCTTAAGAGTTATGCTACATCTACTCTGCCTGTGCTCTATAAATGGAACAACAAAGCCTGGATGACAGCACATCTGTTGACAGCATAGTTATCGAACATTTTAAGCCCACTGTTCCTTTCAAAATATTACTGCTCATTGACAATGTAACCAGTCAGCCAGGAGCTCTAATGATGATACGAGGAGATTAATGTTGTTTTCCTGTCTGCTAATACAACATCCATTCTGCAGCTCATAGATCAAGGAGTGGGCTTAAAATGTTCAATAAACTATGGGGTCTTGCCTCTTCAAGCCAAGATCATGGACTTTAACCAAATGACAAAGGGGAAACAAATGAAGCAGCTTAAAGAGAAGTAACAAGATCAATTTCAAAAACACTTTGGTAGTAGGCTAGAAGATGGACAAGAAGATGAGAAAACTACATACGTCCATGTAAAAATTTGTTGTACACAAATGTCTACAACAAACCAGGCATGGTGGGATGTGCCTGTAGATCCAGCTACTTGGGAGGCTGAGGTGGGAAGATCACTTGAGACCAGCCTGGGAAACATAGTGAGACCTCATGTCGAAAAAAAAAAGTTCTTAACAGTGACATTTATAATAACCCCCCCAAAAGTGTAAGCAACACAAACACCATCTTGAACAGAAGAATGGATAAATATGTGGCATATCCATACAATGGAATATTGTTTGGCCATAAAAAGGAATGAGGTACTAGTATATGCTACAGCATGGATGAACCTTAAAAACATGATGCTAAGTGAAAGAAGCCAGTCACAGAGGACCACATATTGTGTGATTCCATTTATAGGAAATGTCCATAATAAAGAAATCTATAGGACAGAAAGTAGATTAGTGGTTGCCTATAGTAAATAGAGAATGAATGCTAATGGGTATAGGATTTCTTTATGGAGTGGTAAAAATAGCCTAAAACTGGTTGTGGTAATGGTTATACAACTCTGAATACACTTAAAAAAAAAACAAAAACCCACTGAAATGTACATTTTAAGTGGCTGAATTGTATCTTGTGTGGCATATCTCAATAAAAAAAGTTCTTTCTTAAGAAAAAAAAAAAACTAGGTGATTGTGTAATTTTCACTTATGCTTGAGGTTTCAGTTCTACAACCAACTTGAAACTGCCAGTATTCACGTTCCTGCCGTTCAACAAAACTTGAGACTTTTCAGGCCTGAGTGTGGAAGTCTTTTTAGGTTGAAGTTTTATGTTCGGCTTCTTTCCCTTAGCATAAAATATTCAAAGTTCATCCAAGTTGCAGCATGTATCAGAACTTCTAATCCATGAACAAGGTATGTCTTTCCATTTATTTAGATTTTAATTTCTTTCAGCAATGTTTTGTATTTTTCAGTGTATTAGACTTGTGCCTCCTTGGTTAAATTTATTCCTAAATAGTTTATTCTTTTTGATGCTGCTATAAATGGAATGTTTTAATTTACTGTTACTATATGTAAATGCAAGTGAGTTTTGTATACTGATCTTGCATCTTCAACTTTTCTGGATTTACTAGTTCCAACAGTTTTTATGTGAATTCTTAAAGGTTTTCTAGATATAAGCTGGATGTGATGGCCTACACCTGTAGTCCCAGCTACTCACGATGTTGGAAGTGGGAGGACCACTTGAGCCCAGAAGTCTGAACCTAGACTGGGCAACATAGTGAGACCCTATCTCTTAAAAAAATCTAGACATAAATCACATCATCTGCAAATAGAGATCATTTTACTTTTTTTCCTATCTGGATGCCTTTTCTTTCCTTTTTTCTTGTCTGTCTTAGCTAGAACTTGCAGAAAAATGTTGAATAGAAATGGTGATAAACGACATTCTTTCTTGTTCCTGATCTTAAGGGGAAAGCTTTCAGTCTTCACCATTAAGTATAATGTTAAAACTGTGGGTTTTTTTTGTTTTTTTTGTTTGTTTGTTTGTTTGTTTTGAGACAGAGTCTCACTCTGTCACCCAGGCTGGAGTGCAGTGGTGTGTTATCAGCTCACTGCAACCTCCACCTCGCAGGTTCAAGTCATTCTCATGTCTCAGCCTCCCAAGTAGCTGGCATTACAGGTGTGTGCCACTACACCTGGCTAGTTTTTGTATTAGTAAAGATGGAGTTTTGCATGTTGCCTAGGCTGGTCTTGAACTCCTGGCCTCAACTGATCACCCGCCTTGGCCTCCCAAAGTACTGGGATTACAGGCATAAGCCACTGTGCCCAGCCAACTGTGGGTTTTCATAGGTACCCTTTATTAGATTGAGAAAATTACCTTTTATTCCTAGTTTTTAAAATCATAAATGGCTGCTGGATTTTACCAAATGCTTTTACAGTGTCTAGTGAGATGATCATGCGGTTTTTTCCCCTTTATTCTAATAATATGGTATTACAGTATTAATTCATTTTCATATGTTGAACCAACCTTGCATTGCTGGGATAAAGAACACTTGGTCAGGGTGTATAATCCTCTTTAATATACTGCTGGATATTGTCATTATTTTGTCAAGGGCTTTTACAGTTTTCTTTTTTTGTAATATCTTTTTCCGTTTTTGGTATGAGAGTAATGATGGCCTCACAGAATGAGTTAGGAAGTAATATTTTCTTTGATTTTTGGAAGAGTTTGAGAAGTATTGCTATTAATTCCTCTTTTAAAATTTGGAAGAATTAACCAGTAAAGTAATCTGGTCCTGGGCTTCTCTTTGCTGGAAGTATTTTGATTACTAACTCAATCTCATTAGTTGTTATTTGTCTCTCCAGATGTTCTTGCTTCTTGAGTCCATTTTGATAGTTAATGTTTCTAGGAATTTGTCCATATCATCTAAGTTATCCAATTTTTGGCATTCATTGTTCACAGTATTCCATTTTAATCCTTTTTATTTCTTAAGGTCATTAGTAACGTCCCTTTATTCCTGATTTTGGTAACTTTAGTCTTCGTTTTCTTTTTATCTATCTACTTAGAGGTTTGTCAATTTGTTTATCTTTTCAAAGAACCCATTTTTTTTTCATTGATCTTCTCTATTGTTTTTCTATTTTCTATTTTATTTATTTTGGCTCTAATCTTTATTTCCTTCCTTCTGCTTATTTTGGGTTTAGCTTATCTTTTTTCTACTTCCTTTTTTTTTAAATTATACTTTAAGTTTTAGGGTACATGTGCACAAGGTGCAGGTTAGTTACATATGTATACATGTGCCATGTTGGTGTGCTGCACCCATCAACTCGTCATTTAACATTAGGTATATCTCCTAATGCTATCCCTCCCCCCTCCCCCCACCCCACAACAGGCCCCTGTGTGTTATGTTCCCCTTCCTGTGTCCATGTGTTCTCATTGTTCAATTCCCACCTATGAGTGAGAACATGCAGTGTTTGTTTTTTTTTGTCCTTGCGATAGTTTGCTGAGAATGATGGTTTCCAGCTTCATCCGTGTCCCTACAAAGGACATGAACTCATCATTTTTTATGGCTGCATAGTATTCCATGGTGTATATGTGCCACATTTTCTTAATCCAGTCTATCATTCTTGGGCATTTGGCTTGGTTCCAAGTCTTTGCTATTGTGAATAGTGCTGCAATAAACATACGTGTGCATGTGTCTTTATAGCAGCATGATTTATAATCCTTTGGGTATATACCCAGTAATGGGATGGCTGGGTCAAATGGTATTTCTAGTTCTAGATCCCTGAGGAATCGCCACACTGACTTTCACAATGGTTGAACTAGTTTACAGTCCCACCAACAGTGTAAAAGTGTTCCTATTTCTCCACATCCTCTCCAGCACCTGTTGTTTCCTGACTTTTTAATGATCGCCATTCTAACTGGTGTGAGATGGTATCTCATTGTGGTTTTGATTTGCATTTCTCTGATGGCCAGTGATAATGAGCATTTTTTCATGTGTCTTTTGGCTGCATAAATGTCTTCTTTTGAGAAGTGTCTGTTCATATCCTTCGCCCACTTGTTGATGGGATTTTTTTTTTCTTGTATATTTGTTTGAGTTCATTGTAGATTCTGGATATTAGCCCTTTGTCACATGAGTAGATTGCGAAAATTTTCTCCCATTCTGTAGGTTGCCTGTTCACTCTGATGGTAGTTTCTTTTGCTGTGCAGAAGCTCTTTAGTTTAATTAGATCCCATTTGTCAATTTTCGCTTTTGTTGCCATTGCTTTTGGTGTTTTAAACATGAAGTCCTTGCCCATGCCTATGTCCTGAATGGTATTGCCTAGGTTTTCTTCTAGGGTTTTTATGGTTTTAGGTCTAACATTTAAGTCTTTAATCCATCTTGAATTAATTTTTGCATAAAGTGTAAGGAAGGGATGCAGTTTCAGCTTTCTACATATGGCTAGCCAGTTTTCCCAGCACCATTTATTAAATAGGGAATCCTTTCCCCATTTCTTGTTTTTGTCAGGTCTGTCAAAGATCAGATGGTTGTAGATATGCAGCATTATTTCTGAGGGCTCTGTTCTGTTCCATTGGTCTATATCTCTATTTTGGTACCAGTACCATGCTGTTTTGGTTACTGTAGCCTTGTAGTATAGTTTGAAGTCAGGTAGTGTGATGCCTCCAGCTTTGTTCTTTTGGCTTAGGATTGACTTGGCAATGCAGGCCTTTTTTGGTTCCATATGAACTTTAAAGTAGTTTTTTCCAATTCTGTGAAGAAAGTCATTGGTAGCTTGATGGGGATGGCACTGAATCTATAAATTACCTTGGGCAGTATGGCCATTTTCATGATATTGATTCTTCCTACCCATGAGCATGGAACGTTCTTCCATTTGTTTGTATCCTCTTTTATTTCATTGAGCAGTGGTTTGTAGTTCTCCTTGAAGAGGTCCTTCATGTCCCTTATAAGTTGCATTCCTAGGTATTTTATTCTCTTTGAAGCAATTGTGAATGGGAGTTCACTCATGATTTGGCTCTCAGTTTGTCTGATATTGGTGTATAAGAATGCTTGTGATTTTTGCACATTGATTTTGTATCCTGAGACTTTGCTGAAGTTGCCTATCAGCTTAAGGAGATTCTGGGCTGAGATGATGGAGTTTTCTAGATATATAATCATGTCATCTGCAAACAGGGACAATTTGACTTCCTCTTTTCCTAACTGAATACTCTTTATTTCTTTCTCCTGCCTGACTGCCCTGGCCAGAACTTCCAACACTATGTTGAATAGGAGTGGTGAGAGAGGGCATCCCTGTCTTGTGCCAGTTTTCAAAGGGAACGCTTCCAGTTTTTACCCATTCAGTATGATATTGGCTGTGGGTTTGCCATAGATAGCTCTTATTATTTTGAGATACGTCCCATCAATACCTAATTTATTGAGAGTTTTTAGCATGAAGTGTTGTTGAATTTTGTCAAAGGCCTTTTCTGCATCTATTGAGATAATCATATGGTTTTTGTCACTGGTTCTGTTTATATGCTGGATTACATTTATTGATTTGCGTATGTTGAACCAGCCTTGCATCCCAGGGATGAAGCCCACATGATCATGGTGGATCCAGCAGCAGCTGGATTTCGTTTGCCAGTATTTTATTGAGGATTTTTGCATCAATGTTCATCAGGGATATTGATCTAAAATTCTCTTTTTTTGTTGTGTCTCTGCCAGGCTTTGGTATCAGGATGATGCTGGCCTCATAAAACGAGTTAGGGAGTATTCCCTCTTTTTCTATTGATTGGAATAATTTCGGAATGAATGGTACCAGCTCCTCCTTGTACCTCTGGTAGAATTCGGCCGTGAATCCATCTGGTCTTGGACTTTTTTTGGTTGGTAAGCTATTAATTATTGCCTCAATTTCAGAGCCTGTTATTGGTCTACTTCCTTAAGGAAGAAACTTAGATTACTGCTTTGAGATCTTTCCTCTTTGTAAAGGTGGGTGTTTATAAATTTCCCTTTGAGACCGGGCGCGGTGGCTCATGCTTGTAATCCCAGCAGTTTCGGAGGCTGAGGCAGGCAGATTACCTGAGGTAAGGAATTCAAGACCAGCCTGGCCAACATGGCGAAACCTCGTCTCTACTAAAATACAAAAATTAGCTGGGCATGATAGCACACGTTTGTAATCCCAGCTACTTGAGAGGCTGAGGCAGAAGAATCACTTGAGCCCGGGAGCCGGAGCCTGCCGTGAACCAAGGTCGCACCACTGCAGTCCAGCCTGGGTGACAGAATGAGACTCTGTCTCTCAATCGATCAATCAATCAATCAATCAATCAATGTCAATCCCCTTGAGAACTGCTTTCGCTGCCTCCCATAAATTTTGGTATGCTGCGTTCATTTTTGTTCTCAGAGCATTTTCTAATTTCCCTTGTGATTAATTTTTTGACCCACTGGTTATTTAGAGTGTGTGCTTTAATTTTCACTTATTTTCCAATTTTCCTTCAGCTACTAATTTCTAATCTTTCATTGTGATCAGAAAAAAATGAAGAAAATTTAAATGCTTTCCATCTTTTTATTTATTTCATTTTAATCTTTGTAGAGATAGGGCCTCCCGATGCTGCCCAGGCTGGTCTCAAACTACTGGGCTCAAGTGATCCTCTCATCTTGGCCTCACAAAATACTGGGACTACAGGCACGAGCCACCACATCTGGCCAATTTCAGTCTTTTTAAATTTAATGAGACTAGTTTTATGACCTAACATATGGCCTAACCTGCAATCTTCCATGTGCACCTGAGAGAAGAATGTGTATTCTGCTATTATTGGGTGCAGTGTTGTATAATGTCTTTAGGTCTGGTTGGTATACAGTACTATTCAAGTCTTCTATTCCCTTGCTGGTTTTCTATCTGGTCTTATCTCAATCTTTCTTTTTTTTCTTTTTGCAGTGGAGTTTTATTATCATGGTAAATATACATAAAAAATCATTTTAACCATCTTTAATTATACGGTTCAGTGGCATTAAGTATACTCATATGATTGTGCTACCATCACCACCATCCATCTCCAGTACTTTTTTCATTTTGTAAAACTAAACTGTGTACCCACCCCCTTTCTTTTTTCCCTCCCCCAGCCCCTGGCAACCATCATTCTACTTTTTGTCTCTATAAATATTACTAACTCTAGGTATTCCATATAATTAGAATCATGTAGTATTAGCCCTTTTGTATATGGCTTGTTTCATTTAGCACAATGTCTTCAGTGTGCATCGTGTTGTAGCATGTGTAAGAATTTCCTTCCTTTTTAAGGAAGAATGGTATTCCATTGTATTATATACCACAGGTTGTTTATCCATTCTTCTATCGACAGACACTTGGGTTGCTTCCACTTTTTGGCTACTGTGAATAACACTGCCACAAAAATGGGTGTGCCTAAAATATTTCTCCAAGTCTCTGCTTTCCTAGAAGTGGAATTTTCCAGAAGTGGAACTGCCAGATCATATGGTAATTCTGTTTACTTTTTTGAGGAACTGCCATACTATTTTCCACAGCAGTTACAACATTTTATAGGTCCCCTCCAACAAAACATAAGCCTGCCCATTTCTCCACATCTTTGCCAACACTACTTATCTCCTTTGTTAGCCAGTGGAAGCTGGCATGGAGATTCTTTTTTTAAATTATTTTCTCTTCTCTTTTTTACTTGCCACTGGCTTGAAGCTGAGACATGGAGAGTCTTAGTAAATCCTCAATGATTATCATGACTTTTCTGTATGTCCACTGCAATATGCTTGGCTCTTTAATCTTAAATGAGTTGAGGATCATCACTTAAAGTCATGTACAAATTCATCCAAAAGTGACCTGTTAATGGCAGATCTTCTTTTCCTCTACTAATGTTATTACCTCTTTTGCATGAAATTTGTATGCAAATGTTGTAGCCACACCTTTTATGCCATTTTGGTGAGATGAAGTCTAATGTGAAGAGATCAGGAACATAGAACTCCATTCCCTTTTTGTGTTGTACTTCTGTGCATTTGTGCCAAAGCATGAAATGCAATCAAGAGTACCAGCTGCAAGCTGGGGAGAATCTCTGTAACTAATACTGTATGTGAGGACACTAGAAATCAAAATTGTATTTTTTAGCAGAATGGATGAATTCTACAGGTTTCCCTTTTGTATGGAGAATTAGAGTCTGCTCTCCAAAGTTATATTTAACGTAACTTAAAAAAAGCATTTAACCTGGACTTAAGTAAGAAAGTGCTACAACAGATGAGTAATATTGGAAATATTGGGTACTGTGGAAAGGTAACAAACTTATTTCACCCAAGTGATAGTCAAGTTATGGCTGGACTTTGAGAATGTGTTCCTAACATTTTGTATAGGACTCATCATTTCTTCTTTTATCAGCTCACAGCAGCCTCTGCCTCCCAGGCTCAAGTGATCCTCCCACCTCAGCCTCTCAAGTAGCTGGGACTCCAGGCACACACCACCATGCCAGCTTATTATTATTTTTATTTTTGTAGAGACAGGGTTTTGCCATGTTGCCCAGGCTTGAACTCCTGGGCACAAGTGATCCATCTGCCTCAGCCTCCCAATGTGTTAGGATTATAGGTGTGATCCACCATGCCAGGTCAGGACTTATCATTTCTAATGTGTGACACGTAGTAAGCTACGACACTCCAGCAGTTGGTTTGCCAATTACTCACATGGGACAAAAGAATCATATGATTACCTGATAGCCTTCTGTTTTCTTCTGACACCACTTCAGCAAGGCGTTCCTCTTTGATCCTCCATATTCTCTGGCCAATGCTGAGAGAGGGTCTTTCCTTTCTTCTCTGAAAACAAGTAACCCAAAGTTGAAATATTTTTTGTTTGGGCACCAGAATAAGAGAAAAGTATTAAAGTTTGCATTTTTAAACAGGGGAAATATACATGGTAAGGCAATACAAAGGCAAGACATAGTTTTTCATACATTTGATTTTTAGTTTATGGCTCCATAGATGCACTGTTGTCAGAATTCTTTGCTAACTGAAGAAAGGGACTCTATAAAAATCACCCACATGGAAAGTGGCAAAGACAGTACAAAGTGCATTTAAAATTAAAATGTGCCGGGCGCTGTGGCTCACGCCTGTAATCCCAACACTTTGGGAGCCTGAGGCAGAGAGATCACCTGAAGTCAGGAGTTTGAGATCAGCCTGGCCAACATGGTGACACCTCATTGCTAATAAAAATATAAAAATTAGCTGGGCATGGTGGCGGGTGTCTGTAATCCCAGCTACTTGGGAGGCTGAGGCAGGAGAATCACTTGAACCCTAGAGATGGAGGTTGCAGTGAGCTGAGATTACGCCATTGCACTCCAGCCTGGGCAACAAGAGTGGCACTGTCTCAAATAATAATAATAAAATAAAATAACCGTTTATGTCCTTTACCATCTCATCATTTAAAAAAATTACTTATTGTAAAATATACAGGGTAAGGTTATGCAAGGTGCAGGATTCTAAGGCATAATAGTTCTCGCCTTTAAGAAGTCTACAATGGGGGGAAGCAGACAAAAGATGGCAATAAACATGAACAATATTTGTAACTTCCATGAAATGTCTCAGATGTATTTAGTTCTATGTTGTACACTGTTTTTTGACTTTAGGCAGTTAGAATTTTGCCTTGCTCAAAAATGGAATTTCTCTGTAAGCTCACTTATTCAACATCTCCTTATGGAGCACCATCGTGCCAGGCAATGTGCAGGCAGTAGGCAATTGAAGGTGAACAACACAGGGCCCCTATCCCAAGGAACTTCAGAGTTTACTATATGATAGTAAGTAAAACCACTGTAGAAGTTTGGGGGGGTTAAAATTCCGTGGCTATACATATGATTCATTTTTTAAAAATTCTATGTAGGGTACTTTATGGCATTGTCAACTGCCTTGTAGTCAAAATAAATATCCTGCCTTAGGCCAGACCTTTAATCAAAAAAGGTTTTGCAATCACCCCTGGTGAAGGGGCAGGGAAGACTTCCAATTCTACTCATTCTGCACCGTATCTTCCCTTTTGGTCACACTCTGGAAGTGGAACAGAACACCAAGGAATACCCAGAGAAAGGGAGTGCTGTGTAATGTAACCGGCAGCTTGACTAGTAGCCTGTGCTTAAAAGACTGGCCTATTTTTCAGTGATTATAGCAAAGTGGAGACTCTAGTCCCATGTTCTGTGAACTTAGCAGCCCAATAAATATCCTAAAGGTTCGTATGTTACAAGCAGCTTAGTATTCCTCAGTATATTTATTCTGTTAGTATTGACCCTCCAAAGTGCGCTAGGAAATCAAAGAGGACACATTTACAACAGAAGCTTTTCTAATTGAGAGGAGCCTTGAAATAGTACCAATTTTTATTGCTCTAAGAACCAAAAGGAAAAATACTACTTTTCTATGTGCAGTTAGACTGCCTCCTTGAAGGAAATATACATTTTTGTGTGCCAGCCTGTAACATTCCTGCTTTGCTTTAAATAAAGCAGGGACGTCCAATCTTTTGGCTTCCCTGGGCCACAATGGAAATAGAAGAATTGTCTTGGGCCACACATAAAGTACACTGACATGAACAATAGCGGATGAGCTAAAAAAAAATTGCAAAAAAAAAAATCTCATAATATTTTAAGAAAGTTTACAAATTTGTGTTGGGCCGCATTCAAAGCTGTCCTGGGCTGCGGGTTGGAGAAGCTTGCTTTAAAGGATTCCAAGAAGTTTGTTATACTATCACTAAACCACAGGGAAAGAGAAAGACACAGTTATGTGAATGGATGCAAAAAGGCACATCAAAAACAAAAAACAAACAAAAACTTGTCACGGCTCAACATAAAAGTCACTTTTTTAAAGACAGAGTCTCACTCTGAAGCCCAGGCTGGAGTGCAGTCGCACGATCTCGCTCACTGCATACTCTGGCTCCCAGGTTCAAGCGATTCTAGGGCCTCAGCCTCCCACGTAGCTGGGACTGCAGGTGCGCAAAACCAGATCAGGCTAATTTTTGTATTTTTAGTACAGATGGGGTTTCACCATGTTGGCCAGGCTGATCTCGAACTGCTGACCTCAAGTGATCTGCCCATCTCGGCCTCCCAGAGTGCTGGGATTACAGACGTGAGCCACCACACCCGGCTGCTTCCTTTAATTATTCTTAATGCTTGCCAACAATTTTCTTCATCCCTATAAACAACGTATGCTAAATTTTTGACATCTGTTTTTCCCCCAAGTTCTTAATACCTCTTAGTCCTAAGAGAACTATGAATAAAATATAAACTTAGATTTTCATGTACTTTTTATCAATTATTAATGTAGCACCACGTTCCCAGACTCCCAGTGTAAACAAACACAGCCATCTTTGATATCATCCATTCTTGCATTCCTTTTATAAAGATCTGTTACTGAAATCACCTTTCTTTATGAAAAATCTGGGTCCAACCCTCTCTTCACCTCTTTTCCACTGTTATCACACTGATCCAGACATGATAATTTATTTACATCACTTTATAGCTTCTACTACATCAAAGTGACTCAATTTGACTTTAAAGAAGTTCCAGGCCAGGCACGGTGGCTCACACCTGTAATCCCAGCACTTTGGGAGGCCGAGGCGGGTGGATCACGAGGTCAGGAGATCGAGACCATCCTGGCTAACACGGTGAAACCCCATCTCTACTAAAAACACAAAAAATTAGCCGGGCGAGGTGGCAGGCGCCTGTAGTCCCAGCTACTCGGGAGGCTGAGGCAAGAGAATGGCATGAACCCCAGGGGGCGGAGCCTGCAGTGAGCCGAGATCGCGCCACTGCACTCCAACCTGGGCGACAGCGAGGCTCCATCTCAAAAAAAAAAAAGAAAAGTTCCATCACTTTGCCATCCCCTGCCTAGTCAATCTTTTCTTCTACTGTTCCTTGATATGGTAGGTACACCTTCTTCTGGCCTTCTGTATCAGTCTACTGAATCTATAGAACCACCTACCTACAGCATCCCCCTCCATACTCCTCACTTACTAATCCCTTTGGTGCATCCCCTCAAGTTACTGACCTTGCCAATCATGCCCCCCACCCTCCCTGTCTACAACCTTCGAGGCCCCACTCAAATTCTAACCTTCTGGGATGCCTTCCCTAACACTCCACCCATTCCTCGGTATTTAAATTTCATAATACTTCGTTTTGCATGCAACCATTCTCTAAAAAAAAAAAAAAAAAGATACAGCTGCTTGAGGAAAGGAACTATCATTTTTAATTTGTCAGTGTCTTCTATACCATTTACTCAATTCTGGATATAAGAAAGATTCGCAAACAACACACAGAAAAAGAAAAATCACAGTGCTCAAATGCCATCATTTTACAACTTGATCATTTACTGTCAAAAGGCCAGGAAAGGTACACACGAAATGCATGAATATTAACTGTTCTCTACCTTATTCGGCTTCGGGTGGTGGGAGTCACAGATGCCGTTGGAGAAGAGGACAGGGAAAGCTGTGGAGACGTGGTTCCCATAGCCATCAGAGAGGCTGGCGACGCTCCCTCCTGTGCAGAAATGTCCCGTTTCACTTCTTCACTACTTCGTCGAGACACTGTGAGAAATAGTCATTATGCACTCTATAGCAAAAACATTTTAGACTGAGTTCTTGAGATTTTTTTTTTCTGAAGATTCCAAAAACAACAGATATTACCATACAGGAGGAAAAACTAATATTGATAACTGGAAAGTATTTCTTATTTTTCCATTAAAAAAACTGTGAGGCCAGGTGCAGTGGCTCACGCCTATAATCCCAGAACTTTGGGAGGCCGAGGCAGGCAGACCACTTGAGGTCAGGAGTTCCAGACCAGCCTGGCCAACATGGTGAAATCCTGTCTCTACTAAAAATACAAAAATTAGCCAGGCATGGTGGTGCATGCCTGTAATCCCAGCTACATGGGAGGCTGGGGCAGGAGAATTGCTTAAACCCGGGTGGTGGAGGTTGCAGTAAGCCAAGACTGCGCCACTCTGCACTCCAGCCTGGGCGACAGAGAGAGACTCCATCTCAAAAACAAAAAACAAACAAACAAAAAAACTGTGAAAAGGCATAGTTGAAATATGCACTGAACTCCATATTCCTTATAGACAAGGAGTGTGCCTTATCCATCTCTATAACCCTCACAGTACCTACCAAGCACATAGTGAGTACTACATAAACATCTGTTTAATTACAAATATAACTAAAAACCAAAGGCTAATTATAATCAGACTTGTAACTACTCAGCTCTGCCCAACACACACAATTCAAATCAATACAACCCTTCTAAATTCAGCCAAAAACACTGTTAAAGGGACAGAAAGGAAAGACATGCTTTATTACAGGGCTACATGCAATGCTAGCTCAGGGCACTTTTTTTTTTTTTTTTTTTGAGAGGGAGTCTCATTCTGTCACCCAGGCTGGAGTGCAGTGGCGCATCTCGGCTTACTGCAACTTCTGCCTCCTGGGTTCAAGTGATTCTCCTGCCTCAGCCTCCTGACTAGCTGGGATTACAGGCGCCTGCCACCATGCCAGGCTTATTTTTGTATTTTCAGTAGACACACGGTTTTGCCATGTTGGCCAGGCTGGTCTCGAACTCCTGACCTCAGGTGATCCGCCCACCTAGGCATCCCAAAGTGCTGGGATTACAGGCATGAGCCACCGCAACTGGCCTCAGGGCACATTTTAAAAAACTAAATCAATAAGACAGAAAACCAAAACGTATCAAGTCAACTGTTGGGAAATAGCAACAATCTTTTGCAAAAGTCCTATTCTGAAGTCTGGCATAGTAAGCCACTGTACTACCTCATTAGAATTACAAAATGTTCTGAGAACTGTTCAGTGGGAGTAGGCACTTTAGCCACTGGTACCAGATCCACAACAGCAGCTTTCTAAAGGCAGCACTGAGTATTGCCAGGTAATCAGAACGCAGGGCTGAGCACAGTGACAAGTCACATAGTCGACAAAGTTCCTGACCTCAGATTCTTTCTCACCTCAGAAGAAGGTGGATCTGCAGGCGCCATTAACTCTATCATTCCTGGGCTGATTTAATGCAATCCATGTTACATGTCAGTAATTGTTTTCCCCTGATTACTAAAAACTGCTGCCCCCACTCCCACCCCCACCCCCACCCCCACCGCCCACTTTACTGGCTAAAATTTTCTCAATGATTTTAGGATAACCACAAGCAGAATGTAACTCTGCATTAGTAAAGCAATGCCCTTAAAGATCCAGAGGGCACAAATATTTTCTCCTGTTATATGATCTTTAAATGACATGCTTATATATTTCTAGCATAATTTTATAATTATGTCTTTTTCGTTCAATGTCAATTCTTTATAGTCCTTAAATCAGTAGTTTCTTTTAAGTGGTGTGCTAGGAAACTGGATGAGAAAACCTCTCAGAACTTTATACAAAATAGAGGAAACAGACTGAGAAAGAATCTGAAGAACACACACACAGAAAAAGGCTTTGGGATGGTAATTTTAGCTGAGCACAGGACTTCCAATTGATTTAAAGCCCAGCTAGGCCGGGCACAGTGGCTCACACCTGTAATCCCAGCACTTTGGAAGGCCAAGGTGAGAGGACAGCTTGAGGCCAGTGAGAGCATAGCTTGAGGCCAGGAGTTTGAGATCAGCCTGGGCAACATAGTGAGATCCTGTCTCTAAAAAACAACAAATACAACAAAAATTCAGATGAAAGTCATCACCTGAGAGGGTCTTGGCACTTTCCATCGCAGGCACTCTTGGCAGGGAAGCAGGCCGGCTGGCTGAAGATGTTCTTAACAGATGCTCTGTACAAAGTAGAAAGAATCCCAATAAAGAAATCTGATGCTGAACTTTAAAGTAATAAAGGTACAAAGAAGGTGAGTTTTACTCCTTTCAGCCTTGAAGCTCATCCTTCTTCCCAATCCAGGGAACTTCAACAATTTCCCATAGTCTGTTTATCCAAAACAACTCACGTATACACAGAACACAGTAGAACATTCCATTCAATGTTTTATCTCTAGGAATGAGACGCCCCACACAGACGAATACTTCTGAATCCTGGGCTGCCACTTACCTGTTTGATGCAATTCCACCAAAATTCAAAGATCCTCTACTGCAACTAGGTCTACGCTACAAACTAAATGAAAGCTTTGCTTTCATGTGCCTACAGTTAGTGTGGAAGCTACACACATTAATATATACAACCACAGACAAGTCAGGATGGGATAATTAGAGTAACAGAATGACAAAAGTATTATCAAACCACAGAGAAGACATTCTCTTTGATTTCAGGCAGCAGGGTAGGCTTCGAAAAAACCAATGACATTAAGCTGGGCCTTACTGAAAAGAGGTGGGGAACTAGATTTTAGCCAACAACAGTCAGAGAAAGGTACAAACACATTCAAGTTAGAGAATAATAAAGGCTAAGTATGGCTAAAACATGGGGTATGTGGAAAACAAATAGGACAGCAGGGAAAGGGGCTTTAAAGGAGGATGAGGCTGATTAAGGAAAACCTTCATTACCTGGCATGTGGACTTTAGTCTGAGGGCAACAAGGAAGCATCAAACATTTTTGAGCCTTCAGGGAAGGACACAATCAGATATTGCTTCGACCATCTCCATTTTCAGCCTCACCTTGTTCTACTCCTCCCTTGTTCTCTAAACACAAGCTGTCTTGGGAGTTCCTTTAGTTCCTTGGGCATTGGCACCAGCTGTCCCCTCACCTCCTCCTCTATTCCCTCCTAATCCTGGCTAACCTGATCACCCTTCAGGTCTCAGTTGAACATCACTTCCCCAGGACCTGCTTCCCTGCCAGCCCCCACCAAACACAGACCGGAGTTGTCCTGCTGACTCTCTTCCTGCACACTTCTTACCTAGGGCTACAGCCCGACAAGACTCTTCAGACCAGGACACAGAGAGGCAGTCACAAGGACAACCAGAATTGTTCTTTCTGGTCACGGGCTGGTGTGTGACTGGGCTAAGAAAAACACCAAACCTTGTATGTAATGAAGACTCTCAGCCAAGAATGTCCACCAATCCTTTTTAAGAACTGACAATTTAAACATGATCCCTCCTAAAAATATAATGATGTCAAAAGTAATGGCATATCATGCTATCTCTTAAGGATAACATATATTCTGCACTCCAAAATTTCTTTTCTTTTCTCTTCTTTTTTCTTCTTTTTCCTCCTCCTTCTCCTCCTTCCTCTTCCTCTTCTTCTTCTTTCTCTCTCTCTCGTTTTTTGTTTTTTTGGAGGGGGCAGGAGAGGGGGGAACAGGATTTCTCTCTATTGTCCAGGCTGAAGTGCAGTGGTGCAATCTTGGCTCGCTGCAACCTCTGCCTCCCAGGCTCAAGTGATCCTCCTGCCTCAGCCTCCCAAGTACCTGGGACTACAGGTGTGAGCCACCACACCTGACTAATTTTTGTATTTTTTGTAGAGACAAGGTTTCACCATGTTGCCCAGGCTGGTCTCAAACTCTTGAGCCTCCTGGGTTCAAGCGATTCTCCCGTCTCAGCCTCCTGAGTAGCTGGGATTACAGGTGCCTGCCACCACACCAGGCTTGTTTCTGTATTTTCAGTAGAGACAGGGTTTTGCCATGTTGGCCAAAGTGCTGGGATTACAGGAGTGAGCCATTTCACCCAGCCTCTTTTTATTTTTTATTTATTTATTTATTTCTAAGACAGGACCTTGCTCTGTTGCCCAGGCTAGAGTGCAGTGGTGTGATCTTGGCTCACTGCCACCTTGACTTCTCAGGCTCAAGTGATCCTCCACCTCAGCCTCTTGAAGGGCTGGGACTATAGGTATGCACCATCACTTCTGGCTAGTTTTTTGCAGAGATGAGGTCTCACTATCTTGCCCAGGCTAATCTTGAACTCCTAAGCTAAAGCAATCCTCCCATCTTGGCCTCCCAAAGTGCTGGGATTACAGGCATGAGCCACCAAGTCTGGCTAAAATTTATTTTCTAAGGGTATGAGGAACATTTGGTTATAATTATTTGCTACTTTGGAGGCCTAGGGGAGTGGAAGGATGAGCTTAATAAAGATGGGATGTATATAGCTTAAAGAGTCCCTACAGTGTTCTTATCTTGAACAAACATCATCTCTGTGTAAACAACCCATAAGCAAGCATCACAGAATTCTGAACTCTGTTGGCAGTTGGCATTTACCCGTAAAGGAAGAGTATATTATGCCCAAAATCTGACAGACAAAACAAAGGCAAAAGAACATGGAAATAGTAGGAAACAAAGATCAATGTTTTACATTTAATCAAATTTTCCATTCTATAATTTTGACACCATGGTTATTTCCCTAAAAAATTTTAGTCTCCCAAAGAAGAACACAGCAAGCTAAGAAAGTGAAAACGAAGGTTGAAAAGACAAATAAATCAAAACAAGGTGCTTGCTATGGACACAGGCATAAGCCCTGGTCATTCCCTACATGAAAACTGTCTAAGTTATCTTAATTTTCTCTTTTACAATACACACTATAAGCACAATTGCAAAAAAAAAAAGTTCATGAAATGTATTGCTGATACATGTGCCCAACGCTGGCTGAGTCTGTTTCTTACTGCATGGTTAAGGATCCAAGTCTGCCTCAATCTGACAGACTGTCCCTGTCACAGCCTCACACTTACTTTCTGAAAATACACAAAAACGCACTGAGAACCCAAATAGGGTATTGTTTTAAAAATTATTTGTGTTAAATTTTAACAGCCACAATCCAGGCTGCTGCCATTTCATGAAGTATTTCCACTGTGAGAATCAAATCTGCCCAGAGGCACTTGTCACAGTAAGAACACAGGTCCATTTACTACTCTACTAAGTAGGCTGGCTTAAATGTTCATGTCAAACTGTTGGTTTATCCCTCTTCAGGAAATAAGATTAGTGTATTACAATTGAGTGTAGCAGGCAGGAGATATTATGTTTACAGTAACAGATTCTATTCTATTGCCATGTAAAGCTATTCTTGTCTTAATCCATTCATTAAACAAAAATCATTTAGGTGTCCACTACTTGCCAGGCACTTGGCTTGGTGCAAAGGTCAGAGAAAAAAAGAAAGCAGACAGGAAACTTGCTCTCATGGAACTTGGGGTCTAGAGTAGAAGCAAGCATTCAAAAAGTCATTACGAGTGAGGGATGCTAAGAAAAAACAAGTACCAGGGGTTCTGGGAACACAGCAGGCAATGTGACCTGGTCTTGAGGGGAGAACAGGAAAGGCCTCCTCAGGAAATGACAGCAAAGTTGAGATTAGAAGGATAATTAATAGTCTTTATGCAGGCAAAGGAGAGCTTAGAAGAAAAAGAGTGTTCCCAACTGAGTGCTTAGTATACCCCCAAAGAAATCTAGGACACTGTGGTGATGTTCAGTGGGAGGGGAAGAGCAGAGTGAGGTAAGCCTTCAAAGGTAGGCCAGAGGGGCCAGCTCAGGCAAGCGAGAGTCACGCAGGCAAACTCCAGGGTAAGGCGTTTGGACTTTATCTAGTTGGCAAAGGGGAGCCAATGTGAGGGACACAGATTCAAGGGCTCTTTGATGCAGCAGAATCAACAGACTTGCCGACAGATGGATATGAAGGTAAAAAGGAAGGAGGTACCACATACAGAGGTAAGAAAGGTGAGGAGGATTATGGAAGGAAGAGACGTGAACACATTTAATTTGAGAACCCTTTGAGATACCCAGGGAAAGATGTGGACCAGGCAATGAGAGAGAGAGTGCAGAAGAAAAGTCTGATGTGAATATTTTGTTTCGAAACTGTAAGCACACAGGTGATGGCGTGGGAGTGCACTCGGTGACATGGAGGTTACTGGTAATCTTGGTCAGAGCAATTAATACACTGGTGGGGACAAAAGTAAGATTAGAATGTGCTGAGAAGGGAGTGGGAGATAGGAAAGATGTGGAGAGAAACTGAGCAAGAGTAAGGAAGAAAGTATAGTAGCTGGTGGGCAACAGAGGGAGGATAGTTTTTTTTTCTTAACAAAGGAAAGATGTATTTTTAAATGACAGAAAGGAGCTCGCCGGTAAAGAGGGTAAAGTTGAAGATACAGGAGAAGGAAATAAACCATCAAGAGCATAAGGTTAACAGCATCTGACAAAGTCCAAGAGGAGGAGATCCAGGGGTCAGATAAGTGGATAAACGTAAACAGAGATACATTCTGATTACTTCAGACAGATACATAACATGGGCATGCTAGGTCTGCTAGTTAATTCTAATTGTAGAAATAAATAGTTACAGGTAGTTTTCCCTTTATTGTTTCCCAAATCAAACTTATAGGTAAATAGATTTTAAAATAGAAGCTTTGGTGATTGAGGCCAAGTGGGGCAGTTAAAATTTGGTCGAAAACCCAGTCTTACTGTCTTGAAGAACTAGACGACATATCCTGGGACAACCATAGCAGTTGGAAAGTGAGGCTGTGGGGAAAATACCAGAAAGGGAGAGTCACGAAAACAGAGCCAACAGTTTGTATACAAACTCTGTCCAAATCCTTCATTGACTTCTGAAGTCCACAAGTACTCATGCTCCAAAGAGCTGAATTATGGACAAAATAATTGAACAGGTATTTCAGTTGCAGGGAGGGTTTGGAGTCTGAGGTGAGCCAAGTTAACTGCTTGCTAAAACAAAAACCAATATTCTGCAGAGGAATATAATAGAATCAAGTCTCTCAGCCAGGCGCAATGGTTCTCACCTGTAATCCCAATAGTCTAGGAAGCTGACGCAGGAGGAGGAGCATGAGCCCAGGAGTTTAAGACCAGCCTGGGCAACACAGCAAGACCCCACCTCTACAAAAACATTAGCCGGACATGGTGGTGCACACCTGTAGCCCTAGCTACTTGGGGGACTGACGTGGGAGGACAGCTTGAGCCCAGGAAGTCGAGACTGCAGTGAGTGAGGATCACACCACTGCACTCCAACCTGGGTGACAGAGTGAGACTCTGCCTCAAAAAAAAAAAAAAAAACCAAAAAAAACAAAACACCTCTACAATATGTGATCCTTACACCCAAGACACAACTCAAAATTACTAGATGTACAAAGAAAAAAGAAAGTGAGCCATACTCAAAAGAAATGGAAACCTACCTGAACATGGCCTATGTCCTAGAAATGGCAGAAAAGAACTTAAAAGCAGCTATTACAAATGTGACCAGTATTATAAAGGAAAATATGCCCTCTGTGAATGAATAAATAGGAAAGCTCAGCTGAAAGCATTGTAAGAGGGTAAGACAGGCTCTCTGTCTGAGATGAAATGCAAAGGACAGCCTAAAACTGAAATTGGAGCAGGCATTAAGAAAAGCCCTCTGGAAAACTATTCCACACTCTAAACACAAAGTATTTACTGGAGAAACTGGAAGCCTGTTCTGCCCTGAGGGTAATCACAGCAACAATAAACCTCAAACCCAGCCCAGCTCCTGAGCAGATTAACTCAAACTCCCA
Organism: Homo sapiens; assembly: GCF_000001405.40. Classification (NCBI taxonomy): domain Eukaryota; kingdom Metazoa; phylum Chordata; class Mammalia; order Primates; family Hominidae; genus Homo; species Homo sapiens. The sequence continues at coordinate 24,357,642 of NC_000022.11, read as the reverse complement.
CATTTAAAGACCTAAGTAGAAGAAAAAAGGTGTCCATTTCAAGGCATAAAATCAACTACTATCCATGTAAGATGTCTAGCTTTCAATAAAGAATTGTAAAATATACAAAAAGCCAAGAAAAAGCCAACATACCCAGCTCACTACACCAGAACACAAAGTAATCAATAAAACCAAATGGTACGGATGTTGGAACTATCTATAAAGCATTTAAAATAACTATGATTAATATATCATTTTATATTTTTATAGAGATGAAGTCTCACTATGTTGCTCAGGCTAGTCTTAACTTCTTGGCTCAAGCAATCTTCTTGCCTTGGCCTCCCTGAGTGCTGGGATTACAGGTGTGAGCCAGTTTCCAGCCTCAGCCTTAAAAAGAAATTGTTTCATGCCACAAAATGGATGAACCTTGAAAACATGATATTAAGTGAAACAAGGTCTCTAAGGGAAAAGGCAGACAATATGCAAGATTGGCTAGGATTTCCTACTTGATTTTCTCTTATAGCTTCCATCTCTCTGCTGAAATTAGACAAATAAAACTGTGAAAACTGTATCTCTGATTTTCAACTGTGGGCAAATTTGCCCCCCCAGGGGATTATTAGAGTATCACCCCCATTCCCCCAGTTGTGACAACCAAAAATTAGAGGCATTTTTTGGTTGTCATAACTGGGGAGATGGGGGTGATACTGGGACTCTGGTGGGTAGAGAGCAGGGATACTGCTAAACTTCCTGTAATGCATAAAACAATCCCCCACAACAGTTATGTGGACGCCAATAAAGGCAAGGCTGACAAACCCTAACCTAAGGCAACCACTGAAAGAATTTAATGGATACAAATAATAAGTCAGTAGGAGAGATAAAACAAAGTAATAACAAATGGTCAATGGACCCAAGAGAAGGCAGAAAAAGGAAAAAGAAGCAGAATAGATGGGTCAAATACAAAACACGACAAGGTGGTAGATTTTAATCTAACCATAATAATAATCATATTAAACGAGAATGGTCTAAATCCACCAATTAAAAGACAAAATGTCAGAATGAATAAAAAAGACTGAACTATATACCGTCTACAAGAAACTTACTTTAAATCTAAAGACATAGATAAATTAAAAGGATGGAAAAAAATATACCATGCAAGCACTAACAGAAGGTTGGAGTAGGTACATCAATATCAGAAAAGAAAGACTTCAGAACAAGGGACATTATCAGAGATTTAAAAAATATAATAATAATAATAAAGGGGCTAGTTCTCTAAGAAGACATAACACATTCCCAAATGGGTATGCATCTACCAACAGAACTTTAAGATACATGAGGTAAAACCTGATAGAACTAAAAGGAGAAATAGAAATCCACAACTAGACTTTCAGAGTTCAAGACTATTCTCTCAGTAATTCCTAGAAACGAGCAGACAGAAATGAGTAAATACAGAAGACCCAGACTTGAACAATACAACCAACTAGATCTAACTGATATTTATAAAACACTCTGCCCAATAACAGCAAAATAAAAACATGCTGCCAAGTGAGAGAAGCCAGACTTAAAAAAAAAGCTGTATGCTGTATGATTTGATTTATATGACAGTCTAGAAAAGGTACAACTGTAGGGATGAAAAACATATCAGTGGTTGCTAGGGAATGGGGTGTATGGTAGGGGTTGACTACAAAGGGGCAGCATGAAGGAATTTTGGGGGTGATGGAACTCTTGTGTACAGAACTGTGTAACTATGATGACAGACAAATGGCTATGTGTTTGTCAAAACCCACAAAACTGTATACCAGATAGTGTAAATTTTACTGTATGTAAATTAAAAAAAAAACAGAACGGGGGGAGGGAGGGAGAGAAGGGGAGGAGAACAGAATGCAGACTATGACAAATTAATCTGACTGCATTACGAAACCATGACAGACCAACTGAAGTGAGTAGGGAAAAAGGAACTGGCTTAAGTAACTTTGTATATGTATAGTAAGGTTGAACAAATACATAAATATATTGTAGATAATGAGAGCCAAGTTTCTCACCCCCAAAAGAAAGAAGTTATAAGTAAGGGAAGGGAAAATTCTGGAATGAACCCATTGGTGATGGCTTGGAGTCAGGTATGAGTATAAACTTACAGTTTTTGATAGACAGGCAGACAGACAGACAAATAAGATAGTTAGATAGGTAGGTAGGTAGGTAGGTGGGTGGGTGGATAGGTAGGTAGACAGACAGACAGACAGGATAGTGTATACACATGAGTTGGTACATATACATACAATTTCCCTAGTTCTATCCAGAGAGGGACTAAAGGCTGTGAAACCCCAGTAGCAATGAGCACATTTAGCACCTGGATCTTGGTTTCCTTTTTTTTTTTTTTTTTTTTTTGAGATGGAGTCTCACTCTGTTGCCAAGCTGGAGTGCAGTGGCACGATCCTGGCTCATTGCAACCTCTGCCTCCCAGGTTCAAGTAATTCTCATGCCTCAGCCTCCTGAGTACCTGGGACTACAGGTGCACACCACCACGCTCAGCTAATTAATTTTTGTATTTTTAGTAGAGACAGGGTTTCACCATGTTTGCCAGGATGGTCTGGATCTCTTGACCTCCTGATCCGCCCACCTCGGCCTCCCAAAGTGCTGGGATTACAGGCATGAGCCACTGCGCCTGGCCTGGATCTTGGTTTCTAAATACTATTCTCTAATAAAAGTAACCAGAACTTGGCTGGGTGCAGTGGCTTATGCCTGTAATCCCAGCACTATGGGAGGCCGACGTGGGTGAATCACAAGGTCATGAGATGGCCAACATGGTGAAACCCTGTCTCTACTAAAGATACAAAAAAATTAGCCAGGTGTGGTGGCATGCACCTGTAATCCCAGCTACTTAAGAGGCTGAGACATGAGAATCACTTGAACCCAGGGGGCGCAGGTTGCAGCGAGCCGAGATCACACCGTTGCACTCCAGCGACAGGGTGAGACTCTGTCTCAAAAAAAAAAAAAAAGAGTAACCAGAACTCCTTAAAGAAATGGTTGACTCCAGGGCTGGTGCAGGAAAAAAAACCAAGATAGGCTGGAGCATCTTGTAGTGCCAGAAAGTACTTCAGGGGTGGAGGGAAGGTGCATTGAGAAAGCAAGGAGTCAATGTGAAAGATCTCTCAACAGCCACTGATGGAATAACCTGACAACAAAACAAATAAAAATGGTAGTAGATTATAATCCAAAGAACAAATATCCATGAGTCTATACTAATATAAATGAATGATGTCAATAGAATAATACATATAAATAATTCCTTACAGATGGAATAAGGAAATAGAAAACCACCACTGAAACACCACGGTAATAACTGTTGTGGGCAAAATGCATAAATAAATGCTGAAATCAGTGAGAGAAAGTTTAAGAAGGAACAAAACTGATATAGTCTAGGTGTCTGTCCCCTCCAAATCTCATGCTCAAATGTAAGCCCCAGTGTTGGAGGTGGGCCTGGTAGGAGGTACCCGGGTCATAGGAGCAGATCCCTCATGAATGGCTTGGTGCTGTCCTTGTGAGATCTGGTTGTTTAAAAGTGTGTGGCACCTCTCTCCTCTCTCTCATGCTCCCCCTTTCTTCATGTGACATTCCTGCTATTGATTTGCCTTCCACCATGACTGTAAGCTTCCTGAGGCCTCACCAGAAGCTGAGCGGATGCTGGCACCATGCCTCCTATACAGCCTGCATAACTGTAAGCCAATTAAACCTCTTTTCTTTATAAATTACCCAGCCTAATGTATTTCTTTATAGCAATCCAAGAATGGACTAACACAAAGATATTTACTAATTCCTAGCAGCCAATCACCTAACCAAGTGAACAAAGTTAATTTAACATCAGAAGTAACAAGACACATCAATCTCATGTACCCCTGATAAAATAACTTGAAAAGGACACATCACCTCTGCAGTATCCCTTCCATTAAAACATAAACTCAGGCTGGGCATGGTGGCTCATGCCTGTTATGCTAGCACTGTGGGAGGTCGAGGTGGGCGGATCACCTGAGGTCAGGAGTTCAAGACCAGCCTGGCCAATATGGTGAAACTCCATCTCTACCAAAAAATACAAAAAAATTAGCTGAGTGTGGTGGTATGCGCCTGTAATCCCAGCTACTCGGGAGGCTAAAGCATGAGAGTTGAACCCAGGAGGCGGAGGTTGCAGAGTGAGACCTTATCTCAAAAAACTCAAAAAACAAAACAAACAAACAAAAAACGAAAAAAACTCCATAAACTCAACTTAAATCAGAAGAAAATATCAGACAAGCCCATCTGAGAGACATTCTGCAAAATAACTGACAAGTATTCTTCAAAAGTGTTGAGGTCATGTGAGACAGGGGAAGAGTGAGAAGCAGCTGCAGACTGGTGGGGACTAAAGAGATAAGACAACTAAATGGAAAGTAGGAGCCTCAATTTGATTCTAGAATTAAAAAAGGACATTAGTGGAAAAACTGGTAAAATTCAAATAAATTCTGTAGGTTAGTTAATAATATTTTACTGCTATTAATTTCTTACTTTTTGTAACTGTTCTATAGTTATGTAGGATGTTCCTATAAGGGAAGCTGGGGGAAGGGAACTCTAATATTTTTGTTAAGTCTAAACTTATTTCAAAAGGAAACACACAGAGAGACAGAACACCATAAATACTGATATGCATGCTGAAGGGTAGTGATTATAACTTACTTTGTGATAAAGCAAATATAAAAGAATGCCACAGAATCTAGGCTGTAAGTAAGTGGATAATTCACGGCACAACTTCTTGCAACTTTTCTGTATGTTTGAAAATTTTCATTATAATATGTTGGGGAGAAAATAAGAGCTGAGATTGATAAAAATAAGTTCTGATTTTTATCAAGAACCACAGGGAAGAGGAAGAAGAAGGGGGAGTGACTAAATATCCAATTAGACTGTAAAGTGCAGGAGGGTAGGATTTCTATCTCATTTTATCCTGGGACTTTCATGGCCTAAGGCTAGATCTAAAGCTGAGGCAGAATCTGATTTAGAGTAAAAAAGAAAATTCTGTGAAAGTTTTTAAACAGAAGGTTTGGCTTTCCAGTAAAACCTCCTAACTTCATACAAATTTATGGTATGTACCCTTAACATAAATCATTTTTTTTTCAAAATACTCAGTTTATAAAAATCTCTGGCCTCAAGTAACACAATTTAGACAGGTAATAATGGTATGAAATTTCCTTACAGAACACAACTACACTTGGACTAACGAACTTCTTAAGACATCTATATGCCTGAGCTGAGAGACACGGTGATAGGGTCACACTGACACTGGGCAATCCCAGGCTTCTCAACCATTTACACCAGCCAGCTGAGGTTTATGCTTAACATTCTGGAGCTCATCTGGTCACTGTGCACTTTCCAACTACCTGTATCCATGTACTTGGCAGCAGAATCTGTGCTTTTCAGCTTAGGGCATAAAGCTAATTCATATACTATCTACAAAGATTCACTAAGGTGGCACCAGTCATGACCCTAGCCATTTAATTCCACTGCTGGTAATACCAACAAAAGAGCATTTGATTAAGTGCATTTATAGTAAGATTTCTCTGGTATGAAACATTTTCCTGCAAGTGCATGATGCTAAAGGATAATAGATTTAAAAAAAAAAACTATTGTAGAGCAAGAGGCAGCATCTTTTTTTTTTTGAGACAGAGTCTCGCTCTATTCCCCAGGCTGGAGTGCAGTGGCGCAATCTCGGCTCACTGAAAGCTCCGCCTCCCGGGTTCACGCCATTCTCCAAGAGGCAGCATCTTTTTAAACTTCAGTAATGAAGACACTTAAATTTTTTAAACGAAAATTACACACTGTATTTTTAAATTCATCCCTAAGTAAATAAGACAACCAAGGAAGAAAAGCAGTTCAAGACAGAGCTCAGAAATCCTACTCTCATCACAATTTGGAAAACCACAGTGGCTTTTTATGGCCACGAATCATTTGGTTGTTCTTAGTTTTCTGAGTGGTTCTTTTCTTGAATGACTGTTTAAGATAAACGATCACAGTATCAACTACTGTGATATAGATTCATCTAAGTGTGTTTCCTTTCTCCTGTATTTGCAATGTCTCAACCACACTCCACTAAGGCATGACAACAGACTGAAGTGGAGAATGAGACCAGCTTTTACATAGACTGACGGCATGTACCCCCATGCCGCTGGCACTACCGTTTGATGCATCACCAGATGATAAAATAAGAGCCAGGAATAGAATCTTAATGCATTTAATCTGTGTTTTCAATAACCTTGGCCTACAGACCTTCCACACCCATTCTCCACCCACAAAAGCCAAGGTAACAGAAATAATTAAACGGTAGTCTTTGCCCAATAATATTCCAAATTCACTTATTCCTAAGAGTCACTTGGGGTGCTTGTGAAAATGGCATATCCAAGCTACTGAGTCTACATCATTAGATCTGAGGGGAGGCCCAACATTCTATATTTTAACAAGTGACTCAGGTAAGCTTGAGACACACCACTGGTGCTGGTTTCCCCTGGTAAACCTCGCCCTGCTCTAACCCCATCAAGATAAGCCTGGAAAGCAGCAGTGGAGAGTGGAGAAGGCCTCGAGGGTTGGCTTCAGCTGAGCTCAGGAGGTATGGGAAGACCCTGAGCCATTTCTCAGTGCAGCACTCCACTCTCCTCAGAGGCCACCTGGAACATGGAGCGTCACTGTCCTCTGATGCCCCAGGATCACCTCAGTGCCCTCTGATAGGGGTCTCTCCTCCTGGGCTTTCTCAGGCTTGCAGCCACACCACCGTGCCCAGGCTGGACTCACAGCTTTAGGGTACTGGCACAGGGTTATACTTACCCTCAGAGGCTGCTGCAGACTTGCACTGGCTCTGACCACACTTAACGCAGACTGAAGAAGGTCAAAAGGCTGACTATTGACAGAACTAGGGCACACCTACCAAGCAGCAGAGTGGAAACGTTCCTGAATTCCTGGTTACCATCTCTGCCTTCAACACATAGAGCTTTTTAAAGATGCCTAGGACACAACTTGTGTAGGTGCTTTAGTTATTTGCTGGCAGCTAAGCAAAATCCTGCAGGCAACTCAGGCGTCTAAAATCTTTGACTTGTGGGCCAATGAGAGCTATCATTCTCAGCCACTTGTGCTACTCAGAAAAAGTTCACACATATAGTAATAAAATTGAACAGCAAAGATTTACTATGGGATAGAATTGGCGCTAAGCACTTTACAAGCTTTAACTCTTCTTTCTTTCACTCACCTCACAATTTTTTATCAAGAGTCCAGTACTTCTACAGGTGCTGAGGATGCCTCAGTGAACAAAACAGACACCAATCTTGCCTTATAGGTCTTACAATTTAGGGAAATAAGAGAAAGAAATAAAAATTATAGACAAACCATATGGGATGTTAGAATGGGACCAGTGATAAGGAGAGCAAGCAGAGAAAGGGGTGTGTGGGAGAACGAGTGGTTTCCATCTTTAAATATGGTACTTAGGGCCTTGCTGAGGAGGTTCGATCCAGCAGTGTTCCAGGCAGAGGGTTCCAGCATAGAAAGTGCCAGTTGCAAGGTGTCTAAGTCAGGAGCATGCCCAAGTACTCAGGGACAGCAGGGAAGCCCATGTGGTGAGGCAGGGTGAGCAAGAAAGTGAAGAGGCTAGAGAGGACACTGAGGCCAGGCTGCGAGGGTCTGGAGGCCCCTGAGAGAACTCTGGCTCCTCTTCTAGAAGAAATGGGGAGATGTAGAGGGTTTGACTAGAGTAGCAGGTTTCAATTTCTGTTTTTCAAGCTACAGTGTCAAGAACAGACACTGAGGGTGATTAGGAATCTTTTGCCAGAACCCAGCTGAGAGATGATGGTGGCTTATACCAGGGAGGTGACAGTAGAGAAAAGAGCAATGCTCTTATTCTGGACATATTTTGAAAGTAGAGTCAATGGGATTTCCTAAACAACTGAACAAGTCTAAGATGAAGACGGGAGTTAAGGATGACTCCAAGGTTTCTAAGGATGAAACTGCCATGAATGGAGATGGAGAAGGCAGATTACATGTAGAACAAGTTTGGAAAGTGGGGGAAATCTTGTCCTGGAGACATTGTCTGAGAATATTCAATATCAAAATGGGAAGATGTCAAGTAGGCAACTGTATACACGAACCTAGAGTCCAGAGAAGAACAGGCGAGAGATGCAAATCTGACAGTCCTCAGCACAAAAATAGTATTTAAAGTCATGAGACAGGATACAATAACAAAGAAAGTGAGGACAAAGAACAAAGGCCCTGTGTTGAGCTCTGGGCCACACCTCCACGTACAGGTCAGGAAGAAGAGAAAAGCCAGGCCGGGTGCGGTGGCTCATGCCTGTAATCCCAGCACTTTGGGAGGCCAAGGCTGGCAGATCACCCTGAGGTCAGGAGTTCGAGACCAGCCTGGCCAACATGGCAAAACCCCGTCTCTACTAAAAATACAAAAATTAGCTGGGTGGGGTGCTCCACGCCTGTAATCCCAGCTACTCGGGAGGCTGAGGCAGGAGAATCACTTAAACCCAGGAGGCGGAAGTTGCAGTAAGTTGATATCGTGCCACTGCACTACAGCCTGGGCGACAGAGTGAGACTCTGTCTCAAAAAAACAAAGAAAAAAAAAAGGAGAAAAGCCACACAGGAGAGGAAGAAGAAGCAGCCTGACAGAGAGAAGGCACAAGAGTGTGGTATTAGGGAAACCAAAAAGAATGTCCTAGAAGACAGAGTGCTCAACAGTGCCAAATGCTGCTGACGGGTCACATCAGATTAGGACTGAACTGGCTGGGCTGGGGACACAGCAGTCGTTGACAACTTCAGCAGCTGCAGGTGTTAAGAGCCCAGGAACCCAGTGAGCTAGGTGTTCACTATCAATTTACAGATGAGGAGACAGCACCAAAAAGGTTGCAGTTAACAGCCAGGCCATGGCAAGGCCAAGATCTCTGTGCTGCACACCTATGTAAATCCTTTGTGGGTTCATCTGGGAGGCGGGATGTAAAGAGAGGAAGGAGAGATGCAGAGTATTTGGGTTAAGAAAACTTTAAACCTTCCACTATTTGTTCCCTTAGCAAAACCTTCTGAGGGGAGAAAAGAGCTTAGGTGATGACTGACAAATGAACCAGAAGCCAAGAAGCAGGGCAGAAGGCAAATCTTTGTGCCAGGGAGGTAGTAGCAGCACCACCTTGTACTCCATTGCCCCTAAATGTGTACACAACCAGCTTATCAGAACACTGAAGACTGACAGGTATAGGGCCAGTTCAACCACCAAATTGAACTCTTCAGGCGCTGGTACTACATGGAGCCCACAGAGCCAGTCCTTTGGGTTCTTTAATTTAATACTTTTCACAAGTCTGCTTACTTCTGACCCAAAACCTGTTGAAGCCTTCTAGTCTAACATACACAGCCTAACATGCACAACCAAGAATTCCTGACGCATGGAAGTAACTGGCCTGCATCAGCTAAGAGGAGCCCTCAGGCCCTGAGGGGACACTTGGGAACATTCCCACACCCACCCCAAATGAAGCAGTGCTTTTCCCAGCACCACACCCCAACACTGCAGTTCATCTTTCCAATGCACTTTAGTACCTCACATGAAGAGGCAGCGTGGGGTAAGAGAAGGAGCCTCAACCTCGAAAGGTGGGATACTTGGGTTCTGGTGCCAGCCCTACCATAAAAAAACTACGTGGAAGGCCAGGTGCGGTAGCTTGCGCCTATAATCACATCACTTAGGGAGGTTGAGGTGGGCAGATCACCTGAGGTCAGGAGTTTGAGACCAGTATGGCTAACATGGTGAAACCCTGTCTCTACTAAAAATACAAAAATTATCTGAGCGTGGTGGTGTGCGCCTGTAGTCCCAGCTATTCGGGAGGCTGAGGTGGGAGAATTGCTTGAACCCGGGAGGCAGAGGTTGCAGTGAGCCAAGATTGTGCCACTACACTCCAGCCTGGGAGACAGAGTGATACTCCAGCTTAAAAAAAAAATGGCTGTGTGAAAACAGCAAGTTCCTCCCAAGGGCTCCAAAGAGTTGCTGACCCTCATCTTCCAGAGTCTCAGCTCTCTCAGGGTAACAAAACTCAGTCCAGAGATTTAAGGAATGGGCTTTGAAGTCAGGCTGCCCTGGGCTACTGCTTAGTAACTAACTGTGTTAACCTGAATTGAATTAGTTAACTTCTTTAAGCCTCATTTTTGGTATCTATAAAATGAGGATGACAATAATACATATGCCATGAGGAACTGTGAAAACAGTGCCTAGCAATGGTGTACACTCTCTATTACCCATTATGACAGCTGTCAGGAAAGATGCATTCATTAACAACTACTTTCCCCACTTGTAATTTAGATATACTTACTAGTGAACTTCTGATACAAAGGTATACCAGATTGATTGAAATAGTATCAAGAGCAAAGAAAATATTTAGTTTGCCAAAAAAGCCAGAACAATTCAAAAATTGAAAAAAAGGTGAAATGCTATGGCATATTACACGTACCTTGAACAGGGATTTCCCCATAGTTTGGTCTCTTATCTGACAGGGCTGTCAGGGGTTTGGATGTTGAGATTGGTCCACTTATGGAATGTCTCTGAAATCATAAGATAAACAACATCAAAGTTAAAATGACTGTTTGGACTCACAAAGTAAATGCCGCACAGAGTAGATATTTAGTTATAAATCCGTATTAATTCTTTCCATACTGCTATAGTAAGGTTGTAACACACCTTACAGGCATGGACTGTGATCAATATACTTTTTTTAAAAATTAGACTTTTTATTATGGGGTAATTATAGACTCATATGCAGTTTTAAGAATATAAAGAGATCCTACGTACTCTTTACTCAGTTTCCCCCAACGGTAATATCTTACAAACCTATAGTAAAATACCACCAGCAGGATTTTGACATTAGCCAAATACTGATATAGTCATTATCTTATATAGTCATTTATATGTTACTGATACAGTCAAGATAAAGAACATTTCCATCACCATAAGGATCCTTCCTGGGGCCCTTTTACAGTCACACCCCTCTTCCCGTCCCCAACCCCCTATCACTGACCTCTGGCAACCACTGGTATTCTGAATGTGGTTTCATTATTTTGTTGGAAGAGAATCTTTAAAGTATCACAAACCAATTCAGTAAATACAAAAACATGTTCCAAAATAAAATGCAGATGTGCTCCTTTTGTAATTGTACTGACCATTCAAGTCCTGGTTCAAATAAATCTCAATTCTGCCACCCGCTTGCTAATGCTACAACAACTGCCCAGTACAGCCTGTCATCTCAGTGCAGCACTACAGCAATGGCTTGTCACTGGCATCATCGCCAGACTTCTGCATATGCAGGCAGCCAGAAGAATCCACCACGGCCAGGCGCAGTGGCTCATGCCTTAATCCCAGCACTTCGGGAGGCTGAGGTGGGCGGATCATGATCTCAGGAGTTTGAGACCAGCCTGGCCAATATAGTGGAACCCCGTCTCAACTAAAAATACAAAAAATTAGCTGGGCGTGGTGGCAGGCGCCTGTAATCTCAGCTACTTGGGAGGCTGAGGCAGGAGAATCACTTGAAGCCGAGAGGCGGAGGTTGCAGTGAGCCGAGATCGCGCCACTGCACTCCAGCCCGGGTGACATTGTGAGACTCCATCTCAAAAAAAAAAAAACAAAAAAAACAGAAAGAATCCACCATGAACACTTAAAACCCCTCAGCTCTCCTGCCACCTCTACATGATGCTCAAACACCACCAACCTACTTATTTACTATCATGCAGACCACGTTGCTTGTCTATGTTTTTCTTGTGCTTCACTCCCACAGATTTCGCCCAGCCCTTTTTATCTGGCTAACTTCTATTTATTTCATATTCCCATCAGAAATGTGGACAAGGTCCAGCTTCTCCACATCCCTACCACACTTCAGATCGTCAGCCTTTTAGATTTTGGCCATTTGGAAGAATATAGAATAGGATCTCATTGTGGATTTAATTTCCATTTTCCTGATGACTAATGATGTTGATCATCTTTTCATGTGCCATTGGCCATTTGTATTCTTCTCCTGGAAGGATCTTCTCAAATCTTAGCCCATTATTTATTGGGTTGTTTGTCTTCTTACTGAATGTAAATCTTTGTTAGGTAAATGTATTATGAATACATTCTCCCCAGTCTGTAGCTTGCTTTTTGTATTTTCTTAACGTCTTTCAGAGAAGTTTTAAGTTTTAAGTTGCCTAATTTATCAACTTGCTTTTATAGTTCATGCTTTTTTATATCTTAATAAATGTTTGCAGTCTTAAAAGTCATGAAGATTTTCTCTCATGTTCTCATGTAAAAATTATAGTTTTAGCTTTCACATTTAGGTTGATAGTCCATTTCAAATTTTGTGTATTTCATAAGGTACGGGCTGAGGTTATTTTTTTTTCTATACAGTTATCTAGTCATTTCAGAATCTTTTCTTCAAAAAACTATTCCTTACCGATTGAATTACTTTGGTATCTTTGTAGAAAATCGACTGGCCTACTTCTGAACTCTCTGTTCTACTGATCTAATGTTGAAATCAGGTAGTACAAGTCCTCCAAATTTGTCCTCCACCCGCACCCCCCCGACCACAACAATGTTTTGAATATTCAGGGATCTTGCATTTCCATATGAACTTAATACTACCATGTCAATTTCTACCCAAAGAGCACTGCTCTTTTAATTGGTATTGTGTTGAATCTACAGACCAATTTAAAAGACTACTACAAGATATTAATGATATTGAGTCTTCCAATCTATAAATGACATCACTTTCTATTTATTCAATTTTTCTCGGCAATATTTTATTGTTTTCATTGCACAGGTTGTGCATACATTTCATTATATTTATTGCTAAGTATTTCAATCTCCAATTATTCATGCTAATATACAGAAAAACAAATAACTTTTGTATAGGACCTCGTGTAAACCTTGACACTGCTCAACTCAAAAAGCTTTTGTGTGGACTCCTTAGGATTTTCTACATAAATGATCATGTTATCTGCAAATAATGACAGTTTTACTTTACCCTTTCCAAACTTGTATGCTTTTCTTTCTTTTTTTTTTTTTTTTTTGGTCTTATGCAATTGCACAGGGTAAGAGCTCCAGCAAAATGCTGAACAAAAGTGGTGACAGTGGGTATCCTTACCTTGCTCCTGATCCTGGTGGGAAAGCATTCAGTCTCCAGATTAAGTATGACGTTAGCTGTGGAGTTCCCACAGGTCTCCTTCTATTTCTAGTTTGCTAAAGAGTTTTACTATGAATGGATGTAAAATTTTGTCAAATAGTTTTCTAAATACGTTGAGATTAATGTTTTTTTTTTTAATTTTTTTTCCCTCTTTTATTGTGTTGAGGTAAATTTTAACCTTGCACCCCTGGGATACATCACACTTGGTAATGATGGATTGTCGTTTTTATATATTGCTGGATTCAGTTTTGTTAATGTGTGCTTTTATATTGCATCTATAACCATCTATAATCATGAGGAATACTGGCTAGCCATTTTCTTTTTTTGCAATGTCTTTGTCTGGTTTTGCTATCAGGTAATGCTAGCTTCCTAAAATGAACTGGAAAGTCCTTTTACTCTTCTGTTTTCTGAAAGACTATATACAATTGGAATTATTTCTTCCACAAAGGATTGATTCAATTCACTAGTAAAACCACCTGGGCCTGGAGTTTTCTATGTGGGAAGCCTTTTTATTTTAAACTTTTATTCTGAAATAATTATGGATTCCCAGGAAGTTGTAAAGATAGTACAGCAAAGTCCCATATACTCCTCATTCACTTTCCCCCAACTGTCTGTGGATAATGAATTCCCTCAGCTTTTGTTTGCCTAAATAATTTTACTTTTACTTTTTTTTTTTAAATACACAGAATTCTAAGTTGACAGGGTTTTTCTTTCAGCATTTGAGGATGCCATTTTGGGCTGGGCACAGTGGCTCACTTTGGGAGGCCGAGGAAGGTGAATCACCTGAGTCCAGGAATTTGAGACAAGCCTGGGCAACATGGAGAAACCCCATCTCTACTAAAAATACAAAAATTAGCCAGGCACCATGGTACGCACCTGTAGTCCCAGCTACTCAGGGGGCTGAGGCAGGAGAATCACTTGAACCCAGGAGGCAGAGGTTGCAGTGAGCCAAGGTCACGCCACTGCATTCCAGCGTGGGCGACAGAACTAGACTCCATCTCAAAAAAACAAAACAAAACAAAAAAAAAACACAACCATTTTGTTGTCTTCTGACTTGCACAGTTTCTAACTAGAAGTCTGTGATCATTCTCACCTGCCTGTCCTTAAGAGTTTCTTATCACTGTTTTTCAGCAATGCCTTAATGGGCATGGGGATGAGGGTGTTTGTATGTTTATATACGCTTGTCTTGCTTTAGCTTCCTGATTTTCTTGGATCTATGAGTATATAATTTCCATCAAATTTGGATGGATTTTGGCTATTATTTCCTCAAAAAAAGAATTTTTTTTAAGATGGAGTCTCCCTGTGTCGCCCAGGCTGGAGTGCAGTGGTGCGATCTCAGCTCACTGCAACCTCTGCCTCCCGGGTTAAAGTGGTTCTCCTGCCTCAGCCTCCCAAGTAGCTGGGACTACAGGCACACACCACCATGCCTGTCTAATTTTTTGTATTTTTAGTAGAGACAGGGTTTCGCCATGTTGTCCAGGCTGGTTTCAAACTCCTGAGCTCAGGTGATCTGCCCACATCAGCCTCCCAAAGTGCTGGGATTATAGGCGTGAGCCACTGCGCCCAGCCTATTTCTTCAAATGTTTTTTTCAGACACACTTCCCACTCTGCCCCCCGACCCGCCTTTTTTTCTTGGGCTCCAATTTCAGGTATGTAGGACCACTTAATTTCATCCCACAAGTCAGGGCTTCAGTTTATTTTTTTCCCCAGTCTTTTTACCTCTCTGTTACTCATTATGGACAGATTCTACTGCTATGTCCTCAAACATACTGATCTTTTCCTCTATTTCTTTTTTTTTTTTTTTTTTGAGATGGAGTCCTGCTCTGTAGCCCAGGCTGGAGTGCAATGGCACAATCTCAGCTCATTGCAACCTCCCCCTCCTGGGTTCAAGCGATTCTTCTGCCTCAGCCTCCTGCGTAGCTGGGATTACAGGCACACACCACCGTGCCTGGCTAATTTTTTTGTAGTTTTAGTAGAGATGGGGTTTCGCCATGTTGGCCAGGCTGGTCTTGAACTCCTGACCTCAGGTGATCCACCTGCCTTGGCCTCCCAAAGTGCTGGGATTACAGGCGTGAGTCACCATACCTGGCCTCCTCTATTCTTTTTCATATCTTTCACTTCTCTCTTCATCTGTGCATGCTTCCCTTCACATACTTAAGCAGAGATCATATTTACATTGCTGCATGCTAATCCTATCATTTCTATCCGTTCTAGGTCTGCATCTATTGACTGATTTTTCCCCTGGTTATAGGTGACATTTTCCTGCTTCTTCATTGTCTAGTAATTTTTTATTGCATGCCAGATTATGATGGAGTCTTATATTTTGCTGTATTCCTTTAAAAATTATTACTTTGGCAAATAAGTACACTACTGTATTAGTTACCTATGCTGCATGACAAATTACTTCAAATCTTTAGTGGCTTAAAACAATCCATTTATGATCTCATAGTTTCTGTGGGTCAGAAAGCTTAGCGGAGTGCCTCTGGTTCAAGGTCTAGCACGAGGAGGCAATCAGGTTGTCAGCAGGGCTGCAGTTATCTCGAGGATCGAAGATCTGCTTCCAAGCTCATCTACATGGCTGCTGGCAAGCTTCAGAAGATCTGTTCCCACACTTCCTAATGTGGGCCTCTCTGCAGGGCTGGCTCACAACATGGGAACTGGGATTCCCTGGAGTAGGTGGCTCTAAGTGATAGCAAGAGGAACATTCAAGGCAGAAGCAAAGCTTTTTGTAACGATTTTAGCAGTGATAACCTTATCCCACCACTTCTTTTGCTTTGCCATATTCACTGGAAGCAAATCACGAGCTGCAGCCAACACTCAACAGGAGCAAATTACACAAGGAGCAACTACCACCAATGGGGGATCGCTGGGGAACATTTTAGAGGCTGCCTACTATAGCTACTTAAGGATCTCCTTGGTCCTTCTGCATCTTATTTTTAAAGATCTTTTACGGCAGATCTAGAATACTATTTACTCTGAGGGTATTTAGTTCTATGATACTTTCAGGTGTGGTCCTTTAGGAGTCTATAATGAATGCCATCTATTCAAAGAGGTGTCTCCACAGCGGCTGGTGGGAACTCAAATGATTTCCTGCCCTAGGTGAGCTACCAGAAGTGTTTGTGTGATAGCTCCCTGTTCCTGGAAATTGTTCCTGGAAAATTATTCTTGCGGGGCTGTTCCTGGAAAATTATCCTTGTGGGGTTTCACCCAATGCAGGTGCAGGTTGGTATTCAGGAAAAGACTCAAAGGGATGCCTACGCAGATTTCTATACTCCTTTCTCTATGCAGCTCCCTCCTCCCAGTATCTGCCCTGCAAATTCGAGCAGTCGCCTTCTCCTTGAATGTTGATTTGTGTCTACTCAGATCCAATTGGTTTTCTCTTCCCTGCTCCATGTAGGTTCATCTTCCCTGCACCACCACCTGGAAATTGCCTCCAGGAAAAGACTGTGGGCCACAGTAGGACTTACCTCATTTTAAAATTTTTGTTCAGGGATCACAGTTACGTACAATGTCTGAAAATAATTGTTTCTTATATTTTGTCCATCTTTCTATTAATCGTTGTTTGTGATGGCAGAATAATCCAGCCTGTTACTCCCACATAGCTAGAAGTAGAATTCCTACCCAGGGAGTTTTGAAAAACTAACAATCCCAAGCTTAGGCCCCAGTCCCCAGAGATTATGGTTTACCAGGATGAGGTCTGGGAATTTTACCTGTTTAAAAACTCTCCACATGATTTTTATATACGATTAGGTTTGAGACGCACTGTACTAACTAATCATGTACTAAAAAGCTACTGAATGTAGCTCATAAGTATTAGTTTTTTGCAACTTGTAGAAATATTTTTCACCTCCTATCTTTACAAAGATTTACAAAGTGATGCCTCATACATTAAACGTCAACTGATAAACACCACTTAAAGTTCATCTTATTTGAAGTTTATTACATTTGGCATCTTTATTTTGCTTTTATCTATATTTTCAGAATTTTAGATGAAGTTTGATTAATAGAGAGCACATAAAAAAAGCATTAAATCAGCTGCGCACAGTGGCTCACGCCTGTAATCCCAGCACTTTGGAAGGCTGAAGAGGGCAGATTGCTTGAGGTCAGGAATTTGAGACCAGCTTGGCCAACGTGGTTAAAACCGTCTCTACTAAAAATACAAAAATTAGCTGGGTGTGGTGGTGCACACCTGTAATCCTGGCTACTTGGAGGCTGAGGCATGAGAATCACTTGAACCCAGGAGGTGGAGGTTGCAGTGAGCCGAAATCATGCCATTTCATTCCAGCCTGGGCAACAGAGTGAGACTCCGTCTCAAAAAAAAAAAAAAAAAAAAAAAAAAGGTCATTAAATTGGTGGAACAGTATTCCCTTCCCTTCTTTTTAAATTACGACATAATGTCAGGCGTGGTAGCTCATGTCTGTAATCCCAGCACTTTGGGAGGACCAGGCAGGTGGATTACCTGAGCTCAGGAGCTCAAGACCAGCCTGGGCAACGTGGCAGAACCCTGTCTTTACCAAAAACACAGAAAACAGCCAGGCATGGTGGTGCACGCCTGTGGTCCCAGCTACTTGGGAGGCTGAGGTGGGAGGACTGGTTGGGCCTGGGAGGCAGAGGTTGTGCAGTGAGCCGAGATCATGCAACTACACTCCAATCTGGGTGACAGAGGGAGACCCCGTTTCGGGGTAAAAAAAAAAGGACATAACATCTTGTATATACATGCAAATGCAAAGCCACGAACTCACAATATAAATGCGGAGGGAGCACACTAGTAAACACAGCACAAATGTCTCAACTCGAAAATGCTCCCCAACACCATTATTTTAGGGAAGAGGTGCAGCCAGGGCTACCCTTTATCACAGGATAATGGGGTTTAGGCAATGTTTCCTTTGGCTACTCTCACCTATGTGGAAATACTCCGCCTCAACTATACTGTCCAAAAGCGGCTGAATAAAATGCACAATGAGCGGCCTCTTGAGCACTACTGAATAGCCCTCTGCCCCGCTTCTCATCTGCATTCCACAATGGCACGGAGGAGCAACTTTTAAAACTTGTTTCTAATGTATCAATAATGACCTGTGCCGGACCTGTTACAAAACAGCCCTCATGAATCATGCTTCTCTGAATTCATGCCTTGTGCACCCCTTCCACTCTGAATCGCAGCTGCCCTGTGACTTGCTTGGATTAAAATAGCAGGACAGAAGTGTCACTGTCCAAGTTCCAAGCTTAGGTCTTCAGAGGCTTTGCTAACTTTCATTTTCAGTCTCTTGGAGCTGGAGATAACCATGCTGTGAAGGAGCCTGAGAAGACAAATCACATGAAGAAAGCAGCCCAGGAATCCTGCTGAGCCCAGGCCCCATCCCACCTTCTCTGTGAATTCAACTGCAGGAATGAGCCCAGGAAAGCCAGCAAAGAATTGCCTAGTCAACTCAGAGAAATGTGAAAACTAACAAAACTGTTCTTTCAAGCCACTAAGTTCTGAAGTGATTTGCTATGCAGTAAAGGCTGAGACATGGCAACCACATATTCTACTCAAGAGACACCTTTGTGTCTTAGTGTAGTGACTAAAGTCACTGAATCCAGACAGCCTAACTCTGAACCCCTACTCTACCACTTAATTGCATGAACCTCGGCAAGTTACTTAACCTTTCTGGGCCTCAGTAACCACATGTGAAAAATACAGATAAGAACAGTACCTAATACCCAAGAGTTGTAAGGATTAAATGAGTTAACATTATAAAGTATTCAGAACAGTGTAGAACACATAGCAAGTGTTCAACTGTTGTTAGCCATCATTATTAGAGTCTATCAGAATAACACAATTTACACTTATATAATTTATCTCTATTAAAGATATTTATAGTATTTTAGGAAACAAATTCTAGATACATCCCTGCTGAGGTAGTCATTTACCCAACTAATACAGGTGTAAATGACTGTGAAGAAAAGGCCTCAACTTTCAGATTCTGAGGCTCTAAGAGCCTCCTGTGGTTCCAGGCACTCACCTGCATAGGGGACACAGCTGCTGCAGGAGGGGTTTTCATAGGACTTGGGCTCAGGGGCGTTCGAGGAATTGCAGCTGCAGCAGGGTTTGGTACTACAAAAACAACAAACAAAAAGGGAAATAATGTCACTGTACAGTGGAAGCTTAACTGGTCTCCACTTAAGGACTCGCCTGATTACCCAATGCTCTCAAACCCCGCTGGACACTGTCTTGGCTGATGTCTAGCCTCTGCTGAACACTTGTAGCCATGTCTTAGCACACAGGTGCTTTTCCTCCCATCAGGTGAATTATTTGCATCTGTAGAGTAGTCATGCTTATTTCTAACCCTTGTTATGGCAGTCATTTCGTTTTTGTTATTTAATTATGTTATGTAGTTAAAGTGCTCCATAAAGCAATGAAATTCAAGTAGTAAAACCCAAGAGGAGTATTTACATAACTATATCAGGTAAGAAGCCTGGCAGGTAAAGGATGTTCAATAGTTGCATATTAAACAAAAGAATGAGGAACTCCTGCTTCTGCTTGTCTTTCCTCAATTCCTCCTGCAGAGTCCATCACTTCGCATATATTTTCTGATTTGTATTTAATGCAGGGATGTGGAATCACTTGTTGGCATATCAGTCTCTCTCTCTCTATAATAAACTGCTGAAAAGTAGTTTATGTTTTTAGAATTTATTAATATCTAAACAGTTGAGCATAGCACAGATTCTGGTAAAGGCTGCAAAAATGATTATTCATTTGATGCTGAATTAAATTAAAAATGGGATACAAACACACAGTGTGGAAAGATGAAGCAGACCACTGTGGACTTTTTTAATGCAGCCAATATAAACACGAATATATTTACTTATATTTAGAATTGATATCTTTAGATGTATTCTTATGTACTGAGACAAAATTCACAAAACATAAAGTTAACCGTTTAAAAATGTGCAGTTCTGTGGCATTTAGTGCATTCAAAATATTATGCAACCATCACCTCTACCTAGTTACAAAACATTTCATAATTCCAAAAGAAAACCTAGTATCCCAATAGTCACTTCCCATCCACTGTCCCGCCAGCGTATGGCAATCTGCTTTCTGTCTCTATGGACTGACCTAGTGTGAATATTTAATATAAACGGAATCTTACAATATGTGACCTGTTGTATCTGGCTTCCTTCAATTAACATAATGTTGTAAAGATTCATCCATGTTAAAGTATGTGTTACTACTTCATTCCTTCTTGTGGCTGAATAATATTCCATTGTATGAATATACCACATTTTGTTTATCCATTCATCGAATGCATGGATACTTGGGTTACTTCCATCTATTAGCTATTGTGAGCAGAGCTGCTACGAACATTTATGTACAAGCACAGATGCTTCTTGATTTATGATGGAGTTATGTCCTGATAAACCCATCATAAGCAAGTCAAAAATGCATTTAATACACCTAACCTCCCGAACATCCCAGCTTAACCTTGCCTACCTTAAACAAGATCAAAACATTACATTAGCCTACAGTTAGGCAAAATCATCTAACATGAAGCCTATTTTATAATAAATGGCTATGTTGAATAACTCATTTAAATTACTGAATGCTGTACTGAATGTGTATCGCTGGCACTACTGTAAAGTCAAAAAATCAAAAGTTAAAGCATCGTTAAGTCAGGGACTGTATTTGTCTGATTATCTATTTTCAGTTCTTTTGAATATATAATTAGGAGTAGAATTGCTGGGTCATTTACATATATTTTATTATAAAATAACATGAGGCTTTTAAAAAACATTAGTATGAAGCAGTTTTGTGCATTAAAGCATGCTTTATTAACATTTTGAATAGGTGTATAATTTTAATTTAATGTAGACATTCCATTATCAATTTGATTTTCAAAGCATATATATATTTTATTCTTTAGAGACAGAGTCTTGCTCTGTTGTCCAGGCTAGAGTACAGTGGCTATTAACAGGTGTGGTGATAGCATGTTACCACCTCGGCCTCATAAGTAGTTGGAACTACAGGCACTTGTCAGCTCAAAGCATATATATTTTAAAGTTCTCCTTTCATCTTACCCCATCATATTACCCAGAGGTGGCCACTAACAACAGTTCTGGGTACATCTTTCTTGCACTTTAAATGCAAAAACATTTAGTTATCTAAGTACCTTAAAAAAACAAGACCACACACACTATATATGTACACACACACATATAGGTATATATAGATATATACATATATATATATATGTACTGGCCTGCAATTTACTATAAAGGATTGCAGCGCACAGAGCGACTGCTCAGGTGGCACACTTGAATAAAGGATCACAGACATGTTTTAACATCAGTACTTTGAGATCTATGTCATCCTTATTAAAATATGCATATTATTTTACTGTATTAATTGGTCATAACTGTCTTAATTCTTTTAGTAGGTATTTAAACAATTTCTAGGTGTTCCATTTTTCCAAACAATGCTATACTGAAAACTCTGTATATGTATACATATGTATACATACACATAAGAGTTTTTCATACATAATACTATCTTTATACATAATACTTGTGCCAGTACTAAGTATAACAACTTCAGAGTCTGTAAAGATAGTATTATACATAACACTATCTTATATTATACATAATACATATAAAGATGGTACTATGTATAATACCATCTTTATGCATAATACTTGTGCCAGTACTAAGTATAACAACTTCAGAGTCTATGAATACGGCATTTTAAACTGGAAGGTGTTGCCTAACAGTCCTCCAGAATGTCTACACCAACAGTGTGTAGGAGTATACATGTGACTTTTGCTCTGCTTTTAAAGTCAATGAAAACTCATTTGTGTATAATCACAGAATACAGATTCTAGTAGCCTGTTAATAAAGTTTAAAGAATTTCTAGATAAAAATTTGAGCTTCTGGACATATTACAATTAACTGTTTGAAAAAACCACATCCCTTTTCCTTTCCCAGAGCTGAGGAAGTTAGATGAAAACAAGTCAGTCATTTGAAAGTGGGAAGAGTAAGCCTTCTAGAGCTTGTATGAAAGAAAGCCCAGCTTGATTCAGAACCTGAAGTGCTGTGTAGGACTATAGTGAGTGGGGGAAGAGTGGTTCAACTGAGGCAAAGAGTAGGCAGGGGTCAGACCATGGAGGCATTTGGGAATCTGAATTTCATTTCAACTATAATAAGCAACCGAAGGATTTTAAACAAGAAAAGATCTTTTTATCATGGGATGAAACAGGGAGATTAATTTGGAGGTTACTGAAATTAGTGGTTGATGGTGGCTTGAACTAAAGCTTGTGCCGCTAGAGATGGAGAGAAGACAAAGCAAAGATATCCATGATGTAGGCTGTATCAACAGAATTTGCTAGTAATGGACTAGATGTAGTGGTAAGAAAGAACAAGAAATTAAGGAAGATCCCCAGACTTTTGGCTTAAGTAACTGGGTAGAGTGATGCTGCCATTGATGCATGGGGAGAAGGCTGAAGATGGCAGACAAGAGTTTGGTTTTTGGACTTCAGATGTCCAGGAGACACCTGAGGGTCCATGTCAGGTAGGCATCTGGATAGACATGACTGAGGTGTTCAGAGGAAGGGAAGAGCTAAAGTTATACATCTGGAAGTTCTCAGGCATAGAAAACATACTTAAAGTAACAGGAATGTGTGTGATCCACCGAGGGTGAGAAGACACATCTCTGCATGGGATTCAGGCTTCTGTCTAAGACTAACACCTCTGAAGCTGAAGAGATCTCAAACCTTCTATTAAATATCACCTTCTGTTAAGTCTAGTGCATTAATACTATATGAAAGTTAATGGGACTAAGAGTAAGACAGTAAAGAATACCAAATCAGACCAGAGAATATAAGGTAAGTGAACACAACCGCATGCAGTAGGCACAATGTAGGAGAAATTAATTACCTTGAGATGCACTGTCAAAGGACTTGATGAGGGTTTTTACTGTAGGAGTTGGCTCTGAGGAAGTCGAGGACCTTCTACTCAGTCCCATTCCCTGCCTTAAGGCTGCCAAATCTCTCTCAACGGCATTCATGTAATTGTATACCCGGCCTCGCTCCTCCTCTTGCCTGAAAATAATATTGAAATCAGAGCATTTTTACATAGGTACTAGAACATACACATTTTCCCCTCCCAGCTGAAAGGCATTAAAAACTATCAGTTTAATGGCCGGGCACGGTGGCTCACACCTGTAATCCCAGCACTTTGGGAGGCCGAGGCAGGAGGATCACGAGGTCAGGAGATCGAGACCATCTTGGCTAACACGGTGAAACCCCATCTCTACTAAAAATACAAAAAATTAGCCAGGCACGGTGGTGGGCGCCTGTACTCCCAGCTACTTGGGAGGCTGAGGCAGGAGAATGGTGTGAACCCATGAGGCAGAGCTTGCAGTGAGCCGAGATAGTGCCACTGCAGTCCGGCCTGGGCAAAAGAGCGAGACTCCATCTCAAAAAAAAAAAAAAAACAACAAAAAACTATCAGTTTAAAAAAATTGTATCAGTTGAGCTTAGTAAATTACCTGGTCTAATGTTCTCATTTGCTTGGTAAATACCAGGAAATGATACTGAAATTTTTATATCAGGTTATCCTAAGTAAGTTAAGCAACCATCAAATTCCATTTTCATCTGAGTAAGTGTAAGGTAAGGACATCAGTAATCAATTAGCAGTAAAAAAGGAGGTAGACTGGCTCAGAGCTGAGACTCTCCAGGTCCTGTGCTGCCGAGAAGGCCCTTCTCAGGAGTCTGGAGGTTCACCAGTACCTGATAACTATATAATATTAATTTATACTGGTATAATATTAATTTATACTGGCTCCAGCTAATACATCATGCTTAGCCCACACTCTTTAAAAAAATAAAAATAAAAACAAGGCAAGTGGTGTAGACTTCAAATAGAATTCTACAAAGAAAAAAAAAAAAAAGCCTAGACCCATATTAGTAACATGAGTCCCCTAGAAGCTCAGTGTGATGCATCCTGAGTCATTTGAAAAAATCAATTCCATTTCATTTCTGGCCCATTCTAAATTCACTACGCTGACTAACACAGAATTATTTCATCTGGAATGAGATTACAATTGCAGAGTTTGTATATGTCATATAACTATCAAGTATGTGAATAAAAATTAAGCCAGTCCTTAGGAAAAATCCGTCTTTGGTGGCCATTTGGCTTCTGACAGTATTTTGCCTCAAGATGTACCACAGGCTCTTAAGGTCATTTAGCTGTCATGATTACAACTTTCTTTTCTTTTTTTTGAGATGGAGTTTCGCTCTTGTTGTCCAGGCTGGAGTGCAGTGGCGCATCTCGGCTCACCGCAACCTCCACCTCCCAGGTTCAAGTGATTCTCCTGCCTCAGTCTCCCGAGTAGCTGGGATTACAGGCATGTGCCACCACCCCCGGCTAATTTTGTATTTTTAGTAGACATTGGGTTTCTCCACGTTGGTCAGGCTGGTCTCAAACTCCTGACCGCAGGTGATCCGCTCACCTAGGCCTCCCAAAGTGCTGGGACCACAGGCATGAGCCACTGCGCCCGGCTGATTAGAACTTTTAATAAAGAATCTATAACAGTGACTATCAAACTTTTTGGTCTTAGAGCCCCTTTCTACTCCTAAAAATGAGTAAGGACCCCAAAAAGCTTTTGTTTATAAGAGCTGTCTTCCATTACATTAAAACTAAGAATATATACAAATATTTAATCATCTAAAAATAAAAATAAATACAGGGCTAATATATTTTTATGAAAAATAACTAAGTTTTCCAAAACCAAAAAAAAAAATTAGTAAGAAGAGTAACAGGGCTTTGCATTTTTAAATCATCTCTTTAATGTCTGGCTTAAGAGTAAACAGCTAAACTCTCATTTCTTCTGTATTCAACCTATTTTGATATAAAAAAAGCAAGTCTTACATAGATAAGGCAGGTGGAAAAGGGAAGATTTTAATAGGCCTTTTAGATAACTGTAGCTGTTCTTCTTTGATAACTGCACTAAAATGCAACAAGTAGTAACTTAAAAGTTAGCTCCAATGTGGAATCTGAAACCATATAAGTGAACTTTTCCTATTCTGCCCATTAAAATCCACTGGTCAATCTTGTTTAACATCACAGACTGGCTGTAAGGAAAATACTGGTTCACTGAATTAGACAGATTTTCTAAATTCTGTCATTATACATTTTTTTTAAGTCGCAATGATCTCATCAGAAGACACTTTATGGGAAGCTGCCAAACTCACCAATGGTAAATAACAAATTTTCCAAAATCCTAACATTCACTTCAAAGCCCACATTTTATCACTGGCAACGAATACTGTCAGTTGTTTTCCTTTAAGTGATAGGCTGTCTTAACTGTTTTCACAAAATACCCACCAAATAATACCAAAGTCTGAATGATGCACAGTTTGTCTGTCATTCTCAAGTAAAAAAATGGCATTCCATGAAAAAAGAAAGCAGCTCAAACTAATCACAGCACTTTCCTCAACGTGACCTCACTCTTCAGTATAGTCTTGAGTATAGCACATAAAGCAGAAGTGCTTTTTCTGTACTTCCCATTTTGTCACACAAAATGCTAAAGAGTGTACTCAAGGACTGGGATTTAGTAAAATTAATAATTTAATGTTTTACCAAGGACATCTTTAAGTGAAACCTACATTAAAAAAAAATCAAGTATGTGGTGGTGAAGAGTATAATGACTATGAGTGCAATTTATTGCCAAGACCTTGGTTCATCAACAGTTTACACTTGCTTTTCACTAACAGTTTAGAAGTCAACACAGTGAAAAGGGCAAACAATGTGATGGTATTATGAAGACAGTATGACCTCACAGAGTCCTTAAAGGGCCTTAGGGACACCCAGGAATCTGCAGGCCTCACTCTGAGAACCACTGTCCTACAAGATGCTACCTCTTTCAGAAAGCATTTTAAAAACATGTGTCTCAAAGTCTTATGAATTTTTGAGATCCAAAGGAATGAAACTTTAACAGTAGAATTTCATTCACTCAGGATAACTATAGAATGAAGCATTTCTGATATGTTATTCGTTTAATAATAAAGAGAAAAAAGTAATGTAATACATGTTTTATACTAGTAGAGAAACAATAATCTGTCTCATTCCATGTTCTGCTTAAGGAATCCAATGAAAAATGCTTAGCAATACTTTTCTCTGAGCCATTTACTAGAGCAAGGCAATGATAAGACCATTTTTTAAAGATATACTGTTAGTTTTCTAAATTTCTTCCTATGCCCACTTAATAATTACTCAAACTAAGGAATAATCAAATTCTTAGTAATAACCTCAAACACAAAAATACTATCCCCTACTCTTAGATGGAGTCTCAGTGTGGAGCTCACATGTCACAACTGTCATTTCATCTAATAATTTTCATCAGTTTCCAATGATGTCTATGTTACATGGGGAAAAAAAACCTACTGTGGAGATTCATGCAATTATAAGATAAAACAAGTGAAAATTCCTCAAGTAAGTGATAGAGAGAAACTCACTTTGCATTCTTTACTTGGGTCTCCAAAAATACCAGCTAAAGTATACTGATCATTGCCCTGAGCACTTGGCAGGCATTATCTTATTTAATCCTTATGACAACACTGTAAGGCAGGTAGTATTGTGTCATTTTAAAGATGAGAAAACTGAGGCTCAGGGAAGTCAAGATTCCTGACCAAGATTACAGCTAGTAAGAGGCAGAGCTGGACACGAGCCAAGAATATCTGTCTCCAGAGTCCACATCATTAATCATGAGGCTACAATCTAAAGAAAATTAACAGGGCTGGACTGTGGGTCTGGGGGAAAGGAGAATCATGTGAGAGACCATCCTGGCTCCCTCCAGAGTTGGGGATCACTGATACTGACAACTCTGAAAGATCCACATAGATGGTACTAGTTTACATGTGCCATAAAATGAGGCCCAGAAAAGCTGAGTAACTTCCATCAGATCCAAACTCAGTAAGTATCAAACTCCACATTTTTTCCATAGCACCACATCAAAAATTGGGATTTAAGTGTTCTCTACTGAAACATAAGTACACAACAGGTTTCTCAGAACTTACTTGCGTGACTTTATTTCCTCCAATTCTTTTGTGAGTTTCTCATTTTTTTCTTGAGCCTCATGTAACCGGCGCTTTAGATCACCAATCTCCTCTTGGGCTTCAGATTTAATGTCATTTGCAATGACTACTGCAGTCTGGAGATCAGCCTGAAACTGCCGCCATTCCGCAGATTCTTCCTATATTAAAAAACTAACTTTTTATTTCCAAAAGAGAGCAATCAAGATTTATTTAAAAGCAATAAAATTTGTTTATGATTGGATTGCTATAATGCACTAATGCTTCCAAATGATGATTAATTTTTTTAATCCCAGAGAATTGCTAGTATCTATTTCTAACAGGCAATGCAACTATTATTAGTGAACTTGTTCTTAATAAGGAAAAGATTTTCCAGCTGATCTGCCTACTGAGGCATCAAGTACTCAGAGTGCTCAACAGATATTAATGATAATAATGTCAAGCTTCCCTTCTTCATGCAAGTTTCAAAGCAAGTCTTATGAAAATAAACATCATCCAGAATTTATGGATGTTTACCTCTGAAAAGCACAAAAAGGTATATAAATGGTATGTGAACCATACAGTGAAAAACTATAAATAGCCTGACATCAAAATCTAACAGGAAAAAAAAAAATCAAAAGAAAAGGAAGAGGAAGAGGAAGCCAGAAGAAAAACACTAAACTCAATATAGGCAGGCAAAATTATACAAAGAGGCGGTAAGGAACTACGTGGTCTGTTGCTTCCCACAGTCATGGAGGATGCGGGTGTGGCCGGGTGGGGAAGTCTCCCTGGGACTCACCTCCATCAGAGCCATAGCTGGGGCATGCCTGAGCCCCACGCCCCCTACACCCCTAAAGCAATTTTCTTACACCATGAAAGCAGCCTGAGCAACTGTGGTATGACCCAAACGACTGAGTAGCTTTCTCCCTACTCCCTGCAGCATGGCTGCATTGCTGTTGGCAAGATGGATCATGGCCACAAAATGAAGAAAACTTGTATGAAAACAGACTAGTTTGGGGCACCTTATAACCAAAAGCTAATAACCTTTCTTACACTTTTTCCCCAAATCTATCTTTCTAAAATTACTACCCATAAATTTCTACAGGTCGAGTATCACTTATCCAAAAGCATTTCAGATTTAAGATTCTTTGGATTTTGGAATATTTGCACTATACTTAACAGCTAAGCATCCCAAATCTGAAAATCCGAAATCCAAAATGCTCCAATAAGCATTTCCTTTGAGTATCATGCCATCACTCCAAGAGTTGCAAATTTTGGAATATTTTAGATTTCAGAATGTCTGGTTAGGGGTACTCAACCTATAGTACATTCTTCTACCCAAAATCTAGCACCAATCCCAATTTGAAATGATAGCATTTGCTTTCTGCCCAAAGCCCAATGGGGCCAGTATTATCACTGTATCCAAAACTTAAGATGAATGATAACATGGTCAATGACTACACCTCAGATTTCAGAAAACCGTTTTCTAACAAGACAATACATGAAGATTTATCCTACCCGAAGTCTTCTGTGGAGTGTCTTTATTTCTCTTTCCATGTCGTGCTTTTGGTCCTGGAGTTTTTTAACTGTATCTGAAAAGATCACCAAAGTTTAAATATCTATTCTCACAACAATCTTCAGAGTAATAATACAAAGAAAAGGGATACTTAAATATGACATTCGAAAAAAGTTATCCTGTCCAAAGACTATAAAAAATTTTAATACAAAACTTTAACAGAAAAAATGTTAAATTCAAGTAATAACAAATATTACTTTCTTTGGAAAATATCAAGTTAAAAATCACAATTTCTAAATCACTTCCTTCCACAGTATCTTAATTTTGAAACAAAAAGTAAAACCGTTAGAAATTCACTTTGTTGGTACATAACCAATCAAAACAATATTGACTGTGACTACAATATGAACTTTTAATCACAAGTATTATTAATCTGCAGTATTTATATAAGCATAGCTTTCCTTACACACTGGAATAAATTCCAGAAAAGAAGTGAATTAGTAAAATCAAAATTAGTAAAAAATATAATACTCAGGGTAGCTGCTGTTTCAATTAATTCTATAAAAATCTTTTTAAAAAATAAAGAATATATTTATAAAGTAAATCAATAATTCCTCAAATTATTTATCCGATAATGTGAATTTTCTTAGAACAATTTCATTCACTCTAAAAACATTCAATGAGCACCACCAATAAGATGCAAAGTACCATTCTAGATAGAGTGAGGATACAAGGATGAAAGTGTAGCACAGGCTAGTCTCCCTGGAACCAGAAACGTAAAGGGAAGTCACCTTCTCTTTGGAGGTTCTACTCTAAAATCCATGCATAAGAGATAAATGACTTAGGAGGGTGCTATGCTGATAGCTGCCACTAAGTAAACCGCTTACGGCTGTGTTACTTTGACAGCTCAGGAACCAATCACTTTTTGGTTAAGGGCAAGAAAGGGTACTTACACAACTGGTGGCAAATCCTTTACCCTGATTTACCTACAGCCCCACCCCAGTAGATCCCTGGCTGTTGTGTGTGTTCCAAGTGTGTCTTACACAGCCTTGTACCATGTTGCCGCCAATATTACCACATCTCGACACATCTGTCTCGACCACTAGACTAAAAACACTTCAAAGGCAGAAGAAGCCATGTGATGACCTCACAGACTCAGTAGTTGGAATATGGTATCTTTAAAATGGAATAAATTTATAAATGTGCCAGCTAATGGTAGCAGTAATAAAAAGTAATGCTGAAATCGTTACCTAGGTTTTTGTTTTTTTTTTAATAAGTATCCTATTGACAGAACTTAACGATTTATCATTAGGGAAAACATAACTATAGACATTAGTGTTTCTGGGTAAATAACATTCTCTCCCATTCCTTATACTTAGTAGCAGGAATTCAGGCATAGTGAACACCTGCTTGCAATGACACATGTAATCAAAAAATTCTTCCTCTAGCTAACACTTTATTGGCTTTTAATTAGGACCCTAAAGTATGAGTATGCTGATGTTCTTTCTTTCTTAGATGGCTCATCATCTTCTTTACCCCTGTTCCACTAGAACCTTCTCTTCTAAAATTTTTTTGCCATTATGCTTTACATTTGATGTTGGTATATGTGTGTTCTGATGTTTTTTTTTTTTTTTTTTTTTTTTTGAGACGGAGTCTCAATCTGTTGCCCAGGCTGGAGTGCAGTGGCATGATTTCAGCTCACTGCAACCTCTGCCCCCTGGGTTCAAGCGATTCTCCTGCCTCAGCCTCCTGTGGAGATGGGATTATAGGCGCCTGCCACCACGTCCAGCTAATTTTTGTATTTTTAGTACAGACGGGGTTTCACCATGTTGGCCAGGCTGGTCTTGAACTCCTGACCTCATGATCCACCCGCCTCGGCCTCCCAAAGTGCTAGGATTACAAGCATGAGCCACTGCACCCAGCCAGTGTTCTGGTATTTTTAAATGGCATGAATTCACTTTAACAACATAGAGCCTAGAATATTTACAACAATTATATGTGGAATAATAATTATTACAAATAAATAATAATGCTGTATTTTCTAAAGCTGGATCAGAAATAAATGGGATAAAACGTTGGCGGCAGGGGCAATTCTGGTAGGCAGTAGTTAACTTGCTCTCATTCACTGCCCCAAAACTGTGTAACAAAGTCAGGTCCTGTGAAATAAAAAGGTTCAAAATTTACTCTTTAATTTGATAAATGTGTCATATGTACCAACTTTGTACCAGGCTTTTTTCTAAGTGCTTAAGATGTAAAGGAAAGGAAAGATATAATCTTCATCCTCTTAGAGACAGAAAGGCTAGTCTTGTGTTGAGACAACAAGGGTAGATGACTTCATAAGCAAAAGATTAAACTTTAAAGCCTGTCTCACACATAAGGTACTTCAGACTCAACCTGCAAACGAAGAGTCAAACAGGCCATCTAATCTGGTTTGGGTAAAGCAGACACCAAGCTGAGTAGACGAGTCTAATGCCCTGATCCTTATCTCTGGAGGCAAGGATGGCTCTGGAATCAGCAAGGGAACTTGGTTCCTTGCGACCTCACACATAGACAAATTCAGGGTTTTGGACATAAGACGAGGAGTAAGGACAGAAGCTGAAAAATTTCTAATGTTGAAAACACTGGGAGTTACACCTTTCATTTACATTGTATCAATTTATATGCAAGAAATATTTCATAATCAAAACAGGCGGTCAGGCGTGGTGGCACAGGCCTGTAATATCTGCTGATCACCTGAGGTCAGGAGTTCGAGACCAGCCTGGCCAACGTGGTGAAACCCTGTCTCTACTAAAAATAAAAAATTAGCCGGGTGTGGTAGTGGGCGCCTGTAATTCCAGCTACACAGGAGGCTGAAGCAGGAGAATCGCTTGAACCCGGGGGGCAGAGGTTGCAGTGAGCCAAGATGGTACCACTGCACTCTAGCCTGGGCACCAAGAATGAAACTCCATCCCAAAAAAGCAAACAAACAGCAAAAAACAGGCAAGCAAACAAAAAATGTTAGGAGTGTAATTTCTCTTGAAATTTGCTGAAAATTGTTTTCTTTTTCTTGTCACAAAGGACATGACACATCTACTTACTGTTAAACATAATACACACATGACAAATGACAGCAAATCTCAGGACAGCTCACTTTTAACATTTGGCATTTTGATTCTCAGGTGACATTTTAAGCTACCTGGTCATCTTAGACTGATCATAAATTCTCAAGTTGCATTCATTCCTTTGCTCTTTTTCTCTTTATTGACCTTTTTTCATTCATGGCCACAGAATTCACATAATCACTGTTCTTTAAAAGGTGTTTTTCTGCCCCCGGCACTACATTTTTATTACTGTCACCTCTTATAAATAAATAAATAAATAAATAAATAAATAAATAAATAAATCCATTTAAGTAAAAGGGAAAGTGGCAGCCAGTGGAAATACTCAGACAGAATAAAATGCACTAAAAGTGTCTGTAGGGATTTGATTTAAACTTTACAATCTCTACAGTCATGACTACGTTTTTACTCTGAAATGGAATGTATTTTTTTTTCCTGGAAACAAAGGAATTTGTGCTTAAGTTCTTGTTGTGAAGACTAGTTTGCAAAACTGCCATCTAGCACGATTTGTGGTCACACAAGAAAGCAGCATTACTCTTCAACTCTCGAACCTCTAACAGCAGTTTCCTTCCTCTTCAGTGTTCCTACTGTGAGGGACACTGCCATCTACTGTCTTCAACTCAAAAGCAACATTCAAGTCGACCAAGGAAAAGAACTACTACTATGATCTTCCTATTTTTAAATTACAAATTATAACTCAATTTTTACAATGTTATTTTTATTCTAGAGATCAGGCAAACTGCTGTTCTCAATGTTATTAGACCAACTTTGTTCTGAACAACTCTGGGCACTGCCCTACTCATTTAATAATGGGTTCATAACTTTTGAGTCCCATTATTGATTATGAACCCCATTATTCTCTGACAAAAAATAATCCATTCTCGCTCTGGTTATATCTCCATCAATCATGCTGATATTGCCAGGCAGTTACCATGGACACAGGATCAATCTGTGACTTTTTCTTTTCTGTTTTGAAATAAAGTCTCACTCTGTCACCCAGGCTTGACTGCACTGGCACAATCTCAGCTCACTGCAGCCTCCGTCTCCTGGGTTCAAGCGATCCTCCCACCTCAGCCTTCCAAGTAGCTGGGATTACAGGCACCTGGCACCACACCCAGCTAATTTTTGTATTTTTAGTAGATACGGGGTTTTACCATGTTGGCCAGGCTGGTCTCAAACTCCTCAACTCAAGTGATCTGCCTGCCTTGGCCTCCCAAGGTGCTGGGATTACAGGTGTGAGCCACTGTGCCCAGCCTGGTTCGGTTTTGAACTCCCAAAGTGCTGGAATTACAGGCATGAGCCACCGTGCCCAGCCCTATTTTATTACTAAATGCAAATTATCCCCGCATGTTTAAAAGAGTAGGACAAAAAAGAATGAAAAGTTCTTATCACTTACTCTCTAGATCAGAAATAATGAGGTTGTCATGAAGTTTCACAGCACGATGTTGTTCTACTTCATCTTCAAGTTCAAAGATGGTTTCTTTCATGTCACTCCTTTCTGTTTCTTTTTCATCCAGGTCTGATCTTAATTTTTCTAACGTCATATTCAAATCTTCAATTTGTTTCTTAGCTTCTTCTTGGAAGGCTCGGTATTCATCCTCTACCTACGTAAAATTGACGATGCAGATTTAGAAAAGTTAAGAGTTGTTCTAAGGTACGTTCCAGAATTGAGGTACACACAGTTTCCAAGGGGAGCTAAGTATGAGGCACTATGGATAAACTAAAACAACCTGTGTAATAACTGTTAAAAAGTATGAAAAAGCACTCCATGGTAAGATTTTATCTAATACACTTAAACTGTTGCTGTAACACTGACTGAAATTATATTGATGTATCATTGAACTTAACCTGATTATTTACAAGGAAACTTTGGAAATTTTCGTTTCTCCTAACTTTGGACTGAAAGCATGTACGTTTGTTTAATGATTAACATGTTGTCCTAACAAAAATGATGTCATATTTGTGACGGTTCCAGTATCAAACTGAAAAAGGGAAAACAATTCTCAAATAGTGTTTTTACAAAAGTATTAGTTCACAGTAGCCTCTCAACATGTATGTGCCAAGAACTAATACAAATCTCCTAAACTGTAACTTTAAAAGTGATCACTAAAAACACCCTAAAATCTAAATTACTCAAATTTTAGCCAAAGATATATGAAAATTTATTTTAAAATCATTGCACTAAAATAACAAATAAATAAAATGTAAGCTAGAATAACTAGTATAACTAGAATAACTCATGGAAATAAACAGTTCATCAGCAACCACATGGGGTATAGATAGATCCCTGGCCAGAATGCCAGTGGCCCTGGGTAGCAGTTCCAACTGAGTCCTCACTATTATGCTGGAGGCATGTACAACAAGGGTCTGGACTGATAATTGCTAAGGTCCCTGCCAGCAATAAATCACAGGCCTCTGAGAAACAGGAGCCTCTATATGCCAAAAATATTTTTTAACTATCAACAGATCTCTATTTGAAAAACTATTACTATAGCAAGATAAGAGGAAACATGCACTGCTGATGCTACAGACTGGAATACTGACTCTCCACCTATTACACCAAAACAGATTCGAGATGAGGCGGGGGGAGGTAAAATTTCATGACCCGCTCCATAGGAATACTCAGAACTAGGGACAAATTCTGGTTTTAGCTGTAATACCAGCCATATCCTCTCACAGGCAGGAAAACAGAAACAAAATACAAGTGAGAGAAAGTGACATTATCTTAAGAATACTTTTCACACTATTCCAATAAAAGGAAACCATTCCCAAGTTTTAAAAATATCAGTTTTAAAAAAAAGCTAATAACACACCAAACCAAACCAGTAACCCAGGTTCTCAGTAAACACTGTGCATGGCAGCTGCCTAATGCTGTCCGGAACATTTTAATCTATTTAAACAATACCTTAGCAATGGCATCCTGTAATCGATTGGCATCATTTCGGGTATGAGCCAGATCTTCCTGCAAGCTACTAGCCAAAGTCTCTGCTTTTTCTTTGTCCAGCCTGACACTCTCCAGGAGGTCCTGAATATCAGATTTGTCTCCAGAGTTATGGATAGAATACAGCTCTGCCACTTTCTGCTTTTCATTCTCCAGCTGAGCCTTCAGGCGATTCATCTCTATCTGGTCACTGGCCACTGTGGCTTTGTATTCCTCTAACGTGGCTGCCAAGGCTGCTTTTCCTTTCTGCTCAGACTCAATAATTCGCTCCATATGGTGACTGCGTTCTTTGAGTGCCCCTATCATTTCTTGAGCTTCCTTATTGTCTTGTTCTGCCATTTTCAAAGTATTGCTTAAATGCTGCTGGACACCAAGAAGCTGCTCCCGTTCAAAACGGGCATTCTCAGCGAGGTCCATGTAACGTTGCTCTAATTCCATATAGCGCCCACTTTTTACATCTTCATCTATGACATAAGAAATGTGATGCTCATCTAGAAGAGAGCGGAAGTATTCAATCTGTCGACTAAAGTGTTCCAACTTATCGCTCTGCTGACATAAAGACTCCATCAGAATAACCTTCTCTTCTCCAAGCCTTTCGTTTTCACTATTCAGTTCCTGGGTAATCTGCTGTAAATCAGCTAGCTCTTGCAGGGTTGCCTGGAGTTCCTCACTTGTACTGTGTTGGTTCTCTTCCATCTGGTGTATCCGTTCAGTCAGGCAAGCCACGGACACTTCACTGGCATTCCCGCTGCTCCCCTTCCGGGAGCGCTCTATGCTGGGGATGCCTTCCGACTCTGAGGAGGATGGTGCATCCAGCGCATCATCGCTCGATGTGAGGGGCTGGTAGACCTCACTGCACTCACTGTCTAAATTGTCCATGGAGTTACTGTGCTGATGGTCCATTAGTGTATTTTCATCCTGACTCAAGAGATCCTCCACTGAGCCAGGGGCAGAGCCTTCCACTGAAGAAGTCAGAGTTCCTCCTCCATCGCTCTGGTTACCAGGGGTGATTTCTGGGCTCAGGGACTGATAGCCAAACAGTTTTTCAGAATTGTCTAACCTCTGCTCTAGGGAAAAGCCCAATGCATTCAACCTGTCCTTTAACATTCTGTTTTCATTTTTCAGCTGGTTGAGTTCTTCACGGATGGCAGTATTCTGTTCCTGCAACTGCAATAAAGTGGACTCCACATCAGTCGGCTGGTGAGCCATAATAGTTTCCTTCTCAGATTTTTCATCACCCTCAGAATGATCCTCATTAATGCCCAGCTGGGCACGCATGTCTCGCAGTTCATTTCTCAAATGTAAAATTTCTACGTCTTTGGTTTTTGCCAGCGTGAGAAGATCCTTCACTTTGGCCTCCAAAGCAGCTCTGTCACTGATCTGATTGTCTGACTTAGACTTGCTCATACGAACGTCACATTCTGTAGCAGTTCGACTGCGGGAACGTTTGGCCAATGCCATGTCATTAGCTCCCTGACCTGCAGAAGGTAGTTTTTTGCTCTGGTTTAATCGGGTACGTTCACGTAATCTTTCTCTAGTAGAACTGGATTCTTTATTACCTGTAGAAGTGCTCCGCTTGGTTGAAGAAGCTGTGCCTATGTGTTTAATACAAAAAATGTAAGGCAAAAATGTCAGCAATAAAAGGCTACATAGAATACACAGTTCCTGCCCCAGGTGTAATGAGATGAAATCCAGGATCTACACAATGATTTAGATCTACAATAATCTTGCCTTAGAGTCTGTTAAAGTTCAATTTCTTCAAAACCAGAAGATCATTCATCTTTTAATTATCAAGGAGAAATAAGTTATACACTTTGTTTTACATGTTTTTAAAAGAGTAAATTTTATGGAATGTGAATTACATTTCTACAAAGCTGTTATTTAAATGATATACATTAACTTGAATCCAGAAGTGGGGTTTTAACCAGTTGGCCAGAGGCATAATATTCTAGGGCAAGACAGGTGAAGATGACTCCAGGATTAGCCAGTCGGTGGTAAACTAACTGTACACAGATAGTGAAGGGAGATCATAGGTGGGCAAGAAGGGAAAAGCAGTCTCTGGGAAAACCAAAAATCTAAGCTACCTACTAGAAACACAAAAATTTTACTCTGACCAAAGTAAATGCAAAATAGTTTTAACACCATAAAATGCCACATAAATAATAACAATTATAACAATAGCTAACACATACCTAGCACTTGGTTATACAAATACATTAACACTTCACATACATTAACTTATATAAGCCTCATTAAAGACGTGAGGTAGGTGCTATTATCACCTTGTTTTACAGATGAAGAAACTCAGACACAGATGTTAAATAATTTGCCAACATGTCACAGGTAATAAATAGATGAGCCAAAATTGAAACCCAGGCAGTCTGGTTCCAGATTTTGCACCTTAACCAGTATGTTATACTGTCTCTCTAAATGTAAAAAACAACGAAGCACTAATGTTAAATAATGATGATGCGTCAATCAAATCTACGTGAATCACATGATTACTTAACTACTAAAATTTTAAACCTGTGAAAACTGACACAATCATTTGTTTAATACAAAAAGAACAGGAAGTTTTTTTTGTTCGTTTTTTTGGTTTTTTTTGAGATGGAGTCTCTCTTGACCATCACCCAGGCTATAGTGCAGTGGAGCGATTTCGGCTCACTGCAACCTCTGACTCCCAGGTTCAAGCGATTCTCCTTCCTAGGCCTCCCAAGTAGCTGGGATTACAGGAGCGTGCCACCATGCCTGGCTAATTTTTTTGTATTTTTAGTAGAGATAGGGTTTCACCATGTTGGCCAGGCTGGTCTCAAACTCCTGACCTCAAATGATCTGCCCGCGTCGGTCTCCCAGCGTGCTGGGATTACAGGCGTGAGCCACTGAATTTACAGGCGTGAGCCACCGCACTTACAGGCGTGAGCCACCGCACCTGGCCAGGAATATGTTTAAATACCTGTAAATACTTAAGAAATAACAAATTTTTATGTTAAAAAATAAGATCCACATCTAATCAATAAGTATTTTTAAAGACCCTGCTGGTTCATTAGGTGGTGGGATCCAGGCTGTAGAGGTAACAGGGAGCAAATGATCTCCACAGATAGAGGGAGATAGCCACTAACAGAACAGGTATACAGGAGGATGCGGAATTCAGGCTGGCAAAAAGACAGACAACGAAAGGAAGCAGAAGTGAACATGGCACACAGAAAGGAAAAGTACAGTCACACAGTTAACGGAAGCTGCTGGGGAATGTTCATATAGAGTCCCAAAAGATAGGCAGAATTCAGTGAGTCACACTAAGTCAATAAATGATCCTGAGTAGGAAAGAAATGTAAGGAAAAGTACATTTTATGAAAATTAATCTAGAGGATACTGATATGGTTTGGCTGTGTCCCCACCCAAATCTCATCTTGAACTGTAGTTCCCATAATCCCTATGTGTTTCGGGAGGGACCTGTTGGGAGGTAATTTAATCATGGAAGCAGTTACCCTCACGCTGTTCTCGTGATAGTGAGTTCTCATGACAGCCGATGGTAAGGGGCTTCCCCTTTGCTTGGCTCTCATTCTCCTCCTTCCTGCCACTATGTGGAGAAGAATGTGCCTGCTACCCCTTCCACCATAATTCTAAGTTTCCAGAGGCCTCCCCATCTCTGTGGACCTGTGAGTAAATTAAACCTCTTTTCTTTATGAATTACTCAGTCTGGGGCAGTTCTTTACAGCAGCATGAGAATGGACTAATACAGATTCTAAGTGGAATACATAAGGAAGAAAGCAGAGCAGCAGAGGAGGAATGTGGGCAGGTAGATCAATGAGGTAAAAGAGGTCCCACATTCAGGGGCGGCAGTAAGAACAGAGAAGAGGCAAGAAATCTGTGACAGATATCAAAGGCAAGAGTAACCAGACTGGGATAAACAACTGTATACGGAGGCCAAAAATGGAAAAAGATGGCATAACTTTTTTTTTTTTTTTGAGGCTCTGTCACCCAGGCTAGAGTGCAGTTGTGCCATCACAGCTCACGGCAACTCTACCTCCCAGGCTCAGGTGATCCTCCCACCTCAGCCACCCGAGTAGCTAGGACTACAAGCACACGCCACCATACCCAGCTAATTTTTGTATTTTTTGTAGAGACGGGGTTTCACCACATTGGGCATGTTGCCCAAGCTGGTCTTGAACTCCTAGGCTCAAGTGATCTGCCCACCTTGGCCTCCTAAAGTGCTGGGATTACAGGCGTGCACCATCGCACCTGGCTGGGGTAACTTTTTTCCCCAACATTAATTCCTTTCCCTAGTTCTGCAAGTGGTACCACATCCTTATCTAAATCAAAAATCCTTATAAAAAAGAAAATCTGGCTCTCCCTCTCCCCTCTCCCCTCTTTCCACGGTCTCCCTCTGATGCCGAGCCGAAGCTGGACTGTACTGCTGCCATCTCGGCTCACTGCAACCTCCCTGCCTGATTCTCCTGCCTCAGCCTGCCGAGTGCCTGCGATTGCAGGCGCGCGCCGCCACGCCTGACTGGTTTTCGTATTTTTTGGGTGGAGACGGGGTTTCGCTGTGTTGGCCGGGCTGGTCTCCAGCTCCTAACCGCGAGTGATCTGCCAGCCTCGGCCTCCCGAGGTGCCGGGATTGCAGACGGAGTCTCCTTCACTCATTGCTCAATGGTGCCCAGGCTGGAGTGCAGTGGCGTGATCTCGACTTGCTACAACATCCACCTCCCAGCAGCCTGCCTTGGCCTCCCAAAGTGCCGAGATTGCAGCCTCTGCCCGGCCCCACCCCGTCTGGGAAGTGAGGAGCGTCTCTGCCTGGCCGCCCATCGTCTGGGATGTGAGGAGCCCCTCTGCCTGGCTGCCCAGTCTGGAAAGTGAGGAGCGTCTCTGCCCAGCCGCCATCCCATCTAGGAAGTGAGGAGCGCCTCTTCCCGGCCGCCATCCCATCTAGGAAGTGAGGAGCGTCTCTGCCCGGCCGCCCATCATCTGAGATGTGGGGAGCGCCTCTGCCCTGTCGCCCCGTCCGGGATGTGAGGAGCGTCTCTGCCCGGCCGCACCATCTGAGAAGTGAGGAGACCCTCTGCCTGGCAACCGCCCTGTCTGAGAAGTGAGGAGCCCCTCCGCCCAGCAGCCGCCCCGTCTGAGAAGTGAGGAGCCCCTCCGCCCGGCAGCCACCCCGTCTGGGAAGTGAGGAGCATCTCTGCCGGGCAGCCACCCCGTCCAGGAGGGAGATGGGGGGGTCAGCCCCCCGCCTGGCCAGCCGCCCCGTCCGGGAGGGAGGTGGGGGGATCAGCCCCCCGCCCGGCCAGCCGCCCCGTCCGGGAGGCGAGGGGCGCCTCTGCCCGGCCGCCCCTACTGGGAAGTGAGGAGCCCCTCTGCCTGGCCAGCCGCCCCGTCCGGGAGGGAGGTGGGGGGGTCAGCCCCCTGCCCAGCCAGCCGCCCCGTCCGGGAGGTTGGGGGGTCAGCCCCCCGCCCGGCCAGCGCCCCATCTGGGAGGTGAGGGGCGCCTCTGCCCGGCCGCCCCTACTGGGAAGTGAGGAGCCCCTCTGCCCGGCCAGCCGCCCCGTCCGGGAGGGAGGTGGGGGGGGTCAGCCCCCCGCCTGGCCAGCCGCCCCGTCCGGGAGGGAGGTGGGGGGGGTCAGCCCCCCGCCCGGCCAGCCGCCCCATCCGGGAGGTGAGGGGCGCCTCTGCCCGGCCGCCCCTACTGGGAAGTGAGGAGCCCCTCTGCCCAGCCAGCCGCCCCGTCCGGGAGGGAGGTAGGGGGGTCAGCCCCCCGCCCAGCCAGCCGCCCCGTCCAGGAGGGAGGTGGGGGGGTCAGCCCCACCGCCCGGCCAGCCACCCCCTCCGGGAGGGAGGTGGGGGGGTCAGCCCCCCGCCCGGCCAGCCGCCCCGTCCAGGAGGTGAGGGGCGCCTCTGCCCGGCCGCCCCTACTGGGAAGTGAGGAGCTCCTCGGCCCGGCCAGCCGCCCCGTCTGGGAGGGAGGTTGGGGGGGTCAGCCCCCCGCCCGGCCAGCCGCCCCATCCAGGAGGTGAGGGGCGCCTCTGCCCGGCCGCCCCTACTGGGAAGTGAGGAGCCCCTCTGCCCGGCCACCACCCCGTCTGGGAGGTGTACCCAACAGCTCATTGAGAATGGGCCATGATGACAATGGTGGTTTTGTGGAATAGAAAGGGGGGAAAGGTGGGGAAAAGATTGAGAAATCGGATGGTTGCCGTGTCTGTGTAGAAAGAGGTAGACATGGGAGACTTTTAATTTTGTTCTGTACTAAGAAAAATTCTTCTGCCTTGGGATCCTGTTGATCTGTGACCTTACCCCCAACCCTGTGCTCTCTGAAACATGTGCTGTGTCCACTCAGGGTTAAATGGATTAAGGGCGGTGCAAGATGTGCTTTGTTAAACAGACGCTTGAAGGCAGCATGCTCGTTCAGAGTCATCACCACTCCCTAATCTCAAGTACCCAGGGACACAAACACTGCGGAAGGCCGCAGGGTCCTCTGCCTAGGAAAACCAGAGACCTTTGTTCACTTGTTTATCTGCTGACCTTCCCTCCACTATTGTCCTGTGACCCTGCCAAATCCCCCTCTGCGAGAAACACCCAAGAATGATCAATAAATAAATAAATAAATAAA
Source organism: Homo sapiens (assembly GCF_000001405.40). NCBI lineage: Eukaryota > Metazoa > Chordata > Mammalia > Primates > Hominidae > Homo > Homo sapiens. The sequence continues at coordinate 24,316,278 of NC_000022.11, read as the reverse complement.
TAAAAAGAAAATCTGTTCATGTTTGAAAGATAAAAGAAGAAAAATTCTTCTCTGGATTACTGTAATGAGTAGACAGAATAATCTGAGGTAAAGACAAGTGAATTGATACATGGAAATCAAACAGTCTTAGGAAAGTCACTGGAGGAGGTAAAGGTAGAGCAGATGAACTGAAGAATAAGGATGTTGTTATAGGCTGAACTGTGCCCGCACAAAACACACAAAATTAATATGTTGAAGCCCTAACCCCAAAACCTCAAATGTGACTGCACCTGGAGACAGGATAATGAAGTTAAAGAGGTAATTAACGTAAGATGAAGTCATTAGGGTGGGCCCTAATCCAACATGACTGGCGTTCTTGTAAGAGGAGGAGATGAGGACACACACACAGAGGGAAGACACAGAGAAGGCAGCCATCTGCAAGACAAAAAAGAGATCTCAGGAGAAAGTAAATCTGCTAACACCCTCATTTCAGACTTCTGGCTTCCAGATTTGAGAAAATAAATTTCTGTGGCTTAAGCCATCCAGTCTGTGGTATTTTGTTATGACATCCCCAGCAAAATAAAATAAACGTACAAAGCCATACTGGGGCAGCTAATCCAGAGAGGTGATAACTGAATCCTGAGGTCAGGTAGCATCAGTCAGTAAGAAACTAAGTATACAAACACATGGAATCTCTCCCAGTACAATTCTAAAGGCAGGAAACAGGAAGACATGCAAATGGCAAGAGTATTTAATTTCCTTCCTACCACATAAGCTACAATGTTAAATGTGGTGATGACCCCAGGCTTGGGAGTAAAAGACCTTGCCTCACCACCAGCCTTGTGGCCTTGTCAAAACAGATCCCCAATAAATATTTACTGAGCAAATGAATGCATGGCCTTGGCCAAGACACTTAAGCTTTCTCATCTCTAAAATGAGGATACTAGTTCTCACAGGACTACAGGTGAGGATAAAATGAAATCATGCCTGTAAATCAGAAAGCAAGGACTTCAATATTCCTTCCTGTTAATCGCACCTATTATCATTAACAGGGAGGCCCAATCTGAAATGGAAGGAAGAATCTGCATAAAGCCAAAGCAAAAATGAAGACAGTAGGTAATCCTGGGCTAGGAGAGTCTAATACACACAAGAGGGGCTAAGAGCCTAAATTACGATGACAGAAAAGGATCTGATGTAATTTTTACAATTTGCCTTCATAAGCTTTATTACAAACACTTGATCTTATGTTTACTAGAAGTTTTAAAGTTCTTTTTCTATAAACGTAAGAAGTAAAATATGAGAGCATTACTCCTTGGACTGTAGGATAATTTATCAACTCCATCAAATCTAAAAACAAATACCTGTTACTGAATGAAGAAAGATGGCAGAATTAGAATGAATGGATCTAGGCACTGATCATCAGAGGCTTCTAACATCATTTAAAGAGGGACAATCAAAAACTATGTGTTTCCTGATGGGTGGACACACCACCACCTATGAAGGAGTCTTGTATTTTGGTTGTTTTGTTTTCAAAATGGGGGGACAGGGGACCTGAATCTGTCCCATAAGGCTCCAATGCCATTTACAATAAATACAGACAATAAAGGGTGATGGGCAAAAACATCATGGGGGTATTACGATATAAAAATCCACATGCTCAGAAACTCTATAGGTCATATGACCAGCTTCCACAAAAATTAAACTGCAAGAATCAGGATAAACCCATGGATTTTAAAAAAGAAGATTTAAGAGACACATCAGCCAATTATATATGGACCTACATGAGTCCTGATCCAAATATAAAAATAGACAGTAAATAAAACAAAAATATTTATAAGACTGTTGGAAATTTAAATACTCATTGAATAAGTTATGATTTAAGGAATGATTATCAGTTATTTCAAGGACTGATAATGGTATTATGATTATATTTTTAAAAGAATCCTTCTCTGGTCGGGCGTGGTGGCTCACGCCTGTAATACCAGCACTTTGGGAGGCCGAGGCGGGCAGATCACGAGGTCAGGAGATCAAGACCATCCTGGCTAACACGGTGAAACTCTGTCTCTACTAAAAATACAAAAAACAAAACTAGCTGGGCTTGGTGGTGGGCGCCTGTAGTCCTAGCTGCTCGGGAGGCTGAGGCAGGAGAATGGCATCAACCCAGGAGGCGAAGCTTGCAGTTAGCTGAGATCATGCCATTGCACTCCAGTCTGGGTGACAGAGCGAAACTCCATCTCAAAAAAAAAGAAAAATCCTTCTCCTTGGCCAGGTGTAGTGGCTCATGCCTGTAATCCCAACACTTTGGGAGGCCAAGGCAGGCAGATCACAAGGTCAGGAGTTCGAGACCAGCCTGACCAACATGGTGAAACCCCATCTCTACTAAAAATACAAAAATTAGCCAGGCATGGTGGCGCATGCCTGTAATCCCAGCTACTCAGGAGGCTGAGGCAGGAGAATCGCTTGAACCTGGGAGGCGAAGGTTGTGGTGAGCCAAGATGGCACCATTGCACTTCAGCCTGCGTGACTAAGACTCTGTCTCAAAAAAAAAAAAAAAAAAGAATCCTTCTCTTTCCAAGATAATAAAGTATTTATGGATGAAATGATATGATGTCCAGAATCTGCTTCAAAATAATAAGAGGGAAGGGTGGGTATCAGGAGTTACAACTGGCTATGAGTTGATAATGGTGATGAGCGTATTGGGCTGAAATATCAATCCATCTACTTTTGTATGTCTAAAATTTCCTATAATTAGATGGAACACTGTAAACACCAATGCATCATGCCCATTCAAACAAAAAAGCAGTTGAAGTCTCAGACTGAATGTCACCGTTACCTGTGCTAATCTTGGATTTGTTCTCCACGGTGGTCATGGCAGGGGCAGATGCTGAAGGTGCTGCAGATGGGCAGGTGCTTTTCTTTCCTTTAACACCATTAGTCACCGTTACCCCTCCGGCCATTCCAGCTAAAAGGTCATCACTGCTCTTGGTCTAGAAGCAACAGAAAATAAAAACAAATTTACTAGATCAAGCAAGATTAGATATTTTGAGACTCAACAAAGCTCATGACTTTTATACTAAGTTCAAGAGCCCTATTACCAAAACTATCTGACAGGTAGTAAGCAGCACACCATACTGTCCTACAGAAACAGAACTTCTTTATAGGTTTATAAACAATCACGTACTTCTTTTTAAAATAATAAACTCGTACATGTAATCAAAGACTTTATGGAAGCCTGCTATGTGTCCACATATGCCAGATTCAGATGATGGGGGATAGCACATGATATCTTGGGAAAGTCCTATAATGCCACAGGAAGTGTCATCTTGCAATTTCTAGAAAGAAATATCCTTGAGAGTCAAATAATCTTCACTGCTCTAAAGTGATTCCATGATGAGGCCAGTATCTAAAAGAATTTATTCTGAAATTTATCTTTTTTACCTTATAATTCTGTAGTAATCAAATTTTAGTCACAATTGAAAGGAGGTATTTTCTAAAACATGCATAATATATTAATAAAAAACTAGAGGCTTTACAGTTTGAGAAAGGGTTCTGCTGTCTAAATGATCGTTATTACTTGAGAAAGACCATCTGCAATATTTATATTTTATAAAGGCAATTTAAAAAACATGAGCCTTAAAAAACACTATGGATAATAAATTGGCTGTAAATTTATTATTCTAAAAAGTAGTGAAGAAACGTTTTTACTTCTCCTAGAAATGAAGGGAACACAGAGCAGTTAAAGATATGTGGGGGAAAAAAAGAGAAAAACTACTTTTTAACAAAAGAACCCAAAAGTTTTCTCTCTTTGGCATGAGTTAGCCAACTGATTTACACTATCTTCTATCTGGAACCATGCCCTCTCTCAGATAATCATACTGAATTCATTTCTACAAGGTAAGATAGTTCATAAGTAACTAATCTCTAAAGTCTCTTCCAGTTCTAAATGTCAGTGAGTCCATATGAAGCATATTTCTGTTATTCAATTATCAAAGTTCTAATACAGTACCATTAGGTTAAAAAGAGGCAGAAAAGGCTGGGCACAGTGGCTCATGCCTGTAATCTTAGCATTTTGGGAGGCCGAGGTGGATCACTTGAGCCCAGGAGTTCAACACCAGCCTGGGCAACATAGGGAGATTCCGTTTCTACAAAAAATTTGAAAACTAATTACCTGGGCAAAGTGGCACATGCCTGTAGTCCTAGTTATTGGGAAGGTTGAAGTGAGAGGATCGCTTGAGCCCGGGAGGTCAAAGCTGCACTGAGCTGTGATCACGCCACCGTACTCCAGCCTAGGCAACAGAGTGAGACCCTGTCCCCACCCGCCCCCCAAAAAAAGAGGCAGAAAAAGGGATAAATATTTTCAATGAATTAAACAGAATTCAACTCTAGTAATTAAGGGCTGTTACATTATGAAATCTAGAATACATAAAAAGAGAGGGAAACACTGCATTAATTTCAAGGACTGTTCATATTCTTTTTTTTTTTTTTTTTTTTTTTTGAGACAAAGTCTCACTCTGTCACCGAGGCTGGAGTGCACTGGCATGATCTCGGCTCACTGCAATCTCCACCTTCCGGGTACAAGTGATTCTCCCACCTCAGCCTCCTAAGTAGCTAGGACTACAGGCATGCGCCACCATGCTTAGCTAATTTTTATATTCTTAGTAGAGATGGGGTATTCCCACGTTGGCCAGGCTGGTCTCGAACTCCTGGCATCAAGTGATCTGCCCACCTTGGCCTCCCAAACTGCTGGGATTACAAGTGTGAGCTACCATGCCTGGTCTGTTCATACTTTTAAGACTTGTTTCTGTTCACAAAAACTGGCCATCAACTATGATGCCGAAGTCACACAATGAAAGTCATACCACTTTCCTGCCAATTTGTCCCTCCTCTCTTAGCCAGTAAATAGCCAGTAAGTAAACTCAACACATTCTTATATTTTCAATCTTCTTTTGTATCCTGCTAATAAAAGTAAAATTATCTTTGAACTAATCTTTCTTCCTCCGTAAGTTAAATTCTTCCATTTGATAATAATTACATTGAAAACCACCCTACATTGTCATGTCAAAGTGGACTACTCATCACACTTCTCTGGTTACAATTTGCCTTTGGCTAATGACAAAGTTAAATACACATAACGGCACCAAATCATAAACTTTGCACTTATAATGATTAAGACAGTACAGCACTGGAACAAGAATAAACTAGTGAAACAGAGTCCATAAAGAAACTGCATATTTATAGACACTTGATTTATAACCAAGGCAGCAAGGGAGAAAACAAGAGTTTTCCAGAAAATGGTGCTAGGTCAAGTGTATACACCAAGGGGGCAAAAATAAATGCTGAGACCTATTTCACACCATATCAAACATAAAGTCCAACGTTTTCTAACTACGATTTTAAATCTAAAATTATAAAACAAAGACTTGATCGATGTGACTACATAAAAATTAAAATCTTAAAAATAAAAAATCCTTTTAATTAAAAAAAGTTAAAATGTTTTGTACAACCAAAAAACCATCATAAATAGAATTTTAAAACATAAAAAACTGGGAAAGTATATTTGCAATATCTCACAAACAAATGGTTAAGGTCCCTAACACAGAATGCTTTAAAATTGAGGGGAAAAAGACCAAAAAAAAAGACAGAAAAATGAACAAAATGAATGAATCACACAATCAGTTTACAAACACACACACACACAGAGAAAATGATGATCAACCTAACTCATAATGAGAGAAATGCAAATTAAGCAGCACTTGTCACTTAACAGATTGGTAAACATGCTCTTTTGGAAAGAATATGGGGAAACAGGCACTCTCCTTAGTTGCTGATGGGATGCACCTTGACATAAGCCTTATGAAAGGAATCATGCAATATCTAACAAAGTTACACATGTATTTACCTTCTCTCCAGCAACTTCACTTCTAGGAATTTAACCTGAAGATACACCTCCAATAATACAAAAATACATATGCACATGGCTAATTATTCACTGCAGCATTGTTTTTTATTGCAAAATACTGGTACGCCTTAAATGCCTATATATACACAGGAAAGCATATGAAGTACACTTTAGTGAATACAATGAGGTATTAAACAGCAACAAAAAATAAGAAAGACTGCTACCAATTGGTATGGAGAGAGATTTCTAGAGTACATTAAGTGAAAAGATTAACAGAGTGCAAAAGAATATATTTTGCCACCTTTTGTGTAAAAAAGGAAATAAAAAATGTGTATTTGCTCATTTATGCAAAAAGAAACATGAGAAGAATAAACAAAAACTAAATTGCCTGTTAACCTCTGGGATGGGTGGGAACTGCGTAAGAGGGAACAGGGGAGGAGAGGGGCACTTTTCTGAACATATCTTCTCATATAGTTCTGACTCGTGGAGCCATGTTAGTGTTTCATATGCTGAAAATAAACAAATAAATAAAATTTAAATAAAGATAGGAAAAACCTAAAATGGAATAGGATAGGAACAAACAGACTAACTGTATTTCAAATGAACAACACAACCCAAGTATTTTTTCACCACGGTAGTATTTTGACCATAAATCCTCAAACTCTCAAGCCAAAGACAAAAGTATGCAAATATTGAACTTCAGGCCGGTTGCAGTGGCTCACGCCTGTAATTCCAGCACTTTGGGAGGACAAGGTGGGTAGATCACGAGGTCAGGAGTTCAAGACCAGCCTGGCCAACATGGTGAAACCCCGTCTCTACTAAAAATACAAAAATTAGCTGGGTGTGGCAGCATGTGCCTGTAACCCCAGCTACTCAGGAGCCTGAGGCAGGAGAATCACTTGAACCCGGGAGACGGACGTTGCAGTGAGCCGAGATCTCGCCACTGTACTCCAGCCTGGCGACAGAGCTAGACTCTCAAAAAGAAAAAAAAATTGAACTTCAGTTGATAAACTGTTTTTCACAGTTGTACAGATAATTCTAAAACTATTTTCTATACATTCTAGGGTGGAGAGAAAATAAGTAAATATAGGCTGTAGAAGCCAGGTATTTCAGTGTTGGATAAATGGATTACAATTATAGGATGTGGAAAGGCTATTATGAACCTTTTAAGTCAATGGAATTGGAAATATCAGTGTGAACTCACACATTTTAATAGATACAGATACAGAAATTGACATAGATATGTGCGTGTGTGTGTGTGTGTCCCAAAAGCAATGAACACATCTAACCTCCAGGTCTTGGTTTTTAAGTACTATCCTCCACTAAAAAGAACAAGGCCTCCTTGAAGAAATGGCTGATTCTAGGGCTGGGACCGAAAAGGTACAAAACTTACTACGTCAGAAATGAAGGAAGTGCTCAAAGAGTAATAGGAACATGTCAAAAGGACACAGGAACCAGCCTGATGGGCTCCCAGTGGACAAATCAGGGATAATCTAGGCATAAAACTAAATGATCCTAATAATTTATACTCCACTAAGAATCTATGAATTTACAATAATATAAATGAATATATAAACCAAGGGAAAGTAAAAACTCTTCCTTGTAGCAGAATGCCAACTAACACATGTAGAAGGAATGACAGAATTAGAAAATTACCATGTGGCAAAAATCACAATACTAACTGATTTGGGAAAGAACTATCCAAAAAAAATGCTAAAACCAGGGTGAAAAGTCTAGTAAAAAAAAGGATAGATATATGTACAAAGTTTCAAAGTATCTCTGACAAGCTACTTATTAATTACAAGAGCGAACACAGTAACCTGACAGTGGAGAAACCTAGCCAAAGGAAGTTAACATCCCCCACAATGGAAAACATGGAAGCCATCTGTTTCCATACACTTCTGTGGTATTCCTGCCTAAAATGCATAACCCAAATCTTATCACAAGGAAATATTACCAAACCCAAATCTGGAGGGCAGCCTATCAAATAACTGCCTTTCGCTCCTTAGAAATGTCAAGGTGATAAAAGACAGAGTGAGAAACTATTCCGAATTTAAATAGGATGAGGAGCATAACAACTAAATGCAATACATAATCCTGGATTGGATACTGGGCCAGAAAACAGATTTTTTTTTCTCTTTTGCTATATCTGAAATTAGCACAACTGGCAAAATTTAATGAAAGGTTATACATTAGATACTAGCATCCTATCAATGTTATTACTATGGTTATAAAAAAGAATGTCCTTGTTTTTCTGGAAATACACACTGAAATATTCAGCAGTAAAGGAGCATTATGTCTATAGTTCATGCTGAAACAGCCCCCCCACCCCCAAAAAAACTATGTGTGTATACATGGTATATACAGGGAAGTGATAATCATGACAGGTTAACATATGAGGAATCTTGATAGAGTATACTGGAATTCTTAGTACTAGTCCTTCAGCTTTTCTGTAAGTCTAAAATTATTTCAAAATAAAAAGATTTTACATGATTATTTCCAGACAGATTGAGGATCTAAATATGAAATTTAGAAAAACACTTTTAGAAAAAAAAAAATAGGGGCCAGGCATGGTGGCTCACACCTGTAATCCCAAGGCTTTGGGAGGGTGAGGCAGAAGGATCTCCTGCAATCAGGAGATTGAGACAAGCCTGGGCAACATAGTGAGACCTTGTTTCTACAAAAAGAAAAAGAAAAAAATATAGGCAACTATTTCATTTGACCTAGGGATGGGTTAAGATTTCTTAAACAAAAACACATACACATACACGTACGTACATACATACACACACACACACACTCACATACACACACAGACACACATACCCCATAAAGAAAAGATTAATAAATTGAGCTACATTAAAATAAATAACTGCTGTTCATGAAGATACCTTTAAAGGTATCATACCTTTATGAAGTGGAGGGGAGGGGAGAGAAGAGAGCGAAAGCAAGGCAGAGTGGGGGAATATACATGCAGCATGTATAAATGATAAAGGGCTCACATCTAGAAGAGGTAAAGAACCACAAATCAGTGCAAAAAGACACTGTACCCTCTCACACCCAATAGAATGGATACTATCAAAAAACAAAATAACAACTATTGCAGAGGACGCGAAAAAATTGGAACCCTTATGTACTGCAAATGGTGTAGCTGCTAGCAGCGAGAAACAATAGGCAGTTCCTTAAAGAATTAAAAATGGACTTGCCATATGATGTAGCAATTCCACCTACGGGTATATACCCCCCCCAAAATTGAAAGCAGGGCCTTGAAGAGATCTTTGTACACCCATATTCATAGCAGCACTATCCACAGTAGCCAAAAGGTGGAAGCAACCCAAGTGTTCACTGAGAGATGAATGGATAAACAAAATATAGCATATACATACAATGAACACTATTGAGCCTTAAAAACGGAAGGAATTCTGACACATGCTGCAACATGGATGAACCTTGAGGACATGATGCTAAGTTAAATAAGCCAGACACAAAACAAGTGGTATATGATTCCACTTATATAAGGTAGCTAGAGCAGTGAAATTCATAGAGACAGAAAGTAGAATGGTGGTTGTCAGGCGCTGGAGAGAAGAGGGAATGTGGAGTCATTATATAATGGGTACAGAGATTCAGTTTAGCAAGATGACAAGTTCTGGAGATGGATGGTGATGATGGTTGCACAACAATGTGAATGTATTTAACAGAACTGAACTGCACACTTAAAAATTGTTAAGATGGTTGGGCACAGTGGCTCACACCTAAAATCCCACCGTCACAGGAGAATTACTTGAAGCCAAGGAGTTAGAGACCAGCCAGGGTAAAAAAGTGAGACCCTGTCTCTAAAAAAAATTTTGTTTTGATTAGCTGGGTATGTGACACACATCTGTAATTCCAGCTACTCAGGAGGCTGAAGCCTGAAGACCGCTTGAGCCCAGGAGTTCAAGGCTGCAGTGAGCTAGGATCACGCCATTGTACTCCAGCCTGGGCAGGCAACAGAGTAAGACTCCATCTCTTAAAAAAATTAAAAAATTAAAATTAAAAATTAAAAGGCCAAAGTGATGAATGTTGTATGTATTTTTCCACAATAAAAAAAAAAGTTTGGAAAAAAAAAAGACAACGGAAAAATGGGCAAGTGACTTGAACAGGCACTTCATAGAAGAGGGTCTAAATGTCCACTGAGCACATAAAAAGAATGTATAAGGCCGGGTGCAGTGGCTCATGCCTGTAATTCCAGCACTTTGGGAGGCCGAGGTGGGTGGATGACCTGAGGTCGGGAGTTCAAGACCAGCCTGACCAACATGGAGAAACCCCGTCTCTACTAAAAATACAAAAAATTAGCCAGGCGTGGTGGCACATGCCTGTAATCCCAGCTACTCGGGAGGCTGAGGCAGGAGAATCGCTTGAACCCGGGAGGCGGAGATGGCGCCATTGCACTCCAGCCTGGGCAACAAGAGTGAAACTCCATCTCAAAAAAAAAAAAAAGATTGTATGAAAAGGTATTCAATCTTACTGGTAACGATGCAAATTAATGCCACTGCTCCATTCCTTTATACATCCGTGAGTGCTTAACATGAAAGGAGTAACAATTTAAGTACAGGAGAAAATGTGAAGTAACCAGGAGTGTAAACTGGTAACCACCTTGAGAAATGATTTTCTTCTATCTATAACATTAAAGCTGAACATAGGTATACTCTACGGTCCAGTAATTTCACTCCTCATTCTAGAACCAACACAAATGGGTGCACATGTGTATTAATACACACATATAAGAATGTTCATAACAATAATACTCATAACCACAGAGAAGAAACTCCAAAAGTCTGCCAATAGTAGTAAAAGTCTGCCAATAGCAGAAGAGATGAACAAACTGTGGTATATTCATCCCATGGATTACTAACCAACAATGAAAAGGAAGTGACCGCTGCTAGATGCAACAGTACAGATAAGAAACCAGACACACATAAAAAGAACATAGTGTGTGACTACGTTCCTGTAAAGATCAAAAACTGGCAAAAATCATCTCTGGTGCTAGAAGTTAGAATGGTAGTTACTTTGGGGGAGGACAGGAAGGGCAATGATTAAGCAGAGGCACGGTGGAAGCTTCTGAGGGGCACATATGTTCTGTTTCTTGAACTAGGTGGTGACTGAAGGACATGTTTCATTTTGTGATGATTCACTAAACTCAACACCTGTGTTTTGTGGACTTTGCTGTACGTATGCTTTACTTCAACAAAAAAAGTCAAAACAAAACAAAACACAACTCTGCATTTTCCAACTTACCTTTTACCCTAAGCTACTAGCAGGCTCTCTGCTATTTTTCCCTATTTCTTTTAATTTTTGCTACAAAATTCTGTAAAGGCATGTGCATTCTCACACATAAACACCCCCCATCAGTAAGTCTAAAAACATGAAATGGATGAAGGAATAAATGTTCAGCCTACTCTTTGTAACTGATGCAAAATGCAAATAATTTGGTACAAGCATTCCGGACACAAATAATGAAATACTACAACCAGGTACGTATACTTCTCTAAGTCAAGCCCAAGTTTCACATGCATCTTTCTCTCAAATTTGAAGATTTGTTATCAAATTTTACCTTTCAAGTTTCCGAGGAGGATTGTTCATACAATTAACAAATGTTTACACTGTATGACCACAAATAATCATGGAGAAATATCAATTATAGATTCTAACTGAAGCTTATTAATTCATGTCTGTAATTTTTAGAAAAAATTATCATCAGTATAATGGAAAAGTATATTACTTCAAAAGAACTAATCATGAACACCTGAACAGTAAGTGAACCCTGCAAAGCGTAGGCATGCAGGAAACCCTCTCTACATGGAAAATAATCCTCTCCACTGACTGTGACCAAGGAGAATTAAGCATACAAAGGCTGCAAGCCCAATGACACAGCTCCTGACAGAAGTGGGAATAATGTCTCCAAAACTCACTGTGAGCAGCAGTAGTGTTTTGTATTTACAAAAGCTCCAACCAGCAGTGAAGTGTCCTGGATCAAAAGAGTCCTTCCCCTTAACCCTCAACTACATCTAGCCTCAAACAATACTTGAAATGAGAGGTGAAGAAATGCATATCCTGTATCCTGTCACTACAAGAAGAGAGTCATGAGAATATTGTGCAGTGACAGACACACAGGTGTGGGTGTCCATAAATGAATGGGTGTGTGCACATGCTGTCTCAATAATTAAGCCAAACACTTCATTCATCTGGTTAATCATCAATGCTCCATGACAGTTAAAGGAATTCAAATTGTAGGAAGTATCTAGGTGCCAGAGAAGCACAGGAAAAAAAAAAGTTAGAAAAATAAAATAACACTGTGGGGTCTCAAAGCCCTTCAATGTTTTCCATTTTTTTCCCACTATTTTCTTCTTTCCTTCTCTGTTTTTACTTTAATCTCCATTTAATGACTTTTTCCTTCCCCTCTCTTAAGTGAAGGCAATTGCTCCACTCCAGGAAAAGTGTTGCCAAATAGTTTTACCTCTGTCCTGACCTTCCTGCTACACACACACACACACACACACACACACACACACACACACACCCTATTTAAACTTGTTAATGCAGCAGAGCCAAAGCTATGGACAGCTGGCATGTGCTGGCAAGAGTAAGTGTACAGTTTTGCTTTACAGTGGAAAAGTACTCACTGTTCAAGACCAAATTCCCAGCAACTCCAGATCCAAGACTCAGAAGGTGTAACATGCCTGCTCAGTGCACATTCCATAGTAAACCTCCAAAGACACTGCCTGCCTCTGACGAAGAGGCCACAGAAGGAAGGCAGCAGTGCACATCTAATGCCAACATTTCAACCTGTTCTTCCAGTCACATAAATAACAGGTCACCTAGTCACACAGGCACTCCACGCCAAAGAGAGCCCCAGCAACTGAATAACCAGTTAGGTCAGAAAATGCCACCTGTCTTACACCAAAAAGCAGCAGCACTGCCACCAACAAAATGATTCAGTGTGTTCACTGAGACAATGGAAGCTGGGCAAGGGTCTATTCCTGGCACCATCCTCCAGGTCACAGAATGATACCTAACAATTCCTCAGGGCCACAGCTAGGAGAAAATCTGTGTGCATCTCCGAGCCAAGGGAATAAGCCTGGGTTCAGTTCCAACAACCTTAGAATAGAAAAACCAGCATTTCCTGTTAGATCTTTCTACACATATAAGGAAGTTCCTCATCGGCTGTTCCTGAGTTCCTTCTTAAAATAATTAAGCCATGATCTATCAGGGCCCTGCCTGGAATGAACAGATCATGTTTCCAGTTGTGCATGCATACGCACACCTCTAGTCCAGCTACTCGAGAGGCTGAGGCAGGAGGATCCACTGAACCCAGGAGACCAGCCTGGGCAACATAGATCTCATCTATTTAAAAAAAAATGGTAATAGTAATAATAAGAATAATATCTCATCTCTTTTTTAAAAAATGGTATAATCATCATCATCATCATCATCGTGGACCAGCTGCCAGAAGAACAGCAATTTGTGGTGGTGACAGTGAGGGAGACAGGCAGATAAAAACACCTGTCTAGGGGTCACAGGACTGCCAGACTTGGCTCACATGACCTTTTCATAAAACCTTCCCAGGCTTGAAACAATATTTACTTACCTGAAACTGTTCACAATGCTTTACTGCTCTCCCAGGGTATCTGACATTCTCCCTGGGTATTTTCATTATTCATGTTTGTGCCTTGCCTCCACCCTTTCCTCCACAAGCTCCCTGAAGGCAGACTGTACCTCCAGCTCACACAATCACAGCATCCTGCACAAGGCAGGTGCTCAATTATTGTTTCATGAACAAGCCTATTGTCTGGTTTCATTCAAAAAGACAGACCAAAAACAGCAATTAGGTCCACCCCACTGTAAGCTCTCTTCAAAGGCCAAGTGTTCCCAGCACCAGAAGAGGGCACACCCCTAAGAATGCTCATTTAATATATTAAACATCATATTTAAATTCAGTCCTCCAAAAACCCATCATGTATTCAAACATCACATGAATACCTTTGACAATGATGCTGCTGTTCCAGGTTTTACAAGTTTGCCTCCCGTAGATGCTGAAGAGCTGTTTTCAGGTTTAATTTTTTCTGCTGTTTGCGTTTTACTTATTGCAGACACTTTAGGCACTGAGCCAACACTCCTGCTTGCTTTCTTCATTCTGGGCTGCCTCTTCGTGATGCATTTACAAGCAAATCTGTGGGAAAAAAATGGCATTACACTGAGAACATAACTGGAAGGAAGCGCTTTAGAAATTTGTTTTCGAAGAATTTTACCATGTGATAAAACTGTTTGAAAGCTAGATGTCACTACAGAAAAGTTGAAAAAAAATTTTTTTTTTTTTTTGAGACGGAGTCTCGCTCTGTCACCCAGGCTGGAGTGCAGTGGCACTATCTCGGCTCACTGCAAGCTCCGCCTCCCGGGTTCACACCATTCTCCTGCCTCAGCCTTCCGAGTAGTTGGGACTACAGGCACCCACCACCACGCCCGGCTAATTTTTTGTATTTTTAGTAGAGACAGGGTTTCACCGTGTTAGCCAGGATGGTCTCGATCTCCTGACCTCGTGATCCACTCGCCTCAGCCTCTCAAAGTGCTGGGATTACAGGCGTGAGCACCGTGCCTGGCTCTGATATATATTATAATATGGGTGAACCTTGAAAACAATACACAGATGACCCCTGACTTACTATTTTTAAACTTTACAATGTTTCAACTTTACAATGATGTGAAAGCAATAAACCTTTAGAAACCATACATTAGAGTACCCATACAACCATTCTGTTTTTCACTGTCAGTACTGTACTCAATAAATTACATAAGATATTCAACACTTTATTACAAAATAGGCTTTGTGTTAGATGATTCTGTCTAACTGTAGACTAATTTAAGTGTTCCGACCATGTTTAAGGTAGGTTAGGCTAAGCTACGATGTTCAGTATGTTAGGTATAATAAACGTATTTTCAACTCATGACATTGTCAACTTACGAGGGGTTTATAGGATGTAACCCCACGTTAAATAAAGGAGCATCTGTACCAAATAAAAGAAGACCACGTAAATGTCTTCTTTTGAGAAGTGTCTGTTCATATCCTTTGCCCAATTTTTGATGGGGTTGTTTTCTTCTTGTAAATTTGTTTAAGTTACTTGTAAATTCTGGATATTAGACCTTTGTTAGATGGGGAGATTGCAAAAGTTTCTCCCATTCTGTAGGTTGCCTCTTTGCTCTGATGATAGTTTCTTTTGCTGTGCAGAAGCTCTTTAGTTTACTTAGATCCCATTTGTCAATTTTGGTTTTTGTTGCAATTGCTTTTGGTGTTTCTGTCATGGAAGTCTTTGCCCATGCCTATGTCCTGAATGGTATTGCCTAGGTTTTCTTCTAGGATTTTTATGGTTTTGGGTTTTACATTTAAGTCTTTAATCCAGCTTGAGTTAATTTTTTATAAGGTGTAAGGAAGGGGTCCAGTTTCAGTTTTCTGCATACAGCTACCCAGTTTTCCCAGTACCATTTAATGAATACAACATCCTTTCCCTATTGCTTATTTTTGTCAGGTTTGTCGAAGATCAGCTGGTTGTAGGTGTGTGGTGTTATTTCTGAGGTCTCTGTTCTGTTCCATTGGTCTATATATCAACATCACTGTTCTGTTCTATTAGTCTGTATATCAACATCACTGATCATCTGAGAAATGCAAATCAAAACCACAATGAGATAACATCTCATGCCAGTCAGAATTGCAATGATTAAAAAGTCAAGAAACAGCAGATGCTGGCAAGGTTGTGGAGAAATAGGAATGCTTTTACACTGTTGGTGGAAATGTAAATTACTTCAACCATTGTGGAAGACAGTATGGTGATTCCTCAAGGATCCAGAACCAGAAATACCCCAGCAATCCCATTATTGCGTATATACTCAAAGGAATACAAATCGTTCCACTATAAAGATACAAGCACACGGTATGTTTATTGCAGCACTGTTTACAATAGCAAAGACATGGAACCAACCCAAATGCCCATCAATGATACACTGGATGAAGAAAATGTGGTACATATACACCATGGAATACTATGCAGCCATAAGAAGGAATGAGATCATGTCCTTTGGAG
Organism: Homo sapiens; assembly: GCF_000001405.40. Taxonomy (NCBI): domain Eukaryota; kingdom Metazoa; phylum Chordata; class Mammalia; order Primates; family Hominidae; genus Homo; species Homo sapiens. The sequence goes on along the minus strand of NC_000022.11, from coordinate 24,300,291 downwards.
GGACATGGATGAAGCTGGAAGCCATCATCCTCAGCAAACACAGGAACAGAAAACCAAACACTGCATGTTCTTGCTCATAAGTGGAGGTGAAAAATGAGAATACAAGGACACAGAGAAGGGAACAACACACACCAGGGCCTGTTGTGGGGTGGGGAACGAGGGGAGAGAACTTAGAGGATGGGTCAATAGGTGCAGCAAACCACCATGGCACATGTATACCTATGTAACAAACCTGCATGTTCTGCACATGTATCTTGTTTTCTTTTTTAAATAAAGAACAAAAAAACTGGAAGGCCACAAAGGACCATGTATTATATGATTCCATTTATATAAATTATCTAGCAGAAACAAATCTATAGAGATAAAAAGAATATAAGTGATTGCCAGGGGTTGGGGTAGGGAGTATAGAGGCTGGCTACTAATGGATACAGGGTTTCTTTTTGTAGACATGCAAAGTTCTAACATTAGATCACGGTGATAGTTGCACAATACTGTGAATATATTGAAAACCACTAAGTTTTACACTTTAAATAAGTGCATTGTATGACATATAAATTACATATCAATAGAGCTAAAATTAAAAAAAAAACCATAAGTTTTTCCTAAACTTATGATGAAATAAAAACATTGTAAGTCGAACAAGGACTTCTGGAAAATATATGCCAATGCTGTAAAATATGTGATAAAGAGAAAGATTATGGTTTTGCAGAGGTCCAAGAGGAGAAAAGAAACACAGTCAAACCTTTAAAGATGCTGAGATGCAGACTGTTCAAGGAGGCTGGCAGCTTGAGATCACTTAGACCGGCTGGTTCTTAGCCATATCAGACCCAAATACCCCCTGTTCACCGTTTTTTTGAGACAGGGTCTTACTCTGTCACCCATGCTGGAGTGCAGTGGTGCAGTCACGGCTCACTGCAGTCTTGACCTTCCAAGCTCAATGGATCCTGCCACCTCAGCCTCCCGAATAGCTGGGATTACAAGTGTGAACCACCATGCCTCACCCCCGTTCTTTAAAAACTATTGAAAATATACCTTTACTATCCTGAAATAAAATTCAGAAATAACTTATTACATATATATTCCAAAAATATCTACTTAACACAGCAACTATAATATAAAAACAATTTTTAATAAAATAAATATAAATTTCAATATGTAAATTTTCAGGCAGGACTATATTAGGACTAAAATGGTCAGAAATCCACATCTCTAAGTTGAATCACTGAATTTCACAGCTACAAATACTCTTCATTTGGGTATGTCATTTTGGCAACTCAGATATCACCCTACCTATCATGAATGCTATCAATAATGTGATTGATTCTTCATTTACCTAAAAAGGTGAATCACTCTCAGTGTGATGGTTAATTTATGTGTCAATCTGACTGCATCATGGGGTGCCCAGACATTTGGTCAAATATTATTCTGCGTGTTTCTGTGAGGGTGTTTCTGGATGAAATTAACGTTTTATTCAGTGGACTGTCTAAAGCAGATTAACTTCCCTAATGTGGGTGGGCCTCATCTCATCAACTGTAGACCTGAATAAAACAAAAAGGCTAAGTAAGAGGGAGCCCCTCCCACCTGACTGCTGAGCTGGGACATCTCTGCTTGCCGTCTGACTCAAACTGAAACAAACATTGGTTTTCCTTGGGTCTAAAGCCTGCTGGATTTCAGACAGAAACTTACATCGGTGGCTCTCCTGGTTTTCAGGCCTTCAGAGCCAGATCAGAATGACACCATCAGCTTTCCTGGATCTCTAGCTGGCCAACTGCAGATCTTGGGACTTCTCAGCCTCCATAATTGCATGAGCCAATTCCTTTAATAAGGATCTTGTTATATATAGAATGCTTCCCCTTTATCCGAGGGGGATATGTTTCAAGAACCCCTACGGATGCCTAAAAATGCAGATATTGCCCAACTCCATATATACTATGTTTTTGCCTATACATAAAGACGCTGCTCAACTTATGATGGAATAAAAATATCGTAAGTTGAAAATATCATGAATCAAAAATGCATTTAATACACTTTACCTACTGAACGTCATAGCTTAGCCTAGCCTATCTTAAACATGCTCAGACCACTTACATTAACCTATAGGTGGACAAAAATCATCTAACATGAAGCCTATTTTATAATAAAGTATTGAACACCTCATGTAATTTATTGAATATTATACATTACATTCAAAATGTGACAGTTTCATGCCATCATAAAGTTGAAAAATCTTAGGTCGAACCACAGTAAGTTGGGGACCATGTATACATACCACCTATGATAAAGTTAAGTTGATAAATTAGGCACAGTAGGAGATTAACAACAATAACTAATAATAAAGTAAGCAATAATACAATATGCTAGCATCACTACTCCTGCACTGTGGGTCCATTATTAAGTGAACTAAGGGTTACAAGCACTGTGATACCAGACAGTTAATCTGATAACCAAGACTAAGGGACTAATGGGCAGGCAGCACACACAGCATGGATACATCGGACAAAGTGAGGACTCATCTTCCAGGTGTGACAATGAGACCGCACAAGATTTCATCATGTCATTCAGAACAGTCCACAATTTAAAACGTACCAACTGTTTGTTTCAGGAATTTTTCCATTCAATATTTTCAGACCTTGGTTGACCATGAGGTACTCAAAGCATGGAAAGCAAAACCATAGATAAAGGGCAACTGGTGAATACTTATATTTTCTCCAGAGAAACAGAACCAATAGGATGCGCATGACACAATCATATATATTGGTTAAATATAGTTAAATATACTATATATATAAACATCTCGCTCTCTGTCCTACTGGAGAGATATATATATATGCTATCGGTTCTGTTTCTTGAGAGAACCAAGACTAGTAATACACTTAATAAAACTAAGAACAAAATGAGATAATTTCCCTTCAAAGTCTAGACTAATTCCATTTCCTGAAATTTCCATTTCTACTAAAATTACATTTAAAAAAACCCTTTATGTAAAATGGAATTCAGTTATAGGTTCGGCCTTAAACAGTTTTTTTCTATCTACATAAATTATTCATCAAGATATTCTAGGCCAGGCGCAGTGGCTCATGCTTGTAATCCCAGCACTTTGGGAGGCCGTGGATGGATCCCCTGAGGTCAGGAGTTCGAGAACAGCCTGGTCAACATGGTAAAACTCCGCCTCTACTAAAAATACAAAAATTAGCCGAGCGTGGTGGCACATCTCTTAATTCCAGCTACTTGGGAGGCTGAGGCAGGACAATCGCTTGAACCCGGGTTGCAGTGAGCTGGGATCACACCACTACACTCTGTCCTGGGTGACAGAGTAAGATTTGGTCTCAGAAAAAAAAAAAAAAGATATTCTAAAGCTGTGCAGATCATAGGAAAAGTTCTATTTTACAGAACTGTCACCACACTAAGCCTTGAATTCCATGGGCCCTACCTATTAAATAAATGCCTATAGCACCCACCAACCACTGAGACAATCACAAATGCTTCCACAAATTCCTTAAATGACCCTCAGGCTCATAAAAAAACAAATTAGAATTCACCAGAAGGTCCTGGGTCCCTACCTGGTCGAGATGGAGAAATCACTGGCTGACACTCCTCCCTAGAGCCCCTCTAGAGCCCCCCCAGGCAGAGATTACAGAGCAGAGGAGCGAAGGAGCACAGTTCACAGCACTTCCAGTGTCTTGGAGAAGGGGAAGTGGTGGAAATTACCACTCTCTCTTCTCCAACTTTGCTCAAGGGTGTCACATCAGCACACATCACTGAGACCTCTAGTCCAGGAAAGTCAAGGTTTGGGGGAATAAAAAGTAGCTCTCCTCATAAAAACATTGTGGATCCTGCCTCTGTGTTCTAAGAATAATCTGAAACAATAGTCCATGAAGTATGCCTCATGTATTTGTCAAACAGTGTTTCTTAAAAACACCAAAATAGATGCACTGCTCCCAAAAATAACAGGGAAAGGCACTGAAGGCCTTGAGCCTCTCCCCGACAGCAAGCACCATGTCCTGTGCGGTACCTTGTACAGTTCACTGGATCCTCACATGATCCCAGGTGGGTATGTCTAGATGAAGGAACTAAGGATCAGAGATTGCAAGTAATTCTCTCCAGGTCAATTCATTCTTGAGGAACAACGGTCTGAATTCAAACCTCACTTCACTTCTGCCACTCCATATGGCCTCCAATATACATATAACACAAGTTAGGAATGCCAGCTTTTGATCTCAATGAATATTTCACAACATATAAACAAACCGTGACAACACTAAAACTACACAGCTCAACCTGCCCCTTCTAGATTTGTCTACTTGTCCAATGTTGTCATCAGTGCTGGTATACTTTTTGTTTTTGAGATGAAGTCTTGCTCTTCTCCCCCAGTCTGGAGTGCGACGGCACGACCTTGGCTCACTGCAACATCTGCCTCCCGGGTTCAAGTGATTCTCCTCCCTCAGCCTCCCGAGTAGGTGGGATTATGGGCGCCTGCCACCACGCTTGGCTAATTTTTGTATTTTTACTAGAGACAGGTTTCACCATGTTGGCCAGGCTGGTCTTGAACTCCTGACCTCAGATGATCCACCCTCGGCCTCCCAAAGTGCTGAGATTACAAGTGTGAGCCACCGCGCCGGGCCCGTGCTGGTATTCTTAATCAACATTTTTTATTTTGAAGGGACTAACTACCATGTTATTTAACATAAAACCTTTCTTAGAGCAGAATATTTATTGCCAGGTCTAGATCAATATGTATTAAATTAGAGCTGTAAAAGTAAAATTCTTAGTTGTAATCATACTAATTGGAAGAAGGGAATGAGGGATGGGCATGAGTTGAAAAACTATGCTCACTACCTGGGTGACGGGATCCGTACCCCAAACCTCAGCATCGTGCAACATACCCATGCAACAAACCTGTGCGTGTACCCCTTGAGTCTAAAATAAATTATTGACATGTATTAAAATTACTTTTTAAAACAATTATTGAAATTATTTTAAAAATCATACTAATTTATATATATCTACTTTTAAATTTAAAATATTTGCCATAATTTAATATTAAAATATTAATTGAGTGAAGACACAAACCACTCTCATTAGAGAAATAAACCCTTCATTTACAAGGCTGCAATCTGGGTGGCCTGAACGCTCACTAGAATGTCCCAGTGCTCCTCAGGACAGGGTTCACAGCTCTGGGAGCCCTGCCCAAAGCTAATTACACATTCACAGCCACACAGGAAGCTCCAGAGTTTCCTTTACTTCTACAAGGAGATCATATAATTAAAACCTCCTGAGGAAAACAAAGGGCTATCTCTTACCTACCATATAAGGTAGACATAATACTATTTAAAAATCAACTCATAGACTCTTTACTAGAAATGAAAAATATCTTGGAAGCCATTTTACAGGAAACTCTACGTGCAACATCGACAAAAAAATATTCTTGTAGTTACAAGAGTCTACTGTGGGAGGATCCTGACTACTAAAAAGTTATGAGGCAAGTCATTGTGGGCACAACATTTATTTATCAATAAACGTTTATTCCATGTCCAGGCAAGCCAAGCACCAATTCTCTGGGAACCTAGTCAAGGAGGACTCAAATATATGGGCATATAAAGACTAGGACAGGCCGGCCCCAGTGGCTCATGCCTCTAATCCCAGCACTTTGGGAGGCCGAGGCAGGTGGATCAAGTGAGGTCAGAAGTTTGAGACCAGCCTAGCCAACATGGTGAAACCCTGTCTCTACCAAAAATATAAAAAATTAGCTGGGTGTGGTGGTGCGTGCCTGTAATCCCAGCTAATTGGGAGGCTGAGGCAGAAGAATCGCTTGAACCCGGGAGGCAGAGGTTGCAATGAGCCGATATCGTGCCGCTGCACTCCAGCCTGGGCAACAAAGTGAGACTCCATCTCAAAAAAAAAAAAAAAGGACTAGGACAAAAATACCTACTTTCAAGGAGTTCACAGTCTACAGGAATAAACAGGACATGTAAATGAACAAAATAGGTCCCCATCCTTTATGAACCTACTTTAAAAAACAAAAAACAGGGCAAGTATATGTACAGGATACAATGGAAGCAGAAAGATCCCCAATTCTGCCTTACTTTGGGCAACAAAGTAGGAGGTACACCTCGAAGGTATGAGAGTAAACACAGGTTCAACTGAAGAACTCTAATGACTTGGCTAGAATACAGTATGGCTAGAATACAGAAATGTCAAAATGAGGACTTGTCGGCAAGGGCCAGAAGACCAGTCAAGCCCTGGGCTTCATGTGACACAGGACGGTGAATAAAAGCCGTGCAGTCCTATAACCTGACTTGCAGTTCCCAAAGACTAACCTGCGCTGCTGTACTGAAGATACAGAATGGGAGGGTCAGGGATGAGGAAAACAGAATGGGCATCTAATTCCCTGTAATGTCTTTGCTCTCCCTTAATCTAAGCTTTATGTTCAAAATAAAAGTACCACTCTCACTCCACAACTCCCCCAGTATCTGAAGACCACCATGGCGATTCCCTAAATTGGCCCTCCTTCCAAGTCAGCACCACACATTCCCCATCCACTCCTCCAGATTTCAGTACCCTGTGTCCACTGGCATCAAAGTATGACAGGCACCTCGGAAGTGGGCACAGATACAAGACAGATCTGGTCTGGCAAGCACAGAGCTCAGCAAGACTATTATTTCCCTCGATCTAGAAACTGAGCTGCTCCTACCTTAATCTAAGAAAAAAAAAATCTGCTTTTCTAGGAGCTTCCAGAGGCTCATAATAAGTTCATGGTTATCTAATATTTTCAAGTCTTTTACCACACAAACTGCTGCTAAGCTACTGTTCTCTTTTTCCCCCCTTTTATTTTTTGTTTTGGAGATGGAGTCTCGCTCTGTCGCCAGGCTGGAGTACAGTGGCACGACCTCGGCTCACTGCAACCTCCGCCTCCCGGGTTCAAGCAATTCTCCTGCCTCAGCCTCCCGAGTAGCTGGGACTACAGGTGCGTACCACCACGCCCCGTTAATTTTTGTACTTGTAGTAGAGACGGGTTTAACTATGTTGGCCAGGATAGTCTCGATCTCCTGACCTCATGATTCGACTGCCTCGGCCTCCCAAAGTGCTGAGATTACAGGCATGAGCCACTGTGCCCAGCCTCCCCTAATGTTTTATTATGAAATTTTACAAACATGCAGAAATGTTGAAAAAACTGTATAGTAAGCAACATCCCACTTCTTTCCTTTTCTTCTTAATTTTTTTTCTCTATCATAGCACACTACAGCCTGAGCTCCGCCTCAGCCTCCCAAGTTGCTGGCATTACAGGAGCACACCACCATGCCCAGCTCATCCTCTTCATTGCTGTGTAATCTGTATTCTAAAAAATCTAAACCTTTATCTGTTAAAATTTTTATTTGGTAAATCAGCCCAAGGTTCCAGCCTTTAGGATACTTTTAAATTCTGACTTTGACTTGAAACCCATTAGTCTTCCTTCTAACAAGTGCTGTCTTCAATCTAAGTCACTTGGCCACCCAGTATTCTCATCTACAATAAAAAGGAAGTTGGACTCTAAGGCATCTCTACGACACCTTCTGACTCTTGTAATGTCAGATAATTCACATAATTGATGACGTTACATAGGACAAAGCAATGGTAAGGCTATGTGACACACCAAAAGAATCTCCTTCCGGGTCTCCCATACAGTGAGTAGAGAACTGAACTTAAAGGTCAAGAGACCTGAGTTCAAGCTCCAGTTCTGCCATCCAAGTTGTGTGACTCTGGACAAATCACTTAATCACTTTATGTATCTGCAAATCTGTTTCTTCTCCTATAAAAAAGAACTGATAAAATCTAGTTTATAGAGTTCTTGTAAAAAATAACATGTGTAAACCAACAAGAACATAACTCCTGATATCCCACTTCCAGAAGTTACTTCATCACAGATCAAAGGTCAAAGGAAAAATGGTGTAACAGTCCAAGGTTAGGGACAGCAACTTATTTCAGTGGTTCAGAAACCCCACCCTCACCAACCATCCACCCATGAAAAACACACCAATCAAGTTTCAGAAATATACCAAAAGGACATTGTAAATTTATCTTATTGTCATACTGCATCCAGAAGGATCCACCCTGATTAGAGGACAACACAAATTGTCCTGGATACCACAAGAGAGCTCCAAGGCCGTTCCCTGGCTGAGAAGCACCTTCAGCCCTGGCACAGGGTGGGACGGGAACCCCTCTTGGCAACTACAGGGACAGTCCCCAATCTCTCCATTCTGTAGTTACACCAGGATCTTGATTGCTGTCACTACTTTCTTCTTTCAGTTCCTCCTATTCACCTCCATTAGAATCTTTTCCCCTCAAATGTTTCCAAAATGTACTGCTATTTAAAACCATTTAAATTTCCTATTTAATTAATAATTCTCTGTGCTTATTCAAAAACAACAACAACAACAAAAAGAAAACACTACTATCCAGGAGACTGCCCAACCACGTATGATCAAATCTGTATCCTTCTATATCCCTGGGTAAGTTAACCTCTCTGAAATCTGTTTCTTCATTTTAAAAGGGGGCTGGTAATACTATGTACCTTCCTTATAAGGATGTTGAGAGGATTCAATGAAATAATGAGCCTAAAGTGGTTAGCAGGCTGGCAGCCCACAGTAAAGACCAGATAACATGAGCTATCATAATTTACAGAAGAATATATTGCATGCCCCATGTATGACTACTGCCTTATTAAAATAAAAGCAGCAATTCAAAAGACACTTTGTAAAAGAAACCCTTTATAAGGAATGACTAAAGATTGTTTTTACCTACTACTTATATTAGATTATATACCATGGCCCACAGATGTCAACAAACAACATTAGCTTATGGGTTTTTCCCACTGAAAATTACATATTATGAAAATACATAGTATGGAGTACACTGGAACAAAAATCAAGAGACCTGGATTGCAGTCCCAGGTCTGGCACCATCTATGTGACCTTGTGCAAGTCACCCACACTCTGTGAGCCTTGTTTATAAAGGAGAGTGGATTAGTAGCTTTCAGAAGTTCGAAAATTTCATTTCATAATCTGTACTTTCAGAACACGGAATCAAACAATTTAAGAGGAACTGCTTATTAATTATGACTTTTTATGCCTATCAATACCCACTGAAAATCCAAAAAGGGTTTTTAACCTAAGCAATCTAAATATATTTATCTCTCTTATTTCACAAACTTCATTTTCAAAATGTAGAGATCATATTAAAATTGTAAATTAAGAACAGACTTAAAACACTGAGAAGAAAGAATCACACAGTCAAGGGAAACTATAACTCAGGGAAAGGGCCACTTCAGAGTCAGAAAGTGAATGCTGCTAAATGAAGCAAAATCAACAATCGATTTGATAAAACATGTGTCTTACCAAAAGCCAATCAAAACTTTCAAAAGAAACCCAGTAAGAAGTGTTTAAATCAAATAAATCATAATGTAATGGATTGATCCTATATTCTTCAACATATACATAACCTTTCTTATGGTGAATTATGACACACATTCAGAAAGGTGCATTTTATGTACACATTTTAAAGACTTGGAGTGAGACTCCACTGAAAAAGTCAAGGACTACTAAGAGGGAAAGTCTGAGCCTTGTCATGTCAAAAAACTGCACATGTGCAAGTTGGCATATATTCAAGGTGCATGAAACAGACAGGAGGGAGAGAGAAGCAGGGGTAAGATGCCTTCAGATATGTGATTCTCTGCTCAGTCTGAATCCAGACAGAAGTCCAGTACTGCTCAAAAAACTTCAATGCTTACTGACTGAGGCACAACTTTTAAATGCTTGTTTTTATAAGACAGTACTTTCTTAATTTTTAAAGACAGATTTTATACTATGCCTAAAATTGTAACATGTAGTACATTTAACAGGGTAGTTTCCCATTTCCAGGAATCAACGATATCGGTTATGACTTATGAGGAAAGATGGCATCCAGATCTACCTCCCCTGTTTCTACCTCCAACTCCAGGACGAAAGAAACTGTACTCTATGTCCTCTCCCCACTCCAGGTAGGCACTCCCCCTTAAACAGCCTCATGGCCACGGAAGGAAAATGCAGCTCCTTTCTGCTTTAACCCAGTTCTTCTCACAATTCCCTCCTTTCTGCCTGTCCAACCAGTTAAGAAAGTCTCAAGGTGAATCCACAGGAGAAAGACTGCTCAGTCACGCCTGAGTGGCCACTTTAATCAAGATAAGGAGGTGATGGTGAGCAGGGCCAATGAATCCCCAGTGGAGGGATGGAGGCCAAGTCATGCTGCAGTGGAGTGGAATAAAAAGCTGAGTAGGAAAGAAAAGGATAAAGAACATCTCAAAAATGTGTGAAGGGGAGAGAGCCGGGGGTAATGAGGAGGCAGAGACACTTTGTTGATGTTGCCATTGTCGTTTAACTATGAAAGTAAGCTGCCTGGAAAGCACCAGCCAGACAATGTGGAAAGCCCACACTGCACAAATACTAGGGCACTGATTCTCATAATAACCCCACGTGGACAGAAAGGAAAAACAAACTTTGGTTAGAGAGGAAAGCAAGCACAACTACATATAGGATGCTAGACCAACCACAACTACACATAGGATGCTAAAAAAAAAAAAAAAGGAGGTAGTTATCAGTAATACCAACTCAAATGGCCACTAAACAGCACAACTGTATTCCCACTTGTTTTGGCCAACGAAAAGCTCACTCACACTAACTTATGATTTCTATTATTCTATGAGGCTTAACCCAAGAAAATAATTAGAAACGATTAGAAGCTTCCTGGATTTTTTTAAACTTAGAACCATGTAAGTCTTCTCCTTCTTTCTACTTTTTAAAAAATAATGAAATAAAAGTCCTAATCTTATGCCAAGACCTCTTCAGATCCATTTCTGGAGATCTTCTCTCACTTTAATGCAAGCTGCTGGAAAGGACGTTAAACTACTGACAACACTTAACATTCCAGACAAGTGACAAGCCTGGAAAAGGACAGCCTAAAAGAATGTCTGGCAACAGTACATAAGTGATTTTTCCAGATTTAGTCCAAAACACATTCGTTCCCAAAGTTCAAACTGCCAGAATGCAAAAAATTTTGCGTCTCCTCTGGCCACTACCTCCTTAGCCAAAGTTTCTGAATATTTACAAAAAGAAAACGTTTATTCAGGATCCTTTCAAACCACAGCTTTATGCTCAGACTCTTGGCAGGCAGTTTAAACTTGCACAATTTGGTATCGATAAAATTAACTGTCAGCCATAGTTTTAATTCAAAACATCAATCTATTTGTACATTTATAACAACCTCTGATGTGAAATACTAAATGAAACATTTCATTTTGCACTTCATTAATGGTTCAAATATAACAATGTAAAAAATCCTTTCTAAAAAGCTTATAATTGGCTGGGAGCAATGGCTCACGCCTGTAATCCCAGCACTTTGGGAGGCCAAGGCAGGCGGATCACAAGGTCAGGAGTTCAAGACCAGCCTGACCAACATGGTGAAAACCCGTCTCTACTAAAAGTACAAAAATTAGCCAAGTGTGGTGGCAGACACCTGTAATTCCAGCTACTGAGGAAGCTGAGGCAGGAGAATCGCTTGAACCCAGGAGGCAGAAGTTGCAGTGAGCCAAGATCACGCCATTGCACTCCAGCCTGGGCAACAGAGCAAGGATATGTCCAAAAAAAAAAAAAAAAAAAAAAAAAAAAAGCTTAAAATTTTGGATTTGAGAAGTCTTTCTAAACTAAATAAGTTAAAATAGAATTCAAATTCAGTGTAGTAAAAACTAAGTCTTTTTTTCAACAAGCATTTCACTGGTTAGGTTAAAAAGAAATTAATAAAAAATGCTAAGAAGTTCTTTTTCCCTGTGTCTAGTGAGTATAAAGCAGTGGTACTTAATGAGGGGTAGGGGACAATTTTGTACCCTAGGGGATATTTGGCACTTCCTGTACACATTTTTCGTTGTCACAACTGGGTGGGAGGCAAGGTGCTACAGACAGTGAGTGTGTAAGAGGCCAGGAATCCTAGTAAACTCCCTACAACACACTGGACAGCCCCCCACGACAAAGAATTATACAGCCTAAAATATCAATACAGTCAAGGCTGGGAAACCTTGGTATAAGGGGACTGGTTAAACTTGGAAGGAAGGGTTTGTCTTTCTGTAAATCGTTCCGTAAAAAAGGTCTCATGTGTACAGACAATCTGCTGAGAAAGCCACAGTTCTGGCAGCTGGCAGAGCTGAAAGAGAAGGGAAAATCTATGCACAGGGCCCTTGGATTTCCACCCATATTCCCCAGGAAAGGATACAGTTCCAGGAAGGGCTCTCTCTGATCTCCCGGAATGAAATCTGAGATGAACCACAGGGCCTTATTGCTTACCTGTACCTCCTTTTTGTAGTTTCCAGCTGGCCTGGCACAGACTGACAACCCCAAATGGATGGTCGAAATCCACTGTTCTCCAGTCCCTCTCAAACCTCACCGGCAAGAAGGAAAGAAACTAAACCCCGAGGGCCCATTATATTCCAGCGGGGTCCTAGGGATTCCACACTCATTCAGTTCCTTTACATCATAAGAAGTGGGTATTATAATATCAGATCCACTGTAAAAGGTGATCCCGAAGCAAATGGTAGAGCAGGAGTCTGAATAGGGGCACCTCCAACAGCCACATCCACCCCACCACAGCTCCCAGGGGTTTCTTTCTAATCTCAAGGGTGGCCTATACCCTGGGACTATAGGGGGCCTTGGTGTGCTAAATCTTCAGAGACATTTTTAAACGGTCAAGACGCCTCTTGGCGACTGGAAGAAGTTCCTGACCTCGCGGCATTCCCTCCTTCCCATCCCCACTACCACACCAATCCTATGCCAGCCTGTCTGTGTCAGGGAAGAAGTCCAGCTGGACAACTCTGGCAGCCTCCTGTCGCCCTCCCCTGCCAGCAATCCTTCTGTGCCACAGCTGTGTGTCCACACTCTAAAGCACACATCCCACCAGGCCACTCTCCTGTAAAATAATGCCTCACTGTCCCAGGCCAAATACCCCAGCGCCGATACCTGCTTCTTCAAATCCAGGCTCCAACCCATCCCTCCATCTCATTTCCATTTTACGTGCACACATAGTCACACACTCTCACATACCCACACTTTGGCTCCTACTGTTCCTACCCCTGAAAACCCCTTACCACTTTCCTCCCTGAGAAATAACTGCTCGTGCATCACTTCAGGACTCAGCTCCACTGCCGTGTCCTTAGTGATACCTTCCCTTGTCTCTAGTTGGTTGGCCCCCCATCCCTCTTACCTTTCTGGCCACAGCACTCACCTAAGTGTCTTTTATCCAGACAACATTTAGGGTATACTTAGACCAAAAAAGTCATCACTATTTATCTGAAATTCACATTTACTTATTTTTAATTTTCATTTTTTTGGAGACAGGGTCTCGCTTTGTAGCCCAGGCTGGAGTGCAGTGGCGCGATCTCAGCTCACTGTAACCTCTGCCTGCAGGGTTCAAATGATTCTTCTGCCTCAGCCTCTTACTTGAAAAACAGACAAAAGCAAAGCTATGATGTGAATAGCCTGAATTACTGCAAAAAGTACATGAATGTCAGAAGTAAATCCTAACTCTTACTAGATAGGTCAGTTAATCAGTGACACAGTTCACGGCCTGTTATTAAGATATCCTATAACTGAGTCTAGAACTTTACTCACTTCTTAGTGGTAGGACAAAGATATAAGACAGAAAAAGAGGAAAGCAGTAAAAAGTACTTCCTTTCAAATTCAAAATGTCATGGTCCATACTTCCTTGTTAAAATGCCGAAACACACCATATGACTCAATTATTAATACAATAATTTTGCTGTTACCAACTTAGGATAAGCTTCACCTATGTCTTTATCTCAGGAGCAATGTATTGCAAGTTCAAGCAATAAAGTGTAATTACATGCGAGAATGTCAATATAACATAACCAATCAGGTACTAAAAAAACAGAATATGTAAAATAACTATGATGTTTCTTCCCAATATTTCATTCTCATTTTTAAAAAGTAAACTTTCAGAACAGTACTGTAAGACATAAGCAAACTTTGACTTTCAGTAAAAGGTTACTACTAACAGCAAGTGTCAAGAATAGACTACCATGCAGATTTCACTGCAGCTTACCCCCACTTTATCAGATGGAAGTCTTAAATCTAAGCCTTCGAAACTATATTCTAGGTTACAAACATCACCAAAAAATCACCAAAGCCCTACACACATATACATGCCTCTGAGAATGTTGCCTGTCGAATCTGATTTACTGAATAAATGAGTAACTTGATTATTTTAGCTTAAATAAACAATCGCTTTTAAGGACTTCAAAACACAAAATCAAGATTTTCTTTTCAAAAAAGAACAGCGCGCCAGGCGCGGTAGCTCACGCCTGTAATCCCAGAACTTTGGGAGGCTGAGGCGGGCGGATCATGAGGTCAGGAGTTCAAGATTAGCCTGGCCAACATAGTGAAACCCCGTCTCTACCAAAAATACAAAAATTAGCCGGGCTTGGTGGTGGGTGCCTGTAATCCCAGCTACTCAAGGCTGAGGCAGGAGAATCACTTGAACCCAGGAAGCGGAGGTCGCAGTGAGCTGAGACCGCGACACTGCACTCCAGCCTGGGCGACAGAGCAAGACTCCGTCTCAAAAAAAACAAAACAAAACAACAAAAAAAAAAACAGCAGTATTGTTTTAGATCATAACACTTAACATAGACCACGTGATACACAGAAGGCAGCTCTTTGAATAGGAGCAGCCTGGGACATTTGCTGGCTTGTATTCATGAATTTACATACCAAGTGGAAAGAACTCAGACTGGTTGGGTAGAATATGCGTTCAAATGCTAACAACTCCACTACTTATTAGTTATCTGGCTCTGGGCATATTACTCATCTCCAAATTTCGGTCTTTCATCTTTAAGTAGAAACAGCTAACACATAGGATGCTATAAGAACCACATCAAACGATGTGTGGAAACTAACAAGGAAAATGCTCAGCCCACAGAATTACAGTAAGCATCCATCTCCTTTCCTTCCCACTACAACCAGAAGGACAAATTTCCCTTTATCCTAAACTTACTTTCTTCTATCTTGTCACAGTACTAGTAGACATATAGCTCTCCCTTTCCACTACAATCCCCAGGGCTGCTTCCACTCCGACTTAAGCAGAGAAACTTCAGAGGTTCTTCTAGACAACTACAAACTTTGTCACCCAATCTAAGTGTGTGCCACCCTCTTCCAATCCTAACCACCACAGCTTTGATCACTCTAGAGTTTAATTCAACACAGCTTTCTTTTACCTTCCTCCATCTTCCTCTTCAATCAACTACAAAATTACACTTACTTTTCCTTTGATTGTCCCTGGTGACTATGTGTCTCTCCCTTTCTCTTCTCATCCACTCCCTCTACTCTGCATGAGTCACTCCACTGGCCTTTTATCAGGCTTTCTTGACTGACACCGATCTCTCTGATCCTTTCTGTATTCTTTCAAATTGTCCTCCTTCTTTCTGAACTGTTGCTTTTTAAAGATGGGATAATAGTATTGTGGTGGTGTTTTTAATTTTAAAGATTCTCAGCTGGGTGTTGTGGTTCACGCATGTAATCCCAGCACTTTCAGAGGCCAAGGCAGGCAGAACACGAGGTCAGGAGATCGAGACCATCCTGGCTAACGCGGTGAAATCCCGTCTCTACTAAAAATACAAAAAAATTAGCCGGATGTGGTAGTGGGTGCCTGTAGTCCCAGCTACTCGGGAGGCTGAGGCAGGAGAATGGCATGAACCCGGGAGGCAGAGCTTGCAGTGAGCCGAGATCACGCCACTGCACTCCAGCCTGGGCGACAGAGCAAGACTCTGTCTCAAAATAAAATAAAATAAAATAAAATAAAAGATTCTCTATTAATTAAATTACAAAATAATGGAATATCTCTGGAAAATTCTGAAATACTTGGGAACTCACATACTTCTACGTCTATGAACTAAAGAAGAAACCAAAAGGGAAATCAGAATGTGTTTTGAACTTAAAATGAAAACATAACATATCAAAATTTGTGGGCTATCCTTAAATTACCTTTAAAAACTTAAAGCAGTAAAGGGAAATTTATAACACTAAACACCTATGTTGGAAAAGAAGAAAAGACTCAAATCAGCTCCTACTTTAAGAAACATGAAAAAGAAGAGCAATGAAACACAAAGTATGGAGAAGAAAAGAATAAACATCTAAGCAAAAATCAATGAAATAGAAAACGTAAAACAGAGATCAATGAAACAAAAAATGGGTTGAGAGGATCAAGAAAACTGATAAACCTCTAGCCACACTCATAAAAAAGAGAGGACACAAATTACCAGCATTAAGAATGGAAAGGGTAACAACACTACAGATTCTACAGCTATCAGAGGAAAATAAGAGACTGTTAGAAACCACTTTATGCCAGTAAATTCAAGAACCTAGATAAAATAAATGAATTTCTTGAAAGACAAACTATCATAAAATAAATGAATTTCTTGAAAGACAAACTATCGAAGCTCAAACAGTGATAAATAACTTGAATAGCTCTATAGTTATTGAAGAAATTGGATTTGTAGTTAAAAACTTTCCTACAAAGAAAACCCCAGGCGTAGATGCATTCACTCAGGAATTCCACTAAAGAAGAAATAAAACAAATTCTTTACAAACTCTTCCAGAAAACTGAGAAGAATATTTCTCAACTCATTCTATGAAGCCAGCATTACTTTGATACCAAAATCTGACAAAGACATTACAAAAAAAGAAACCTACAGACCCATATCTCTCGTGAAAATAAATGTAAAAATTACAAACAAAATTTTAGCAAATTGAGTCTAACAATCTAGAAAAAAAGGATAATATATCATAACCAAGTAGGGTTTATCCCACAAATGCAAGGTTAGTTTAACATTCAAAAATCGGCAAGGCAGGCTGGGCGCGGTGGCTCACGCCTGTAATCCCAGCACTTTGGGAGGCCGAGGTGGGCGGATCACCAGGTCAGGAGATCGAGACCATCCTGGCTAACACGGTGAAACCCCATATCTACTAAAAAGACAAAAAATTAGCCGGGCATGGTGGCCAGCGCCAGTAGTCCCAGCTACTCCTGAGGCTGACGCAGGAGAATGGTGTGAACCCAGGAAGAGGAGCTTGCAGTGAGCCGAGGTAGAACTACTGCACTCCAGCCTGGGCAGCAGTACAAGACCCCATCTCAAAAAAAAACAAAGTTATCGGCCAGGCACAGTGACTCACGCCTGTAATCCCAGCACTTTGGGAGGATGAGGTGGGTGGATCACCTGAGGTCAAGAGTTCGAGACCAGCCTGGCCAACATGGTGAAACCCCGCCTCTACTAATAATACAAAAATTAGCCAGGCATGGTGGTGCACACCTGTAATCACAGCTATTTGGGAGGCTACGGCAGGAGAATTGCTTGCACCCAGGAGGCAGAGGTTGCAGTAAGCTGGGATTATGCCACTGCACTCCAGCCTGGGTGACAGGGTGCGACCCCGTCTTAAAAAAAAAAAAAAAAATTCAAAACTCAATGTAACTCACCACATTGTAAACTAAAACAGAAAAGCTGTATGATCTTCTCAATACACACAGAAAAACACTAAACAAAACCCAACATTCATTCCTTATTAAAAAAATACAAAACTCCACACAGAGGATAACCTACTAAACCTGACAAACAGCATATATGAAATACCTGTAGCTAATATCATACTGAATGACGTAAGACTGAATATTTTCCCCATAGGATCAAAAATGAGACAAGGAAATCCACTTTTACCACGATTGAAACTGCCTTTACAAAATTATGACTGAGACAGTGAGAGATCTAACTTAACTGACTCCATCTTGCTTCTAACCTCCCAGTTGTCCTTGCTCATTCCTGGGTGTAGACTGAACTAACTTCGGGAGAAACTTATAGTTTATAGTTTAAAACAAAGATGGTAACAGCCCTTTCCCAAAGCAGACCTCCTTCTTGCCTGGGCACCAGACTGCCTTCGTAGGACTCACATTAGACACAAGATTAGAAATTATGGTTTAGGAGTCACGCAGCTGAAGGCTAAAGATTCTGACCCTCCCTAAACTGCTCTTGAGATCAGTGCTTGAGAAATTTTGCAGACCCTGCACTTGATGGATCAGCTGGCACCATCCAGATCGATTAACTGGCTCATCTGATCTTGTGGCCCCCACCCAGGAACGGACTCAGCTCAAGAAGAAAGTTTCAACTCCTTTTGATTTCACCCCTGACCAATCAGCACTCCTGGCCCATCGGCTTCCCCCCACCTACCAAGCTGTCCTTAAAAACTCTGCTCCTCAAATGCTCAGGGAGACTGATTTGAGTAATCATAAAACTCCAGTCTCCCACCCAGCAGGCTCTGCCTGAATTACTCTTTCTCTATTACAATTCCCGTCTTGATGATTCCGCTCTGTCTAGGCAATGGGCAAGGTGAACCCATTGGGCAGTTACACTTCTATTCATTATGTACTTAGAAGTTCTAGCCAGTGCAGTAAAGGAAGGAAAAACAAATAAAAGGCATTCAGAGTGGGAAGAAAAAAGTACAACTGTCTTTATTCACAGACAACATTGACAGAATAGCCAATGGAATCCATCAAAAAGCTTTGAAAACGAATTACATTAAGGTCTCAGGATACAAGATTAATACACAAAAACCAAGTATTATTTTTATATATTAGCAATGAATAATGGGAAGTTGAAATTCACAGTATCAAAATATATGAAATAGAAGTAAATCTGACCACATCCCTTCAAAAAACTGGAAAGATTTGTACACTGAAAACTACAAAATATTGTTGAGAAAAATTAAAGAAAAACTAAATAAATTGAGAAGTATACCATGGTCATGGGTTAGGAGATTCAATTTTATTAAGAAGTCAATTCTTCCCCTGAAATTATCTACAGAATCAAAACAATCCCAACAGAAATTCCAGGAGCTTTTTTGTAGAATGTGACAAGTTGATTCTAAAACACAGAAATGCAAAGGACCTAGGACTGATAATTGTTGAAGGTAGGTGATAAATACATCACTTGGTATTTCACTACATTTTTCTCTCTACTTTGTAAATGTTTGAAATTTTCCATAGTGAAAACATGTTTTGAATAAAAACTCAGATGCTTCCAGGAACACATATAAATACAAAACATCCTTCCTTTAAAATTTTCATTACATTACAAAAATGGTTTCCTCTTACATACTACCTTAAGTCTAACTCCCTGGCTTGGCTTCCCAGGCCCTATAACCAGTCCTCTCTGCTTCCTGTTCCTCTGTAACAGGGGTAAACAAACCACAATCCGGGGCCAAATCTGACCCATCACTTGTCTTTTTTCAGCCCAAAAACTAAGAATGTTTTGCATTTTTAAATGGTTGGGGGAAAAAAAATCAAAAGACTATTTTGGGCTGGACACTGGCTCATGCCTGTAATCCCAACACTTTCGGTGGCCGAGTAGGGTGGAGAGCGTGAGCCCAGAAGTTCAGGAGTTCAAGACCAGCCTGGCCAACATGGTGAAACGCCGCCTCTACAAAAAAATACAAAAACTAATGGGGGGCGGTGGCAAATGCCTATAGTCCCAGCTACCTGGAAGGCTGAGGTGGGAGGATCACTTGAGCCTGGGAAGTCAGGGCTGTAATAAGCTGTGGTCATACTGCTGCCCTCCAGCCTGAGCAACAGAGTGACACTGTCTCAAAAAAAAAAAAAAAAAAAATGTTATTGAAACATAGTCACATTCATTCACATCTGTAGTGGCTGTGGTTACTTTTGCACTACAATGATGGAGTTGATTAGATGCAACAGAGACCTTAAGGTCTTCAATGACTAAAACATTTACTGTCTGGCCCTTTACAGACAGTCTGTCAATCCCTAATTTATTATATGCCTTCTTCTCCCTCAGCTAACTAATTGCCTCACCCCAGGAATGTTCATTACTACCTCTTCTTTGTTCAAGCCCCAGCTACTCCTCAAAACCCAAAATTCCCTTCTTCCCCTTTCCCAAATCCTAACCATATCAGCAGTTTGTGTGGAAGTAGGTAAGCAAAACACCATTCGTCATTATGTAAAGCAAGGCATTGGAGATGCGGTCCCTACATGTACAAGGGGAGGCTGATTACCCCCCAATTCATTTCCAATTTCTCAAAGCAGGTTGGCAGGCTAGCACCTAGGAAGGAGAGAGTGAGCAGATGATGCAGACAGAGCACTGAGAAACTCCTCAGTAACTCATGAGAGTTCATGTGTCAGTCCCCTTGTCTGCTATGTCATCCTTTAGACATCAATTCAAGACAGCAAAATTCAAAAAAGAAATGAGGAAGAAAAAGGTGATGAGGGGCAGAAGGAAAATAGAAGAGAACTTGTCACTTCACAATGTAGAGACTGTCACAAACTGTGGTGAATGGAAAACTATTCTGTTCACCTGGGCGTGGTGTCTCACGCCTATAATCCCAGCACTTTGGGAGGCTGAGGCGGGCAGATCACTTGAGGTCAGAAGACCAGCCTGAGCAACATGGTGAAACCTGGTCTCTACTAAAAATACAAAAAATTAGCCGGGCATGGTGGCACATGCCTGTAATCCCAGCTACTCGGAAGGCTGAGGCATGAAAATCACTTGAGCCCAGGAGGTGGAGGCTGCAGTGAGCTGTGATTGCACCATTGTTGCCCTACAACCTGGGCAACAGAGCTAGACCTGTTTCTAAAATAATAAATAATAATAATAATAATTAAAAAAATAAAATGTACATTTCTAACTTCATTTCAAAGTTAAGGCCAGGTGCAGTGGCTCATGCCTGTAATCCCAGTATTTGGGAGGCCGAGGCAAGGGGATCACTTGAGCCCAGGAATTTGAGACCAGCCTGTGCAAAATAGTGAAACCTTGTCTCTAAATTAAAATAAAATAAAAAGTAAACAAAGTCAAATTTTTTTTAAAAATCAGAAGAGAAACGTTGAACTGCATACTTCCAGGCCCAACAGAGTAGAGGTCAGCACAGGCGCAACCAGGTTGCATATCTACATACAATCTGCCCTGGCAGGAAGGATATCCTTTTCTTCCAGGTTTAACCACTCTAGGTGACCCAGATTATTTTAAATTATAGCGTCAACAATTTAAAGCAGCTTTTACTGTAAGGCACAATCTCAATAATTAATAGGGCAATATAATAAATACATAAAAGCTCAGGGAGAAAACAAGACTCTTGAATGGGCCTGGAAGTTTTGCCACGTCCCCCGAAGTACTCTCGGTTGCATCCTTCGGAACCTTTCAACACATATACATATACCTCCCTCATCCTTTTGTGAAGAGTGTCTATTAATCACTAGATTAAGAGGATTTGGATAAAATTTATAAACGTACAAACTGTGCTACCAAGGACTGACACATTTACTTTTCTGGCTCATCAGTTTATGTCCTAGAAAAACTCCAGATCCACATTAACCAGCTGTTTCCTATTTTACATTTTACGATGGTGTTTCCACTTTCACCTGCAAAGTGACTAATAGTAATACCTATTCCAGTAATTTAAGTAACACCATTTAGAGTAATTTCATCTTTAGTACTGTATTTATACTACTAAGAAAGCTGCCAACGATTCAAGCTGCACTCACTGGTGAAACCCTATGCTATATATGTAATTAATTTATTTCCTAAATTCTTACCTCCCTCCACCCCCTCCATTGGAAAATAAACTCTAAGAATGCAAAAGTTTTTGTGTGTTTTTCTTTAACGCTTAGAGCAGTGCCTGGCACCTAACAGTCAATATCTGCTAACTTTGATGAATGAATGGTATATTTATATTATGCAATATTACTATGCAGCCATGAAACACAATGAGTTAGAGTGGTACCAGCTAATTTAATGGAATTTCCAGAAGTATGAAATTAAGAAAACAAGAAGAAAAGTGTCAAAAATATCATCCCACTTTTTTTTTTCTTCCCTGAAACGGAGTCTTGCTCTGACACCCAGGCTACAGTATAGTGCTGCCATCATGGCTCACTGCAACCTCAAACTTCTGGGCTCAGGGAATCCTTCCACCTCAGCCTCCCATGTAGCTGGGACTACAGGTGTGTGCCACAACGCCCAGCTAATTTATTTTAAATTATTTTTTGTAGAGACAGGGTCTCCCTATGTTGCCCAGGCTGGTCTCAAACTACTAGGCTCAAGTGATCCTCCCACCTCAGCTTCCTGAAGTGTTGGGATTACAGGTGTGAGCCACTGTGCCCAGCCTAATCCCACTTTTTAAAAAGTATACCCCCAAATCCATACACTGGTGAGGAAGTGGAGAACGTGGAATCCTCATACACAGAATTTAAAATGGTACAGCTCTGGAGAACATTATAGCAGTTTCTCAAAGTGTTTAACATAGCTACTACACGACCCAGCAATTCAATTCCCAGATATACACCTGAGAGAACTGAAAGGATATGTCCACACAAAAATTTGTAGAGGAACTTGTACACACTTGTTCACAGTAGCATTATTCTTAATAGCCCAAAGTGGCAAAAACGCAAATGTTCATCAACTGATGGACAAATAAAGCATGAACAACTGATGGACAAATAAAGTATATCATTCAGCATATAAGAAATGAAGTGCTAATACATGCTACAACAGGGACAGACCTTGATAACATTTTGCTAAATGAAAAAAGCCAAACAAAAGGTCACATGTTGTATGATGCCATTTACATAAAAATACCTAGACTAGGCAAATCCATAGAGACACAAAGATCAGTGACTGCCCAGAGCCAGAGGGAGTGGTGAATGTGAAATGACTACTAATGAGTACAGACTTCTTTTTGAGGTATTGAACATGTTATGGAATCAGATGGTGGTGATCAATGCATAACTTTGTGAATATACCAAAAACCACATGAAAGGTACACTTTAAAAGCCTGAATTTTAAGGTATGTGAATTATATCTCCATAAACCTGTGATTTTGTTAATATACGCTTATTTGCAAATGAATACATGGATAATGAGGAATAATATGAAAGGTTAATGACAACCTTGGTGATAGGGTACCGGAGACTGGGAGAGGAAGATAAGTGTTGAGGTAGAAGAAGACAAAAAATAAAAGACCAAAACAATAATCCAAAGCCAGGGGCCATGAGTTGGGAGATGGAGCAAGACGAAGTGTACAAAGAAATGAGCATAAATCATAAAAATGAGGGAACTAGGGTTGAAAAACCCAGTAAGTAGTTTGTAATGGGGGAGACGAAGCAAACCTAAGTAACTGCAATGATTCAACAGAATTTGCAGAAAATGCAGAAGGGCGAGAAAAACAATGAAAAAATGGATCAGAAGATTTAAAATTGGCTCTACCCCACCAAAGTTTTAAAAAGCAAGCAAGAAGAAAATTCAGTTGCTCCTGGGCAAGAATTCTTGGGCCCAGTGGGGTAGAACCAAACCATGATAAGGAGACACCAGTGTTTTGTAAGCAAGAGAATATATTAAGGAGAGAAAAGGGGCATTTATTGGGAGAAAAGGTCTCACTGTGATTGTTCTGGAATAAAGTAGCCCCATCGGACTGCCTCAGGAACTCATGATGGAAGAGGTGCCACTGGAAAATGGCTTAGTCGGGATCTTCCCCAAGAACACTAGAAGAGAGAGAGGAAGAATAGAATAGCTTTAAATTTTAGCAGATATTTCTTTTTCTTGTTTAATTAAAATAAACCTTATTGACCTAATATTTTTGAGACTGGGCTCTTGCAATGCTGCCCAAGCTGAACTCAAACTCCTAGGCTCAAGAGATTCTCCCACTTCAGCCTCCTGAAAAGCTGGCACTACAGGTGCGCACCACTGGGTCCAGCATAATGGCTATTTCTTGACAAATCTTGACAATGCCACCAGTATGTTTTTCTTTAGAGACAGAGTCTCGCTTCGTAGCCCAGGCTGGAGAACAGTGGTGTGATCCCTAGCTCACTGCAGCCTCAAACACCTGGACTCAGGAGATCCCCCTGCCTCAGCCTCTCAAGTACCTGAGACCACAGGTGCGCACCACCACACCTGGCGAATTTTATTTTTTTTTATTATACTTTAAGTTCTAGGGTACATACACCTGGCTAATTATAAAATGTTTATCTGTACAGACAGGGTCCCGTTATGTCGCCCAGGCTGGTCTCGAACTCTCGGCCTCAAGCAGTCCTCTCCTCTTCACCTTCCAAAGCCCTGAAATATGCCCACATCCAGCCTGCCACCAGTTTCTTTGCATACTTCTTTCCTAGGCTTGACCAAGACCTTTACTTTCTTCTGTGTACAGCTCAGCATTGAAAAAAAAAAGTTTAGGCTGGGCACAATGGGTCACACCTGTAATCCCAACACTTAGGGTGGCCAAGGCGGGAGGTTTGCTTGAACCCAGGAGTTCCACACCAGCCTAGGCAAGATGGCAAGACCACGTCTCTCAAAAACAATTTTTGTAAAATTAGCCAGGTGTGCTGGTGCGGGCCTGCAGTCTCAGCTAGTGAGAAGACTAAGGCAAGAGGAACCCTTGAACCCAGGAGTTCAAGGCTACGGTGAGCTGTGATCACCTCTCCAGCCTGGGTGATAGGGTGAGACTCAGTCTCTGAAAACAACTAAAAATAAAAAAAGTTGAATAATGAGTCTTCTTTTTAGAGGCAATGTATTTTTCCTCTTTAACTTTTTGTTTTCCTTAGGCTATATGCACAATAGACAAAGTTGAAATTTAATCTTAATCTCTTAAACCCTTACTGTCCAAACACATCAAACTCAAAAAAAAAAAAAAAAGGTGAAAGGTGTACAAGAGAAAAAAGGGAAGTGATCTGTGTCAAATGTACATTCCTTCCACAATTTGGGATAAAAATGATGCCTACCTGGTCTCTGGGTGCCAAAATAAGACATTAGAGACACTCCCCTCCTTCAAGAAATAAAATTGGAATCAGACACTAAGGTACAATTAAACAGACTTTGAAAAGTTGGTACGCACTACTGGGAGGTGTCTCACAGCTGTCAGGGTCAAGTGCAACTAGAATAAAAGCTCCTAAGGGCAGAAACTAAGTGGCTCACTTCCTCTGTAACACTGCCGTGCCCAGCACTGTACCAGCACCCCAGCAGAGTCAACAACTTTCTGTCAAGCCACACACTTACGGTCTCATTGTCCAGTGGAGGCCGCAGACGAGACATAGTGTGCCAAATCCCAAATGCACAGGGTGCCAGACAAGTCTGCAGGAGGCAGGAGGACTAGGGAAGCCTTCCAGGCAAGGTGATGCCTGAGCTGAGTTGTTTTTCTTTTGAGTTTGGAACATTAATTTAATCGGAGGAAAACAAGGGACATGAAAAGGGCAAGGAAATAAGAAAATGAGCTGAGTTTTGAAGGCAATGATCAGATGAAGTGAGAGAAGAATATTCCAGCAGAGGGAGACAAGGAGACTGCAGAGATTTCAAGGGGCCAAGAGCTGTTCAGTGCAGCTCAGTGAAGCACCTAAACAGAGGTAGGGGAAGGAGAACAGGGGTCAAAGCCCAGTATTGAAGTGTTCTGGATACCAAGCTAAGGAGACCTTATTACGAAGGTACTGGGGCTGCTGAAGGGTTTAAATGGGAAAGTGATTGTGAACAGATTAATAGTTTGGAAAGATACAGGCAGAAGTAAACCTCTGGATTTAACCAAAAAATAAAGGACAGAACCACAATGAAGATGTTTGGAAAAGATCAGGAAAAACACTGTTAAAAGATATTCACTCTCTTCTCTTATTTACAGATTTCCTTTATGGAATACCAAATTATTCTTTGAAAATAGAGAACTCAGAAGTGGCTGAGAGCAGTCAGTCAGTCTTCAGAATGTAAAAACTACTATTCTGAAGAAGTAGATATTACATTATTAATTTCATTTCAAGATGCTTTAAAAACGTGCCTTTTGATACACTGCAGGTTTTTTAAGAGTATGTCACAATAACTCTAAATCTTACTTGAAATTAATAGAAGAGCACTATAAATTTTAAAGGCTTCACAGACACAGGGATCATCTGTTATGTTCACTTTGGAACAGATCATAATTGTCCCTCCCTCTCAACATACCCAAAATACGTTGTTTAAGGCTACTTTCCTAATGGTCATGTTATTTCACAGTAAAAGACTGAGGTCACAATGATTTCTGAGCTGACAGAAAACCCCATGGGGGTTCTTTACCTCGCATCTAGTCTATTCAGTACTAACAATTCCAACCACCAGAAAGAATTTCCCTGCCTAGGCTTATTTGTTGGCACAACACAAAAAAATCTCCTGGGGCTGGGTGAGGTGGCTAGTGCCTGTAATCTCAGCACTTTGGGAGGCCAAGGCAGGCGGATCACCTGAGGTCGGGAGTTCCAGACCAGCCTGACCAACATGGAAAAACCCTGTCTCTACTAAAAATACAAAATCAGCCAGGGGTGGTGGCACATGCCTGTAATCCCACCTACTTGGGAGGCTGAGGCAGGAGAATCGCTTGAACCTGGGAGGCGTAGGTTGCGGTGAGCGGAGATCATGCCATTAGACTCCAGCCTGGGCAACAAGAGCGAAACTGTCTCAAAAACAATTATATCTAATAAAAAAGATCTATTTAACAATGATCAGAATAGGAACATCTTTAATGCCATGCAAATTTAACAGCTTTCTCAGTGGATTTCTCAGTAGACTGTGACCAATGATCTCAAAATAAACTCATATTTACTCTTAAGAAATACTCTATATTTGAATCTTCTTAACAGCAAAAGCCCCAGGAACTTTTTCCTGAACTCCCTAACAGCAGCAGGAAAACAAGAGATTCTCGGCTCTCTTTATTTTTAAAAATCACAATAACTACCCTTGCATTTACTATTTACGTTTACCATATATCACCATTTACTATCACCATCATTTCATAAAAGATGCTTTATTTTAACACCAAGAAAGCAGAACTTTTTTAAAGAAAAGATAGTCCTTCAATTGAATAAATTGAATTGTATAAAAGACTCCCAATATTGTCCTTTTTTTCTTATTTCTGTTCCCTTACTGAGCTGAGCAGTTTGCATAATACCACACACAGGTTAGTCATGTGATTTAAATATGTATATGATAGTAATTTTGATACTATCACTTAAGTCATTCGAAATATCAGATGCACTGTGTGTCAAGTCAGTTATAGAGAACCACTGCTTCAGAGAAATCACATCTGAGGAAGAAACACCGCAGATACACCTCCTAAAAGTTCACCTTTGAAACAGAAATTTTGATACAAACTTCACTTTAACTACAACTGTAATTGTAATTATTACAGTTATTCTCCACTCACTAGATACTGTACTTGACACTCACGTTATTTAGTTGGCTACCAACGTGCACCTGTGATAAAGCTTTCCTATGGCACAACATTCACTTTCTTACTGAAAATGTCAAGAAAACCCCTACACACCTGCAACCATTAGGAAGCATTCTCCAGCTATCAAAAAAGTCACTGAATCGGCTAAGCGACTCTGTGTGGTATACACTAAATCAAAGGGGAAAAGGTGTTTTTTTGGAGGAAAAAAATACTGGATTAGCCATTTATTGAAACAATTTTACCCACAACAATACTTCTCCTTTCACTATATACCCTTCTATGTTGGTTTGGTTATTTTACAACATACATGTATATTGTAATAGCTGTTTTTTTTTTTTTTTGAGACAGAGTCTCACTCTGTCGCCCAGGCTGGAGTGCAGTGGCGAGACCTCGGTTCACTGCACCCTCTGCCTCCTAAGCAATTCTCCTGTCTCGGCCTCCCGAGCCGCTGGGATCACAAGCGTGTGCCACCACGCCCGACTAATTTTTATATTTTTTGTAGAGACGGGGTTTCACCATGTTGGCCAGGCTGGTATCGAACTCCTAACCTCAGGTGATCCACCCGCCTCGGCCTCCCAAACTACTGTGATTACAGGCGTGAGCCAGGGAGCTCGGCCTTGTTATATCTGGTTTTTGTTTTTTTGAGACGGAGCCTCGCTCTGTAGCCCAGGCTGGGGTACAGTGGCGCGAACTCGGCTCACTGCAACCTCCGCCTCCCGGGTTCAAGCGATTCTCCTGCCTCACCCTCCTGAGTAGCTGGGATTACAGGCGCGCGCTTTTTGTATTTTTAGTAGAGACAGGATTTCACCATGTTGGTCAGGCTGGTCTTGAACTCCTGACTTCAGGTGATCCGCCCGCCCCGGCCTCCCAAAGTGCTGGGATTACAGGCATGAGGCACCGCGCCTGGCCTGGTTTTTAATTACGAAGAAAAAATTACTATAGTCCCTTTGGTATCACCTACATTGGCAAAATTGCAGTCCCCCTCCACTCCCTGAAGCCACCAGAAATGACTGCTGTTGTCTACAAAGCCTACAGCTCTGATTTCATCTCAAGATGTGTCCTACTGGGTGACAGCAAATGCCATTTTTTAAAGGCTTGTATCTGTTATAAGCTTGGGAAATATTATCATGGCTTAAGAGGCTCTTTTGACAAAAGAAAACACTGTTCCCTGAAATCACCTGGGCTGTTCACGGGAATCTTTTCCTCGCCCTTCTGGTACTTGGACAAATGATCAAGGATATCAACAAATCAAGGTTCCCCGCATTTGAATGATCACAGAATTTTTGCGTGTTCTGTAAATGGGCTAAAACTACTGGAAACTGATTTCTTTTCGTCATCTCCAGGGCAGCTTGCCCAACGTGCCGCGACTATGATGTCTTAGACTTAACTACTTAAGGTAATACAATTACCAAATTCCTGGAAACGCAAAATTTCCTCAGACAGGTACCGGATTATTCACATCCAACCTGATGCAATTAACCACGTCTCAAGAAAAAAGGACGTTCCGTCCGCCTCGGGCGCCGGCCACAGCAGAAGCAGCACCGGCAGCAGGCCCGGGGTCCGCCGCCTGTGGCCCCTGCTCCTCCGCTCTGCGCCCTCGGGGCCACTGAACAACGCTGTCCCCGCCCCAGGCAAGGGACCCGGGCGATGGGGC
Organism: Homo sapiens; assembly: GCF_000001405.40. Taxonomy (NCBI): domain Eukaryota; kingdom Metazoa; phylum Chordata; class Mammalia; order Primates; family Hominidae; genus Homo; species Homo sapiens. Next base: position 24,271,353 of record NC_000022.11, on the reverse strand, counting down.
GGCAGCCCCAGCCTCTCCCGGAGCGGCGGAAAGGCAAGCACGAGGGTCGCACCCGGCCTGTCTGCACACAGTCAAGCCGCAAGCGGGGTCCCAGAACCAGCTGAACCCCAACACCAACGGACGAAGGCCAGTGGGTCTCGGCGGCGAAGCCTGCGGGTTGTTCCAGAAGCCCCGAAGCCCAGAACGAGGACGGCGCGGGAAGGGAAAGGCGCAGGCGCGGGACACACTGGAGGGGCCCAGGAGCAGAGACGGCGCAGGCGCTGGGCCTGCCGGGGTCTGCGGGGACGCCCGGGCGCGGCAGCGCGGGCGGCGCTGAGGCGATAAACCAACCCGCCAGCGAACACTGCGGGAACCCGGCTGCTGCTCTTACCGCGCTGCACCGCATCGCTCCCTCGCAATCTCCTGGTTTGGGCTGGGCGGTGAGCTCACCCGGTGGCTCAGCCGAGACCCGTTGAGTCCGGCCTCAGGAAAGCAGCCTACCCCGCAGCGCCGCTTGCCGGGCCGCCCGGCCTCCCTCGCGGGCCCCGCCCTTGGCCAGCCCCTTCGCGCCCAGCAGGGCTGCGGCCGTCTGCGCAGGCGTCGTGGAGGCCCCGCCTACATTCCTTCACTGCGCAGGCGCCGCCGTCCCCCACCACCACCCCCTCCCCTTCCCCCATCTCCGGCTCGCGTCCGTCTCGGCACTGGGTCGCGCAGCCGCTCTGCCACTTGGCCGGTCAAGAAAGTAGCCGGCCAGCCGGTGCGCATGCCTCAGGTCTTGGGCTGGAGCCGGGCAAGGCGGGTCCCTTCAGAGGCCCCACTGGGCCCAGCGGAATGATGCTCAGAGTCCGCTAGTCCCAAAAGTTCTCCTCAGCGTGTTTACCGTGTGCCAAGGACTGTGCTATGCATGAGCCAGACAGCAGTGAGGAAAACACAAAGCCCTGTCCTCCTGGCACTCCCGGTACATAAGGGAACAGACAAAAAGAATAAGCGAGCAACATATATGTATATATATATGTATATACATATATATATACGTATATATATATACGTATATATATATGTATATATATACATATATATATACGTATATATATATGTATATATATGTGTATATATATACATATATATATGTATATATATATATATATATATATAAAATATTAAAGAAATTCTGGGGGAGTTCGAGTTCCATCGGCCCCCATCCGGGCCACCCTGCCACCTTAGCGGCTGCTCCTCCCCAGAATGCTGATGCCTAAGAAAAACCGGATTGCCATTTATGAACTCCTTTTTAAAGAGGAAGTCACGGTGGTCAAGAAGGATGTCCACATGCCTAAGCACCTGGAGTTGGCAGACAAGAATGTGCCCGGCCGGGCGCGGTGGCTTAGGCCTGTAATCCCAGCACTTTGGGAGGCCGAGGCGGGCGGATCACGAGGTCAGGAGTTCAAGACCAGCCTGGCCAAGATGGTGAAACCCGTGTCTACTAAAAATACAAAAATATTAGCCAGGCGCGGTGGCAGACACCTGTAATCCCAGCTAGTCGGGAGGCCAAGGCAGGAGAATTGCTTGAACCCAGGGGGCGGAGGTTGCAGTGAGCCGAGATCGCGCCCCTGCACTCCAGCCTGGGCGACAGAGTGAGACTCCTCTCAAAAAAAAAAGAATGTGTGTGCCCAACCTTCCTGTCATGTAGTCCCGAGGCTACTACGTGAAGGAACAGTTTGCCTGGAGACATGTCTACTGGTACCTTACCAATGAGGATATCCAGTATCTCCGTGATTACCTTCATCTGCCCCTGGAGATTGTGCCTGCCACCCTACGCCGCAGCCGTCCAGGGACTGGCAGGCCTCGGTCTAAAGGTCTGGAGGGTGAGCGACCTGCAAGACTCACAAGAGGAGAAGCCGACAGAGATACCTACAGAAGGAGTGCTGTGCCCCCTGGTGCCGACAAGAAAGCCGAGGCTGGGGCTGGGTCAGCAACCGAATTCCAGTTTAGAGGCAAATTTGGTCGTGGACACCGTCAGCCACCTCAGTAGAATTGGAGAGGATTATTTTGCATTGAATAAACTTACAGCCAAAAAGACTTAAAAAAAAAAAAAGAAAAAAATTGTATTATGTCGCAAATGAACCTGTTGCAATGATCATACAGGTTTTTTCCTTTGATAGTTTGTACTACTTTAATAGTTTTTTCTTTTATTACATAATCTTAGTTTCCTAGGAAAACCCCAACTTGGTCGTGATACATGTTTAATCCATTGCTGGATTATTTGCTAATATTTTATTTAGCGTTTTTGCATATATGTCCATAAGAAGTTAGTCCATACTTTTGCCTCCTTGTACTATTTATGTCTGGTTTGGTTTTAAGCCTATACTAAATTCACAGTGAGTTGGGGAGAATTCCATTTGCTTCTTTTTCTGAAAGATTATCTAGGCTGGGCACTGTGGCCTACGCTTGTAAAACTAGCATTTTGGGAGGCCGAGGTGGGCGGATTACCGGAGGTCGGGAGTTCAAGAACAGCCTGGCCAACATGGTGAAACCCCATCTCTACTAAAAATACAAAAAATTAGCCGGGCACACCTGTAATCCCAGCTACTCTGGAGGCTGAGGCAGGATAATTGCTTGAACCTGGGAGGCAGAGGTTGCAGTGAGCAGAGATCACGCCACTGCACTCCAGTCTGGGCTACAAAGCGAGACTTTCTGTCAAAAATAAATAATTAATTTTTAAAAATTATGTAGAAGATAAAAACTTTATGTTCTTTTTAATGTTTGCTGTCCATAAAATCATCTGGGCCAGGTACTTTTCTTTGGTTTTGTTTTTTTGTGAGATTTTTGAGGGGATGGGATACAGATTTTTTTTTTTTTTTTTTTTTTTTTGAGACGGAGTCTCGCTCTGTCGCCCAGGCTGGAGTGCAGTGGCACCATCTCGGCTCACTGCCAGCTCCGCCTCCCGGGTTCACGCCATTCTCCTGCCTCAGGCTCCCGAGTAGCTGGGACTACAGGCACCCACCACCAGGCCCGGCTAATTTTTTGTATTTTTAGTAGAGATGGGGTTTCACCATGTTAGCCAGGATGGTCTCGATCTTCTGACCTTGTGATCCGCCCACCTCGTCCTCCCAAAGTGCTGGGATTACAGGCTTGAGCCACTGCGCCCGGCCGGGATACAGATTTTAAAATAAACATTCAATTCCTTTGATGGTTCTAGATCTAGACAAACTTTTCTGTTTCTCCCTACTTCGTTTTTATGAAGTTATATTTTTCTTTTGAGACAGAATTTCTCTGTTGCAGTCACGTGATCTTGGCTCACTGCAACCTCCTCCTCCCAGGTTCAAGTGATTCTCCCGCCTCAGCCTCCCAAGTAGCTAGGGTTACAAGCATGTGCCACCACGCCCAGCTAATTTTTGTATTTTTGGTAGAGTTGGGGTTTTGCTATGCTGGCCAGGCTGGTCTCGAACTCCTGAGATCAGGTGATCCACCAACCTCGGCCTCCCAAAGTGCTGGGATTACAAGCACCCCACCTGGCCTGAAGTTGTATTTTTCTATAAAACTGCCTGTTTTGATATTTTAAAAAATCACTGGCATAACGTGGTTTATGTAATGTCCTTATGATTTTTGTCTTAATACTGTTTATTTATTTTATATATTTATTTAGAGATTGAGTCTTGCTCTATTGCCCAGGCTGGAGTGCAGTGGCCTGATCTTGGCTCACTGCGACCTCCGCCTCTCAGGTTCAAGCAATTCTCGTGCCTCAGCCTCCTGAGTAACTGGGATTATAGGCACCCACCACCACACCCAGCTAATTTTTGTGTGTGTGTTTTGTTGTTGCTGTTGTTGTTGTTTCTTTTTGTGAGACAAAGTTTTGCTGTTGTTGCCCAGGCTGGAGTATAATGGCGCAATCTCGGCTCGGCACAACCTCCATCTCCCGGGTTCAAGCAATTCTCCTGCCTCAGCCTCCTGAGTGGCTGGGATGACAGGCATGCGCCACTACACCAGGCTAATTTTATATTCTTAGTAGAGATGGGGTTTCTCCATGTTGGTCATGCTGTTCTCGAACTCCTGACCTCAGGTGATCCGCCCGCCTCAGCCTCCCAAAGTGCTGGGATTACCAGGGTGAGCCACCACACCTGGCCATTTTCATATTTTTAGTAGAGACGGAGTTTCACCATGTTGGCCAGGCTGGTCTCAAACTCCTGACCTCAAGTGATCTGTCAGTCTCGACCTCCCAAAGTGCCAGGATTACAAGCGAGAGCCACCGCACCCAGCCTAGCCACCACACCTGGCCCATTTATTTCTAAATAGACAATACATTTGTATATTTCAAAATTCAGAAGGCACCATCTCAACCCCATCCCTATTCCTGTAGTTTCTCAGATACAACCAAATAGATTCAGTTTCTTGGTATCTTTCTAGAGATAGTTTATGAATATAAACAAATATCCAAATAAACAAATATGTTCTTTTGCTTTTTTTATACAAACGTTACTTTATTGTACCTATTGATCTGTTCCTTTCTCTTTCTTTCTTTTTATTATTTTACTGTATTTTTTGAGACAAGGTCTTGCTCTGTGGCCTAAGCTGGAGTATAGTTGTGCAATCTGGGCTCACTGCAGCCTTGACCTCCCAGGCTCAAGCGATCCTCCCATCTCAGCCTCCCGAATAGCTAGGACTACAGGGACATGCCACCAAGCCCAGCTAACGTTTTATATGTGTTGTAAAGGCAGAGTTTCACCGTGTTGCCCAGGCTGGTCTCAAACTCCTGGGCTCCCGCGATCTGCACAGGTAGGCCTCCCAAAGTGCTGGGATTATAGGCATGAGCCACCATGCCCAGGCTCCACCTCTTACAGTGGACCTGATATTATAATGCCCACTTCCTATGATGAAAAGGAACTGAATGAGTGTGGAATCTCTAGGACCGTGCTGGCATATAATGGGCCCTTGGGGTTTAGTTTAGTAGCAAATTAAAAGGTGCCCATTCCTCAAAACCTTCTATAGACATCTTTCAGGAAACTGCCATGGATAAATATCTGCAAATCAAAGCAAAACTTTAGGGACAAACTACATCAGTCTTCGCCTGTGAATTTTGCATCTATGATGCAAATGACACCCCTCTAAGGTGTTACCCTTCTGCAGTGCACTACCTGTGCAACTGTCCTCAGCAAAGATAGAGTAATCGGCAGTAAATGAGTGGTGGCTGCCCCCTTTACAGAGGCATAAGTTCTCAACTTGCCACAGTCTGCACCATTCCGCTTTGTGCTCTGCCTGGTCCATTTTACTCACTGATATTACCCAACCTCTGAAGGTGTTTAAGTTTGACCATTGACCTCTCATTTCATAGTGAACCTCAGAGAGGTGAAAGGATTCACCCAAGATCACTCAGCAAGTGTGCAGTGTCAGCAAGTTAGCAGTAAGTCAAAACTAGGCCTTAAGGCTCTTGTTACTTCAGAGCAGGACTCTTACTGCCATGCAGCTACCTCTCTCACCAGATGGCCCAAGGCATTTGGTTGTCTCTGGCTTTGGTGGTTGTGGGAGGGGTGGATCAGAGATGCCCTGGGCCATGTTATGGCTCTAGGCCACATGCAAGCAAGCTGCAAACTGAATTGCCTCTGCAGCTGCAGAAGGCAAATTTCTATATTGATATTTGGAAAAACTAACAGCTAGAAAACACCACTCTACTCATTTTTAAAAATAAGATCATATTAAATGACGTTACATGCATCATTTATATATTACTCGCAGTGCCAGCATCCTCAAATATGGTTTTAATTTTGGTAGATATCTTGCTAGGGGGAGCACATTTCTAAGTTATCCAGATATAGGGCCCTCTTTCCTTCTCTTTCTGTCCACATGCAACCAGATGCTTTGTGGAGTTAAAGTTGACATTTATTTAAATGCCACTTGGTGTCTGGTTTTTTCACCTTTAATTTAGGGTTTTCTATCTGGGATGTAAAAGAATCACTTGGAGGGATTTTTCAAAATACCAATGGCCAGGCCACTAGCCAGTCAATCAGAAGCAAAATCTCCTTGGATGGGACCTGGAAGTCTTTACAGTTTTCCAGCATTTTAATGAACATCCCTGATTAAGAACCACCGGGTCTTAAGAGTGTGGCATATGTATTTTTCAAGTTCCTAGAAGCTCTCCAGAACAACAACAAAAAAATCTGCTTTATTCTCTGCCTGGTGTTGATGCATCAGTCTCTTTAGCCGTTAGTCTGATCCTGGAAATTTATGGTCATAATTTGATGAGCAACGTTGGGAATGGCTTCTTCTTTCTTTTCTTTTTTTTTTTTTTTTGAGACAGAGTTCACTCTGTCGACCAGGCTGGAGTGTAGCGGGGGCAATCTCTGCTCACTGCAACCTCCACCCCAATACTTTCATTTTTAAATATTATTTATGGCATCCAGATTTGCATAAGATGGACTGGGTCAATGGCCATGCCCTTTATAAATCAATATTCTTAAGTTCTGCAAATTCAGTTTCCTAAAGAGCCAAATCACATCCTACTCATCAGCAAGGCAGGTAGACATCATTTTCACAATGACTTCTAATTTTCCACCATTGTAAAAAAAAAAATATGTAATCACTTTCTTATTGTAAAATAAACAATTTACTTTTCCAGGACTTTCTGCCTCCCTGCTCCCCTTTTTTTTTTTTCAAACAATCTTGAATCCTTTGTCATGAGTCTGTTGCCAAGAGAAGCCTGTTTGTTGGTTTGAGAGCAGTTCATGCAGACACAGACCACTTCCTCTGAGAATTCATTTGCTTCCCCAGGATGGAATCTGGCTGGGCCTCTGACCTTGCTGGTCACGTGGGCCGGGGCCTCCATCAGTCATACCCTGGACTCCTATCTGTGTCTAAACACCACGCCCCACCCCCAACTGCACGGCAGCCACTCGCATAGCACTCTGGGAGGGCTGTGGGCATGAGCAGCGAGGACTCCATCAGCAGCTCCCCCAGATAAGCCCTGCTAATGAGGGGGCTTGCGAAGCAGCTTTGATGTGCTGGTAAATCCAGGTGCAAAACAGAACTCAAGTTAAGGCCTCCGCACAGCACTGCGTTCTAACTGTGAAGGTTTCTTACTCTAGTGTCCTGTGTGGAGGTATTGGAATTGTCCATTGCTAAGACTCAGAGGAGAAAAGCACTTAGCATCGCAGGACTTGGAGCACCGGTACTGAGGCAACCCTTCATTCATTCGTCGGATGTGTGTTAAGGCCCAGGGCAGGGGTCAGGGATTCTCCTCTCACACAGCACGTGGGTGGCAGGACCAACACCGGGTCTGATCTCCCAGCCGGGGGCACAGGCTGCTAACCCCAGGCCTGGAATCTGTCAGATGCCCTTCCCGTGCTGACTTGACTTAGACAGGCCTCCTGACCTTCCCGCAAAGGTCATGTGTGATTCGCAGGGGTTCTGGCCGCTTGAAAGGTTCCTGAGAAAGCACATGCCGTGAAGACAGAGCTTGCAGAGGGAGGACAGGCATGCAGAAGGCTCTGTGTGCAGCCCCAGACCTGGGTACCTTCGTCACCGTCCTCACCCCACCTCCGGGTGCGCAGATAGGGAGCAGGTCTCCTGTGTTATGGCCCAAGCAGGGCTGTTAGGACACTGAGAACATTCCCCCCTCCCACAGGAGAGAGAGGTCCAAGGTGCCCTACATCGTGCGCCAGTGCGTGGAGGAGATCGAGCGCCGAGGCATGGAGGAGGTGGGCATCTACCACGTGTCCGGCCGGTGTGGCCGCAGACATCCAGGCACTGAAGGCAGCCTTCGATGTCAGTGAGTGTTGGCCTGCGCAGGACGGGATGGAGGTGTGGGCAGTGGTGTCCGCGATGAGATCTCAGAGTGCTCCATGGCCCAGGCATGTCACATCCTTCTCTGTGTCTTTTCTTCATTTACTGTTTTATTATTTTAAAAAAAGAGAAAACAAGAGTTGTACAAACAGCTTCTATAGAAGCCAGTTTTTACACCATCGTACCCACTCATGCCACTTGGTGGAGTGGACCAGGGGCTTCTGTGGGGACTTGGCCTTCCTGCCTTGGGGGTGGACAGGAGGTGGAAGCCCAGGACTCAGTGCGGTCTGTCCACTGCCCTGTATGAGGATGTGGTGGGCAGAGGGCACTGATGAAATTCAGCGCAGGCCGGGGCTGCAGCCTCTCCGCCTCCATCTCACCAACCCTCACAGGCTTTGAAGGACCCGGACCTGCCTCAAATGCCAGGGGAGGGCACTGAGACCCCAGAGGGTCCCTCCCAGCATCTTCAAAGCAACAGGATTTTGTGCCTGCAGATCCTTCTTTGCAGCACACACCACCCACCCTGACCAGGACCCCTAGAATGCCCAGCATCCCTGGGAGGGCCCTGTGGTAGTTTCAGCTCCCTCTGGGGGCCCAGAATGAACCTGGCCTGTGGTGAGGATGTAAGCACCAATGGCCAATTGGGTCCAAAGGAAGACACCGGTTCAAACACTGAAACCAATCAGATTCTCCCACGGCCTTCCTGCCATCAGACGACACTGGTGCAGGGGTGGTTGCTATGTACAGGGCAGAGCCACCCAATCCCCACGCAGGAGCTGTGTCCTGCCATGCTGGCCTCCTCCTGGCCATCACATCAGGCCAAGCAGGGGAGAGGAATGGGAATGCCCATGCACCCCTATCAACTCTGCAGACACAGAACCATGCACAGCTCTTGGGAGGAGTCAGATGAGCTGCTCAAAGCCCGGGAGGGACCCACACAGTGGTCAGCATAGCAGGGACGGTGCTTTAGCCAAGGCAGGGATGGCAGGTGACTCACTCAGGATCTTCAAGGAGGCCGCTGCATTTCCGTGCTCTTTCCAGATAAGAAGGACATGTCGGTGATGATGAGCGAGACGGACATGAACGCCATCGCAGGCACGCTGAAGCTGTACTTCCGTGAGCTGCCTGAGCCCCTCTTCACTGACGAGTTCTACCCCAGCTTCGCAGAGGGCATCGGTGAGCATTGGAGGCCTTGGCCTCGTGGGAGACGTCTCCTCCATGTGCACTGCTGCCCTTGGAGGCTGTGAAAAGTGAGGTGTGGGAACCTGAGCTGTGACCCCTCTGCCATGGTCGGCATTTTAACCCAACCTCAAAAAGCAGGGGACCAGAACCGAGCCTGTCCTGGAAGGCCTTGCTCATCCCCAGAGGGCTCCCCATCCCTATTCCTCAAGGAGGCCAAGTGGGTGAAATGGTCAGCACTGCCATGCTGTGGGGTCCTAAAGTCTGCTGTCCTCCTTCCTGCAGACCAGGGCTAAACACTGGTGCCCAGGTGCTCTTGCCATGGGTCCCGGTCCAGCCAAGCATGGTTTCAAACATGACCTGACCCTTAGTCAACCTGGAGGCTGATGTCTAGAGTGGGCGCTGGAGCGTGCAGCACCTGTGGCCTCTGCATCACCCTTGGGGCAGGTCTGCCTCCCGGGCCCATGCACAGAGGACCTGGTCTCCCAGCCTGCAGGTGCCCCTGTGGTGTCCAGGACGACAAGGGGGTCTCTGCGTACTTGGTGGGGCTGGGACCCTCCCACTTCCCACCTCCTTGTGTCCCTCACTCCCCTGTTTCATTCCATGCTGAGCCTCCCCTGCCTTGGGCTCCCTGGGGAGGGGGTGGTGGCAGGAGTTGCCCAAGGGCTGCTCTGCCCATGAGCAGCTGCTCTAGCGGCTCCTCCTGCTGCTGTTCACCGGGTGCTGCTGAGCCCTGCGAGGTAGAGAAAAGGCGTTCAGGTGGTTCACACCCCACACAGGTGCCCCTCACAGGGTCCTCACTGGCGGCCAGCGCTGTGGGTGTGACGATGATGACAAGCCTAAACTGCGCAAGGACTCGTGTCCCGGGCGCTCCATGTGACCACCTCGGGAGAGGTCTCCGGCTTGTCGTAACCCAGGGGAGTCACCCACTGCCTCCTGCAGCTCTTTCAGACCCAGTTGCAAGGAAGAGCTGCATGCTCAACCTGTTGTTGTCCCTGCCGGAGGCCAACCTGCTCACCTTCCTTTTCCTTCTAGACCGCCTGGAAAGGTAGCCCAGCTCTCTTGTGGCTGCCCAGGACTCCAGGTCTCCAGGCCGTTGGGGTGCCCCTCTGCTCCCACCAGACCCCCAGCACCAAGGACCTTTTCCCCCGACCCCTGTCTGCAGTAACTCACTGCTTCTAAGGACTAGCACCACTGCCACCCCCGCCCCTGCCTCTCCTCTTTGCCACCCGCCTCCCTCTGCACTGTGGCCTTAACAAAGAGCTCAGAGCTTTGGCCGTGGCCAGCAGTGCACTTGGACCCGCCTCTTCCCTCCCAAGCACATCATGAAGACCTCCCCATCAGCCCAGAGCTGGCCCCTTGTCCTGGGCCACTGAGACCCAGAAGTACCAAGGCTGGAGTCAGCTTGCAGCACAGCCAGGGTCGAGGTCACTCCCTCCCTGAGGACTCTAGCACGGCACAGCCCCTCTGCCTCTCTCCTGGTGGTGGCGTTGAAACAGCACCCTCTGCTTCCGTCCTCTACAGGGTGGCAGAGAAGGAAGCAGTCAATAAGATGTCCCTGCACAACCTCGCCACTGTCTTTGGCCCCACGCTGCTCCGGCCCTCCGAGAAGGAGAGCAAGCTCCCTGCCAACCCCAGCCAGCCCATCACCATGACTGACAGCAGGTCCTTGGAGGTCATGTCTCAGGTATGGGAAGACAGTCTCCAGCCCATGCAACCCCAGCCTGACAGAGGTGGTCTCTGCCTGCCCCACCCCCAGTCCTGCCCATCTTCCGACTTGCATTGTATGTGGTGGTGGCTGAGATTCAGAGAGAGGGACTTGCCTAGGTTTGCATGGATGGGAGTGATAGGGGGTGCCCAGGCCACCTCCTGGTCCTGCTGGTGCACCTTGCTGGGGGCTTAAAACCACCCCAAGTGTTCGGGTGTGGTGGCTCATGCCTGTAATCCCAGCACTTTGGGAGGCCGAGGCAGGACAACTGAACCCAGGTGTTTGAGACCAGTCTGGGCAATGTAGCAAACCCCATCTCCAGAAAAAATACAAAGAAAAATTAGGCAGGCATTGTGGCACACATCTGTAATCCTAGGTATCTGGGAGGCTGACACAGGAGGATTGCTTGAGCCCAGGAGTTAGAGGCTGCAGTGATCCATGATGGAGCCACTGTACTCCAGCCTGGGGGACAGAGCAAGGCCCTGTGCATCTCTAAAATAAATAACCACCCCCCACCCAACAAGTCATGCCTTGTCAGGACCCCACCCCACCCCCGTCTCACTGTAAGGGGTTCATGACACCAGCAGGGGTTTCTAGCACCTGAGGTGGACTTGGGGACTTGGGCCCCAAAGACCTCCCCACCAGCAGCTGTGAGCCCCGCTCTGAGCCACTCTCCTCTTCCCCACTCTGCGAGGGCAGGTCGAGGTGCTGCTGTACTTCTTGCGGCTGGAGGCCATCCCTGCCCTGGACAGCAAGAGACAGAGCATCCTGTTCTCCACCGATGTCTAAAGGTCCCAGTCCATCTCCTGGAGGCGGACAGATGGCCTGGAAACCTCTGGCTAATCGGGCCATCTGTAGAGTGGGAATCAAGATTTTCTGAGGCATCCTTGGGCCACCCCCAGGTGTCAGGCCATCTGCCAAGAGACAGCGGCCCAAAGCAGAAGGACAGGTGGCCTGGGCAGATCCCGCCCAGGTCTGAAAGCCCCAGGCTGGCCTCAGACTGTGGGTTTTTTATGCGGCCACCCGAGGGCGCCCCAAGCCAGTTCATCTCTGAGTCCAGGCCTGGCCCTCGGAGACAGGGTGAAAGCAATGGTTTTTATGAACTTAACTTATAGAGTCTAAAAGATTTCTACTGAATCACTTGTCAAGAAGTGCCCTCTCTGGGGAGAAGGGAACGTGACCGGATTCCCTCACTGTTGTATCTTGAATAAACGCTGCTGCTTCATCCTGTGGGGGCCGTGGCCCTGTCCCTGTGTGGGTGGGGCCTCTTCCATTTCCCTGACTTAGAAACCACACTCCACTTAGAACAGGGTTTGAGAGGCTTAGTCAGCACTGGGTAGCGTTTTGACTCCATTCTTGGCTTTCTTCTTTTTCTTCCCAGAAGGATTTTTGTGCAGAAATGGGTCTTTTGTTGCCGTGTTAGTCCTCCTTGGAAGGCAGCTCAGAAGGCCCGTGAAACGTCGGGGGACAGGACCCCCAGGGAGGGAACCCCAGGCTACGCACTTTAGGGTTCGTTCTCCAGGGAGAGCGACCTCGTCCCCCGATCCTGACCGCCCTTCCGGCCCACGCTCTCCTGTTTGGCTTCCACAGGCCTGGACTTCTCTGGCTTCTCTGCCCACACACTCCCTGCCCCCAGTGTCCCTGCCCCTGCCCCAGCACAGGTGACTTCATTTCTGTCCTCTCAGCTCAGTGGACTCGCTCAACTTTTGTATAAGTCTCCACTTGGTGGCAGCAGCTTGCTGATGACTTGTTTTAAAACTTTCATCCTAAATAACCTTTTGATACTTGAATATTTTTAAGTTTTATACATAGTTTCTAATTTTTTTCCCAACAGATCCAGATACCTAATAAGATGCTGGAATGTAATCCCTGGACAATCCGTGTCCTGGCAGCATTTGGTCTTCCTCTAAGCGCCTGGCTCCGCTGTTCTCAGGAGTGGGTTCTGAAGTCTCTGGAGAACAGGATACGTGGAGGGTTAGGAAGGGGCCAGGCCTAGAGACGGGAGACTCCCTCCCGGAGCAGGTGGAGGCACAGGACCATTCGCTACCCCATCTGCCGGCAGCTGCGGGGGAGCCCAGGCATTCTTTGTAAGCCCTCCTGACCACCTGGCTCAAAGAAAACAGAAGCATGGAGGCCGCCAAGTATTTTCAAGAAATAATCCCATGAACATGGCATCACTTTTTTAGAAAGAGGGGCTTGGGGCAGGCAGAGGAGAGAAGGGAGATCAAACTGAGAGCCAAGTTTCCAGACGGTCCTGCAGGAGGAGAGGATGCAGCTGCCCAGAGGGAAGCAGGATCACATTTAAGGAAGTGTGTGGGGTCCCTGGATGACACCAGCACCCAGTGCGGCTCTGTCTGGCAACCGCTCCCAAGGTGGCAGGAGTGGGTGTCCCCTGTGTGTCAGTGGGCAGCTCCTGCTGAGCCTACAGCTCACTGGGGAGCCTGACAGCGGGGCCATGTGCCTGACACTCCTCTCTGCTTGTGGACCTGGCAAGGCAGGGAGCAGAAAACAGAGCCACTTGAAGGCTTTCTGTCTGCGTCTGTGTGCAGTGTGGATTTAGTTGTGCTTTTTTCTTGCTGGGAGAGCACAGCCACCATTTACAAGCAGTGTCACCCTCATGGGTGGCGAGGACAGAACAGGAGCCTCTGCTCTCTGTACCTATCTGGGCCCGGTGGGCTCCCTTGTCCTGGCTTCCATCTCTGTCTCAGCGACCATTCAGCCCTGCGCAGGAACACATGTTGCTTAGAAAAGCCAAATTCAGCCCTTGTCTCTGCCTCCTCTGGTCTCATGATGTGCATCTGTTACCTTGAAACTGGAAACCAGTCTATCAATGTCTGTGCCAATTTTTTATTCCCTCCCCAACCTCCTTCCCCATACGACTTTTTATTTATGTAGGATGTGTGCTGTCTAATGATGGGATGACCACATTTTTCCATGTTCTAAAAGTGCTCCTCTCCCGCAGGGTCCCAGGGCTGGTGGTTGCTTTGGGTCTACAGCTACGTCTTACCCGCCTCCTGCCTCAACAGCCTGTGTGGTGGCAAAGCCGGTGTGGGGCTGGGGAACGCAGCGTTCTCCAGGAGGGGGACCCGGCTCTCCTTCTGCAGTGCAGGCGAAGGCCTAGATGCCAGTGTGACCTCCCACAAGGCGTGGCTTCCAGACTCCCCGGCTGGAAGTGATGCTTTTTTGCCTCCGGCCCTGGGTTTGAAGCAGCCTGGCTTTCTCTTGGTAAGTGGCTGGTGTCTTAGCAGCTGCAATCTGAGCTCAGCCACCTACACACCACCGTGGCCGACACTTTCATTAAAAAGTTTCCTGAGACGACTTGCGTGCATGTTGACTTCATGATCAGCGCCGCTGGGAAGAACCCCTGAGCCGGTGGGGTGGGGCTGGAAGCAGCAGGTGCAGTGATGGGGCTGGGTGCCCAGGAGGCCTCAGTGCTCAATCAGGCCAAGGTGGCCAAGCCCAGGCTGCAGGGAAGGCCGGCCTGGGGGTTGTGGGTGAGCACAGGCAGGCACCAGCTGGGCAGTGTTAGGATGCTGGAGCAGCATCCGTAACCCCACTGAGTGGGGTAGTCTGGTTGGGGCAGGGACCGCTGTTGCTTTGGCAGAGAGAGATGATCCCCACTGGGGAGAGGCTGTTCTGACTCTGCAGGTGGGACAGGGACAGATGGCCACCAGGGTGACCCGGCTGGTCTTCCTTTGCTATGCTAAGCCCTGGGACATGGAGGTTTCCTGCCACACAGCCTGGGCCGGGGTTCTTACCTGTGGCCACCGCTCTGGCACGAGCCCCTCAGTCTTGGGTGGTTTCTGCCTGGTCCGGGATTTGGTGTTCCTGCTGAGTCCAGCCTTTCTACCACCTCTGCATGGGCCGTGGGTGGTGTTGTCAGCTGCCTCCCACCTTGGCTTCAGTAGCTCACCCAGCTTACAGGGGAGCTGCCCTGGGCTGGAGATGGGCATGCACCCTGGGTCCTACTTGAATGAATGCAGCTTGAGGAGACCCGGCCATATACACTGGGCCACAGGTTACCCTCGGCAATGCCCACATCAGCCGTCAGCCTGAGCCTCCCCAGGAGAGCAAGGCTCACACGACAAAGGCTGCCCGTGGCCAATGAGGTGGCTGAGCCCAGCCAGGACCTTTCTCGGACTCCCGGGATGTGGCTCTGCTCGTGAGCTGCCTGGTCAGCTCTCTCGGGGTGAGAGGGGCTTGTCACACGGGCCCCTGCCTGCAGTGTGACCCTTCTCAGCTTCTCTCAGCAGCCCTGCCTGCGGAGTGTCACCACCACCATGATCATTTCCCTGACACTGCGAGGGTCGGGGGGCGTCCTGGGTAGAGACAGGGCCCGTGGCAGCAGCAGGCTCAGGGGCGGCCTACACTGGTGGGCTGGGGACCTGGTGGAGACCACGCCAAGGGCTGGACAAGGGAACGAGCCTCCACCCTGGCCTCTCCGCAGGCCTCAGCAGCCCCTCCCACAGGCAGAAGGGTTGACACTGGGTTCTGCCCTCACTGCAAGAGCTGCAAGTGCCACGTGCTGTTCTGCCCAATCTGGTGTCTGCAGGTGAGGGAAGGGCTGCCGCTGGCCCATTTCTGAGTGTTCAGCACCTAAGGGTGACAGCACTGTTTGTCCCTACCCTCCGAGTCCTGTTTGAAAATCAAACCCATGCTCACAGGCCAATTTTTTTTTCTTTTAGAGACAGGGTCTCACTTTGTCACCCAAGCTGGAGTGCAATGGTGCGATTATAGCTCAATGCAGCCTCCAATTCCCGGACTCAATGGACCTTCCTGCCTCAGCCTGCCAAGTAGCTTGGACTATAGCTGTGTGTTTTATTATTATTTTGTAGACATGGGGTCTGGCTATGTTGTCCAGGCTATTCTCAAAATTCCCGGCCTCAAGCAATCCTCCCGCCTCGGCCTCTCAAAGGTTGGGATTACAGGTGTGAGGCAAGGCACCCAGCTCAGCCACAGAGCCCTATTGCATCTCTCTTACTAGGAGCAAGAGCTGACTGCCCCCTCATCCCCATTCCAGAGTGTTGGGGCTGTGTTGAGCCGAGGCCGGGCCACTGGCATGGCCCAGGGAACGGGATCATTCACTGCTGCCCCAAATCTGAGATCATTCCACCTTGACAAGACTTCCTCATCCAATCCCTTTACTTGACAGCTGGGGAAACCAATGCGCACAGAGCACCCCCAGCTCACTTGGGGTCTCAGAGCTGATCCATGAGCGGAGGCTGAGATCCTGGGATCTTGTCCCTCAGCCTCCCTGCAACCTTACTCCCTTTCTGCTGAAAGAGATGGGGCCGGACCTTGACCAGCAGCCCTGGCCTGGACATGACTGTGCTCATGCAGGTATTGAGGCCGAGACGCCCCGGCATCATATGTTTTTCTATTTTCTTTTTTTTTTTTTTGAGACGGTGTCTCACTCTGTCCCCCAAGCTGGAGTGCAGTGGCATGATATTGGCTCACTGCAACCTCTGCCTCCCGGTTAAAGTGATTCTCCTGCCTCAGCCTTCCAAGTAGCTGGGCCTACAGGCTTGTACCACCATGCCTGACTAATTTGTGCATTTTTACTAGAGACAGGGTTTCCCCATGTTGGCCAGGCTCATGTCGAACTCCTGACCTCAAGTGATCCACCTGCCTTGGCCTCCCAAAGTGCCAGGATTACAGGCATGAGCCATGGCGTCACTTAAATGTAGTGAGAGGCCGGGCACAGTGGCTCATGCCTGTAATCCCAGTACTTTGAGGGGACGAGGCTGTCAGATCACCTAAGGTCAGGAGTTCGAGACCAGCCTGGCCAACATGGTGAAACCGTGTCTCTAAAAAAAATAGAAAAAAATATCCCTGCATGGTGGTGAGTACCCGTAGTCCCAGTTACTCAGGAGGCTGAGGCATGAGAATCGCTTAAACCTCGGAGGCGGAGGCTGCAGTGAGCTGAGATGGCGCCACTGCACTCCAGCCTGGGTGACAGAGGAAGACTTTGTCTCTAAATAATTAAATAAATAAATATGGCCGAGCATGGTGCCTTAGGCCTGTATTCCCAACACTTTGGGAGGCTGAGGCAGGTGGTTCATGAGGTCAGGAGCCCGAGACCAGCCTGGCCAAGATGGTGAAACACTGTCTCTACTAAAAATACAAAAATTAGCCAGCTGTGGTGGCAGGCACCTGTAATCCCAGCTACTTGGGACACTGAGGCAGGAGAATCACTTGAAACTGGAAGTCAGAGGTTTCAGGGAGCCGAGATTGCACCACTGCACTCTAGCCTGGGCGATGGAGCAAGACTCCATCTCAAATAAATAAATTAATAAATACAGAGCAAGATTCCATCTTAAATAAATAAATATACACCTGTAATCCTAGCAGTTCGGGAGGCTAAGACAGGTCGATCACCTGAGGTCAGGAGTTCGAGACCAGCCTGACCAATATGGCAAAACTCCATCTCTACTAAAAATACAAAAATTAGCCAGGCGTTTTGACGTGTGCCTGTAGTCCCAGCTACTTGGGAGGCTGAGACAGGAGAATTGCTTGAACCCAAGAGGTGGAGGTTGCAGTGAGCCGAGATCTCGGCTGCACTTCAGCCTGGGTGACAGAGTGAGACTGTCTCAAAAGGAATAAAAAAAATACAAAATAAAAAAAATGTAGTAAGATTGCAGAGTCGTGCCGCGGAAGCGTGCTGGTCCTATCCATGTAGTGAAGGCTGATTTCATACACAAATGTCACAAGAACTTTTTTTCTTTTTCTTTTTTTTTGAGACGGAGTCTCGCTCTGTCACCCAGGCTGGATTGCAGTGGCGCGATCTCAGCTCACTGCAAGCTCTGCCTCCCGGGTTTATGCCGTTCTCCTGCCTCAGCCTCCCAAGTAGCTGGGACTACAGGCCTGTGCAGCAGATGCAGGGGGGCCACTAGGCCCAGGCAGTCTTGGGACTTGTGTGTCTCCTGCTGTGCATCCATACTGGGTGCTTTAGAAACGGCAGGCAGACCAGAAGCCCCTGTTGCAAGTGAGGACAAAGTGTGGGAAGGCCGTGAGGGTCTGCAGTCCTAGATGGCCTGGTCCTCAACCTGCAGTGCACTGTTGATGCGCTGGAATGCCTCCTCCTTCTCCCGGTCCAGGTCTTCAGCAGTGACCCGGTACCCCATCTCTAAGGGAGGTGGCAGCATCAAAGGCTCCCCTCGCCTGCGTGGCAGCAGGGGAAACTTGCATATACGGGGCCTAGAGGCCTGGGATCTGGGGGAGCCACCCCTGGAGGCGAGTGTCTGCCCTGGTGCTGTATCTGCCGTCTTTTCACACTGGGTGTGACCCGAAGAGACAGCCTGAGGTCCGTCCTCACTCACTGTGTTTGAGGAACTGAGGGTCAGCTGGCAGTGGGATGAGGCTGGCCCCTCTTCCGCTTTTGTTCCGGGAGGCCTCCCGTAGAGCTGTAGGGGCTCGAGATGGCATTTCATTTGGGGCACGAGCTGGTCCAGGAGGTCTGGGATCTCTGGTTCTGACCTCTGGGCACCTGCTGCAGCTGTGGCTGAGGCCCAGAAATGTGAAGGGCCTCCATCCACTCCAGTAGTGACCCCAACGTGGGGTTCAATGTGGAGCGGGGAGGGGCTGCTGCGGCAGCTGCAGGAGCAGAAGTGCCATGCCTTGTTCTTCTCATGCCCGCATCCATGCTTGCAGCTGGGAAGGGGGCAGGAATCAGCGAGGTGACCTGGGCTGAGTCCTGGGAATCAGAAGAGGTGGCAGGAAGGGGATCTGAGGAGGAGAACAGGGGGCCTGGTGGTCTGTGCTTCTTCCCAGACATGGGAGCTGTAGAGGGGACCCCTGCAGCAGATGCTAAGGGGTCCAGTAGGCCCAGGCAGTCTTGGGACTTGTGTGTCTCCTGCTGTGCATCCATACTGGGTGCTTTAGAAACGGCAGGCAGACCAGAAGCCCCTGTTGCAAGTGAGGACAAAGTGTGGGAAGGCCGTGAGGGTCTGCAGTCCGAGATGGCCTTGTCCTCAACCTGCAGTGCACTGTTGATGCGCTGGAAGGCCGCCTCCTTCTCCCGGTCCAGGTCTTCAACAGTGACCCGGTACCCCAGCTCTAAGGGAGGTGGCAGCATCAAAGGCTCCCCTCGCCTGCGTGGCAGCAGGGGAAACTTGTGTGTACTGGGCCTAGAGGCCTCGGATGTGGAGGAGTCATTCCTGAGGGTGAGTGTCTGCCCTGGTGCTATATCTGCTGCCTTTTCACACTGGGTGTGACCTGAAGAGACAGCCTGAGGCCTGTCCTCACTCACTGTCTTTGAGGAACTGAGGGTCAGCTGGCAGTGGGATGAGGCTGGCCCCCTCCTCCGCTTTAGCCCCGGCAAGCCTCCCGTGGAGCTGTAGGAGCTGGAGATGGCATTTCGGTTGGTGCAGGAGCTCGTCCAGGAGGTCTGGGATGTCGGGTTATATCTGATTTCTGACCTCTGGGCATGGAGGTCTGTCTGCAGAGGCCCGGGCCCGGGCACAAAGGGAGAGAGGCCTCCATTGTCCCGCAGGGGCCGAAATGCAGACGGTGCATCCCCGGTGACCTCGGGGACCCTTCTCTGATCACCAGGATTCTCTTGGACTCTAGGGTCCTTGTCCTGCTCAGGCATCCCTGCCCCGCTCTCCTTGAGGGCCCTCAACACTATCTTCCCTGGACACAAGTCTGGGGACAGCCGGGTGTTGTGGACCCCAAAGGGGTGACTCCCGGCTCCTGGGCCCCACAGAGAGTCCATGTTCTCAGTGCAGTGGCTGAGCTGGAGGACGCCCTGGAACTCGGAGCACACAGCACTGGCTTGCTGTGGTACCTGTGCAATCAAATTGAAGGCAGGATCCCAGGAAGGAACGCAGGGCTTGCAGGATCACGGAAAACCTTCTTAGAGTTGTCTTGACACCACTGATGTCAAGTGTCCGGGTGCTTGTAGGATGGCCTGCCACTCAGTCCACGGGCAGGAGCAACGGGGAGATCCCACAGGCAAAGTGAACTGGGGGATGGGCTGAACGGGCTCCAGGCAACTGAGCCCTACTGGCAGGTCCTCGGCCTGGGCCCGAACAGGAAGGAGGGGCACAGAGTGCCCAGGTAACCGCTCCTGGGAGCAGTGGGGAACCGTCGGTTGCTTGAACTCTCGAGAGCTGGGCTCTGAGCGTCCTCGTCCAGCCGCCAACTCCGCCAAAGGCTAAGCCAGCAGTTTCTTCTGTTGCCGGGCAACGCGCCTTTTAAACCTGAGGGAGTGGGCGCGTGAGCACATCACGGCGCCCGTGACAGAGCGAGCTTAACGGATTAATAAGCGCAGCCAGGTACCCGCGCGAGGCACTTGCTGGCAATGGCGGGAGGCGGACGTGGGGGGTCATGCAATAGGTACTGGAAGGAGAGAGGCGGGCACAAAGGTTGCGGGAGGAACAGGTGCCCACAATGGTGGCAGATCTGCCCGTGGATCACTGAAGATTCCTGCTCTCCTGCTGAGGTGGAGATTGCAGTGAGCTGAGATCGCACCATTGCACTCCAGCCTGGGCAACAAGTGCAAAACTCAGTCTCCAGATAAAAAAAAGAAAAAGAAAAAAAAGAGGCCGGGCGTGGTGGCTTATGCCTATAATCCTAGCACTTTGGGAGGTCGGGGCAGACGGATCACGAGATCAGGAGTTGGAGACCAGCCTGGCCAACATAGTGAAACCCCGTCTCTAGTAAAAATACAAATTTAGTCAGACATGGTGGCACGCGCCTGTAGTCCCAGCTGCTCCGGCGGCTGAGACAGGAGAATCACTTGAACCCGGGGGCGGGCGGGGAAGGGATTGTGATGCGCCGAGATCGCGCCACTGCACTCCAGCCTGGGCAACAGAGCCAGACTCTCTCTCTTTTTTTTTTTTTTTTTTTGAGATGGAGTCTCCCTCTATCGCCCAGGCTGGATTCCAGTGGCCTGATCTCAGCTCACCGCAAGCTCCGCCTACCGGGTTCACGCCATTCTCCTGCCTCAGCCTCTGGAGTAGTTGGGACTGCAGGCGCCCGCCACCACACCCGGCTAATGTTTTGTATTTTTAGTAGAGACGGGGTTTCACCGTGTTAGCCAGGATGATCTCCATCTCCTGACGTCGTGATCCCCCTCCCAAAGTGCTGGGATTACAGGCGTGAGCCACCGCGCCCGGTGTTGAAACTCCCTTGAGGCATTTTCTTCGGCCTTCGGGTCCATCCTCTGTCTCCTCCTTGACCTCCTCATCTCCTCCTCGCCACTGCCTTGGGGACCTTGGCCAGGCTCATGGCATCCAGCAGCCACTCAATGTCAATACCTCCATGTTCATCTCTCAGCCCGCCCTTGCCCGTGAACCCATGCTTATTTATTTATTTTTTTATACGTGCACCCATGCTCTTCAGGTCTGATGAAGTATCCAGAATCAAGCTCCTGACCATCCCCAAACCTGCCCTTTCTGCAGGGTTTACCTCGCTAGTCGGCACCATCCTTGATTCTTCTCTTTCTCCCACCCAGGCCATCATCTCTTGCCTGGTTGATACCCACAGCCTCCCCTTTGGGCTTTATCCTTATCCCCGTCATAGCTGCCAGAGGGACCCTGTGAAAACACTCCCCAGCCTGCTCATTCCTCTGCCCTAAGCCTGCATGGCACAGAGCAAAAGCCAGTTGTTATGGGACCTAGGAGGTCTTGTGGGATGGGCCCCAGCCTGCATCTTCATCCTCTTCTCCCCACCCCACTCCATTCACTCTTTGCCTATCGCTCACCAGCCTATACCACCTGCCTCAGGGCCTTTGCACTGACCATTTAGGCCACATTCCAGGCTCTTTTCACACGTTGCCTCCTCTGAGAAGCCCTCCCTGACCACTCTGCCCATACCTCATGCCTCTTGATTCCCCTTACCTGGCTTGTGGTTTCAGCACTTTCCCTGTGTGTGTTTGTTTTTCTTGGCATGAGGGCAGGACCTAAGTGTCTGTTCCCTGTTGATTCCCCAGTGCCAGGCATGCAGTGCAAACTCTAGAAATATTTTTTGCATGAAGGAATGAGTGATTGAATGCAGCAAGGGTCTGGAGGCTGAGGACCAGGCAGACAGACATTCAGAGTTGCTGGAACGCGACAGAGACAGGGAGTCAGACTGGTCTTGCAAGATCCTGGGCCTGCCCTTGGGTCCTGGGGAGCCACGGAAGGTTGTGGGTGCCAGAGGGTTGTGATCAGAGCCACAGTCAGGGGCCTTTTGAGACCTGTGCCCCCTCCCCACCCTCCCTCCCCACCTCCTCAGGCCAGCTCTGGGGTCTCGGCAGGTGGTCCGCAACATGACCTCTGAGTTCTTCGCTGCCCAGCTCCGGGCCCAGATCTCTGACGACACCACTCACCCGATCTCCTACTACAAGCCCGAGTTCTACACGCCAGTTGATGGGGGCACTGCTCACCTGTCTGTCGTCGCAGAAGACGGCAGTGCTGTGTCCACCACCAGCACCATCAACCTCTAGTAGGGGCTGCTGGGCCGCCTGGGTGGGAAAGGGCCAGGGGCGGGTGGCCCAGGGACTGCCCACTTATCCAGTAAGGTGGCTCCGTCACCTCTTTTCCTGGTGGGAAACTGAGGCCCAACCTTGGTAGCTTATCCTGGGCCTCTCAGTGAGTATGTTTGAGCCTCAGTGGGTGGATAGGGACCAGGCTGGGCCAGGCAAGGTCGGGCACTGTCTGACCTGGCTGGGCGGTAGCTTTGGCTCCAAGGTCCGCTCCCCGGTCAGCGGGATCCTGTTCAATGATGAAATGGACGACTTCAGCTCTCCCAACATCACCAACGAGTTTGGGGTGCCCCCTCACCTGCCAATTTCATCCAGCCAGGTATGGGGTGGAGGTCCGGGGGTGGGGGACTGGGGTGGAGAGGGGCGGGTGTCCTGGGCAGGCAGCTGACGGGCATCCCTGTCTTCTCCCATCGGCCATAGGGAAGCAGCCGCTCTCGTCCATGTGCCCGACGATCATGGTGGGCCAGGACGGCCAGGTCCGGATGGTTGTGGGAGCTGCTGGGGGCACACAGATCACCACAGCCACTGCACTGATATGTGTCACAGCTTTTCTCCCTGGCCGTGCCCACCCTGCACAGCCCCCAAGCCACGCTGATCACACTCCCATGCCCCAGGCCATCATCTACAACCTCTGGTTCGGCTATGACGTGAAGCGGGCCGTGGAGGAGCCCCGGCTGCACAACCAGCTTCTGCCCAACGTCACGACAGTGGAGAGAAACATTGACCAGGTGGGCCGGGGGTTGGAGAAACTGAGTCACGGTGTGGGGCCCCAGGGCATCCTGGGCTGGAGGCCTGGATCATCACAGAGTGGACAATGGTTGGTGTCCTCTCTCTAGTGCCTGGGCCATCTGGAGCCCCTGTGACATGAAGGCCAAACCCCCTGCTCCAGTGAGACCCAGCAGGCCCCAACCTGCTCTTCCTGATGACCTGGCCCGAAATGGCACCACCTGGGCTGAGGCCTGTGACCACACAGATGTGGTTCAGGTGGCATCTGGAGCCTTGCTCAGGCTTCCCCTCTCCTCCCACCCCCAGGCAGTGACTGCAGCCCTGGAGACCCGGCACCATCACACCCAGATCGCATCCACTTTCATCGCTGTGGTGCAAGCCATCGTCCACACGGCTGGTGGCTGGGCAGCTGCCTCGGACTCCAGGAAAGGCGGGGAGCCTGCTGGCTACTGAGTGCTCCAGGCGGACAAGGCTGACAAGCAATCTAGGGACAAGATACTCACTAGGACCAGGAAGGGGACTCTGGGGGACCGGCTTCCCCTGTGAGCAGCAGAGCAGCACAATAAATGAGGCACTGGAGAGGCGGGATTCGGAGATCTTCACGCTGCGGTCGCTGGAACTAGCCTCAGCATCTTCAGCATGGGGAAAGCCAGGCACGTGGCTGGGGGCCAGGGGAAGGTCCATGCCAAGCCCTGCCCCTTCCCACCCTGATCCCTCAGACTTGGGGCCAGGCCCTCCCTTCCCTGGGCTGGGCAGCAACACCACCTAGGACCAGCCACCAGAGGGTGCAGCGACCCCGGCCCTTTCTTAGGCAGAGAGTGGCCAGCTGATGCCGGGAACCCGGGTGCCTTCTCAGACCCGTAGGCGTCCAGCTCACCCTGCCGAGGACATGGGAGGTGAAGCTGAGGTCTGAGGAGTGGGGATTGGGCAAGAGGCTGGAGGAAAACATCTCAGTCAGAGCCAAGCCCCTGGGGGGTTTCCAAGTTTAAGCCCAGAGTGAAACCCAAGCTTGTGATCCTCTCCAGAGGGAGGCCTGGTTCTCAGGGAACAGCAAACTGGAAGAGGTCCCCAGATCCCAGGGATCAGGGCTTGGACCAGCCGGGGATGCAGCCCAGAGGGAGTGGGTTTGGAAGGGAACAACTAGACACAGCAGCCTTCACCATCAGCAGCCCCTCCAGGCCTCCCTCGGGGCCTGCTCCCTCCTCCAGGCACAGTTCCAACACCTGGGGCAGGATTCTGGGAAAGGCTGGTGGAGATAGGCTGGTGAGGGGTGGTGGTCACAGCCCAGCACCAGGGGCACTCTGGATATCACCAGGGGCACTCTGGCCAGGGCCCAGGTGAGGCCAGGTCGGGGCTATCCTTCAGGAGCCCCGAAAACCTGGTGATACCAAAGGGCCCACAAACAGGGTTTTGTGCCTGCAGAGTAGAGTACCACCGGTTCTGAGCCCTGGAGGGCTGTGTCTCTGGGGCTCCCAGTTGAGTGATGTACGAGTCACTCCTCAATCCTTATTTTATTTATTTAATTTAAAAAATTATTTAAACAAATAGAGATGGGGTCTCACTATGTTGACCAGGCTGGACTTAAACTCCTGACTTCAAGCAGTCCCCCCATCTCAGTCTCCCAAAGTGCTAGGATTACAGGGGTGAGCCACTGCACCCGGCCTCAATCCTTATTTCGGCCTGAGAGGAAAGGCCGTGGCCCCATTTGCAGGGGAGAAGACTGAAGCTGGAGGGGCAGGCCTTGCTCTGGGTTGCACAGCAGGAAGAGAAGTGGGAGCTGGCCACGAGGCTTCCTGGACCCGACACGCTGGTGGGGTACACCCTGGTTCTCCAGGTCCCGTGGGGCTCAGCCCAGGACTACCTCGGGGGGTGAGGGACTTAAATCCTCTCCTTCATTCTCATCGCCCCTTCCCCCATCATTTCCTGAGGAAGGACATTCAGGGACCTTCCTGGCTGTGCCTCGGGTCAGGACCAGAATGACACCCATTCCTTTCCCTGGGCCTTTGCTCAGGCGGTCCCTGCACCCTGGCCTCTGCCTGACCAGGATGGTGGGGAGAGGAGGGGGGACGTCCCCCACGCTGCTGTCTCCACTGTTCCTGCTGCCCAGGCCTCTGAGCTTCCAGGACTGCAGCGGGTGGGTGGGTGGGCTGGCCTAAGCCCAGGAATGCACTTCAGCTCCTGGTTGAGCAATGTCACTGAGGCTTGGGAGTCGGGTGGGGGCGGGAGGAGGCATCCACAGGCCCCCCACCGCGAGAGGCAGCCGTGGGAACAGCCTGCCTCTAAACAATCATTCCAGTCCAGGCTGACCAGGGGCTCTGGCTGGACATAGGGGCCTGGCAGGCTGTGTGGCCTGTAAGGACACAGTCTGTCTCTGTGCCTCAGTTTCTCTGCTGCCCAGATGGGGGGGCCCGGCTTCCAGGTGTAGACATCTGGAGCAGGCAGTGTTCAGCTGGGGAGGAAGCGGGGAGGACTGTGGGGGCCACGTGGGAAGAAGTCCAGCCCACATCACCTGCACCCCTGCTGAGCCTGGTCAACAGAGCCCCTCAGTGGGTCCTCACTCTCCTGGCTGCCTCCCATTTAGGCACCCTGAGGCCTGGGGAGAACAGAGCCAGGCCAGTGTCCCTAGAGAGGCTGCGCTGCCAGCACAGTAATAGCGGATTTGGATTCAGGGAAGCAGACCCGCAGCTAGGGTGGGAAAGAGCTACAGGCAGGGCGTGGCCTCCACACAGCCTCCCTCCCTGGAGGTCCATGCTGCATTTCCAGGACAGCAAGTCCTGGACAAATGGTCCCGGATGCCAAGGGCTAGAGGCATGGTCTGTCTGCATTCCCCACATGGGCGTCTTGTAGTCACCAGCATTTGATGCTGTCAAGTCCCCCTGTCCTCTGTGCAGACTGGGAAGCCCTTGGCCACCCTGGGGAGTTGTGGGACCCAGGCCAGGCTGCAGAAGCATAAGGACTTGAACCCAAGTTTTAAGTGACACCACCTTGTGTCCCCCTCCCTCTGCCTCTGTTCAGCTCCACCTTGATGCTGACTAGGCTGGGCCATGAGGAGAGGGTTAGGGGATAGAGATGGGAGCTGGGGAGCAGGGCTCCACTCTGGGAGGGGGGCAGCCTTGCCGGATCCAGGGGAGAGAGTTGAGCGGCCCCAGCTCTGCTTTCCCAGAGCTGCCGGGAACCCGGGGAATGGTGTGGAGGTTCCAGGGAGCCCTGCCCCTACCTGGCAACCGCAGTGCAGCAGGCACCAAGTTCTCCTGCACATTGCGACAGTGTGACCCTGGGCTCTGGCGGGCGGTAGGTGGGGCCTTTGGACCTACTAGCAGTGAGGGAGTTAACACAGCAGCTGACTCCTCTAGGCAAGGAAAACTCCCCTCAGACGCTTTGCTGCCTGGCCTCCTGCCAGCAACAAGCAGGAGCTGAAAACCAGAAGTTGAGGCGTGAGTTTGGCCACTCCGTAGTGTGCACTTGGTGAGGGCAGCAGCTCGCCACAGCTGCCAGCCATCTGTCCATTCACCCATCTGTCCATCTGGCAGCCCGCTGTTCAGACCTGTCTGTCTGTCCGCCCATCTGTAAGCCCATCTCTGTCCCATTGTCTATCTGACCATCTTTCTCTTACTGTCCTCTTTGTCTAGCTATCTGGCCTATCTGTCGATCCATCTTCGTGTCTGTCTTCAGCCCCCACCTGTTTGTCCATCTGTCCAATTACCTGTGACTCTGTGCATCTTCTTGTCCATTCATCTGCCCACCCATCCGTCCCTCCGTCTGCCCACCAGCCGCCCCTCTCCTCCTGGGCTGCAGAGCCATGGCCCGGGGCTACGGGGCCACGGTCAGCCTAGTCCTGCTGGGTCTGGGGCTGGCGCTGGCTGTCATTGTGCTGGCTGTGGTCCTCTCTCGACACCAGGCCCCATGTGGCCCCCAGGCCTTTGCCCACGCTGCTGTTGCCGCCGACTCCAAGGTCTGCTCGGATATTGGACGGTGAGTGAGACGTGGGAGGAAGCTGGGTGGCCCTTGGCAGCCAGCCCCTCCTGGAGAAGGCGTGTGTGTGTGTGTGTGTGTGAGTGAATGTATGTGTGGGTGTGTGTGTGAGTGTCTGGGTATGTGTGATTGCATGCATGTGTGGGTGTGTGTGAGTGTATGTGAGTGTGAGTGTGGGGAGTGTGGGTGTGTGTGAATGTGTGTGATTGTGTGTGGGTATGTGTATGTGTGGGTGGGTGTGTGTGTGTGTGTGTGTGCACGTGCACTGGCCCAGGAAGCAGGAGCCGTGTGTGTGTGGGCTTCAGCACCTGCAGGTCTTGGGCGCAAGGAGGCAGCCTCAGGGCCCTTGCACAGAACAGGTGGCAGGGTGTGCTCGTGGGGCAGATGGGGACTTGGGGACAATGGTGGTGTGTGAGTCCACGCCTGGCTCCAGGATTCAGGAGGCCCATTTGCATATCCCAGGTGGGAACCTGTCTGGCCCCGCCTGACCCTGCTGGCCGGTGCAGGCCCCTTCAGTGAGGCCAATTCTCCAAGGCTGCGGTCTTCTCCCAGGGTCATGGGTGAAGGGGTTTGGAGGCTCCCTGCGTGGGTACTGGCCTGCTGGGGTACACACAATGCTGCCATAGCCAGTCTGCCCCAACACCCAGCCTGGGGCCACATCTCGGGTCTCTCAGTCCTGAGGAGCCCGGTGCCCCACCCCTCACATCCTCTCTCCCTGAGTCAGGGCCTGGGTCTCGTGAGCTGAGTGACTGATACTTGGTGTCCTGGATGAGGGCGTGGTGGAGAGGGGCCACAGCGGGTGTTTCCTGACCCTCTTCCAGGAAGCCCAGCCCAAGGGAGGCCTCCGCTGCTGCTGCTGCAGAGGACACATACAGGATGCCCCTTCCTGCTCCCTGCCTCCCACTGGGCCCACAAAAGCCAGGGCAAGCCTCCCCTCCCTGCCAGCCACCTGGTCTGCTTCCCAGAAGTTCTGTCTTGCAGGCTGTTGGGAGGATCCCAGTGCTTTGTAAATTAAAGCAAGGGAGGAGTGGCTGCTCTCTCTCTCTGTTCATTCATTCACCTTTTCATTCATTCCTTCTTCCCTCCATTCCCCCATCTGTCCATCCTTCCCTGCCCTGATTTCTCATGCCACCCCCCGCCCCTCCTGACCTGGTCCTTTGGTTTCTCTTCAGGTCTTTCTGTCTCCTCCCACAGGGCTGAGAATGGCAGCTCAGGGACAAGTCGGGGCTGGGGACTGCTTAGTCTCCCCAGTGGCTCTCAGGGGATTTGAGGGATTGACGCCAGCCGCCACCCCAGGCTGTGCCCCTCCTCTGCTCAGGAGGACATTCAGGATGCGACACCCACTTAAACTCGAAGTTGCAAAGATGCAAATGAGACTGGAGTCTCAGGCACCAGAGACCACCCGTGGGCATGTGGCCTTTGGGAGTGGGGACCTGCTGCCACAAATTTCTAGGTGGAGTCTGGACCTGCTGGGTCTCCCTGAGTGACTGTCTGGGGGTCTCCATAGCGTGCCCTGCTGTGTGCGTGACGGTCACTGGTTGGGTAGGGGTCTCTACTCTAAAGCTCCCTCTGCTGGCATCCCCTCAAACTGTCCCTTGAAGAGAGAGGATGTGGTTTGCCCCAGTGTTTTGTCAAACAACTCTCTCCACTTCCTGTCTTAAGAAGCTGGGAGTGGAAGAGAGCCTGGGGCTGGCCCCAGCTGCTGCTGCGGAACAGGGGTCATTGGACACTGGGACCCTGGCCGGACTGGCTGGGGGGCCTCAGGAAGAGGCCTGCTGCAGCGTCATCCTGGCCAAGATCCCTCCTTGCAGAGGCCCCTGGCCACACTGCCACAGGGTCTGCTGGGGCCACCAGAAGCCCATGCTCCTGACTCCATCATCTCTCCCCTCTGTGCTCACCTCTCACCAGGAGGCCCTCCCAGAGTCCAGTCTCCTGCTCTTTTTTCTGTTTTGTTTTTGAGATGCTGTTTCGCTCTGTCACCAGGCTGGAGTGCAGTGGCATGATCTCGGCTCGCTGCAACCTCTGCCTCCTTGGTTCAAATGATTCTCCTGCCTCAGCCTCCTGAGTAGCTGGGACTACAGGTGCTAGCCACCACGCCCAGCTAATTTTTGTATTTTTAGTAGAGATGGGGTTTCACCATGTTAGCCAGGATGGTCTCCAACTCTAGACCTCGTGCTTTGCCCACCTCCGCCTCCCAAAGTGCTGGGATTACAGGAGTGAGTCACGGCACCCAGCCCCATCTCCTACTCTTTCAGCACTAGGTTTTATTCTTGGGATTCTGCTACAGCCGGAGCCCCTGGGTGCAAGCTCCTAAGCTTTCTGTGAGTGTGGACCCAGCACCGTGCCTAGTAGACATACAAAAGGAGCATGGTGACAGTGAGGTCTGTTATCTCCAGCATAATGACTGTTTTGATCCTTGTAAAAAAGGTGATTTTTGGCTGGGTGTGGTGGCTCACACCTGTGATCCCAGCACTTTGGGAGGCTGAGGCGGGTGGATCATTTAAGGTCAGGAGTTGGAGACCAGCCTGGGCAACATGGTGAAACCACGTCTCTACTAAAAATACAAAAATTAGCTGGGCATGGTAGCGGGTGCCTGTAATCCCAGCTACTTGGGAGGCTGAGACAGGAGAATCACTTGAACCCAGGAGGCAAAGGTTGCAGTAAGCCAAGATTGCACCACTGCACTCCAGCCTGGGTGACAGAGCAAGACTTGGTCTCAGGAAAAAAAAAAAAAGAAAGAAAGAAAAGTTTATATTTTTGTTCTAATGGTTATCTTAATATCTTCATTCTATAATTATATGTTTTATATAATTATAATAGCTATATAAGATATAATACCCCTAGTATGTTGTTTTTTGGATATTCTACTCGTTCCTGATGGTTAATTTATGTGTCAACTTGGCTAAGCTCTGGTGCCCCGTTGTTTGGTCAAATACTTGTCAATATCTTGCTGGGAGGTTATTTCATAGATGTGATTAACACTGACAGTCAGTTGACTTTAGGTAAAACAGATTACCCACCATAATATGGGTGGGCCACCTCCAATCAGTTGAAGGCCGTAAGAACAAAAACTGAGGTTTCCCAGAGAAGCAGGAATTCTGCTTCAACACTATAACACACAAACCCTGCCTGAGTTTCTGGCCTGCTGACTGCTCTACAGATGTTAGGTTCCAGACTTCGAGATCAACTCTTACCTGAATTTATAGCCTGCTGGCTTGCCCTACAGATTTTAAACTTGCCAGTCCCCAAAATCATGTGAGCCAATTCCTAAATAAATCTCTATGTATAACCTATTGGTTTAGTTTCTCTAAAAAAACTTCTATATCCAGTTTCCTGGATGTTAAGTAATACTGAAACTAGCTAGTAACCTCGTGTTTTTTTTTTTTTTTTTTTTTGAGATGGAGTTTTGTTCTTGTTGCACAGGCTGGAGTACAATAGCACGATCTTGGCTCACCGCAACCTCCACCTCCTGGGTTCAAGCGATTCTCCTGCCTCAGCCTCCTGAGTAGCTGGGATTACAGGCATGCGCCACCACACCTGGCTAATTTTGTATTTTTGGTAGAGACAGGGTTTCTCCATGTGGGTCAGGCTGGTCTCAAACTCCCGACCTCAGGTGATCTGCCCGCTTTGGCCTCCCAAAGTGCTGGGATTACAGGCATGAACTACTGCACCCGTCTCCTAGTAATTTCTTCTTTTCCATGATGTGTCTCTTATCTCTAATAATACTTTTCTTCTTAAAGTCTACTTCATTAAAAATAGTTATGCTGGGCATGGTGGCTCATGCCTGTAATTGGCACTTTGGGAGGTCAAGGTGAGTGGGTCGCTGAAGCCCAGGAGTTCAAGACCAGCCTGGGCAACATGGTGAGACAAAAAGTACAAAAATTAGCTGGGTGTGGCTAATATAATTCTAAGTTGGCACACTTGTAGTCCCAGCTACTTGGGAGGCTGAGCGGGGAGAATCGCATGATGCTAGAAGGGAGAGATTGCTGTGAGCCAAGATCACGTCGCTGCACTCCGGCCTGGGAGACAGAGTGAGGCTCTATCTCAAAAAAAAAAAAAAAGTTATACAGCTTTCTTGGTTAGTGCATGCATGATATATTTTTCATTATTTTCCACCTTTCTGTATCCTTACATAAAAGGCATTGGGTTTTACTTTATTTCCAATTACTTTAATTTTTATTGATTGTCCTTTTAAAAGTAGGTGATGATTTATTTGGGTTGAAACCCACCACCAACTTGTTTTCCATGCCTATTCTGTTTCTTCTTATCTCCTTTCACATCTTGTTTTGCATTTATTATTTTTATTATTCAATTTCCTTTTTCTCTATTAGTTTCCTAACTGTGCAGTCTTGGGGTTATTTTAAAAGATGACAGTAGATTATTTTAGAGCTTACAACATGCATCCTTCACTTATCAAAGTCTAACATGAGCTAGTACTTTTTTTTGTTTATTTGTTTTTTCTTGAGATAGAGGGAGTCTTGCTCTGCTGCCCAGGCTGGAGTGCAGTGGAGCAATCTTGGTTCACTGCAACCTCCACCTCTTGGGTTCAAGCAATTCTCCTGTCTCAGTCTCCTGAGTAGCTGGGACCACTGGTGTGCACCACTATGCCCGGCTAATTTTTGTATTCTTTTTTAGTAGAGACAGGGTTTCACCATGTTGGCCAGGCTGGTCTTGAACTCCTCACCTTAAGAGATCTGCTTACCTCGGCGTCCTAAAGTGTTGGGATTACAGGCGTGAGCCACCACGCCCAGCCTATGAGTTAGTACTTCTATCCTCTTCCTAGTCAGTAGAAGAACCTTGGAACAGGAACTAAATTTACCCCCAGTGACTTATATGCTAATATTTTTGTGTATTTTAAATATATGTGTGTGCATAGATGTATCTGTGTGTTTTTTGTGTTTTTATTCTTATTTATGTTGAGAGTGTAGAGCTATGTAAGAGTAAAGAGAATTGTGTAATGAAGCCCCGAGTATCCATTCAATTTCAACAACAATCTTATGGCCAAGCTCATTTCATGTATACTCTTTCCTGCTTCCCTCTACCCTACATTATTTCAGTGCAAATCCCAGATATATAACTTTACCCATACATATTTCAGTATGTTTTATTTTAAGCCCCACAAGATATCATTTTCTATACTACTATAATTTTATACCAATAACGTTCATTTAGATTTACCCACACGTTTACCTCTTCTGTTACCCTTTTTTTTTTGAGACAGAGTCTCGCTCTGTCGCCCAGGCTGGAGTGCAGTGGCACAATCTCGGCTCACTGCAAGCTCTGCCTCCTGGGTTCACGCCATTCTCCTGCTTCAGCCTCCCGAGTAGCTGGGACTACAGTCACCCGCCACCACGCCTGGCTAATTTTTTGTATTTTTTAGTAGAGACGGGTTTCACTGTGTTAGCCAGGATGGTCTCGATCTCCTAACCTCATGATACACCCGCCTCGGCCTCCCAAAGTGCTGGGATTACAGGCGTGAGCCACCACGCCTGGCCACCCTTTATTTTTATTTATAAAAATATCTTTGGGAAAAAATATCTTTGGGCACATGGTCAAGGATCTCCTGAGGACTGTGTCATGGGCTATATATATATTATATATATATATATATATTATATAATATATATTATATATATAATATATATAATATATATATATATAAAATATATAATATATATTATATATATTATATATATAATATATATAATATATATATATAAATATATATATATATATATAATATATTATATATATATAAATATATAATATATATTATATATATATATATATATTCCATATATATACACACACATATATATATATTCCACTTTCACTTTTTTTTTTTTTTTGAGACGGTGTCTTGCTCTGTCGCCCAGGCTGGAGTATAGTGGCGTGATCTCAGCTCACTGCAACTTCTGCCTCCCGGGTTCAAGTGATTCTCCTGTCTCAGCCACCTGAGTAGCTGGGATTCCAGGCATGAGCCACCACGCCTGGCTAATTTTTGTATTTTTTTTTTTTGAGATGGGGTCTCACTGTGTCGCCCAGGCTGAAGTGCAATGGCACGATATCTGCTCACTGCAACCTCCACCTCCCTGGTTCAAGCAGTTCCCCTGCCTCAGTCTCCCAAGTAGCTGGGATTACAACAGGCGCATGACACCATGCCCTGCTAATTTTTTTGTATTTGTAGTAGAGACAGAGTTTCACCATATTCGCCAGACTGGTCTCAAACTCCTGACCTCAAGCAATTTGCCTGCCTTGGCCTCCCAAAGTGCTGAGATTACAGGCGTGAGTCACCGCGCCTGGCCTTTTTTTTTTTTTTTTTTTGAGACGGAGCCTCACTCTGTCCCCCAGGCTGGGGTGTGGTGGGAAGATCTCGGCTTCCTGCAACCTCCACCTGCTGGGTTCAAATGTTTCTTGTGCCTCAGCCTCCCAAGTAGATGGGATTACAGGTGCCCACAACCACACCTGGCTAATTTTTGTATTTTTGGTAGAGATGGGGTTTTAACCACGTTGGCCAGGCTGGTCTCGAACTCCTGACCTCAGGTGACCTACCCACCTTGGCCTTCCAAAGTGATGGGATTACAGGCGTGAGCCACCACTCCCAGCCTCCATTTTTAATAGATGACAGTTCTTTGATAAAATTCTTATTTCTTTATATCCTTGAATATAGATACAAAGTACTTATTTTAAAGTACATGGTCTGCCAATTTCATAATCTGGAGATCCTATGGACCTTTTTAAAAGTTGTCTGTGCTTTCTCATGAGCTTTGTTCCTGCTGTCTTATTTCCTTGTTTGCTTGGTTGTTTTTAATTTGGCACTGGAGAGTATGTATAAAAATTGTTAGAGGCCGGGTGCGGTGGCTCACGCTTGTAATCCCAGCACTTTGGGAGGCCAAGGCAGGCAGATCACGAGGTCAGGAGTACAAGACCAGCCTGGCCAACACAGTGAAACCCTGTCTCTACTGAAAATACAAAAATTAGCTCTGCGTGATGGCTGGTGGCTGTAATCCCAGCTACTTGGGAGGCTGAGACAGGAGAATTGCTTGAACCCAGGAGGTGAAGGTTGCAGTGAGCCGAGATCGAGGCACTGCACTCCAGCCTGGACAACAGAGTGAGATGCTGTCTCAAATAAATAAATAAATAAATATAAAATAATTTGAGGCCTAGGGATCTGAAATTCTGGGATCTCCTTTATGCATTTGAGTGACTGAGATGATTTGAAGCTGGATCCAGTGCTCCTGAGGGCTGCTCTATTTCTAGTTGACTCCTAGAGTAAGAAACCTGCACCCCACGTGTGGGGCATTATGGCATCCCCTCCCTCAGCACATGAGTAGGTCAACAGCACTGCTCTAGACCAGGTGTGGTGGCTCACGCCTATAGTCCCAGCTACTCAGGAGACTGAGGCAGGAGGATTGCTTCAGGCCAAGAATTTGAGACCAGCCAGAGCAATATATTAGGTTGGTACAAAAGTAATTGCGGTTTTTGCCATTAAAAGTAATGGTGACCCTGTCTCAGAAAAATAAAAAGCAAAAAAAAAAAAAAAAAGAGAGAAAAGAAAAAAAGAATCCCTGATCTATTTCTCAGCCTCCTCTTCAGGATTGGCCGTCACCTTGAGGGGAATGCTGGCCTTGCCTGTCTCCAGCCCTGTACTTCTCTGCCTCCTATGCCTTTAAGCACATGTTTTCTATTTGCTGGGCTTTTCTAGTTCTCTGAGGGAAGTGTGGTCTGAATTACAGTCTCCCATTACCAGGAAGTCTGATTTACGTTTAACAGATTTTTTTTTTTTTTTTGAGATGGAGTCTCTCTCCGTTGCCCAGGCTGGAGTGCAGTGGTACAACCTTGGCTCACTGCAAGCTCCGACTTCCAGGTTCACACCATTCTCCTGCCTCAGCCTCCTGAGTAGCTGGGACTACAGGCACCCGCCACCATGCCCAGCTAATTTTTTGTATTTTTAATAGAGATGGGGTTTCACCGTGTTAGCCAGGATGGTCTCAATCTCCTGACCTCATGATCTGCCTGCCTGGGCCTCCCAAAGTGCTGGGATTACAGGCATGAGCCACCGCGCCCGGCCTTAACAGATTATTTTTTTAAAATGTAAGGGAGCAAGGCCAACGCTGGGGCCTGGGTAGGAGGCCATTGCAATAACCCAGCTGAGAGAGGTTGGTGGCTTGGACCAGTGTGGTGGAGATGGAGGTAGAACCTGCATCCAGAGTCACTGGTGGGTTGGATGTGGGGAAGGAAGAAAGTGACCAATCCAGGATGGCTCCAGGGTGTAGGCGCTGAGCAAAAGGGGGAGTGGTTGTGTCAATTTCTAAGACAACGAGGACTAGGAGAGGAGCCATTTCGCAGGGACGGTTGGAAGGAAAATCAAAAGTACAGTTTAGGTCATGGTATGTTTGAAATGTTTCTTAGACACCCAGAGTGGGTACCTTGTGCATAGCTGGGTATAAGTGTCTCGAGTGTAGGGAGAGGACTGGCGGAGTTAAAGTCGGGGAGTTACCATCACACAGGTTGCATCTCATGCCATGAGCCTGGATGGACTCACCCAGGGAGAAGATATAGATGCACAAGGACCATGGACCAAGCCTGGGGCCCCCAACATCAGGAGACCAGGGAGGTGGGACGAAAACCAAAGCCTGGCAGGGTGGGCGAGGTGGGTGCAGGGACCTGGCCCATTCCCTCTTGGGGCTTTGGTTTCCCCATCTGTAACCATTTACCCCATTTTGCCCTGGAAGCCAAGACAACTGACTAGGCTGGAAGCAGACAGGTTGGGGAAGCAAGGGTGCACTCCATTTAGTTAGGAAGTGAGGCCTTTGTCTGGGATGGGAGTTTAAAGTGTTTTTTCCCCCAGTTTGTCATTTGGCTTTGTTTATGGTGTTTTATTCTTATAAAAATTAGTGTTTATGCCTGACTTGTTTATTTCATTTTCTGGCTTTGTGCTCTCTTTCCTGTTCCAAGATTACATGTGTCCCTGTGGTGCCCATGTGTGCCACGTGTGGGCCCAGAGAGGGACATGTGGCTCAGGAGCTGGGGTGGGTTTGTGTCCAGATGGACATGCTAGGTCAGGACAGACACCTGAGCCAAAGGAGGGTGCTAGGGCCAGAGGTCCCACGGGGTGGGTGCAGGGACCCAGGTCCATTCCCTCTTTGGGCCTTGGTTTCCCCATCTGCAACTGGGGCTTAAATGCTGGCTTCTGGCCGGGCACAGTGGCTCACGCCTGTAATCCCAGCACTTTGGGAGGCCGAGGTGAGCAGATCATCTGATGTCGGGAGTTTGAGACCAGCCTGACCAACATGGAGAAACCTCGTCTCTACTAAAAATACAAAATTAGTCAGGCGTGGTGGTGCATGCCTGTAATCCCAGCTACTCGGCAGGCTGAAGCAGGAGAATCGCTTGAATCCGGGAGGCGAGGTTGCAATGAGCCAAGATAGTGTCATTGCACTCCAGCCTGGGCAAGAAGATTGAAACTCTGTCTCAAAAAAAAAAAAAAAAAAAAAAAAAAGCTGGCTTCTTGAGGTGCTGGGGAGGAAGGATTCCTGGGTGTTAGGGAAGAGGTTGACCTCAGTGAGCTGTGCAGGCCTGTGCCCCAGGGACAGGGATCATCATAATGTAGGCCAGGCTGACCAGCCCTCAGTGCTAAAGGGCCCACCTCTTGCTGCCCATGGACAGATGGGGAGGGGTAGGCCAGAGCATTTATTTTCTTTCTTTCTTTTCTTTTCTTTTTTTTTCTTTTTTGAGGCAGTCTTGCTTTGTTGCCCAGGCTGGAGTGCAGTGGCATGATTTCAGCTCACTGCAACCTCTGCCTGCTGGGTTCAAGCAATTCTCCTGCCTCAGCCTCCTGCGTAGCTGGGATTACAGGTGCCCGCCATCACATTCAGCTAATTTTTGTATTTTTAGTAGAGACGGGGTTTCACCATGTTGGCCAAGCTGGTCTTGAACTCCTGACCTCAAGTGATCTATCCGCCTCGGCCTCCCAAAGTGCAGGGATTATAGGCATGAGCCACCACACCCAGCCTAGGCCAGAGAATTTCCATAGGCTCAGAGTCCCAAGAGAAGTTTTGGGGTCCATCAGCTCAAGCCCTATGCCCTGCTGGCAGGGAAGGATCCTGGGATCACCTGCCAAAGGCCAGCCTTGAAGTAGTTGTGGCCAGAGTGTCCCCAGTGAGATGGGGAGTGGAGTCCCAGGGTGGGCTCCTGAGGCCACTGTGAGGGACTGAGAGGTGGCCGAGGCCTCGTTCTGCCTGTAGCATATGAGCTGGTGCTGCTGGGAACAATGGCAACAGAAGTACTTTGCAAACTGAGAAGCACCTTGTATATGGCAAAGGTCAGTGTAAATGGCATCACACTTTGCAACCGTAGTGTGTTGTGGACCTGTGAGCAGCTGGATTTGATGGGGAAGCCTGGTTGTGTTCTGCAACCTAATCTGCGGTTTGGTGGCAGCCGACGTGCCGCCTCCGTCACCATTCTCCAATGAGTGCCAGCTGAGCAAGCCTGGTGGGGAGGCAGGGGGAGGGGAGCCCCACAGCGACTCTGTGCCATGTCCCCTAGAGCCATCCTCCAGCAGCAGGGCTCACCCGTGGATGCCACCATCGCGGCTCTGGTCTGCACCAGCGTCGTCAACCCTCAGAGCATGGGCCTGGGCGGAGGGGTCATCTTCACCATCTACAATGTGACAACAGGTGGGCCCACATGTGAACTGCCATGGGGAAGATGGGCTTGTCCACACCACTGCGTAACCCCTTCTCCAGCCAGTCCCATCAACTCAAGCCCGTTTCTGGGTGTTCTTGGGCCCCCTGCCCTGCCCCATTTGCCTCAGCTGTGCAAAGCCCTTGTGTCAACTCCTGTCCCTGTGTTAGCCCAGAGTCCATCTCATAATGCAGAGATGGAAACTGAGGCCTAGAGCAGGCCAGGGGCTGTCTGCAGGGTCCATGACCACTCACCTGCCCTGCCCTACTCCAGGGAAGGTGGAGGTCATCAATGCCCGGGAGACGGTGCCGGCCAGCCACGCCCCGAGCCTGCTGGACCAGTGTGCACAGGCTCTGCCACTGGGCACAGGTGACGCCCCATGGAGGTCCCCCACTCCCACCCCCCAGGCCACTAGGACTAATCAGAACACCCCCGCAAAGGAGCAGCGCCTCACGGACAGGCTGTGACTCCCTGGCACGGGGGGACACGGAGCCTGTGGGGAACCCCCAGCCCCAACCTGCAGGGATTGAGAAGGTCCCCCTTGGGAACGGGCTCTCTGAGGTGATCCAGGGAGAGGGACCAGGCTGGACAAAGGCCTGGAGGGTTCAGTGGAGATGGGTTGGCGGGGCAGGGTGGGGCTCCTGGGGCCAGTTTGTGTAGGGCCCCTTGGGCTTGGCCATGGACTTTGTGGGGAGCCACAGGTGATTTGAGCAGGGAGGGACGTGGTCGGGTGTGGGCTCCAGAAAGCTCACTCTGGCTGCTGTAACTGGGGGGCCACATGTAGGGGTGATGGCAAACCTGGGAAGGCCTGGAAGCCACAGGGTTGAGAGCTGGGATGTGCCATGCAGGGGCCCAGTGGATCGGGGTGCCCGGGGAGCTCCGTGGCTATGCCGAGGCCCACCGCCGCCATGGCCGCCTGCCCTGGGCGCAGCTGTTCCAGCCCACCATCGCGCTGCTCCGAGGGGGGCATGTGGTGGCCCCTGTCCTCAGCCGTTTCCTGCACAACAGCATCCTGCGGCCTTCCTTGCAGGCGTCAACCCTGCGGTGAGCCCCACATGGTGGCCCTGGGTTCCTGGGTTCAAGGCCATATCCTGTCTGGGCCCAGTCCACACCCCAGCTCTGCCTCAGTCCCTCTTACACTGGAGGATTGACCCTCGGGGTGCTGGCCAGGACAAAGAGTACTTTTCATGGCCCTTCCAGCTCCCCGTGGCAGAGCCTAACTTGGGGTTAGGCTGCGGGGAGTTTATTGCCCAAGTGATAGGACTCCAAGGTGTGGATTTGGGCTCTGCCACCCGCCCTGGGGCCCCGGCCTCCTTCTTCCTCTCTCTGGCATGGCAGGAGGGCTTCAACTGCCACTCTCACCTGCCCCACCCAGCCCACTGACAGGCCCTCCCAGGAGTGAGATGACAGGCCCTAGGTGGACCCAGGCCCCACTGGGAAATTTGCCTTCCCTGGACCAGGGCCATGAGCTGGGTGAGTGGTGTCAGTCCCACCACCTCCTAGAGAATCAGTTCCCCGGTGTCCACCCCAGTGCCTCGGGACCCTGGGCCAGGGCGCCCCCCACTGTAGGGTCCTGAGGACTCCACCCATGAGAGCCCCGGAAGAGTGTGGCTGCCTCTGGGACCTGGCCCCACCCTGAGGCTCCCCCCACCCCCCAGCCAGCTCTTCTTCAACGGGACAGAACCCCTGAGGCCTCAGGACCCACTCCCATGGCCTGCACTGGCCACCACCCTGGAGACCGTGGCCACAGAGGGCGTGGAGGTCTTCTACACGGGGAGGCTGGGCCAGATGCTGGTGGAGGACATTGCCAAGGAAGGTCAGCCTCCCTGAGGTTCCATACCCCATCCCTGCTGGAGGAAGAGCCAAGTTCTGGGCACTGGGGGTTGAGGGCAGGCTCCTTCCCAGGCCCTGAGGGAGTGCAGGCAGTGCCCGGGACCCCGAGAGGCCATGCACCTAGCTCTGCCGGCCCAAGGACCCCTGTGGTCCAGGACCTCAGAGAGCAGAGCCTGCGGGTTAGGG
Source organism: Homo sapiens (assembly GCF_000001405.40). Taxonomy (NCBI): domain Eukaryota; kingdom Metazoa; phylum Chordata; class Mammalia; order Primates; family Hominidae; genus Homo; species Homo sapiens. The sequence goes on along the minus strand of NC_000022.11, from coordinate 24,231,847 downwards.
CCAGCAGAGGGGCGTTACCGATGGTCACGGCAGGTCTGGGTAGCCGAGCTGACCATTCTCACAGGCTCTCATAAGCCAGCTCCCTCTCCCATCTTCCCTTTCTTTTCCCCAGCCTCCCTGCCTCTGGTCTCTGTCCACCCCTCCACGCCTGGCCCCAAGGGGCCAGTCCTGAGGCCACTGCCTACAGACCTACCATCATCCTGTGTCCACAAGGCAAAAGCATGAGTGGAATCCCATTGTGTGACCTGACAGCAGTGGCTATTCCTCCCCGCCTCAGTTTCCCATCTGTTCATGGAGCCCTCTCCTTCTCATCCCAGGGAGCCAGCTGACGCTGCAGGACCTGGCCAAGTTCCAGCCCGAGGTGGTGGATGCCCTGGAGGTGCCCCTGGGGGACTATACCCTGTACTCACCACCGCCGCCTGCAGGGGGTGCCATTCTCAGCTTTATCCTCAACGTGCTAAGAGGTAAAGCCCCTGCCCAGAGCCCTGGCGCCCACCCCCTCCCCCGCACCCCCGGCCCCCGGGAACTCAGACTCCAAGCCCAAGCCCAGCCAAGGCCCAGCTCAGCCTCCTCCTCCATAAACCGGGTTCACAGATGCACAATATGAAGACAGAGCTGTGGAAACCAATCAGGATGGTGGGTTTTAGAGCTGGCCTCCAGCTCGACCCATACGTGAGGCTTTGCTGAAGGGCGTGATATCATTCGTCCAGAGTCCTCCTCCCACTGGGTGACCAGTCCCAGACACAGAAGCAGGTGGGCTGTGTGGGTGGTGAGCTGCCTGTCAGGGGCGTGCACCTGGGGGAGCGAAGCCAGCCTAGCCCAAGGCAGCCTGCAGGGGGGTTCTGGCAGTGCTGAGGCCTGGGGCTGCCTGCGCTGGCTTAATATTAGTGTCCTGTGTCTGCCATTACAAATCACCACAAGCTTGGTGGCTTAAAATAACAGAAATGTGTCCTCTCACAGTTCTGGAAGCCAGAAGCCCGATATCTAGGTGTCCACAGGGCTGCATTCCATTGGGGGCTCCAGGGGAGAATCTGTTCTTTGCCTTGTTGACCTAAATAAAAAACAGAACAAGGCTCTCAAAGAAAATGATGTTTGTTCCAGAGTAGGCATCGCGGTAGGAATACCCATGCTAGGGTAAACTATGTGTGTATTCAGGGAGGTGAAGGAAGACAAAAGTTTTCAAAGAGAAAATGAGGAAGATTATATAACTTTTTTGTTTACAATCAATGATAATTTATTGTACATTTTATTTTTTTCATTGCATTATTATTATTATTATTATTAATTATTGAGACGGTGTCTTGCTCTGTCGCCTAGGGTAGAGCACAGTGGCACAATCTCGGTTCATTGCAAACTCTGCTTCCTGGGTTCAAGTGATTCTCCTGACTCAGCCTCCCAAGTAGCTGGGATTACAGGCATGGGCCACCACACGCCGCTGATTTTTATCTTTTCTTTTTTTCCTTTTTTTTTTTTTTCTTTTTAGACAGAGTCTCAATCTGTCACCCAGGCTAGAGTGCAATGGCACGATCTCAGCTCACTGCAACCTCTGCCTCCCAGGTACAAGCAATTCTCCTGCCTCAGTCTCCCAAGTAGCTGGGATTACAGGCGCTTGCCACGACACCGAGTTAATTTTTGTATTTTTGGTAGAGATGGGGTTTTGCCACGTTGGTCAGGCTGGTCTTGAACTTCTGATGTCAGGTGATCCGCCCACCTCGGCATCCCAAAGTGCTGGGATTACAGGCATGAGCCACCGCGCCCAGATGATTTTTATCTTTTTAGTAGAGACGGGGTTTTACCATGTTGGCCGGGCTGGTCTTGAACTCTTGACCTTAACTGACCCACTTGCCTCAGCCTCCCAAAGTGCTGGGATTCCAGGCGTGAGCCACCTCTGCCTGGCTATTTTATTTTTATTTCATTAGTTTTTGGGGAACAAGTGGTGTTCGGTTGCATGGAAAAGTTATTTAGTGGTGATTTCTTTTTTTTTTCTTTTTTTTTTTGAGATGGAATCTCACTCTGTGGCCCAGGCTGGAGAGCAGTGGCATGATCTTAGCTCACTGCAACCTCTGCCTCTGAGGTTCAAGCAATTCTCCAGTCTCAGCCTCCTGAGTAGCTGGGATTACAGGTGCACGCTACCAAGCCTGGTTAATTAATTAATTTATTTATTTATTTTATTTTTTTAGTAGAGATGGGGTTTCACCATGTTGGCCAGGCTGGTCTTAAACTCCTGACTTCAAGTGATCTGCCTGCCTCAGCCTCCCAAAGTGCTGGAATTACAGGCATGAGCCACCGCATCTGGTCTTTAGTGGTGATTTCTGAGATCTTGATGCACCCATCACACAAGCAGTGTACACTGTTCCTAGTGTGTAGTCTTTTATCCCTCATTCCCCTCCCACCCTTCCCCTTGAGTTCCCAGAGTCCATTAGAGCATTTTTCTTTTCCTCTGAGACAGAGTCTCGCTCTGTCGCCAAGGCTGGAGTGCAATGGTGCGTCTCGGTTCACTACAAACTCTGCCTCCTGGGTTCAAGCGATTTTCCTGCCTCAGCCTCCCACGTAGCTGGGATTACAGGCGCCTGCCACCACAACTAATTTTTTTTTTTTGTATTATTAGTAAAGATGGGGTTTCACCGTGTTGACCAGGCTGCTCTTGAACTCCTGACCTCAGGTGATCTGCCTGCCTTGGCCTCCCAAATTGCTGGGATTACAGGTGTGAGCCACCATGCTGGGCCCCATTATATCATTCCTTCTTTTTTCTGGAGATGGAGTTTTGCTCTTGTCACCCAGGCTGGAGTGGAGTGCAATTGCGCGATCTCAGCTCACTGCAACCTCTGCCTCCCGGTTCAAGCGATTCTCCTGCCTCAGCCTCCCGAGTAGCTAGGACTACCCATGTGTGCTACCATGCCCGGCTAATTTTTGTATTATTAGAGACAGGGTTTCATCATGTTGGCCAGACTGCTCTTGAACTCCTGACCTCAGGTGATCCACCTGCCTCGGCCTCCCAAAGTGTTGGGATTATAGGCATAAGCCACCATGCCTGGCCCATTATATCATTTTTATTCCTTTGCGTCCTCATAGCTTAGCTTTGGTATATAACTGTTTCGGGCCTGGCATGGTGGCTCACGCCTGTAATCCCAGCACTTTGGGAGGCCAAGGCAGGCGGATCATGAGTTCAGGAGATCGAGACCATCCTGCCTAACACAGTGAAACCCTGTCTCTACTAAAAATACAAAAAATTAGCCAGGCGTGGTGGCGGGCACCTGTAGTCCCAGTTGCTTGGGAGGCTGAGGCAGGAGAATGGTGTGAACCCAGGAGACAGAGCTTGCAGTGAGCTGAGATCACACCACTGCACTCCAGCCTGGGCAACAGAGTGAGACTCTGTCTCAAAAAAAAAAAAAAACTGTTTTGAAATGATCATCCTTGGCTAGTAGGATGCATGGAAAAGTGATAAGGGTGGCACTGGACAGGCCACTCATGGGCAGATGTCTTTGCAGAAGTATTTTTTGTGTAAGATTGTGATGGCCTTCTTGTAAGGTTGTGAGCTGTTGTGTTTTTGAGGCAGGGTCTTGCTCTGTCACCTGGGCTGGAGTGCAGTGGCACTGTCAAGGCTCACTGCAGCCTCAACCTCCTGGACTCAAGCAATCCTCTCACCTCAGCCTCCCAAAGTTTTGGGATTACAGGCATGAGCCACTGCACCCAGCCGAGAACGGGGCACTTGTGCACGAGAGTCCTGTCTTCATGGCCTTTCCCTGGCTCTATTTTTCAGAGTTTTTTTTTTTTTGTTTTGTTTTTTTTTTTTTTTTTTGAGACAGAGTCTTGCTCTGTTTACTAGGCTGGAGTGCAGTGGTGCAATCCTGCCTCACTGCAACCTCCTCCTCCCGGGTTCAAGCAATTCTCCCTCCTCAGCCTCCCTAGTAGCTGGGGTTACAGGCACCCACCATCATGCCTGGATAATTTTTGTATTTTTGTAGAGATGGGGTTTCACCATGTTAGTCAGGCTGGTCTTGAACTCCTGACCTCAGCCTCGGCCTCCCAAAGTGCTGGGACTACAGGTGTGAGCCACTGTGGCTGGCTGCCGCTCTATTTTGAAAATTTTCACAGCCTCTTCCCACTTCCGGTGGCTGCCAGCATTCCTTGGCTTGTGGCTGCCTCACTCCAGTCTCTGTCTCCATGATCATACTGGTTTCTCCTCTGCTGTGTGTCCTCTCCTCTATGTGTCTGTCTTACAAGGACACTGTGGTCACATTCAGGGCACATCTAGATAATCCAGGATCATCTCCTCCTCTCAAAATCTTTAACGTACTTTAGGCCGGGTGTGGTGGCTCATGCCTGTAATCCCAGCACTTTGGGAGGCTAAGGAGGGTGGATCACTTGAGGTCAGGAGTTGGAGACCAGCCTGGCCAACACAGTAAAACACCATCTCTACTAAAAATACAAAAATTAGCCGGGCATGATGGCCTGTGCCTGAAGTCCTAGCTACTTGGGAGGCTGAGGCGGGAGAATCACTTCAACCCAGGAGGTGGAGATTGCAGTAAGCTGAGATCGTGCCACACACTCCAGCCTGGGTGACAGAACAAGACTTCCTCTCCAAAAAACACAAAAAAGGCGGGGCATGATGGCTTACGCCTGTAATCCTAGCACTTTGGGAGGCCAAGGCAGGCAGATCACTTGAGGCCAGGAGTTCAATACCAGCCTGAACAACATGGCGAAATCCTGTCTACTAAAAATACAAAAATAATTAGCTGTACGTGGTGGCGAACACATGTAGTCTCAGCTACTCAGGAGACTAAGGACCAAGAATCACTTGAACCCAGGAGGCAGAGATTGCAGTGAGCTGAGACTGCGCCATTGCACTCCAGCCTGGGCAATAGAGTGAGACTCTGTCTAAAAAAAAAAAAAAAAAAAAAAAAATCCTTAACTTACTTTTCCACTTAAGGTATTAGTCACTCTTGTGCTGTATAAGGTAATATCCACAGGTTTTGGGAATTAGGATGTGGGTGGATCTTTCTGTGGTGGGGGGTGGGGGCAACATTCAACCCATTACATAGGGTGACCCCAACCAACCTGTGCCCCAACCTCTCTCCAGGGTTCAACTTCTCAACAGAGTCTATGGCCAGGCCTGAAGGGAGGGTGAACGTGTACCACCACCTTGTAGAGACGCTCAAGTTTGCCAAGGGGCAGAGGTGGAGGCTGGGGGACCCTCGAAGCCACCCGAAGCTCCAGGTGAGGTTGCTGAGGTTGCTGGGCTGGTGGGCCGTCCTCCTCCCTGGCTCAGGACTTGGCATGAAATGAGGGTCAGGCCTGGTAGGGGGAAGTTGGAGGGATATGTATGTGGTTCTAGGCCAGGGCAGGACTGAAAGGGATCCCGGGGTGGCAGGTACAGGGGTCAGGTGCAGGAGTGGCACCATATCTCAAAGGACCTGGAGGGTGAGCAGAGTCTAGACCTAGCTGGGCTTGAGGGAGACCTGGCCACAAGGTAGAGGACAGACTGGAGGTGGCCCCCATGGGGGCTGATCTCATCCTGCCCTTGGTTCTGCGGATTCTGCCTGGCCCCTCACTGACCCTGCCACCTGCCCACCCACCCCAGAATGCCTCCCGGGACCTGCTGGGGGAGACCCTGGCCCAGCTCATCCGCCAACAGATCGATGGCCGGGGGGACCACCAGCTCAGCCACTACAGCTTGGCCGAGGCCTGGGGCCACGGGACAGGCACGTCCCATGTGTCTGTGCTGGGGGAGGATGGCAGCGCCGTGGCTGCCACCAGCACCATCAACACACCGTGCGTAGGGCCTGGGGGAAGGCGGATGGCTTCACTCCTCCTCTCCTAGACCTGCACACCCCCAGCCCCATGTCCCCTCACTTGTCCCCACGGGGCAGCACCTTGCTTTTGCCCTTTTTCTCCTCCTCTATTTCAAAAGAGGCCCCCACCCCTGACATCTCTGGCTGGAAAGGCTGCTGCTGGGGTGGCCCCGACCCAAGATTTACCTGGGAATGGGTAGCCTCACTCAGAAGGGTGCCCTGATGTGGGGGCACAGGTGGGTCTTTGGGGACCCCTCCTGGGTGGTGCCAGGGAGAGAATAGCGGCTTCAGCATGCTTCGGGGCAGCTGTAAAACGAGGGGGTCCTGCAAAGCGTGCAGGGTAAGTGGTGTCTGGTGGGAGCCCCGGGTCCTAGCCCAGGCTCTTCTGCCTCCACGGCTGCAGCTTTGGAGCGATGGTGTATTCACCACGGACAGGCATCATCCTCAACAACGAGCTCCTGGACTTATGCGAGCGATGCCCCCGGGGTTCCGGCACCACCCCCTCACCTGGTGAGAACAAAGCTTCCCACCCGGGGTCCACAAGGGCCCCCCACCAGGGGAGAGGAGGGAGGGGGCTGGGCTGGGGTTGCATGCTAACCCCTGGATGGGTCACTGCACTTGCCAAGACGCTGTTTGCTCAGCAGTGAGTGGAGACAGGGTGGGTGGAGCTCCCGGAAGGTGCTGGCCCCCAGTTCCAGGCGAGCGTTCCCCATCCTCCATGGTGCCCTCCATCTTGATCAACAAAGCCCAGGGGTCGAAGCTAGTGATTGGCGGGGCTGGCGGGGAGCTCATCATCTCTGCTGTGGCCCAGGTGAGTCTGGGGCTCCTGGCTCGAGTGTCTCCTCTCTGGGCAGCATACTGTCTGACTGTCTCTGGAGTGGGGATGTGAGGGCTGATGTAGGGTAGCAGGGTGCCCCCTTTCTCCCTGAAACCCTCATCTCTCCCCCAGGCCATCATGAGCAAGCTGTGGCTTGGCTTTGACCTGAGAGCGGCCATTGCAGCCCCCATCCTGCATGTCAACAGCAAGGGCTGTGTGGAGTACGAGCCCAACTTCAGCCAGGTGAGGCTGAGGTCCGAGCTGGATGCCTAGGGCAGAGCCCACTCCCCAAATCCGTGCTGCTCAAAGCCACCTGGGAGGAACTCAGTCACTGAGATTCTTAGGCCAGGTACACTTCAACTTTGGGGGCCATAGGAGTTGGGGACCTTGATGGGTGAGGCTGTCAGTGGCCTCCAGGCCAGTTCTGTGGCCTCCAAGACAGAGAGCAGGGTATTGTCTATGCTGCTCCCAGGCTGAGGATCTCAGCACCTTGGTCTCTGGTCTGTGGTTGATGCCATTTTTCAGAAGTGAGTTTTCCTGGCTGGGGCCTCTCAGACTCTCCCTCATGGTGACTTTTTCCTTGTGTGATTTGTAACTAATATTTGCAACTTTATTTGTGAAAGAGGTTGTTTTTCCTGTGACAGTCTGTAAAGTGATTTTCTTCTGGGGCACTAGGGCATTGGTGGTAATTTTTACTATATATATAATTTTTTTTTTTTTTGAGACAGCATCTCACTCTGTTGCCCAGGCTGGAGTGCAGTGTTGCGATCACAGCTCACTACAGCCTTGACATCCTGGGCTCAAGTGATCCTTCCTCCTCAGGCTCCCAAGGAACTAGGACTACAGGTGTGTGCCACCACACCTGGATAGTTTTTATTTTTTTGTTTTTCGTAGAAACAGGGTCTCTCACCATGTTGCCTAGGCTGGTCTTGAACTCCTGAGCTCAAGCAATCTTCCCGCCTTGGCCTCCCAAAATGCTGGGATTATAGGCGTGAGCCACCATGCCCAGCCTACAAACATTTTTTTTGATTCCCCACAGAAGCCCATGGTGCAGCTCCAGGGGCTGAATTCTTCTGGCTGACTCCCCCTCTATCCTTAGACAGAGACTCAGCTTCCTTGGAGCATCTTTGGGTTGATGGATGCCCTTTGTTAGGACCTATTTAAAAGATTGATAGTGGCCGGGCATGGTGGCTCATGCCTGTAATCCCAGCACTTTGGGAGGCCGAGGCGGGTGGATCACCTGAGGTCAGGACTTCCAGGCCAGCCTGGCCAACATGGTAAAACCCTGCCTCAACTAAAAATACAAAAATTAGCCAGGCGTGGTGGCACACACCTGTAATCCCAGCTACTCGGGAGGCTGAAGCAGGAGAAACACTTGAACCCAGGAGGTAGAGGTTGCAGTGAGCCAAGATCGTGACATTGCACTCCAGCCTGGGTGACAAGAACAAAACTCCATCTCAAAAAAAAAAAAAAAAAAAAAAAAAGATTGATAGCAGCTGAGGTTCCAGATCGTCAAAGCTGCCTCTCCTGTTATGAGACTTCTTCGGTCTCAAGTCCACCTTCCAAAGCCCTTAGAACCTGAGAACCATGGCCTTAGTCCAGGAACAGAGTGTAGTCCCAAGAGCCTTAGTTTTCAGACCTTGAGACTAAGGACCTCAGCCTGTTAGGCTCAAACTCTTGGAGTTTGCAGGCCTCCCTCCGCATGTAGGGTCCTTCGCATGACAGGAAGACCCTCTCAGGGCTCTCGGGTTCCAGGGATCTTAGATATGGAGGATTTCAAGATCCAGGGCACATCCTTTGGAGCCCTCCTCCCTTGACTCTTTTTTTATTTTTATTTTTTTAGACAGTCTCACTCTGTCACTCAGGCTGGAGTGCAGTGGCATGATCTTGCCTCACCACAACCTCCGCTTCCCAGGTTCAAGCAATTCTCCTGCCTCAGCCTCTGAGTAGCTGGGACTACACATGTGCGCCACCACACCTGGCTAATTTTTGTATTTTTAGTAAAGATGGGGTTTCCCCATGTTGGCCAGGCTGGTCTTGAGCTCCCAATCTCAAGTGATCTGTCCACCTTGGCCTCCCAAAGTGCTGGGCTTATAGGCATGAGCCACTGTGCCTGGCCCTCCCTTGACTCTTTTTTTTTCTTTTTTTTGAGACGGAGTCTCGCTCTGTTGCCCAGGCTGGCGTGCAGTGGCACGATCTTGGCTCACTGCAAGCTCTGCCTCCCGAGTTCACGCCATTCCCCTGCCTCATCCTCCCGCCTCATCCTCCCAAGTAGCTGGGACTACAGGCACCCACCACCACGCTCGGCTAATTTTTTGTATTTTTAGTAGAGACAGGGTTTCACCGTGTTAGCCAGGATGGTCTCGATCTCCTGACCTTGTGATCCGCCCGCCTTGGCCTCCCAAAGTGCTGGGATTATAGGCGTGAGCCACCGCGCCCGGCCCCTCCCTTGACTCTTGACTGAAGGACCTTTGTCTTTGTGAACATCAATTCTCAGGACCTTTCACCCTGGGGACGTGAAATGCTGAGAATTTGGGAGATGACAGTCTGGGGACTGGGATTAATGGAATCCAGTGACCCACAAACCTAAGGTTCTCAGCTCCCTTGGGGAGTTGGAATGTCAGCTATTCAGGTCTAGGGCTTTCCATGGAGTAAATCCTAAACTCTGGGTTGGAGACTTTAAGCCTCCAAGGACCTTCACAGCTAAGGCCCAGGGACTAGGGCGAGGAGAGTCTTTGATCCTCAGAGTCTTGGAGTTTGGCCAGTGGACTCTGAGGAATGGAGTCTCTGAGCACTGAAGGTCCAACTTTGGCTTCAGCAGTAAAGGATCTTGGCCTTCAAGTCTAAGGACAGTGGGCAATTAGTAGGTCAGGCATGGGGAACTCATAGCCAAACGTGCAGGGCTCCAAAGACCTCATTTGCCCTGTCAGCAGCTCAGGCCATGTGGCATCACCCGATGCATCTAGATGTCTCCGGAATCTCAGGCCCTGCAGGGTGAGGTTCTCGGGCCATTAGTTTTTTTTGTTTTGTTTTGTTTTGTTTTTTTGGCTTGTTGTTGTTGAGACAAAGTTTCACTCTGTCACCCAGGCTGGAGTGCAGTGGCGCGATCTCAGCTTATTGCAACCTCCACCTCCTGGGTTCAAGCAATTCTCATGTCTCAGCCTCCCAAGTAGCTGGGATTACAAGTGTGTGCCACCAAGCCTGGCTAATTTTTGTATTTTTAGCAGAAACAGCGTTTCTCCATGTTGGCCAGGCTGGTCTCAAACTCCTGACCTCAGGTGATCTGCCCACCTTGGCCTCCCAAAGTGCTGGGATTACAGGCATGACCACCGCGCCTGGCTAGGGAGCAGTGTTTTTAAGGACAACTTGGCGGGTTGGGGGAAGCCAATGAGCCAGGAGTGCTGATAGGTCAGGGATGAAATCATAGGGAGTTGGCTGCGCGCGGTGGCTCCCGCCTACAATCCCAGCACTTTGGGAGGCTGAGGTGGGTGGTTCACCTGAGGTCAGGAGACCAGCCTGGCCAACATGGCGAAAACCTGTCTCTACTAAAATTACAAAAATTAGCTGGGCAAAGTGGCAGGCATCTGTAATCCCAGCTACTGGGGAGGCTGAGGCAAGAGAATCACTTGAACCTGGGAGGGGAAGTTGCAGTGAGCCAAGGTCGTGCCATTGCACGCCAGCATGGGTGACAGAGCGGGACTCCATCTCAGAAACAGACACACACAAAAAACCCCTGGAAATCATAGAATCATAGGGAGTTGAAGCTTTCTTCTTGAGCTGAGTCCGTTCCTGGGTGGGGGCCACAAGGTCAGATGAGCCAGTTAATCGATCTGGATGGTGCCAGCTGATCCATCAAGTGCAGGGTCTGCAAAATTTCTCAAGCACTGATCTTAAGAGCAGTTTAGGGAGGGTCAGAATCTTTAGCCTTCAGCTGCGTGACTCCTAAACCATAATTTCTAATCTTGTGGCTAATGTGAGTCCTACGAAGGCAGTCTGGTGCCCAGGCAAGAAGGAAGTCTGCTTTGGGAAAGGGCTGTTACCGTCTTTGTTTTAAACTATAAACTAAGTTTCTCTCAAAGTTAGTTCAGCCTACACCCAGGAATGAGCAAGGACAACTGGGAGGTTAGAAGCAAGATGGAGTCGATTAAGTTAGATCTCTTTCCCTGTCTCAGTCATAATTTTGCAAAGGCGGTTTCAGTCTTGCTGTTTTGCCCAGGCTGGAGTGCAGTGTCATGATCAAAGCTCACTGCAGCCTCAAACTCCTAGCCTCAAGGGATCCTCCTGCTTCAGCCTCCTGAGTAGCTGGGACTATAAGCACAGGGCCACCACATCCGACTAATTTTTTCTTTTTTCTTTTCTTTTATTTTTTAATAAAGACGTGATCTTGCTACATTGCCCAGGCTGGTCTTGAACTCCTGAGCTCAAAAGATCCTCCTGCGCCGGCCTCCCAAAGTGCTGGGATTACAGGTGTGAGCCACCACGCCCAGCCCAATTTTTGATTTTCTTTTAGAGACGGTGTCTTGCTTTGTTGCCCTGGCTGTTCTCAAACTCCTGGCCTCAAGTGATCCTGCCACCTTGGCTCCCAAGTGGCTAAGACTGTAGGTATGTGCCACCACGCCTGGCTTTTTTTTATTTCTTATTTTTTATTTTTTAGAAACAGGATCTTGCTGCATTGCCCAGGCTGGTCTCAAACTCCTGGCCTCAAGTGATCCTCCTTCCTCAGCCTCCCAAATTGCTGGCATTACAGGTGTGAACCACTGTGTCTGGCCTCAGTGTCTAAATCTTGAGAAGCCACATCCTCCATCGAAGGCCCCCTGAACTCAGATTTGCACCTCAAGGCCCTGGTGTCCTTGGATCCAGAACAGACATGAACTTGCATTTGGAGGTCTTCGGGCCTGGGTGGTGTCCTTCGTACATAGTCCCTGGAGGCTGAGCTTGTCCTCTATGGGCCTTTGGATCTCTTCCATGCTCCCATCTGGTCCTCCCCTCTTCCTGTGTCTTCAGGCCCTCTTCCTCTCCGTCTTGCCTTTTGATCATTTTTCTCATTTCTTGCAGAGGCCTCTCCCTCCTGGAGATGGGCTGAGCTGCCCTCCCCTGTGAACCTGCTTTCTCTCCTCTCCAGGAGGTGCAGAGGGGACTCCAAGACCGTGGCCAGAACCAGACCCAGAGGCCCTTCTTCCTGAACGTGGTCCAGGCTGTGTCCCAGGAGGGGGCCTGTGTGTACGCCGTCTCGGACCTGAGGAAGAGTGGGGAGGCCGCAGGCTACTAAGACACTGCTCTGCCCAGAGCTGAAGTCTGGCCCCACCATGAGTCCTGTGTCCAGGCCGGACATGGCTGGGGGACCAACTACTCTGGCAGGATCTGGACCCCTGGCAGGGGAGTCCAGCTGAGAGTGGAAGAGGTGGCGGGGACCAGCTGGGCAGATGAGAGGCTGAGCCTCATCCCTAACCCCCTTTCCCAGAGCCCCTGGTGGTCCTGAACCGGCCCCTCTATCCCTCCGCAGGCCTCTTGCCTGGGGCCACTCTCCCACCCTCTCGATCTGTATATCCTCCAGTCCAAGATTAAAGAGGCGGACTGTGGCCTGATTCCATGGTTCTAAGTGGGGAGGGGACCCTCGGACAGTGCACAGAGGGGTGCATGCACCAGGCTCCTATGGCTCTCCACATTCCACCACCATGGAGGTGGGGAAACTGATGCTCGTGGACCAGCCGAACCTCAGCCAGGCCACCCCTGGACAGAGACAAGCACCACCTCTGCCTCCCAACACCTCACCACTCTGGTGGCCAGGACTCAGCAGCGTGACTGGCCCCAGACCTGAGAGCTGGTTAACTGAAAAATCACACAATTCACAAATTTGGAAAAGAGACTTTTTTCTTTCTTCTTTCCTTTCATTTTTTCTTTCTTTCTTTTTTCTTTGAGATGGGGTCTTGCTCTGTCATTCAGGCTGGAGTGCAGTGGTGCAATCACGGCTCACTGCACCCTCAACCTCCTGGGCTCAAGCCATCCTCCTGCCTCAGCCTCCCAAGTAGCTGGGACTACGGGTGTGCAACACCACACCTGGCCAATTTTTAAAATTTTTTTTGTAGAGACAGGGTCTCGCTATGTTGCCCAGGCTGGTCTTGAACTCCTGGTCTCAAGCCATCCTCCCTCCTCGGCCTTCCAAAGTGCTGGGATTAAGGTGTGAGCCACTATGCCCGACAAGACTTTCTTTTTTTTTTTTCCTTCAACTTGTGTTTTGAGTTCAGGGGCCCATACGTAGGATGTGCAAGTTTGTTACATAGATAAACATGTGCCTTGGTGGTTTGTTGCAGAGATCAACCCATCACCTAGGTATTAAGCTCAGCATCCATTAGCTATTCTTCCTGAAGCTCTCCCCCATCCCCCAACTTACTTTCTTTTTTTTTTTTTTTCTGTGAAACAAAGTCTCACTCTGTTGCCCAAGCTGGAGTGCAGTGGCAAAATCTCAGCTCACTGCAACTTCTGCCTCCCAGCTTCAAGCGATTCTCCTGCCTCAGCCTCCTGAGTAGCTGGGATTACAGGTGCGTGCCACCACACTCGGCTCATTTTGTATTTTTTGTGGAGATGGGGTTTCACCATGTAGCCAGGTTCATCTTGAAATCCTGACTTCAAGTGATCCGCCTGCCTTGTCCTCCCAAAGTGCTGGGATTACAGGTGTGAGCCACAGCGGCAACTTTATTTTTCATAAAGGGTTACAGACTGCAGGGTGGCCATCCGCCACTTTCAAAAGCATAGCCTCTGGCAGAGACCAGAGACAGGCACTTCTTTTTTTTTTCGAGATGGAGTCTCGCTCTCTTGCCCAGGCTGGAGTGCAGTGGCACGATCTCGGCTCACTGCAAGCTCCACCTCCCAGGTTCACGCCATTCTCCTGCCTCAGCCTCCCGAGTAGCTGGGACTGCAGGCGCCCGCCACCACGCCCGGCTAATTTTTTTTGTATTTTTAGTAGAGACGGGGTTTCACTGTGTTAGGCAGGATGGTCTCGATCTCCTGATCTCGTGATCCGGAGATAGGCACTTCTAAGGAGGAGAGGTTGGGGCAGGAGCTGTATGCTGAAGGGGTTGGCTAAACATACATATTCAACATGTTACAGGGAGAGCTATGAATATTCATGAAGGCAGTCTTGACACATGTGTATTGAACGAACATGCATGTAACATAGGACTCATGTTTGCTGTAGGATGAAGACGGTGGAGACTTAACATTAAAATGTATTACAAGGTCAGGCACGGTAGCTCACGCCTATAATCCTAGCACTTTGTGGAGCCGAGGCGGGTGGATCACATGAGGTCAGGAGTTCAAGAGCAGCCTGGCCAACATGGTGAAACCCCAACTCTACTAAAAATATAAAAATTAGCCGGGCACAGTGGCGGGCGCCTGTAATCCCAGCTACTCAGGAGGCCAAGGCAGAAGAATTGCTTGAACTCAGGAGGCGGAGGTTGCAGTGAGCCAAGATGGTGCCACTGGACTCCAGCCTGGGCAACAGAGTGAGACTCCATCTCAATAAAATAAATAAAATAAAATAAAATGTATTACAATTAGGCCCCATCTGTCAAAACATCTTTTCAGGGCCTGAAGGCCTGCAAGTGAGCAACTTCTGAAAACCAGCCAGAGCCAGTTCATGGTCAATGGTCTCTTATCAGGAGAAAGTTACTGAAATCAGTCTCTTGTCCAGTCGGAGCTGTAGTTATGCCTGGAAAAACAGGGGGTCAATAAGTTGGCATCCGTGAGCTGGATGAGCTGCAAAGTGTATTAATGTTGCTTCAGGCCGGTGCTTGTTGCTGCTGGAGGAAAAGGAAAGCCTCATTGCTGTTAGAACATAGTTTATTCTTTAAGTGCAGGGTCCATGAATTAACCCCTGCCTGGCTTGGCCTTGGGTCCTCTTTATAATTTGGTATCTTGTTGCCACAGAGTCTGTTCTGTCATTTTTTTTGAGACAGGGTCTGGCTCTGTCACCCAGGCTGGAATGCAGTGGCATGATCTTGGCTCACTGCAGCCTTCACCTCCCTGGCTTAAGCCATCTTCTCAACTCAGCCTCTCAGGTAGCTGGGACTACAGGCACAAACCACCATGCACGCTGCCGTGCTCAGCTAATTTTTTTTTTTTTGAGACAGGGTCTCACTTTATCACCCAGGCTGGTGTGGAGTGGTGCAGTCTCAGCCCACTGCAGCCTCGACCTCCTGGGCTCAAGCAATCCTCCCACCTCAGGCCCCCAAGTAGCTGGGAGTACAGGTGTGTGTCACCACATCCGGCTGATTTTTTGCTTTTTTTGTAAAGATGGGGTTTCACCATGTTGCCCAGGCTGGTCTCAAACTCCTGGCTTCAAGCAATCTTCCTGCTTCGGCCTCCCAAAGTGCTGGGATTACAGGTGTGAGTCACTGCGCTTGGTCCTCATCCATGTTTCGAATGAAATGATTCTTTGTTGTGGGGGGCTGTCCCCACACTGTAGGATGTTGAGCAGCATCCCGTGCCTCAGCCTGTGTGATGCAGTAGCACTCCCCACCGCACACACCCACTCATGACAACCAAAACTGTCTCAAGACAGTGCCACATCCCCCTGGTTGAGAATGGCCGCTCTAAACCAACAGGCCCCTAACTTCCATAAATAGCTTTGCCAGCTGCAGGGTGGGTACGTGGTGCTCTCTGGGGATCTCACTAGAGGGATCTGGGACTCCTGCGCCTCACTGGTTCCTAGGAACATCGGCTGTTCCTCCATCACCCCAAATGTGCCACAGAGGTTGTTTTAGTCTGCCTGGGCTGCCATAACAAAAATACTGGAAAGTGGGTGGCTTATAGCATTTTCCAGAAATTTATTGCTCACAGCTCTGGAGGCTGGGAAGTCCAAGATCAAGGTACTGGCAGATTTGATGTCCTGTGAGGGCCCATGTCCTCATACATGGCACCTTCTAACTGACATAGTGGAAGAAGCTAGCTAGCTCTCTGGGGTCTCTTTTATTTAATTACTTTAGAGACAGGGTCTCACTCTGTCACCAAGGCTGGAGTACAATGGCGTGATCATAGCTCACTCCTGTACCCAAGAGATCTTCCTGCCTCAGCCTCCTCAGTAGCTGGGACTGTAGGTGCAGCCCACTATGCCTGGCTTCTGGGGTCTCTTTTATAGGGCACTAATCCCATTCATGAGGGCTCTACCCTCATGACCTAACCACATCCCAAAGGCCCCACCTGCTAACGCTATCACATTGGTGATTAGCTTTCAACACGTGAATTTTGGGGGCATAGTGGGTCCACCTGGATGGTCCAGGATAATCTCCCCATCTCAAAAAATTGAATCACATCTTCAAAGTCACTTTTGCCATATAAGGTCTAATCTTGGGTTCTAGGGATTGGGATGTGGATATATTTGGAGGTTGTATGTGGGAGAGGGGCTGGATGGGGCTAATTCCTAATCTGGGCTTGACTGCATGGCTAGAAGAGGTGGTCTGGCAGACTAGGAGGAAGGTCTGGGAGCAAAACATGGCTCACTTTGAGATGAGGGGGCCAAGCCGGCCCACCACTTGGGCAGACCTGCCATCATCACCGACTCTCGTGGGCCGCTGTCAGAATTCAGGCAGATGCGAGACCACCAGCTTCTCCTGCGATCTGGCTTTGGGAGGCAGTGGAAGACAGATCTTTGAAAGCAGCACGGCTGGGTCAGGGGTCCAGGGAGCAGAACTGGTGGGTTTAGAGAGAAGGGAGTCTCTGGAGTGCTTCAGTGTGGTGGGATCCAGAGGCCGAACTCACACCGTCAGGGCCCTCCGTGTGGTAGCCTCCTGCTAGATAGGCTCCCAGGCCATGATCTCAATGGCTTCAGCTGAACTTCACGCCCTGCAGGGTGACAGAGCTTCTCTCCTTGCAGTTTAAACAAAGTCCCAGATCCAGCTCTCAATGGGGCCCCTCTGAGCAGTCTTCATGGGCAGGGGAGGGCTGAGGAGAAGTGGTTGGCTCAGGTCTGTGGGGCCACCTTGAGAGCTGTTGGTAGCAGCCACCTGTCCCAAACCCTGTGGACCAAAAAGGAAAAGGGAACCAAAGGAGGAGAAGGCTGCTAGGCACAAACCTCAGGTGCCCCACGGTGGGAACCTGGCTCTGTGCTCCCAGACCACACCTGCGCCTGGGCCGGGGTGCTGGGAGGCTGCCTGGAGCTTGCTTGGGAAGGCCTGGCCAGTCTCTCCCATCAGTGCCTCCCAGTGGCACCCAAAGAGCATGATAACTTTGTCCCTGTGTGTCGGGGAGAGGAAAAGGGGCTCCTGTTCCCCCCAGCAGGGGTGCAACCCTGGCTCTGTGGTGCCTGATTCTGACTCACCTGCAGAGTGAGGGTGCACTCCCTGGACCCTTGGCCACCCTGGGACTGCCACCCACCTGAGAAGGCTCATTCACTACTTGTGAACTGATGGATCTCCATGTCGGCTTTGGCCGAGCTGTTTGGAGTCTCAGACCCACATACCCGAGCAACCACCTCCAGAGCATCTGGACAAGGTGCACAGGCACCTTGGACTCAAAGTGCCAAATGGAAGTCGGCCCTGAGGCAGCTGGAAGCTCTGCGGTGCCTGCCTCGCCTCCCTCCTGCGCTACTCGTAGAACCCCCCTCTTCCCTCCAGCTGTGTGGTTCAGCCCTGACTCCACCTCCTTCTCTCTTTTCCATCTTTTTGCTGCTGGCACCACCACAGTCTACTCCCCACTCCTAATGCAATAAGCTTTGGAAAATGCACATCTGACCCTGCCTGGAGGTAGTGCAGAGACTTCCTTGGTTCCTGAGGCCCTGGAGGAAGCCCATTCCTCTCCCTCCCTGCTCATCCCACCCTGGGAGACTTGCCCAGGCCCTGCCCCTACATCCATTCTGCACCACCAGCAGTGCCAGCCAGTGTGCATTCCCAGCCCAGCCAGAGACTCTTACAGCTGGCTTTTGAAACATCTTGTTACACAGAGGAAATCAATACCAAAAGGGCGACATCTTCAACTAACACTGTAATCAATACAGATCTGACCCTTCAGGATACAGCTAATGCAGGGCTCGGAGGAAAATTCATTTGCTTAAATATTACATAAAAAATAAGAATCAAAATAAATAGGCCAGGTGCGGTGGCTCATGCCTGCAATCCCAGCACTTTGGGAGGCCAAGGCAGGTGGATTACTTGAGGTCAGAAGTTCAAGACCAGCCTGGCTAACATGGTGAAACCCCGTCTCTACTAAAAATACAAAAAAATTAGCCAGGTGTGGTGGCGGGCACCTGTGATCGCAGCTGATTGGGAGGCTGAGGGAGGATAATTGCTTGAACCTGGGAGGCAGAGGTTGCAGTGAGCTGAGATCGTGCCACTGCACTGCAGCCTGGGTGACAGAGCGAGACTCTGTCTCAAAAACAAACAGGCCAGGCGCTGTGGCTCATGCCTGTAACCCCAGCACTTTGGGAGGCCAAGGCAGGCGGATCACGAGGTCAGGAGTTCAAGACCAGCCTGGCCAGCATGGTGAAACCCCATCTCTACTAAAAAAAAAAAATTACCAGGCATGGTGGCGTGTGCCTGTAGTCCCAGGTACTCGGGAGGTTGAGGCAGGAGAATCGCTTGAACCCGGGAGGTGGAGGTTGCAATGAGCTGAGATCGTGCCACTGCACTCCAGCCTGGGTGACAGAACGAGACTCGGTCTGAAAAACAAACGAACAAACAAACCAACAAAAATAAATAAAGTATATTATTTAAGAAGTTAGTAAAGTAGGCTGGGCATGGTGGCTCACACTTGTAATCCCAACACTTTGGGAGGCTGAGGCAGGCCAATCATTTGACGTCAGGAGTTTGAGATCAGCCTGACCAACATGGTGAAATCCCATCTCTACTAAAAATACAAACATTAGCCAGGCATGGTGGCGGGCGCCTGTAATCCCATTTATTCAAGAGGCTGAGGCAGGAGAATCACCTGAACCCAGCAGGCAGAGGTTTCGGCGAGCCGAGATCATGCCACTTCACTACAACCTGGGCGACAGAGCGAGACTTCATCACAAAAAAAAAAAAAAAAAAAAGAATAAAAAAGTCAGTAAAGGAAAAATAAAGAAAGCGAAAGAACTCAGGAACAACTGAAGCAGAAACTGATAAATTTGAAATCAGAATAATAGGTCTTTGAAAAAAAAAAAGATAGGCTATTAGCTAGTGAATTGGTACAAATGAATACACAAAATAAGAAATGAGAATGAAGAAATAATCACATCTATAGGGGAACTTAAAAGATTACTCATCTTTATTTTAATAAATTTGAAAACTTGGACATAATAAAAGCCTTTCTAGGACAATATAAATGGAGTTGAGTTGCAATACTTAGGACATACTTAGGCTAAAAACAAATTGTCATTTATCTGACATTCAGATTTAATTGGGCATCCTATATTTTTATTTATTTATTTATTTATTTTTCTGAGATGGAGTCTCACTCTGTCACCTAGGCTGGAGTGCAGTGGTGCAATCTTGGCTCACTGCAACCTCCGCCTCCCAGGTTCAAGGGATTCTTGTGCCTCAGCCTCCCGAGTAAATGGGATTACAAGCACCCGCCACTGCATCTGGCTAATTTTTGTATTTTTAGTAGAGACAAGGTTTCACCACGTTGGCCAGGCTGGTCTCGAACTCCTAACCTCAAATGATCTGCCGGCCTCAGCTTCCCAAAGTGCTGGGATTACAGGTGTGAGCCACCGTGCCCGGCCGGCATCCTATATTTTTATATTCTAACTCTGGCAACCTTAAATATAAGTGACAAATGAAACCAAAAATAATGGGCAAAGGTCTAAACACATCAGTGATCATAAAAAGGAATTGAGAACATTGTCAGAACACTGTCCTGCCTTAAACACTCTTCTGGAAAGTTCCACAGGTTAAGTGTGTCGTGTTGTCAGGACCTGAGATCTCTTCTGCCAATTAAGCTCCCACACCATAGAATAAGGAGGAAAATTTGCACATCTGCTTTATGAAGCCAGCGTAGCACTGACCCCAAACTTGGCAAAGAAAACCGCAGACTAATTGTGTTTATGATGCAAAGCAAAATCCTAACAAAATTGGAGAATATATAATTAAAAAAGAGAATCCAGTAGTACATTAAAAAGAACAACATGACTTACCTACCCTAGTGGAGCCAACGCTAATATTGCAAGGAAGATCTTCTCAGTATGTCCCTGACCGTGACTCTTAGCTCTTACCTTTCACCAGAGGAGAAAAAAATCACTCCATCGAGACTGAAGACGCATTTGACAATATTTAACACCCATTCTTTTTTTTTTTTTTTTTTAAAGACAGGTCTCACTCTGTTGCCCATGCTGGAGTGGAGTGGTGCGATCACAGCTCACTGCAGCCTTGACCTCCTAGGCTCAAGAGATCCTCCTGCCTCAGCTTTTGTTTTGTTTTGTGTGGGGAAAAGCAAGAGAGATCAGATTGTCACTGTGTCTGTGTAGAAAGAAGTAGACATGGGAGACTCCATTTTGTTATGTACTAAGAAAAATTCTTCTGCCTTGAGATTCTGTGACCTTACCCCCAACCCCGTGCTCTCTGAAACATGTGCTGTGTCAAACTCAGGGTTAAATGGATTAAGGGCGGTGCAAGATGTGCTTTGTTAAACAGATGCTTGAAGGCAGCACGCTCCTTAAGAGTCATCACCACTCCCTAATCTCAAGTACCCAGGGACACAAAAACTGCGGAAGGCCGCAGGGACCTCTGCCTAGGAAAGCCAGGTATTGTCCAAGGTTTCTCCCCATGTGACAGTCTGAAATATGGCCTTGTGGGAAGGGAAAGACCTGACCATCCCCCAGCCCGACACCCGTAAAGGGTCTGTGCTGAGGAGGATTAGTATAAGAGGAAGGCATGCCTCTTTGCAGTTGAGACAAGAGGAAGGCATCTGTCTCCTGCCCGTCCCTGGGCAATGGAATGTCTCGGTATAAAACCCGATTGTACGTTCCATCTACTGAGATAGGGAAAAACCGCCTTAGGGCTGGAGGTGGGACCTGCGGGCAGCAATACCGCTTTGTAAAGCATTAAGATGTTTATGTGTATGCATATCTAAAAGCACAGCACTTAATCCTTTACCTTGTCTATGATGCAAAGACCTTTGTTCACGTGTTTGTCTGCTGACCCTCTCCCCACAATTGTCTTGTGACCTTAACACATCCCCCTCTCGGAGAAACACCCACGAATGATCAATAAATACTAAGAGAACTCAGAGGCTGGCGGGATCCTCCATATGCTGAACGCTGGTTCCCCGGGTCCCCTTATTTCTCTATACTTTGTCTCTGTGTCTTTTTCTTTTCCAAGTCTCTCGTTCCACCTTACGAGAAACACCCACAAGTGTGGAGGGGCAACCCACCCCTTCAGTTTTGTTTTTGCTTTTTTTGAGACTGAGTTCTGCTCTTGTTGCCCAGGCTGGAGTGCAGTGGTGCGATCTCGGCTCATTGCAACCTCCACCTCCCGGGTTCAAGCGATTCTCCTACCTCGGCCACCCGAGTAGCTGGGATTACAGGCATGCGCCACCATGCCCAGCTAATTTTGTATTTTTAGTAGAGACAGGGTTTTACCATGTTGGTCAGGCTGGTCTCGAACTCCTGACCTCAGGTGATCCGCCCACCCTGGCCTTCCAAAGTGCTGGGATTACAGGCATGAGTCACCACGCCCAGCCTTTGCCTCAGCTTCTTGAGTAGCTGAAACTACAGGCACACATCACCATGCCCAGCTAATATTTTGTAGAGATGGCGTTTCACCATGTTGCCTAGGCTGATCTTCAATCCTGAGCTCAAATGATCCTCCCACCTTGGCCTCTCAAAGCGTTAGGATTATAGGTGTGAGCCACCGTGCCCAGCACATTAACACACATTTGTTTTTGTTGTTGTGTGTGTTTTTTTTTTTTTGAGATTGAGTTTCGCTCTTGTCCCCTAAGCTGGCGTGCAATGGTGCAATCTTGACTCCCTGCAGCCTCCGCCTCCCGGGTTCAAGTAACTCTCCTGCCTCAGCCTCCCAAGTAGCTGGGATTACAGGTGCCTTCCATCATGTCCAGCTAATTATTATATTTTTAGTAGAGACGGAGTTTCACCATGTTGGCCAGACTGGTCTCGAACTTCTGACCTCAGGTGATCCACCTGCCTTGGCCTCCCAAAGTGCTGGGATTACAGGCGTGAGACACTGCACCCAGCCATTAACACACATTCTTGATAAAAACAAACAGATTTAAAAAAAAAAAAAACACTGAATAAAATGGGAATGGATGGATACGCCTTTGTGAGGACAAAAGTGACTGTATCTTAAATGCTAATTCACCATATAACTTCTAACTAACCCTGAGTCTGGGAATGCCTCCAAAATGTGTAGTTGATGTATTTTACTCATTATGCAGAAACACCTAATCACTGTACATTTCCTCCAAAATCACCCTCGATGCTGTTGCAGAAATCACAGGCTGTGACAACTGTGGCCACTTACACATTCCTAACAGGGTACATATATTTTCCCCAAGATACAAGTCCTGGGTCTGGGGATTTGCCGTGTGCACGATTACTTGTCTTGTGGCTGCCCAAGACCATGCTTCTGTCTGTAAGTTTCCCGTAATGAATTGTGCCACACCAACAAACTTGATTTGTCGGCCTCCTTCTTTGGTTTCTTGGCTCCTTCAGCATGTGGGGGTCTCTTTGCACATATGGTCCTTTCACAGAACTTCCCTTAACCCGAATATATATCTTAATACAACAGAAACGGCATGAGTTGGGCTGGGTGCTATTCTATTCCTTTACATGCGTTAATTTATGTAATTCTCTCCAGAAGGGGAGCTGTGATTATACCAGTTTTATAGATGGGGAGACTAAAGTACTAACGTTCCAAATGTAAAAATTAGCTGGGCATGGTGGTGGGCGCCTGTAATCCCAGCTGCTTGGGAGGCTGAGGTGGGAGAATCACTTGAACCTGGGAGGTGGAGGTTGCAGTGAGTCGAGGTTGTGCCACTGCACTCCAGAGCAAGATTCTGTCTCAAAACAAACAAACAAACCAAAATGAAACCATATGAATATCACAAGAACACATGGGCAAATTTTGTTTATGTTCTTAGAGTGGGGCAGGCCTTTTTAGGCATGTCATAAAACCAAAAAGCCATAAAAGAAAAAAGCTAATAAATATGAACATGTAAAAATTAAAAATTTAAATTTAGTTTAATTTTTATTTTTATTTAAATATTAAAAGTTTTTTTGAGATGGAGTCTCACTCTGTTGCTCAGGCTGGAGTGCAGTGGCACAATCTCAGCTCACTGGAATCTCCGCCTCCCGGGTTCAAGCGATTCTCCTGCCTCAGCCTCCCAAGTAGTTGGGATTACAGGCGTCCACCACCACATCCGGCTAATTTTTGTATTTTTAGTAGAGGCAGGGTTTCACCATCTTGGTCAGGCTGGTCTCGAACTCCTGACCTCAGGTGATCCACCTGCCTCAGCCCCACAAAGTGTTGGGATTACAGGTGTGAGCCACCGCCCCCAGCCAAAAATTTTTGATTTAAAAATAATTTTAAAAATAGAGATGGGGTTTTGCCATGTTGCTCAGGCTGGTCTCAAACTCCTGGATTGAAGCAATCCACCCACCTAAGCCTTTCAAAGTGCTGGGATCTCAGGTGTGAGCCACTGTGCCCAGCCTTCACTGGTCTTTTCAGAATTTTTTTTTTTTTACATAAAGCTGAACACAATGGTTCCCACCTGTGATCTCAGCACTTTGGGTGCCTCAGGTAGGTGGATCACTTGAGCCCAGGAGTTTGAGACCAGCCTGAGCAACACAGTAAGATCTCATCTCTATTATCAACAACAACAACAACAACAACAAAAGACCAGTGAAAAACCTGGAGAAAAACAGTTTCAATACATGATGTGGGGCTGGTTTTTGAAATATTTAAATACTTAAATATTTAATATTAGAGACCAAGTATCCAGTAGAAATATGAACAGGGATGTGACTCATTGTTTGCAGAAAGAAAACTACAAATGGCTGTTTCAACAGACAAAAAGTTCTCAAGCCTACTCATAAATAAACATTGCCAATTCAAACAACAGTGAGATCCCACAGGGCCAGAGGAAGTGACTCCGAGCCCAGAACTTCCTCAGTGAATTCTTTGAAACCCTGATGAAAGAAAAAATACCAGTCTTACACAAACTTCCAGAGAACAGAAAAGAGGAAAGGTTGCTCAACGTCTTTGAAGAAGCTAGCATAACCTTGAAAGCAAAACCTGGCCAAAAAAATGTCAAGAAGGAAAAGTCTAGGGCTATTTGATTCATGAACAGAGATGCATAGCCCTTAAAACATGAAGAAACCAGGGCTTGAAAGGAAAAAATATGCGTCACCACCAATTTAGGTTTGTTCCAGGAATGCAAGATTGGCTGAACATTAGAAAATGAAGCCTCACACCTGTAATTCCAGCACTTTAGGAGGCTGAAGCCTATGGATCGCTTGAGCCCAGAAGTTCGAGACCAGCCGAGCCAACATGGTAAAACCCTGTCTCTATCAGAAAATGCAAAAATTAGCTGGGCATGGTGGCATGCGCCTGTAGTCCCAGCTACTCGGGAGGCTGAGGTTGGGGGATCACTTGAGCCTGGGAGGTGGAAAGCTATAGTGAGCCATGATCACACCACTGCCCCCGAGCCTGGATGACAGGGCCTGACCCTGTCACAAAACAAAAAGAAAAGAAAAAAGAAAATCAAGCAACACAATTCACCACACTCACAGAATAAAGAAGAAAAGTCACTCACCATCTCAGTAGATGCAGAAAAGCATTTGATAAAATTTGCCAACATTCAGTTACAATAAAAACTCTCAGCAACTAGGAATGAAAGGAAACTTCCTTAATCTGATAAATCGTGGCTACAAAAACCTACAGTAAATGTCATGCTTAAAGGTACAACATAAAAAGCCTCCCTTTTGAGATTGAAACCAAGCTAAGAATTATTTCATTATTTCCTTCCAGTATTACAGGGGAAGTTTTAGCCAATGTAATAAGGTGAGAAAAACAAAAGCCATAAAGGTTGGAAAGGAGGACATAAGACTGTCATTGACAGAGCAGGAGCATTGCCATCTTGGACAAGCACCATCATTTTAAAGTTCACCTTGATCAAAAACTGCCTAAATCCAAAGGGCATCAGCCTAATGGCTAAGGTCAGCATGACCATAAACCACAAATAACATCTCCAACCAGAAACATTCTAAAGCCCTCCCTGACCAGAGACATGCCAGCCCCGAGATAACCTCCCCTCCGGCCAGAGAGACATTAGCCCCAAGATAACCTCCCCTGGGACCAGAGACATTCCAACCCCCCCATAAACTTCTCCCCCACACAGAAACATTCCAAGCTTGTGATAAGCCCTCTAACCCTAAAAAACCAATAAATACTATTAGTATTAAAGACCAAGTATCCAGTAGAAATATGCACAGGGATGTGATTCACTGTTCACAGAAAGAAAACTACAAATGACTGTTTGTAAGAGAGAGTGCCCCTGACTGAAATCAGCCAGAAGCCCCTCTGGAGAATAAACCTGTCTTTGACTGTTGAGCCACTTTTCATGTTTCCTTCCTCTTTCTTTAACTCTTACAGTCATTATCTGTAGATACTCAAGAAACGGTTAGAAATAGGTGAATTGGGCCGGGCGCGGTGGCTCAGGCCTGTAATCCCAGCACTTTGGGAGGCCGAGACGGGTGGATCACAAGGTCAGGAGATCGAGACGATCCTGGCTAACACGGTGAAACTCCGTCTCTACTAAAAATACAAAAAATTAGCCGGGTGCGGTGGCAGGCGCCTGTAGTCCCAGCTACTCAGGAGGCTGAGGCAGGAGAATGGTGTTAACCCAGGAGGCGGAGCTTGCAGTGAGCCGAGATCGCGCCACTGCACTCCAGCCTGGGAGACACAGCCAGACTCCGTCTCAAAAAAAATAAAAAAATAAATAAATAAATAAAAATAAAATAAAATAAAGAAATAGGTGAATTGAGCAAGGTCATTGTAATACAGAAGTTATTAAAAATAATTTTTAGACAAATAATAAAGGTAAAGGTTCTCGGTAAAAATTTTCCTGTAATAAAAAACAACCCCCAAACCATCTCTTTTCTAACAAAAAAGGCAGCTCGAAGGGCGGGGCCAGCAAGCTTTAATATGCAAATGTCGGCCTTTAAAAACTGGGTTCACCCAATATGGCAATTCCCACCATCATCTCCTTGTCACCAGGTATCCCAAGTGTCATGGCCACCTCCAGATAACATCATGTGTTCAAAACATTGCAATCTGCATTTGCATATTAAAGGACTAAAGTAAAAGGGCCAGGTTTTTCACTGGCTGG
This sequence comes from Homo sapiens, assembly GCF_000001405.40. Lineage (NCBI taxonomy): Eukaryota > Metazoa > Chordata > Mammalia > Primates > Hominidae > Homo > Homo sapiens. The sequence continues at coordinate 24,205,924 of NC_000022.11, read as the reverse complement.
GTAAATAACACACCTGGTCAAACCAATCCCCTGGGCCTTATGCAGATCAAACACCAACTCCTCCAGCATCCCAATAAAAGCAACCACTTTTCTGACTCACATGGGGTTTCTCTTTATTCAAATCCCCCTGCTCTGTCTCTGTAAGGGGAAGCTGTTTTCTTCTTCCTTCTTTCTTGCCTATTAAACATTTTGCTCCTTAAAACCACTCCACCAGCCTGACCAACATAGTGAAACCCCGTCTGTACTAAAAATACACATATTAGCCAGGTGTGGCAGCACATGTCTGTAATCCCAGCTACTCAGGAGGCTGAGCCAAGAGAACTGCTTGAAACTGGGAGGCGGAGGTTGCAGTGAGCTGAGATGGTGCCATCGCACTCCAGCCTGGGCAACAAGAGTGAAACTCCGTCTCAAAAAAATAAAAAGCTAAAAACAAACAAAAAACCATTCCACATGTGTCGGTGTCATTAATCCTATCAGTACAAAACCAAAACCCTGGTGTTCCTCCAGTCATCAAAGCCGCATCAATTGGAATCAAGGAATATATGCAAAAATCAATGTTATTTCTACGTACCAGCCATAAACAAAAAAACCTTTTTTGAAGTAAAATCGCTTGTAGTAGTGTGAATCAAAAAGCATCTGAAACAGGTCTCAATCAACTTAAGAGTTTATTTTGCCAAGGTTAAGGACAATGCCCAGGAGGGGAAAAAAAATGGAATCACAGAAGCAGCCTATGGTCTGTGCCTTTCCCCAAAGGTGACTTTGAGGGCTTCAAAATTTAAAAAAGAAGAGTGAGGTGAGAAGATTGCTTGAGCCCAGGAGTTCAAGACCAGCCTGAGGAACATCGTGAAACCCCATCTCTACAAAAAAATACAAAAATTGGCCAGATATGGTGGTGCATGCCTGCAGTCCCTGCTACTCAGCAGGCTGAAGCACAAGGATCGATTGAGCCCAGGAGGTCCAGGCTACTGTGAGCCATGATTGCCCCACTGTACTCCACCCTGGGTGACAGAGCAAGACCCAGTGTCTCTCTCTCTCTCTCCCTCTCTCTCTCTCCTTCTTTCTCTCTCTCTCTCTATATATATAGCTCAATTCACCTATTTCTAACAGTTTCTCGAGTATCTACAGATAATGACTATAACAGTTAAAGAAAGAGGAAGGAAACATGAAAAGTGGCTCAACAGTTAAAGACAGGTTTATTCTAGAGAATAAACCTGAGAGGGGCTTCTGGCTGATTTCAGTTGGGCGCTCTTTCTTACAAACAGCCATATATATATATATATATATATAGAGAGAGAGAGAGAGAGAGAGAGAGAGAGAGAAAGAAAGCACAAAGGAGCAGGTAGGGGAAGAGTAAATTACGTATTCCTCTTGCATTACCAGAAAGAGGTCCCAATCCAGACCCCAAAGAAGGTTCTTGGATCTCCAGCAAGAAAGAATTCAGGGCAAGTCCATAGTAAGTTGATTAAGACAGTAAAGGAATAAAAGAATGGCTACTCCATAGACAGAGCAGTGTGGAGGGCAGCTGGTTGCCCATTTTTATGGTTATTTTTTATTATATGTGAAACAAGGGATAGATTATTTATGCCTCCCCTTTTTAGACCACATAGGTTAACTTCCTGACATTGCCACAGCATTTGTAAACTGTCATGGCGCCAGTGAGAGTGTAGTACTGAGGAAGACCTGAGGTCACTCTCGTTGCCATCTTGGTTTTGGTGGGTTTTAGCTGGCTTCTTTACTGCAACCTGTTTTATCAGCAAGGTCTTTATGACGTGTATCTTGTGCCGACCTCCTATCTCATCCTGTGACTAAGAATGACTTGACCTCTTGGGAATGCAGCCCAGTAGGTCTCATCCTCATTTTACCCAGCCCCTATTCAAGATGGAGTTGCTCTGGTTCACACGCCTCTGATACTTGTGCTCAGTAAATCAGTAAATCAGCACTTTACACAAGATTAGGTGAACATCGAGTGGAGATATTGAACTCAAGATAAGGTGAACATAGACTGGAGGTATTGAACCTTTTTTTTTTTTTTTTTTTTGAGACAGTCTCACTCCTTCACCCAGGCTGGAGAGCAGTGGTGCTATCTTGGCTCACTGCATCCTCTGCCTCCTGGGTTCAAGCGATTCTCCTACCTTAGCCTCCCGAGTAGCTGGGATTACAGGAACATGCCACCACTCCTGGCTAATTTTTGTATTTTCAGTAGAGATGGGGTTTCACCATATTGGCCAGGCTGGTCTCGAACCCCTGAACTCAGATATGCCCACCTCTGCCTCCCAAAGTGCCGGGATCACAGCCGTGTGCCATGCACCCAGTCAGATTTGGGCATTGTTGTTGTTGGTGGTGGTGGTGTTTTGAGACACTCTGTCACCCAGGCTGGAGTGCAGTGGCACAATTTTGGCTCACAGCAACCTCCACCTCCTGGGTTCAAGTGATTCTCCTGCCTCAGCCTCCCAAGTAGCTGGGATTACAGGCGCCTACCACCACGCCTGGCTACTTTTTTTTGTATTTTTAGTCGAGATGGGATTTCACCATGTTCGCCAGGCTGGTCTCGAACCCCTGACCTCAGGTAATCAACCCACCTTGGCCTCTCAAAGTGCTGGGATTACAGGCGTGAGCCAGCGCGCCCAGCTGAGCCTGGAACCTTTTATCTGTAGCTATCTGCTTAGGAACAAAGGGAAAGGTAGCTGCTTGCATGGCTCAGCATTCAACTTAATTTTTTTTTGGTATAGTGAACTGGGGTCCTGAGTTTTTATTTTCCTTTCACAATAGCATAAAAAAGTTAAAAACCTAGATGTAAAACTAACAAAGATATGCAAGACTTCTGCACTGACCACTGCAAAGCATAATTGAGAGAAATTAAGGAAAACCTAAATAAACAGAGGGTATACTCCATTTCTCGCCACATTCATACCCTGATTTGCAACCGGCAAAAGGGTCCGCTGCTTACTTGTAAAAAGAAGCCCATGTAACAAGAGTGAGGTGTGATAAGAAGAGAGAGTGAGATGTGATTATCCATGCTAGCAAGGGAGGAGTGAGTGTAATTCTTTCCAAAAATTTACACTCTTCAGTTTGTGGAGAGAATGCAGGTGTTTCTGTTTGTTTTTTGAGAGGGAGTCTCGCTCTGTCACCCAGGCCGGAGTGCAGTAGCACGATTTCTGCTCATTGCAAGCTCTGCCTCCTGGGTTCATGCCATTCCACTGCCTCAGCCTCCTGAGTAGCTGGGACTACAGGTGCCCGCCACCAAGCCTGGCTAATTTTTTTTTTTTTTTTTTCTGTATTTTCAGTAGAGACGGGGTTTCACCGTGTTAGCCAGGATGGTCTCGATCTCCTGGCCTCGTGATCCACCTCGGCCTCCCAAAATGCTAGGATTACAGGCGTGAGCCACCGCGCCTGGCCCCGAATGCGGGGGTATTTTAAGAGAGGATTTGGAATGCAGAAAAGGCAGAGGGGCTGGGAGGTATCAGGTGGCGTGACTCACTCCAATGGCTTGTCTTGAATTATTGTTTCATCTGGTGAAAGGGCCGGTGCCGTCATGGCTAGAGGTGTCTGGTCCGTATCAGGATCTGGCCTCTGAAGCTTCTAAGGAAATATATGACCAGATAAGTGAGTGTGGTGTGTTCTTAGCAAGCGGCTAGGTAAGTAAATAGTGCATAAGGCATGGGGGCATAGAATGGGAAAAGAGGCCAGGTGCGGTGGATCATGCCTGTAATCCCAGCACTTTGGAAGGCCAAGGTGTTGCAGGCTGCACATCTGAAGCCTGTTAACAATACTGTGATCAATCAAGGAGCTGACCAATCATTACCTCCTCCTCCCAGCTCTTTCTACCCAATAAAAGTGAAGGACTCTAGAAGCTCAGGGCTGCCTTTGCCTACTAGAAGCAAGGAGCCCCCGACTCCCTCTTTAAAAAATCCTTTTGTATTTGTTTTCATTTCTATGTTCATCCCCCTTCGTTCATTCCCGTAGTAACCATCACACCAAGGCGGCTAGAACAGTTAAGAACAGGAGTTTGAGACCAGCCTGGCCAACATGGCGAAACCCCGCCTCTACAAAAAATTAGTTGGGCGTGGTGACGTGAGCCTGTAATCCCAGCTACTCAAGAGGCTGAGGCAGGAGGATCGCTTGAGCCCGGGAGGTGGAGGTTGCAGTGAACAGAGATCATGCCACCGCACTCCAGACTAGGTGACAAAGTGAGACTCTCTATCCAAAAAAAAAAAAAACCGGGAAAAGAAAGGGAGAGGAGGTTCACATTCTGAACATTCCAAGGTAGAAACACATCTGCACTTTGTTTCAAAGTTACACCTTAAGATTGGGAAAAAAGGAGGAAAGAAAACAAAGTTGTTTTTGGGTTTTTTTTTTTGTTTTGTTTTGTTTTTGAGACAGAGTCTTGCTCTGTCACCCAGGCTGGAGTGCAGTGGCGCAATCTCAGGTCACTGCAACCTCCGCCTCCCAGGTTCAAGTGATTCTCCTGCCTCAGCCTCCAAAGTAACTGGGATTACAGGCGCCCACCACCACACTAGGCTAATTTTTGTATTTTTTGTAGAGATGGGGTTTCACCATGTTGGCCAGGCTGGTCTCAAACTCCTGACCTCAAGTAATGCGCCCACCTTGGCCTCCCAAAGTGCCGGGATCACAGGCGTGAGCCACTGTCCCTACTGGAAAACAAAGCTTTAAAATGCAATTTGAAGCCATGCTGCTGGGTTACAGATTCAATGCAAATCTAATCAAAATCCTAACAGTTCGTTTTTTTAAATCAGCAAGCTGATTGTAAATTTCATCTGAAAATGTCAAGGACCAGAACTAGCCCAGGAAATCCTGAGGAAGAGGGCATTCTAATGGTGAACTCATACTACAAGAACAAACTCAAACTACAAACTCATACTACAACTCATACTACTCAAACTCCTAAACATACTCAAACTCATACTACAAGAACATACTCAAGAACAAACTATGGTAATGAAGACAATTTGGTATCGGTGCAAAGATGAACAAACTGGCCAGTGGAATGGGACAGAGGGTCACCTGACTTCTGACAGAGGGGACATACCAGTGCAGTGGGGAAGGAATGCGGCTTCGGTGTGTGGAGCTGAGTCATTTGGCTATCCATAGGAAAAAAGCGTACCTTGAGCCAACCTCACACCACCCACAAAAATCTATTCTATTTGGTTTGCTAATCTAATTATAAAATATTAAGCAATTTGCCGGGCACAGTGGTTCATGCCTATAATCCCAACTGCTTGGGAGGCTGAGGTGGGTGGATCACTTGAGCCAAGGAGTTCGAAACCAGCTTGGGCAACATAGTGAGACCCCATCTCTAAAAATAAATAAACAAATAATCAAATAAAATATTAAGCAGTGTTTACAGAAAGAAAGAGAATATCTTTGTGACTTTAGAGTAGGCAAATGCTTCTCTTTGTTTTTTTTTATTTTGTTGCATACCAAAAATTTTTCTTAAACAGGACACAAAAAGTACTAATTATAGAAGAAAAAATTAATAAATCAGACTATATGAAAATTAAGAAATTCTGTTCAACAAAAGACATCACTGAAACAGTGAAAAGGCAACTCTCAGAATGGGTGAATATCTGCAGCTGACAACGAACTCTTATCCAAAAACTCCTACAAATCAATTAGAAAAATCCAGCCAATAGAAAATGGGCAAAAGACTTGAATAGATGTCTCACAAAAGAGGAGGTCTAGGTGGCCAATGAACGTCTGAAAGGGTGCACAACTTCACTGGCTCAGCCTTGTAAGAAAAGCTCAAATTAATTCAATAACGTGCTATCATTGCACACCCATCAGAATGGCTAAAATGAAAGAGACCAGCCAGGCGTGGTGGCTCACACCTGTCATCCCAGCACTTTGGGAGGCCGAGGCGAGCAGATCACCTGAGGCCAGCAGTTCCTGACCAGCCTGACCAACATGGCGAAACCTCATCTCTACTAAAAATACAAAAATTAGCCGGGCGTGATGGCACGCGCCTGTAATCCTAGCTACTCAGGAGGCCGAGGCAAGAGAATCATTTGAACCTGGGAAGCGGAAGTTGCAGTGAGCCGAGATCATGCCATGGCACTCCAGCCTGGGCAGCAAGAGTAAAACTCTGTCTCAGAAAAAAAAAAAAAAAAAAAGAAAAAGACCAACAATAACAAATGTTGGAAAGAATCTGGCACAACAGAACTCTCACATGCTGTTGGTGCAAATGTCAATTGTAAAACCACTTTGAAAAACTGGCATTTGGGGTTGGGCACAGTGGCTTACGCCTGTAATCCCAGCACTTTGGGAGGCCAAGACGGGCGGATCACCTGAGGTCAGGAGTTCCGAGACCAGCCTGGCCAACATGGTGAAACCCCATCTCTACTAAAAATACAAAAAATAGCTGGGCATGGTGGTGGGCACCTGTAATCCTAGCTACTTAGGAGGCTGAGATGGGAGAATTGCTTGAACCCAGGAGGCAGAGGTTGCAGTGAGCTGAGATTGCACCATTGCACTCCAGCCTGGCCGACCAGCGAAACTCCATCTCAAAAAAAAAAAAAAGAAAGAAAGGAAAAACTGGCATTTTCAGCTGGGCACGGTGGCTCCTGCCTGTAATCCCAGCACTTTGGGAAGCTGAGGTGGATGGATCACTTGAAGTCAGGAGTTCAAGACCAGCCTGACCAACATGGTGAAACCCCGTCTCTACTAAAAATACAAAAATCAGCCGGGCATGGTGGCACATGCCTGTAATCCCAGCTACTCGGGAGGCTGAGGCAGGAGAATCGCTTGAACCCAGGAGGTGGAGGTTGCAGTGAGCTGAGATGGTGCCACTGCACTCCAGCCTGGGCAAGAAGAGCGAAACTCCGTCTCAAAAAAAAAAAAAAAAAGAAAGAAAGAAAAACTGGCATTTTCTTTTTCTTTCTTTTTTTTTTTTTTAAAGACAGGGTCCCACTCTGTCACCCAGGGTGGAATGCAGTGTTGTGATCACTGCTCACTGCAGCTTTGACATCCCAGGCTAAATCAATCCTCCCACCCTGCCTCCTAGAGTAGCTGGAACTGCAGGCGTGCACCAGTGTGCCTGGCTATTTATTTATTTAGAGACAGAGTCTGGCTCTGTTACCCAGGCTGGAGTACAGTGGTGCAATCTCAGCTCACCAAAACCTCCAGTGGGTTCAAGCGATTCTCCTGCCTCAGCTTCCCGAGTAGCTGGGACTACAGGCGTCGCCACCATGCCCAGCTAATATTTTTAGTAGAGTCGGGATTTCACCATGTTGGTCATGCTGGTCTCAAACTCCTGACCTCAGGTGATCCACCCGCCTCAGCCTCCCAAAGTGCTGGGATTACAGGCATGTGCCACTGCGCCGAGCTAATTTTGTATTTTCAGTAGAGACGGGGTCTTACTATGTTGGCCAGGCTGGTCTGAAACTCCTGGCCTCAAGTGATCCTCCTACCTCAGCCCCCCAAATAGCTGGGACTACGAGTGTGAGCCACCACGAGTGGTCCTATCTTGTTGCCATGGGTGACAAGGGTTTCCTGAAAAGCTGAGACCTTTTGTCACACATCTGGCCCAGGAGTCGGCACAGTTGAAGGCAGATCCAAGGGAAGGCAGAACAGTTGCAGGCCTGGGCTCTGCCTGTGGCCGTGACTGGAGAGCGAGCTAAGAAAATGACTTAAGTTTCACTTCTGCCAAATCTTGCATGGGAATCTCTTGTGGCTCACCCTAACCAGAAACACGCAGGAGGGAGTTCTGGGAAACGTCACACCACCCAGCAACATGGTGAAGGCTCTGTCTATCTGGCAAAGAGCAAAAAAGGTGAAGGCTCCAAACGCCAGTGACTGCATGGGGACCCAGGCTCTGTTGTAGGTTGGTGGCGGCGTCAACTGGTACAACTCTAGATAGAAAATGCTTGTGCCATTTAACCAGCCAATCTACTTCTGTGAATTTCTCCTCCAGGTTAATCTGAACTTATTTACACAGTACAAGTGTTTAAAGAAGCAAAAGGCTGAGCACAGCTTCAATGTCCCCTAGCCAGCAGCTAGTTCCCTGAATTGTTTAGATTTTTTTTCACCTTGCACACACACTTTATTTTCCACACTAATGAAAAAGGTAAGACCATATTTTTATACCTATGCCTCTGGTGTATTGTTACAGGGACTGTCGACCTAAAGAAAGACACTGGCTGGGTGCAGTGGCTCATGCCAGTAATCCCAGCACTTTGGGAGGCTGAGGTGGGCGGATCACCTGAGGTCAGGAGTTCAAGACCAGCATGACCAATATGATGAAATCCCATCTCTACTAAAAATACAAAAATTAGCCAGGCGTGGTGGCACGCTCCTGTAATCCCAGCTACTTGGAAGGCCCAGGCTGGAGTGCAGTGGCGCGATCTCGGCTCATTTCAAGGTCTGCCTCCTGGGTTCACGCTGTTCTCCTGCCTCAGCCTCCCGAGTAGCTGGGACTACAGGCACCCACCACCACGCCTGGCTAATTTTTTGTATTTTTAGTAGAGACGGGGTTTCACCGTGTTAGCCAGGATGGTCTCGATCTCCCGACCTCGTGATCCACCCGCCTCGGCCTCCCAAAGTGCTGGGATTACAGGTGTGAGCCACCGCGCCCGGCCCAGAATTTTTAAAGATAATTTGGCGGGTAGGAGCTTGGGAAGTGGGGAGTGCTGATTGGTCAGGTTGGAGGTGGAATCACAGGGGGTTGAAGTGAGTTTTTCTTTTTCTTTTTTTTTTCGAGATGGAGTTTCACTCTTGTTGCCCAGGCTGGAGTGCAATGGCGCAATCTCGGCTTACTGCAACCTCCACATCCCGGGTTCAAGCGTTCTTCTGCCTCAGCCTCCTAAGTAGCTGGGATTACAGGCATGCACCACCACATCTGGCTAATTTTTGTATTTTTAGTAGAGACAAGGTTTCTCCATGTTGGTCAGGCTGGTCTCGAACTCCTGACCTCAGGTGATCCGCCTGCCTCAGCCTCCCAAAGTGCTGGGATTACAGGCGTGAGCCACCGTGCCCAGCCCGCAGTGAGTTTTTAGTTGTTGTTTTTTTTTTTTTTTTTTTTTTTTTTTTTTGCTGTCTTCTGTTCCTGGCTGCGATGGCACAACTGGTTGAACCAGATTAGCAGTCTGGGTGGTGTCAGCTGATCCATGGAGTGCAGGGACTGCCAAATATCTCCAGCACTGATCTTAAGTTTTACAACAGTGATGTTATTCCCAGGAGCAATTTGGGGAGGTTCAGACTCTTGGAGCCAGAGGCAGCATGACCCCTAAACTGTAATTTTTAATCTTGTTAGTCCTGCAAATGCGGACTGGTCCCTAGGCAAGAAGGGGGTCTTTTCAGGAAAGGGCTGTTACCAATTTTGTTTCAGAGTCAAACCATGAACTGAGTTCCTTCCCAAAGTTAGTTCAGCCTACACCCAGGAATGAAGAAGAACAGCTTAAAGGTTAGAAGCAAGATGGAGTCGGTTACCTCTGATTTCTTTCACTGTCATAATTTCCTTGGTTATACTTTTGCAAATGCAGTTTCAATAACATGTGTTAGTGATTGGCTATACTTTTTTTTTTTTTTTTTTTTAGAGATGAGATCTTGCTCTGTTGCCTGGGCTGGAGTGCAGTGGTGCCATCACGGCTCACTGCAGTCTCAACCTCCAGGGCTCCAATGATCCTCTTGCCTCAGTCTCCCGAGTAGCTGGGACTACAGGTGCATGCTGCCATGGCTAAATGTGTGTGTGTGTGTGTGTGTGTGTATGTGTGTGTAGACAGGCTCCACTATGTTGCCCAGACTGGTCTCGAACTCCTGGCCTCAAGTGATCCTCTTGCCTCAGCCTCCCAAAGTGCTAGGATTACAGATGTGAGCCACTGCTCCTTGCCTGGCTGGTTACTGTTGAACTATAGAGTATGAGTTATTGCTGGGGATCAGAAACTGATACCCCAAAATATAGCACTGAACTGAAGAAGAAGCCACAAGGTCTCTATGACCTCTCCCTGCCTCTGTGTCAATCTGTCAGCCAGAGCTCAGGATGAAGTTGTTCTCTGAAGTTCTCTATCTGCCTGAAGTCTGGACCTGCCAAAGAAGAAAACAATGAGCTCTGGTCCCTCCTGTGAGTCTTCCTTAACTGAACTCTTATCACAGGAAGAAAGACTGAAATCTGTCAGCACACCTGGACAGACTTGTCACAATCTACTGTTTGCTCTTCAGGCCCAACAGACTTTGTCCCAGGGCATTGTATGGTTTCCTTGTTTGTTTTATTGTATTTAATTTTATTTTTTGAGATGGAGTTTCACTCTGTCGCCCAGGCTGGAGTGCAGTTGTGCAATCTCGACTCACTGCAACCTCTGCCTCCCGGGTTCAAGTGATTATCCTGCCTCAGCCTCCCGAGTAGCTGGGATTATAGGCGCTCGCCACCACGCCCAGATAATTTTTGTATTTTTAGTAGAGATGGGGTTTCACCATATTGGCCAGGATGGTCTCGATCTCTGGATCTCATAATCTGCCTGCCTCGCCCTCCTGAAGTGCTGGGATTATAGGCATGAGCCACGTGGCCCAGCCCATTGTATGTTTTTTTTTTTTTTTTTTAATTATACTTTAAGTTTTAGGGTACATGTGCACAATGTGCAGGTTAGTTACATATGTATACATGTGCCATGCTGGTGCGCTGCACCCACTAACTTGTCACCTAGCATTAGGTATATCTCCCAATGCTATCCCTCTCCCCTCCCGCCACCCCACAACAGTCACCAGAGTGTGATGTTCCCCTTCCTGTGTCCATGTGTTCTCATTGTTCAATTCCCACCTATGAGTGAGAATATGCGGTGTTTGGTTTTTTGTTCTTGCGATAGTTTACTGAGAATGATGATTTCCAATTTCATCCATGTCCCTACAAAGGACATGAACTCATCATTTTTTATGGCTGCATAGTATTCCATGGTGTATATGTGCCACATTTTCTTAATCCAGTCTATCATTGTTGGACATTTGGGTTGGTTCCAAGTCTTTGCTATTGTGAATAATGCCGCAATAAACATACGTGTGCATGTGTCTTTATAGCAGCATGATTTATAGTCCTTTGGGTATATACCCAGTAATGGGATGGCTGGGTCAAATGGTATTTCTAGTTCTAGATCCCTGAGGAATCGCCACACTGACTTCCACAGTGGTTGAACTAGTTCACAGTCCCACCAACAGTGTAAAAGTGTTCCTATTTCTCCACATCCTCTCCAGCACCTGTTATTTCCTGACTTTTTAATGATCGCCATTCTAACTGGTGTGAGATGGTATCTCATTGTGGTTTTGATTTGCATTTCTCTGATGGCCAGTGATGATGAGCATTTTTTCATGTGTTTTTTGGCTGCATAAATGTCTTCTTTTGAGAAGTGTCTGTTCATGTCCTTCGCCCACTTTTTGATGGGGTTGTTTGTTTTTTTCTTGTAAATTTGTTTGAGTTCATTGTAGATTCTGGATATTAGCCCTTTGTCAGATGAGTAGGTTGTGAAAATTTTCTCCCATTTTGTAGGTTGCCTGTTCACTCTGATGGTAGTTTCTTTTGCTGTGCAGAAGCTCTTTAATTAGATCCCATTTGTCAATTTTGGCTTTTGTTGCCATTGCTTTTGGTGTTTTAGACATGAAGTCCTTGCCCGTGCCTATGTCCTGAATGGTATTGCCTAGGTTTTCTTCTAGGGTTTTTATGGTTTTAGGTCGAACGTTTTAAGTCTTTAATCCATCTTGAATTGATTTTTGTATAAGGTGTAAGGAAGGCATCCAGTTTCAGCTTTCTACATATGGCTAGCCAGTTTTCCCAGCACCATTTATTAAATAGGGAATCCTTTCCCCATTGCTTTTCTCAGGTTTGTCAAAGATCAGATAGTTGTAGACATGTGGCGTTATTCTGAGGGCTCTGTTCGCTATCTATGACAAACCCACAGCCAATATCATACTGAATGGGCAAAAACTGGAAGCATTCCCTTTGAAAACTGGCACAAGACAGGGATGCCCTCTCTCACCACTCCTATTCAACATAAAGTTGGAAGTTCTGGCCAGGGCAATTAGGCAGGAGAAGGAAATAAAGGGTATTCAATTAGGAAAAGAGGAAGTCAAATTGTCCCTATTTGCAGATGACATGATTGTATATCTAGAAAACCCCATTGTCTCAGCCCAAAATCTCCTTAAGCTGATAAGCAACTTCAGCAAAGTCTCAGGATACAAAATCAATGTACAAAAATCACAAGCATTCTTATACACCAACAACAGACAAACAGAGAGCCAAATCATGAGTGAACTCCCATTCATAATTGCTTCAAAGAGAATAAAATACCTAGGAATCCAACTTACAAGGGATGTGAAGGACCTCTTCAAGGAGAACTACAAACCACTGCTCAAGGAAATAAAAGAGGATACAAACAAATGGAAGAACATTCCATGCTCATGGGTAGGAAGAATCAATATCATGAAAATGGCCATACTGCCCAAGGTAATTTACAGATTCAATGCCATCCCCATCAAGCTACCAATGACTTTCTTCACAGAATTGGAAAAAACTACTTTAAAGTTCATATGGAACCAAAAAAGAGCCCGCATCGCCAAGTCAATCCTAAGCCAAAAGAACAAAGCTGGAGGCGTCACACTACCTGACTTCAAACTATACTACAAGGCTACAGTAACCAAAACAGCATGGTACTGGTACCAAAACAGAGATATAGATCAATGGAACAGAACAGAGCCATTGTATGTTCTTTAAGCCCATTAAATCTTCCCCACCCAGGCCAGGGGCAGTGGCTCATGTCTGTAATCCCAGCACTTTGGGAGGCCAAGGCACAAGGATCATCTGAGGTCAAGAGTTCAAGACCAGCCTGGCCAACATGGTGAAACCCCATCTCTACTAAAAATACAAAAATTAGCTGGGTGTGGTGGTGGGCGCCTGTGGTCCCAGCTACTAGGGAGGCTGAGGCAGGAAAATAGCTTGAACCTGGGAGGCGGAGGTTGCAGTGACCTGAGATTGCACCACTGCACTTCAGCCTAGGGACAGACGGAGACTCTGTCTCAAAAAAAGAAAAAAAAAAAAAATCCTCCCCACCCCAAATCATGCACTGTCCTCTTGAAATCATCCACACTCCCTATCTCCTGCTAGCCCTGGGGTGATCAAGTGCCTGCTGTGGCCCATCGGGAGACGCCTCTCCTCAGGGTCCAGTGCTGCCGAGGAGGAGGGAGTGGCCAGTGTAGTGCGTTGTAGGAGTGGGAAGTCAGGGGGGGCTTCCTGGAGGAGTCTGGCTCCAGCTGAGTATCAAAGGAGAGATTCCCATCGCCCTTTCCCCTAAGAAGCAGGGTATATCAGCATCTTTATCCCACTGGGATATTCGGCAATGACTCTGTGATTCTCCCCCAACGCATGCTAATAACTTGGTACACCTTGTTTTCCAATTAATCTGCCTTTTGTGAGTTGATTTTTCCTTGAACTTTCAGAGGGTAAAGGGGAAGTTTTCCCTTGGCCCCTACATTATGGTGTCCAGCATATGACATTTTATGGCTACTTGACATCGGTTAGTCTAGAACCCACCTAGCAAGTGGCGTCAAGGTGGGAGTGAGGCGTGACTGCTGTGACACCCCATCACATTTCAGTGCCTCTCTGGGCCTGATAATTAAAGGGGGCTCTCGTTCCTCAGATAAAAATTTCTTTTTGGCCGGGCACAGTGGATCATGCCTGTAATCCCAGCACTTAGGGAGGCCGAGGCAGGAGGATTGCTTGACCCCAGGAGTTCAAGACCAGCCTGAGCGTGCCTGTGGCCCCAGCTACTTGTGAGGCTGAGGCAGGAGGATCACCTCAGCCTGGGAGGTTGAGGCGGCAATGAGCTATGATCGCACCACTGCACTCCAGCCTGGGTGACAGAGTGAGACCCTGTCTCACAGAAGAAAAGTTTCTTTCCCATCTCAGCACCAACTAACTGCTTCAACAAATGGTCCCTGAAACATATTAAGGCTTAATCACAAAAGAAGTTTATTTCCTGGTCCTGGAAGAGTAGTGGGTGGGTGATCAGGTCAGCAGGGACTTGGTTGGCATGACTTCCAAAGTCAGTCATCCTCACATCCTTGCAACAAAGGGAGCTGGTGAAAGCCTGAAGGGGTGCCTGTGGGAAGCCGCACTCCTCCACGATGCCTCCTTGACTTCCCACTCCTACAGTGCGCTGCACCGACCCCCCCGCCTCCTCCTTGGCAGCATTGGACCCTGAGGACAGGGGTGTCCTGATGGGCCTAGCAGAGGTCTGGCCCACAGCAGGCACTCGGCCACCCTGGGGCTTGCAGAAGGAAGCAGCTTGGCAGAAGAAGGGGTCCCTTGCTCCCCAGCTGTGCCTGTACTGTACTGTACCGAGTCAGAGCCCTCCCTGGCCCCCAGATCAGCCGCACCCACTGTGCTCAGCCAACAGGAGACCTAGTGGGAGGCTGGAGGGCAGGGGGCACAGAGAAGCCGGGCTTCCCTACTCTAGCCAGCAGGGGACCTGCAGCTGGGCTGTCACCTCTGTGACTCCCCTTGGCCCACAGGCCTGCGTGACGCCCGCTTCCATGGGATCTGGGCCTGGCTCCCATAGCACATTCCTTCCTCCCTTTGCCCTTCTGCCCAAGGTGGGTCTTAGGATCCTGCTGGTACCTCATCGGCTCCTGTTTGACCCCCCCAGCTCTCTCATCACCTGTGTCTCCAAAGCCCTGGATTACCATCTGCCCCACTCTGACTGGTACCACCACGATGGTACCGGCCATTGGGTGACTCTGATACTCCATCATTTCAACCCTACTGTAAGCCACCCGCAAGCTCCCATGGCTGCCCGTCCTGCAAGCCCTGGGCTGCTATTTGGGAGACCATCTCCCTGAGGCAGCGGTCCCTGCCTTTGATGTCTCTAGAGAGTCTGCACCGGCTCCAGGCCTTCTGCCTTTGCACAGGCCCTGTCTCTATCTCTTTCGGGCCCCAGGAAAAGCCCCTGGCAGGTGGTGGGGCTTCCCAGCCTGGCCTGCCCCTGGCACTGGGAACATCTGATGTCTGGGACTGGGGCCACAGACAGGGCACCCTTTCTCCTGCTGGAAAGGGGAGGTGGGGGGGCAGACCAAGGGCCCATCCTGGAGGGAGACTGGTGGGGGTGGGGGAGCCCGAGGCAGGCCACACTTTGCTCTTAGGATGAAATCTAAATGCCTTGGCCTGGCAGGGGAGGCCTTGGCTGGCCCCCACCCCTGTCATTCCGCAGACATGACTGCACTTCTCTTTCTCTGAGCCTTTGCATAGACTGCTCCTCTACCCAGAACCCCTGTCCATCTGGAACCCCTGTCCAACCAATCAGAGCTCTGAGAATCCAACCTGTTTCTTGACCTCAGTTCGGGGGCTGCTCTTGTCTGGGACACCCTCTAGTGGACCTGATGAGCTGCCAAGCTGCCCCTGCCGCTCTTGGGCCCCCTGAAAACCTGTGCCCGCTCCCTCATGTCCAGGCCTTGACCCGGAAACTGACCTCTCACCCACTGACACGTGGCCGGCCCAGGCCTGGCGTGGCACAGGGGTGCGCTGGGGATTCAGACAGTGGGAGGGGAGCCCTGCCTTACCTCATCTGTAGGGAGGAAAGTACCTGCCCAGCCCGCCAAGGGGCTGACCCTCAGCCCCACCATGCCTGGAGGTGCAAACCCAGGGGAATGGGGAAGCAACGGAGTGAGCTCTAGAAAGAGAGAAGGCCAGACCCCATTCCCCTCCGCTAGCCTCCCGCCACCCCTGCCCTGCAACCCTCAGCTCGGTTCCCGCACACGTGCCCCATCATGCACATTCACCTCCTCCAGGAAGGCCTCAGATGAGACATGTCTCTGCCTCCCCAGCTCTCCCATTCACCAAGGGCAAGGCTGAGCAGGTGAGAGGCCTGGACTCCCACCCCATGGTCAGTGCCCGCTGAATGACCTGGGGAGACCTGTGCAACCTCTTCAACACTCCTGAGATGCGGGGATGACCCAGGTGCGGGGAGGCGGAGGGGTGGGCTGTGCGCAGACCTTGGCTGCGGTTGTGACCAAGTCGGCTGACCCAGCTGCAGGGCAGGGCTGACTGCCCTCCCAACCTCCTGCCACCCAGACTCGCTGTTCCTATCCTCTGCTGCCCCTATATGGCCACTCCCAGCGCTGCAGGTCACACTGAGGCGGCTCAACTCCCCACCCAGTGTTCTCTACCTGGCCCCCAACTTCCAGCCTCACCCTCTCCAGCACTTTCTCTGAGACCTAAGGGGCAAACCCGACCAATGCTACCCTGCCTGAGTCCCCATTCGGGACCCTCTCCACAAAGGTTGATGGACCCTGGTCATCCTCCAGCTGCTTCCAGGTCTGTGCCTCCATGCCAGGCCCCACAGGAAGCGCCGACAAAGAGCTGCTCAGGTGGGCCACCGTGGCCTGAGGCCTGGGCTCTGTGCCCAGATTCTGGACATTCCTGGGCTAAGGAGCCTGGGCGCTGGTCTCCTGAGGACTTGGAACTGATCCTGCCAGCGACTGCACCCAGCCAAGGAGCCGAGGCTGCAGGGCAGTGCTTGCCAGAGCACGCCAGGGCGTGGTGAGGGGGTGGCACCTCTGTTGAGGGAGGGGTTGTCCTTCTCCATCTCCTGAGTGACCCAAGTGAGCCCTGTGCTGTGTTGGCGGCCTCCCCACCCCACGAGGCGGCCACAGTTCTCCATCCCACTGCATACATGGAGAGAGAGCCTGGGGAGGGAGCATCCCCGGCAACCTCGTGGAGGAAGCAGGCAGGGCTCAGACCTGCCTCACTCTGGATACTGTTGGTGGTGACCCCGGGAGGCGGTCATGGAACTCTCCAGAACCAGGGCGCAGCATGAACACCAGGAGACCAGGGAAGGAAACAAGGCGCTTGTTTTCTCTTTGCACAGGCAGGGAGGGTGTTCCTGAGTGACCTTCCAGAAGAGTTCGAAATTATAAGCCTGGAGTGCCGAGGGAGGCCTCTGCCGCTGGGGGTCTCGCTGTCTGCTTTGGGGTTCTGGGGCCTCTCCTTACCCCATCTGGGGTCCCAGGATGGGCCCAGGGGTCCAGGAACCAAGGCAGCACTGCACTGGTGCCCGCACGGTCCGGGAGCAGGCCTCCGTAGATCAGGGGTCAGGGGCCCCGGCATCAGGCTCTGGGGAGTGAGGTATTGGAATCTGAGGCTCAGGGGTCAGGGGCCCCGGCGTCAGGCTCTAGGGAGTGAGCTATTGGAATCTGAGGCTCAGGTGTGGGAGTGTCAGGGCTCAGGACATAGGTATTAGAATCCCAGGGTATGAAGTTTCAGGTTTGGGGAATTAGAGCCGTGAGTATTTGGGGAAGAGCACGGAGCGCTGCTAGCACGGGGCTTGGGTGTTGGAACACTGGGCCTCCTGCCTGGGGTCTGAGATGACAGAGTAGGGGGTTAAATGCCCAGGTATCAAGTATCCAGGTCCCAGGTGTCTGGTCCTGGGGATGCGGGAGTCGCAGGACTGGGCTGCCTGTTCTCAGGAGTCTTGGCCTGGTGCTCACAGCCAAGCTGCTCCCATCAGGGCTGTGCACCCCAGACGTGCCTGCAACAGAAACGCAGTTAGAAGTAGCCTCGGTGGTCCCACCGGCTGTCTCGGGGTCTTGGGAGAGGGGCTGGGGGGTCTCACGTGTTGCCCTTCCTGCGGCGCAGCAGCACATAGACGAGCGCAACCGCCGCCACCACCGCGAGGCCCCCAAAGATGATGCCCAACAGCACCGCGTAGCTGCGTCCTGGTGAGGGAGCGAGTGTCAGTGAGGGGGCTCTCTGGGGTGGTGAGTGGGGACAGGTGCAGGCAGGTGTATGAGCAGAGTGTCCTCACCTGGCTGGCACTTCGGGGTGGGTGAGGACCAGGTGCCGTCAGCCTGGCAGGTGCTGGTCTCTGCCCCGGCCAGGCTGTAGCCGTTGTCACAGTGGAAGTAGATGGTGGAACCCGCCAGGTACCTGTTGCCCTCCTTTTGTCCGTTGGGAGGTGGGGCCAGCCAGCCACAGGACACCACTGGGATGGGGACAGAGTGCAGACAACAGGCCTGAGCTGCCATGCATACACACATCTGGCCACCCCGGGGGGTCCTGTCCCAGCTCCCCGCCCACCCCCACCTGCCCGCCCTCACCTGGCTGCAGGCTCTGCATGCGACGCTGGTGCAGCTGGTGGGCCACCCGAGTGGCAGTGCCCGTGCTCAGGCTCCCAGTGGCTGCCACATCAAAGTTGCAGAAATGATCGTCCCCACATAGTTTGGCTGCCTCTTGTGCCAGGCTGGGGTTGAGGGTGGTCTCACTGGGGAAGAGGGGCTCGAAGGTGGGGTCGTGCTTGGGTTGGTACAGGAAGTTGTGGACCAGGAACCAGGAATCGTAGGTGAGCAGGGAGGACGCATTGTGCACGGTCCCTGGAAGATACATGACCGGGGCCTGGCTGGGCATGGCTCCCTTTGGTCCCCAAGCCCTGCCCGTGCCATGTTTCCAGTAACCCCCACCCCGTCTGCCCCATATACTCCACGGTCACTCACAGTTGGCCCCAAACAGGAACAGCTCCTGGGGACTGGTGCCTGGGGGCAGGACGCGCCCGCTGTGCAGGGTGAAGTCGTCGGTGGGGTCGTTGTTGAGTGTCCCGAGGAGGCCGTGGGTGTGGGTGAGGAACTTCTCAGGCAGCAGGACGGACACACTCAGGAACGGGCCCTGCACGCTGACCTCCAGGCCGGCCCCTGATGCCAGCATGATGGAGACCCTGTCCCCGGCAGCCACCGACAGGAACATTCCTGGGCTCAAGGGGGATGCATTAGGGTCACCCGCTGTGAGCATCTTGTCCCCTCCCGCAGCCCCAGGACAGGGTGGTCGGCACCCAGGGGCTGTGGGTGAGGGCACCTGCAGGGGAAGGGAGGGCGTTCCCGGGGCCAATTCTGCTGACCATGACCCTCCGCCACCCCTGCCATGCTTGCGGTGGAACTCCCAGCGGCACCTGAGGTGCAGCCCCTGCAGTGAATCCCCCATGTTGAGATGCACGTGTGGGTCCCTCTGGCCTTGGCTGCAGCAGCCACACCTGCCTGGGCACGTCCCGAGGGTCCCTGAACCCTCAGTGCTGACAGGCCCCTCCCAGGTCCTCACCCATCCCAACCAGGAATCCTTTCATTGACTCAGTTCCCTGAGGCAAGGGGTTCAGATGTGGAGCTACCACTTGCCAGGGGCATCCTTAACCGTGCAGGGCTGGAGACCTTGCAGTGGCTTTTGAGGACTGAGGGAGTGACAGGAGCACAGGAGTGGCTCTGTGCAGGCCAGCGGTGAACGTTACCAGGGTGAGTTCCCCTCCAGAAGGCTCCCGGGATCCTCCGTAGGGAGGACATGTCCCACCGTCACGGCCTCTCGGCTTTTGACCAGGTGGGTACGACGGGGGCACCTCGGTGGGTGTGAAGGCCTGAGGTCGGACCACCCAGGCCTCTAGCCAGGACTGGGAGAGGCATGAAGGCCCAGGGCTTCCCCTCAGTCTCCCTGCAGGAATGGGGAGGAGGTGAGGGCAGCCCGCAGCCTCGCGTGGCTGGACTGCTCACCTTTCAGGTCCATCCAGCTCTGCTCGGTGAAGCTCAGCACCTCCTGGTTCAGCAGCACCTCCAGACCTCCGGTCCTGTTGGCCAGCCTGACTTCCACCACATCTGAGTTGCCCTCCTGGACGGCCACTGCGGTCAGCCCAGTGCCACGGGTCTCCGTGCCTGCGGTGGTGGGAGCAGAACGGGAGCCACTTGGCTCCAGCCTCCCACCTTGGTTCTACCCCATGCCAACCAGAGCAGCCCCTAGCCCTGGCCTCACCGTTGGACATCGTCCCGGGCTGGGCCCGCGCCTGCACCCTCAGGTCGGTCAGCGCTGCCTCCAGCAGCACGTACTCTCCGCGCCCATTGAATGTGAAGTTGGTGCCGTCGAAGGTCACAAAGTGTGGGTCTCCGAAGGCGGAGGCTAGGGTGAGAGTGGAGGGTCACGTGGGGGTGCACCCCAGCCCAGCCCGATCTTTCCCAGGGTCTGGGGCACGGGATGGCACCCACCCAGTCTTGGGGGCCGGTAGTTGCGGCAGTCATTGGAGGGCCGCCGTTGCATGTAGCGGGGGCAGTCGGGTGCCCAGAGGCAGCAGTAATAGAAGCTGAGGACATCGTAGAGCCAGTGGGACATGCTGGGCACTCGGGGTGGCGTGCGGAACGGGGGTGCGCCCCAGTCATGGCCGCGGTCGGGAGTGCTGCCGCCGCTGGAGTCAGCTGTCAGGAGCTGCGTCCCGTCCGCTGTGTAGCAGCACTGCTGACCTGAGCCGTACCGGAGGCTGCAGGAGCCAGTGAGTCAGGGCCAGGCCACTGTTGGGAGCCCACCCCTGACCCCAATCCCCATACCGGCCCCAGCCTGGGGGCTCACCTGGCCTGCACAGAACGCACACAGTGCACGGCCCCGGGGTGGTAGGTGCACACGCTGCCCTGCTCCATGTCACAGCCGTAGTCCGTCTGCAGAGCAGCAGGTGGCTGTCACCCAGTGGCCTCGGGTTCTGTCATCCCCTCCCTGAGGCCAACCCTGCAGGGGTCCTGAGACCCCAGCCCCACCCTCCAGGACACCTCTGTCTGCCTCCCCTGGTGCTGTCCTCAGTGGGGAGGCTAACCCCTCATCCCCTCTCCTGGGCCCTGATGGGAGGCTCACGAAGAAGCGGCCGGAGTCAGCCCGGGCCTGGGTCAGGGTGCAGGGGCAGTCCGGCAGCTCCTCCAGGAAGTTGGGCAGCTGATCCTCCAGCTCCTCCCAGGCCTGGCACTGAGTTCGTGCCCAGGCCACAGGGTCCTCTCGGAAGTCATCGCTCAGGTGCCAGGCCAGTGCGTGGTCGTTGGTCCAGAGCGCCTGCACGTCCCTGTGGAGGTGATGATGCTGGAGCTGGGCCAGCCCACACCACCCCATGGTCGCCCCACTCTCCCCACCCCCAGCCTGGGCTGCCCAGGCAAGCATGATGGGCCTCGGGCGGCGAGGCCCTCCAGCCATCACCTGCACATCCATGCCTTCTTACTTCTGCCCTGCGTAATTTTTGCTGTCGATGATCCGAAGTGCACCCACTCGCCATCTCTGGTAGCTGGGAGGAGCAGGTTTTGGGGTGAAAGTGAAAGAGCCGGAGTTGGGGATGTGTGTGGCCAGGGGGTACAGGTACGACCACTTTGCAGTCCACTCCTGTGAGTAGGGCATTCCTGAGGGAGAGGATGCCTGGTTAGCCCTGGGGTTCCTTCGAGGCCTGGCCCCAGGCCTTGCCACCTACAGCAGCCTGACAGATGGGTGGATGGACCGCCAGGCGGTCCCCTTAGGAGGGGCTGTTCTAGCAGGGACCCCGGCTTGGGTGACCATCACCTCCTGCCACACTCCAGGATCCCTGTCCCTGCTGGAAGCTGGGCCCAGGGCCATGCCAGCCGTGCAGGGGTTCCTCATGAGCCTCCTCCCCTGGAGCCAGGCCCCATGAGCTGCCCCCTCCCACCTGCCTGACCCCCCTGACCTGCACTTCCCTCCATCCGAATCCTCAATCTCTGCCTGGAATTCCCTTCCCTCCTCAACCCCACCTGGAAACTCCCTTCCTCCTCCCACACAGCTGGGACCCCCTTTCTCCCCCTCTGGGGGCCCAAAGCTCTGATGCCACCCCAGCCCTCAGCTGGCCTCACCTGTCTCCTCGTAGCCCCACAGTTCGATGGTGATGGTCTGCGTGGGCAGCGACTTGACATGCCAGGTCAGGCTGAGGTTGCCTGAGGTGTTGGCGGTGCCGTAGTATTGCCAACGCGTCTCGTTCACCAACTCGCTCTTCTCCATCATTGACACTTTGTTGGGGTGCACTGGGCAGGGGAGGTGAGGGGTGAGTGAGGGCCTGGGCCCAGGGAAGCAGGGAGGAGGCCCTGAGGCTTCAAGGGCTGTGGGAGCCTCCAGGGCCAATGCATGGCAGCAGCTGGGTGATGGTCTCTCTGGCCCGCACAGCAGAAAAGGACGCTGAGGCCGCAGAGGCAGGGGCCTGCCCTCCCTCCACTGCCCACGCCTCTAGCCTCGACCTGGCTTCTCCCCTGCCCTGGCATGGCGGAGCTCAGTGGATAGGCACTGGCCCACCTCTCTAGGGACCCCTGCAGCTCCCACTCACTCTGGGCTGGGACCGCGGTCTGGATGCCAGGGAGTGGAAAGGAGCTGAAGGAACTCTCGCAGGCGGGCAGGCCTCCCAAGGGACTGGTTCAGCCAGAGAGGCAGGGCACGGACAGGCCAAGTCTCGGTGTGCATAGATTAGCGCTGGGGAAAGTCCCCGTGGGGGCAGGCTGTGGGCAGGGAGGAGGGCTCACCAGCCAGCCAGGTGCCCGCACGAGGGAAGGAGTGGCCGTTGTCCAGTGACACAGTGAAGGGGATGCGGCCGCTCTCATAGAGCAGAGGTGACACACAGTGCACTTGCCCGGAGGAGTCCACATGGCCGAGGGTCTGGATGCTGTCCTTAAACCTGTGGGCGTGGTGGTGGTGGGAGGGGCTGGGTCATTGCAGGCTGAGCCTCTCGATGGTCTGGGCCCCCAACCTCCCTGGGGAACCCAACCAGCCAGCTGTCCCTGTGCCCTCCTGCCTGTCCTGGGTCCGAGGGGCTCCACTCAGCCAGTCAGTGGGTCTGAGCCCTCAGCATGCACAGGGATGGGGGCGTGGGGCCCCAGTGCCCGGCCTCCTGGGCCTCCCAACCTGCAGATCACACTGGCGTCTGTGGGGCTGGACATCTTGAAGTGCCGCACCACAAAGTCCTTGCCGCCCATCATGGATCCTGAGTAGGGCAATATCTCCAGGCAGAAGTCCCGGAAATCCAAGCAGCAGGTGCCAAGGCCAGAGCACGTCGGGTGGCAGGAACATGGCCCGTCCAGGGCGCCACAGCGCATGGAGCAGCTCTCTTGGGCATCTGGAGGAGAGGATGCTGAGGGCCTGGCCCGGCGGGTACTGGACTGGCTGCCCCATGTGCAGGGCCTGTCTCTGTTTCTCCCACAGCCCATTAGACAGCAGCATCCCCAGGAGAACGCTGGCCAGGAACTGCACAGGCCACCAGGTGGACACAGTAGAAAGCCACAGGGCCCGTGGGGATGGGATGAATCTTAGCACAGACCATCTGGCTGTTGCCCTGACTGACGGGCTAGAATGCAGCGAGAAGAGGCAAAAAGCTGCATCCGCTCAGCCCTGCAGGGTCAGGAGAAGCCCCTGGGCATGACTGCCCTTCAGCCACCAAGTCCTCTATCCCACAGGCAGGGGTCCTCAGTGGGCCACGGTAGCTGGAGCCCTCGACCTCTCTTGGCTCCCCAGGGTGTCTGTGGTCAGCACGCCTTCTGGGGGCCCTGAAGCCTGCAGAAGAACCCCTCTTGCTTGCCTGGACTGGGGTGGGGGATATGGCTGCCAAGAGTCTCATTTGAGGCCTGGTAGGGAATGGTGCAGGGTCTGAACGTGACACTTCTCGCTCTCCCAGGGGCTGCAATTGAGACCCCAAAGAGAGCTCCGTGCTCAGGGCAGAAGGCCAGGGCCGCTCCCCTCCTTTCTGGGGAGAGGAGGGACATTTCAAGCAGGGGTCCCAGCAGTGGGGAAAGGGAAGTGGGGGTGCACACCACAAGGGGCTGTGGGCGCCGGGCCCAAAACTTCTCCTATGGGCCATAAGACCGGTGGGCAAGGCCATATTTCCAGGGGCTGGCATGAAGGAAGGGTTGCAGGGAGGGACTGGGGCAGGTGCATGCACCCAGGCTGGAATTGCACTTCCCTGGCCCTTCCCCATCCCCCATCAAAAGAGGCCAGTCGAGGGCCAGGCCTGGGCCTGAGCCACCCCGCTGGCCCCACTTCACCAAGTGCAGTGCCTGGCACTTAAAAGCAACAATAAATATGTACTGGCCAAGGATTTGGTGGCGCACAGGGGTCGGGGGAGGAGGCCGAGAGATGCTTGCAAGTGAGATAAGTGGCAAGAGGGTCGATGGGAAATGGGGTGGGGGACGGGGGGCAGCCTGGGACCAGTGTCCTGGTTCTGGAGTTCGGGGCTTTCCCTAGACTTTCCTGGATTCAGCCCCACCCTGATGAGGACCCACAATCCTGGCTCCCCCTCCGTGATCCCGCCCTGTCAGGGCTGGGGACACAGGCGGAGGCCTCTGCTGGTCTCCCCCGCCTCCCTCCTAGCTACCAGCAGGTTTAGGGTGGGCCCGGCTCAGACCTCCCATCCCCATGGGCTGCCCCTCCACATGGACCCTCAGAATTTCTTCCCATCACCCCTAGCACAGCCACAGATGGCCTGACAGATGGACAGAGGCTGAGCCCAGAGGGATGTCAGCCCAGGCCTGGCTGCAGACAGATGGACAGACAGACGGGGACACAGAAGGGCAGGGAGGCATACCTGCTGTGGGTCCGGGGCCCGGGCCGAGGGCTGTCGCCAGCAGCAGCAGGGCCCAGGGCAGGAGGGCTGGCTTCATGGTGCAGCCTGTGTCTGCAGCCAGCAGTGCAGTGGCTCCGAGGCGAGGCGGCCAGACAAGCTCACTCCCTGCTGGCCTGGCCCCGCCCGCCCTGCACTCTGCGGCACCGCCCCGCCCCGCCCCTCCCCGCCCCTCCCCACCCAGTCCCCTCTCAAAGTCCACAGGTGCCTGCGTGGACCAGCAAGGCCCAAGTTGCCCCGTTAGCACATTCCTGGCCCGCAGGCCTGGATCGGCCCTGGGACCCTGTGGGAGGGTGAGGAGGCCGGAGCCTCCAGCCACAGGACCTTTGGCAGGCGATGAGCCGGATGTCCAGAGGGCGAAGCTCAGACCCTGGGTCCCAGCCCCGCCTTGCATGCAGGGCGAGCCCGGCGGGGCTGAAGCAGAGGATGGGATGCGCAGGGTGAATAAGGCAGGGCTGTTTTAGCTCCAGGGAGGATTCCAGACTCTGTGGCCCTGACATAGACCTCCATCTCTAGCCCTCATCTTCCTGCAGGAAGGAGGTGCACCCAACTCATCCTCAGGGGGAGGCAGGAGCTGTTTGGGTCAGACACAGGCTGAGCCCTGGGGCGGAGGCAGCTCTGCAGGGGTCCCCTCTGGAGGGAGGAAGGAGGAAGGGGAGAGAAGGTACCCAAGCCCAGCGGGGGGCCCGGAAGGGAGACAGGGCCCATCCCCGGGCTCCAGAGATGCCACCACCCTGGGGAGCCTTGGCTGTCCCAGCCACACCTAATCCTGCCGCTAAGAGTTTGCATAATTTAATCAGTATTCACCTCCCTTCTTGAGCAGATGAGGAAACTGAAGCTCAGATGCGGATAGGCAAGGCCGAGCCAGGCCCTTGGTGGCTTCTGGGAGCCCCTGCAGCCAGGGCGGGTGGTAAGGGCTGCGGCCTGGGACTGGTCATTTGGACCCTGACACCTGGGCTGGACATCCAGACAGGCGGGTGGTCCTCTCCCAGCTGCAGCTTCTCAAGGTGTCCAAAAGGGACCCTTGCCACACTTGCAGGGAGTCAGAGGTGGCCCCAGGGCATGAGCTTAGGCCATCCGGTCTGTGATCTGCCCCAGCGCTTGCGGCCAGGCCAGCCCATTGTTCCCCGGCCTGTTCTCTCTCTTGCCTGGGTGGTGCCTGCTGGGAACCACAGGGTGTTGGCAGCCACCCGTGGCTCCAGAGAGGTGGCCCCTACTGAAAGTGTTAGAGGCGTGTGCTGGGGGACTTGGCTCCTGAGTCCCCACACAGAGCTGTTCCAGGGAAGCCACACCCGCATTTGATGTTTTCCCACCTCCCAAAGACATTTGGTGAGAGGCCCCCAAGACCTTCAGCTTCTCAGGGACTGTCTCCAGAGGGGAGAAAGTCCCTTAACCCACAATGGCGCTCAGGGCACCTCTGCAGGTGAGTGTCCTGTAAGTGGACGCTCAGGTGCTGAGCCAGGGAGAGCCTGTCTCCTGGCCCCAGGCTGGCGAGGGCATTCATCCCAGGCCCAGGGCTGAAGTTGCTCCCTACAGCACTGGGTGCAGGGGAGGGTCCGAGGTGTCCGTCCTCCTATAGGTGAGGCTCCAGGGAGGGGTGCTGGGGGATCGGCTGAGACAGTTCCCGGGAACTGGAGGAGGGAGAGCTGCTGCTTCCTGTTTTTGGCCTGGGCACCGTTGCTGCGCGTGTCTGGAGACAATGGAAGTGCGGTAGGGGCTAGGTGTGCAGTCTGGGAAGCTCCATACCCCAGGCCCTGCAGGGAGGGGGCGTCAGCTGAGTAACTGGGGCTGGCTTATCTCAGCCCCCCGAAAGGCGGGTTCAGCCAGACCCATCTGGGGCCACCAAGCCTCTGGTTCCAAAAGGGCGGTGCCCAGCCCTTTACGCCTTTCCTCCTGGGTGGTGGGCATGTCCAGCCCATGAGGGGCACAGGGCAGTGAGGAGGGTCCCCATCTCCATCCTGGACAGAGAGCCTGCTCCATGGGAGGTCCCAGGGCCAGGAGGGCCCCTGCGGTGCTGGGAGGGGAAGAGAGTTGTGAAGGGTGCCAGCTCTAGGGGCTTAATGCTCTGTGGGGCCTGCCTTAAAATCCTTAATCATTTTTGGTCAGACATGGTGGTGGCTCAGGCCTGTAATCCCAGCACTTTGGGAGGCCAAGGTGGGTGGATCACTTGAGGTCAGGAGTTTGAAACCAGCCTGGCCAACATGGTGAAACTCCGTCTATACTAAAAATACAAAAATTAGCTGGGCGTGTTGGCGTGTGCCTGTGATCTCAGCTACTCGGGAGGCTGAGGCAAGAGAATCGCTTGAATCCAGAAGGCGGGGGTTGCAGTGAGCTGAGATCGTGCCACTGCAGATCGTGCCACTGCATTCCAGCCTGGGAGACAGAGTGAGACTCCATATCAAAAAAAAAAAAAAAAAAAAAAAAAAATCCTTAATCCTTTTTGATCAAGGAGCTTCATATTTATGTCTTGCACTGAGCCCAGCTATTCTGTGACTGGCCCCATTAGGGCGACTGTGATGGGAGTTAAGTACCCTCCCTGCCGGCCCCATCCCCCCTTTCCCTCCCTGACAGCCCCCTCCTCCCAGCCTCTCAGCTGCCCCAGCCCTGCCTGCCCTCCCACCGTACAGCCTCCCACCCACTGGCACCCAGGTGCGTTCTGGGGATGCACCTAACTCCCCTTTGAAGCCTGGCTCCAGCTGCACTAGAGGCGTCTGCCTGGCCCAGCCCCGAGTCGGCTCTCTCCTTACCCCACTGGGCACCCCCAGCCGCTGCTTTGGTTGCCTGGCTGGTCCCTGAGATGCTGGAGAAGGAGGGGGGCTAGGCCCTGCCCTATGGACTATGGCAGTAAAGGCCCAGAATCCCTGGGGACAGCAACTCTCCGCCAGAGACTCTGCCAGATTGCCCCCTAGAGGTGAGCAAAGAGGCAAAGACAACTGTTCCATCTTTATTAGAAAAGCAACCAAAAAAAGGGTGAGGGGTGAGCCTGGCCCTAAAGGACCCCTCCACTGTGACACAGGCAGAGCCGGCTCATCCCGGCGTCGAGGGGTGGATATGGCCAGCTGGGTGTGGGCAGATTTACAAAGTCAACACTTCATAGAAAAGGATGCCGCCTGGCGTGCAGATGGCGACCAATCCACCTTCACATGGCTAAGGCGGGCCCCTCCTCCTCTGGGCTCCCATGTGGTGTGGACAGCCTGACCTGGGTACAGGGAGGATGCCATGAGGAGGTGGGCTGGGCAGGCCTGGGGGCTGTGTGGGGAGTGGCATCCATGTGGGCCTCTGGTCCTGCCCAGGGTCCTGCCCAGGGGGCATTCCAGGCCTGGCTGGTCCCCTGGGGCGTGGCGGTGGGGCTGCAGTGGCCCCTCAAATGTCCATGTAGTCGTCGTCCTCGTCTGTCTCGCTCTCCAGCGAGGACTCCTGGCTGGATGTCTCCAGGACCTCCAGGGCTGGCTGGCATAGGCTCTCCTTCCTCACGTTGGCAGCAGACTGGGCAGAAAGGATGGCTGACTGCGGAGAGGGCCGGGCGGGGCACTGGTCAAGGATGGCTGGGCTCTGCCCCAAGCCCCTCTGCCACCTTCACCCCTGCCCCAGGCCCCCCTCCCACCCTCACCCCTGCCCCAGGCCCCTATGCCATCCTCACCCACACCCCAGGCCCTCCTGCCACCCCCACCCCCATCCTAGGCCCCCTTTGTAACCTATGCCTCCCACCCACACATGGCTCCAGCCCAGCCCCTGAGGTCACCTTCAGCTTCTGCTTGGTCTCCTCCGAGATGCTGCCTTTGGGGGAGAGCAGGGTTGGGGTGGGTGGCGTGACGGTGATCTCAGGGGGGAACTTGGTGGCGGCGGAGGGGATGACCAGCTTTGGCATGTTGGGCAGGGGGCGGGACTTAGCCCGGCTGGGCTCAGGCTTGCCTGGGTGACCCTCTGGTGGCTGGGCACTCCCACTGCTGGGGGCCTTGGAGCTGGCAGCTGTTGGGGGAGAGCTCAGGGGCTGAGTCTCACTCGCAGCCTCCTGAGCCTCCCCATCCCTTCTCGGCTCAGGCCTCAGTTTCCCCTCTGGAAGACAAAGGTACCAAGAGCACTTCCTGCCTGCCGCATCACACAGTGAGCACTTTATCTCGCCCCCACCCGCTCCCCCCAGGTCCTGGGCCTTTATGCTGTGTAGTTTGTGCTGGCTGGCAGGCTCCAAGGCTTCTACCCTGGGCAAATACTTGGCTCAGGCCTGCAGGGACCCAACTCTGGCTCTGAGCTGTGGGGTGCTGGGACTGTGAACCTTACCCAGTAACACCATGAACTCAAAGCCCAGGACCTGAGACTCCCTGAGCCTTGCTGGGTTCTGTAAGACCTCCAGGCATCATGCTTGCATGAACTGTCGTATTTCCACAACCATCCTAGGATGCATGTCCTATTGGTGTCTATGCCCCAGGGAGGACACTGAAGCCCAGAGCTGGTCGCTCAGCCAGGCATGGTCACTGAGCTGGCCCCAGGGCATCCACTTTCGCCTCATCCTCCAGTGGGAGCAAGGGGCTGAGTTTGCCCAGAGCCTGAAGGCTGGGCCAGTTGCAGGCCTGGCAGCCTCTAGGGAGCTGCACGAGCTGGGAGGACCCGGCTGGCCTGGCTCGTCTCCACATTCCTCTGCAGCCCCATGGCTTTAAAAGGAATGGGGTTTACACAGAGCCCATGCCTGGCCCCCAGGGGCTGGCGCCAGGTCCTGCCATCCCAAGTGGTCTGTGGGAGGCCCAGGCCAGGAGGAGTCCCCAAGGGGTCTGGCTGGTTGGGGCAGCTGGTGGGAACAGGCCGGACTGAGGCCAGGGCTAGAATCTGACGTGGCTGTCGACGGGGACGCCTGCTTGGCCCAGCCCAACCTGTCCACCCTTCTGCCTGCTGCTGATGTCCCTCAAGTGTCTGTCACCAGGCCCATGCTCCGCCCTGTCCATGCCTACTCCTCTTTCCCCACTCTGGGCTCAGCCTGGGTTCTGCAGTGGGCCCAAGCAGGCCGCCTGCCCTCGCTAGTACCCCTCCGTGATGCCAGGGGTGGAATAAGCCTCTGGGGTCCCTCTCTACCCAGCCCCTGACACAATGGGCCACGCATTAAACTCTTCAGCCTGGGCCTCTCCCTTGGCTCCCCTGTCCAGCCTGCACTACCCCCATTTCCTCCCCATCTCATTCCATGGGGCATCCCCAGGCCCTGCCCTTCAAGGCCAGGCCGGGAAACCCACCCTGGCTGCCAGCTGTGAGGCAGCCTCCTGGGGGCTGGTGCTGGGCTGCTCCCAACTCGCCTTACCCTGGCTGCAGGTGGGCTCAGCGCCTGTGCCCAGGGCAGCCTCTGCCGG
Source organism: Homo sapiens (assembly GCF_000001405.40). Taxonomy (NCBI): domain Eukaryota; kingdom Metazoa; phylum Chordata; class Mammalia; order Primates; family Hominidae; genus Homo; species Homo sapiens. The sequence continues at coordinate 24,176,226 of NC_000022.11, read as the reverse complement.
CCAGCAGTGTGGCTCTGCCGGGGAACTTGTGGGGGCCATCTTCACCTGCGGACTGTGCCGTGGCTCCTGAGGCGGGAAGCTGGTGCCCTCTGCCACTCTCGCCAGCTCTTCTCCCTCTGTGGGGACATGGGCTCACTGCAGGTAATAGACTCATCCACCCCGCAGGCTCCAACGCATCTGTGTCAGGTCCTATGGGCCCAGGTTGTGCCCTGGGACACTGGGCAGGGGAGTGTGGCCAATGCTGGGGTCCTGGCTGAGGCAGTCCAGGTTGGTGCTGCCAAGAAACCACTCACCACCCAAGAGGACACTGGTAGGGGCTGGCTCCCCACCCCCAGAGGGCTCCTCCGCCTCCCGAGAGGGCTATACACCTGACCCAGTGGGGCCACACCTGAGTCTTCGAGGCCCAGCCTCTCTTAAGATCCCATCACAAGGCAGTGAGAGGGGATGGGGGGGCAGTGTCCACTCTCCCTCCAGCTCACATAAGCAGCATTCAGAAACGAGGTCAGGACCAAAATCCAAACAACCCAACTAAGACCAAAGTAGACGCTGGCACTATGGCTCCTGCCCAGCCAGCCACACCTTCCCTGGCCTGAGGCAGGGGCCAGGAATTGGGCTCAGTTGGGCCAAGGCCGGGATGGGCCTGAGGGGCAAATGCTGTGCCTGTGGCTGCTGGCCAGGTGACTACTCAGCATCGGTCCCCGGTTCCCAGGCCTCCAGGCCCTCACTTCCCTTGCTGCTCCCCACCTTCTCACTCAGGTCTGGACTCTCCCACCACACTGGTCATCAACCACTGCCTTTCCAGCCACCCCACCGCCTCCCCATCCCGCTCCTCTGCCAGGAGGCCCTCCATCCTCTCCAGCAGGGGGAGCCAGCTCCCCTCCTTGGTCAGCAGGAGTGACAGCTCCCGGTACAAAGCTGGGGCCAGCAGGCGACTGCTGGGCTAGGCAGAGGCCTCAGCGGCCATGGCCATCCCCATCCAGCTGCTCTGCCTGAGGCTCCTGCCCCAGGCTGGCTGAGGCCTTGTCTCAAGCCTCCACCCCCTCGCCCCCTGCCCCCAGTGTCATTCAACAGTTCCATCCTGGCAAAAGGCCATTTAATTTGGTTTTGGGAATGGGAATAGAAAAGGATCAACTCTCCAGGCTGAAGAAGGTATGCTAGGAAACAGATCCTCTTTCTTAGATCTAACAGAGGAGAGAAGGACATGAATTACAGCTTTGGCCTGCTTGATGGTGGGACAGGCAGGCAGAGGGAAAGCAGGCAGTCTCTAGCCCCCTACTCCGCTACCCCTGGCCCTGGCATCCACCAGGCCTTCCCACACCCCAGGGAGGTGTGTGTGGCCTACAGAGATCTCAGTTGCTGCTGAGATTAGGTTATAAAAGACACCATGGCTTCCTCTGTGTTCTCTCGGTGGGGTCAATGGCTCTGGGGAGAACCAGTCACCATGATCCGGGGACACTCAGCTGTTTATAGAAAGGCCCACAGGAGGAGCTGAGGCCTCTGGCCAATAACCAGTGAGGACCTGAGGCTGCCAACACCCCAAGGGAGCTCAGATGCACTGATGATAGCTTGACTGCAACCACGTGGGAGACCCTGAGCCAACTTTACCCCACAAAGCCACTGTAAATTCCTGACCCTCAAAAACTACAAGACGAGAGCATGGGACTGGTACAAGGCAAGACAGCCCCAGGCAGAGGGACAGGAGCTGGGTCTTCGTGGGAGTAAGTCAGCTACCAACACTGACCAACTGATTACGGCACTGGGCTCCCATCACCCCCACACCTTGACGTCACCATCCTCAGGCGGGGTATGGTGGTTCACACCTGTAATCCCAGCACTTTGGGAGGCTGAGGCGAGTGGATCTCCTGAGCCCAGGAGTTTAAGACCAGCTTGGGCAACATGGTGAAACCCCATCTCTACAAAAAATACAAAAATTACCCAGGCGTAGTGGCCCATGCTTGTAGTCTCAGCTACTTGGGAGGCTGAGGTAGGAGGATCACCTGAGCCCAGGGAGGTTGAAGCTGCAGTGAGCCATGATCGCACTGCTGCACTCCAGCCTGGGCAACAGAGTGAGGAAAACAAACAGGCCAGGCTTGGTGGCTCATTCCTGTAATCCCAGCACTTTGGGAGGCTGAGGCAGGCGGATCACCTGAGGTCAGGAGTTCAAGACCAGCTTGGCCAACATGGGGAAACCCTGTCTCCACTAAAAATAAAAAATAAAAATTAAAAAAAAAAAAAAAACCCATACCAAGTCTCTGCTTAACGCCAAGCAGCATTCCAAATCCTGCAGTGCTATTATCTTCATCTTATCCATTTTATGCAGGAAACTGAGGCAGAAAGAAGAAAAGGGATGGCCAAGGTCACATGCTGGTAGAACCACTGCAGTTCGTTTTTTTTAGATGGAGTCTAGCTCTGTCGCCCAGGCTGGAGTGCAGTGGCGTGATGTCAGCTCATTGCAACCTCTGCCTCCTGGGTTCAAGCGATTCTCCTGCTTCAGCCTCCCGAGTAGGTGGGATTACAGGTACCCACCACCACACCCAGCTAATTTTTGTATTTTTAGTAGAGATGGGGTTTCACCATGTTGGCCAGGATGGTCTCCATCTCTTGACCTCGTGATCCGCCCACCTCGGCCTCCCACTGTGCTGGGATTACAGGCGTGAGCCACCGCGCCTGGCCAGCACTACACTTCTTTTACGGCTCTTTGTCCTGAAGCCTTCACAGGCTCCTCTGGGAACAAATGGCCACAGGTTCTGACCCAAAGGGAAGTAATTCTTTGTCTCACAGGGCCACGACCAGTGCAACCGAGGCTGACTGGGCTAGAGGATGCCTACATGTTCACAATCCTCAAAGCAGTGTGGATGGCATCAGGTGAAAACATCAGCACCTGCTTGCTGCTTGAGCCACCGTGGGAAAGAGCTGAGGAAGACTTCTCAACTCAACCTCCACTCAGGCGCACAGTCTGTGGGGGCTCTTAGGCCTGCCTTCTGCTGGGCACTTCTGCAGAGTGGCTGTCTCGTTTTTCAGATGGGTAGGAAATTCAACTGGGAAGACAGGTGAGCCTCCAGGGGTGACACAGGCTGTGGGCCAGTGCAGGGTCTGCGGCAAGGAAACAGGCTGGGTCCTTGAGGCAGGGAGGGAGAAGCAGGGGAGGGCCTGAAAGGGAGGGTTGGGGAAACTGGTCCATCGCTGGATGTCCCCAGGGGCACAGGGAACCCTCTGACCACGCTGGTCTCTCCTGGGGCCCCACCAGCTGGGGAGACAAATTAGTTAGGGAATATCCCTGTCCTATTATAGGGCCTTCAGAGCCTGGCCACATGGTCCTAGAGTCCTGGGAACCAACAGGGAAGGGCTCCCTGCCCTGGGTGGCAGGTGGAACCTGGCCCAGGCCTGAGCTGAACCCAGTCTGGCAGAATTGCAGCTGCCAGAGCTGCTGGTGTCAGGACCAGCGAGGGGGATGGTGCCTTGTCTACTCCCCTCTCACTCACTGGCTGTAGCAGCGCTGCCTCTACATCCCCTCCCCAAAGGAAGGATCTGTGGCTTAGCTGTCTGCAGGCTGCCATTCCAATGGATCCTGGGTTTTAGAAGGAACAGGAGCTTTCACCGATGAGGCCAGCAGGGCCCTCTACTGCCCGCACCTTTGTCCTCTCTGTTTTCCTTCACAAGCCCCCTGACCTGCCCCTGCCCTCATCCTGGCTGGCTTCTGTCTTGCCCATGAGGCAAGATGGGGTTTGAGCAGATCTGCTGGCCCCACACCCAGTAGGGCCTGGTACCCAGGAACTGCTCACAGGTAACTGAGGCCGGATACCAGTGGCCTTGCAGCATGCTGAAGGTCAGGACCCCTCCCAGTGCCCTGAGGGAGGCCTGGTGTGGGCTAGTATCCTTTTCCTACCTGACCAAGCCATCCTTCCTACTTACTATAAGGCTTTGTGGGGAGGAAACAGTAGCAAACACGTCCGTGATGGTGTTTGCTCCCTCCCTCCTCACCACCCCCTTTCACAGACTGAGGCACCCAGGGTTAGGTTAAGAGTGGTAGATGTAGGATGTGCTGACCAGGGCCACCGAGGCTGCCAGTGACTGGTGAGTGGACCCGCGGTCACCTGCCCCGCCACCCTGTGGGATCGACTGGGCGGGAGGGCACTGCTTGCCTCCCTTACCCATACTCACACTCTCCCCGCAGGGAGGACTTGATGGTGGCAGGGGCCTGGGCCCAGCTCTGGACTGGGATGGGACTCACCTGGGCCCAGAGAGGCCATGCTGGGGGTAGCTTCAGGCCTGTGTGGCCGGGGAGGCCCAGGGTCCTTGGACTGGTCCAGGGTGGAAGCTGATGCTGACGGAGGGCAGGTGATAATAGTTGTGGCGGCAGCTAGTGCAGGGCGAGGCTTGGTGTGAGCATCACTGGGCCGCTGGACAGAGTCAGCTGGCACAGGGTCAGGGGCTGTGGGCACCACTGTCACAGGAAAGAAGTTCTCTCGGCTGTCTTTGGGGTGCTTTGGAGTGGTGGGGGTGTCCCCCGAGGCCTGTGAGGACAAACAAGAGGTGAGAAAGGCTGGCTAGGCAGCCCTGAGCCCACGCTGCTCTGCCCGCCAGCCGACCAGTGCTGTCCCACAGGACATCCTGTGCGCCTGGGGCTGCCAACACTGCCCATATGGCACCACTGAGCCCCCACAATGCTGCCAACAAGGTCCATCAGAGAGGCACCCCATCAGGATCCTGCTGATGCTAGGACACAGCTGGAGACCCAGAACCCCTCCCTGGGAGAATGTCCAGGCCGTACTGGTGGGGACTCAGTGGAAGGACCTCCAGCTGGCCTTGCCCTCACACCACAGGGTGCCAGTCTGGGAGGATTATGTCCTGCAGGACCCTAGGCATGGGTGCAGCTCCCAACCCAGGGAATGCAGGAACAGGTGGTCAGTCTTGGAGGGTGACTTCCCAATGGCCACTCATGGGAGAGTCCTGAGGGAGCTAGTGGGATGCTGCAAGAGTTTGCTTCCTGGGCTTGATACCACAACCCACTGTGACCTACTGCCACGGCACCCAGTGCTGCCCCCAGCTTGGCCTCTCCCTGCAGCCTGGCCTTGGCAACTGCTCCCACCATGGGCCTTCGATTTCCAGGTGAGCCGGGCCCTAGGGGCCTCCGAGTCTTCATCCACACAATTCCCTCTGCCATGAGGCCCTTTTGGGGTTCTTTTCACAGGGCTACTTTTGCTCCCACCCCCAGCCAGCCCTCCTGGGACAGGTGTGAAGGCTCCAGTGCCCTGACAGCATGTCTTGAGGTGATGTGAGGCAGCCCTGAGGCAGCCTCTCACAGCTGAGCAGAGGAGTGGGTCCACCCTTCAACCCTCCCCAGCACCAGGCTGACTGTACTGTGGGAGCTGGCCCACATGAGGCTGACAGCACCCCCATCCCCACCCCCTCGAGTGTGGGAGAGTCACACGCCTGCAGGTAGGTACCTCAGTGCATGGGGGCGGGGGGGGGGGCAGTTTGCTACCACCGATGACCCTGTCTCTTCTGACATTGGTTTTGCTAAAATGCCCTGTTCCTCAATTCCACATGGTTCAGGACGGGCCCCTGTGGACTCTGCCACATACTGGGTGTCTGGGATGTGCCCCAGGCCGGTGCTCTGGGGCCTAGCCTTGTCCTGTGGGCAGCCCATCCTGTGGGAGTGCGGGGCAGGAGGACAGACCTGTCTCTCGGGCCCTGCGGGCCTGCGGCAATACCAGTGGTGTTGTAGCAGCCTAGCTGGCAGCGTGAGCAGACACGCTGGAGGAAGGTGAGTGCAGTGTCCCTGTGCTCGCTCAGGAGCGGGCCTCAGCCGTGGGCACTGAGCCTCTAATTATGTCCAGAGCACCCTCCAGGCGGGTTCAGGGCTGCCATGGCAACAAGGACATGCCGTGAGCAAAATGGACACTCCCTGAGGGGCGGGAGCTATGGGCTCTGATGGCAGGAAATGGCCTCCAAGATTGGGCTTAAGGGAGGAGAGAACCAGAGGATGGCAGCTAGCCCCTACAGTGGCATCTTCTCTGGGCCCAGGGTAAGAATCCTAGGTAGGAAACGCAAATCTGCCCACGGCAGATACCAAGGCGCCCCCACCGCACCAGGGTCTGGGAAGCAGGCAGGTAGGTCTGAGGGTCATTAGGGCCTCCTCCCTGCCACTCCCCTCCACAAACTGGGAGGAGACTGCTGGGGCCTGGCCTGGCGTCGCCCAGCAGCAGGCAACCTGAAAGGTAAGGACCTGGGTCCCCTGGCTCTGGCCACCCCCATAACCCAGGCTGTGTCTTCCGAGGTCTCTGACGGAAATCTCTGCTCACCCAGCCCTCAGGGGCCCCAATATGCATGTGCCTCGGCAAAATGGGGTCTGGCCCAGCCCTGGCTCCTGCCAACTCAGTAGCCCTTTCTTCTCACGCTACAGTGTGGGGTTGTGGGGGGGTTTCCTGTGTGGGTCTATCTTTTAAGGACGTCAAAAGCAGAAACAGCCCTCCTATCTCCTGAGTGATCACCACTCCCATGTCCACCTGCTCCACCTGGGCCAGTGGAGGAGGCAGGGGCACCCTGGTGGACCTGGGCCTGGGCCTGCGCCCAGCACTGGGGCCCAGACAGCTGTGCTATGCACTCTGCCTAGCTGGACAATGAAATGGTGGGGACTGCTGGGGGTTGGGGCACTCCCTGTCAAGGACTCTGGCCCTTAGCTGGGGACCAGGCCCACCTACTCCCCACAGCATGCCTCGTCTGGCCCACAGCCTGCTTGGTCAAAGCTGAACCTCGAGGGCTTCCGCAGACGTAATAGCCCAGGCAGGTGGTGGGGGCCTGAGGCTCCATTCCACTGAGAAGGAAGCCCGTCTGGACCCCAAAGGCAGCTACCAGCCCTCTGCTAGGGGACCTGGAACAAAGGGACCTGGGACGAGGCTACCGGGGGCATCGGGACACCCCTGGGGACAAAAGACTGCACCTACTCAAATGGCATGCCACCTACCCTCTGGCTTGGAGGCTTATGTTTTAGACAGGGCACACCTGCTCTCTCTGCCTGCCATGTCTGCCCCTCCCTGCCACATCCTCTTGTTGAATTCTGATCCCAGCCCTCCCACCTCTAGCTTGGGGTCCTCCCAGGAGGGGCCTCCCCAACTCCCTACTCCCTGCCATATCTTGGACCCCGCCCCCCCCTCCCCAGCCCTGGCCTGGACCTTGCACTAACCCCATCTTCCCTACTCAGGAGTGTTGCTGCCTTGCTTCCTCCCTGCTTAATAAACTCCAGGACTCCTGCCTACCCTGTCTTAGGACACCTTGCTCCCTACAAGTCCTCCCCTGGGGCGGTGGGGCGGGGGGCAGTCCCTGTATAGGCTGCATCTCCACCTTCCCCTGCCACCTGGCTCCTAACCAGACTGGCTCTAACATTGCTGCTTCTACTTCTGTTCCAAACGGAATGACCTTCCCAGTTGAGGTCAGCTGGCTAGGGGCCATCCTCCTTGTTACAGAAAAGGTGGCTGAGGTGAGGGGACCCCTCAGCATGTCTGAACTGGGGTCTGGGCCGTCAAGTTCCTGCCCACTATGGCCACGTGCTGGAGGCTCAGCTGCCCCCTGCTCATCTCCCCTCAGCCCAAGCTGACCACAAGAACAGTCCCAAGAGTGGATCTGCTTCTCAGCCTGCATCCTAGGGCCTTGATATGGAGCAGGCTCCGCAAGATGAGGCTGGCACAGGCTAAATTGGGCTTACCTGTCTCTGGGCGGCAGCCCCAAGATGGACCTGGCAGAACTTCACAGCCTGCTCCAGCGCAGCCTCCTCATCCACCTTAACAGGGAGATGCTGGAAGTCAGGGGGCGCAGGCCATTGTGGTTAGCCTCCCCCAGCCCTGTCTGTGTATGTAGCACAGACCAGCCTAGGTAGGGGGCATGCCCTGTGGCTCGGGTGCCCCCCAACACCCCAGACTCTGCTGAATAGCCAGCCGTCCCCACTGCTGTCCGCATCTAGACCCCTACGTCCCAGCTCTTCGTGGGTAGCAGGGGCAGATGCCCATCCATCTCCCAGGTGGGGGTGCCTGCTCAGGTGCCACACCACCAGGTACTGGTGCCAGAATTGGACCCAGCTGTTCCTCTGAGCCCATCTGGCTATACCAAGTTCATTTCTATGGCTGAGTTACTTACATCCTCACAAGCTGAGGCTGGCAGGCAGACTCAAGGGCTCCAACCAAGCCTTCAAATTCAGCTGAGGCTCAGTTGCTAGGGGAAGAGGGGAGTCTTCTGAGCTAGAACCTGCCCTTTAAGTGGGCAGGATGGAGGGCCATGATTAGAGTGGGAGAGGCCTTTCGGAATCCCAGGCCTGATGGTGATAGCCCCATGCTGTGTCAAGTGTGTCTAGGGATTCAGTGCCCAAGGTCCATATGATATGGGGCAGTTGGGGGTAGGATGCATTGCAAACTGACATGATTAGAGGGAATACTGTATGTCAGGGATGGTCATCCCATCTGAACCAGTCACTAAAGTTTTGGAGATTCTTCCTATGGGAATAATTTTAAATGGAGAAAAAGGAAAGTGCTTGATACATTAAAATAAAATGTTTAAAAAAAGAAGGCAAAATGACAAGGGGATCTCTGGTCACTGCAGCCATCTTTAGATGACAGCCACAGAAGTCTTGAAGGAAATGCCCTAAGATGTACCCAGAGGCCCAGCGCAGCGGTGGGAGCAGCGGTCCAGACTCCCCGCGCTGGTTGTGATAAGGTTTCTGTGACGGGCTCTCACTTCCTTCCAGGTTGAATATTGACTTTTTAAAGCTCATTGCAGAAAGTGAACAGCAGGGATGGTGTGGGAACAACACCTAAAACCCGCCCCAAGGGCAGGCCTGGGAGACCCTCCTTGAGGATAGAAAGGCAAGAGTGGGGATGCTGCCAGCAGACTAGTGCCCCCAGGCCTCTGCCTGCCACCCACCTGCTTGATGAGCATGTAGGTCTCCGACATGATCCTCTCCACACGGCCCAGGTCATAGGCCACACCCTTCTGGCCCTGCTGCCACACACGGTAGGCATCCAACAGAAGTGTCTTGCCTGACTCTGTGTCCTCCAGGAGCTTCCTCTTGCGGCTGAGCCGGGAGAGCGGCTCCTCCGGGTGGCCCCCTGCCCTGGTCCCTGTGGTGGTGGCGGGGGCGGGGGCGGGGGCTGGCTGGGCTGGGGTGAGCGGGGTGGGCTGCTGCCGGGCACTGATGCTCAGCTCCTCCAGGGACAGCTCAGTGGGCCGGCTCTCGGGGCCCCGGTCCCTTGCGGGGCGACCTGGCAGCAGGGGTGGTGTCCGCTCCAAGTCTGAGTGGCAAACAGTGGCCTCACTCGTGTCCATGGGCTCAGTGGGCCCTGCCCGTGGGCTCTCTTTATCCTTCCGCTCCCCGCTTTGGTCTGCACTGTCTCCTGCATCCATGGCCACAGGCCGGTGGTTGAGGAGGCCCACTTTGCCTCCTGGCTCGGGCCCTGGCCCTGAGCCATCAGCCAGAGGGGGCTTCTTCGGCTGGGGGAGGCCCTCCTGGCCATCCTCAGGACTGGCCTTGTGTGAGACATCGGTGGTCATCCTGGCTCCGGGGAGGCCACAGACCTTGGGCCCTGGGCGTTCTGACCCCTACAAAGAAACCAAAGGTAAGAAGCTGTGTCGCTGGTGTCTCCACTGCAATGAGTCACCTCTGGGGGCTGGTGAGCCCAACCTGGGCCTCTCCCACCTGACATCTGTGTGGCTCCGGACATCTGCCAGCTGGCCAGGGCTGTGTTTCAGTTATCAGAGAAGGACACTGGGCCCAGAGACCTGCCTGAGAAAGGCCTTCCCTCCTCTGCACCTCTGGCTACCCCACCACACTCTTCCAGGTAGCAAGGGGCTGACGGGACTCTGGAGGTGGCACTGCTCCTGAATAACAGGCCTGGGCTGAGCTGGGGCAGCATTGCCCAGCTCCCCTTTGACTCCATGACGTGAACTCCGGGCAGCTCTGGGCATTTTATGGGAGGGGACCTGCCCAGGGCCACCAAGCATGTTTGCTGCAGAGCCAAGTCTTCCTGGCCCTTAATGCACGAGGCCTGGGGTTGGGGGCTGGCAAGGACTCCTCCCCAACAGCCTCAAGTTGATGCCCTCTACCAAGCCACAGCCAGCCCTACCAGGCATAAGCTTTGGAGGCAGTCCTGGCTCAACTCCCAACAGCCCCACCTCGTAGGCTGGCTGCTTAACCTCCCTGGCCTCCTCCAGGTGCTCAGCTGTGAGAAGGAGGTACTGCTGCACCTGCCTCAAGGCTGAAAAGGGACGATGCACACACATGGTGTTCTCATAGGCCTTGGTCAGCCTGCCAGGGAGAGGGCTTGGGACCCCGCCCTGGGTGGTGCAGCCCTTGGGGAGCTCAGTTTCATGGAGTCACTATGGCTCTTACTAATCACCAAGTGCATCCATGACTCACTGAATTCATGTGCATTCATTACCACGGCTGACCTTCCCTGCCTAGGAAGACAGGATGGGTGCTACCTCACAGATGGGGACCCTTAGGCACATCCTGCCTAAGGGTATGCAAATAGAGGGATCGGGCCCACCACCTGGGAAGGGCTTGGAAGCGTGTTCATGGGCCGTGGAGGAGAGGAGGACACAGGTGGCATACCTCTGCGAGCTCGCTCAGCGTGTCTTCGAGCACCTTCACAGTGAGGATGAAGGCCCGCTGCGCCAGGACCTGGCGGTCAGCATCTCGCAGATACTTCCTGCGGTCATACAGGGGTAGTCAGAGAGGACAGGAGGGCATCTGACACCACATGGCACTGCTGGATGGTGGCCACTGCCCATCCCTGCCTTGAGGATGCCTGTTTGTTCCTCAGTGTTCCACCTAACCACCTGTTTGGGGCTGCTCCCCTAGAAGCTTCCCCTGAGCTCCCTCTATCCAGAGCCAGTAGGCCTCTGACCCGGCACCAGCCTGTTGCCCTTAGGCCCTCTGCAGTGGGCCCACCCTGTGTGCTGTGCTCAGCAGCCTATAGCTGCTCCCTCAGGTCTGGCTCCAGGGTGCCCCAGGCCCCAGCTGGAGGCCCCTGAACTCCTGGCACATCGCCTGGCAAGTGGTAGGTGAGTGAGACAGCCAGAGGGTGAGACAGTGCAGGCATGGGAGGAGGCCCAGTCCAGCTGACGGAGTGAGGCCTCCAGGCCAGGCCCATCTACATCTGAGCTGCGTCTCTTCCAGGATCCCCCCAACACCCCCTGTAAATGGCAGCTGTAACAGATGGCTCTGTTATCTGTCCTGCCCTTTCTGGCGGAGAGCTCCCTGTTTACCACTGAGGCCCAGGCACCCCTGTCGCTCACCCCACTGTTACTGGCCTTTGTCTGGGGAACCACAGCTATCTTCTGAACATCTGTTTTCCCTACAACCTGACAGCACCCCGAGAGCCCTGAGTTGGGGGAAGCAGGAGGAAAGGAAAGGCTGGGTAGTCCAGAGTCTCAACGTGGAACCAGGATCAGTGGGGACAGGCTGTGTCTGCCCTAGGGTGCCTGGGGGTGGGAAGTGTTGTTTAGGTTCTAGACACTGGGACAGAGAGGCCCCCAAGGAGAATGAAGAGCTGGTCCAGGCTCCCAGCCAGTGGTCCTCACAGCTGGGCCAGAGCAGTGGAGAGGCTTCCTGGGGTGTGTGTGCCCCTGACCCACACAGCATGCCAGGCTGTGTCCAGGGTGGCTGCACTCACTTGCCCTGGTCTGGGGTCCGCTGAAGCATGGAGGACACCTTCAGCAGGGTGCTGTGGTCCCGCAGCTGGGCCAGCACCTTGAGCAGCAGCACGATGGAGCGGTTCATGTGCCAGGCAAAGCTGCCCGGCCGGTCAATCTCGTCCACGGGGATCCGCCAGATGCCCTGTGGGATGGATGGCACAGGTGTGTGAGGGGGGTGGTTGTGGCAGGAGCCTCGGGGACACCCTGTCTGGTATCCCCTGGAAACTGCCACAGTGCCAAAGGGGACACTGCCCAGCCAGGGGCTTCTTGGACCCCTCTCACTGTCCCAAGGAGACAGAAGTGTATCCCCACCCCCTTCCTTCTCATGAGTGGCAGCAAATGACAGACAGACCCACTGCTCTGCAGCCTCCTCTTTTGTATGGCTGCATCTCATATGTTTGCTGGACCTGTCCCCTATGGGATGCACTCAGGTGGGGCCTGATCAAACGTGAGGACAGACAGTGAGAGGCCCAGTGTGTACACCTCCCTGCACAGGTGCTTACCCAGCCACCAGACCATTTGTTAGAGGTGGAACTGCTGAGTCAAAGCAGGCTGCAGGGAAGCTCTGGCTAGGCTCTGCCCTCACCCACTCTCTCCAGCAGTGCCCAGAGAATCATCTGCAGCTCCTGGGATGCCTGGGGTCCCCCTCCCTCTTCCCACTTCTTGCCATCCTACCCCACTCCTCTTTGAAGGCTTAACCAGGGCAAAGTTGACTTTGGGGAGCACCCCCCATTATCTCCCTTGGTCCTTGCTTTACCTGCTGCAGCACTGGGCACCCCCTACCTATCACTAGCTCCAGGGCCTGGTTCCCTGCAGTGTCCTAGTGACCAGCATGGCATCTGACACCTACTCGGGGTCCAGGCAGGGTGTGGGGAAAGCAGGGAGTGAGTGATGAGGAAACAGGCATTAAGGAGGCCCATCTCTGGGGTGGGACCTCAGGGGCCTGGAATAAGTGAACTGGCTCCTAGATGGGTCCCTGCAGCCAACACGCTGAAGAAACTGCTGCCCAGAATGGACCAAGGTTATGAGTGACATTGCTTTCTCCTTGGCATGGGGCCTGGCCCACATCATGCTGCAGTATAGGATTCTGGGGACTTGGGCCCCCAGCTACAGGGACCACTGCAGGATGTCTAGGTGGTACCCCTCTCAGGGCCCTGTCCCTGTGGGTCCTTGCTGATTATCCACAGTATCTGTACACAGGTGTGGGCCCACCCTGCTCTAGCAGCCCTGGGAGGAAAGCCAGGGCACCTCCAGCCCTGAGCTGTTAAGGCCTGAGAGGAGTTTAAAACTCGCAGCCTTGAGACCCTGTGGCCTCTACACTGGCTCCTGTTGTGACATGGAGGGTCCACCTGCAGGCTGGGGGACTATGTGGAGGCCAGCAGCCACCTTCTACTTCCTGGCAGTGCCTGAAAAGGACAAAACCAGGGTACTGAGGCTATCCACATCCAGGGCAGCAAACATCAATGCTGCATCTTCCTACCATGCAGATGTGGATCCTGAAGCAGCTTATGAAAAGACACCTGCTTTCCAACAGACAGGGTCTATCTACAGTAGGCACCAGAATGGGCAGACACTGTCTCCTGGGTCTCCATCCGCTGTGCTGCAGCAGTACGTCCCGCTGAAGACCCTCCCATCCCTGCACCTCCCAGGGCACATAGACACCAACAGACACACCCGTGAGGACGGGTCTAGTTTGCATCACACACACCAGCACAGTTTGGATCCCTATCTCCTTTCCGTTTCCTTTTGTAACATAACACTGCTGATTTCAGAAAGGATGGAAGACCAAACAAATCAGGCAGTGAGTCCATGGAAAATCAGAAGGGAACCATAGACACCGCCGCCCGCTTGGCCACCCCCATGCTATTGTGACTCTCAAAACTTCCCCAGCCAGCCCTGAGAGGCTTGAAAGGCAGCATTTTACATTTGCATGTGCTCTGGTTTCATTCTGGCATCTTGCTTGGCCTTTTTCTGGTAACAGTGTGCTGAAGGGCACGTTTCCCGGGCAGGGTCAGGCCAGCTAGTGTGCCCTTGTTCATCTCTTTACTGTATCTTCATTCACATGCCCCAGTATGGGGGCTCCTATGTTTATTTACCTTGCACTGGGCACTATTCCCAGAAGCCCCTTCTGTTGTGGGCTTGTCCTTTCCCTGCCCCCAGGATTGGCCCCCTTGCCTGCTCGGCCAGGCCTAAGACCCACCACCAGCCATGGGAATTCAGCCAGCAGATGGGCCCCAGGATCCCAGTCAGGCTTCCCCTCCTAATGAGAGCCTTTAGGAATAACCCCTCTTCTCTGTGGCCTGGGGCGGTGTGCAGATGGACATACCTCCCGAACGGTGAGGGGACTTCCTATGGCCATGAGGCTGGCCTCCAGAGAAAGCTGGTCTGAAGAGTGAAGCCACCAGGCAGAGTCACGAGCCAGCAGGGTGGTAGCAAGCCAACTGGCTTTCTGCCTACACCAGGTGGAGCTGGGCTTCTGTGTTTGCAGCAAGAGACCCATGAGAAGGATGATACTGGCAGCCCCAGGATGACCTGGACACAGCGGTTCCCCACAGAGGGGCAGTAGCCACAGCAGCCCTCTCCCTCCACTGTCCCTCTAACACCGGGCCTGTGGAGGGCTATGAAGCTCCTAGAGAACCAAGGTGCTGAGGAGGGTCTCCTGGAGTGGGACAGGTACAAGGGACAGCCCCTGCTTCACCTGGTTTTCCTCACCACGGCCCACACAGGAGGAAGGGGCATGGCCAGGTTCCAACTGCCACAGCAGAAGCCCCACTGCATTCAGCCCAGGGACTCACGTTCGGGCCTCAGGGAGGGTGTGGAGAATGTGCCAGGGGTGAGCTTGGATAAAGCTAAGTCAGGGCCAGAAAAGAAGGGCATAGGCAGCAGTGACCAAGAGGCCTGGCTGAGGGCAGGTGGAGGGAGCCAGCACCAGGCCAACACCCCCACGGCATCTGAGGGAAAGGCAGAGGCAGGATCATAGATGGGCAGGGGCCATAAGTAGCAGCTGAGAGAAGCAGGGTCGCCGCGAGGAGGGTCTCCTCTGGCCCTCTCCTAGTTCTCCCTCAGCCCTGGGTCCCGCTGCTCTGGCCGTACCCCTTGCCTCGCCTCTCCCAGTTCCACAGGCACACTTGCTGTCTTCAGATTTGCCCCACTTGATTCCTGGGCCCTGGTGTCACCAGGGCTGGGTTCCCTGATGGCCACAGTGGCTGGGATAATGCTTGCTTATAGAGTTGAGGGCAGCTGGGGGTGCACACCAATAGCCTCAGAGGACTTAAAGACACTGAGATTGTGCTTGAGGCTTCCCCTCCATGCCAAGCATCTCTTTCCAGGCATCTCAGTCAATCCCCCAACCCTTCAGAACGGCTCTAGGCTCCTCACTGGCAGATGAGGTCACAGAGAGAGA
Source organism: Homo sapiens (assembly GCF_000001405.40). Classification (NCBI taxonomy): domain Eukaryota; kingdom Metazoa; phylum Chordata; class Mammalia; order Primates; family Hominidae; genus Homo; species Homo sapiens. The sequence goes on along the minus strand of NC_000022.11, from coordinate 24,161,138 downwards.
TTTTAACAATCTGAATAATTTATGAAGCCCCAGACTCTAAGCTGAGTGCCTGATACAAGTTACCAAACCCTGCCTACAGCCTTAAGACTTTGGTGGTCTTCCCTCTGCTCTTGAGGAAACAGAGCCTCAAACACTGAGTCCCATGGTAGAGTGAGCCTAGGGGTCCACAGAGGGAGGGCATGACTGCTATGATTTGGGAACCCACGAAGACTTTCCTGGGGGAACTGAGAGCTGGTTAAGTGGAGGTGGTAGGATGCTGCCGGGCCAGCCTGTGCTCTTGCCCTGTCCATTTATGAGGGGGCTGGGAAGCAGGGTGAAGTGCCTGGGGGCAGGAGGGCTGTGCAGTCTTGGCAGGTGGCACCACTTCGAGGTGACAAGTGTCCCTGAAGTTATAGAACACTGCTATTCCCGGCCAACAGGCCAAGGCCATGCCCAGGCCCATGGCTCATGGCTCATGCTGTCTCCAGCACACTGTGGTCTCAGGGGAGCTTACTCCTGGAGGGGCAGGGGCTCTCTTTTCTGCCAGACACAGCCTTTCACTCAGCCAGGGCCAACCCGGGGCTCGACAGCCTGATGCCACAAATTCAAACACTGTTCTGATTCTCATTGTAAACCCCACTGCTGGCTGCTGGGTCACTGCTTGGGCCATTTTTAGTGGCACAGCCCAAGGCTGTTCTGAGGCTCCCTGAGCTGAGGGTTCCCAGCTCTATCTGTCACCTTGGCGGACCCCACCTTTCAGTCATGACTCCTTCTAGAGCTTCCTCCACTTCTAGGGCACAGGCAAAGGCTCTTCAGGAAATCAAGTGCCCCTGGAAATTCCAAGGCAAGAAAGAAGGGTAAGCAAGAGGAGCAGGCCAGTCAGAACAGTACTCAGACCCAAGGCACGAGCTTGTCACAGAGTGGACGAGGGTCAGGTGTGGGCTGAGTAGGGACATAGAGATTCATCCTATGTCTACACTGGGAGGGACAACCTGAGTATGTAATCAACTCACCCCTCATTTTCCAGAGAGGGAAACTGAGTTCAGGTGACCTGCCAAGGCTGCCTAGTGATGCAAAGTGGGACAGGACCCAGGGGCCAGACTCGCCCACCTCAAGTCTCTTCCTACACCCCTGCTTAACACTCAGAGGAACAAGAAATTGGCAGCCTCCCTGTTTTACAGATGTAGAAATGGAAGCATGGAGAATGCAGTGATGCCAGTTCACCTCGGTTTTGAAAAGGTGCCTCTTAAGACTTGCAAAGGCCCATTGCAGGGGCAGGCTGCCACTGGAATGCCTGCCTGTGGACGGGGTGGCTGGCAGGTGGCCAGTGTCTTCCACCAGCACCATGGGTGCCTCAGGGTGTCATAATTAAGTCCCTTGGGCAATGTTGCAGGAAATGGCCTCTAAGCAAGCTCTCTGCTGGCCTTTTCCAGCTGTCCCCTGCTGCCACACCCACAGGATTCAGATGCAACCCCCTGCCCCATTCTGTCATTCCCAGGGCCATGCCCAGCTGGGATGCCACGTGAGGCTCAAGCAAGAGGGCAGAAGAGGGAGGAACCATACTTGGGAGTAGACAGAATGGCTGTGAAGGAGCTGCCTGGGCGCTGCACAGGGGTGCTGAGGAAGGAACAGGCCATGAGGTGCCAGGAGCCACCTGGGAGACCCAGGGCACCTGGCCTGACAAGGGAGCAAGCAGGCAGCTGGGCAGGTGGTCATCTACTTCACACAGCAGTCTCTTTCCTCTCCAGCTCACCCAGGTTGTCCAATCCAAACTAGCCTGAGTCTGCTAGGGGCCTTCTTGGGCTTGGCCCGGCCTGGTCAGGCACTGCCTGCAGGGTTGCCCCCAGCTTCTGACGTCAGCAGCCAGTTTCAAGGGCCTGAGTCTTGAACGGGAATAGCTGCCCTGCCACAGTCCCCTGGACTCTGGGCTCCCCAGGGTGGAGCAGATGGGTGGTGCAGGCAGGAGGGCTGCATCTCTCTGGCTCACACCTATACCTCAAGGCCTTTGAGCAGAGCCTGGCCTCCTGGGAGACTCAAGATCTGTGAGCCAAGATGAAATCTCAGAGAACTCCTGAAGCCCCTGGGGGGAAGAGAAGCCCACAGGCAGAGAGAGTCAGGACAGACAGGGGCCCCTGGGTCCTGCCTGCAGACTGCCCAGAAAAGTAGTATTCCAGGTAAAACCCACAAATCCTGGCCTCCACATCCCTTTGCCCTTGGTGTAGCCCTAAGGTGACTCTGATTCCCAAGAGGGCTGGAAAAGTGTCTTGTCCTCCCTCATGTTCCTAGCGCCACATCCAGGCTACCCCTGAGTAGGCATTGGAGAGTTTATGCCACAGATAAATCCCTTTCAAGGATGCTGGGGAAGCCCAACTTCCCAGTGATCCAGGGTGAGGGGACAGGAGAGAAGCTGGAACAAGAAGTAATGGGCTAGGAGAGCAAGGGATGTGGGGGGTTTTTGAAGAAAGCCAGAAAAAAACCAGGATGCAGCTGGTGCCAGAGAAGAAGCGTCGGCCAAGCAGATGAGGAAATGGGCAGCCGAGTCAGGGGTATAGCAGTGACTCCCTCAGAGTCTTCCCCATCACCCGCAGCGTCCTGAGCGGAAAGTGGGTAATTTTAATCCTGACTTTTAACTCAGCAAATACAGTACATGTATTTTCCCACATCACCAAAAACATCATTCAAAATGACCACAGAGCCCTTCACTGCACAGTGAAGTGGGCTACTGGTGAGCATCTGGCTCTGGGACTTAAGGATTCTGATGAAGAATGCTGGGCTGAACATACTTCTCCACAAAGCTTTTCTCCCTCTCTTCAAGATAGATCACCCAGAGGGGACCACGAGAGTGGGCACGCAGCAGCAGGCTGGTCTCCAGGAAGCAGGTCCTGGGTGCCTGAGCTGACACAGTGGGTGAGTGTTCTGTCTTCCTGGGCCCTCCTAGCCCCAAGCCAGCCCTGTATGCCCGTGGTAAGATGGGTGGGCAAGGCTTCCTGGAGGAGCTCAGCTCTGCCAGCTCTGTTCACAGAAAACACGACACTGTGAGCAACCAAGGGAGAGCCCGTTCCCCTGGTGGAGGGATTCCTCCAGCATCCCCCGTGGCACGGGTGTCGTGGTGACTCAGTGCTCGGAACAGGCGAGGGCGGGGAGCCTGTTGGCATCCCATTCCCAAGAGCAGTGGGCACAGGGTGTAGGAGCAGACTGCATTGAGCTGAGGGCCAGCTGCTGAGTGGGTGGCTGCAGCTAGAGAGCGATGGAGCCTCTCAGCAGAGAGGGCTGCTGGGAGAGGAGATTAGGGGCCTCCCCGCCCCCCCAGAAAAGCATAAAAACTTCCTCCTGGTTCCAGCCTATTCTTAAGCACCTCAAGCGGAGCCAGGAAGGGGATGGAATCTGGCCCTGAGGTCAGGAGCAGCTGTGGGGAAAATACCAAAATCCTCTACAGTCCTGGGGAGACCCCTGTTACCCACAAACCCACACAAGTCACCAAAGCGGCGAAACAGCTTGGAGGAAAAGGAGGGGATGGCGTGGGGCGTGTAGGGCAAACTTCATCTCCTGGGGCCAACCGTCTTCACAGGCTGCCTGCCCAGCTCCTTTAACACATGATTTCACTTACACCTTGCTGGGGGAGAGACTTGTTCCAGGGCAGCCAGCCTGCAGGGAGCCAAGACTACAGCTGAACTAAGCCTATCATGCTCTTTGCACTCTACCCGGCTTGTCCCTAAGGAAGATGAGCATCACAGACAGAGCCAGGCCGGCTGGGCAGCACCCCTCCGAGCCCTGGCCCAGATTGCCCCTTCTGGAGCCTCCCTACTCAGGAGTCCCGAAGCCTTTAGAGGCAGGACTGAGTTTCCAGACCAGCAGCTCCCTATCTTCCTGATGCCCTGAGGAGCTGAGGGTCTGGCCCCTCCCGCAGTCCTGTTCCTCCCCTAAGGTTGGGAGGAAAGGGGCCCCAGAAGCAGGCCAGGTTGAACACCCCTAGGGACAGGAAGTTCCTGCAGCTTCTACCACAAACCTATCAGGGCGGGCCTCTCTGGCCGCAGGGTTGTACACAGGCCACCAGGGGCGCCCTGGCCTCCGCCCACTCCTACACCCCACCCCCCACAACGCGGTCCTGTCTCTCCAGGCGGGGCTACTGAGGGCAAGGGATTCCCCGCGCCATCCACAGGTAATGATTCTCTCTGCAGACAAGGGCTGGGAAAGCCTGCAATTTGCCTGCAGCTGGCGCCCGCTCGTTTCCAGCCTCTCCTGCCAAATAAGACGTGGAGCGCTAAGGTCCCCAGAACTGCCGGGCTGTTCCTCCCTTCCCCCTCCCGGGAAAAGCAGAAACGACAAACAACCAAGTGCATGGGAGAGCCCCGCCGCCAACTCTGCTGTAGGCTCTATGTGCCCACCCCCCATCCCATGCAACCGTTACCCCTAACCTCACTCCTCCCACTCCGCTGCGGGGCAAGGTCCTAGCCCAGCGCACATAACGGGCCGGTGCTTGTAAAGGGCTGGAACCATCTTCCTGTCCCCGCACAGCACCTATTTATAGCTAGCGAAGCACCGCGCCCGGACGCGCTGCCCACCCGGCCGGGCGGCCAGCTCACCATCCCCAAGAGCGGCACGGCACAGCTCCTCGTCGGCGCCTTCCGCCGCAAAGTTGCTCTGGCGGGCGGCTTTCGCTTTCGCGCAGCGCACGCCCCCACGAGCCAGCTCCCAGCCCGGGGCTTGGTAGGGCTGGATGCGCTGGCGCGTGTGCGGGCTTCACCAGCGCCTGCCGCCCCCGCGCGCCGCCGCCCAAGCCGGCTTGGCCGCCCACCTGACGCTGAACCGGGTGCCAGCCCGCCCTGGGCATGGGGGCGCAGCACCCCGCCGCCGGCCGATTTCCTCCGCGGGGGCGCCGGGGAAACCACAGCCCACGGGCTTCCTGCTGCGCCTGGTGCGCCGAGGCGGGGGGCGGCCGCCAGAGCCCACCAGGGGACGATTGAGCAAAAGCGCCAGCAAAGTGGAGACCCAGACGGGCAGCGGAGGCGAAGCGGTTGCGCAGCCCCAGCCCCGGCCCCAGTCCCGGCCCCAGTCCCGGCCCCCGCCCCCGCCAAGTTCCTACCCGCCGGCTCCGCCGTGGCATCTGTGCAGTGGAGCTAGGGCGAGCGCCGGGCCATGGCCGCGGAGGCTCGTTCGCTCTCTCGCTCGCGGCGGGCCGGGGCGGGGCAGGCGCGGCCGGACGGGGCGCCGGCACTCTACTGGAAGCGGGCCCAGGAGCGCAACTGACTTTTGCCGGCCAATCCTCTCCGGTTCCCTGGACTGGCCGCTGGTGGCGGGCTGTGGACCGCTGCCGGGCAAAGTGGGTGCAGCTCTCACTGCAGGAAGCTGTGGGGCCCCAGAGAGCATGGTGTAGGGGTGGCCAGGAGTGCGGCAGGCCGGGATGGCATTGGCCAACTGTGTGTGAGGGTTATATCCCCCCTCTGCAGGCGGTGCCTATGTGAATGGCGCCCCCTGGAGTTGTGCCAGTAGTGCCCTGTGGCAGGCAGAAGTGTAGGTGTGTGGGGGAAACGACTGGCCACAGCCGAGCTGTCCTTGCTGTTACAGTTGGGCAGGGGGGCTGCAGTGAAGACCGCTGGAGTAATGTCCTCAGGGCGGAGGGCAAAAAAGAGATGCCATGGTAAGTGGGTTTTACAGCTGGAAGGGGCCTCATCTTCCAGCTAGGCTGTGAGGCCCACAGAGAAAGCACTGGGTTTGAGGGGTAGGGTTGGGAGTAGTAGGCAGCTCTCAGGACACCCCTTCCCCCAGTTTCAGTATTCCAAGAACAGCAACAGTACCCCATCCCCAGGACATGAGCAGCTTTGCAGAGCTCAGGGAGGGTCGCTCTCCGGCCTGGAAGCGGGTACTGTACCCTGCTACAGATGAGAAACAGGCTCAGGAGGGGAGGGCCTCACTCACAGCGTCTGGCCAATGCCCCTGGTACTCACAGCTCCAGTGTGCACACAGCATCTTCCTGATTTCCCATGAAGGTAGGCTGCACTGGGACAGTCTACCAACTCCTGGCTGCTCCTCCCACTCCAGCTGAGGGGAGGCCAAGGAAAGGCAGGGATGGGCCAACCTGCACGGGCTAGGTGAGAGAGATGCTGCCCCAAGCCCTGGCTTACCCACCCCCAACCCTTTGCCCCCATGAGCTTCTCTCTTATCACATAGCGAGCTTCTCTCTTATCACATAGCGCCGTTCCTCCCTCCACAGACACCCAGGGGCCTCAGACCCATTTAGCCCCTATCCTGGTGACACCTGTCCTAGTGACATCTCCTCTCTGAGCTGGCTGGTTTCCACCTGGCCTACCCCTGGGCTGGTTCCTGGAGCCAGCGGTCCAAGGCTTACTCTGTGCCCCTTCCAGGTACCCCTAGTCCAAATCAGCCCCAGGTCCAACCTGCCCCTTCAGCCTGGGTAATGTCACACTCTCTGCCCTCCTTCCTTCCCTCCAGGAGGAACTCAAGAGGCAGTGCCTCAGGATCTCCTCGAGGGATACTGCTCCCTGCCAGGCACTGGACTTGCTGCTGGGGACACAGAAGAAGGAGGCTGGGTTACCTAGAGATCATTCACTTGCAGGGGAGTCACAATGAGCACAAGCTACCTCAAGGCTGTGTGAGGACAAGGGGCTCCTCACCATGGTCAGGGTCTTAAGCAAGGAGTTCTAAATCTGCATGTTGCTCAAGCCACAACAGCCCCTTGCCATCTACCTACATTCATATAGTCATTTGACAGACACACATAGGGACAGGTTCAGAAACACTGGACACTGGTGCAGTCACACAGCAATAAGGCCACTATGGCTGGGACCTGTCCCCAAGGCCCGACTAGCTCCAGAGCTAGTTGGGCCACTCTTCCCGGCTGTCCACAGGGCTGTAGCAGACACGAGGACCAAAGCGACACTCACACCTTGCACAGCTCATGACCTTACTTCATACCTTATCTACTTCCTGTAAGATCAAGTTGGACCAAAGGAAGCTGAGAACATCTGCTCATCACACCCAGGCCAGGAAGAAACTGTGTGTTGTCTGTGGTGAGTGTGTGGCTCTCTGGAAACTAGTCCCCTGCATCCCAGAGGCCTCCAGGTCCATCACGGGCAGCACCTAGCTCTCCCCAGCGCGCATGCCTTCCCACAGAAAGAGTAGAGTGGATAGGTGCTCTCTCAGACACATTGCCAAAGAAGGGATCTGCAGGCACCACTCCACCTACCAGCACAGATGAACACACTGAGGCTCAGAATGGGCTGGGCAGCTTGGGGTCCCAGTGCCTGGCTATCACAGCAGGAGGGAGTCCTGTGGTGGAAGAGGGGAGCTCAGGGCTTCTGTGCTAAGCCTCTGCTGAGTAAAGCCTCTGGGGAGACTTCCCTGGGAGAATGTTGCTCCCAGCTGGGCTCCGAGGCCTTGTGGGTTCCAGCTTCCTTGGTCCCCCTCCCAGCACCACACGATGTCCTGCACTCTGTGCCTGTATCTGTGCCAGCCCTCTCCAAAGCCCCATCAGATGGATACTGCCATGTCTGACAGGTAAAAACACTCAGGCCCTGAGCATGGAGGTTCCTCACTAAGCTGAGCCTTACCCTGTCACCCCCCAACCCCCCAGGAAGTGCTTGTGTACATACCAAGAGGTCCCTGGAGCGTCATGTGATAGTGCTATGACAATCAGAGGCTGGTGAGACTGCCTGCCCTGATCCTTGAGGATTCTCTGGGCTCAAAGAGCTGCGCTTACTGGCACTGTCAGCACCCTATGCAGGAAAACCCTGTGGGACCTAATTACCCACAAAGCACCTGGATGTCCAGGACACAAGCCTCTGACCACTGCCCCAGAGAGAGAACTGCTTACCCACCTCAGGGCCACTCCTGAAGGCCTATGAAGTTGCAGCTCTCTGCCAACCTAAGGAGCCCAGGAGACCAGGCCACCCCAGCCATGCTCACCCACAGGCCAGCAGGAGCCTGCTTAAGTGGTCACACCCTCCTTGGAAATATATGCTTGGCCTTTGGCTCACGTGGCTGGTCCAAGTAAGTACCTTCACACCCCCCACCCCAGTGGTGGTGGGCTTCTGGTCCTGCAAATCCAAGGCCCAGATCCCAGAGCTAGGCTGCTGCCAAAGGTGCTGTCGGCTGAGCTGCCCAGGGGACCTCATAGCCCCAGTGGCACCCTATAGCCATCCCTTCCAAGGCCTGAGTGGGTGCAGACCTGTAGATTTCTCCTGGCTCCTTTCTTTTTTTTTCTCTGCTCTGTCGCCCAAGCTGGAGTGCAGTGGTGCAATCTTGGCTCACTGCAACCTCTGTCTCGTGGGTTCAAGCAATTCTCCTGCCTCAGCCGCCCAAGTTGCTGGGATTACAGGCACACACCACCACGCCCAGCTAATTTTTATATTTTTAGTAGAGATGGGGTCTCACCATGTTAGCCAGGCTGGTCTCAAACTCCTAATCTCAAATGATCCACCTGCCTCAGCCTCCCAAAGTGCTGGGATTACAGGCGTGAGCCACCGTGCCTGGCCCTGGCTCCTTTCTTGCCGTGGCAAGAATGTTCCTCAGTGTTAACAGTCCCCGTTCTCAGCCTGGGAGCTTTGAAGCTTCCAGTTGGTTTGGAGGCACAAGGCCTTGCTGCTGCTTACCTGCCTCCCTGCTGTGGGACACTGGCTCTGTGTGACCTGTGTCTGGCAATTTTTCTACCTAGAGTGTGACAGCAGAGACTGCTGAGCCTTACAGTTCCGAGTCAGCCAGTTTCCTCTCCTTTCCCCAACGGTCGAGACAGAGTGAAGTGCGTTTCTCCTCCCTAGACCCACAGACCCCCAAAAACCATCCTGTCCAGATGCCCACAGCTCCACTTGATTCTTGCAGGCTAGAGCTTCTGCTACTCAGAAATTGTCCAGCCTGTGCTGAACTTTAGATGTCACTGAGTCCAAATGCTCTGTGTGAGCCATGAGTGAGGACGCAGAGATGAGGAAGACAGAAATGACCTTCCTGGGTCAGCCACAGCAGGGATCGACTCAAGGATCCCTGTCCCTCAGTCTGGGGCTGCCTCCATCTCAGTGGACAGCTGTGCCTGGATCACGTGCACATCCACGGGGACGGCACATGCGGCACCTGGTGTGCACAGGGCTGTTGTTGCTACCAGTGCCCTACTGAAGGGGAAAAGATGCCCCAAGATGGCTGTCCCCACAGTTCTCCATCACCAGGAGGCAGAACTGGGATCTTAGTCACCAATACCAGGGCTCTTGTGGATGGGCAGTGACCCAGCCACAGCCTGGAGGACTGAGTGGAGGAAGGATGGGCCACTGGAGGAAGGTGAGGATGGCAGGGGCCTAGGACAGACAGGAGAATGAGGAGGGCAAGAGGTGGGTAGGCAGTGCATGCAAAGGGGGTGCGTGTGGCAGTGGGTACCATATCTGGGTGAGGACCTTTGTGGAGAGAGAGGGGTTGCAGGGAATCTGGGGAACAGATTGGGCAGAGAAGACTGGCCAGCAGGCTCCAAGGCCTCTTGGTGTGAGCTGAGGCCTGAAGTGTGATCTGATGGAATCAAGAGCCTCCCTGAGGCAATAGGATGCTTATACTGGGCCCCTCTGAGCCCCACCCCCACCTTGCTGCCCAGGCTTCTAGAATAGCCCACTCTTTGGAAGACTGCTGAGCTGCTTCTGTTTCATCTCAGGAGGGGAGCCCGGATCTTAGAAAAGCCACATCTGACATTCACATGGAGAAAAGTAGGGCAGTCGATCCATCTTCTGACCCCTGGTCCCTAAAAAATGGCTTTTGTGGGCTTGTGGGGATCTGGCTCCTCTGGCTAGGCTGCAAGGTAGGGAAGGTCATGGGGAAGCAATGGGGGCAGGGAGAATTCCTTGGAACCAAACTGTGGTTTCAGGCCATGAATGGTGGCAGTTGCCATGGTCTGTGCCAGGTGTCCTCCCTGGACGGCCTGCACAGGATCTTTGTCAGATAGACCCCCTTTGTGCAGGGAGGGGGCCAAGCTGAACAGGTAGCGGGAACAGGCACTCTGGTAGCATGGGTTAGCCTGACCACGAGCCAGAGGTGAGGTCCTAGGCAGAGCTGGTACCTCCAAGGGCGTTCGGGTTCCCAAGTAGGCTCACATCCCACTACCTCTTACTGCCTCATGACAGCTCTAGGGAGAAATCCTTCAATCCCCTGTGTTGCCTCAGAAAGGGAACAAACTTGCCCATGCTTGCCCTACAGAGTCACCCCCAAACTAGAGGGACAAATTTGAGATGTGACCAGAAAGACTTGACCCAAGCATAGCACCCTCCATTACGGCACCAAGGCCTCCCACCCCTTATGTGAGGGAATGGGACAGGGTCCATCTGCCAGGAAGAGGGTCACTGGTTCGGACCAGCTCCCACACTGACAAGATGCTCCCACTGGAGAATAGCAGAATTTAGCCTAGGTCTAACTCCAAACCCAGCACTCTTCCACCAGCGGAGCCAGAAGTGCCTCTGATTATCTGTGGCCAAAACGTACTCTCTCAGCCACCAGGGTTTGGGGTCTTCTCAATCCCACCTCAGCACTCTCTTGGTCTCTCTAGCCCCCTGTCCTGTCCTAGGCTTGCACTCTAAGCTATGCAGTCCGCTGCTCTCAGAGCTCCCTCCAGCAGCCACAGCACTCGGGCCTCCACACCCCGAGGTGGTTTCACTGCCTAGAACAGAGCCGGCCTGCTGATGGTGGTGGCAGGCAGCCCTTCAGGACTGGCCTAGTCTGCCCTCCCCACTGCTGCCTCCCTCCACCCCATGAGGGACCCTCACGCTGCAAACTGCCTCTCTTGGTTTTCCCTCCTGGAATGCCTTCTACTGAGTCTGTCTGACAATCTGGCCAACTGCAAGGTCAGCGCAGGCCTCCAGGAGAGCTCCCAAGCACACTTGCTGAGGACTGGCAGCCACCTCTTTCCTGTACCTGCAGCGCCCTGAGACTCACACAGTAGTACACTCAGGGCACCTGCTAAGAGCTGGAAGTGGTGCTCATAACCAGCCTCACAAAAAGTAAAGCTAAGGGCGGTGGGCTCCCAGCAGTTGGAGCCCTCCCTCTTACCACTGTTTCCCGAAGCACAGTTATCTCCTGTCTCCCAGGAGAGGAGCTCCTCATCTGTAGCCCTTGGGAGCCAGCCTTCCATGTCAAAGGCCTCCACAACGCAGCCTCTTTTGGTGCCCCACACCCGTGAGGCAGGGCCAGGTTCCTTCCCCATCAGGCCGAGGCCTCATGTGCCTGCCTGGCTGGGCTGTATGGAGTCTGGGCCTAAGCCGAGGCATGGCCTGGAGTCCAAGGCTCCTCCACCCCTCCTCTGAATATAGCCAGGTAGGCTCCTCCCTGGAAATAAAGCTCAGAGCTGGACCTATGGTGGCCAGTTCTTGCTGTGTGCTTTCTCCAGCCTGGGGTTCCCAATAGCAGGCTCTGAGCAGTCTAAACAAATGACTCAATATCCCTATGCAGCAAGGGAGTTTGGAGAACTCTATAGTTCTCCAGTGATGTGCCCAGTGATGGGGTGGAGTCCACGGGGAAGAGCCATGAGGCTCTACCTGCTCTGACCTAACTTAATTCTAGACTATTTACTCATATTTAGAGATCAGCATTTCAAAACTTGTATTTTGAATAAATCAAATTCCTACGATTCCTTCATGTGGCCTTCTCAATTGGCCCTGATCCATCTCACCTTCTCCCCCACTGACCTCAGTGAGCCTATCTGTAGCATGTCTGCCTTTATCCATGGTCCTTTTCCCTATCACAAGTCCCCTGGACACAATGGCAGTGTTGTGTGCCGGGCAGGCCCTGGGGGCCCATGGTAGTAACATGCTTTCCCAGAGTGTTCTCACGTGACCCTCCCCATAACTCTAAGAGGTGGGTCTGGTCAACCCCACTTTGCAGATAAAGAAACTGAGGCTGACAAACACTGACCAGCTTGCTCAAAGCCACTCAGGTCAGGATTGGAGCCTGAGGCTGGCTGGGGTGATCCTCACCGGGCTCACAGGTGGGTATAGGACACCCATCACAGAGGCCCATGTGTGAGGGAGTCCTTGGTCTGTTCCTCTTGGTCCCCAGGAGCACTTGTCAGCTGCAGCCTGTCATCATGGTAATCAGGCACCAAGCTCTGCTTTTGGATTTCAATCCCAATGCAGCTCTCTCAGATGCAACTTGGTCAAACTTGCCAAATAGGAAAAAAGTTGTGTGTGGGGTTGGGGGAAAGCAGAGGGAGGAAAAAGGGAAGAGAAAGGGAAAGAGGGCAAATTTCCAGACTGAAGCCACCCCAGAAAGGAGGCTGGCCACTGACCTAAGGGTTGACTTCTCTGGGATGGCCGCTGGTGGCAGGGCAGAGGAGAGCCCACAGCCTCCGCTGGGCTCACACCCGGCCTGCTCAGGAGCCTAGGCTGCAGGGGGGTGCAGCCTGAGCGGGTGGGGCCTGGCCCTTCCTGCCTCTGCTGGAACAGCTGCCCTTTCATCTGTTTTCCATTTGGGCATGACAGAAAGGCTTCTTTTGGAAAAAGGACTGGAAAACCACTGATATCATCCAACTGGCCCACCTTTGGAAATGGAGAAACTAAGGTAAAAGGGGCCAAGACCAGGAAGTCACAGCAGGACTAAATTCTGAGGACAGGGCAGTGTCCACACTGGGAGCAGGCAAACAGGGAAGATCAGAGGATTATGCTGGACTTCGACCAGGTGCTATGGTCTTCAGAGCCCCTCCTGCTGTCTACAAGTCCCAGCCACACCTACTGAGGCTCCTGCCACAGAGGGCAACCCTAATGACATGCACAGCAAAGGATGGGAGCCCTCAGGACTGCTTGTGCCCTTTAACTCTGGGGCTCAAAAGTCAGCCAGGGCCCTTAGAGAGTCTGGGGTAGCCCCAGGCTCTTGGCTGCCATGAGAATGAATCCATATGGCCCTGCCATAAAGACACACTCTTCTATTGGAACAGCTCAAACATTGTCCATCTCTGGGCCATGGGAGGTACCACCTGGGCCCCTTGCTTGGACTTCCACGGGCAATACCCATGTGGAGTGAGCACCCAGTGCTCTGTGGGCTGAGAGGACAGTGTAGTGGTGGCACTGCCAAGTCTTCTCTCAAGAGGGAAACTTCTAACAGCAACCCCCTCCTCCTTTTGGTCCCAAGATGGGGTGCTTGTAGTCCCTGCCCCTGCCAGGTCCTGCAGCTTCTTGTGGCCACAGCCCTCCCTCAGCCTCTTCCTGCCTGCTCACACCCAGACTCTGCCTTTGCCCAGGCTTTCCTGAATGTGAGTGGGCCACCTGCTCAGTCTACTTTCCAAAGCCTTGCTGAAGGTCCCACACCTCCGCTTGCAAGTGTACCTCCCCCTGCAGACAGTGCACCTGGGCCCAGAGCAGTGTCCTACGAGGACAAAGCATGTAGAACAGGAAGCTCTGCCCAAGCTGAGACCGCCACACACAGGCCTGAGAAAGATGCAGCTAGGGCCAGGCACACTGGCTCATGCCTGTAATCCCAGCACTTTGGGAGGCTAAGGAAGAAGTATTGCTTGAGCCCAGGAGTTTGACACCATCCTGGGCAACATAATGAGACCTGTCCCTCAAAAAAAGATGTGCGCTGGGTGTGGTGGGGCACATCTGCAGCCCCAGCTACTTGGGAGGCTAGGGCAGCAGGATCACTTGAGCATGGGAGGTCGAGATTTAGTGAGCTGTGATCACGCAAGCCACTGCACTTCAGCCTGGATGACACAGTGAAGCCCTGTCTCAAAAAAAAAAGAAAGAAAGAAAGAAAAGAAAAGAAAGAGGAGGGAAGGAGAGGTGGAGGGAAGGAAGGAAGGGAGGAACGGAGGGAGGGAGGCAGGGAAGCAGGGAGGGAGGGAGGCAGGGAGGGAGGGAGGAGAGGAGGGAGGGAGGGAGGGAGGCAGAGAGGCAGGGAGGCAGGGAGGGAGGGAGGGAGGCAGGGACGGAGGGAGGGAGGCAGGGAGAGAGGGAGGGAGGGAGGTGCTGCTGGGATACATTCCAAGAACAAACCTCTGAAAAATAACTTGTGGTGGGAAATGAAGTTCATGCTGAAAAATGCTCCTCTATTCAGGAATGTTAAACAGCGAGCTCCTGACTGAATACCCAGGGCAGCTGGGGGCAGAGGGGGCTGTGGGCTGAGGTGGTGGATGTATATACAAACACTGGCATCCCACTAGGGAAAAAATAGCAGCTGCTTCTGATAGGCTGGGCAGAAACTCCGGCATGGAGGCTGGCCCAAGGGACATGGGTTCCCAGTCTGGGCTCTGCCACTTACTGGCTATATGACCTTAGGCAAGTCATGAGTGCGCTGTCTGCAGAGATTCTGCACCTCCTAGCAGGATGGTCATGGGGATTCCATGGGATCATGAATGCTAAGGGCTTAACAAGATCATCTTCCTCTGCCCAAGCATCCTGGCTTTGCCAGAATTTTGAATCCACATCTGGAGATGAAAACTGTCTCCGGATAGCCAGAAAATAATTTATACCAGGAACGATGGTCTAAAGGCTGCTTACATTTTATTTATTTAATTATTTTTTTAAAAATTCTAACTGTGAATGCAGGTGGCCTGGCTTTTGCTGTGGTCCTGTCAGGGCAGGGGCCTGGGTAACCTGTGGCCTTGTCCCTGCCACTCCTCTGTGTGTACTTCCTCCTACTGACCTCTCCTACTGGTGAGGACACACTGTAGCTTCTCAGGCAGGAAGCACCCCCTCTCCACCTGCTGCCTCTCAGGCTTGCCCCTCCCCAGACAGGGCGGCCTTCAGACCTGCTCCAGGCTGAACACGGGGGCTGTGCAAGCCGGAAGCTGTGAAGTTCCACAAAGCTTGCAGAGCCCAGGATGTGGGAAGGAAGGAGAGCTCGGGGATACATTTAGAATCCACACAAGTTTGCTAACTCTTTTAAGACTCTTAAAAACAGGACCTTTTTTCCCTGGAGAACTTGAAGTGTTTCTTTTGTTTACTCTGCTTGTGCAACTGGCCCATAGATCATCTCAGCAATGCTAAAAATAGTGCTAGTGCAGCAATTCCTACTACAGCCAAGTAGCTCTTATTTCCTCAATTTAAACTTTTTTCTTTCTTTTCTGTCCTATGATTCCCACTGTTATGTGACTGGGTTTCCTTTGATCCCCTGACAGTCCTAAGGGCTGCTGCATACCTCAGTTAATCTTAGTGATAGAGGAGGTACTCAGAGAGGCCAGATGACCTGCCTAGGTCACAGCCAAGGGCAGAGCCAGAGGCAGAAGCCCAGCCCATTTCCTCACCAGCCAGGGTGGGATGTCTACAGCCACTGGTGACTTGTTATCATGGGGATACCCCAGGAAAAGCCACAATCAATCCCAATTTCTTCTGAAAACCAGATGACATTGCGCATTAGGAGCTGAGACTACCCTTGGGGAAAGAGTGGGATAATAAGCAGCACCCTTCCATCCTAGCACGGCCTTGAGTGGCATCTCTACTGTGTTGCGTCCATCCTCCACTGAGGACACTGCTTGCCCTCAGAGGCATCCTAGCGCCCTGTCCATTGGAGGACAGACATATGCATGCACGCAGACCCAGGGCCACATGCCTGGCACACCAGGCAGAGACACACGGGACGACAGATCTGAGCATCAGAGTGCCAGGGCTGAGCACCAGGTCCCCCAAGCCCACCTCCTCGGCCCTCTTGTACTCCGCTTCCCCTCATCCCATCAGTCCACAGGCAGTCTGGGTCCTGGCTCAGAACACCTAAATCCTGGCTCAGGTGCAAACTTGCTGTGTGCCTGTCTCGTTTTCTTAATTTGCGAGGCAGGGACAATGGCACTACCTACATCTCATGAATTATGAGAATTCAACAAGCCATTGTATGTAGAAGTGCCAAACACAGCACTTTGGAGCCCTGAGGAATGGTGGGTTGACAGTGCTCCTGCTGCCTCTGCCCCAGCCCCAGCCCCAGCCCAGCCCCTCCAGTGCATTCAGGGCAGCTAGTGCAACACCTGGAAGACGCTCCTCAATTCAGTCCCCCTTTCTTTGTGAGAAAGACCAAACTGCACCTGGCCCAGGAAAACAGGGTCCAGTGGTGGCCAGCTGGCCACCCACCACTGCGTATAGCATGCAACTCTGCGAGGCCCTCCCTGATGTGCATGTGGCACTGTCTGTGCCCCACACTGTGCCTCATGCTGCATCTTCTGCTCAGAAGCCTGGCCCTGTTCTGTCCTTCACAGGCATGTCCTCTAACGTCACTCTCCTGTCATTCTCACACTGTCTGCTCACTTAGGTGATGGGGCCTGTGCTCCAGGAGGGGCAGGCCTGTCTCCAAAAGCACATGTGCAAAAGTGACTCCCATAGGGGCTCAGGCAGGATCCAACACTAGCCTGGGCAGGGCTGGAGATAAGCTTGGGGAAGGCTGGGCTGTGCAGTCACATTGAGCACAGCAACACGGAGCACAGCAACACCTGGCAGGAAAGCCCTGACTGGAAATGGCCTCCACCAACAGTCTGAACAGGCCTAGGATGGCCTTGAGGGAGAGGTGGGCAGGAGGGGCAACAGAGTGCCAGGTGAGGCCCCAAAGAGGGAAGTCAAATGTGGAGGAGATTTACTTGTGGTTTCTACAAATTGGGGCCAGTGCAGCCCAGCTGCCCCTGTGCCCATGATCTTCCCATCTACCACAGGCCTTCTCAAAAGACACTGTGAGCTCTGGGTTCCATGGCTGCTGGATCATGTGCTCTGTTTACCTGATCATCTCCCCTAGGGACCTGGGCACCCCTTGAGAGTGGGCCTCTCTAATGGCTTAGTGGAAGATGACATGCACCATCAGGTGACCAAGGGCTGGGCAGAATGCTTCACCACCAGGAGGTCTCAGCCCTGCTCTCTGATGGTGAAAGCAAGGGAGGGACAAGAGAGTCCACCTCCTGGAGAGGCAAGGAGGAGCAAGGACACAGTCTGACACTCTTGCTGTCCCTCCCCATCACATGTCCACAGCAGACATCACTGCTGGAACAGAGAGCTTAGATGTGACCTCTGAATTTCCAACGACATAGTGGCTGAGAGTGCAGGCCTTGGATTCAGACAGACCTTGAATGGTAGCCTGGCCACTTGCTAGCTTGTGATCTTGGGCCATTATTCCCTAGGCTTCTGCACCTTGTTCAAAGGGACACAATAGCACCAGGCTCCCATGGGGCCCTGGCCCACTGTGTCAGGAATACTGGCAATTGCTGCTGCAGAAGACAAGCACTTGACAAGCATCCCTTTGGCAGCATTCTCTCCCGGCACCCAGAGCAGCCAACCAGTTGGGGAGTGGCACTGACCTGAGCCCCTTTTGACCACACAGCTGGCCCAGGGCCTGAAAACAGCCATAAGCACTGCTGTCCAAGGGGAAGAGCGAGGCCTCTGATGGCCCAGGGGGCAGAGGGTAGAAAAGGGCTTTGGTTTTCCCAGCCTGCAGAGCCTATTGGTAACAACTTCCCCGTCTGTACAATGAGGATGATAATAGTACCTAAGCCTCACGGACATGCTATGTCACCTAAGGAGGCACCCCCCGATCAAGCCCCCAATAAGTGCTGGTCCTGCCACTGCTACTATGGGCCGCTACTCTCTGCCAGGCCCCCAACAAGGCCAGGCACAGCCAGGCCCAGCTGCTGTGGCACTGCAGGCAGGGTAGCATCCTCCATTGTCACTGCTCTCAGCCTCAAGAGCCCCAGCCCAGGACACGCCTGTAGGCTACCAAGGAAAAATGGTACAACCCAGCTAGCCAGCCAGTTGGAGCCACACCAAAAGGGGGTGGGGGCTCAGGCTAGCAGACAGTGTAGTCCCGCAACCCAAGGGAATCCCTGCTTGATGCCACAGCCTAGCACTGGTTCCCTCTCAGTCTGGAATCCCAGCCTCACCTCCTATGGTAGGGCTAGATGCCCACATCCCCCTGCCCACTGCTACCTAATTCCATCCTCCCCATCCAGCCAATGGGCCATTCAGATAACACTCCTGTCTAGGACAGCTGGGCCAATCCCGGTGTAGGAACCAGGGGGCCCCTGACTTGAGGCTACCAGTCACAACGCATGGGCTTCCACACTATACATAGTGAAGTACACACCCCTCCTCCAGCACAGACTAGTGATAGGACCATGGCCAAGTCACTTTACTTCCTAGCACCTCTTTGAAAGGTGACTACTAATCCAGGCTTGCAGGCTGGCCTGTGGACCTGAGCCCTTTTGGACCACACAGCTGGCCCAGGGCCTGGCACACAGCAGGTATTATGCTCCTTGAAGTGTGAGCAAAGGGACAAGCAGCGGTGGCATGAAAATTGGTCACAACTGGTCCTGAGAGGGGAGAAGGTGATATGGGACTGACTTGGGGGAAGGAGTGAGGCTATTACAAACCAGCTCTTCCTATCCCCATGTTCCCTGGCCCTGATGAGAGAAGGTAGGCAGGAACACCCTGTGTGGACAGTCCTGGGGCTTGTTTACCTGCTGGGAGGCAACTCAGATCTGCTTGCAGCCTGGAGTGGTGTGGGGCACCAGGAATTGAGTGGAGACCAACACTTCTTCCCTAGGTTGTGCTTTGGTCTTCACTGATGTCTGCCTGCAACAGGCTCTGAACCTGGGGCTGGCGCCTGGGGGCAGGGGCTGACCACAGGCCCACCAGGGAAGGTACCTCTCTTACAAGCCAGAGGGATGGAGAGAGAGAAGGGGCAAGTCAGGCTGGGGCTGGTCAGGGAGGTGATGTCAGGTCTGGCCCTGCAACAGGAGACAGATGTCTCAGGCACAGACCTTGGGGCCTGGCCACAGCTGGGTTCCTGGGTGACTGAGTCAGGATATACCTGTTCCCCTTGCTCTGGGGCTGCTAATTCCCAGTCATTCGTCCTAGGGAATTCTTGAGGATGAGAGGAATTCAGTCACTAGGCACTCCCTGCCTGCTGAGCTAGGAGAGGTTTTGGGAGGGCAATGGCAATGCTGTCCTAGATGAGGTCCCTGCCTTGGGGTGTCCAGGTCTGCTGGGCTCCAACAGCCTCCTTCTGGACTACTGGCTCTCTCTGAGGAGAGAGGCACTGGCTGAGACCTGCTCTGGAAGGTGGGTCCACTGTACCCACCCCTAACATATACCTCACATCTGCTCACTGGGTGCAGGGAGGGGGTTCCTCCAAGGTTACACAACCAACTGGTGGCGAATTAAAGTACAATGGGCATGACTGATTCTTGCTGAGAAGGACAGTACCCTGGGCTTTGGAGACTTTCTCTCCTTCCCCCCAACTCTGGCAGGTATGGGGTACCAGAAATTGGGTGGGGAGGCCCTTCCTCCCTACCAGACCACATCAAGGCCTTCAGTGAGCACTCAGGCTCCAGGGCTGGGACAGCACAGGGCATAAATGTTTTCAAGAAACAAAGACAGCTCATGATGACTGTACCTCCCATCAGTTTAAGCAACACAGTCAGGACAAACAGAACCACCTGTGGCAGCCGCCAAGTAGGAGAGAACATGGCAGACCCTGGGTAGACAAAGGGGACTGGCTACCGGTGTGGGAAGAGGCTCAGCCTCCCCACTCACATGGGAGACACACACTGAAACCACCTGGGGTTTTTTGGCACACTCCACAGATAGGCCAAAATGAAAGTCATCTGTGGTTCTGAGTCCTGGGAGGGGGTGGGGCAAGGGCTGGTGGGAGGGCATCTGGCCTGGCTCTGCCAAAACACCTGGCAAGGTGTGGAAGCGCTTGGCTGTGGGGACCTGTGTCCTGGCCTCCAACTTCCAGGCATTTGTCCTGGAGACCCCGGCACAGGTGAGAAAGGAGATCAGAGATAGCAGCATTCTTTTTCTAATAGTGGAAAACCAAAAGCCACCTATCCGCTAGGAAGAGGGGAGGTAGACCACCAGGACAACCAGACAGTGGAGTGCTATGCAGCAGTGACCAAGAACAGGAAGTTTGACCACCATCCACAGGCACCAAAGACTGGGCCAGGCCTCACAGAAAGAGACCTGTGTGGTGGGTGTGACGGCTAAGGCCACCATCCACATCTCAGGCTGCTCCATTCAAGCCAGGGCAGGGCCTTGAGCTTATGGAGGCCCCAGCCAGGTGTGAGTTGGAGCTCCTCCTGCTCCGTGCTTCAGTCACATCCTAGCACTGGCCTCTAGGATCCACAGATAAGCCCCAAGGCCTCCATGCAGGCCCATCTCCAGACCTAAGGGTGATTTGTGTGGCATGCCAAGTGTGTGATGATAGCTTTCATCCACCTGTCGGGACCACTCTGCTTACGGGTAGCCCAAGCTGAGTAAGGGGTAGAGTGGCTGGGAGCTGTGCCTGCCTGTGCCCAAAATCTGTGCTCTTCTCAGTGATCTTGGGACCTGGGGGCTGCCCACCTGAGCAGCGGCAGGAGCAGCTTTAGGGGAGACACCACACTCAGGGAGGCCACAGTAGGCCGGCACCTCCCTTCCACTCACACTCAGGCCACCATTGCTGCCTGCCCCACACGGCCTCAGAAGCAGGAGGCAGTACCAGCCTGGCCCTGAGCTCCCTTTGCTTCTTTCAGAGGCTGGAAACTGGGTTGAAACAAGAAAAAACCCTGCCTGCTAAAATAAGCAAACATTTTGGGGAAGGAAGGAGAACCATCTCTGTCTGGTTTGGTTACTATGGGAACGTTTCTGAATCAACTACAAGACAGGGAGAGAAGTTCACCCTGGACAAAGCAGCCTGGCTCTGGCCCATGCAGGCTTGCCTGCCAGAGGTGTGTATGCCTGCGGGGGGAGCCCCAGAAGCTTCTGGGCACCCAGACACAAACCCTCAGCCTCCATGGTGTGGGTAGCCACCCCAGCAGCACCTACCACCTAGCTTGGTGCCTGCTTTCCTGGTCCCCTCTGCTCAGGGAGGACGGTGTGTGGAACAGTGGGACCCAAGACATGCCATCTTCACTCCTCCTCATGTTCAACCACAGTGCTGAGCCCTGCTACACGTCCATCTGTGCTGCTGTGGGGGCCAGCCAGTCATGGGGCAGTTCCCATTTGCAAGGAGTTCCTGTCAGCAAAGCTGACATAGGAACCCAAGGTCCCACTCACTCGATCCTTAGCACCCATCCCATTCTCTGGTCCCTTAAACTCCCCAGGAAGGTTCTGTCAGCAGCCCAGCCTAAGGAGTTCCCCCGAGGGTGCCTCTAATCCTAGCCTTCCTCTCCTGCCCCCTTTCTGGCTGAGCAGCACCCCACCCTGCATGGGAGAGCCCAGCTCCCTGTCCCTCCTACATGCCCTGTAGCACGTTATGAAGGCCCCGCATGGAGACATGCAGGCAGTGCTCTACTGTCAGCCTTGAGCATCCTGTGGCCAGGGCCAAGGCTTTGCCTGACTCCTACAACATCCAGCACTGGCTGATCCAGGAGAATGAGCTTGGAGACCAACTGCTGAGGGGAAAGGGATGAATGAAATTAATCCACAAATATTCATGTGGGCATCTCCTCTGGGCCAGGCCAGGGGACTTAGGAACACAGCAACAGCACAAAGACGCACAAACCAGGAGACTGTGAGAGCAGACACTGGGCCCATACATGTGTCCACCCAAGGAGACTGGGCAGCAGCTGCAGAGAGCAAAATGACCTGACCTTCTCACATGGAAACTTCTCCAAGACTTGGTGTCATGGAAAAAGCAAAGTCGCTAAAAAGCACACACGCACACTTTTTTTTTTTTTTTGACACGGAGTCTTGCTCTGTCGCCCAGGCTGGAGCGCAGTGGTGCAATCTCAGCTCACTACAACCTCCGCCTCCTGAGTTGAAGGGATTCTTCTGCCTCAGCCTCCTGACTAGCTGGGACTACAGGCATGCACCACCACGCCCGGCTAATTTTTGTATTTTTAGTAGAGATGGGGTTTCGCCAGGCTGGTCTCGAACTTCTGACCTCAGGTGGTCCACCCACCTCTGCCTACCAAAGTGCTGGGATTACAGGCGTGAGCCACTGCACCCAGCCACACACGCACTTTTTAAAAAGCCGCACGACACATCTGTTTTTGTACACACAGACCCAGAAAAAGATAACAGCTTGGCTGATCACAGAAGCACCTCTGAGAAGGGCACAGTGCCTGGCGATGGGCAAACAAAGGTATGTGGACTCTATGTGTCTGAACTGTTGGCAGTGAAAATGTGGTCTTATATCACTGTGATATTATGATATATATGACAAGATATATATATGTTTGTTCATCCATGGTTGCTGGCTCCTAACTCCCATAGCCCTTGTTACTGTAAAGAGAATCTCTCTTTTTCTGACCTTCTCCTGCCCTTCTTTCCACTTGCCCAAGACAGGACTCTAATTTGATTGTGGGCCATAAGACCTTCATTCCAGATAAGAGTCCTGCCCCACATCCTGGAGGAAGGAATGCTGCAGAGAGGGCAAGAAGAATCTGAACAGACAGGCCTTGTTGGGTTTAGATCATAATCTTTTTGTCCAATAACATTTTGACATAGTTGTCCATGTTTCAATCATGCCTGTGAAGTCTCCATAAAAGGCCAAAGAGGACAGGTTCCTGAGCTTCCAGATAACTAAATACATGGAAGCTCCTGGTGGGTGGTATGCCTGGAGAGAAACAATTACAGGAGGATAGAGCCTTCCCTGTACCCTCCTATAACATCCCTTATAATAAACTGGGAAATGTGTTTCTCTGAGTTCTGTGAGCCACTTCGGCAAATTAAACCCAAAGGGGGTTGTAGGAACATCAACTTGAAGCCAGTCAGTTAGACATTTCGGAGGCCCAGACTTGTGACTAGTGACTGATGTGGGGGATGTTTTGAGGACTAAGCCCTCAACCTGTGGGATCTGACACCATCTCCAGGTGTTGAAATTGAGCCTGGGCAATATAGCAAGACTCTGTCTCTATAAAAAACTTAAAAATTGGCTGGGCATGGTGGTGCATGTCTGTAGTCCCAGCTATCTGGCAGGCTGAGGTAGGGCCCCCAAGGGCCTAGGTGACACAGCACGATGCTGTCTCTTAAATCTGCCCCCCATTTGGTCACAGAAGTCTTCTGTTTGTGTTGACTGCTGTGTTGGTGTGAGAACAAAGGAAAAGGGGTTTGAATTTTTCCTAAACTACAACTCTCACAATTTTCAAAAATTATCATTAAAAAATAACAGAAGGCACGTGCCCCCCACCCAAGCTCTAAGGATGACAGGCTGAGCAACACAAAGGCTGGGCAGTGTGGATGGCCCAGGACAGTGGGTTGAGAGGGATAGGGATTAGGGTGCTGATGTCCCCAGTCTCAACCTCCCTTTATCTCCTCTCAAGGGCCAGCACCCACCTACTGCCTTTGCTTCCCACTAGACTAAGCAGTAAACCCCAGTGCAGGCTAGAAGAGAGGTGAGCCAGTCTGCTCATCCCAGCCTAAAGGCTATCTACCAGAGACATGGCCCCATCCCAGCAGAGTCAGCCAAGGGCTGCCCTAAATGCTCCTTCATAAACACGTTAGTATGCAGTTTCCCCAGACTTGGGAATATGCCAGATAGACTCATTTGCTGAAAGCATTCAGGAACTGCCCAGCATTTCTTGACATACTGGACACTAGGCATAGCTCAAGGAGCACAAGTAGCCCAAACCTATCTCTAAAGAGAAGAGGTAAGAAAGCAGAGGAGGACAGAGGCCCCAAACGATGGTAAAAGCAGCAGGTCACTGGGAAGCATGGAGGAACAAACAACTGTCCTGGAAGTGGCAAAACCACCAAAACACCCAGTCTGGGCTGGGGTGGCCCTGATCTTCAGGGGCTTCCAGGTGCAGGGATGGCATTGCCTATGTGCCAGGCCTACATGAGGCTGTACCAGCCTTCCCTCCCACAGGCACACAACCTCAGACTGCTTTTCTGCAAGACTCATTTTGGAAGGTCCCAGAAACTAAGGAGGAGGTGCAGGGAGTGAGCCCAGTGGGAAAGGGGCCTGGAGCATGTGGCTGCCAACTTGGATGTGCTCTGCGGGGCAGGCATCTGAGGGGCCGGCTTCCCCAGCTTTATCATTAGAAAGGCTGAGGTCTTCCCCTGTGAGGAAGACATGGAGGTTGGCTCCTTCCTTCCAATATCACTGCACAGGCTTTAAGGGCAAAGCACCAAAAGGAGAGAGGAAGAGAGGGAGGGAGGGAAACTATTTTCTTAAGTACCTGCCATGTGCCAGATCCTGTGTTAGAAATATTACCCCGGTATCTAACTTGATTCCTACAGTTACTCTTCAAGCCAGGTAATAGAAGCCCACTTTCAAGGTGAGGAACCCAGGACAGGGAAATTAAGCAACTTGTCTAGCTCCAACTCGCCTATCAACTGCAGAAAAACAGATTTTCAAAACACTGACAAAGGGCTCACTTCATTGATATATAAAGAGTTCTTATTAATCAATAGGAAAAGGACCAATAATCCACTAGAAAATGAACATGAAGGACAAGAAATTTGCATAGAAGTTAAAATTAACGTAATGTCACAGTCAAGGCAGTGCTTCATAGGTGAAGCACTGAGCCTTTCTGTGTGTGTGTGTGTGTGTGTGTGTGTGCGTGTGTGTGTGTGATGTATTGTTTGTAGTAAAAAAGACAAACTAATCTAAGTGTCCATCAATAAGGGATGGGAGGCCGGGCACAGTGACTCACGCCTGTAATCCCAGCACTTTGGGAGGCCAAGGAGGGCGGATCACTTGAGGCCAGGAGTTCGA
The DNA here is from genome assembly GCF_000001405.40 of Homo sapiens. Lineage (NCBI taxonomy): Eukaryota > Metazoa > Chordata > Mammalia > Primates > Hominidae > Homo > Homo sapiens. The sequence continues at coordinate 24,136,583 of NC_000022.11, read as the reverse complement.
GACCATCCTGGCCAACATGGTGAAACCTTGTCTCTAAAAAAAAAAAAAAAAAAAAAAAATACAAAAATTAGCTGGGCGTGGCAGTGTGGACCCGTAGTCCCAGCTACTTGTGAGGCTGAAGCAGAATTGCTTGAACCCAGGAGGCGGAGGTTGCAGTGACCCAAGATTACGCCACTGCACTCAAGCCTGGGTGACAGAGCAAGACTCTGTCTCAAAAAAAAAAAAAAAAAAAAAAAGGAGGGATGGCTAGGTAAACTGTGGGACATCCCTATGTTGGGACTACTATGCAGTAGCTATCAAAAAGAATGGGTGGGTTCTAACAGTATCTCCAAGAGATACTGTTAGAGATATTGTTTAGCGAAAAAATACAAGGGGCAGAAGTGTGTGCACTTTTGCCTTTTATGCGCATCTATGTGCACTAGCTTGTAAATGGGCAGATGCCCTCTAGAAGGACACACATGAGACAAGAAACAGTTTCTGCTGTGGGGAGGTGGCTGTGGCCTGGGCATGCAGATAAGAGAGCACCTCTCTTTTGCAGCAAATCCCTTGGTATCATGTAGATTGATTACCAATAACACCCCTACTTGTCTATAAAATACCAAAACAGAGAGGGTGGGCAGATGCAGGGCTTTCAGGATCTCAAGCTCCTACTCTGACCCCAGAAGACCACACCCTGGGAGAGGAGGAGCCATGGATCCAGACACTCCCACCAGCTGGCTGGCTCTCAGCGGGGACCTGCCTGCCCACGTACCCTGAGAATTGGCCTGTTACACCCCTCCAGACCTGAAACCTGCTCTCCTCAGCTCCTGTTCAGGCCACCTCTGCCCTTCAGTTTCTCCATGAGTAAGAGGGAATCAAGGAAAATACAGAAGAAACCAAAGCTCAGAGGGGGTGTATGACCTGCCAAAGTCATCCAGCTGGGAGCTGGCCATGCTGGGAGGGGCGGTGGATAGGTAAGGACTTGGAGGTAGAGGGGAGTGAGGGGCCAGCTGTCTCCATGCAGGACAGAGGAAATGGGGGAGGGTAGATCCAGGTGGGGTATCAAGAGGAGCATATGTAGGCCTTTGGGATGAGAGGCAGGCAGGCCTAGGTGATTGGCCCTGCCCTGCTCAAGGAGTAAGTCTCCACCTGACACGCAATATCAGGGCTGAAGTTCACTAAAAGCCCAATATTGGTCACACTCTTTTTTTTTTTAAGAGGGAGTCTCACTCTGTCTCCCCGGCTGGAGTGCAATGGCACCATCTCGGCTCACTGCAACCTCCACCTCCTGGGTTCAAGCAATTCTCCTGCCTCAGCTTCCTGAGTAGCTGGGATTACAGGTGCCTGCCACCATGCCCAGCTAATTTTTGTATTTTAGTAGAGACAGGGTTTCACCATGTTGGCCAGGCTGGTCTTGAACTCCTGACCTCAGATGATCTGCCCGCCTTGGCCTCCCAAAGTGCTGGGATTACAGGCGTGAGCCACTGTGCCTAAGCCACATTTGTTTTTTTGTTTGTTTGTTTGTTTGAGACAGAGTCTTGCTCTGGTCCCCCAGGCTGGAGTGCAATGGCATGATCTCGGCTCACCGCAACCTCCACCTCCCGGGCTCAAGCAATTCTCCTGCCTCAGCTTCCTGAGTAGCTGGGATTATGGCGCCCGCCACCACGCCCAGCTAATTTTTGTATATTTAGTAAAGATGGGGTTTTGCCATGTTGGCCAGGCTGGTCTCGAACTCCTGACCTCAGATGATCTGCCCGCCTCGGCCTCCAAAAGTGCTGGGACTACAGGCGTGAGCCACCGCGCCCGGCCCACACTTGTTTTTTAAGCAGTCAGAATCTCCTACGTGCTTGAGACCACAGGAGCTGCTCCAGCAGGAGGAGGAAACCTGGGCCTGTACCCCTGTCATCACTGCCTGTGTGGCCCCAGAATACCTGGGGCTTTGGAGAACATACCAAGCTCATCCATGCATCTCCCCACAGGAGGGGGCAGTGACTTGCCAGAAGTCGCTCAGCAATCACAGCCCCACACCGGAGTCTGGCTCACTCTCGACTGTACCACCCTGCCTGCCCTCTGAGGATGCCGCAAACTTGAGGCCCTGGGAACACCCACCTAGGGGGTCAATTCATGCGCCTTCAGTGAAAAGCAGTGGCAACAAACAGCCTTGGAAATCAACAAGGCAAAGTACTCACGTTGAAGAAATTGGTCTTGTTCCTCTCGCAGAAGAGCCCCTGTGCCGGCATGTGCTGCAGTTGTTGCCACGGGATACTGCTGCCTAGCAACACGTCGCGGGCCCACTGGAGGTTCTGGGGAAACAAGAAGTAGGTTGAAAGTGAGTGTGTGGGCTGCTCAGGGCGCCCACAGGGAAGGCAGGCGGTCCCCTCCTTCCTGGCTGCATGGCAAACCACGATGAGCAGCAGTTCCTGCAGACATCGATTCCACAGCTCCAGGCTGCTCTGGCCATGGGCTTTGATCATCAGGCTGTGGGATGCATTTTCAGAACTGATCTCTGGCCCAGCACCACTGGTTTAGGAGTGTAGTCTTTGACTCCTCAAGGTGGAGACTGACAGACCCCTGGCCTGACCAACCCTACAAACCTGCCACATGTACCCAGTACCCGCCTTCTGTCAGGGGGCCCCCACAAGCCCAAATAGCAGCCCTGACTTATTTGTCAGGAATCAGTAGCGTTCCTTATTCACGGCCAGTGGTACAGCTGCTTTAGGCTCGGAGGGCTGGACTCTGGCCACAGTGCTTAGGTCAGTGATCTCTGGGCAAAGAGCCTCTTGGTGGAATCCAGGCCCAGGGGAGAATGGTGTAGGGTAAGAGGGTGAGTGTGGGCCTGGCTGCCTCTGCCTTCTCTGGGGCCTTCTCACTGGCCCATAGAGCAGGCCTTCCCACCAGCTGCCTGGCCAGCCACTCCTCCCTCTCTGGTCTTCACCACAGCAGCCAAGCACCTTGCACTGGCCATCTCACTCCACCTCAGGACCATGCTGTCCTAAAGGAAAAGGGCTGGCAATGGGCAGAGCTGGGCTTGGCACCTGGGACTGCACAATGCCAGACCCTCTACCCTTTCCACGGCACCCACTGTCCCAGCCAATCTGTCCTCCCCTCCCGCTCAGGTCCCTTGCTCGCCTTTCCCAGCGCTGGGCGCAGGCCTTCATCACCTTGCACTCCAGCTGCTCCGAAAGCCCTCTCACTTCTTGGCCTGCAAGCTTGTCCCACCTGGTCCCATTCTGCCCACTGCTGGCCAGGCTGAGCATACTGAACCATTCCCCTAATCATCATGAGGCAAAAGTGCAACTCCAGCTCCCTGACTCGCTGGCTGTGGGGCCCATGCTAGCCTGCCTCTAAGCCTTTGCTCCTATGAGGGCTACCCTTCTGCCCCCACCGGGATGCTGTAGGGACTGAGGGCTGCTCCTGAACACTGGGCAGGGAGGGCCCTGTGGCTGTATGTAGGAGGCTCCATTCACTGTGAGCTTCCCGTCTGCTGAGGGACCCCCTGCCTGCCCCACCCTGAGGGGAAGGAGAGACAGGCAGAGGAGGGAACAACCTGGGCAGCAAAAGGGTCCTCAGACCCTGGAGGCAGGCTCCCAACTGAGAACAGAGGCCACTTTGCTCAAACTCACAGAAAACAGTAAAATACCCAGTCCTGACCTTCAACTTCTGAGCTCTAGCACCCTAGGAGGAACAACCTGTAGTTTACTTTCAAGTGTCCCCAGCAGCTGGGCGCGGTGGCTCACGCCTGTAATCCCAGCACTTTGGGAGGCCAAGGTGGGTGGATCACCTGAGATCGGGAGTTCGAGACCAGCCTGACCAACATGGAGAAGCCCCATCTCTACTAAAAATACAAGAATTAGCCTGGCATGGTGGCACACGCCTCTAATCCCAGCTACTCAACAGGCTGAGGCAGGAGAATCACTTGAACCTGGGAGGTGGAGGTTGCAGTGAGCCGAGATTATGCCACTGCACTCCAGCCTGGGTGACAGAGTGAGACTCCGTCTCAAAAAACAAAAAAATAACAAAGCAAAACAAACAGAAAAACGTCCCCAGCAATGCCTGGCAGCCAGGCTTTGGAAAGCCTGCTTCCCGGGCCACTCATTCAGAAGCCTCTTGAGGCTGGTTCCAAGTTCTCACATAATGCTTCCCACCTCTGCACTCCACCCCACCCTATCCCAGGCCACATGCCCCTGCTCCACAGCAGGTCCAAGGAGGGAGGGTCAGCTGCAGAGAAACTGAGTACAGGGTGGGGAGAAAGGGGTGGGGCTTCAGGTATGCTTCATTAAAAGGAATAAAACCAAAGATTAGCTCAAAGATTAGTGAGTAGAGCAGGGCTCCAAGAGGAAGACTCAGGTCTCAGGAAGCCCAAGAAAGGGGCTCACAACCTGCATCAGTGCTCAGCCATGACCCACTGCGACACTTGGTTCAAAGTATTTCCCAAAGGAGATCTGAGAGGCTCAGCCCAGGCAGGTGTCCATCCTGGTCTAATCAGCCATAGGTGGACTCAAGAAGGTGATGTAGGACACTGTATTTTTTTTTTTTTTTTTTGGAGACAGAGTGTCACTCCGTAACCCAGGGTGGAGTATAGTGGTGTGCTCTCAGCTCACTGAAACCTCCAAGTGATTCAAGTGATTCTCCTGCTTCAGCCTCCTGAGTAGCTGGGACTACAGGTGCCTGCCACCATGCCTGGCTAATTTTTGTATTTTTAGTAGAGATGGGGTTTCACCACGTTGCCCAGGCTGGTCTCGAACTCCTGACGTCAAGTGATCTGCCCGCCTTGGCCTCCCAAAGTGTTGGAATTACAGGCGCGAGCCACCGTGCCTGGTCCATCACCTGCACTTCTAATACCACAGTTGAGCACATCTGACCATGGAGGTAGGCTGCAAAGGGGACCTCCCTTTTACCCAGTCTGAGAAGGTCAGGGAGGCTCTGGGAGAAGGTGATACCTGGGCTGTGGTTTGCACAAAGCTGTTATGGGGATAAGGGACTCACTGAAGCAAGTGCCCAGACACCTGGGGCAGTCAGGGCCTAGCCAAGGAGGTGGAGGGGATCAGATGTGGCTGCCCATAAGGCCAGTGGGGAGCCAGGGTGCTATGAGGCAGGGAGTAAGTGCTAAGACCATGGGCTGCAGGGCCCAGAGCAGAGGCAGGCTGCCTAGGGGACTGAGCCTGTGTATACCCTTGCTCTCCTCTATGGCCCTGGCCTCAATGCTGTGGCAGACCACTCCTCCAGCTGTGACTTCATGACCCAGGGCACAGGCCTGGCCTGAGAAAAGTTACCCAAGAGTCATGACCCCAGAGCTGCTTCTGGGGCTCCTCCGGAACTTGGAAAAGTGTCCGGAAGACCTCTTTAAGTGGCAGCACTTGAGGCCAGCAGGAGGAGATGTGAGACCCTGACTTGAAGAAGCATCTCCAGTAGCCATCATTTTCCTAAGAATACCAAGAAAGTAAAGCCTCGACAAAGACTTCCTTCTGGCTGGGGACACAAGAGAAAGCACAGAGGCCAGGATGGAGTCACATAGACTCTGCTTCCCTGCCCAGCTGCCTTGTTGCAGGCCCTGTGGCCATGGGACGGGAATGGACATTCCTCTCTGGTTTGTTTTCCACCACTCCACCTGCACCAAGCCAGTTTGTCCCCCAGATTGGAGCAGAAAGGGAGAAGGCAGTGGGAGAGGTTTCTGGGGCAAAGGGTGCAGAAAGCACTAGCCTGTCAAACCCAACCTGGATTATAAATTAGCTTCCTGCAGACCTGGCTACTGTGTACTGGTGGAGAGTGTGTTTCTCCAGCTGTCTCCCAGGCCCACCAGAGAAAGAGAGCTGATCAATGCTAAGGCACAAAGTGTCCAGACAGCTTATGGGGGCCCTTAGCTGATTCATGCCTGAGGCCCCAGATAGGTGCTGACAGGGAGGGCTGAGACCTGTCTGGGGAATCATGGGTGCCAGGCTGGTGGGGTAGGGGAGGGGGCAGAGACTGTATTGGGCCCTTGCTGAACCTCTGCAAGGGGGAAGGGGATCTGACTTGCACGGTGCACCTGCAGCATAGAACCTGCCCTGTAGCTTCGTGGTGTAGTGAGGTAAGGCAACATGATGCCTCCTGGGTTGAGCACAGTGCCATAACCCCTCACCTCACAGAATTACCAATGAGGAAATAGAGGCTCAGAGAAATTCAAGAGCTTGCCCAAGGTCCCAGAGCCAGGAAGTGGCAGAACCATCCCTGGACTCTGGTCCAGGCTGCAAGGACTCTGAGGCCTGGGCTCTTCCCCTGCCCCCTGACCTATCCACTATAGGTGGGCAAGTTACTTTACAAATCCGCCTGGGCATGTGCTGTGTGCTGAACACTGAGCCAGCCATCATGGCCAGCCCTCTCTCAGGCCTCATGCAACCTGTCACACTGCTGGCTCATAGGCACCTCTGAGAATGGGAGGAGGCCCATGGAGCCACTTGCCAGATAACGGCACATTTTCCTTGGCTGCATTGGCCCTGAGGCTTGTGCACATAGACCCTCCTGTGACAGAGGGCAGATGGAGGGCTGTAAGGTCCTGAAGAGAAGTAGGGCAAAGAATCGTAGAAGCATACAGGCACCTTATGTCCTCCCTTGCCTACTATCTGGACCATCCCTGCTTCACAGCAGAAGGCAGAGGGGACATCTAACTCCTCTGCTTAAAGGCCTTTGGGCTGCACCTGCCTCAGGGCAAGAGTCAGCTCCATGCCTCAGTCTACCTGCCTACCCGCTGGCTCATCTCCCCCATACCCTCCAACCCCTCTTTGTGAACAGCCCTCCAGCCACACTTGTTCCCACCTTGGTCCCTGGAGGTCTCTCTACCTGGTGCCACCTCACCTTTCCCCCTGATGCTCCCCTGGAATACTATTCCCACAGCCCCATGGCCACCTTAAATAGCCTTTCCACTGACTCGCAGATGGGTCTGCTGTCTGCCCCTACTTCTCTATCAGCCCTATAAGGGCAGGGACACAGTCTGACTTCACTGATGGCTCCTCCAGGACAAGTCTAGTTTGAAGCTCACAGAAAAGGGTGCAATAGTTGCCCACAGGAAGAATGAAAAGAAGCTGAGCAGTCTGACCTTTCATAAAATGGGAAGGAAGCGTATGTCAGGTTGAGGGAGGAGGGCAACAGCCATGGGGCGTGAGTGGGGCTGCTTGGGTCCTTCCCAAGGCCAGGGTGCCAGCACTATGCTCCCTGGGGCCAGCTAAGCAACAGTCCATGCCCTTGAGGCTAAATTTCAATGCCAGCCCCCGCCCACTAACTCGCACTACTCTGCCAGCAATCGTTTCACTACAGCACACATTGGGCTGACTGTCATAGCTCCTGGAACTCCCCACGCTCCCTTTCTCTTCACACAGGAAGCAAAAGCTTGGGGTGAGGTGGCTTGCATCCCTACCTGTAGCCTTCCATGGGCCCTGCATGTAGTGGGGGCTTGGCAAAGCCTGTTGACAGCTGGAGATGGGAAAACAACTACTACCCTCTGGGGACACCTGCTGTCCCAAGATGTGCAAAGCCGTAAGGCAGACCTGATCCCAGGTGCCATCTGTCACTATTGTATGGTGGCCTGGAGGATGTGCTCTGCCTGTGTCACCCAGGGTCTCTGCCCCCAGGGGCTGTCTCCCTGCCACAACCAATGATGATGATCCACTCACCACTTAACTACCTCCTGCCTCACGAATCCACAAGGGACAGATGGTGGGGCTCAGAGAGGTCAGGCTCTACAACTCCTACATGGTGACTCCAGGTGTGCAAACTGTCTGGTGGGGATCCTGGAGCAGTGCCAGCCTATCTGCAAGACCAGTAGGGCTCCACAGGGCTGCCAGGAAGGTGGCTATGGACCTCAGCTGTGTTCAGCCCTTCACCTAGCCATACCTCAGGCATTGGCACGGGGGCACAGATGGTGCTCACGGGTTCCATGACAAATGGAGGAAACAGGAGTGGTGGAGGGCTTGGCCAGGGAAGACCTTCTGCAGCCTTTGGAGCCACCCAGGACCTCTTGCCCTGTGTGAAGGGGAATTGGCTGGGAGCCCTTGGAGTAGTGTTCTATAGGCCAGAGGAAGAGGAGTGTGTGGCTACCTGCTGATGGGAGACTCAGTGGGCTGCTGGGGACACCCATAAGCTGCGGGCACATACCTACTGCAAACTCACCCCAGCAACCTAGGACATGAATATCCCCATAGCTAGACCTGGTAGACTTAAAGCCAACCATTCCTGATACTTCTAATCATGAAAAATTATAATTAGAATGTCTGTTTGGATAAAGCCAAATATTAAGGAGTTAGTGTAAAAGCTGTGCCCACCCTCCCCCCGCCCCGAGAATCCTGTGTAGGCATTAGAAGTCATGCAATCAAAGAGTTTATGAGTACACGAGAAGCAAAAAAAAGCAGAACCACATTTGCATACATTTCTGTGAGTGTGTGTCTGTTTGTGTGTAAAGAAAGTAGGCAGAAGATGGAAAGGAAATGCACCCAACATTCCTGAGAGTTGCCTGGGGAGGGAGACTCATGGCAATAGTTCTCAATGGGGGTGGGGGTCTGTCCCCAAGGAGGCATCTGGCAATATCTGGAAACATCTTTGGTCATCACAGCTAGAGGAAGGCTACTGGTATCTAGTGGGTAGAGACCAGGGATATTGCTGAAAGTCCTGCAGTGCACACACAACATCCCCACAACAGAGAATTATTTGGTCCCAAATGTCAATAGTGCCTCAGGAGGGAACTCTGTTCTACGTTATTCATATATACTCATATATATACAACTGTTCTAGATCACTCATATATATATATATATGAAAAGTTAAATACAGTTGTTGAAGATGATAGATGTGCAAACTTTCTCACCTGATTCACAACATTAGAGAATCAGAACAGAAGCAGGATGAATGACTATCTGTGGATTGACCTTGACTTTTCTCTTTCCTTCACACCCCACAGGTCCTGGGCCAAAGAAATGGGGTCTGATTGGGCTAGCGCTGCCAGGCTGCTACTCGTCATACCTCATCTAAGTGGAATCATTCAGTATTTGCCTTTTGTGACTGGCTATTTCACTTAGTATTATGTCCTCTAGGTTTCCCATGTTGTCTGATCCATTGATTCAGCTCTTCTGTCTGAATCCATCTAGAATCAGACTACTTCCTGATATCCTGCTGTGGCCTCCTCCCATCTCTGCTGCCACACTGACTTCTTCTCCACCTGTGTGGACACATTCTCAAGCTCCTGGGCCTCTGACTACTGGGTGGGTTTGACTGAGGGAATTTGATCAGAGCACTCACTCCTTGAATTCCCTCCCTGTGGAGTTGATGAGGGGCAGCCATCAATGGCCAGCCCCGACAGGCACCGCGGCTGGTCCAGGGTACCACACTCCTCCTCCCTTGTGAATTCCTACTCTCTGCCTGGGCCTGTGTAAGTTGCTCCTTCATTAAGTGCTCTTCAGACTTTCCTGTTAGATGGGGCCATCTGTGTCCTGCTAGGCCTCTGACAGGCCACCCCCAACTCACTCTTTACATATCAGCCCAGTAGTGTCTCTGACACACTCAGGCCACATGGAGCCTGTCTTCTTCCACAACCTTGCGACAGTTTTTTGTTTTTTTAGTTTAGCTTTTTTTTTTTTTTTTGAGACAGAGTCTTGCTGTGTTACCCAGGCTGGAGGGCAGTGGCACGACCTTGGCTCACTGCAACCTCTGCCTCCCAGGTTCAAGCGATTCTCCTTCCTTAGCCTACTGAGTAGCTGGGATTTCAGGCACACACCACCACACCAGGCTAAGTTTTGTACTTTTAGTTGAGACGGGGTTTTGCCATGTTGGCCAGGCTGGTCTCAAACTCCTGACCTCAAGTGATTTGCCCGCCTTGGCCTCCCAAAGAGCTGGGATTACAGGCGGGAGCCACCATGCCCAGCCCTTGCGACAGCTTTAACCTAATTCAGGATGATGTCCCCTCAAATCCTCCCCTGCCAAAACTTGCCCTGAAAGCCTCTGACCTCATCTTCTTCCTCTCTCCTCCTTGCCCATCTAGTCACACCAGCTTCCAGCAGATTCTAGTCACACCAGCTTCCAGCAGATTCTAGTCACACCAGCTTCCAGCAGATTCTAGTCACACCAGCTTCCAGCAGATTCTAGTCACACCAGCTTCCAGCAGATTCTAGTCACACCAAGACTGTTTCTGTCTCTAGGCATGTGTTTTGGGTGTGTGTCCATCTGGAAGCCTCTTCCCCAATATCCTCGTGGCCATCAGGGCTCCCTCACTTGATTCAGGTCCTTGCTTAGACAGGTCTTCCCAATCTCCCTGTCTAAATAGTCACAATCACACCTCGAACCCCTTACCAAGCTTTGTTTTTCTTCCTACTCATCACTAGCTGCCCACACTATTCTCCCAGTGAGTACACAATGCTATATCCCCAGCACCTCAAACAGGAACCTCCTGCGTGACAACCACTCAGTAGACAGCTGCTGAATGAGTGAACCTGCAGAGATGCACAGAAAACACACTGGGGGGAGCACACGAAACACAAACACTTCTGCCATGTCATGGCTTGTGGGACAGTTGTGGGTAGTTTCATTCTCTTTTCCAAGCTTAAACAATATTATTGGTAATAAAAGCTGCTGGCAGAGTGCTCAAACCTATTCAAACTGCTGGAATCTGCATTTCTTTGCAGGAGAGAGGACCAGGAAAGCAGCAGCCAGTATGGGGGCAACCTGTCCCACCTCCTCTGGCACCTAAGGGCCCAGTAGAATCTTCAAACCATGAGGCAGACAGACTGAAATACAAAATCAAGATTCCTAAGTTCAGAAAAATATCAAGTTCTCCTTTTGCAAACTATACAAACTAAAGCTTGACAAGAACCTGGCTGGTTGGGAGCTGCAGCAGCCTAGGACATCCATGTGAGGATGCAGGGCACACCACCATTTTGTGGAAGGGGCCACTTTTATGTCCACAGAAAGGGAGCAAAGGTTAAAGGCAGGCGAACACCCTGCTTTGTGGCCAGCATGCCCTCCTGATGCCTGGTTCTACTATCTGTGTGGTCCTGGCTCAGTCAGTGTCAACTCAAAGCTCACCAGCTCCCCCCGAACACTTGCCTGTGAGCAAAAAGCAGGGTCTCAACAGCAGGCCCTCACACCTGCTCCAGTCTAATGGTGCAGGGCCCACTTCAGAGGCCCTCTCGTTTAACCTGCACGATAGTCCTGGCTTCTACGGGTCCCCCACATGAGCCAGCAGCACAGGCAGGTGGGGATACTGTACTCACAACAGGGGGGCAAGGGGTGGGGGTTCACACCCAGCTGACCTGTCCTTTACCCAGGCTCACACCAGAGCACCAGCTGACCCTGAAGTCAAAAGTCAGCAGATTCCCTGGTGATCCTTCAGCTGAGCACACAGCACCCCTGTGGGGCCCCCCTGGCAGGAGTCTGTCTCTAACCAAACCCTGGGCCTGGGCTCATCCCATATAGGTACCGGGCCAAAGAAATGGGGTCTGATTGGGCTAGCGCTGCCAGGCTGCTACTCCTCATACCTCATCTGAGTGGAATCATCCAGTATTTGTCTTTTGTGACTGGCTATTTCACTTAGCATTATGTCCTCTAGGTTTCCCATGCTGTCTGATGTGACCGAATTTCCCCCCTTTTTAAGGCTAATATTCCATACTGTTTTGATTAGTATATTATAGATTTGTAGTATGTTTTGAAACTGGGAAGTATGAGTCCTCCAGCTTTGTTTTCATTCAAGATTATTGGCTCCAGGGAACATCTTATAACCAACCCCCTCTGCCTTGAACCCCTTGCAGCAGAAGTAGCAGGAGGTGAAGGGGCTCAGCTCCCAGCTGAGCAGGAGGCAACTGGGAGAGCAGGGCAGGGGTGTCTATGCCTTGGCCTTTTTCCTGGACACCCATCAGTAAAGGCCAGAACCTTCATGACAAGAGGTGTCTGATGCCATGTGCTCTCTCTCCTGGGGTGCCTATATGGGCTCAAAGAGCCAGGTTTCTATGAGTGTAGACTCAGGCCTCAAAATCTTGGTGAAGATTGTGATCCAGAGAGTAAGTGATACGGTAGCTAGAATTAGGGCCCTTATGGCTATCAGCATAAATGATCATCCCCATCTAAGGTGTGCACAGTGTGCAGGGCAACAGGTGGACTGCCTTGGGGGGTCCAGGGGCAGCCTGTGTGCAGCAGTGCCAACCTTGGGAGGGAGGGCAGCCTCAGGCAGGCAACAAAGGTCTCTCAGGACAGACCTAGCCCTTGGCCACTATGCCCCAGGCAGGGAGCCCTCAGAGGGCCTGGCAGAGGAGTAAGGAGCCATGGGAGATGCTGACACTGAAGAAATGGGTCTCACTATATGGGTGAGAAGGATTGTTGGCTGAGGGCAGTGCAGGGTATGTTGGACATTGCCCCAGCACTGCATCCCTCACCTCATTAACACAATAATTCTGCTTTCATATCACTATCATTCTCATCGAGGAAAGAAGAGCCCTGGACCTCCAAGAGTTCCCATGCGGAGCGAGGATCTGAACCCAGGTGAGGCCAGCTTCAGAGCCCACATTCTCTCCTCCTCCCCCAAAAGCCCTGCTGTCAGCAACTAAGCAAGTGGCACACTGTGCCCTGAAGGCGGTTTCTTTCCAAGGCCTGGGCAGGCAGAGCCTCACCTGGAGGTGTCTGTGAAAGACCTGAGGGTTCAGGAGTCAACCACACAGCTCCAGGCAGGCTCTGCTTGTGGGCCCCTTTGAAGAGGCAGACATCGGATGCTCCAGTCCACCAGTGAGCTGTGAGATGGCAACAAGAAAAAGGCACTGCCAAGCCCACAGGCAGGATTTTATGAAGAAATGTGCTGCTGTCAAATATACACAGCGGGAAGTGTTTGTTAACAAACAGCTGTGTTTGGAAAGTGGTAACTACTTCCCAGTTAATGGTTCCACATTAGTCAGTGACAACATGGAGTTGTGTCCCCCAGATCTGTGAACAAGCTGCTGCCAGCAGAGCTGACACCCCAGGTCTGGGCAGAGCCACATGCAGCCCCCAGGATGGCATGCCCCAGAGCAGCAGGAAGGTCTTAACTCAGGCTCTCAGGGGAGCTAGGTGTTAACAACCTGCATTCAATTTGGTGGTGGTAACTGGTGCTCAGCAAAGGTTTCTGGGTGAAGCAAACACAGAAGCCAATGGGAACCACCCTAGACCCAGCATATGCAAGGTCTAGAATGAGCTCAGTGGCCCGAGGCTACCTGAGGCACACTTGGCACCTGCAGAGCTGCCTCCTGGAAGCAGATCTGTGGGTAGGCAGTGTGGCTGTGGGTAGGGAGTGTCTGCTGCTTAAGGGGTCTAAGATTCAAGATAGCATTCCATTTCTGAGAACCAAGGAACTCAGCCTGGGAATGCAACGAACAGAAAAGCTGGCAGAAACTGAGGCTAATGGCTACTGGGGGTTGTCTGGGGATACTGACATCAATGGTGCAGACAGCCCAAGGCAGCCTCCATCCCTGCTACTGGGTGGGGATGGCTGGGTCAACTGGCCCGCCTACCCTGGACCATCACAGATGACCAAAATGACCTGGCGAGGGGGCATTCATGGTAAGAGCAAAATGGCAAACTATGAGTGTGGACAGGGTGTGGGGAATGGTGCAGCAACTGGGCCAGCATGAGATTGCCTGGGGCTGATGTCTGGCTCTGTCACTCAGCTCTGTGTGACCCTCAGAACAGGTTCCCAGATGCAAAGTAGAAGGGGTATGATCCCACCTCTGGGACCTGGTGTACCTGGTGTCTCGAAAGCACACAATCAACAGGGCATGTGTATTGGAGTTGAGAAGAAATACAGGTAGGGCATCCTAAGTCTGAATATCTAAAATCCAAATTGTTCCAAAATCTGAAACTTTGGTGCTTAAACGAAATGCTCATTGGAGCATTTTGGTTTTTTGTTTTTGTTTTTTTTTAGAGGGAGTTTTGGTCTTTCGCCCAGGCTGGAGTGAAATGACGTGATCTCGGCTCACTGCAACCTCCGCCTCCCCAGTTCAAGCGATTCTCCTGCCTCAACCTCCTGATTAACTGGGATTACAGGTGTGCACCATCACGCCTGGATAATTTTTGTATTTTTAGTATAGACAAGATTTCGCCATGTTGGCCAAGGTGGTCTTGAACTCCTGACCTCAGGTGATTCACCCGCCTCAGCCTCCCAAAGTGCTAGGATTACAGGCGTGAACCACCGTGCCCAGCCTCATTGGAGCATTTTGGATTTCAGATTTTTGGCTTAGCGATGGCTCAGCCAGAAGTATAATGCAAATATTCTAAGATCTGAAAAAAGCCAAAATCCAAAACTCTTCTGGTCCCAAGCATTTTGTATAAAGGATATTCAACCTGTACTAGACCCAAGAGAGCTAGTTTTAGGGTGGCAGAATTGTGGTTACCTCCCTCCAACTTTTAATTTTGACATAAATACTGTTTTCTACTTCTAAAAAAATCATCAAGAGAAGGGGCAGGCTGTAATAACAGCATTTTGTGTCTAGTGCTGAGCTAAGCACTTTATATGCACTGGCTCCTTCAAATTCAACATAAAGCCATTTAGCAGGGAAGTGGAGGGTGGGTGGGTGGGGCCCGTATCGCTACTCAACTCTCCTCCCACCCAAACCTGCTGTCCTTCCCCACTTCCCTTGCACAGGTGCCAATTCCTAATACATATTTTGTACCCGAAATTCCATCTCGACATCTGCCTCTTGAGAAGGTACCCTGTAACAGGATGAGGAAGGGTCTGAGCTCACTACTAGGGAACACCAGATCCTGGTCAGAGCTGACCACAGCTGGAGGGGGCTGCATGGCTGCCTGAGGAGGCACTTGAACAGAAGGACACCAGAGGTGGGGGAGGACAGGACAATGGTTACTAGTGTCCGTTCCACTGATGTGTGTGTGGGCTCTTGCAGTGGGCTCTGCTGCTCCCAAAAGAGGGAAAGGGGAAAGTTCCCAAAGCAATGGTGAGCCCAACAGAGTTCATATCAGCCATTGCCCCTCAGGCCCAAAGACGGCTTCAGCAGTGAGGACATGCTGGTTGGGGTTTATTAAGACCCAGGTCCACCTGGGTGCAGAAGGCCTGGGATACAGAGGTAAGGTCCACTGCCAAGTGGAGGCTGAGCAGTGAGCAAGCCAGGCTCCAGTGTGGCACCAACAGCCAGGGAAGCCGGAGCTGGCCATCGTTTGCTAGCATGCACTGCACCTTGAACTACAGACCAAAGCCCCAGATGATGAGACTCCCTCCCTCCCAGACCTGTGTCACCTGCTGTGCCCTGAGGAAATCAACCAAGTCACATGAGCATACCGGTCACTGTGGGGACACAGCACTTACCTTCTTGGACCCCTGTATCTAGTCCCCCAAACAGAATTCTGTGAAGTGCCACTTCCTGCACATAGCCAGTGCCAAGCCAGGGCCCATCTCTTGGCCAACTGTCCATTCTGGTTCTTCAAACATTCCACTGAGGATGCTGGGGGGAGCCAGCAGGAGACCTCTAGGAGGAGGACCTGACTGAGTCCTCACAGCTAGGCCCTAAAGGTCACCCCTGCTTGCCCAGCATACCTGGCCCTCTCTGGCCCTCGCCTACACCAATGCCAGCCCAGAATGGCCACCTTCCTGGGCTGCTTGCTCTGTCTGGGTGCTCTCCCTTCCTTCCAGACCAATGCTGTCCCCTACAATACAGGTCTCAGCACAAAAGGTGTCTTTGCAGAGGCACAACAGCACCCTCACCCCTCTATGCCCCCCGTTATTTTCTCTGTGGTATTGTTCAAATGAGACTTGCTTTACTCATCTGCATGTTTTTATTTTTTATTTATTATTTTTGTTTTTCAGATGAGTCTCGCTCTGTTGCCCAGGCTGAAGTGCAGTGGCCCAATCTTGGCTCACTGCAACCTCTGCCTCCCGGGTTCGAGCAATTCTCATGACTCAGCCTCCCGAGTAGCTGGGACTACAGGCATATGCCAGCATGCCTGGCTAACTTTTGTATTTTTAGTAGAGACGGGGATTCACCAGGTTGGTCTTCAACTCCTGACCTCAGGTGATCCCCCTGCCTCAGCCTCCCAAAGTGCTGGGATTACAGGCGTGAGCCACCACGCCTGGCCATCTGTATGTTTTTAAGTCTGCCTCCCCCTTAGAATGTAGCTACATGGTGCAGGACAACGACCAGGACACTCCCCAACACCTCCTGGGTGAGAGACTAAAGGAAAATAAAGTCACCCCTATTATTTACGTCCTGCCCAGGCCACATTACCTCCCCAAATCTAAACGCCAGCAGAAGAGGTCTGGCTGGGAAGCCCCTGGAAGCACTTAAGCCTGGGGCACAGCTGTTAAGGATCGCTACATCATCCGCTTTCCAAAAAGAGCTGGAGGAGGCTGTCAGCACCCAACCCCCATGAAGCAGAGGCTGTGAAGATGGTTTTGGCAGCTGCACCAGCGACAAGAGCCCAGGGGCAGGGTATGGTGAGGAGGCCCCTGCAATATGCAGCTGGAGAGATGGGGCCTAGGGCAAGCAAGGCCAGAACAGAGAGTAAGCAGGGCCCCTAGGGCACCTGGAAGACGGGCTTGCTGTCACTGAGACGATGGGTGAATGGCAGGGGTGAGGGAGCACGACATCAGAGTTTGAGTTGCTGCACAGCCCTCACAGGAAAGAGTAGTTGAGCCTATGGACCCTTATCCCTCACCCCATAGCCTATCCCTGAGACTGTGAGACCCCCTACACTCCTCCCTCCATTCCTGGCTGTGACCCTGGGCCCTCACCACCAGGTTCCCTGGCAAGCTGGCCCACTCCTGGGGCTGGCCCTGCCTCCTGCAGCTCTCCTCGCCCATCCCTCCCATGTGCTGCTACCGTGAAGCTCCAATCTGTCTTAGCTCTGCCCACCAACCTTCAAAGATGCCCAGCTGCCCTGGGAAGATCCAAGCCCCCTTGGCCCGGCAGCCACTCACCCGGTGGGTCTTGCTGTAGGTGTAGAGGAAGGCCAGACGGTAGAGACTCTTATAGTGCTGGGGGAAGCGGCTCAGGCACAGGCGGAAGGAGGCGATGCACTGCTCTGTGAGAAACTGCCGCTGCTCCTCAGCACCAGCCGGCAGCCCCTGGGGGAAGGCCACTGGCTCCCCTGGGAGGTCCCCTCTCTTCTTCCCATCCCACAGGGTGGGTGTGGATGCTGAGGGCTTGCCAGGGATGCAAGCAGAGGCTGGGGTTTCTGCAGCAGGCTTCTGGACACCTTGCTCTGCAGCCCGGAAGCCTTCTGTACTCTCCAATGACTCCTCGTTTTTTCCTACAGTTGAGAAGAAGGGAAAGAAAGTCACCCTGGTTTTAGGCCCTGTCCATGCAGTGGTCTACCACCAGTAACGGAGGCGCCTTGGTGAAGTGATCAGCACGGCTGGATCAATGCCCTTGCTGAGTGGATGCTGGACCCAGCAGCAGGAGGCACAGGGCCCAGTGCTGGCTCTGCCCCAACCGAGGTCTCCCGCTCCATGAAACAGGCTGTCCCAGCTGGCATGCAGTGAGGGACCCAGAGGCTACAGAGAGGGGAAGTTATGGGCTGGGCTCTGGGTCTTCCCCTCTGAACGGTGGCACAGGCTGTCCCACCTCTGGGGCTGGGGTATGGGGAAGCAGCCCACAAAGGGCAGGTGTTGCCACCACCAGCATCGCATAAAACACAGCCAGGGTTCACGAAGTATCATACCTGCTCCCCTGCTCAGTGCTCAGCCCACTGCCTGCCCCAACTCCCTCTCCAGGGTTGCCGCTGCTATATGTGAGCCAAGTGCTCCCACATGGGCCCTCATGTGACATGAGCCCAGCTCCTGAACACCCAGCCTTGCTCCACCAGGGGCCATGGGGCAGCAGTTCACATCAGGATAGCCCAGGCTGGGTGGTGGTGCTGCACGGCTGGCCCCAGGATGATGACAGTGGCCTGGATGACCTTGGGCTAGACCCTGAGGTGCAGGCTCCTTGGCTACAGAAGAAGAAAGCTATCTGGCCCGGGAGGGTGGGACAGATGGAAAGGGCTGGGGAGCAAGGGATAAAGGCAAGGGGTCCTGTGGTCTGTGGCTCCTTAGGCACTCAGGAGCACGGCACGCCCTGCACAGCCTGCCTGGAGGAGGCCAGAGAAGCAGCCAGCAGCACCAGCTCTGAGGTGGTATGCGATGGCTGAGCCCTCTCCCTACTGTAGTAGCAGCCTGGAGATAGCTGGGGCCTGCTGGGGCAGGGCCGAGTCAGCAACAACCAAGGCCCCCAGTTCTCCGCATGCTAAGTCGAAGCCTATCTGCAGACATCAGGTGTGTGGCCAGGTTGCCCACCATCACTATTCTCGTTGAGGAAAGAATCTGAGCATTCACTCCCTATGTTCCCCTCAGCCACCTGCTATTAGTCTGACCTTCCCTCCCTGCTCCCCTGCAGCCCACCCCACTGCTCTCCCTCAGTGTCCTTGCCTCTCCACCATCACTCCTTCTCCTGGAGCCATTGCCCTTCTCCCTCCCCTGCATCGCTGCCCCCAGTGGTGTTGGCAAAGAAAAGCCATAAGAGCATCTCCCCTCCCCCAGGCCCAGAGCCTACCATGGGCTGCCCCCTCCCCCTACCCTTTGAGGTGGCCCTAATGACTGAATGCCAGGAGGTCCTAGCTCCTTCCACACTACACTGTCTTCTCATGTGAGCTCAAGAAGTTGCCTGCGTCCCACAGCTTAGGGCTGGCACCCATCTTACAGGGGATACCATCACTTTATTAAAAAATGTGCCAGGTTTCTAATGTGTTCAAAATGTGGCTCACCAAACAGGGTAAGCCATAATGCTGGGATCAGCCCTGTGCTAGGCACGGGGGAGACAGAGGAATCAGATGATGATGCAGGCCTCTCAGCGGTTCACATCAGGCACTGAGAGCTTGGACACAAAGACACACAGAGCACAATTTTTATGGAAAGCAGGCAGAGGGTCAAGAATTCAGCCAGAGTCCTTAGAACACATAAAGAGGAAGAAAACAGCAATCCTAGACTGAGTCAGAAACCCAGCTTCAGGGAAGACCCGCTCAGCCGCCCCTCTCTCAGAGAGACAGCTATTCTCTTTTCTATTTCTTTTGCCTATTAAACCTAACCCCCCCCCCAAAAAAACAAACAAAAAAACCCCTGAGAAACAAGAACCCAGTTTTAGGCTGGGCGTGGTGGCTCACGCCTGTAATCCCAGCACTTTGGGAGGCTAAGGTGAGAGGATTGCTTGAGGCCAAGAGTTTGAGACTAGCCTGGGGCAACACAGCAAGATCTCATTTCTACAAAAAAATTAAAAAATTAGGCAGGTGTGGTGGCACCTGTAGTTCCAGCTACTCGGGAGGCTGAGGCAGGAGGATCCTTGAGCTCAGGAGGTTGAGGCTATAGTGAGCCATGATTGCATCACTGCATTCCAGCATGGGTAACAAGGACAAGACCCTGTCTCAGAAACAACAACAACAACAACAATCAGTTGCCTAGGGGTCTGGGTGGCCTAAGGGGCCCCGGAGAGATGGGGCGAGCTGCCTTACACACAGCATCCACTCCCACTGCTGAACAGGCCTCACAGGTCACTAGAGCCCTCCATTTCCTTACTGGAAGAAAGAGGGTCAGAAATGCCAACAGGACTACACCACGTTTCCCGGCCAGGATGTCCAATTCTAACCCTAGCTGCGTGAAGATGAGAAAACTTCCTTCTACCAAGAAAAAGCAAGTAAAATGTGTGTTCTGGCTGCTCTAGCCTAGGCTGGTGCCTGCCGCAGGCAGGGAAGACTGGCTTGGAATGCCTGTGGTGCATATGCCAAGGCCAACAGAGCACAGGAGCCATCTGATCCACATCAGCCCATGGAGGTCCTAAGAAGAATAAGGCACAGACATGCCCCCAGCTGAGCCTCTGGACTGATGTGTACTGATGGCCTAGTGAACTCAGGGGGCCTCATTATGGAAAAGCCTGGCCCTCAGGTGGCTACACATCTTGGCAAGACACCAACAGCTGAGAGGCCCAGACCAAAATATGCCCCAGCAAGGACCTCAAGTCTGTCTCTTTTGACTTCTGAGATCGTCTTACTCAAACTCTACTGGCCTGAGAAAAGAGCCCAGTGAGGATGCTTTCCACAAAGGGTGGGCAGGCAAGATGGGAAGGAAGCTGGGCATTGGCAGGTCAACTGCCCCCAGGGTGGCCTCCCCCCACCGACAACCATTTATCACCCTATCCTGCATGTGGTGCATGGGCATTGTCACTAGGCCTCTAGTTGACCAGGAAGGGGCAGATGTGGCCACTCTGGCATGTCCTTGTGTCCACTGCCTGGATCACAACAGGTGCTTGTCAACTCTGCTTTGGGTTTTACCCTCTTGCCCTCAGAACGATATGATAGAGTGGGCTTGTGTTTAAGTGATGAAACTGTGGACAACTTTCTCCCTAGATCAAATAAATAAATCTCTACTCTTGCGACCTTCATATTTTAGACTTTTTTTTTTGAAGCTCTGCCCCCTGCAAAGGTGAGCTTCCGCTAGCTGCAACAGTCACTTCTGGGAAAGGCTCTTTCCTCAAGGCACCTCGGTCAAGGCCAGAGTGGAGAAAGACAGCTTCTGGAGAATTAAAGGAAGGAGGCTGGTCCTCGGGCAGTGTGACAGCTTGTGCCTGCTAGACACGGTGGGAGGGAGCGCATCTCATGCCAGGCAGGATGTGGCAGTCAGATCTGTTTCTGCTTTCCCTCGGTACCCAGTGCATGGTGCAGATCTGGACCTGTTGTGCCCTGCTGCTTGATAACAAATACGCGTGAGTGAGGGCCTGTACCCCACAACATTAATGATGGAGGAAGCAGCAGGCTGGTGGTAGGACTCTCCATGAGGGTGTGCTGGGAAGGCAAGTGGTGTGGAGCACACTTGGGGCCCGCACTCAACACTGCCTAGGCACTGCTGTCCCAGCTTTCTGCAGGGAGGCCAAAGGCTGCTCAAGTACTGCAGACTGTGATGGCCAGGCTGCTACCCAATGGGAGATCAGGGGAGTGCGTGTTAGAGACCACCACTGACCAAGACTAGGCCTGGATGAGTGCTCTGCTCCCAGAACTATCTGCTGGCTGTGGGCTTGGGAAGCATTCCCTGCCATACCTGCTCTTACAACAGGAAGTTGATCAACTTCACCACCATGGTTACCAAGAAAAGCTGGGCTTAGAGAGGAGCAACATGGCCATGGAAGCAAGAGGTTTCATTTCATGCTTATCAGCTATTGTGGTGACCTTTGGTCCTACCCTAACTTTCTTCACCAATGGCCAGCCCCACAAACTGTCTGCTTAAACCACTGGCTCTAATGGAAGGAGGGAAGAGGCAGGACACTCTTCATGAGTCTAGAAGGGCCTGTATAGGCTGTGCCAGACCAAAGCCAACTCACTCTCTGCTTCGTTCCCCCAACACCCATGTCCCCTTCCCCATTTAAGTGGGAAAGAAGCTCATGATGACACAATGGCACCTACAGCAGTCACGGCTTGACAGGCCACAGAGCACACATGGTAGGTCTTACTTGTCTGATAAGTTTTAAAAATCTTATTTTTAAAAACAGAAATGCTGTATTATAGTGTTAAGAGTGTAAGTTACCTTTTTCCTTCCCATTCCAAACTTCCTACAGTGTGTTTATGTCAGTTACAGAATGTCAACACTGGCTGGCGACTGCATAGTGACTGCCTGGTTAGAGAGTGGGGTGGTGGCCTCATCTCTTGATGAGGACCAGATACAAGTAAATCCACATAGTAAGTCCTCCATTCTGTGCCCTCTTCTCTAGTGTCTCTATCAGGTGTCCCCTAATGGGGATACTTCCAATCTACTGGAGATGTGGTCTCATGCCCTTCTAAGTCCAGCCAGGGGAGGCTGGCAGGGAGCAGAGAGCTAGGAGAGGTCTTCTTAGTGTAAATGGCTCTGGCCCCACTGCCACACCTATGTGTGAGCTCCCATCCAGGGCTTGCTCTGAGACTTCCTGGGACAAGGCCTGGGTCCCTCAGGGAGGCAGTTTATCACCAGCGTTTTTCCCCATCCATCCATCCATCCCACCCGGAGAGGTAGCGTGGGGTAATGGTTAAGGGTGTACACTGACAGGGCAAATTCCAGACCTTCTCTGAATCTCATATTCTTCAGCTATAAAATGGGAATAGTCATTGTGCTTTTTTTCTAGGGTGCTTGGGAGAACCAAATGAATTAACACAGTGCCCAGCACAGAAAAGAGTACGGGGCTGGGTTGTTGTTATTACTGTTTGAGGAACACGTGTAAGCCCTGGCCCTGGCCAGAGTGGGAAAGCTCTCAAATCTATAGCTGACCAGCCACACCTCAGAGTGGGGCCAGGAAAGCCCCAGCCTGCCTGTGATCTCCCAGTAAGCCCAGATGTGGGGCTCTGCCAACTGATTTCTATAAAGGGGGCCTGGACCCCCCAGGAGAGTTGGGCACACCCCCAGGCTTAAATCAGGGCTCTCTGCCCCCCTCCCCAAAAAAGAGAGATTTTTCCTGAAGACCTCATATGATTCAAACTAAAAGGAAAACACATTTGTGACATTTAGGATCCAAAGACTTTTAAAATAACCATTTACCAACAACAACAACAACAACAACAACAACAACAAAAACAGAGCACACTGATATCACAGACATGGCTTTCCCGGGCTGGGTTGTGAGGGTCATAACAACAACAGGCAGCATCCCTGAGCACATGTGGTGCTGGGCTCTGTGTGCACCCTCAGGAGCTGCCTCACTCAACCCTCACAACCCCAGGGCGGGCACTGGGACCATTCTCATCCTACAGGGAGAAAAATGGAGGCCCAGGGAGTAAGTGACTTGCCCAGCCAAGGTCCCTGGGCCACGAAGCCTTCGGCTTTGCCCAGATTGCCACAGGACATCAAAGTGGTTCTAATTCACCGAGTTAGGGCTTCATACCTCTTTCTTCTGTGGCCCCCTGAAGATCTTTACCCGTCGCTCCTGCTTGGGAACTGAGAATGGGCAGCCTCTTCTCTGTGTAGGATTTCCTGGAGCCTTCCAGTAAGCTGGTGGGCTCATTAAAGAAGTCCTGCGTTGAGCTAGAGTCTGAGAGTGCTACGGCTGTGCTGTCCTGGCTTCGGTCTGAGGGGAGAAGGAGGAAGAGAGGGCGAGAGCATTAACCTACACCACCTCCAACACAGGGGGCCTTCCTATGGTGAGTCTCCCTGCCGGTGGCCTGGGGACTGCTTTGCAGGAGATGGCCTGAACACAGCCATTCGACACTGCTGGGCCCAACCCATCCCAGAGGCCACGGAGCAACTCACCAAATGCACCAATCTCCATGGTCAACCCTCCTGGGGTTCCCCCAAACAGTGGTATTCTGGTAAATGTTTAACAACTGGCTCTCAGGGAAAAAGAAAGCCCTGATTAATAGCACTTACTGATTTCTGGAGTGTAAATATTCCCACCATGGCAATTTTCAAGTTACCAACGTGCTGTTGTCAAATGTGGAGTTAGGAAGAGATGCACAGTAGCCACCACTATGTAGTTTTTCTACCATATAAATATAACAGAAACAAATGAAGTGGGAAAGAATTCAGGAAACATTTTTAACCTGTTAGTAAAAGCCAGGTGTGATCTGGAAGAACTCTAGATCTCTGGGAGCCACAGATGTAAAAGGAGTTTGTACTCACTCACTGGCTGCCTTCTTCGGACCTTCACAGGTGCTCATGAGAAAGAAAAGGGGCGGGGCAAAGAGGGAAGTTGAGGAAACCTTCCTGGGAGTAGTGCAGATCTGGAGGGGAGGAGTAGTTGATGCTATGGAAAAGGTACAAAGCCTACCTGGAGGAACAGAAGCCTTCAGGCATGGAGGTGGGGGAGGAAACCTTGTTGCTTTCAGGGTACAGGTGAAGACCCACTGCAGCTGGGGAAGGGAAAAGGAAAAACCTTCTATTCTAAGGGAGGGGCAGGAAATCATCTAGGGTCCAAACATTAGAGGTCTCCTACCACTGAAGGACGGGCAGAATCACTGAGAAAGCACCACCCCTGAGATGCAGGAACACAGAGCCCACCTAAGTCTGAGGCTGGGACCAAGACAACAGAGAACTACCCCATGTCCCCAACCCTAGGCTGGCATGCACTGAGTAACAAGCAAGGGAGTCTACTGCAGGGAGAAGGCAAGAACATGGAGGAGTACCCTCCCTGAGGTACTCCCAAAGGCCTAAGGCTGAAGGTGGAACTGGAATGTTGAGAAAAACCTTGTGGCAAACCAGCTCCCCTACTAAGCACAAGGTAACATGAAAGGAATTTGAGCTTGGGAGGTTAAGGCTGCAGTGAGCTATGATTGCACCACTGGGGCACTAAAGGTAACCATAGCAACAACAAAACCCAAGCCAGCTCAATTTCTGACTAGCCTAACTCAACTTTCCCTACTAAAAGCCTAGAAACAAAAGAGGGAAGCCTATTCCAGGCATAAATATTACTTATTTCAGTTTCTTCTGTCCTACACGTGATATCTGGTATTCAATGTAAAAATTGTAAGACACACAAAGAAAGAAAGAAAAAAGTACATCGTCAAGAGACAAATCAATCAGCAGAACCAGACTCACAGATAACCCAGATATTGGTACTACATGTCAGGGAATTTAAAATAACTAAGATTAATATGATTCATAAATATGATTAGTATGTCAAAGGCTGTAGTGGAAAAGCTGAACAATATGCATGAAGAGACAGGAAATTTCAGCAGTGAGATAAAAAAAAGCAAGAGTCAAATGCAAAGGCTAGAAATAAAAAACACAGTAACAGAGATGACGAATGCCTTTCCCAGACATTGCAGCCAACCTGACACAGCTGAGGAGCAAAAGGAAATCAAAACTTGAAAACAGGTCACTAGACATACCGACAATCTCCAACTTACAATGGTTCAACTTAAAATTTTTTTGACTTTACAATGATGCAAAAGTGATATGCATTCAGTAGAAACTACACTTCAAATTTTGAATTTTGATCTTTTCCTGAGCTAGTGATATGCAGTACAATATTCTTGCATGAGATATTCAACACTTTATCATAAAATAGGCTTTGTGTTAAATCAGCAGTCCCCAACCTTTTTGGCACCAGGGGCCAGTTTCATGGAAGACAATTTTCCACAGACTGTGGGGGCTGGAGGGGATAGTTTCAGGATGAAACTATTCTCTGGCATTAGATTCTCACGAGGAGCGCACAACCTAGATCCCTCACATGTGCAGTTCACAATAGGGTTCACGCTCCTATAAGAATCTAAGGATGCCTGCCACTGATTGGACAGGAGCCAGGGCTCAGGTGGTAGTGCTCGCCTGCCTGCTGCTCACCTCCTGCTGTGCAGCCCAGTTCCTAACAGGCCACGGACTGGTACCAGTCTGTGACCTGGGGGTTGGGGACCCCCGTGTTAGATGATTTTGCCCAACTGTAGGCTAACGCAAGTGTTCTGAGCATGTTTAGATGAGGCTGGGCTAAACTATGATGTTGGTAGGTCAGGTATATTAAATGCATTTCTGACTTAATTTCAACCTACTTTTGTTTTATCAGGAAATAACCCCATTGTAAGTTGAGGAGCATCTGTAATCCAAACCCAGAGAAAAAGAGTGGACAGGAGGAATCAGAACAGAGCATCCAAATGATCCAACATGCTAATCGGAGTCACAAAAGGAGATGAGGGTGAAACAGGACAGTAGAAATATTTAAAGACATAATAACTAAGAATTTCCCAAAAATAATAAAAGACATCAAATCACCAAGATTCTCAGAAAACACCAAGCAAGGGAAAGATCCCTCCACACACATTTAAAAAAAAAAAATCACACCTAGGTGGGCCATTTTGAAACTGCTGAAACCCAAAGATACAAAATGTTGAAGGCAGTCAGAGAAAGATACATCAGATACAGAGGGACAAAGTTAAGAATTACAGCAGACTTCTCATTAGAAATTACACATATCTGACAATATCTTTAAAGTGCTGAAAGAATAAAATAATCAACTCAAGATTCTATACTCAGTGAAAATATCTAAAAATTGCAGGAAAAAAAAAGGTTTGTTTTTTTCCAGGCAAACAAAAACTGAGAGAATTCATTACCAGCAGATCTGAGTTACAAGAAATGTTAAAGGTAATTTTTCAGGTAGAATGAATATGAAGCCAGATAAAACTTGGATCTACATAAAGAAATGGAGTTTCCCAGAAATGGTTAAAGTTATGGTAAATATAAAAGATCTTTTTATGTTCGATTTTTCTAAAACATTATTGTTTACTTTCTAAAGCAAAAATAGTAGCAATGTATTGTGGGCTTAGAGCATATGTAAAAGTGAAATGAATGAAAACGAGTGCAAAAGATGAGCAGCTCTTCCACTGCCTACGAAGTAGTACAGTATCACCTGAAGGCAGACTGCAATGAATTAAAGGTGTATTTTGTTAACCCTAAGGCAACAACTACATTTTTTTAAAAAAATGATACTATAATAAACCAATAGTAGAGATAAAATAGAACTTAAAAAAAATTTTTTTTGAGACAGGGTCTTGTGTTGCCCAGGCTGGAGTGCAATTGCACGATCTTGGCTCACTGCAACCTCTACCTCCCAGGTTCAAGCAATCCTCCTGCCTCAGCCTCCTGAGTAGCTGGGACTACAGGCGTGCCCCACCACACCCAGCTAATCTTTTTTATTTTTAGTAAAGATGGGATTTCACCATGTTAGACAGGCTGGTCTCAAACTCCTGACCTCAGGTGATCCACCCACCTCAGCCTCCCGAAGTGCTGGGATTACAGGCGTGAGCCACCACGCCCGGCTGAGAACTATTAAAAAATAAAACTTTGTCTTGAACTTTACATACCTCAAGGTGAAGCTCAATAAACTAGCAACCAAGAGAGCTAAGTTCAAGTTCCTCTTGTGCCATTTACTAGCTGAGACCATGAGCAAGTTAAGTCCCTTTCGCACCTAAAAACTGCAACCACATATCATCTCACAGAGGTCCATGCCACACTGGCCTCTTGGGGAACACAAGGAGAAAGGCAGACACAGTCCCCTAGGGTCCACCAACCCTTTGCTCAGCTACCTTAAAAGCCTGGTATTGGTCCATGTTTTAGTGCTAATCAGCTGGGTCCTACTGGTAGGGTAGGCATGAGCTGCCTGGTAAGCAAACTTGAAACAACATATAAACTTGTTTTGGCTGGGTGGCTCATGCCTGTAGTCCTAGCACTTTGGGAGGCCAAGGAGGGAGGATTGCTTGAGCCCAGCAGTTCAAGACCAGCCTGGGCAACATACGGAGATGCCCGTCTGTACAAAAAATTAAAAAAAAAAAAAAATTAGGCAGGCGTGGCAGTTACTTGGGAGGCTGAGGTGGGAGGATCACTTGAGCCCAGGAGGTTGAGGCTGCACTGAGCAGTGATAGTGCCACTGCACTCCACTCTAGCCTGGAAAAACAGAGCGAGACCCTGTCTAAAAAAAAAAAAAAAAGCAAAATATAAAGTTGTTTCAAAAAAGTTGAAAGCCTGGACTCTGGAAGATCCAGGCTGATAGAACTGAAATTCTGCTCTGTCACCTACTATCTCTGAGAGCCTCTGTAAATGCCATAATTATTTATACTTCAGTTTCCATGCATGTAAAACTGTGATAACATAAGCACCCACTTCACAGAACTGTTATGATTAACTAGGTTAATACACATAAAGTGTTTGAATCAGTGCCTAACAAACAGTAAAGGTTCACAAAATGTCAGTTTATCAATACTATTATTTCAGAGAACCTGAGCATGTTTTATCTCTTATGTCTCAAATGTGCCATTACAGCTTTAGGTCTGAATGAGCAGAGGGTTTTGCTGATGCCATATTGGAGCCAATACCTAAGCAGCACCATGTAGATGGGGGGGCAACATTGACACAACAGGCCTGTCAAAGTGGGATGGCCTGCACAGAGGATACTGAGGATCAGGTCTGTGCTCCAAAGGGTGCCCTGCTGCTCTGGCCTCTTTACCCATGTCTCATCATATACCAGGGTTTGGGGACAGTGACCTTGTAGGCATCCCTGCCATAGCCCTTCCTTCATAGCTGCCTTTGCCATGTCCACTGCCCAGGAACTGATGGATCATCAGTATCAGCTGGGCTGACAGAACAATGAGAAATGAGGACTTGGGACGTGTATAAGACCCCTGAGTGGAGGAGCACAGACCTGACCAGAACCTCTCTCTCACGCTTGTGAAAGGCTCTTCCCTGACTTACAAAGCCAGAATACAAGGCTCCATGAGCACTGAATGGCAGTTATGAGCAGGCCTGCAGCCCTCACAAAATGTCCCAAACTTGAGTCCCCAGCATGAGGGGATCAAGAAGAGGTGGGGCAGCCCATTTGCTGGCTGTGTGTAAAGGGAGGATTAGCAATGGGGACCCTCTAGAGGCCACGCAGGGTCATTGTAGGAGCTTAAGGGTTGGGCTCCCAGACCCACATTCCCATCCCAGATCTGCCACTTAGGGGTTGGGTGATCTTGGCCAAATGATTTTGCTGCTCTAGGCCCCCACTTCAGGTTTTTTAACACGATTGCCATTGTCTTCCTACCTCTGTCCCTGACACATACATGGGATCCCACAAAGGCGTGGCTAGTGCCCTGCACACAAGTGACAGCCCTGCAGCATTCACTCTGGCCCTGACAGTGAGAACACCGATGGCTTAGACAATGCTCGTGAGGCCTCAGAGTCTCTGAAAGACAGCAGGCCATGCCCCGCAGTTGAAGTCTCCCTGAAAGACAAGCTAGGGCTGGGTCTCCTCAGCCAGCCTGAGACTAGCTGAAGTCACTGCACAGCTCAGCAGCACATCCTGCGGCAAGCTCCAGGAAGCAAGCCTTGCTAGGATGATTTCACCGACTGGCAAGCTGCCCCACGAGCTCACCGGCTCACAGGCTCTTTTGGGCTCTGGGCCTAAAGGAATTGCCAATTTGGTGGAATCCCAGCTGTGATCATTATGAAAACTAAGGATTGGTTTAGGCAAGTAGATATTTACTCTCAAAGTGCTAACACCCTCTTGATGCTGCAATGTGAAGGAACCAGGATCCATCCAGCAGGCAGTGAAGGTGGCCAGACCTCACCAGGAACTGTGTGGGCAAGAAAGGACGGCATGCTGTGCAGGGGCTTCTGCTCCCTGAAGAACGACCACCAATTGAGTGGGGACTCTGCTGAGACTCTTAAAATAACATCCACAGCAGTGGAACAGGGCAAGCACAAGCCAAGGGACCTGGCAGGGACAAAAGGCTGCTGACTACACTTTGCCAGGCCCTTCCTGAGCCTCTCAGACACAGATGTGAGAATCTGGAACTGCCAACCATCTAAAAAACCAGAGAGCAGAGATTGGTACTGGCCCTGGGGGGCATTGTGGTGATTCTAGACAAACCCTTGTTTAAGGGGTAATCAAGGTACCTAAGTGGCCCTGAGGAAGGCTCTGCTAATGGGGCTCACCACAGTCTTGGGTGCCACCTGCAGGTCATGATGCTGGGGTGGGCTGCTGTGGCAGAGCTGGAGAGGCAGGGGCTATGTACACAGAGATGAGATGCCCAACTGGCCTGTGAAGCAAGCAGGTGGGGGAGGTGCTTGCCAAGGTTCCCGCCCACTACCAAGGGGGCAGCACCACAGGAAGGAGTCCAGGGATGTGTTATCTCTTCAAATGAGAGCCACCAAAAGGGACTCAAGGCCCAAGGCCCATTTTCTGCTCCTTTCAGATCTTGTGTGTCTGAAAGGGTTGGCACAGCCTATTTAAAATGACCCTGATTTCAAATACTAAAAGTCAACCCAAGGTTTCATACCAAGTTTCAAGCCAGTCAGACTGAAAGAACACCAAGTTTCAATTCTTTCACGTCAATAGGGCAAAAGGGATGAATGAAAAAGCTCTTAAAGAATGGCTCTATCTACCTGGGCAGACAGTGCCCCAGCCTCCATTCCTCCTCTTCTGGGGAAGCAAACTTTCTCTGGTACAGCTGACTGAAGACCTCAGAGAGGCCACAGACAGACAGAAAGACAGACAGACAGACATGAACAGTGGGGTAAGTTTGCCAGGAACATCGCAGAGCATGTGAAAAGGACCCTCATCCTGCCACCAGCTGGGCTGCTGTGGATGGGACAGCCCAGGGGCTGGGTGAGTCAAGGTAGGGAGGACAATGTGCCACAGTGCTGGGAAAAAGCTCTTGGAGAACAGGACCCCTGCAGTTGGATAAGCTGGCAGGGCAGGCAGCAGGGAGGGTTGTTTGGACTGTGGTGTGTAACCCAGAGCCACCCCCATTCCTGAAGCAGGAAGCCCCTGCTCTGGGAGGCCCCTGAAGAGGGGCAGGAGGAAAAGGAAGGATGCCGCTGACTACTGTCATCTCTCTACTCCCAGCAGGCCCCTCTGCAAGGTCATCTCTCAGGTTACCAGACCTGCAGCCAAGGAAGGGCCAGTGTGCACAGGGAAGGCTTCTGGGAGAAGAGGTCACAGGTCAAAGGCTTCTTCTCTGGGGTAGGACCCCCATCCATCAGCCATGTACCTTTGGGCAAGGACCACTCCCTGAGCCATACTCCACCCGCTTCCCAGACAGCTGAACGCAGCCTAGCACCATAATGCACCACTCTCATGCTGCCCAAGTGAACTGGGGAGTCTTTGAGTATGTGTGGAGAGGGAATTCTGGCCTCAGGAACAGCCTACAGGCCTGGCTCCAGTCCTACCTCCTCCACAGGATCTTTGGGATCCTGTGGCCCTAGGTTCAAATGGGCTGACATGCAACTTTGTGTGCTAATGGCCTGTGCTGAGCCCTCAGAGGACCGGCTGGGTCTGCCTGTGCTCTATAGACAAAAGCTGCCAAGCCTGGTGGCAGAGGCATTTTGTTCTCCTGCCTCGCCTAATAGAGCAAGGCCAGATGGAAGAAGTCAGAGTCAAGCTGTTTTTCTGTGGAGGGGCTTTTGGGTGAGGAGGGGGTTCTGGGCCCCCTGGTTCTGAGGCAGAGCAAGAGACAGATGGAAAGCCTCTTTGATGTAGGAGAGCCAGACTTAGCCTAAACTTCCTATGGGGCTGGGTGGAGAGAGCCTTCCAGGGAAACAGGCACCCTGGATGGAACCTCCAGGGACTGTCCACAGTCCAGGTATCTAGCCTTGAGACTCAGGAGCTGAGAGCTGATTTCTTTAGGGAGCTACTTGGAGGCCAACAGGAAAGAAGAATGGCACTAGCAAGCAGGCTATAGGTTGGCCTTGCTCTTTTTTTCAGAATGTTCTTTTAAAAATCTGCCCACACAAAACCTGCTCATACTAATTAATATTTGTGGCAAGATTATAAATATTTTATTGTTACTGTTAATTACTGGAATGTTTCGTGTCTATGCATCTGGGCCACGCCAGCCTTCCCTCTGAATCCTTAGGGGGATGTGCGTCTGCCAGCCAAGTGCTTATTAAACTGCCTCCCTCTAAGCTCCAGAACCTTCTACTTCCAGGGTGGGATTTGCAGGATCAACTGTAAAGGAATGACAGCTGGCAACGCAGAGGGAAAGAGACCTGGCTCAGTGACAGAAAGGCTGCCTGTCCCCACTCAGTGTGAGAAAAGACTCTGTGTTCTGAGTCCTCCTTGTTCAGGTCTGACTCAGCTCAGATCCCTTGGACAATCCCAGGATTCTCAGGCCAGCCTAAAAGAGCTCTTTAGTTACAAGATGCAACTTTCCAGTGTCTCTTTAAGTGTGTTTCCTCCATTTGCTCCAGCAGTAAGACCAGAAACAGCTCACGGCCATTTGTTCCATCAGCCTGGGGCAGTGAAAGCCTGAGGAAGAAGATGTATGCTTGTGCTACTGCAACAGCTCTGACTAGTGCCCCAGAAAAGACCACAAATGTCCTGCCGACCAGGAAACAACAGGTTTCTAAGAACCGTAAACTTGGGTGGAATTAGTATTTTGAGAAATTTTCTGACTAGATAAAAGCTGCCTCAGTCAATCCTGGCCAACCACAGGAAAAGAACACGTCCACCAGAAGCAAGGCTGGCCCGGGAAATCGGGGTGCCCATTGTCAGGCTGAGAAGACTGGATGGATGCCAAAGAAAAGTGGTACCAGAAACCTGGGGGCCCCTGAGAGAGAGGAAGATACACAGCAGGCAGCAGGTGGGCATGACGGCATTGTGTGAGGGCCAGGCTGCACCACTTGTCCATTCTTTGCCAGTGCTCACAGGTGAGGGCCAACTGAGCACTGCCAGGCACCTCGAAGCCTGGCAGACATATCAGAAGCCTGATATGTGTAGACACCATGGTGCTGCCCTGAAGGGGCCTGATGCTCGGAGGCCTCATCATGCATCTCTCATCCTGCCCTCTGAGCCAGGAAAGGCACTGACCAGGGAGGCCTCGGGAGGCTTTAAACATTTTCCTGACCAAAGGCAGGTGAACAGCCCCTCTTGATACAAATGCCAGAAGAAGCGAAGCAGTTCTGTAAGGTGTGAGGCTGGCATCCCCCAGCCATCTAGTGAGCTTCCCAGGAAGGCTCTTCAAAGGATGATGGGGGGAAAATTGTGCCTTCCTTAGAGCCCAGAGAGAGAGAGATCCTGTGACCACATCACTCTCCCTACTGCCCACAGGAAAGAGCCCAACCCTCAGAGCCCAGCTGCTTTCCCAAGCTCTCTCCCCTCAAAGTCTCTTTTTCATCCACCCCAGTCACCTCAGTATCCAAAAGCTGTAGGACTCTCCAAGCTCCATGTCTAAATGGGCCTGCAGGCCTCTCTAGAGACTCACCTTCTCCAGGAATTCTTCCCAACCCACCAAACCCCAGAACTTGCTCCCGTCTGCCAGCTCATGGCACTCCTCCTTGGCACCAACTACTGTCCCATGATACCATGGGACATCAGATCCAACCTGGGAGCAGGAATCAAGGCACCATCATCTTGACTTTCCCCATGGCACCCTTTTCCATGCCTGGCACACAACAGATGTTCAATAAATGCCGTGACCAGCTAACTCCTAAAGGTTTTCAAAAAGCTAAGAATGAAAGAAGAGAACAAAAGAGGTGAGTGGCTCTTCGCTGACAGCCTCCCCTGTCCCCTGCCCGTCAGGAACAAGCAGAACAAACTGAGCTCCACTTACAGTCTCTCCCACTTTGAGAAGGTCTGTTTAGGAATGGCACTCCAACCAGAAACTGACCTCCCCTTAGCCCTAGGAGGGGAGGTCACTGAGCAGAGGCCAGGGTGGGCCTGCCCTTTAGGACTGACTGGCATTCACAGCTCCCCGTCCTACATAGCCTGGCCCTGGTGGGCTGAAGACACAGGACCCACCTCAGAGCATCAAGGCTACTGTGCACAATTTGCATTTTTACACCTTTGTCCTTGTAAAGATAATTTGGTATGTTAGAGTCTGTTGCCTTTGTTGTTTATTTTAAAGCAAGAAAGAGCAAAGCAATGGAAATATAGGACTGGGCCACCTGCTGGAGGTGCAGGCAGGGGGGCAGTGGAGAAGAGGCCCCCACCGCATCTGCCTCTGGCCAGAACTGGGAGGATAGGCCATCAGCAGAAGCCAAGCGCATCAAACACACTCTCCAAATCACAGGGCGAGCAGACATGAAGGTGCTCCTGGTCACAGGGGTAGCAGGGAGCCGGACTGAGAGCTGAGCATGCGGGTCTGCGCTGTTCCCTGAAGCGAGCCGTGACAGGTGCAAGCAGAAAGACAAAGCCTGGAGAACAGAGTGTGGTCAGGGTTAGGGGCAGCACGGGCAATATTGGTGGAGGCAGCATGGGGCGAACAGGCGAAGATGAGCACAGACGGCACACGACACAGACGGTGACAGCATGGAGGTTGAGGATGGATGGCCACAATGGGGGTTTGGCACAGGGCACCCTGGGCTCTCCAGTGAGGCCCACACCCTACAACCTGGGGCTCAAGGTAGCCTGAGACTCCTCAGCGGCTCTGTGCATGCTGTCAGTGGGACTAGGTAGGCATCACCACCCTTGGTGGATACCAGCCTCCAAGGCTCCCACTCTTCTGACCCTGGCTGCTCCCTCTCCCCAACCCCTCAAGAGAAACACCGACACACCCCTCGGATCTTGGCTAAACTTTGCCTCCTCGGAAAGGCCTCTTACCCCACCAACAGGCCCAGGTTTCTCTGGGATGAACAAACCCCACCTCTCTGGTGCTGGCATCAGTTGACCCCCAACCCTCAGCTATGTAACTGACTGATTTGCACCAACCTCCTCTACAGCAGGGACCAGTGCTGTTCTATGCACCTGGCACAGCACTGATGGAACCACCTGGATGGGCATGGCTACAGGTTGGCCAAAGACCATAGAGAGGCTCAGCCCCAGACTTACCACAGCACAAGGCCTCCGAGCTCTGAGGCCTTTTCTGGCTCTGGCATTCTGAAGTGACATGGAGCACGACAGGCAGAGAGCAAGGATTTTAGTCCAAGAAAGGCACTATCAACACATCCCAAAGCAGGGCTGAGCCAGGCCAAGTGACGAACCAAGCCATTCTGTAATGGCTAAGCTCTCTGGGCCCTCTGCTGAAGGACAAGGGAAACACACACAGATTCAGTCTCTGCCAGGCTGGCCAACCACAGGGCCTTCCTAGTGTCAGTCTCACCTCTGGCTAGGGGTGGAGGGAGATTCAGACCCAGTATCTCTTGGCTATACCCTGACTACAGCAGGCAGTTTTGGATGAGTGCCTACCTGCCCTCAGCTCAGGTTCCTCTTGGGGAAACAAGGGCATGACCGAGCCTGCAGGGCAGTTATGAAGATGGAGACATGCTACTACCCTGCAGGCACCTGCCCAGAGCCCAGCACAGAGCAAGCACACAGCATTGAGTGGTAGGGCGTAATTACACACGGGCACACACACACACACACATACATACACGCATACTGTACACAGGGTAGGGGTAGAGGTCTTGTTCAAAGATCTCCTTATGTTGCTTGAATATGTATAAAGAGTAATCACTGGGAACCCCCTGAAGGTCACAATGTGCTCCTCGGGTCACCTCGTTTTCCTGGTCAGGAAGCTTCAACATTAGGGATTTCAGCCCTGTGGGCAAATTCCAAGAGATTGACGGAAGGCAGAAGTTAGGCAGATGGGGAGCACAACCAGCCAGAGCTGCCAGCAGCACAGCAGAGGACAAAGCTTCTCTCTCTGTTGTTCTCTCTCTTGCTCTCTTTCTCAGCTTGGCCAGAGGTCAGCTGTGATGCCCTCCTGGCTGTTCCGTGAAGGGCTGGCTTTGACACCAGGCTGCGGTAGAGTCAGAGTGACCTGAGGGGCTGATTCCAAAGGCTTTTAACCAGAGTTATGCACAGGCTGCAGGATGCTCCCCACCCTAATGCAGGTGACACAAGGTTGCAGGTGAGGGTGGTTCAGAGAACAAATTTGGGTCCTATGAAGCAGCTATTATCAAATGTCAAACAACCCACATGTACCTGGAGCTATTTTTCTAAATCTTTTCTAAATCTTAAACCAAATCAGAATTGATCCTAGCTGATTTCTGGTTTTGAAGCAAAGGCATACCAATGTGGGAAGGCAGCTCCAATGCAAGGTCTCCTAACCATGCCCAAGGAAAGTCCTGACGCCTGGCTCCCTCTCCCACTGCTGGAAAGTTAATTGTTCTGTGGGGGTAGGAAACCAGGATCCAGAAAGCCCCATGCCCAAGCCCACTCAGGAGCTGCTGCTTCAGAGGACACTACCTCCACCTCTTGTGAGGCCATGCCACTAGCTGGAGAGAGGTGGGGTGCAAACTGAGGGGGACTGGCCCCAGAGCCCAGGCTCTTCCCTCTATGCAGTGCTACCTAGGTCTTACCCTAGTTCCACCAATGACTTGGAGAACTCCATCCAGGAGGTGGCTGCAATGTACAAGCACTTTTGTTTAATACCCATAACGAAGACATTACCCCATTCAACAGGTGAGGAAATTGAGAAGTGAAGTCCTTTGTCCAAGGTTGCAGAGCACATATGCAATGGAGCTGGGACTGGAAATCAGATCCTTTGACCAGGGCCTGCTGTGCACTTGCCTCCCTGTCTGACCTCCCCATCTGACCTCCCCGTGACTGCTTCTCCTCAGCTGTACCAGGGCTAGAAGCACCCATCACCCTCCTGGTAGTATAAGGGCTCAGTGGTGGCCTGCAATCAGTGCTGACGCCCCTCTCCTCTCACAGTAGACCCAAGGCTGGTCTCAGGCCAAGAAGCTGAGTGGAAACTAGGAACTACATGTTCTCCTCCCAGGAAGGAGAAGCAGGAACAGAGGTGGGCAGTGTGGCCCCTTGAGGCCACCAGCACATCCCCTGACACCAGCAATCTGCTGCTTCTCCCTGGAACCTGGGCCTTCCCCTAGGAACTAGTATAGCTGCTGAAAGGGCCACTTTAACATTCTAAGATCACAGCTATTTTAGGACCCCAAACATTTTCATGTTGCAGACACTGCTTTCTCTCAGAGGTGAGGCAGCTGAGTTCTGAAAGCATTATGCAGCCAGGCCTGGGCAGAGCACACAGGTGGCCAGTGCAGGGCTGGGACTGGGCAAAGATGGGCCATGGGATCCTGATGGCTTTGTGTCTTTGACAGGAATCACTTTGAAGACATTTTTTTTAAACAAATGTTCAAAACTGTGCAACCACTGAAACCATATTTGAACTTATTTGTATGGCTCCCTCTGCAAACTTCCAGAACAAATAACTAGCATGTTGGCACCCAGGACCTGTCATGCCCAGTTGTCATGCCTGAGTGATCTGCAGTGGCTCACCAACAGCTTCATGCACACATATGTGCCAACATGGGACAGCTGGCATCATGGCCCCCTTTCTGAGGCGCTCCTGCCTCCCTCCTTTCCTGCTTCTAGAGGCATACTCAACCCTAATGGGCTGACATCCAAGCACAGTGGCGCATGTGGCGTGACCTCAGTGGGAGCCTGCAGAGCTGCAGAGGACAGTGCTTGGGTTCCCTAGCCCAGGTGCATGTGAGCACGGCCACATGGCATGTGGACAACCAGGAAAGGCATTCCTCTCCTGAAAACTTTGGCATAGTGCTTCCTCCCAGGAAGCAGCTGGCAAAAACTAATTCCCTGAGAAGGGGTTTGCTGCTAGTATGTTTTCTCAATATTCTCAAGAGTAAAAGTTTGGGAACAGGGTGATTAACTTAACTAAGAAGGGGAGAGAGGATCTTAACAGGGAAAGTCTGCAGAACTGAAGATTGGAGGAGCAGGTGGGTCAGTTCTTCCCATCTCTGCTTAACACTCTGGGGTGGGCAGCGAGGTGTCAGTGCTGAGACTGGGAGTAATGACATGAACCTTCCAGGAGGTAAGAGACACAGCACACACTCAGATCCTCAGCCTCTCTCAACACGCATGCTGTAGATCCAAACCAAACCCAGGAGGGGACACTGCAGGTCTCCTTTCCTTTCTTGAGAATAGCAAATCCTGCCCCCAGAGAAATGGAGCATTGGCCCCCTTGTCATCCTTCTCCAGCACTTCTTTAAACCTGCTCTCAAGCCCTACCCACTTAGTTCAGAAAGTTGGAGGCAGATGCCCATGCTATATCCAGGAACCCGAGCACTGGGCAAGGGCCTCAGCAGGGCACTAGAGCGAAGGTGGTGGCCCCCCCCAGACCTGTACTGGGACTGAACTTCAAGGCTACCATGGTGCCCTAGAGTGCCCATTCTTACTCCAAGGAGCCACTCTATAAAGACTATCTGGCAGGAAGCAGAGCCCTGGGACCAATTCTACCCACCTACTAGCATCCCCATGCCTTGGGGAATGCAGAGCAAGGCCTGTTTCCCCAAGCCCAGATGAGATGAGTGACATAGGAGTGAGGGCCCAGGTGTCTTTCAGCATTGTCACTACCTCCCAGGACTCCACTTTAGTGGTCCTCTTAAATCACCAATTTGGCTTATCCCAGCAAGTACTTTGTCACTAGCTTATCACTATAAAAATGAGAGAACATGAAGAAATCGAGCTACAGGCCAGCATGCAAGCCTCCTAATGTTAGTAAGGAATGTGGTTGAACAGTCGCCACCTGCCCCATCCCACATGGCATGGCCACACATATGGTCCCAGGTGACCCCCATTAACAACTTATCTGGATTCTCAGGGGTGACAGACTTAGAACTAGTCACGGCCTTCCCTCAACCTTCAGAAGGACAGAGCAGTAACAATGTGCTGCTGAACAATGCAGGCATCACTAAGCTGACTGCACCAGGAGCCCCTCCAGGAGGCCACACTCTTCTAACTTCCTTTCAAAGTAGATGTCATGTCCCCATTTTGCAGGCGAGAAAAAGAAGGCTCAAAGATGTGAGATGCCATAGCCTGGCCTGCCCCCTCCCCTGGCTCCCAGGTGGGCAAGCTGGCAGGTGGCGACCCTGAGCATGTCTCGGAAGCACAAGAATCACTGTGAATCCATGAGGTTAATGAGCAGCCGCAACATTGCCCGTGTCACCCCAGACCCAGCACCCCCCCTCACCAAAACGAAGCGACAAAATGAGTCGTCCGAGCACCCCCCCGTGATTGATGTGCCGCCCTGGGCTGGCAGTAGGGAGAACAGGGACTGTACCGTCCGGCGTTGCCTGCTGGTGGGGTTTTTTACATTTGACGTAATCGTGGTCAATCGGAGTGGCTGTGTAAGGTGGGGATGTCAGACCTGGGCCAGAGGAGGAGGGGAGGGAGGCTCCGGGGCCCGGCAGTGTCCCAGCTGAAGAGTGGGAGTCCTCGTCCACCAGGCAGGCCTTCTCCCTGTGGGAACAGAGGTTTGGGGCACAGGTCAGAGTCTCCACCTCACATTGAAACAGATGTGTACTGGTAAGGGTGAATGCCCTTCCCAGGGCCCACTGCTCCCATGCACCTCTGGTGGCCCCCACCCCATCTGCCTGGTGTCACAGAGCCCATAGTTGCCCCTACAGCACCCACACAGGCTCTGGCTCCTAACTGGACACTGCCTAATCTTTCTGGCAGGGCGCGACCTGCATCTCTGAATTTCAGGCCCCAAGAGGCTCTATAGAGGAGCCAAAGAGTCTTTCTTCAGAAGCACCCTTGCATCTCTCCATGCAAAGTCTATGCCTTCTGTGTGACAGCCTGACAAACTTAAGACCTGACAAATGGGCAGACAGAAACACATCTGCATTTACTGCATGCTCACACATGTACAAGGATATGTGCTGCAACATAGTTGAGCAGAAACATTAGAAACACTCTAAATGTCCATTGGAGTGGTTACATAAAACATGGTACATCCATACTATGGTATAGTAAGTAGCCACTAGAAAGAATGAAGTGACTGGGGTACTATCTCCATGGACTGTTGCCCAGACCCACTGTCAGGGGAAAAAGCAAACTCTAAAACAATACCTTCTGTAGTTCATTTTTATAAAATAAATGAAACCTTACAATTGTATGTGTGCATTTAAGTGTTATAAATATACAGAAAATGATTTAGGAAATTAAACTGTGAATAGTAGCTAACTCTTGGAAGGAGATCTGTCACATTTTAGTCTACATGTTTATATACTACCTGAATGTTCTATAACAAGAAAGTATTCATGTATTAT
Source organism: Homo sapiens (assembly GCF_000001405.40). Lineage (NCBI taxonomy): Eukaryota > Metazoa > Chordata > Mammalia > Primates > Hominidae > Homo > Homo sapiens. The sequence continues at coordinate 24,097,201 of NC_000022.11, read as the reverse complement.
TTGTATAATTAAAAAAAATTTAACAGAATTATAACCAATGAAAGAAAGTATCATTGTATGTTGGGGGCCCTTTGTGACTAAAAAAATGGGTAGCTATAAATTCTGAGCACAGCGGCTGCCCACCTGAGTGGCCTGCCATGCATGGACGTGAACCTCCCCATAACCTGAGGGGCACACCGACTGTGGAGCTGGCTCACCTGTGGTGAACATCACACAGGCTATCTGTGGTCAGAAGCAGACAGCCCTCAAGCACAGGGCCTGGGTGCAGGCCTCTCTGGCACTCAGCTGAACCCCGCACAGTGCCCAGTCAGGCAGGGGTCAGCTGAATTTCGCACAGTGCCCAGCTAGGCAGCGGACTCAGAGATGGGGTGAGCTGAGCCCTCCCCTGGCTCCCATGTGGGCAAGCTGGCAGGTGGTGACCCTGAGCATGTCTCAGAAGCACAAGAATCAGCATGAGTCCATCAGGTTAATGGGCAGCTGCAACATTCCCCATGTCACCCCAAACCCATCTTTCTCCCTAGGACTTGCCCCTGAGGATGGGGCGGCACCAGGACCTGGGCCTGGAGTGAAAGAAGTCTGGGCTGTGGAGATGACTTACAACCACAGGGAGACTGGGGTCAGTCCAGGCCCACTGAGAGGACCACACCTGAGCCCCAGTCTCTCCGAGCTCTCTGGCACCACATGAGAAGCCCACACTTCCCACACTTCCCACTGCTTCTCAGGAGAATGGGCAGCAGACAAGGCCTTGGCAAAGGACCCAGGGGTGAGAGTCTGCAAAGCAAAAACTGACTTTCTACAGTGTTCTGCACAGAACAGAGCTGTGCCCCAGTGGAGAGGGCAGGAGGGCATCAGCTTCTCCCCAGGACTTCCCCTTAGGGTGGGGTAGCACCACACATGACCACAGGGTAAGGGGACTCACACTCACCCTCTCCTTCTCAGACTCAACAGAAATACCTTGGCCCAGCAAATGGGAGTTTCCAGATGGGTCCTAGGGACTCCATGAGTTCTAGTTTACTGTTTACTGTGTAGCAACCCTCTGAACAACACATTGCAGTAAACGAGCCATCTGGGATGCAGATGGGGTAAGCTGCTAGGGGTCGCCTGAAGGGTGCTACTCACTTTTCTGAAGCTTTGGGTGTGTTCTTCTCCTCGCCCCTGGCAAAGGGTCCTTCTGCAGCCTCCTTCATAAAGTTGACCAGGACCTCTGCACCAACCCCAGAATCGGGCTTCCCCAGGAGCTTCAGGATGGAAGCATGGAGCCGAAAGTACACCTAGGAGAACGACACCTCTAGTGTGAGCAGCCTTCCCAGTTGCTAAGATTTGTTCCACAGGCCAGTCAGCCACACTGGAAATGGGCCCATGACCAGGGCAACAGGCTGCCACACACTGCTTGTTTTTGTTAGCTTTTAAACCAACCATCCTACAACTAATTTAAAACAAGCTGTGAAAATTAAAATGTATACTGTCAGCATTCCAGCTTAAACGTTCACGCAGTAACTCAGGCACATGGTAGTGAGATGAGAGTAATAACCACTCATTATGATAACCCTTCAGCTCCGTTCACTGGGCACTGCCTCCCGCCACAGTGCTGCTGTTCTCTTTGTGCCCTTCAGTGGGCACCCATAGAAAGTGAGTTTCTACATCTGTCTCCCCACTGAACTCTGGACTCCCTGAAACAAGGACTAGGTTGGATTTCTGTTTATAGCCCAGCCCCCAGGCAAAGCCAGGCACCCACAGGCCTCGAAAACGTCTTCCCCGTGGGTGTGGTGGGGGGGTGGGTGGGCAGGCAGCTCATTGCATCCATTGGGCCCTGTGCTTTCCTCCATTTCCTCAAGTCCTTACCACATTCCTCAATTTAAAATGGGTGAAGAGCTGCCCAAGGCCCCACAGCCGGGAATGCCCAGGGCCAGGTTAAAACCAGGTCTGCCCTGATCTTCTCATGCAGGAGTGGGTGTGAGGCAGGCTCCCACTTGGAGGGCACAGTGGGTGGTATGAGGGCTGAGAACTGCCATTGCAGGCCCTGGCTAAGTGGCCCCCCTCACCCAGGTGAGAACCTGCTGGCAGCACTCTCAAGGAGGCATCCCAGACAGAGGGGTCTCACATCCAGAGCCCCTCCACCTCTAGCCCACCTATGGAGCCCAGAGAAATTGGCCCAGCAACTCCATTTTTAGATGTAGGAAACCACTCGAGGCACCCATGCACAATCAGGTGGCCAAACTTGGGGGAGGGCAAAGCATTCAACTGGTAAAGTTCATCCAAGTGGCGAGTAAAGATTCTTGAATGAAGGCACAATAGCAGAGGAGAATTTTTGTCAGGACAGAGTTAAAAATCTTCAGAGAAATGTCATTTTTGTTTCTTTTTTTTTTTTTTTTTTTTTTGAGACGGAGTCTCGCTCTGTCGCCCAGGCCGGACTGCGGACTGCAGTGGCGCAATCTCGGCTCACTGCAAGCTCCGCTTCCCGGGTTCACGCCATTCTCCTGCCTCAGCCTCCCGAGTAGCTGGGACTACAGGCGCCCGCCACCGCGCCCGGCTAATTTTTTGTATTTTTAGTAGAGACGGGGTTTCACCTTGTTAGCCAGGATGGTCTCGATCTCCTGACCTCATGATCCACCCGCCTCGGCCTCCCAAAGTGCTGGAATTACAGGCGTGAGCCACCGCGCCCGGCCAGAAATGTCATTTTTAACACAAGATATACATATTTACCAGCTGACTCAAAGTTACATAGCTACAATGGTTGCATGGAATGGGTTGCCCCCCAAATTAACTATGTGTGCTTGCTCTCCTTGGAGCCAGCACTGTGTGCTGGGAGAGGGTAGGCCACACATCTAAGGCCTTGGTTCCTCATATGGAAGCTGCTGGTACCCCTGGGGCTACCATCCTGCCTGCTCATCTGCTCTATCAGGCAGTAGTAGAGGCCAAATCTTGAAGAAAAAAACATGGAGGAAAAACAGAGTTGACATCATCTTCCTGAGGGCCACACGTAGGTTCAGTGGCTTCCCAGAGGTGCCATATGAGAATGCTGGGCTCAGTGGGCATCTGGCCCAGCTCCTCTCTGTTCCTGCAGGTGACTTAAGGCAAGTCATCACATCACTCCTCTGGGCCTTACCCTTCTCACCCCCAAAGTGGAGTTCTTCCAAGGCACCTGCCCCCAGGTGGACAGTATGAGCACTATGACAGGGAAGGACGGAGATCCAACGCCGCGAATGAGCGCAGCCAAGCTGCTGCTCCTGAGATAGCGTTCAACAGGAAGCTGTGTTTCCACACTTCTCCATGAGCCCAGTGAATATGGCCCCAAAACAGGCAAATTTAATTTTTTTTTTTTTAGACAAGGTCTCACTCTGTCTCCCAGGCTGTGAGTGCAGTGGTGTGATCACAGCTCACTACAGCCTCGACCTCCTGGGCTCAAGCAATCCTCCCACCTCGGCCTCCCAAGTTTCTGAGACTACAGGTGCGTGCCACCAGGCCTTGTTAATCTTTTATTTTTTGTAGAGATGGGGGGGTCTCATCATGTTGCCCGCTAGTCTCTGAGATCCCCAGCTCTATATCTCAAACTCCTGGACTCAAGCAATCCTCCCAAAGCAGTGGGATTATAGGTGTGAGCCACCATGCCTGGCCCAAACATTTTTTTTTAAATGAGTTTTTTTTTTCCTTTCTTTTTTGAGACAGGGTCTCACTCTGTCACCCAGGCTGGAGTGCAGTGGCACAATCTCAGTTCACTGCAACCTCCACCTCCCAGGCTCAAGTGATCCTCCCATCTCAGCCTCCCAAGTAGTTGGGACTACTGGCCTCCACCACCACACCTGGCTAATTTTTAGTAGAGATAAGGTTTCACCATATTGGTCAGGCTGATCTCGAACTCCTGACCTCAGGTGATCCACCCACCTCGGCCTCCCAAAGTGCTGGGATTACAGGCGTGAGCCACCATACCTAGCCAAAATGAGACATTTTTGTTTGCTCACAAAATTAGCAAATATTAAAAAGAGAACCTCATCAATATGGCTGAGGGAAAGCAAACACTCTCATCAGTCAGTACGACCTTGGGGCAAGTAGCCATTGTTGATCAGAATGCTAAACAACCTGGCAATTCCACCTTTGGACTCTAGTCCTTGGAAATACTCATGATGTGCTCCCTGCTTCAAGTACAAAGACATGCACTGCCTGTGCCTTGTCATAGCAAGAAGTGGAGAGGAAACCAAACCTATCAAGGGTCCGTGCAGATAAACAAACGCCCTGCTAAACTACAGGGCACTAGGGCAGGCAGGGAAGCTCACCACACCTTCCATTAAATTTTGTCCAGCGAAAAGACAAGCTGCAAAATCATAAGAAAATGTTACTATATGTTTATATGTTAATAGGAAAAAATTCGGACATACAGGGACATAGCAAACTCTTAGGGATTATGGAGGGGCATACTGGAATCACTAGGGGCCTTCACATTCACACTGTACACTTCTGAGTTGTTTGAATCTCTTTAAAACACACACACACACACACACACACACACACACACACACTTTTATAATCAGGAAAAAAAATCACAAAGGCAGAAAAAAGCAAGCAGCAGATTCTGTCCACACTCCAAGAGGCTTGCTGGGCACGTGAGACTGGTAGAGACTGGGCACATAGCCTCAGAAAGGGCAAAGCCAACGTGCACAGGGCCTTCAGAAGCTTCAAGTCCTGGGCTGAACCAAATGGTGGACATCTGGATCTCTACCAATGTCCTTGGTTTTCCTGCCTACAAAATTGACAATCGTGGCTGCCCAGCCTGCCTCACAAGACTGCTATAAGCAACAGTGACAGCATTCATCAGAAACACTCTGGAAACCATGAGAGAAAATCCAGGGAGTAAAGAACTGCTCTTTTCTTGAACAACAATCAGAAGACTCCAAACTGGGGGTCAAGAGAGCAGGCTGCTCACCCTAGCTCAGCCCCTGCCAACCTGGGTAGCCTGGGCACAGGCTGGGCTTTGGATGTCTCATTTGCACCCTGGAGGCAATGGTGCCTGCCCTCCCTCCTGCCAGGCTACAGGGTGTGAATGTCCTGGGCCTGGGAGATGCTATGTAGCACTGACTGTCATCACCAAGGTCAGGTTCTTAGAACCTGTGTTAGTGAGGAAAGACAATTTTCTTCTGAGAGATAAGAACAAAATGGTCACTCTCCCAGAAAGGATGATAAACACCCCTTGGGAAAAGAGAGGAAATGATGTTTTAATTCAATTGCACATGAAGCTGCTCAACACAGATAAGTTTGCGGCAGGTTGAAGGACGGTCACTGGAACCTTGAGCCACATGCCCAGGGAGATAAAGAAACCAGCCTGCCCCTGCCCTGCTTCCCCGCCCTGGGCCAGCATGGTGTCACCTCCAGGGCCTCCATGGCCAGCTCAGGTGGGTTGTGGTAGTGGATCTTCTTGGGGTAGCGGGCAGCCTCCTCGTGCAGGTAGTGGCCAGCCTGCCTGTAGTGCAGCAAGTAAACGGTGGGTGGCTGCTGCTGCTTCTCAGCCACCTTGCCCAGCATGTAGTGGATGAGCCACTCCTCCTCGTCACCATCACCCTCGCAGCGGGCTGCTGATGTGAAACAGTGCTTGGCTGTCTCTAGCATGCTGTCGCGCCGGCCCTCCATCTGTAAGAAGATCATGAGACTGGGCTGGCCTTACGCCTGAACCTGCCCAGGGATCAGACTTTTTCCTGTACAAAGCTCTGCCGACCTATTTGCAAGTTTATACTCCTCTTAACAACCAAGACACAGAAATGCCCTCACCATTTCACAGCTGGTGACACCGAAGTGTAGAAAGGCCTAGGGGTTTCTCAAAAGCGCCCACCAAGCAAGGCATAGAGCAGGACTTAAACTCAGGTCACCCCATGTCAACCAGGGTACTTTTTTCTGCTTTCCCCCTGCAGCATCTAATGCAGATTCACCTAGCACCCTGCTCCACAGCACTGGAGAGGACATTTACTAACACTCAGCACCCAGCCCTACGGCACTGAAGAGGGCATGTATTTAGCACCCAGTTCCACTGCACAGGAGAGGGTGTGTACCCCTGGGGTACAAGAGGACTTCCCACCATCTCCTCTGTGCTCTTTAAGACAGATGTGGAGTACTTGTAGAAGGGCAAATTCCTGAGCCCCACTTAAGAGCCACTGACTGGGAGTCTGCATTTGCAGCAAGCACCTCCAGCCACCCTCTCACAGCCTGAAGGAAGGAAACAGCTAGCTAGGAAGGAAGGAAAAGAGGGTCACCTTTTAAGAGGCACTACTTTCCAATACTGGTCAGCTGCCAGCCAAATTCATGACCCCTGATTCCAGAACTCTGGGCTGGAAGCTAGAGAGAAGCCTGCATGTGCAAGCCCACAGAGCTGCTCTGAGCAGCCCAGGTCTCTGATCCCTCCTCTCTGTGGTCCTGGATTGATAGCAGGGAAGCCAAAGTCTCTTCTTGCCTGACCTCAGGGGCCAGTGAGAGGGGATGAGTCTGCAGGCACTAGTCTCTGGCAAGGGCAGCTGCTGTGGCCTGCAGGAAGTGCCTCATGTTCTCATCCAGCCAGGTTGAGCCGGCCCTTGGATGTCTCTCCAGTGGGTGCTTGTTTATGTGAAAACCCTGTAGCAATGGCCCCAGGACTGAAATAAGGGAGCAATGTGCTACCCAGTGCTCTGTTAGACACTTCTCAGGAAAAAAAAAAAAAAAAAAAAATGACCACACAGGAAGTGGGAGATCATCAATGGGTGAAATACAGTGGAAAGCATCACAGTGCAGGGTCAAACACGGGACCAACCAAGTGACTCCATCACATCCCCTTCAAGATGGGATTCTGTGGCAAATGTGCTGAAGTAAAAGGCAATGGCTAAAAGGATGTCCTTCTACTTGAATTGCTTTGTAGCTGTGTGACCTGGACCAAGTCACTAGCCCCCCTGCCCACCCTGTTCTGCCACTGGCACCTGTAACAGCCACCTGCCAAGAAAGAAAGGGTAGCTGTGAAGTGGCCCATCTGGGCTGGCATCTGGTACCATGCAGACCCTTGGGAAGAGGCTAAGCCCCCACCCCTTCCCCATACAGGGCACAATGCCAATGTCCCTGTCCTTGTGGTGTGGAGGTCACAATACCTCAGACAGGAAAAGGAGGGACAGTCACTGAGGGCCTGCTGTGTTTCAGAAGCTCTACTAGACACCATCTCACTACCTTGCCATCCTCAGAGCAGAATAGGCACCTCATTCACCTTGCATATGGGGTGCCCATGAGAGGGGCTCAGGAAATGGCTGATGGCAGGTGTTCCCAATGAACTCTCACAATACTGCCTTGGAGAAGGAACCACAACAGGAATGTCAGGTTACTGCTTCCAGGTCATACAGCTAGAACGCTCTGGCTCCAAAGCCTTTCCCCTTGCCTGAGAACTGACATCATGGGGAAAGCATTTGTTCTCCTACACCACCACCTCTGAGGAGTTTCTGGGCAAAAGCTGAAGCACACAGCAGCTCGAACAGCTGCCAACATGTGTCCTGCAGCCCATCCTCCAGACACAATAAATCCAGACAGAAAAGTAGCAATCAGGGGACTGTGTCCTCGTGACACATTTCAGGGTTGGAAGCTGTCTCTCCAGAGGTGGAAAAAACCCAGGAGGCACAAGGCAGCTCTGCAAGGTAGTTTTCACCCTCGGCAACTATGAAACACCTCCCCCTACCTTCCCTCCCTCCCTGTCGGGACATCTGCATTCCTGGTGGATTTCCATCTCTCTCCTGCCACCCTAACACTCCAACAAGATGGCTTGGGAACCCAGTTTCAGGACCTGAGCTTCCTGGGCCAATGGCTTCCATAAGATCAACACTGAGTTCAGTCCCAAAGGTTATGAGCCTAAGTAGAGGAAAGAACAAAGCAAAGGGAAAAAGTATGTGGAAACTTGAGCTCAGTCTCCTTACCCACTCCCTGACTTCCCTGCTCCCTTCCTGGGGGAACCTCTACAAACAAAGCTCTACAAACAAGTGCCAATGGCAGAAAGGGAACTCTGACTTCTCACCCTATTTATTTCCTGGAAAACTCCCACTCTGCCAAATCTCATTTGCCATCATTGGTGGGAGATTAGGGAGAAAATCCCAAGAACCATGATCAGCTCAGCCCACTGAGCCCCAGCAGAGGATAATGGTGCTCCTGCTGTTACAAGGAAGGCCTCTTGGGGAGTCAGGCTCTGCATCCTAGGGCAGCAGCTTCAGTCCCCAGCCTGCCCAACTCTGGGGCCACTGCAACACAAACAGAATCCCGCAAGGGACTTTAGTGCAGAACAGTTACAATAAAATAGGGTTACAGCAGTTAAAAGGAATGTACTAGATCCACAGGAATTATCATGGATAGAACTCAACAGTGTGGTGCTGAGTGAAAAAGGAAGCTGAGTACCATACACAGTGTGATAGCATTTAGATTGGTGTTTTTTTCTAGGAGTACATATTTATGTATAAAAAGTACTTTTTTTTACAGTCTGGAAAGAAACAAGCCTGTTTCTGAGGTAGTAGGGGCAGCCAGAGGGATTTGAGCTTTGCCCTTAATATTGTATACTGCAACTGATTTAGAGAAGCCTGTGTCCCTTGTAAGATTTAAGAGTAATTTTTTTTTTTTAGACAGAGTCTCACTCTGTCGCCCAGGCTGGAGCGCAATGGCATGATCTCAGCTCCCTGCAACCTCTGCCTCTCAGGTTCAAGCAATTCTCCTGCCTCAGCCTCCCGAGGAGCTGGGATAACAGGCATGCACCACCATGCCTGGCTAATTTTTGTATTTTTAGTAGAGATGGGGTTTCACTATGTTGATCAGGCTGGTCTCATACTCCTGACCTCGTGATCCGCCCGCCTCAGTCTCCGAAAGTGTTGGGATTACAGGCGTGAGCCACCACACCCGGCCAAGAGTAATTTTTTTAAAGACGGTAATGTTAAAGAGGAGGCGGTGCTGACACTTCTTTCCCCTATCCTCTCTAGGGTGCAGTGCTACTGCACTACTGCTACTGCTGCACTAGCCTAAACATGTCAGTATGGCTCCTTCACTTCCATCTCAAGGAGCCAAGGGTACCCTACTGAACAGAGACCTAAGGGCCAGACTCAGTATCCTGCACTAGTGTAATCCCCTACCAAGAGAGACTTCAAAAATCCCAACCTAAGCTCAAGAATTTTACAAGGATCCAACAAGCTCCTTTGAGGGAACAGGGAAGAAATAGCTACTTCTGGTGGCCAACACCTCTCCCCTCCCTATCTCTCAACTACACTATAACTAATGGCTGACCAGCTGGGTCTAACAGCCTGTCCCTAATTTGTCTACACTAGACTGGGTGTCCAAAGACCAGGGACCAAGTTGTCACTGACCATGGTATGGCTTAAGCCTCATGGGGAGATTCGTCAGTGAGCTCCCAGCATGGATGTGTGGACAAGAATAAAGTACGAATGAGACAGAGCTTCGTTGACCTGAGGGCACTCTGTCTGGACAGAAGGATGGCAAGCCCATCTGCAGCACCCCCTCCTCACCTGCTGCACGAGCTCAGGGGGCAGCTCGCCTCTCCACTGCTTCAATTGACGTGAGGCGAATGAGTGCAAGGCATAGGACATGGTGCCATACTCAATCCATAGGGACAAGTTGGAGCTGTCAATCTCCAGGGCCCGACGGAAGCAGTTCAAGACGGGCGTGGCATGCTTCCAAATGGGCCCATCACTCTTCAGCTCATTGGAGTTCAGCTTGTCCTGAATGCGGCTGGCCCGGGCCAGAGCCATGCCTGCCCAGGAATCAAACCTGTGGTGGTAACAAAAGCACCAGCTAAAAACAACACTACATGAAAAGCATGGAAGATAATGACAGCCTAGTGGACAGGCAGATGGACCCCATGGAAACTCCCTTCCCACACCAGGGCTCAGAGCCCAACTCTGCCACTCACTAATGCCATGACCATGACCCAGACCAGTCATGTCTCTGAGCCTTCATTCCTAACCTGTGACACAGGGCTAAGAAGACCTACCTCAAGAGAAGAGCTGTGGGCATTATGAGACAAAATGTATTTTAATCACCCAGCGCCTAATAGGCATGCAGTAAGTACTCTAATGGATGAGCTCTTGGACTCTGTTCCCCTGCTTTGAGGGGTTGCCCACAGAACAGCTCTGGTGGAGAGGAAAAGGAGTGCTCTACAAGGCAAGGCAGCAGCAGTCCAGCTAAAGCACCAGGAAGACCCTCAGCCAGGTGTGATCTTACCTACTTCTGTGCTGGCAGAGCCTGTCATTAGCACATTTGCCAACCAGAATCATGGGCAGCAGAGACCCCTGGACCCCAGCAACCCAGCTTCTACCCCATTCTCTCTCTGGGACCCTGAGCAGATCCTGCCCCTTCCAGCTCAGTTCTCAGCAGTAAAATGAAAAGTGAGGGACCACATGATGGCTGAGACCCTACCATTCTGAGACCACCCGAAAGAAACTGATAGTGAGAACACAGAAACCTGTCTGAGAGGAGGAATGGCCACAGAGACACCAAGACTAAGATGATCTCTGAGCACTTGATAGTCTGAGACTTGCTGAATGCTAGTACAAAGAACAGAAAAGGCAGCAATCAAATGGACAGACGCCACCCTCACACATGCCAATCGTCCTTAATGCACTGCTAGCACAGAAGAGCAGACTAAGCACCAAGTCTCGCCTAGCACCTGCCTGTTAAGGCCAGAACGAAAGTGGCCAAGGCCTGGAGCCCAGGATCAAGCCATCAAGTGCTTTCCTGGCACTGGGGCCAATCCCACGGGAGACCACGCCTCTGTGGCAGGGTTGCCTAATGGGCCAGGCTGATGGGTTGATACCCTCTAAACAGGCAGGTATGAAGGTTGGAGGGAGGCCCAGTTAAGCTGCCATGAGCCTTAATTCTGTTGAATAAGGGGCTGTCAGGTGAGAGGTGCCATGCAAAGACAGGTGGGTTTTATCACCCTCACTTTTCAGATGTGGAAGTAGGGGAACAGACGAGGAAACCTGAACTGTGGCGCAGTAAGCACTCAGCCAGACTGAGCATAGATAGGTCTGCTCTATCACACTGGTTCCCAGTCACCCCAAGAGGACGGCCAGGGCTCTGCCACATGGCTCCCTGACTGGAAGAAACCACAGGCTAAGCAAAAGAAGTTCTGTGAGAACCTTTCACACAATCTACACAAGTCTTGCAAACTGGCTTTTCCACTCACACCCAGTCCCTTCTCTTCTTGGCCAGATGGATCCTGACAAGGTGGAATTCTCTGGTTTTCCCTGAGTTAGGGTGGCTCTGTGCTCACCCATGGCTCAAGGGCAGCTATCACAGCCTGGCCTCTGAGTCCTTCCAGAAAGTGTGCCTACAGATGCTACTCTGAACCCTTTAGATGCAGGTCTGCCACAGAGGGTAGCCTCCTTTTGACCTTCACCCAAGGCTTACCTCCTAGGTAGGAAAAAATATTCCCTCTTAATCAAGTGCATCAAACTTTACAAATGTAGAAGGCCCCTTGAGAGGCTCCAGGCAATCACTACATTTTAAGAGAAAGCCAAACAGGGTTCCACAGGAAGAGAGCATGAGCTTCATGTGCAATGAGCTCTTCTACATGTACTATCATGACAATCGCTACTGCTAACAGTGCACTGCATCAGAGCAAAAAAGAGAACTCTGGCTTGAGTTTTTCTATTACTTGTCCCCAAGAAGGCAACCATAGTTAAGAAGCCTGCAGTGGAAGCAGCAAGAGTACACACTCTGGGGCTGTGAAAGGGGGCAGCACAAAACCAACAGGATGGAGCCAGGTTGCGCCTCCTTGCCCTGCACACCAGGGTCCAGATGGACACTTCGTACCTTCTCTAATAACCCTTTACCAATAACCCTCCCAGAGGACTTTGGAAAAGAGGCCTTCTCCTCTGCTCTTCTTTTTATGGAAAACCTGCCTTTCCTAACAACAGCAAAGTGCTAAACCACCCTCTCATTCCGTTTTCCCTGGTCTCTTTGCAATGGACAGGGAAACCCCAAAGTGGCCCACTGAAGAGCTTGCTGAGCTGGAGTCACCCCAGTCATCCCTGCAGCCAGCCTAGCCTCATGATCTGGTCACTGACCTATTGGGGCAGATGCAGATGTCATGCATGTAGAACTTGATGGCCTTGGACTGCTCCTTGTTTTTGAAATGATAATCAGCCAGGAGGTAGTAAAGCTCGTTCACCACTGGAGGGGAGGGGTCAGCCCCCTCTGGGAGGCAGGGTACCTGGCAGGTGAGAGGAAAAGTATGAGGGGAGGTGGAGTCAAGGACTCAGATGTGACCAGTAAACCCAGGACTGTTTAGTCACAGGACAGACTCTCCAGCCTCTCCTGCCCCTCAGTCTGGTACAGAGCAGAAAAAGAAGCAAAGGAGCATATACAGCAGTGGCAGAGCGGAAGAGTGTGACCCAGCCCTGTCCCCCACGTCCTCAAGGTTGTGGGCCCACCTCAGTTGAAGTTCCCTCAATGTAGGCAGAGACTTTGTCCAGGCTAAGGGCTGGCCTCTCTGTGCGAGGCACAATGGTGGCAATTCTCTTCAGTAGGTTGGCCAAGTCAGCAGACACGGTGCTGGTCTTATAGCTGTCAAATTCAGGAAGGGTCTTGGGCTTAAAATACTCAAACATGAACAGTGCATCCTCCCATATAAGATCCACCTTGAAAAAAAGACAGAAGGCAGATTAGTAACACATTCAGGGTAAATGAAGAAGGAAAATTGCATTCCTCCATAGAAACGCACTTTGTCCAATGTAAATGAGGTTATGGCATATTGGAGAGCCTAAAACAAATCCCCATTATACTTAAAAAAAAAAAATCTGCACTACAAAAATTAGCTGGGCACGGTGGCAAGCGCCTGTAATCCCAGCTACTCAGGAGGTTGCGGCAGGAGAATCTCTTGAACCTGAGCGGCAGAGGTTGCAGTGAGCCGAGATGGCACCACTGCACTCCAGCCTGGGCAACAGAGTGAGACTCCATCTCAAAAAAAAAAAAAAAATCTGCATGCCCACTATAATCCCCAAATCCAAGTGTCTGAAAAGCATAAGCCTAGTCTGTAGAAAGACAGACATTAGAAACCACAAGCTGCGCTCTATAAGCCCACGTGGCTGAGCCAGAGGGTGGGTTCCATCATGGGTGGGGACCTTGGGCCAGCCACAGACCCTCTCCACTTGGTAGACAAAATATTGAAGGAGAGCTGACTCCAGGGAGAGTGGCCCTAGGTTTGGGGTCCACAGCAGGGGCTCTGTCCTAAGGAGCTTACATTTTAGTGGATGGAATCCCTAAGATCAGAGAATAACTGACAGTACTGAGGAGCCATTAGATAATACACTCAATAGCGCTCTAAAAACCAAAACAACACAAAAATGGAAAACCTCTAAGGAATTATTCATATCCAAAATAGAAATAAACTATCGACAACTGCCATGCTACATTTTTTGGTTTTAGGGTAGTTTTGTTTGTTGTTTGTTTGTTTTTAGAGATGGGGCCTTGCTCTGCCACCCAGGGCTATTCACAGATGCAATCACAGTGCACTCCAGCCTTAAAATTCTGGCCTCAAGTAACCCTCCTACCCTCACCCTCCAGAGCAGCTAGAACTAAAGGTATGCACCACCATATCTGGTTCTACATATTAGTCAACATTAGTTGAATGTCAGTCAACATTTATGAAAATAAGTTTTTGCAAGAAAAACCCTTGTCCTTTGATACACTCATCAGACCGTCTTCTCTCCTCCTTCTGATGCAACTCCAAGCAGGACTGCCAAGATGACTGTTGACAAATATGACATCCTTCAAAAGAGCTTACAGCTCCTGCTTCCCTCTTTGTTGGGCCTATTGCAGCACCCTCACCTGCTGGGCCGAGTGTTCCTCCAGGTACCTGGCCTTACTCTTCTTGCTGGGGAAGCTGTACAGGCAGTAGAAGCACTGCTCCAAGGCTGTCTCCAGCTCCTCCTTGTAAGGGTGCGTGTCTTCAGAGGTGGATGCAGCCAGTTCCTTCTGGAGTACTCGCACCTGTGGTGGGCAGAAGAGATGGCCTGAGGTGAGGGCCTGTAGCCACTGCCTCCCTGTCACAGCAGGGCCCCAGAGAAACCACCACTCTATCAACTCTTTTAACCTGAGGTGGCTATGTCTGTTGGGCTCCTGCATGACTTGATTCCAAAAACACCTGTTTCCTGGAAAAGTCTTGTTATCCTAATAGGAGTAATTCTGGTCCCACCTCTGGGCCCAACAGTAGCCTCCTGATGGGTTTACCAAGCTGCCTTTCTTTCAGCACACCTAGCCAATTTCTACCAGCCACCAGAAGAAGATATTTGCCTCCTGGGAACTTCACTCATTTATTTAGTCATTGATTTCCTCAACGAATATTTACTGAATACTTTCTTAAAATAGGTATAGTCCTTGCTTTTTAGAAGTTCAGATTCCAGTGGAGAGAATAAAGTTAAACTATAAACAAATAATTATAACATAAGATGATAAATCTCATTAGGGCTAAGAGAATCTCCCTCAGACAAAACATAAATGAGGATCAGAGAGGATGTGAACAACATAGTAAACAAGTTACATCTAAGAATATGAGAGCCGACGGCTATTGTTATGCCCAACTATTAGCAAATACACATTATTTTCAAGCATTCATGAGATTTTTGCCAAAACTGGATGAAAAGCAAGTACAAAGACCAAAAACTAGATATAATACATACCACATCCTCAGCTGAACACAATTCAATAAAATTAGAAATCAATTATATAAAAATAGCAAACACCAAATATCAGAATATATGGGAGTCAGACAAAGATGTATCTGGGAAAACTTACAGTCTTCAATACAGGCATTAGAAAAGTGAATACTGGCTGGATGCAGCAGTTCATGCCTGTAATTCCAGCACTTTGGGAGGCCGAGGTGGGAGGATCGCTTGAGCCCAGGAGACTGAAACCAGCCTGGGCAACAAAGTGAGACTCTGTCTCTACAAAAAATTTAAAAATTAGCCAGGCATGATGGTGCACACCTGTAGTCCCAGCTACGTGGGAGGCTAAGGCAGGAAGACTGCTCGAGCCCAGGAGGTCCAGGCTGCAGTGAGCTGTGATCGTACCACTGCACTCTTAGCATGGGCAACAGAGTGAGACCCTGTCTCAAAAAAAAAAAAAAAAAAAAAGAGAGAGAATAAAATCAAGGAAGACCTGAGAAGAAAACAAATTTTCTTTCTTTTTTCTTGAGATGGAGTCTCGCTCCGTCGCCCAGGCTGGAGTGCAGTGGAACAATCTCGGCTCACTGTAACCTCCACCTCCTGGGTTCAAGCAATTCTCCTGTCTCAGCCTCCCAAGTAGCTAGGACTACAGGCACCTGCCACCATGCCCAGCTAATTTTTTTATTTTTAGTAGAGACGGGGTTTCACCTTGTTGGTCAGGCTGGTCTCGAACTCCTGATCTCAGGTGATCCACCCGCCTCAGCCTCCCAAAGTGCTGGGATTACAGGCGTGAGCCACTGCACCTGGCCCAAAATTTTTAAAAATAATAAAAATAGAAAAAAGAAAAAAAAAGAGTGAATACTAAAATAACCATTCAATTCAGTAAGTTAGAAACAATACAGAGTAAATTCAAAGAACGTAAAAGGAAATATTAAAGCGGTAATGAACTAGAAAGCAAAGAAAAAATGGATCAATAAACCAATAGTCAGTAATTTGAAAAGACTAATTTATACAAACCTCATGAAAGACTGGTTTTTAAAAGGTGGGGGGAGAAAGCACAAACTATTTTAGCAATGAAAAAGGGGCATAACTCGAGGTACCACAGAACTTTTTAAAGCATAAGCAGAAACCATGAACAGCCTTATGCTCTAAGTGGAAACTGTTAAAACAATATAATTGACTTGAGAAGAGAAAATCTAATTGGACCTATAATCACTAAAGAAATAGTAGTTTAGAATTTATTATAACACTCCCCAAAAAGAGAGAGAGAGCTCTAGACCACAGGTGGCAAACCACCCCATGGGCCAAATCCTGCCCTTGTCTGTTTTGTAGGCCGGGAGTTAAGAACGATGTCTGCATTTTTAAATGATTGAAAAAAAATTAACAGAAAAAAACTATTTTTTAACACATGAAGATTATATGAAATTCAAATTTTAGCGTCCACAAGTTTTGTTGGAACAAAGCTGCAGCCACTGATTTAAATAATATCTACGACTGCTTTTCTGAGGCAATGGAAGCCCTGAGTAGTTCCAACAGAGACCCTAGAACCTACAAAGCCTCAAAGATTTACTATTTGTCCCTTTACAGGAAAAGCTTTGGTGACCCCTGGCAAAGAGTATAAGACAAGGGGGAAAAAAGAAAAAAACTATAAGGATTGAAAAGGAAGGAAAAAATAGTTATTCGTGGATGATATGACTGTCTACATAGAAAATTCAAGTCTACCACCCACTAAAATTAATAGAAGCAATAAGCAAAGGAGCTGTGCATAAGAAAAAATTATTCAAAAAACTAGTGCTCCTGCATGCTCACAAAAACCAAATAGAAAAACTAACATTTAAATATCTATTTACAACACTAATAAAAACAAATGAAACCTAGGCAACAATCTAACAAAATATACGCAACAATTTTACAGCTATACTTTGAAAAAATGAGAGTGAAAGGAAAAAAAGTATTATGGAGAAAATTATTAAGCTGAATTAAGGGACATGAAAGCATAAGACCTAAATAAACAGAGAGATATACCACATTTACGACTAGAAAGACTCAATCATACAAAAATGACAATTATTTTGCAAATTAATCTGTGAGGTCAATGTTATTCCAATCAAAATTCCAATGGCAGGTTTGCGTTAGGGGGTTGGATATCATAAAACATTACAGAGTGATCGTACAATGGTACAGAAGAGGAAAAGGCCAAGAATAGCCAAGAGACTAAGAGGTACGTGAGTAGGTTAACCCTACCAGGTATCAAAATCTCTCAAAGACAATTCAGTATTGTCAGGAACGGACAAGACTCCTATGCCAATAAAAAGAACAGAGCCAACATGTAAGAAGGTGACTTACAAGTCAGCACAGAGAACAGACTCTTCAAAAAATGGTAAAAACCAACTGGCCATGCATGTGGAATGTAAAATTGGATTCCTGCCTTATCTTTTAACAAAAATAAAATTTAGATGGAATACAGACACATGAAATACAAGAGCAAACTAGTAGACTAATGTAAAGGAGATCTTTACATAATTTTGTGAGAGGGAAGTAAAAGTACCCCCATCCCTCAAAAAATCACAAACCTCAAAGGAGAAGACTAATAAATTTGACATTCAAATTTTAAAATTCTGTAAAACAAATACCATACACATAGTTAAAAGATATCCCACATAAAGGTGCACAGAAATAGAAATAGAACTAAGCACACAGACACAATATGTGCACGTAAAACTGGTGAAACTTATGTATCAGATAAAAGACTGGAATTCAGAGTACCTTAAGAAAAAAACTGCAAATCAATAGGAAAAAGAAAAACAAACCACTAGAAAGATGGGCAAATCATGTGAACAGGCAATTTGCATAAGAGGAAACCCAAGGGGTAAACAGGCATAAAAAGATATTCAATCTCACTAATAATTATAAATTATTAGAAAGAACATCTAAAGAACAATGAAATACCATTTCATGCCTTTCAGATGGGCATCAACATTTAAGTCTACTGTACCTAGGGCTGACACAGATGTGCAGGAATTCCCACACAGCTATCAAAAGTATAAAACTGTTCAATAATTTTGGAGAATAATCTGAAAATAAAATTTTTAAAGTTAACAATGTACACACTCTGTGATCCAGTAGTTCCTTTTACAGGAATCTACACAAGAGAAACTCTCACATGTATACATAAAACAACCTCTTGGTGGACGTTAACCATAATATCATTTGTAACTCCCAAAATGGATAAACAACCTTAATGCCATATTAGGAAAATTGTTTTAAAAAATAATAACAAATACTTACAGATGAATTGATATAAATGTCTAGGATTTGCTTCAGAATAATGTGGGATGATTGGGAAGGTAGGTGGGGGAGTGGACATGCGTTATGAATAATAACGACTAACCAGTGCTCAGTATATGGAAGTGCACTATACTTTCTATTTTAATAATGTTGGGAATTTTCCATACTAAAAAGTTTAAGAGCATGATATACTCACACAATAGAACCCTGTAAAGCAATTAAAATGAATAAACTAGATGTACTTGTATCAATGTAACTGTATCTCAGTATACTAAAATAAAAGCAAGCTGCAAGAGGTTACATACTATATATTTAGTATGTAAAATTTTAAAACTCATGTAACTATATACTATTTACTGACATACAGATACATAATTAGGTATAAAAAAATGTGGACAAAAAGATACACAACCAGCTTCAAGAGAGTGAGGGAGGTAGGGTAGTGAAGAGCATGCTTTCTTGTTAACTCTTATTTTTATCAGAAGACAAATTTGTGGCAAATACAGCAGATTGTCAACACATATAAAATCTGGGTGTGGTACACAGAAGGGGGGTGGGCACACAATGTAAGAGGGAATATCCAGGTATTAATAAAGGCTCTATAGCACAGGGGCCATTTGAGCTGTGTGGAGATGAACAGATAAGAATCCATCAACCCAAGTAAAACATATGAAAAGAAATAACTCAAGAAAAGAAGAGACTCAAGAGGATTTCTCTCAGAGAACATTTCCATTCTATCTAAGAAAATAATCCACACAAAAGGTCTCCCTGATGTTGGCCTCAAATCACTCTCAAGATGGAATCCTTTTACCTGCAGACCATGAGCCTGGGGCAAGAAGAGGTAGTAATGAAGCATTCAACCTTCATAACCCTCCATGGCACCCAGAATCATGAGTGCTCAGCAAGCATTTCTGGGGAAATTAATGAATGTCTTTATGTTTGTTCATTCATTCATTCAAGAAATACAACTGGGCAGCAGTCTGTCAGGTATTGCTCAGGCCCCAGGGATGCTTCAAACAGCAAGACAGAAAAGGTCCCTGGTCCCAGGGATGCTAGCTGGTGGGGGAGGGGCACATGACAGAAACAAATGGTGGGGGTCCCCAGCAGTAGACAGGACAGCATGTGGCAAGAGAGAAAAGCCTCTTTGAAAATGCAGGAAGGAAACAACAAACCAGTCATGCAGAAGCTGAGGAATAGCATGGCAGGCAGAAGGCACAGGGTGGTCAGGAGAGCTGCTGCAAAGGTTGGAGAAATGTAAAGGCTGGGCCTTGGGCAGGAAAATCAGGAACTACAAAATGAAACACAACAGTGCTCAACTCACTTCTACTCCCTCAAATTCATTAGCAGATATCAGCAGCTAGAATTCATGCTCCAGTAGAAAAGACACAGATTAAGAAAAATGAAATAGGACCATCCTGTTGCCCCTTCAGCCCACCCCTTCACTCTTAGCACCACTCCCACCCAAGCTAGCCTAAGGTATTAACTCATTCTTCCCAATCAGCATAAGGAGGATGGCCTTGTGGAGGTGACCTTATGGAAGCAGAGACTGTCCCTGCAGAGGGTTGGTTGGCAGAGGGAAGGCAGAAAAAGGGAGTGGCTGAGTCCTGGGCAGCATTACAGACTCAGCCTGGCAAAACTCTTCCAAAAATAGTCTTGGAGAGTAGAGCTGACCCAGGGTGAGCATCCCAAAGGCCCTCAGAGCTCACGGGGTAGGGGAGACATTCAGGCATCTGGAGCTGGGGCTGGAATTTGCCTCAGACACTAACCAGCAACAGGGACCTGGGCCAGATGGGTCTCCTGGACAAATCACATATTCAGCCTAAGTGTCTTGCAAACTGTCAAGCTCTATACATACATGAGCTCTATACATATGCATACTCTCCTTTAACCCATATTTATTAAGCACCTACTATGTGCCAGGTGTGTACTAGGTACTTGGATCCAGCAGTGAACAAAACTAGCAAAACCCCCTACTCTCTCTAAAGTTAATTTCAGTGGAGCAGAGACACACAATACACTCAATGAGTGTATCACACAGCATGCTAGAGGTTAAGCGCTGAGGGGAAAGCACAGGAAGATGGGGAGTACTGGGAGGGAGGGTGCAGTTGTGAAAGAGCAGGTATTGTTCCCTGAAGAGAAGGTATAGAGCAGGTGATGGCAAACGTTTTCTTAAAGGGCCAGATACTAAGTATTTTAGACTTTGCTGGCCATACACCTCCATCACAGCTACTGCACTCTGCCACTCTACTGCAAAAGCAGCCACAGTTAATATGTAAATGAATGGGCATGGTTATATCCCAATAGAACTTCACGAATAAATATTATAGGCTGGGTCTGAGGTCCCTGTCTTGGTATATGAAGAACACCAGGTGCTCTGTAACTGGTCTGCATGCTGCTTGGCCTCCTACTCAACAGTGAGATTGGAGACAGGGTTCGTGCTGCTTATCCCTAGTAAACCCAGGGAGCTACTTCCAGTCAATCACAACTGACAAGTGCAAGGAAGTGTATGTGCTCTCACTAATCATTTAGTGACTGAATGGATGTAATAATAGCTATTGAATGAGCAACTACTACTTGGCATTGTGAGTAATGCTTAGTAAACAGGACTCAATAGAAGGCGGTGGTGGTGCATGTGGTTATTACTCCTGAAATTACAACTACAAGGCCTAGCCCCGTGCCTGACTAGGAAGAAACTCAGTAAGGACTAGTAGATCTAAATCCACCTGCTGTTCAAGAGCTCCGGAGCTTCCTGAGCCTCAGGTACACAAGGGAACTTTCTGGCAAGAAAGTCTTATCAGACTTTCTGACAAGCTTCGGTAACTACAGTGAGAAATGCAGTAAGTCAAAGACACACAGTGGGCCCACTGAGGGAAGGCCAAGCAAGCCCAGCGTGCCAACATGAATCTGTCCCCTTCCCATTCCACCTCCCACCCCAGCCCTGCCCCG
This sequence comes from Homo sapiens, assembly GCF_000001405.40. NCBI lineage: Eukaryota > Metazoa > Chordata > Mammalia > Primates > Hominidae > Homo > Homo sapiens. The sequence goes on along the minus strand of NC_000022.11, from coordinate 24,076,319 downwards.
CACTGGCAGTCTGCAGCCCAAGGGGAAGCACTTACATAGAATCGCAGCAGAGCCCCATCTGAATTGCAGCACCAGGACCTTCTGCCCAAATACTCGTGGGCTGTGTTCAGCAGCATGAGGGAGGATGGGAGCATGGGCGTCTCTGACATCCCTAGGGAAAGCCCAGGCCGACAGACACAGAGTTAGTGTGGGAACCTGCGTGCCTGCAGGGGCTGCGAGGCTCAGTCTCCTCTTTTCGGGCTTTTCTGTCTTTATCAACATGACTACAGACTTTTCCTTTCCCTTTTTTTTTTTTTTTTGCCTTTTTAAATAAGTAGTGACTTGACTGGCTTTACTAAAGCAATACACGCTTATCAAAACACAATTCAAGCCATATAGGAAAATATAAAGGAGCACACTTTATCCATCAAAATACCAGCCCAGAGAGAACCAATGCTGACATCTGGTGAACCTCAGTCACAGCATCCATCTGTGCATATCTGATGCATTTTGAATGAGAGAAAAGTAATTTGTTACAATGGAACCCATACTACACATGCCATTTCTTAACTTAAAAAAAAAAATTTTTTTTTTTAAGAGATAGGGTCTAACTGTTGCCCAGGCTGGAGTACAGTTGGCACAATTATAGCTCACTGCAGCCTCCAATTCCTGGACTCACACAATCTTCCTGCCTCAGTCTCCTGAGTAGCTGGGACTACAGGCGCGAGCTACCACACCCAGCTAATTTTTTAATTTTTTGTAGAGACAGGGTTTCACTATGTTGCTCAAGCTAGTCTCGAACTCCTGGCCTGCCTCGGCCTCCCAAAGTGTTGAGACTACAGGCATGAGCCATGGCGCCTGGCCTTAAAAGTTCTTAGATTTAGGTCTACCTGAATAATACAGAAGAAAAAGAGTAAAACAGGAGGAAAAAGAACTACTGAATTCCAGTTACACATTTGTTTACCACTAGAAGTATTATTTGTTTATAAAGGTCCCTTAGTATTTTTGAAACTCTGGGCCATAACCCATTAACGACTTATAACTAGCATTTTTAGAGTGGATCAGGACAGAACATGTCAGAAGCCACTAGTAATAACTTTCTTTCATGAAATTTGTTTTGTACTTTTTCTTCTTTTTTTTAAGATGAGGTCTCACTTTTGCCCAGGCTGGAGTACAATGGCATGGTCATAGCTCAATGCAGCCTCCAACTCCTGGGCTCAAGTCATCCTCCTTTCTCAGCCTCCCAAGTAGCTAGGTCTCTAGGTGCCACCACCACACCTGGCTAATTTTTTAAATTTTATTTTACTTTTTGTAGATACAGGGTCTTACTACGTTGCCTGGGCTGGCTTCAAACTCCTGGCCCCATGTAATCTTTCTGCCTCAAACTCCTGAAGTGTGGGAATTACAGGAGTGAGCCACCATGCCCTGTTACTTTTGGCTCTTAAATGCAACCAATTGTTCCAATTTGTCATATTCATTCTGCTCCATGCTGTTTGCATTTATGACTTTATAATGGTGAGATTTAGTTTGCAGTGTTTTCCTCAGTTCTACGATTTTCCTTTTTGTTTCATTCTGTTTGTCAGCTCAAAAGCCCAATTCTGCTTCCTCCGCCTTCCTTATAAACCCTGTCTTAGTATCTGCTTCCAGAGAATTCAGTATGTGATAACTGTTATTATTTTTCCTGGGTGATAATATCCTCACCAGGCCCCTCACCACCCAACCATAGTGTGTTTTATCCCAGGGCCCCTTCCCTCAGCTCAGTCTGCACACTGGAAGATGGCAGGATCCTGTGGCTCTTCCTGCCTCTGCCAAGGCCAAGGGTGGGATGGAGGAGGTTTCCCCTCATGCCACTCTCCACAAATGAGAATATTAATAATATTTCCCAGGATTTGGTCAACTTGCTATCTTCCATCAGTTCTCCTGCTGAGGGACATGCAGAGACAGAGCCACATCTACTGCCACTCCACCAGAATCTTTCTTTTTTCTTTCTTTTCTTTCTTTTTCCTTTCCAATCTCTCTCTCTTTCTTTGATGTACTTTTCAAAGTTTAAGGTATTTGACTATTCCTCTATCCGCATTTACTTGCTGGCAGTTTTTTGAAAACTAATTTTTGTTTGCATAATTAATTTTGAGGAAAAGGAGAATTTCAGTCCAGAAGTCTTTTCGTGTTATTTTTCTAAGAAAAATAACAAACTTTTATAGTTATAAACTTTAGGTTTTTTTTCACCACTAAAATCCTTTTGGAGAACAATGTGGTACCAGAGGTAATAATTATCAAGAGCTCTAAAGATATTCATTCCTAGAAATTTATCCTAAAAAAAAAATTGGGTACAAGCAAAAAGGCATGAATGAGGTGTTCATCACGGCATGACCCGTAAGAATGAAATAGTGCAGCCAAACTAAGGGTTCAGCAGCGGGGATGGTTCAATAGTGCATGCACCTCTCATCAGCATGATGAAAACAATGGAGCAAAATGGAGCAACAGCTTTACAAAACAGAAAATAAAAGCCTTTTGCAATCTGGCCCCTCTTCCCATATCCAATCCCCATGCCCCAGGTCTCCTGCCTGACTTAAGGCTTGCTCAGTCCCTGGCCCCACTCCACCTCCCCAATGTCTTCCTCTGCCCCTGCTCTTCCTTCAGGGCTCAACTCAACCCACACCCACACCCATGGGCAGCATCAGGTGCCCTCCTCTCCATCCACCACACCATCCTGGTGTTAGATAGTTGATCTGTCTCCCACTATCACAAACCTGTCAAGGCCAGAGGTATCCTAGCCACAGAGCCCTGACATGTAGTGAGCAGCTGGTAACTTTCTGAGCAGTGAATAAAATTATAGAGAGAATGTGAAGGGAAGGAGAAAAACCACATGTTAACTCTGGTTTTCTCTGAGCAGTTGGAATAGGGATGACTCTTTCCTTTCCACTTTTCTTGTTTTACAAATTATTGAGGAAAAATCTTCAATAAACTTAATTTTAAGCTAGTTGAATACAAGCATCAATAGACACATATTATTCTAACAACTGCACACAAACTAGATGTGCATTAGGCCAAGTCTGGACAGCAAATGCAAGAAAACAAAAAATGGAAAAAAAAAAAGATCTATCTGATAAGATTACAGGCAATCTTTGCTTTAAGTGTCATTTAGCTGCAGTACTGTCGTTTCTTCAATCCAGCACACTTTCTACCATTGCACTGACTATGGATCCATTGCCATCTCCATTAAGGGTCTGGGGCTCGCCCTCCCTGGATTCTCATCACTCAGCACCCACCATGAGCCAGGCACTGACCCACCATGGTGATTCATGGCTTTATTATTTCATTTCATCCTCAGAATAACCTTCTGAGGTAGATATTATTATTCCCAATATGGGTATGGGGAAATAGAGGCTGAAGTTATATGACTTGCCCAAGGTCACACATCTAAGAAGTGACAGTTGGGATGTGGAACCTGTGCTCACTCCATGCTGCCCTCGGCTTACCATCCCTTCGGGTGTCATGGGGATTAAAGGAGCTAGTGGATACAAGGCCTCCTGGAGCAGTGTCAGCATTTGTCATAAGTAGTCACCTCTTGTCACTCCCTCCATGCTGCCATCTGCACCAAACATACAATGCTCACACATCCAGGCCTCCCGTGCCCACTGCACAGTAAGCTCCCTCAGGGAGAAACCAAGGACACTTCTGCCTCTGTCCAAGCGCATGCAAAATCCTGGGATTGAGAGGACTGAGCCCCACTCACAACGTCTGGATAAGGTCCAGGACCCTAGGGCAGAGGACAGGGGCAAGGACATGGGAGTCAGAGCTCATCCCCACTGCACCCACTGCCTGTGCACCTTCCTCCGCTGGGTTTTGGAGCTGCTGCTGGTGGCACAGAGAATGGAAGGTGTCTTCCTCCTGCCAGATGATCCGGTGTAGAATGATCCAGGGTAGCACTGAAGAGACGTGGGGCTCCTTGGCCTCCTCCTGCACAGCCATGCTGCAGTCAATGACCTGACAGTGCGGGGTGGGAGACAGCAGAAGTGTCACAGCAGGGTAAGCCTTCAGGGCAGACTGAAGGGAGGCAGGAGGCCTCTTGGGGAGCTGGTATGTGCTGCCTGCCCACCCCCACTGCTCAGATGTGGGCACTGTAACCTAGCAGATCCTCAGCATGTCATCGGACAGAGACCCATAGTGTCCAATGATAGTCACACTACTCTCCTTCATGCCACATGCAGTTACTGATACCCTCAGTACCTACTATGTGCTGTGTCCTGTGAACAGGGCATGGGGGAGCTGAGAGCCCAGAGAGAAGAGAGCCATGGACAAGCTACACAAGTGCAAAGAGTCAGTATGGCTGCTGCAATGAGAACAGATGCAGCCACAATGGCTCACAGAGGAGGGGTGGGGCAGACAGGTGAGAGCCTTATTAAGAAAGTTTCCAAGTGAGTGGCTGTGGTGTGTCCAACACCCAGGGAGGGCAAGGAGTGGGGGCAGAGGACAGGCATGCAGGCAGGGACCCCAGGGGGTAGCCCAGGAAGGCTGCAGCCAAGGAAGCACAAGACCAGGGGGAGAGACAGGCCTGGAGCTCAGTGTACCTTAAGTGACACACAACCTGGAGGGAACATGAAGGGTTTTAAGTGAGGGAGAAGCACATTCATATCTGTTTTGGAAAGGTGCCTCTGTGGCTGGAAAGCGGCTGGAGCGGGCAGAGGAGACTGTGGCAAGTGTGCTGCCACAGCTCAAGCAAGAGTAGCAGTGGCCTGGACTACAGCAGAAAGATGAAGACAGAGGGAGAAACAAAGGCTGGAGGGGTGAGGATATAGATTTGGCAGGACTTGCTGATGGCCTGAGCGGGAATTGAGGAGAGAGCCCAGAGTGCTTCAGAGGAAGATTCTCTGCCTTAAAGACTTCCTGGACGATGCAGGGTGCTGTGACTACCCCTCAGTTGGAAGTGCCAGGATACCGTGGGATGCTGGAGCCATCCCGGCCTGCGCTCTGGCCCCCATTCTGCCTCTGGCTCACTGCAGGCAGACCAGGGCCTCCCCGTGAGGTTATTTCTTCCCCTCTGGGACGGATGGTCTGGAAGAACCCCATGGCACCAAGTGCTACACAGTCTCTAATCCCCAGATCCGACCAGCCCCAGGAAGGTTTGCAGCCTGCGCACAAACCCCTCCTCAGATCCCGAAAGTTCCAACCAAAGAAGCCATCATGTCCCCTTTGGGTGCCTAATTAGCAATGAAAGCTATGAACTACTGAAGAAGCAGGATGTCACAGAGACATACCTGCTGGGGCAGGGCAGGGTGAGAAGGAGCCAGGGGTTACCTGGATGAGGTTGTTGGTGAGCCGCACAAGGCCAGTGGTGGAGGATGATACCTTCAGGATGCTACCACTGCTGTCCGCAGAGAGGGCCTGCTCGATGCCCATCAGCAGTTGGGTCACTGTGGCCACCCACTCCTCCTTGGCGGCAGCCTCACCTGAGTTCACCATCTGCTGGACAGCCTCGTTCAGAGCCACATCGGAACACTCAAAACACTGCCGATAGTCCTTCAGCCGGAGCAAGGAGTCCTAGTACAGCAAGAAGCCAGGTGAAGTGCACGGTGAGCTCAGCACATCTGGGCCCAAGGCCTGAGCAGAGACAACTGAAGGAAAACAGATGAGGGGCAGCAAAAGAAAGGGAAGAACGAGCCCCAGCACAACATAGGCCCCATGCAGCCCGGAGGTGCCTAGAAGGGCAGTCCAGTGGCCTGTGTGCAATGGCAGCAGAGAATGTCACCAGCCAGGGAGCTTTCAGAAAGGCTTCACCTCTGTACCTCAACTTCCCCATTTATAAAGTGGGGATGCTGGGAATGAGGCTGCAGAGCCAGCCAAGGTGAGACAGGCACCCCAACACCTGTCAGCTCTCCCCAGAGCCACTGTGCCCATCCAGTGCCAGGGCTCTGGAGGGGGTTCAGCAGCAAAGGGGCAGACTGCCAGGGAGGGACTACCTCAGCGGAGGAGGGCCTGAGCCAAGGCCACAACAGGGGCAACTGGCCAGGCAACACTAAAGTCATCACTCTATCAGCCTCCTCCTCCCCAGGTGCCCTGATGGGGCCAATGTGTAAGCCATTTGAGCCTCAGCCACCACATCATCCCCTCAGCGGCACTGTGGGCATTAAATGAGCTGATGTGCATATTACACTCAGCACAGTGCCTGGCACATGGAAGAACTCTCAGAACACCACACTGAACTGTTACTTCTATTTTAAAAGCTTCTCTTTGGAAACCACTGCTTTTCGCAAAGCTCCTTTTTTTTTTTTTTTGGCCTAGAATACAACCCATTTAAATGCCTGGGATCTCTCATCACTGTGCTGGTGCATGGGGAAACACAGCCTGTCTGTGAATTCACAGATCTGGTGGGACGCTTGTTACACCTACAGGAAGCACCTGCTGCCCGGTGACCCATTGGGCTCTAACCTCGCCACAGCCCAGGCCTGGCAGCGGCTCCTCCCAACCTTGACATGTGCAGCTGCCACTCTCTGAGGTGAGACCAACAGGTGTGGGGTCAGAAATACCTGGAACTGCCTTTGGAATGTGGTGTGGTATCTGAACACAGATCAAAACCCCCCCCAATTTATAAATCCTAATTGCCAGGAAAATGGGGCCCGTGTTTCATTAGAGAAAGCCAGCAGCCTTTACCAGGAGGCCACTGGGGTGCGAGGGTGCCTACAGGGTGCTGATGTGGGAGTCCAAAGCCTGAGCTGATGCCTCCTGGTCAAAACACCCAACATGTGAGAGCCAGAGGATTATTTTCCAGCATGATAAAGACTACTAAATGCAACCAGAGTCATTGTGAAAGTCAGGGACAAGACAAGGACCTGCTAACGGTGCTCTAAAATATGACATAATCTCCAGGGCTCAAGGCCAGACAGAGCAAAAAAGTAGAATAAACACCAATGAATGAGGAGACCAAATTACCATCGACTGGGGGCAACACAATCATCTACCCAAACACAATAAAACAAGCCAGACAGAAAACAAGAAATAATGGGAACTCAGTGAAGCACCCAGACTCAAACACAAAAAAATCAATAGGGTTTCTATAAGCCAGCAACGTAGGAATACATGGAAAAGATAGTGAACAACAAAAAGATTCTGCTCAATATAGCAACCAAAAATATTAAGGACTAAGAATCAACTCAACAAGACACAAACTATCCAATTAGACTGAAGAACATAATAGGCAGCTTGCCCACTGGAAGAAAGCGCCACTATACACCCACAGGAAAAGACTGCAAGTTCAATGCCCCACTTGAGAAAAGCTAAATGAAACAAGTTAAATGCAAAACATAAAACATTAACACTGCGGGAATAAAACAAAAGCAAATACTCTTTTTATCTCTCTGTTGATGGGTCTCTTGTCTGCCCCCCCTCGAGAACATGGGGTCCCTCAGAGCAGCCTTCCTCTTGGCCCAGTGCCAGGCACCCCATAAAAGCTCAAGCTATGTGTGTAGAACAAATGGATGAATATTTCTCCACTCTTGGAAAGACTGTCTAAGCATAGGAACAAAAAACACAGTGAACCATGAACAAAATCACACATGTATGAAAACATCAAAAGATGTGACAGCATAAAAATTCAGAACCTCTCTGCAATTTAAAAGCAAACAATTGGGAAAAAAATATTTGCAAGATTTGTTGAGAAAAAGATTACTATCTTTAATATACAAAAAAAAGCACTCCAAATCAATAAGAAAACACTCTCAATACAAAACTGAGCAATAATCAGGAAACCTTAATTCACAAAAAGCAGGAGCTTCCACAGCATTCGGCTCCGACCTCAAGCACAGCCCTTATCACAGCTCAGCGCCTGCCCAAGCAGCAGTTCCTCCCCCATCAATGGGGTATCCTGCCACATCCAGCTGTTCTAGAAGACAATAAGAGCAAGACCACATCTGAGCATTGAGGCCATCCTATGGAGGCAGAGACCACTGGCCTCTCTCCCCTTTCTCCCACCCAGCACCCTTCCTGGTATGCTGGCTGTCCCTCCCACACATAGCCATGCTGGGCCACCTTGCAGCCTGCCAGGTAACAGGTCACACACATCTCATCCGCTGATCTTGGCTTGGGCCTGACTGACCTCCTCTGCCAGGAGCTGGAGCCTCCTTCCCTCCACCCCCTTCTCCCTCCTGCTTCCCCAAACCAACTCTTTCTTACCCTTTCCCCATGACTGAGGTGCTTCCATTTGTTCCCATAGTCGCACCTCTTAACTATTTCCCAGTTCAACAATGTTAATGATTAAAATGCTTCGTGCAATCTGTGCAAAAAGCCTGGGAGAAGACTGGACTCTCTTTCCAAATTGAAAGGGAAGTACCCCATAGATACAAAACACAATGTGATTAGTAGGATGAAGCATAAGGGACCAGGACTCAATGCCACTAAGCATATTTTGCGTATTATCTTCCATGTTTATCTCGGTGCCAACTCAACCCTCCTGAGGATGGTGGCAACGATGACAGCAGTACCTCCACAGCACCTGCTAGTGCCAGGCATGGTGCCAACACACATTACCTTGTGTAATCCCTACAACAGGACTCTGAGCTAAGGACATTGGTCATCCCTATCCTAGAAATGAGGAACTGAGCTCAGAGAGGTTGAATAACTGCCCAGCACCCAGCAGCTGCCAGTTCCCTGGCAGGCTCTTGGTAAGAGTTTACCTCCTGAGGAACAGAAGCACAGAAGGATTCAGGAGGGCACACGAGGTTTCAAACATAAGGCTAGTGTTATTTTTCTTCAACACATTGGTCTTTATTTTATCTTGATTCTTTCCACTGTACAGATATTTTAGCCACTTTTATATTTACCTTAAAAAGCAATACAAAACAAGATGGATGAATAAACAAGTGGATGGACAGATGATGACCTGACCATTCTTCCTTCCTCCTCTGCCACACAGAAGTTCTGAGTCAAGTGTGGGGTTCACCCTGAGCCACGCAGAACCCTAGAACCTGCACTCCTTGGTTCTAACTTTCCATTAGTCTTGACCATATCTTCTGACTAACATCTTCCTGGGGGCTTAGTGGTTTTGACATCCACTCTCTTCTAGCTATACATTCTTAAGAACTACCGCAGAACCTCCAGAGAATAAACACAAACAAGCAAGGAGAGAAGGTGCAAGTGGGTGTGAGGGACACTGGCAGCACACACCTGCAGAAGAAGCAGCTGGGCTGGCCTCTCAGGAATGGAAGTCATAAACTCCAGGTGTTTGGCCCGGTCAAACCCACTGGTGCACAAAGTGGGGCGGAGCAGATGCACAACAGCCTTGTAGTCGCCTGCTTCATACAGCCGCTGAATCTCCTCCAGGGACTGGCACCGCTCCAGCGACTTCAGGTTCTTATCAATCTGAAAAAGGCCCGGCAATGCTGTATGAGGGTAAACCCCTCAGCCCCTGCCCCACCAAATCTGGCCAGTGTTTGTTTTTATCAGACTTGGATGAGGAGAATAAAAATTAGACTATGTTCCAGCCCAAAAAAAATTAGATTCCTCCTTCATACATCAGTGTTTACACTAAACGTATGTGTTAAAAGTATTTCTATTAATGGCTAGGCATCCAATTCTTTAAAAAACAAGCACATCAAAAACCAAAAACTACTCAGAAGCAGAGGAGTTCCAGGAAAGCATCCACCAAGATAGCTGGACAGCCTTGTGGTCACAGTTCGGCGAACCAGTCTTGCAGAACTGCGGAACATCGGGTTGTCAGAGACTCAGCAAGCCTGGACCAGAGGTTGTCATACGCTACATGCAGGACCTGACGAAGCCCTGGCATGTAGACAGCTCTGTACTTGTACTTGTCCCTGAAATAACTCTAGGAGAGTCTGAAGGCCACTTTCAGCCAGTGTGGACATGTCACAGATGCAGAACTGCAGCAGGGTCTGGAGCTGCACAATGAATAAAGTGGCACCTGGGTGGAACTTGGCATATAGGCCACACACTGCTGACTCAACCCCATGGCCAGCCCAATACTGGTCTGCTCCAGCTGATATTTCCTTCCAGTTCCACTGGGGTGGCTGCCACACATAGCCAGGAGAGCAGAGCAATGACTGCTTCTAAATAGTGCTGGTGAGAGCTCCCACACCTGCTTTCCACCAAGGATCTGCAGTGTCCCAGTGTACTACAGCAGCCTTTCCCAGGCCTCTCCTGTCTTCCCAACAGAGGCCCCACTCAGCATATGGGAAGCTCTCTTGTTCCTCAGAAACAGGTCAACCCTGGGCTAACTATGCCAAATCACAAGAAACCTTTGACTAAAAAATACCATTTAAAACCTTTCACTCCCTCTCCCTCTCCCTACGGTCTCCCTCTCCATCTCTTTCCATGGTCTCTCTCTCCCTCTCTTTCCACGGTCTCCCTCTGATGCCAAGCCGAAGCTGGACTGTACTGCTGCCATCTCGGCTCACTGCAACCTCCCTGCCTGATTCTCCTGCCTCAGCCTGCCGAGTGCCTGCGATTGCAGGCGTGCGCCGCCACGCCTGACTGGTTTTCATATTTTTTCGGTGGAGACGGGGTTTCGCTGTGTTGGCCGGGCTGGTCTCCAGCTCCTAATCGCGAGTGATCCGCCAGCCTCGGCCTCCCGAGGTGCCGGGATTGCAGACGGAGTCTCGTTCACTCAGTGCTCAATGGTGCCCAGGCTAGAGTGCAATGGCGTGATCTCGGCTTGCTACAACCTCCACCTCCCAGCCGCCTGCCTTGGCCTCCCAAAGTGCCGAGATTGCAGCCTCTGCCCGGCCGCCACCCCGTCTGGGAAGTGAGGAGCGTCTCTGCCTGGCCGCCATCGTCTGGGATGTGAGGAGCCCCTCTGCCTGGCTGCCCAGTCTGGAAAGTGAGGAGCGTCTCTGCCCGGACACCATCCCATCTAGGAAGTAAGGAGCGTCTCTGCCCGGCCGCCCATCGTCTGAGATGTGGGGAGCGCCTCTGCCCCGCCGCCCCATCTGGGATGTGAGGAGTGTCTCTGCCCGGCTGCCCATTATCTGAGATGTGAGGAGCGCCTCTGCCCGGCCGCGACCCCGTCTGGGAGGTGAGGAGCGTCTCTGCCCGGCCGCCCCGTCTGAGAAGTGAGGAGACCCTCCGCCTGGCAGCCGCCCCGTCTGAGAAGTGAGGAGCCCCTCCAACCGGCAGCCGCCCCGTCTGGGAAGTGAGGAGCGTCTCCGCCCGGCAGCCACCCCGTCCGGGAGGGAGGTGGGGGGTCAGCCCCCGCCCGGCCAGCCGCCCCGTCTGGGAGGTGAGGGGCGCCTCTGCCCGGCCGCCCCTACTGGGAAGTGAGGAGCCCCTCTGCCCGGCCACCACCCCCTCTGGGAGGTGTACCCAACAGCTCATTGAGAACGGGCCATGATGACAATGGCAGTTTCGTGGAATAGAAAAGGGGGAAAGGTGGGGAAAAGATTGAGAAATCGGATGGTTGCTGTGTCTGTGTAGAAAGAAGTAGACATGGGAGACTTTTCATTTTGTTCTGTACTAAGAAAAATTCTTCTGCCTTGGGATCCTGTTGATCTATGACCTTACCCCCAACCCTGTGCTCTCTGAAACATGTGCTGTGTCCACTCAGGGTTAAATGGATTAAGGGCGGTGAAAGATGTGCTTTGTCAAACAGATGCTTGAAGGCAGCATGCTCGTTAAGAGTCATCACCACTCCCTAATCTCAAGTACCCAGGGACACAAACACTGCGGAAGGCCGCAGGGTCCTCTGCCTAGGAAAACCAGAGACCTTTGTTCACTTGTTTATCTGCTGACCTTCCCTCCACTATTGTCCTATGACCCTGCCAAATCCCCCTCTGCGAGAAACACCCAAGAATGATCAATAAAAAAAAAAAAAAAAAAAAAAACCTTTCAGCTGGGCACAGTGGCTCACACCTGTAATCCCAGCACTGCGAGAGGCCAAGACAGGTGGATCACCTGATGTCAGGAGTTCAAGACCAGCCTGGCCAACATGGTGAAACCCCGTCTCTACTAAAGATACAAAAAATTAGCCAGGCATGGCGGCGGGCACCCGTAATCCCAGCTACTCAGGAGGCTGAGGCAGGAGAATCCCTTGAACCCCAGAGGTGTAGGTTGCAGTGAGCCGAGATTGCACTATTACACTCCAGCCTAGGCGACAAAAGTGAAACTCCATCTCAGGAAACAAACAAACAAACGAAAATTCTCACTTACCTCCTCCAGGGAAACCACAGAGTCATTATGGAGGTTGGGCAGCCGGATGACAATGTCTCTTCGTTCAGCCCCTGCCTCCACCTGGATGGCGGTGGAACTCTGGAGCATTTCTGTGCAGATGTCATAGTTCTCCAGGGCCTGCTCCATGTCTCCCTGGTTAGACGGAAAACAGGTCAGGGAACCAAAGCAGAAGACTGACTATGATGTGCCAGATGCTTTACACCACTTATCTCACTAGACTGTGGAGGCCATGAGGGTGGGTTTTTTACCAATTACACTGTACCCCCCTAAGAAAGGCCTGGCATGTAGCTTGGGCTCAATAAATACTTGTTGACTAAATGAACAGTCCATGTCAACTCTGCGAGGGGAGATATCATAAACCCCATGTTGCAGATGAAAACACTGAGGACACTTGAGCAAAGCCAGAATTAGAAGCCAGGCCTGTCCTAATTCCAGAACTAATGTTCTTCACATCAAACAGTGTTGCTTTCTTTAGACTAAATGGTTGCTGACAGGGCCCTAGCAATCTCTTGACTCATTCTACCACAGTGTACCAGTACCACCATGTGCAAGGTGCTAGGTAACAGCCAATCCATCCTGGCCTTCCAGACCAGGCTCTGAAGGGAAGCTTTCCCAGAACTCTCATAAAACAGGTGAATAATTCCCTCCTAGAAAGCTCTGTATCTGTTTATTCACTTGCTCGGGCTCTCTCAGGAAAACATAAGCAAAGAGTCAAGATGCCAAGGCAATCTTGAGTGGGGGAGGTAGAGGCAGAGCAAATGCCTTCCAGAGCTCTGTGGTTATGCTAAAGAGCTTTACAGATTGGTATCATGCTTGGAAGTCTGAGATGCTGAGAATTCCCCACTGTGTCACACTTTCTCATGCCAAGCCCAGTGCCCGGGCAGGTGCTATGCATGTACACATGCATGCACACACACACACACACACACATACACACACACACCCTCAACATGGTCAATTTTCTGCCCACCCTGCTGGGTGTCAGGGCATGCTCCCCAAGCAGCTGACCATGGAACTAACCTGCAGCGCCAGGAAGCGAGCCTTCAGCCAGTAAACACGGACCACAAACTCCAGCCAACCATCCTCGAACAGGTCGCGCTGGGACGAGGCAAATGACAGCTGTAGGAGGTCACCCAGGCAGTGGGTCCCTGGGAAGTCAGGTCCAAATCTGCCATTCACCATACCAGCAGGGCAGTTCCGAGGAGACACTAAAAACCATCAGGCCAACGAGTCAACTTCATGTGTAGCATTCTAATGCCCTTCTGCTTCTCAGAAGTTGCACTTGGCCCTAACCACACCCACCCTATCTCCAGGGGCACCCTAAGCCCCTCAGAGCCCTACAGCTCCCTGAGTGGCAGGCATCAGAGAGGTTGGACCAGTTAAGACAAAGATATGCAGAGACCCTGCCCCCTGCCGAGAGTCAGGGGCAAGGGCAAGGGGAAGCAATTTTACAGACAGCATTGAGTATATCTACATTCCACCAGGTGGTAGTTTAAAAGTCAGAATGAAGCTGGGCCCAGTGGCTCATGCCTGTAATCCCAGCACTTTGGGAGGCTGAGGTGGGCGGATTACTAGAGGTCAGGAATTCAAGACCAGCCTGGCTAACATGGTGAAACCCCATCTCTGCCAAAAAATACAAAAATTAGCCAGGCATGGTGGCACACGCCTGTAGTCCCAGCTCCTCGGGAGGCTGATATGGGAGAATCACTTGAGCCTGGGAGGCAGAGGTTGCAGTGAGCCAAGATCATGCCACTGCACTCCAGCCTGGGTGACAGAGCAAGACGCTGTCTTACCAAAAAAAAAAAAAAAAAAAAAAAAAATCCGTATCACCAGAAAAATTACTGAAGCTACATAATACATAAAGCACTGCATTGAACAGTCACACCAAAACTGAGATCCCACTTCCTTCAATCTTGTGTAACAGCAAAGCAGGGAGGTGGCTCCCTCTGGGGGCTCAGCTACTGCTAACCACTTCTTGAGTATCCAGGAGATTTCCCTGGGACCCTGACAAGCCAACCCAAAAAATGTGCCTACTGTAGATATAAGGCTAAATTCCATGACTCAGTCTCCCGCCTCAGCTTTCTCCCAGCTGCTGGGGGTTCAGATATTAGCCTGGCCACAGAACACATAATGCCTCCTACCTGCAGAGCTTCTGCCTTTGGTCAGCAGCCACTGGTCCAGCTGGAGTTCCATGCAGGAGAGAGACATCAGCATCATGTCCTGCAGGACAGACACAGGAAGGTCAAGAACAGTATCACAAAGCCTCTTCACAGTGTGGGGGGTAGGGGGCTGTGGAAGGAAACAAAACTATACTTTTTGATAAAAATATAATTCTTTCTATCCACTTGCCATTTCATAAGTGATAATCAGTGGCTACTCGCCAGAACATAAAAAGAGCCACATGGATGTATGTTGGGACAAGACTTGGGAGAGGCCAGGAGACCGGTCTTCAGAGTTCTTGTCCTGTTGAAGAGGCAGCCCTGTCACCTGCCAAGTGCTGGGACGGACACTGCATCCAAATTATAGAACTCAACCCTTAAAAGTTCTGGGCAGCTGGTATACCATTCCCAGGGCACTTGAGGAAGCTGAGGCTCAGTGATGAGAAGGCACTTGCCCATTGGGCACAGCTGGAAGGTGATCATCAGCCTGCTTTGCCTGGGGATCAAAGCCCTGGTTCCTCCTGCTGTTTCACAACTGCCCCAGGGGAGCATGGCCTGGTGGGCAGAAGCTGCCAGGAGGTTGCCCTGAGGTAACTCAGTGGAGGGTGCCCACCAAGGGATGACTGACCTACAAGCTCTTCTACCTCCTGTGCTCTCAAGTCAGAAAGACCACCAGGCATCCCTGAATGTTCCTGGTGCTCCTGCTTCAGCATTCAGTGTCCCACCTCCAACAGGAGTAAGGGGCCAGAGCACCTTGTGTTCCCTTGAGCTCCAGGAGGCACCAAGTGGAGGAGGCTGGGGTGTGGAATGCAGCAGGAAGACAAGGCTCAGTGAGGCTCAGCCCCCTA
Source organism: Homo sapiens (assembly GCF_000001405.40). Lineage (NCBI taxonomy): Eukaryota > Metazoa > Chordata > Mammalia > Primates > Hominidae > Homo > Homo sapiens. The sequence continues at coordinate 24,061,159 of NC_000022.11, read as the reverse complement.
CTGCTGGTGGCCCCCAAAGCTTCTCTAAGCACGCTATTTAGCTTCTGCTGTTTTATCATCTGTTAAAAATAGTCATAGGCCAGGCATGGTGGCTCCCGCCTGTCATCCCAGTGCTTTGGGATGCCAAGGCATCAGGATCACTTGAGCCCAGGAGTTCCAGACCAGTCTGGGCAACATGGCAACATGGCAAGACCACATCCTAACATCGTAACAAAAGGAGACCCCCATCTCTACAAAACAAAACAAATTTTTTTTTTTTGAGACAAGAGTCTCGCCTTGTCGCCTAGGCTGGAGTGCGGTGGCGCCATCTCGGCTCACTGCAAGCTCCGCCTCCCGGGTTCACACCATTCTCCTGCCTCAGCCTCCTGAGTAGCTGGGACTATAACCGGGTGTGGTGGTGTACGGCTGTGGTTCCAGCTACTTTGAAGGCTGAGGTGGGAGGACTACCCGAGCCCAGGAGGTTGAAGCTGCAGTGAGCCGTGACTGCACCACTGCACTCCAGCCTAGGCAACAGAGCAAGACCCTGTCTCAAACAACAACAACAAAAGCCTCAGTCACAGTCCTTGCCAACTCAAACAAACCAAATGTTTCCCTTTCCTCCAGCTTCTCCTGGCAAGGCTTCCTGTGACTCAGTAAACAACCCGAGAAGCCCTCCCCATGACTCTCATTCCCTCACACATCCCATGTCTAGTTCAACCTATCAGCTCTGCAACCACAAACCAGCACCCCACTATTACCACTGGATCTCAGCCACTGCTCCCCTGGCATGGCAGCAGCCTCCTGATAGCCCCGTGAGCCCACTCTCACCCCTAAGTGTATCCTCCACTCAGCCATCAGGGAGCTTTCTAGGCACAAACTAGGTTCAGTGACTTCCTGCTTCGACACCCACAAAAAAACCAGGTTCCAGGCCCACAAGTAGATGCAGCCAAACACAACAGCAGCCCCACACCCATGCAAGATCCCTGTCCCCATGCCCTGGTCCCAGTTCAATACCAGCCCTTGAGAGGCTCCCCCTAACCTTGATGTGCTTGTTGCTGCAGTCCCTCAGCAGCGGGTTGGGCAGGCTGGTGCTGTGCCTCCTCCAGCTGTGGTAGACGCTGAGCACGACCTCCGCCAAGCCTGGAGGCCACCTTACCAAGAACTTGTGGCCCATGGCTTTCAGGTAGCGCATCATCAGCTCCAGGATGCCCCCGTTGGTTAGGTTCTCCAGCAGGAACTCATGCACGTCCTGCTTTTCTGCCCGGGGAGCAAGAACAACCTGACTTGAATAAAGAGTACCTTCCATGCCAGGGTCTCCTATTTACTTTGGGACAGTAAAGACTGTTCCCTCCCTCTACCATCTGATCCAGGTGGACATGATACCACGTTGTGGTGCTGAGATCAGGCTACTGGGTTCAATGCCTGGCTCCAACCCTCAGCAGCTATGATTGAGCCTCTCTGAATCTCCGTATCTAAGGTGGACATCAAAAGGGCAGACCTCCAAGTGCTGCCATGTGCACTAATCTCACTCAACAGTTATACACTGATACACACTCAACAGGTGTGCTTATATAGATTCAATTTGCAAAGCGAAGTCTCTGAATTTGGCCATAAGAAAGCATAGCAAGTATGAGCCTGGACATTTCAGAAGACCTCCAAGCTGACCACAGGGCTTAGGTCCAAGACTAATCCAGGCAGACTCTTGGCCACACTAAAAAACACCCCAGAACCATTCTCCCAGAACAAAACATAAGCAGGTTATAGGATAGTGGGAAGAAGAATTCCCAAAGTGAATGGTCACACTGCTCGATTCCTACCAGATTCCATGAATGTGGCTGAGTCAAATGACAGCCTTTGAGGCCCAATGCTTGGGAAGCTTTCCAGTTTGGCTTCTGACTGGACTTCATAGTTATTAAAGGAATCATCTTCCTCCTCAGGGTCCAGCTTTCTTAACCTGCATGTAACATGCCAAAATCACAAAGTCACAACACACGTTCTGACACAAGCATCTGAACTCTTCCTGTTAGAGAAACTAAATCTGAGTCAGGAAGAAGGCAGCTAAAATAAGTGGGTGGTGGGGTCCAGAACCCAGGCCTCCAGGAGGCTCTGCCTCTCTCCAGGGCCTCATGAGCCAGCATTTGGTCTGTATCCTGTCTCGGTCATTCATCTCATCAACAGATGATTACCGAGCACCAGCTATGTGCCAGGCACTGTGCTAGGCACCAAATACAGCAGCCCTAAATGTGGCAGATCCTGCCTGCAGTAAGCTTACCCTCTAGAGAGACACAGCCAATAAGCAGGTACACAAACTAACCCAAATAAGGACCACCTCACAACAGAGTGCTTGAGACTATGGGTCAAAAGGGCCCTGCTTTAGAGAGCAGGGTCAGAGAAAGCCTTTGAGAGGGGATAATGTTCATGCTGACACACTGGAGGAGGAGAAGGGCTTGCAATACAAAGATGCAGGACAAGAACAGGTACAAAGGCACAGGCCAGAAGAGCACCTGGTGTGTTCTAGGACCTCATGGGAGCCCAACAACTAAGGTGGAAAGCGGATAGATAGGTGGGAGTTTGGGGGATACATCAAGCTCATCTGAACTTGGTCCTTCCGTGGCTCCTCACAAAGCTGTGGGTGGGCCCAGTCTCGGGACTGGGGATGCCTCTCCTGGCAGGCACTCCTCCCAAGGACCCATTTCAGCCAACCTTGTGGTGTTCCCTCAACCCAGAACCCCTGCAGCATAAACACTCAGGGCACTTGTGAATGTCTTCATTCACGTATTGCACACACTCCCAGGGTGACTCCATCAGGCGAGCTACCATGTTGCTCTTGCCTTGACCATTCAAAGAAGCAGAAACTAAGTTAAGTGTGGTTGCTCAAGATTGTAATCTCAACATTTTGGGAGGTGGAGGCAGAAGGACGGCTTGAGGCCAGGAGTTCAAGATCAGCCTGGGCAATATAGCAAGACCTCATCTCTACAAAAAACAAGAAATAAAATTAGCTGGGCATAGTGGTGTGCACCTGTGGTCCTGGGTATTCAGGAGGATCCCTTGAGTCCAGGAGTTCAAGGCCACAGTGAGCTATGATTGTGCCACTGTACTCCAGCCTAGGCAACAGGGCAAGACCCCATCTCTAACAAAAATAAACAACAAAGGAGCAGACACTAAACCACAAACGAAACCAACAACTAAAATGAAGATTAAAAAGAAAGTCGAAACCATCCAGGTAAATGGGACTAGGGAACAAGACCTTGGAGTAAAAAGCAGGGCTAAGGGGAATATAGGGTCACTCAAATCTCTTGGCACCATCAACCAAAGAACAATCCTGCAGTTCTTCCAAAGAGAAACTTTCTTCTGGTATTACCCCTTAAGAAAAATTCATCAGAAGGCACTGCAGCCCCACTTTGGTTCTGCGTCAAGTACTGAGAACAATCATTATTTCTAAGCATTTCACCTTCACCTCAGAAAGACAACAAATTAAGAAAATTAGGAATCTTGCTGTAAAATAAATTTACAAACCACCTAAAGCTTCTGGCTTCTCCTTCACCACTTTGATGTTGTTACCACTGAAATAAACTGTCATGGGAAAGAACTAGATAGTTTAACTCCTGTTTAAAGATGGCATATCGAACACATATGGTTAGCTCCCAAACTCCATTCCAGTAACAACGAAGGAGTAAAAAAGGTATAAACTCACAAAGACAGAAGATAGGCGAGGATGCCCCAGCAGACAAAAAATGTACCAGCCAACTGTTAGAAGGCAGATGGCCCAGTGCAAATGAAGAATGGTGTCTGCCGAGAGAGGCCTCTCCACTCAGCTAAGGGAGGAGAAAGGGGAGTATTAAGAAACCAACCCACTGGCACCATAAACTCCAGGAAGGCTCAGAAATTGAGGATCCTAAAGCCTCTGAAGGAGGTGAGCAGGCAAGGACAAAAAGCAGAAGGACTGGCCGGGCGCCGTGGCTCATGCCTATAATCCCAGCACTTTGGGAGGTTGAGGCGGGCAGATTACGAGGTCAGGAGATCAAGACCATCCTGGCTAACACAGTGAAACCCCGTCTCTACCAAAAATACAAAAAATTAGCCAGGCGCGGTGGCAGGCACCTGTAGTCCCAGCTATGCGTGAGGCTGAGGCAGGAGAATGGCATGAACCCGGGAGGTGGAGCTTGCAGTAAGCCCAGATAGCACCACTGCACTCCGGCCTGGGCGAAAGATCAAGACTCCGTCTCAAAAAAAAAAAGGCAGAAGGACTGGTGAAAACCTAAGTAAGAAGCACTGGGGACCAAGTCCCTCCCAGCTCTGGGGAGCCTGGTTCCTGCTTGTCCCCTAGGCTCCTGAGAAGCACTAAGAATGAGTGAAACCCAGGAATACTTCACAAGCTCCTCCTCTACCTTCTCAGAATGCAAGGGAATCCTGCTGAGCCTGGAGCAAATCAAGTAGACACGGACTCCCTGAAAGCAGGAGGGAAGCTCCCTTCCATGGGGTTTTCAGGGCATCTGCACCCAAGGCACAGCACCCCTCTGCCTCCCAGCAACAAATAGATGTCTTGTAAATACACAGGGACATGAGTATGTTGCTTCTAGCTCTCAAAAGATGAACAAGTCACAGCTCCTGACTTCAGGAATTTCAGAGGTGGGAAGAGGCGAGAAAAATCCAAGATCCTACTCCAGTGAGATTTGTGCTTCAGACATCTGCACAGATGTTATGGGAACACAGAGGAGGAGACCAGAGAAGAGGGTGGCAATGGAATGAGAAATGTTACTGATGGTGTATGCTGGAGCTTTGTGGGTTTGTTTCTGACAATCAGAAAAAATACACAGTACCTGGACGGCAAGAACTTCATCAGAAGCTCCTGGAAGTCTACTTTCTCTTCTTTTTTGCACTTGGTGTTTCGGACACGGGCAGACCGCCGCTTTGCTGTTTCTCCACTCTCTTCTGAAATCTTCTTCCGTTTTACCCCTTTCTTGGATTTATCTCCCCCAGAAATATCACCTTCACAAAGAATGCAAATTAAAATCTTACACGGTGGCAGGGATGAAAAAAATGCACCACACAGACACATCAATCTCCCTCTTTTATAAATCTACTAGCATTAAACTCTTTGACATTCAAAAAATCTTCCATCTCTTCTTCAACAACAAAGAATCCTGAGTAAAATTAATTTGAAACCCCTTAACTCTCACACCTTTCTTGACTTCACAGGACCCACAAGCCAGATTTCAAGATTACTTTCCACAGCTACAAAGCAAGCAACACCCTTACCCTCCCATCCCCTCACTGGTCGGCTGAACTTCGGAGTCTCACTCTGTTACCCAGAACGGACAGAGTGAGTGGCTATGACCCTACCCAGTACCCTCTGAGCACTCAGCAATATGATAAGAGCAAAAGAACAGTGTGAACTATATGGACAATAGAAGAATGTCATGTATGATTAAGTAAAAAAGAGACAACCATGTACATGTTTATTCAGAAACTTCTATATCTGCCAGATATTCTTTTTTTCAGTGACACAGAAATCAAGAAAAGGCTCGGGAGCTTTTGTCAAAAATTTTTGACAACTCTAGCAATAATAAAAATCAATAAAACATATGGTGGTTGGTAACTTTGCTGACTGTTTTCTAAGATCAAAGAACTCAGGATGTACACAGTCAGCAAGAGAGCAGGACCAGAAGAGGGGACCTCTGCCAGCTTCCACATTACAAGTGGTTAAGAGCAACCTTCGTGCCAGAATGTGGCTGCCAGGCACTAAATGGTCCTGGGGGAACTGTCAAGGACCAGGAGCTGCATCCCTGATCCCCCGTCCTCCTAGCTGCAGGGCTTCAGAGCTGAAATGGCCCTGACGGGCAGTGGCACTGTGAGCAGGCTGAGAGGCTCCTCTAGGGCTGGGGGCTCCCACTTCCACTTGAGTCATGAGCATCAGCATGACCCTTCTGTCTAGGGAGGCAGGGCTCCCCAGCAGTCTCATTCCTGCTGGGCTCAGTGAACGGGGTCTCCCCGGAAGCCAAATTCAGGGGGCCTGCTTACCCACAGGAGCGCCTGTCTCCAACAGACCAGGACTGTGCAGTGGGAAGCTGGTTGTAGCCACAGAGGTGTAGGAGACCACAGGCTCGGCGACAGCCACAGCTGGGTTGGTGCTGACAGTGCTTGGCTGGATCACGTTAACTGGCGTCACCACCATGGAGGACTCAAGAGGCTGGCTGGGGTCCTGGTAGTCCGACAAATCAATCCTTTTGCCAAGGCTGGGACGTGGGGGCTCACAGGTGGTGAGATGATTGTACATGGCCAGCAAGCTCTCTCCGAGGCACTTCCAGCTAAAGGGAGAGGGCCACAACACCTGATCACCACCCTGTCAGAGGAATACTCCAAGCATAGTGGAAAATGGCCTGCCTGCACAGAGGCGGCAGAGCTGCTCCTGGAGCTGCCATGTCCATGGGGGTGGGGGAGGTGATCAAGGTTTCATCACTGGCACAACTGATGAAATCTTGTCTAACACAGCTGAACTGAAGATGCGGCAGCCAAAGCTGGACCAGGGACCTGGCATCCACCTGCCCCTCACTGCAGCAGAAGCCCCATAAGCATCTTGGCCTGAGGCACTTTCAGACTCAAGTAGGTATGTATGAAATCCATTGACTCACTTCAAAAACTCCTCCTCAGGAAGGTCAAGTCTTTAAAACACTTGTGGAACTCCCCTGCTGCCACGAATCTGTTTTATGCGGAGAGCCTGTGGGGGACTGCCAACAGGGACATGGTCTATAAGAACTTGGACCATGGGCAGGGCCTATGGGGAGCAGCACCTCAGTGGATTACCAAATGGGCTGGAGCCTGCTGGATGGCAACAGGAGACTGTTGTGTGTTTTGTTGTGGTATGGTGTGGTGTGTTATATTGTGTGCTGTCTATTGTTTTGTATTTCACATTCCGTGTTGTGTGTTGTGTTGGGTTCAAGGTTGTGTGTTGTCTACTATGCTGCGTGGTATGCTACAATGTATCCATTTATCCATCCCTTAATTGCTTCTAATGCCTCAGGCTAAAGACCAACTGCTCAGCCTGGCCTCATGGTGCTGCACAGCCTCCTCTCACACCACCCCCTGCAATCCTGCTACATTAGCTCTCTTTCAGTTCCTTAAACAAAATCACACTCTCACATGCCACTGGGCCTTTGGGCTGGCTTCCTTCTGCCCAGATGCAACGTCCCCTCCCACAGCATAGCCCTCTGCCTAGCCAATGCCTGTGCCTCAGTCAGACCCCAGCTCCACCACCCAGCCTTCCCCAACCCCTAGAGCAGCAGGAACCTTGTTCAGAGGCCTTCCAGCACTGCGCTTCTCTCCTCACAGCCCCCATCAGCTTGAGGCATGTGCTGCTTTCTCTGGGTGACTGATTACCCCTGGTATCACTTGTAGCAAGGGACCAGGCCCTGCCACACTGCGCCCCTAGCACAGAGCACAGTCCCCTGCACAGAGCCAGCATCCAGGAAGTGTTGAGAAAGGAATAAAAGAACAGTGCTTCAGGCTGGGCACGGTGACTCATGCTTGTACTCCCAACGCTTTGAGAGGCCGAGGCGGGTAGATCACCTAAGGTCAGGAGTTCGAGACCTGCCTGACCAACATGGTGAAACCCTGTTTCTACTAGAAATACCAAAAATTAGCCAGGGGTGGTGGCGCATGTCTGTAATTCTAATTACTTGGGAGGCTGAGGCAGGAGAATCGCTTGAACCTGGGAGGTGGAGGTTGCAGTGAGCCAAGATCGCACCACTGCACTCCAGCCTGGGCAACAGAGTGAGACCCTGTCTCAAGAAAAAAAGGACAGTGCTGGCTGGGTGCGGTGGCTCACGCCTGTAATCCCAGTACTTTGGGAGGCCGAGGCGGGCAGATCACAAGGTCAGGAGATCGAGACCATCCTGGCTAACACGGTGAAACCCCATCTCTACTAAAAATAAAAAAATTAGCCGGGCGTGGTGGTGGGCACCTGTAGTCTCAGCTACTTGGGAGTCTGAGGCAGAAGAATGGCGTGAACCCAGGAGGCAGAGCTTGCAGTGAGCCGAGATTGTGCCACTGCACTTCAGCCTGGGCGACAGAGTGAGACTCTGTCTCAAAAAAAAAAAAAAAAAGAAAAAAGAAAAAAGAAAAAAAAGGACAGTGCTTCAAATTCCAGAATCTAAATGATGGAGGCTCCCAGGGCTAGAAGGAATTTCTTCTATCTTTTTCCTGCCTTCAGTTAGTGTTACATTTAGACAGGAAGAATTTGCTTACTGGCTGGGTTGTGTCAAATGCCTTAAATACACCATTTCCCTTACTCGTGCCTTGCTCTTGCTCATGCCTACTAGGCACTGAGGAAACCAGGGGTGGTAAACTGTGCCCTGCAGCAAATTTTATTTTTTAATTTTTTTTTTTTTTTTGAGATGGGGGTCTTGCTCTGTCACCCAGGCTGGAATGCAGTGGTGCCATCACAGCTCACTGTAGCCTTGACTTCCCCGGCTCAAGCAATCCTCCCCCTCAGCCTCCCAAGTAGCTGGAACTACAGGTGTGTGCCACCATATCTGGCTAATTTTGTTTATTTTTTGTAGATATGAGGTCTCACTATGCTGCCCAGGCTGGTCTTGAACTCTTGACTCAAGTGATCCTCCTGCCTCAGCCTCCCAAAGTACTGGGATTATAGGCGTTAGCCACCATGCCCAGCTAGTTTACACATTTTTAAAGCATTGTTTAAAAAAAAAAAGAAAGAAAAAGAAGAAAATATACAACATAAATTGTACATGGCCCACAAAGGCTAGTATGTTTACTCTCTGGCTCTTTAAAGGAAAAGTTTTGCTGACCCCCGGAATAGATGGAGATTACTATAAAAGCATCATGTCCTCTGCTACCAGAGAGGGAATCTACACTCTTCCTTTAATGACCAAATCCCAAATTTAACTACTGAGCCTAACTCCCTCTTGCTTCTACTTCTCCCTCCTGCTTCTACTTAGCCCTCCCCCTACACCATGGAGGGTGGCCACGGCACCAGTTCCCAGCCCTCTGTTCTCCAGTCACATCACCACAATCCCTTCTAGTGTTCTCAGGCCTTTTCCTCCTTCACTGTAACAGGGAGGCACCCCAGGGCCCTTCCAAAACCCCAACCCTCTGTAGTTGGGGAGCACACACTCAGATGGGAGAAGGACTCTAATCCAGCTGACAAAATACAAGAAAGGGCACCAGACAGGAGTCCTAGAGCAGCCTGAAGAACAGCCCTTTCTTCCTGGCCATCTCGGTGCTCGGGTATGGAAATATTTCTGGGAAATTCTACATGCTGAAACTCACAGCCAGTCATAATAATACGGATCAGAGCCAGCCCTTCCTGAGTGGGTGCTATGTGCTGCCTCTGTGCTAGCCCTACATGTTTTGTCATTATCATGACAACCCTATGAGAGAGATGTTGCTCTCCCCGTTGCTAGGGAGTGGCTCCTAATGTCCCCAGAGTCATCCAATTCACAGCATTAGGAGTGCCAGGATTGGACCCAGGTCAGGTCAGTCTGATCCAGGCCAGAGCTCCCTCAGAGTAGGCAGACAGGGGTGGAGGTAGGGGGTGGGGAGTAGAAATGGAATGCTACTGCTAAGTCATGCTAAACTTAAAGATTCAATGTCAGAATTTTAAATACAGAAATTGAATTCCAGAGCTCGCTAAGGGACTAAACTATCCCAACTCCAGGGAACCGCCGATACCAATTTGCCCTTCCTGGAGAGAGAGAGACTCTCACATCATGGGGCTGGCAAGGACTATATTGAGGCCCATCTCGCAGGGCTCCCCACGTGGCCCTAGAGAGAAAACATGGACTTGAGAGCGGAGAAGCCCAGACCCGGGACTGTCTCTGGGCTCCCCATTTAAGTACTCTGAACATCAGTTTCCTCCTGGCAAGTGCTTGGCAAATGTTAGTTTCCATTCGCCCTCTAGATAGGGCAGGCTGAGAAGGGCCTTACAGGAATGTGGCAGGTGGCTGGGGTCAAGAACAGCAACAGCAAAAAGGGACTGAGACTGGAGGTACTTGAGAGAGAGCTGACCTGCTTCTTAGTAATCAAGTAAGCATGCACCTCCAACCATTTGGCCACTGTGCACCCAGCCCCCATTCATACCACCAACCCAGGATCAAGCCTCAAGGTCTCTCCCTCCTGTGCAGGGCAGCATCCCACAACAGGGCCTACTGGCCGACCCAGCACTCCCAGAGACGCTAGACAACCTACGTGAAGAAAGGAATGGGCTGCACAAGTTTCAGGTCCGGCTCCTTCTCCCGCACAATCAGCGCTTGCCTCTTTTTTCGCAGCCCCAAGGCCTCATCTACAATCGCCTGTGTCTCAGCTGCACTCACCGAAACATCGTGAATCGACATGTCACTAAAAGCATGTGAGACAGGGAGAAATTATCATGTTACAAACTAAAACTGAGGCTGAAATTTTACACACAAAAATGCATTTAGGTTAATACCTTTTAATGTGTATTTTTCTTCCTATAAATAAAATAACCACTTCAGTCTGGCCTGGGTAGGGCAGTAAATAGCCTTCTTAATACCCACATACACTAGAAATGACTAATATTCTTTGTTCCTTTGACAATTCAAAACTGGGCAGAGAAAGAGTTTTCATATGTATTAACACTATCACAATAATATCTGAAAAGCCACAGAAAAATAAAATCTTTCTCTCAATTATTATTAGAAAATCTTAAAAGAATGTAACTATCCTATACTGCCCATGCCAACAAAAAGTCATCGGAAAAGTGAAGCTCACCAAAGTGTATCACGACCCAAAAATACAGAAAGGGCAGGGGCTTGGAGGCCCTACGTGTCCTCTCACAGACACACTTCTGAGGCGACCTAACCTCACCTGCCCTCCTGCCCAGACTGTCCTGGTGCTTCCCAGCAGGGTTACACCTCAGAGCTACTCATGAATTTATCTGTTTCATGTGCTTCTTATCTGTCTCCCTCAAGGTTAGCTCCCTCATGACAGATGTTCCCTCAGTTCCTATCTCTGCCAACAGGTAGTTCCTTCAGGAGAGGGACAGGCTCACAGGGGATAGACGCCAAGATAAATCACTACTAATCAACCCCTACAGGTGTGTTCCAGGGCCAAGGAAGACCAGAGGGCAAAAGGAGTTGGCTGGGCTGGAGGGCTGTGGGGAAGGGCAGCTAGAGCTCAGAAAGCAACAGAGAGGTGACCTGAGAAACAGATAAGTTTGTAAGTGAGCAGCTCTGAGGTGTGGCCCTGCTGGCAGGCATCAGGACAGTCTGGGCAGGAGGGGCAGGTATTCTTGGGTCACCTCAGAAGTGTGTCTGTGGGAAGACACCTGGCAAAGGAGGGGCAATGGCGGGACAGGTGGAGAGGTGGGAAGATGGCATGAGAGTTTAGAGCATAGTGGGAGCCAGGTTGAGAAGACAGGATGCCACACAATGGTACCACGCCTGGAAACTGCAAGGGACTTGGGGCAGTCTTAACAAAAGGAGCCTGGGAGGGAAAAGCAGGAGGTGACGTGGGAGAACTATGGGGTCAGGCTGCAAAGAACCTCTTTGGTAATGCAACTGAGCATGGGCTATGTCCTGGAGGCAAGGCAGGGGTGGCACATGATCAGAGGCATGTTTGGGACACTGAACTCGGGCAGCACTGAGAACAAAACCCTGGGAAGGGGAAAGGCAGGAGGCAAGCTGGGCAGCAGGCTGCCCCAAGCATCCAGAGGACAGCTAGCGAACACTGAAAGCTGGCAGGACAGCAGGAGAGGCGGGCAGCAGGCAGCCTGAGGAGGCCTTGCCAAGATTAGGTAGAGGTGGGTGATCAACAAGGCAGTCCAAGGTCAGTTCACTAGATCAGGGGCTGCGGCAGGGCATGAAGCCCCAGAGCACAGGGGCTCCATCCATGGGACCTGAGGGGAGAATGTGGTGTGCTCCTGACCTTCACCAGCCACACAGTAAGCGTGCACACATGGCATGGGAAGAGGCAGGACTTACCATTTGAGGAACATTCTGAGAGAGTCCTTCCGGAGACAAGGCTGCTCCTCAAAAATCTTCTCCTTGAGGACCAGCCCTTTGCTGTACCGGCAATCCTTCTCCAAAGCTTTGCAGATGAAGTACAGACATGCTGGCGGGGAAAGAGACAGTTTATGACTTCTGAGACCGCACTCAGAAGCTCTGGCCTTGCCAGTTAACATCAGGAAAATCCTGCTCCTAGAATCAAAGAAATGCCTGGTAAAAAATAATGAGATACCACTTTAACTAATTCAGTCAGGTTAGTAATAAGACCCAGAGTAGACTGGGCACTGCAAGGTGAGCAGACCCAAAGATTCTGGCAGAGGACAGACCGTAGGATCTTTTTGGAGGACCATAGGCAATTACACACAGATCCTCGATGACCTGGGAATCCCACCTCTAGAAACTACTGCAAAAATCCAACAGGGCTCACAGTGATTATCTATTGGCTAATTGGAAAACAGCCTTCAAAAAATCTGGAAATAGCCAGGCACAGGGCTCACGCCTATAATCCCAACACTCTAGAGGCCGAGTTGGGCAGATTGCTTGAGCCCAGGAGTTGGAGACCAGCCTGGGCACCATGATGAAACCCCATCTCTACAAAAAATACAAAAATTAGTCAGGCATGTTGGTGTGCACCTGCAGTCTCAGCTACTCAGGAGGCTGATGTGGGAGAATCGTTTGAGCCCAGGAGGTAGAGGCTGCAGTGAGCTGTGATCATACCACCGTACTCTAGCCTGGGCAATAGAGTGAGACCCTGTTTCAAGGAAAAAAAAAAATCTCAAAACCACTCTGTCCCACCATGGCACCTGGTTAAATAAAGTATGTCCAATTCCACACAATAGGTTGCCAAGCAGCCACTACATAGATGGTCAAGGAGTGTGCTTACTGACCAGAAAGAAGGCCAAGATACAGTACTGGGAAGAAGCAGGAGACAAAAGAGGTCACATAGTGTGACTCCATTATACACATAAAACTTATTGAATTTTGTTTACCTGTATTTTCCAATTTTCCTCCTTTTTTTAAAAAAAAAACCTATTATTAAAGCTACTGCCTACAATTTAAGACATGTACATCACTCAAGTTAATGTCATAATGAGCATCCTCAAGTTATTGATCTGGAAAGCCTGTGCCAACTCCAGCTCCTCCAGGAATGGAGACAGTAACAGGTAAACACACAGAAAAAAATGGGATGGCATGGATTCACAAAGCAGAACTATGATATAAATTACAAAAGCTTTCAGCACTTGTAATTGGGAACAGTCCAGGTCTCACCAGTGAACACACAGAGAAACACAACACTGCAGCAGGGTGCCAGCTCTGCCTGGGCACTGGGACCACTATCATGCCCTGCCCAGCTTCTCAGTTTGGTGCAGGTAGACTGCAAGTCACTCCTATCAAGAATAACTAGAAAATGAAGCACCTAGGAGTGAGAAGCAACACACAGAGGAAAACCAGAGCAGAAGTAGAAATCTGCGCATGGAAGCCTTGGGAGAGGAGAAAGTGATGCGCTCCTAGTGTGCTTGGGAGGAGAGAGCAGAGACTGGCCACAATGCTCAGCAGGGCCACACGCCCCAAGGTGCACAAAGGCTGTGCAGCCTGTGAGCAAGGAGAGGTCTGTACAATCCCAGCACAGTCCACGCTGCTCAATAGATGGTCCAAAGGTGCCTGCATCAGACAAATAAGGGACATGGTTTCTCTGAGACCACATGAAACCTGAAGGGTAGCCATCAGTGACTTCCAGAGAGAAAACCCAGAAGGCACTGAGCACTTGGATGATGCTGGTTCTCAGTAGGCACATTAGCTGCATTAAGCTAAACTCACTAGCCACCCTACAGTCCTGCAGAGGGAAGGCCTGGGAAATCTCAGAACAAGAGGCAGTCCGCAGGCCTTAACCCAGCAGCATCCCTCCCTACTCATATCAAATACATAAAATGCCACTGAGAGTCAATTTAACATGCTGCTTTAATTTTTTGTTTTAAATGACTGTCAAATCTATCAGGGCTCTCACAGGTGTATGTATCAGTTCAGTCCCTGTTATGATTAATTGTATGTGTCTATTTGACTGGGCTACAGCATATCCAGACTTTGGCCAAATATTATTTTGGGTGTGTCTGTGAGGGTGTCTTTGCATGAGATTAACATTTAAATCAGTAGACTGAGTAAAGCAGATCGCCCTCCCTAATGTGGGGGGGCCTCATCCAATCAGTTGAAGGCCTGAACAGAACAAAAAGGCTGACCTTCCCCCGCATAAGAGAATTTTTCTGCCTGACTACCTTTGAACTGGGACATTGCGGTGGGGGGGGTTTTCTACCTTCTCACTAAAACCAAGACATCAGCTCTTCCTGGGCCTGCCAGCCTACAGACTGAAACTATACCATCAATTCTCCTGGTCCTCAGGCCTTTGGACTTGGACTAGAACTATACACCATCACTCCTGGGTCTGCAGCTTGCTGACTCACCCTGTAAATCTTGGAACTTGTCAGCTACCAATACCACATGAGCCAATTCCTTACAATAAATCTCTTTCTATATATGTACATACATCCTATTGGTTCTGTTTCTCTGGAGAACCCTAATACAATACTCCAACCTAAATCTTCCCACAAAGACTTGAGTTTACCAAGCATAACTTCTTCTACAATGAGAGAGGGGTGCAAAGAACTAAAGAAGTCAGTTGAGGAAGGAAGGCTGAACCCCAAAGATGGTCCCAAACTGTGGGAGGAGCACCCAAGAAGAGACTCAAAGCCTCCAGAAGAAGAAACTGCTAGAGTCAAAACACAGCCCTGTACAACTATCATATTCTGCTGGTGGGAGTGAAATGAGGGGCAACCTACAGAACGAGTGCATATGTTCACTAAAAGACATATACAAGAATGTTCATAGCAGGTTATGACTAAGAACACAAATCTGGAAATAACCCAAATGCCCATGTACAGAATGGCTACATTGTGCAAATGCACATAATAGACCACACAAAATAACAAGACATAGAGACTGCTGTGCCCCACATGGGTGCGCTCACCGACAGGATGACAAGCAGAAGGGGCCAGCCTGAGGAAAGCACACGCTACACGCTTCCTGACTCTACCTAGGGAAAGTTCAACAACAGGCAAAGTTCATCTTTGGTGACAAAAAGGAGAAATCAAGGTTGCCTTAGGAGGTTGTAAAAAGTGGAAGGGACCCAAAGTAACCTGCCTTCTGGGGCGCTGCACATGTTCTGTATCTTGACATGTTTTCACATATACAAACTGACAGGTCTCAGATTTATGTACCTTATTGTATGTATGTTTTGCCTCAATTAAAAAGATTTAAAAAGTGGTTATGGAGAACAAGAACTGGAGGTGAGAAGGTTGAGCAAGGCCTCATCTATCTCAACACATTCTATCCTGTTCCTATTTGTCTTTTTAAAAGGAAGAGAAAAAAAGACTCTCCAGCCTCCAGAGCTGAGAGAAATAAATTCTTGTTTAAGCTACCCAATCTATCATATTTTATTATAGCAGCATGAACTAACTAAGACAGAAAGTGGTACCAACAAGTGGGCTGCTGTTGTAACAAATACCTAAATATGTGGAAACAAATTTTTTTTTTTTTTGAGGCAGAGTCTCGCTCTGTCACCCAGGCTGGAGTGCAGTGGCACAATCATGGCTCATTGTAACCTCTAGCTCCTAGGTTCAGGTGATCCTTCCAAGTAGCTGGGACTACAGGTGTGCACCACCCCACCCAGTTAATGAAAAAAAAAAAAAAAGTATTTTTAAATGGGGTTTCACTATCTTGCCCAGGCTGTTCTTGAACTTCTGGGCTCAAGCGATCCTCCCATCTCAGCCTCCTAGAGTGTTGGGACTACAGGCATGCTACCTGTAGCTACCACACCTGGTGTTGGAAAGAGCTTTAGAACTGGGTATAAGCTTAAAGAGTTTCGAGGTGTACACTGGAAAAAGTGAATATTGGTATGTAAGGATTGTTAAAGGTGATACTGGGCTGGGCGCAGTGGCTCACGCCTATAAGCCCAGCACTTTGGGAGGCCAAGGCGGGCGGATCACGAGGTCAGGAGATCAAGAACATCCTGGCTAACACGGTGAAACCCTGTCTCTACTAAAAATAAAAAACAAAAAATTAGCCGGGCTTGGTGGTGGGTGCCTGTAGTCCCAGCTACTTTGGAGGCTGAGGCGGGAGAATGGCATGAACCTGGGAGGTGGACCTTGCGATAAGCCGAGATCGCACCACTGCACTCCAGCCTGGGTGACAGAGACTCCATCTCAAAAAAAAAAAAAAAAGGTGATTCTGATGAGGGCTCAGAAAGAAGAGAAGAGGTACAGAGACGGCTTCCATCTTACTAGAGAATAAATAATCATGTACAGAATGTTGGTAGAAATATAAACATCAAGGGCATTTCTGCTGAGATCTCAAATGGAAATAAGGAACATGCTATTGGACAATGAAGAAAAGGTGATCCTTGTTATAAAGTAGCAAAGCACTTGGCTGAATTACGTCTATGTTCTAGTGTTTGGTAGAAGGTAGAACTTGTGAGCAATAAAATTGGCTATTTTGCTGAGACTTCTAAGCAAAGTATTAAAGACATAGCCCAGTTCCTCCTGACTGCTTATAGTGAAATGCTAAAATAGAGAAAATAAGAGGGCATTGTTAAGCAAAAAGGAACCAGAACTTAAAAGATTTAGAAAATTCTGTCTATCCATATTGCAAAAATTGAGAAAGTTTGTTCTGAGAACACTATGAGTGTGACTGACCAACAATTTTCTTATAAGATCAGTGTGGGCATGAACCACAGATTTAATCAGGTATCTCAGAAGCCAGAAAGGTGGGATTATACTGGCAGAAACACTGCTAATGGGGACTAACGGGAACAGAAAAAAAATGAGAAAGAATGAAAGAAAGTCAAGAATATATGTTATCTTTCAAGGAAAGGGAAGAAGAACCCTCAAAGATGATTCAAAGATCATCTGAGCCGCCACTCCCATCACAGACCAAGAGGCTAGGGCTAGTTCCTTAAAGGGTGGGGCTACTTCTCCAGTTTGCATAGGCCAGGATGTCTCAACCTAGCATCTTAGGGGTAGAGCCCTTGCCCAGCCAAAAGGGTGGGGCTTGTCCCTCCACCCACGTACCATGAGGGTGATGTTGCCACCTCAGTGGGCATCAAGGGCGGAGCATCAGGTCAAAGAGAATTATTCCTGAGCCTCAGGACCTCAAATTTGCCTTGCTAAGTTTGCTAAGTTTTGGGACCCATCACACTTTCCTGCTTTCCTATTTCTCCCTGTTGGAATGGAAATGTTTGTCCTATATCTGTCCCACCATTATATTTTGGAAGCACATTAATTTATCTGTATTCACAAGTTTACAACTGGAGAGGAATTTTGTCTCAGGACAAATTGTACCTCAAGTCTTACCCACATCTGATTTAGATAATATTGATTTTTGTTTTGTTTTGTTTTTGAGACAGGGTCTCACTGTGTCACCCAGACAGGAATGCGATTGCACAACCTCGACTCACTGCAGCCTCGACCTCCCAGACTGAAGCAATCCTCCCACCTCAGCCTCCCAAGTAGCTGGGATGACAGTCACGCACCATCAAGTCCAGTTAATTTTTGTATTTTTTGAAGAGACAGGGTTTCACCATGTTGCCCAGGCTGGTCTCAAACTCCTGGGCTCAAGTGATCTGCCTGCCTT
The DNA here is from genome assembly GCF_000001405.40 of Homo sapiens. Lineage (NCBI taxonomy): Eukaryota > Metazoa > Chordata > Mammalia > Primates > Hominidae > Homo > Homo sapiens. The sequence goes on along the minus strand of NC_000022.11, from coordinate 24,043,517 downwards.
GGCCCCCTAAAGTGCTGGGATTACAGGCGTGAGCCAACATACCCAGACAATTTCTGCTGTTTTAGCCACCCAATCTATGGTATTTTTTTTTAATGGCAGCCCAAACAGACTAAGACACACAAAATGGGACAGTGCAGGGAGGAAATAAGATAGCCACTTCTGTCAAGCAAACAAAACCTTGCAAAGCAAAAAAAAAAAAAAAAAAAAAAAGTAAAATCATTCAGAAAACATGCTACTTTATTACTACAAGGCATTTAACAAATCAAGAAAGAGATGCAGAATAAAGCAGAAATCTAAGAACATTGCCATTCTCCCTGACAGTCTGGCAAACCCCTTCAGTGTTAACTTTGGCTTTCAGTTTACCCAAACTGCCTTTCCTCTGCTGTTCCAAAAACCACTGGCACATGGAAGAAAGCATCAAAGCATGACTCACTTGTGTAATCACTGAGGGTGTACAGGACAGTGATTAGGTTATCCAAACAGGGCCAGTGGTCAGGATTGCACCGCAGCCCTTCCTCAAAAGCATGGCGAGCCAGGGGGATCCGGATGAGCCTCAGGGCCACATGTCCAATCTTATACCAGAGGTTGACATCTGTGGAGTCCAGCATCACTGCCTGGAAGCGACACAAGCAGAGGGCAAACACACACACACACACACACACACACACACACACACACACACACACACACACACACACAGTCAGATCTCTCCTTGAATATGCACCCCGGGGACGGGAGGAGCACGGCACTGGCACAGCCACTTGAACTTCCCAGGGAAATGGCAAAAGTGCCATGACTATCTTATAACTGACAAGTAATGCCAGCTCATCTTTCCTGGAGTCGCACGTTTCCAAGATCTAGAGTGATAATGGCATATAAAAAGTTACAGGGACCAAGTTATTTAACTTAGAATTTTTTAAAAAAATTTTTCTTTTTTGAGACTGGGTCTCACTCTACTGCCCAGGCAAGAGTGCAGTGGTGTGATCATAGCTCACTGCATCCTCAAACTTCTGGGCTCAAGCAATCCTCTCACCTCAGCTCCATGAGTAGCTGAGGCTACAGAGGCACATCACCACACCTAGCTAATTTTCAATTTTTTTGTAGAGACACGGTCTTAGTATGTTATCCAGGCTTGTCTCAAACTCCTAGCCTCAAGTGATCCTCCTGCCTCAGTTTCCCCATTGTCTTGATATATTTTGTCAATCTGAATATCTGTATTCCTTACATATTTAATAAGTAAAAGGAGAAGAAAGAAAAGAAAATATGCCCAGGCCTGGTGGTTCACACCTGTAATCCCACTTTGGGAGGCTGAGGTGGGCAGAATGCTTGAGTCCAAGAGTTCGAGAGCAGCCTGGGTAACATGGCGAAACTCCATCTCTACTAAAAATACAAAAAGTTAGCTGGGTGTGGTGGTGGTGCATGCCTATAGTCCCAGCTACTTGGGGGCATGAGGTCGGAGGATCGTTTGAGCCTGGGAAGTCGAGGCTGCAGTGAGCCCTGATTGTGCCACTGCACTCCAGCATGGGCAACAGACTGAGACCCTGTCTTTAAAACAATTTGAAAAAATGAGAGTCTTATGGGATTCAAGAAAACTCATGTACTTTGAAGACAAACCTTGGTTCACATCCCTGCTGCAACACTGATTAGCAGAATGATCCTGAGCCTCCATTTCCTCATCACTAAAGTGAGGATAAAGACTCCTTCCTTGCAAGATGGCATGAGGATTAGTGTATGCGTAGGAAGCAAACAGCGCAGTGTCTGGTGCTTTAGAGGTGCCCAGAGACAGACTGATAGTAACATGAAATAACAGCAATACTATTATGACTGTAAGTATTAATATATTGAATGCTCAGTTTCAGACTTTGTTTTTGATACTATTATGCATACCAACTCATTTAACTTTCACAACTATGCTCTTCTTTATTATTACCACTATATTGGTGTAGACCTAGAGATACCAAGAGACTGAATAACTCACTCACAGCCACACGTGCACTGAGCAGCAAAGGAAGAATTCACATGCAGGCCTCTGCATCCAAGCATGTGCTCTGCCCCAGCCCCTGCTCTCCAGGCCTGGTCAGTACTAATTGTTATCACCTATGGACCTACCCTAGAGCCTTGGGTACTATAGCTTGGTGATCCACCACTACAAACTCTTCTTTTTGGCCCACAAGACCGCAACCTCATCCCCTCCACCAAGAGCTTTCAAAACACCAAGGTAGCTAAGCACTGCCAAAACCACACCTCTAAGTAGAACTCCATGGCTGTCTCCAGATCCTCCCGCTGGGCTGCCAGCTGGGCCAAGTTCTTATAAGTGGAATATTTCAGTATCAGCCCAGGGTGTTTCAACCCCTCTTTCTCATCACCGGATGAAACTGCCTGTGAACAAAACAGAACAGAAGTGACAACTAGACCTTGAAGCCTCAGCAAGCAGCCAGCAGGATACTTGGCTTCCAGGCTGGCCTCTGCTGCAGGCCCTTGAGCCAGTCTAGTGTTGTCCACCACTGGAAAATGAAGGCACTGCACCATGTGTTCTTATAAGACCACTCCTACTCCAAGCGCACAGAGAAGAACAGACCACCCTGAGGTATTAATAGTTTGCAGAGAGTCTGGGCATCCAACAGAGAGAAACTGCCCCACCACTACTGCCATGCCTGAGGGTTCAAGCCTAGCGAATAACATTTACAGCATAGGTAGACCCAGTCAGCAGCTCCAGGTATAAGATAAAAGACAAAGTATCAGCAGGCTGCCTGGGGGCAGAAGGCCTAGAGCTTCACTGCAGGCACTCCAGGATTAGGAATCAAGAGACTGAGCTCCCAACTCTATAACTCATCACATGAGCATAGACAATTGCTAATTTAACTAAAACGTTAGTGTCTGACCTCTGTAATTAAGAAAAATAATTCCTACCCTAAATAGCAAAAGTTAAAGTGAGCTGAAAGACCATCAGAATTGCAAATATGCTTAATATGAAAAGTTATTTCATTACAGCTTTAATGACCTTATATTCTAAGAAACTGCTGATTAGAAAACTATTGCTCCAACCACAGGACAAAGACTAAAACATTTTCTAACAGAAAAACTCACGGGCACCAAGAAGCTCTTTCCTGGGGCAGGTGGCTTCCACACATTGCTCTTCATGTTCTGAACAGGTAAGATCTGAAGACATGCCACCCTCAGGAAGCATCCCTTGACTAATCCAAGAATCTACCTACCTTGGAGGTCTTAAGGAACTTCTTTAAGACTGAGAAGCTCAAATGAAGCCCCATTCAGTTATCTTCTACCGTCATCTGACTTATCATACAAAAAGGCCCCCAAGAACCAGCTGACCAGGGCTGGATCCCAGCTACCTCTGTCCCTCCAGGTACAGAACTCTTCAAAGAATAGTGGGAACAAATTTACAGAGACTAAGTGAGTCTACTTCGAACTAAACAATCAGCAATACACATGGACATGCACATAACAGTGGATGCTTTTAACTAACCTCCACCTAACAGACTACCTACATTCAGCACCACTCTCCATCCACCCTGAAAGGCTTGCCCGAGCAAGTCCCTCTAGGACACCCACCAGTCAGGGTGAATGCTTCTTAGGAGTCAGCTGGGGTCCAGGGCCTATCTATGCCAATCTTCTGCAAAACTGTAATTATGTAATTAACATTAAGTATGCCAATGCAATATGAGTGTAAAAAGAAACTGTTCTATGTATTTTCTGTACTTCTCCATTGTTTACAATGAGCATGTTGTCCCTTTTAAGGCTGAAACAACCTTTTAAGGCTGAAAGTGATACACTGTGCACAGAAAGATGCACACACCTACAACTAAAAGGCTGACACATGACCGTGCCCTTAGGTAAAAGGTTTCTGCCTAGCAACTGTTGGATGCTGGGCCCACCTGGCATTCCACCACGTCCTGAGAGGGAAGACCAACATGCCCACCAACTGGTCCATAACCAAAGCTCAGTAAACATGGAATAAACTAATTTTCCCTCTCTGGGTCCTCACCCACTTCCTACTAACAGGAGAGGAGGAGGTCACAAGTCCCATACCACTAATTCCAAAGCACTGTAACCAGTAACCAAAGAATCTTGACAAGCTATATAATTAGGAATACAAAGAAAAACCGTGGGTGAGAGAAGGAACAGATGCTTTCTTCTCACAATTAAAACTCAGTATTCTATCTCATCGGCAGCAAAAACCATCAAGGTTTTTGCTTGAGTCATAAGTGTCTGCATGCCTAGCACTACAGGAGACTCTGCTCAACTCAAGGACTGTGCAGTCCAGTAAATACCCATGGAGCTTATCTGCTTCCTTAATGCACATCATCTGCATGTTTGGGCGAAAACAAACATGAAAACTTGAAAACAAACGCCTTTCCTCCTAATGAAATATACACCTTCCTAAATCAATTTCAGGTTGGGACCAATTCCCAAACCTCCAGTCGACATCTCCAGTCAACTCGAGGATTAACTCACTCACCACTACCACAGTCCCCATGCTGGGACCAGGTCTTGCTCTGCCTGCCCCTCTCTACTGTAACCAGTGTCCCCAGTCCTTCTGACTATATTCAAAATTGCATGGCATGTCTATACAGACTTCCCAAGCTCATGGTCTTTTACTCAAATGGCATTTGCTAAAATGTGCTGCCAGTAGGATCATTAGGTATCAGCAAACCATGGACTCCAAACCTGGTTCGAATGCTTCACTTACTTGGATGGCTTTGAGCCATCAAGACCTCACTAAGCCTCAGTTTCCACATTTGTAAAACCCAGCTACTGGGCAGAGTGGTTGTGAAGATTAAGTAATAACGATAGCTGGCCTTTAACAAGCACTTACACCAGGAATCATTTTACATGCTTCACTGGATTTACTCAACCCTCATAAAAACTCAATGAGGCAGATACCTAGAGGTGGGGAAATAGGGGCAGAGAGGTGAAATAATGTTTTCAAGGTTCCCCAGCCAAGAAATGGGAGAGCAGAGGTAAGGCCCAGAGTACCCAGCCCCACAGCCCATGCACTAACCACCACGGCACACTGCCTGGCCTGCTGATGCCTCACCTCCCGCAGCAGGCTCGCCTCCAAGAGCTCATGGTAGGCTTTGGCAGACTCCTCAAACCGGTCATGTTTCTGCAGATCAAGGGCCTTGTGGTACAATGCAAAAGCCTCTGCTTCCTGCAAATCAAGACAAGAGATGTTTTCATACAGCATAAAGATCTGTCTTTTTTAAGCCAAAAATGTGTGTAAGGCGGGGCTACAGTCAGAGGAACCAACCATGTGATTAGATAGCTGGAACTTTCAGCTCCCCCACCTCCCAACTTCCAGGAAGGGAAGAGAGGCTGGAGATTGAGCTGATCACCAATGATTTAATCAATCATGCCTATGTGATGGAATCTCTGTTTAAAAACCCTAAAGGGCAGGGTTCAGAAAGCTGCTAAGTTGGTGAACAACATCAAGGTGCTGGGAGGGTGCCGCACCTGGAGAGGGCACGGAAGCTCTGTGAATCCACCCCATACCTTGCCATAAATATCTCCTCCACTTGGCTGTTCCTGAGTTGTATCCTTCATAATAAATTGGTAAATGTAAAGTGTTTTTCTAAGTCCTGTGAGTCATTCTAGCAAATTATCAAATCTAAAAGGGGTAGGGGGTGAGAATCCCTGATTTTACAGACCGGCTGGACAGAAGTGTAGGTATCCTGGCACTCAACGCTTGCAACTGGCATCTGAAGTGAGGGCAGTTTTGTGGGATGAGCTGTTAGTGCTGTGGAGTCTGACACTAACTCTGTGTAGCTAGTGTCAGAATTGAATTGTAGGACACCCAGTTGGTATATGGAGAGTTGGAGAATTGGTATGGGGGGAAAATACCCCAAACATATGATATCAGAAGGGTTGTGAGTAAAATGTTCAGTGTGAATGGTTTCCATTGCAGGCCAGGCACAGTGGCTCACATCTGTAATCCCAGCACTTTAGGAAACCAAGGTGTGAACCGAGGAGTTCATGGCCAACCTGGGCCACATAGAGAGACCCCTGTCTCTACAAAAAAATTTAAAAATCAGCTGAGCATGGTGGCCTGGTGTCTGTAGTCCTAAACTACTCAGGAGGCTGAGACAGGAAGACTGCTTGAGCCCAGGAGTTAGAGGTTACAATGAGCTGTGACCATGCCACTACACTCCAGCCTGGGTAACAGAGTGAGACCCTATCTCTTAAATAAACAAACAAAAGCTGGTTTCCATTGTTTTCTTTTCTTTTTTTTTTTTTTTTTTTGAGACGGGGTCTCACTCTGTCGCCCAGGCTGGAGTGCAGTGGCATGATCTCAGCTCGCTGCAACCTCTGCCTTCCAGGCTCAAGCTATTGTCCTGCCTTAGCCTCCCTAGTAGCTGGGACTACAGACATGCACCACCACGCCCAGCTAATTTTTATACTTTGAGTAGAGACGGGGTTTCACCATGTTGGCCAGGCTGGTCTCGAACTCCTGACCTCAAGTGATCCACTCACCTCAGCCTCCCAAAGTGCTGGGATTACAGGCATGAGCCACCGCACCCGGCCTGGTTTCCATGTTTTTCTACTCACCACTCTGCCATAGCCTGATCATTGCCTGGGGAGGATGACAATCTCCTGTGGGAGGGAGGGGGCACTGGGTAGGTTGAGCCTCACTGACATGCCTTGCAGACTAGGGACAGGTGACTAGTAGACTTCTGAGACAGCTCTGGAACTGTCCTGATTTCTACCATAAAATGCAGCGGGGTGGAAGGGAAGGCATATGTTTATTTCAGGGAAAACAAAGGCAGGAGCAAACTCTTATTACACTAGGATAGGAGAAGGGTATGGAGATGAATGGATGGAAAGAAGAAGGCTGAAATGGAAGAGATGCCAGGCCTCATGGGAAAGAGGAGTGACCAACAATCTAGGGAGTTGAGGTTGGACCTGGCTCCCTCACTGACCTGGAGGGTGATCCCAGTCTAGGCTGCTCCCCTCAAGAGTCTCATCACACTGTAAAGTGAGGGCAATACACTAGGGAACCTCGAAACACCATCTACCATTAATATTCTACCATTCCCTGGGTATCCCAACTCCTGAGGGCTGCACAAAGAATGGGGTGCATGGAAGTAGGCCTGGGGGCTGAGCTGGCCTTCACATACACTGATAGAATAAATATAATTTCTCCTCTATATGATCGTCTGCTAAGTAAAACAGGTTTAACAGGAGATGGAGAGCTAGCCATCTTTCAAAATGGAATTTCCCCCTAAAGCCCCACTGAGGAGATGCCTAAATGTATTTAAAATGAGGTTCCCTCTATAGAAATGAGAAGGTCCACCTACAGAGAAGACCTCGCATTACGTACCTGAGCCTCCTTTGTCTGGGTTTTGTGACTTTTAAAGCTTCCTTCATGATCATCCTCAATGGTGGAGCTGGCATTTAAGGCTGCAATTCGAATCTAGAAACAGGGGTTTGGTGGAAGAGACAAGTTGCTTTGAGATGTCACTCATCTCTTCAAATACCCACAGATGAATACAATTCTGCTCCAGCATATGATCTATTCTACCTTGAAAAGCTATGACCTTCTCAGATGTGGGGAATGAACAAAAAAATCATCCTCTAAAGAAAAAAAAAAAGAAGGGCGGGGGGTGGGGGGCCGAGGGGGGAGGGTTATGCCAATCTGTGCAGAAAGTATGTCCTGGGTACTGTCCACTGCAAAAGCAACAGACACTGGGGACACCCCAGCAACAGCTCAACACAGTAGAAGACCCAGGTAATGGAACAACAGATTTCAACAAAACATGTTAACTTTATGTCTTTCCAGCAACTGTGACAAGGTCCTGCAAGCCGCTTCAACCACCAGGCAAGCAATCTCACACCCTCAAAGGTGCCAACAGCCTTCCTGGGAGGAAGGCTACTCCATAATAAGAGCCTTCAGAATCTAACAGGAAAATGCCCCTCGCCCCCAGGAGTAACGTAACAAAAGAACACTGAGGTCCGCAAAATAGGCAGGCATCAGTCCTTACCATATTCAGAGAGATTCAGCACTGCCACGAGCATCACTTCTCATCACTGGCAAAGGTTGCCCCAGTCCACAACTCTCCTAGAAAGGAAATAGGACAAACTGAGACAAGGCCTATGAAGAGCCAGGAAGGTCACAGTGCCAAGGTCCACCAGGAACCAGTCCTTCCCTGAGCTCTATGCAGACAGGCCAGTGAAGAGCTGCCTTGGGACAGCGGTGTGGTCTAACACACAAGGAGCTCCTTGGTCCCTTACGATAGCATTCATCATTTCCTGGCAATGCATCAGGTGCCAGGCACACAAAAGAGTGAGAACAATCCTTGCCCCCAGGGATCACTGCTAGCAGAGGTAACAAGCCTATTATTTTTTTCAAAACCTGAATGATACGAAAAGAAACACAGGCAACATCTAAAGGCAGCAAAGAACAATTCAAAGCGATTAAGGAAGGCAAAGGAGTAAGTTACTGCATCAAGCCTTGAAGAATGGAATACACTGCAGTGGAAGACAGTGAAGCAAAGAGGCAGGGAGAGCGAGGTGTGATGGGAAAACTAGAAGACAAGGCCTTAGAGCAGGGATGTGAATGGAGGATGGAAAGGTAGTTGAGGGCCAAGTGACAACACAGAGGCCATGAACTTTACCTGTAGGCAACAGGGAATCAATGGGTGTTTTAGGGAGAACAAAATGTTTTGCCTATGTTTTAGAAAGATAATAGAAAAATAATTAGAGATAGGCAGACTAGTCTGAAGGCTGCAAAAGATGACAGGATTGGCAAAGATGTGGAGATTTAGAATCTCATGCATTGTTGCTGGGAATGTAAACTGGTGCAACCCTTGCGGAAAACAGTCTGCTAGTTCCTCAAAATGTTAAACAGAGCTAGCATATGACCAGGGAATTCCACTCCTATGTGTATCTACCCAAAAGAAATGAAAACATGTCCACGCCAAAACTTGTTCATGAATGTTCACAGAGGCATTATTTCTAAAAGCTAAAAGGTGGAAATAACCTAAATGTCCACCAACTGATGAATGGATAAATAAAATGAAGTATGTCCATATAAAGGGGTATTTATTATTCAATCATAAAAAGGAATAAATTTCTGATACATGCTACAACACAGAAGAACCTTGAAAACATTATGCTAAATGAAAGAAGTCATATACAAAATAGCATGTATCTTCTGGCTCCAATTATATGAAATGTCCAGAATATGCAAATCTATAGAGATAGAAAATAGTTTAGTGCAGGGGTCCCCAGCCCCCAGGCCACAGACCAGTACTGGTCCATGGGCTGTTAGGAACTGGGTCACAGAACAGGAGATGAGCGGCAGGTGAGCAAGCATTACTGCCTGAACTCTGCCTCCTGTCGGATTAGCAGCAGCATTAGATTCTCATAGGAGCACAAACCCTATTGTGAACTGTGCATGCGAGGGATCTCGGTTGTGCATTCCTTATGAGAATCTAACTAATGCCTGATGATGTGAAGTGAAAGTTTCATCCAGAAATTATCCCTGCCCTCTGCCTCTGGTCCGTGGAAAAATTGTCTTCCAAGAAACCAGTCCCTGGTGCCAAATGGATGGGAACCGCTGGTTTAGTGGGCTTGGAGAGAAGGACAACTGGGGAGCAACTACCAAGGGGTTTAGGGTTTCTTTCTGGGATGACAAAAATGTTCTAAAACTGATTGTGGTGGTGGTTACACAACTCTGTTAATATACTAAAAACCACTGAATTTGTACACTTTAGGGGAAACTACATGGCATGTAAATTACAAAGCTCTTATTTTTAAAAAGATGCCAGGATCCCAGATGGACCCGTGACAGCAGGGATGAAGGGGAATCCCACTAGGAGGTAGACTCACAGGACCTGACACCTGGGAGGCTGGCCCGAGGAACTGGGATGGGGATATGGACACTACCAAATACGTCAGGGAGGGCAGGAGGAGGACCCATTAAAAGTCCTAGCTGAGAGGCTGGCAGAAGGGGCTGGAAGGGCCCAGCAGGCAGTGGGATAAGCCTCAAACAGACAGATTGAACATGTGCTCCACTTTTATCAATTAAAATAACTGCTAGGGGCTGGACACAGTGGCTCATGTAATCCCAGCACTTGTGGAGGCTGAGGCGGAAGGACTGCTTGAGCCCAGGAGTTTGAGACCAGCCTGGGCAATAAGGTGAGACCCTGTCTCTATTAAAAATAATAATAAAATAAATTTAAAATGACTGCCACTGTCACCAGTGCTTACAGCAATGACTTCTAGCACAGGCTTTCACAATAGGCTCTGAGTTCTCTTAAGGGTTCATGCAAGGAAGGAAGTACTTTCTCACAGACAAAGAAGACTCAAACCTTTCCTAGACTGATAGCTGTTTTATCTCCTGGGTTCCACATTTAGAAAAAAAAGAATACTGCTAATCAAAAGTTTGGAAACTGCAGTTTTTGTGTTTGTTTTTGTTTCTTTGAGACGGAGTCTCTCCCTGTTGCCTAGGCTGGAGTGCAGTGGCGCGATCTCGGCTCACTGCAACCTCCACCTCCCGGGTTCAAGTGATTCTCCTGCCTCAGCCTCCTGAGTAGCTGGGACTACAGGTATCTGCCACCACGCCTGGCTAATTTTTTGTATTTTTAGTAGAGACAGGGTTTCACCATGTTGGCCAGGCTGGTCTCGAATTCCTGACCTCAGGTGATCCACCCACCTCGGCCTTCCAAAGTGCTGGGATTACAGGCATGGAATTACAGTGAGCCACCATGCCTGGCCAGAAACTGCAACTTTATCATAAGCTATGCCAAAATGGACACTGGGACCACTATACAATATGAAAAAAAGTAGAAACTATAGCATTAAAACCCTCCATCTAGGCTGTTATCAAAGCAAAATAAAGCCAGAAAATAACAAGTATTGATGAGGACCTGGAGAAACTGGAGTCTTTGTACATTCCTGGTGAGAATGTAAAATGGTGCAGCTACTATGGAAAAAGGTATGGCAGTTCCTCAGAAAATTAAGTACAGAATTACTACATGACCCAGAAATTCCACATCTGGCTATATACACAAAATAAATGAAAGCAGGGACTTGAACAGACACTTGTACACTCATGTTCATAGCAGCATTATCACAATAGCCAAAAGGTAAGAAGCAACCCAAGTGTCCAACAACAGATGAATGAACAAAATGTGGTGTATACATACAACAGAATACTATTCAAACTTAACAAGGCAGGAAACTCTAGCACATGCTACAACATGAAATAAACTTTAAAAACTACACTAAGTAAAATAAGCCAGACACAAAAGAACAAATATTATATGATTCCACTTATAGGTGGAAAATAGAATAGGAAAATTCATACAGACAGAAAGTAGAATGGTGGTTGCCAGAGAGGGAGAGGGCAATAGAGAGTTACTGTTTAATGGGTATAGCATTTCAACTTTTCAAGATGAAGAGAGTTTTGGAGATGGATGGTGGTGATGGTAACACAACAATGTGAATGTACATAATGCCACTGAGCTGTACACTTAAAAAGTGGGTAAAATGGTAAATTTTGTTTCCATATTTTACCATTTCTTTAAATATCCAGAAGTAAACAATCAATAGAATAGTTTCCAATTAGGAACAAAGTTGAACTTGTTTTCAAAATACAAAGACATTACTCCAAATAAAGTCTCAGATAGGCTCTGGTCATCCTCAAGGCAGGCCGACAGCCCATGGCCAGACCTGCAGCTCAAGCCACACCCTGATGACTCCCAGTAAGCAGAACTTATAGCCCCAGGGGCCAGCTATGGAGCCCACTGGAGATTAGAAGAAGTGGGAGAGCCTCTCAAACCCCCACTTCACAGCCACTCTCTGCTGCTCACCCACTGGGCTCTGTGCACTGAATCCGAAAACACCTCTAATCCCACTGAGCATCACATAGCCTCCGTCTGAACTGCTGCCTTCACTTACAGAGCAGTCACTCAGGAACTACCCATTGGTCGATTTTTTTTCACCACTATCTTACTGTAAAAATCAGCTGTCCTACCTAGACCTGGGGTTGTAAGAAGGAAAAATGGAAAGGACACTGGATTTGGAATAGGAAGATTTTAGAGTGTGGCTGAGTTGTGTCTCAGATACTTGACTCCCTGATCCTTTACAACCCTTGGTGTCCTTGTATATAAAATGGCGACAATAGCTTGACTAGCGTGGAGCTCCTCTGACCAGAGACCAGCAGACTTAGCTGGGATTCCCCATGTCACACCCACACTGACTTTTCTCCTGCCCCCTGCCACCCCACAGAGGCAGGAGAAAAATCAGAGAGTGGCACTTATGCCAAGACACAGGCCTCTCAACCCACTTTCTGCAGGACACGTGCTAGCTCTAAGTCATGGCAAGTCTTCCTAGATGCCAACTGGATCCTCCTAGGGAAAAACAAGGGAGGGGCCCATTAATGGCTGAAGGATCAGGTCTCTGTGTGGCGGTGGCAGGGTCCATGTGCATGGGTGGGAGAACATCAATACAGCCATCATGCCAAGGCCAACCTATTCCACAAGGAAGAAAGCTCATCTGCTTCCTAAGTAATGTCTCAAAGGAACGCATCCAACCACTACCAGAATGGTGCCAGGTGTGCCTGTGCCTTCCTCTGGGGCATATGCTTCTTTGTCTCCAGGACTATGGTAGGTGCAAGTCCAATCGCAGAGCTGACAGGAGATGGCCTCTCAGGACAGATGAATGACTAAATAACTAGGCAAGTTGGAGAAAAAAAACAGTGAGGAACCCCAGAGTGGGGTGTCTGGCCCCATATGCTGTCTGAGTCCCTGCCCCAGCCCAATCCCTCCCACCTCCTCCATAAAGAAGGCACCTGGATTCCCTGAAGCAACAGCTCCCTGAGTACCATGATCAGCAGAACCCAAACACCCTGAAAACAGTCCACAGTGTAGGAGAACAAATACAAATTTCAGGCTTCCTAATTATTTTCAAAATTGTTCTATGTTAAAACTCAAGTCAACTCTCCCCACTAAAAGGGCACCTGTGCTGGCTTTAACATAATCTAAAAACAGCAGCACTTGGCACCTCTCCAAATCTCCAGTCCATCCTAGACATTTACAAAGCACATTCACATTATCTCACTTGAATTTAATGCAGCCTTACAAAATAGGCATTATCATCCCCATTTTCCAGATTAGGAAACCAAGGCTTAGGGAGACTAGCTGACCTGCCCAAAGTCATAATGCTAAAAAGAGACAAAAATAGGACTCAAAGCCCAGTACTCTTTCTAGCACAGCAAAAAGTGACAGCAAAGAGTCTCCTGCCTGCCCCTGGACATGCACAGCTGTGAGCTATTATGCTTCAGCTAAGAGCCACAACTGATGCCCTGCAAGAGCTCCGAACAGGTTTGCTGATGGCCATAGAATAAATTGTATTTGCTCAGGCTGTTGGGCCATCACTTATGCATCATCAACATCACTCCATAAAGCAGAAAACAAAATTTCCAATTCTCTAATAAAAGTACCAGCAAAAAGCTATTCAATGCCCAAGTATTACATGCTAATCAAAAACTCACAAAGACCAGCTCCCATTTTATAGGGAGGTACCTCAGGCTTGCCACGTTAGGTGATTTGCCTCAGGCTGCCCAGCTGGTGGGCAGCAGAACCCAAGTTTTAAGCTGGGCACTGCTTTTCAATGTGTCTCCTGGGCACAGACACATACTGAACTGAGGCATACTTGTAGGTATACAGTTTTACTGTCTACACAACATTTCATCAAGGAAAACCTAAAAAATGATTCTCATATAGACTCATCACATACATTAGGTCCATGAGACCAGCACCCCTTCTGCCCACTGCCTTCTATTTCCACTCCATCATTACCACTCTTCCTCAGCTACTCCAAAATTTCCAGTAGCAAAATTAAGAAGAAGCCAGAATAATGGACACATTGGGAAGACTGTGGGGGCTTTGAACATGTACTGTATAATCCCCTTTACTAGCAACTACCATTTTTTTTTTTTTAAGACAGGGTCTCACTCTGTTGCCCAGGCTGGAGTGCAGTGGCACAATCTCACCTCAGCTCACTGCAGCCTCAGCCTCCTGGGCTCAGGCAATCTTCCCATCTCAGCTTCCTCAGTAGCTGGGACTGCAAATGCATGGCACCATGCCTGGCTAAATTTTTAATTGTTTTTTTGTAGAGACGGGGTTTCACTATGTTGTCCAGGTTGGTCTTGAACCCTTGAGCTCAAGCGCCTCGGCTTAAGGCCTTGGCTTGAGGCTCACTGCAACCTCCAACTCCTGGGTTCAAGTGATTCTCATGTCTCAGCCTCCTGAGTAACTGGCATTACAGGCATGCTCCACCACGTCTGGCTAATTTTTGTATTTTTAGTAGAAACAGGGTTTCACCATGTTAGCCAGGCTGGTTTCAAACTCCTGGCCTCAAGCGATCCACCTGTCTCGGCCTCCCAAAGTGCTGTTATAGGTATGAGCCACCGTACCTGGCCTTGAGTTTTTAAATATCGAGTACCTGCAAGAATTTTTCCTAAGATATACAAATAAAACATCTTTTTAAAACTAAAAATCTTACACTGATTTGGCACAGCAAGAGATGGTTCTTTCTAAATGTCCCCTCTACATGCCCTCACCTCTTCAGTGGAAATCACCCTGCCTCTGGGTCTGTCCCTCTTAATAGCCTTGTAAACTTCCCAAAGGCAGCAATCCTGTCCTATTTATCTTTGTACCACTATATCTGGTACCAAATCCCATGAAGGAAGAGACAAGTGAGTACATGAGTGGTTTCTAGACAGCTCACCTGTTATTCAGTCATACCCTCCACACAGGGAGAAGTACCACAAGTCAAGCAGAAAACAAAGTGCTTCCTGTGCAGAACAAACGTGCATCCTCATATTAGACATAAGGAAGCTGAGCCCTGTAACCATATTCCTAAGGATGGAATAGTCATACAACTGCACCTCTCCATAACAAAGACAGAACAAGGGCTGGAAAAAAACGACTGGAGGATAGGACACATTTAACTTTTCAGTCAAATCTTTCTCCACGACCAGCATCCATCATTCACAGGATGACCTTTGAAGGACAGGGCAAGCTTCAGAAGTACCTCAATGCAGAGGCAGCCTGCAGAGACATGGCTCACTGATGGTTCTGTTAACACCATGGACTGTAGCACTCCCATACGAGGAGGAGCATTCTCATCTCAGCTGAAATAGGACTTTAACAGTCCCCGTTTTTTTGACACACTTCATTTTTCTGTGCTTTACTTTATTGAGCTTCACAGGTACTGTGTTTTTGATTAATTGAAAGTCTGTGGCAGCCCTTTGTCAAGAAAGTTGGTAAGTGTCATTTTTCCAAGAGCATGTGCTTACTTTGGGTTTCTGTGTCAGCATTTTTTAGCAATAAAGTATTTCTTAACTAAGGTATGTACATTTTTTTAGATATAATGCTGCTGCACACTTAATAGACTATAGTACAGTATAAACATTAACTTTTATATGTACTGGGAAACCAAAAAATTTGTGTGACTTGCTTTATTGTGATAGATATTCACTTTATTGCAGTGGTCTGGAACCAAACCCACAATATCTCTGAAGCATGACTGTAATGATTAAAAAAAAAAAAAACCTGCCAGTAGACCCAAAGTGGAAGAGACCTCCTCAATCTGTATCTTAGTCAATTTGGTGCTGCTATAACAGAATATCTGAGCCTGGGTAATTTATAAAAAAACAGTAATGTATTGGCTCACAGTCCTGGAAACTGGAGAGTCAAAGAGCATGGCGCCAGTGCCAGTACCTGGCAAAGGCCTTACTGCATCACTGCGTGGTGGAAGGCAGAAGGGTGAGAGAGCATGACAAAGCAAAAGGGGGATGAACTCACTTCTGTAACAAGCCCATCCTTGCAATAATGAACCTATTCCCATAATAACAACATTAATCCACTCATAAAGGCAGATCCCTCATGACCTAATTAACTCTTAAAGGTTCCACTTGTCAACACTGTTGCATCGGGGATTACATTTCCAACATATAAACTGTGGGGGATACATTCAAACCATAGCAATCTGATAAAAGGTATTTACAGCTAACAGCATACTTAATTTCCCTCCAAGATCAAGAAACAAGGCAAGGATATCCACTGTCATCTGTCCTATTCCACAATATACTGGAAGCCCTAGCTACTACGTTAAGGCAAGAAAAATAAGTTAAGTGGAAAGAGATTACACAGAAAAAAATAAAACTGTCCCTTTTCAGAGATAGCATGATTGCCTTTCATAGAAAATCTCAAGTAATCTAGAAAATAAAGCCCTAGAACTTCTAAGTGTGTTTAGCAAAGTCATAGGGTACAGGTCAACACATAAAAGTAACTGTATTTCGGCATACTAGCAATAAACACTAGAAATCAAAATTGAAAAAAAGAATATCATTTACAATAGCTCCAAAAATTATGTATAAATATAACAAAATATGTACAAAGTCTATATTCTGAAACCAAGAAAACAGTGGTGAAATAACTCAAAGTAGACCTAAACAAATGGAAAGACATACCACGTTGAAGAACTGGAAGATTCAACATAGTAAAGATGTCAATTTTCCCCCAAACAGACCTACAGATTTAGTGCAATCCCAATAAACATCACAGCAGGGTCTGTTTGTAATTATAGATAAGCTGACAGAAAGATTTAATGGAAGGCCAGAGAGGTACTAGAATGACCCAGTTTTGAAAAGAATAGTAATATTGGACGGATCACACTACACAATTTAAAAACTTACAATAAAGCTGTAATAATCAAGGCAGCGTAGTGTTAGTAAATGAACAGACACATAAATCAATGAAACAAAATACAGAGTCCATAAGAACCCAAATGAAAATGGCCAATTTATTACTGACTATGGTGCAAAGGCAATTCAATGGAGAAAGAATCTTCTTTGCAACAAATGGTTCCGGAACAACTGAACATCCATATTCAAAAAGAAAAAAGAAAAAGAACCTTGACCAAAAATTCACATGTAATACAAAAAATAACTCAAAATGGATCATTTCTAAACATAAAATACAAAACAAAGAAAACACAGGAGAAAATCCTTGAAACCTAGGGTTAGACAAGCCTTCAGACAACACAAAAAAACACAACCCATAAGCAAAAAACTCAATAAACTGAACTTCCAAATTGAAAAACTCTTGCTTTACAAAAGACACTGCTACAAGAATGAAAAGGTCAGTCCTTCCACCAAAACAACCAGTAAACTAGGAAAATAATCATCAAAATCTACTGTTTCAAACTCTGGAACCTGGCCAGGCATGGTGGTTCACACCTATAATCCCAGTACTTTGGGAGGCCAACACAGGATGATTGCTTGAGCCCAGGAGTTTGAGGCCAGCCTGGGCAACAGAGTGAGACCTCGTTTCTACAAAACATAAAAAAAATTAGTCCAGGCCCAGTGGATCAAGTCTATAATCCTAGCACTTTGGGAGACAGAGATGGGTGGATCACTTGAGCTCAGGAGTTCGAGACCAGCCTGGGCAACATAGTGAAAACCTGTCTCTACAAAAAAATACAAAAAAATTAGCTGGGCGTGGAGGCACATGCCTGTTGTTCCAGCTACTAGGGGGCTGAGGTTGGGAGGCTCACTTGAGTCCAGGAGGTTGAGGCTGCAGTAAGCTGAGATTGTGCCACCGCACTCCAGCCTGGGCAACAGAGTGAAAGCCTGTCTCAAAAAAATAAATTAGCTGGGCGTGGTGGCACATACCTGTAGTCCCAGATACTTGGGAGGCTGAGTGGGAGGATAACTTCAGCCTGGGAGGTCGAGGCTACAGTAAGCTGAGATTGCACCACTGCACTTCAGCCCGGGTGACAGAGTGAGAGCCTGTCTCAAACAAAGCAAAACAAAACAAAACAAAACTTTGCAACCTGACTGAACACTTAAAACAACCAGCAGAGCGTTTGATGAGCAGAGGCTGCTGATATTTGGTAAAAGAATAACTTGACTCAGCTACCATCCCCCATTCCTCGGCCCCACCACTCACGGCTATAGGGATAGCAGCTCATGTTCCTAAAGTGGCTGGCTGGTTCCAAACCTACAAAAATGTGGGTTTGTGCACTTTGGTTGGTCTGGCAGATCCCTGTAGAACTGGTATATACTTGCCTTGGTTTTGGCCTTCTCAGGCTATCGATGTTTTCACAGGTGGCTTCTATCAGAAGATTTAAAGAGATGGAACACCTTTTCCCCCCTTTTGAATCAGACATTTAAGGAAATCGTTGTCAGGTCACTGGCTGACCAAAGAAATAATGGAACAGAATCTACAGTGCCCACAAACAACAAGGAATACATTTTGCAAAAATAGTTTGAAAAAGTCAAAAATTGATGGCTGCAGCCCTCAACAAGAAAAAGTCAGAAATCTGACTTCCAACATTATCCATACTATAATACTTAGAATGTACAATTCTAAACAAAAAAATTACAAAGAATACAAAGAAAAAAGAAAATGTGGCACATTCACAGGAAAAAGGAATTTGATAGAAACCATCCCTGAGAAACTGAATTTGATAGAAAATATTCCTGACCAGACACTGAAATTACTAGTCAAAAATATTAACTGTCCTAAATACACTGAATCAACTAAAGGAAATCAGGATAGATGAACAAAATAATAAAGGAAATAAGGAAAATAATGTAAGAACAAGATGAGATTATCACTAAAGAGACAGAAATTCTAAAAAGAAATCAAACAAAAATTCTGAAGACTAAAAATACAACTGAAAATTCAAAAACAAATGTGAGCAGGCGAAATAAATGGTCAGCGAATGTGAAGGAAAGGCAATTGAAATTATCCAGTGTGAGAAAAATAAAAAGAATAAAGAAAAATGAATAGAGACATACGGACATATGGGGGATACCATCTAGAAAACTAACGTATGTATCATATGAGTATCTGAGGGAGAAGAGAGAAAGGGGTAGAAAAATTATTCGAAGAAATAATGGCTGAAAACTCCTCAAATCCAATTAAAGACATTAACATACATATCCAAGAAGTTCAATGAACTCTAAGAAGTACACATTCAAAGACATCCACATTGAGACACATTATAGTCAACTTATTAAGACCAAAACCAAAGAGAAGATCTTGAAAGCAGCAAGAGAGAAGCAATTCTTAGGAAAAAACATATGGAAAAATCTTCATGTCCTTGGATCTGGCAATAGCCTCTTAAGCATGACACCAAAAGCACAGGAAACAAAAGGAAAAATAGATAAATTAGACTTCATCAAAATGTAAAACTTTTATGCAAAGGTAGCACATGTATACATATGTAACTAACCTGCACAATGTGCACATGTACCCTAAAACTTAAAGTATAATAAAAAAAAAACTTTTATGCAAAGGACACTATCAAAAAGTGAAAAGACAACACACACAATGGAAGAAAATATTTGTAAATCATATACCTAATAAGAGATTAATATCCAGAATATATAAAGAACTCCTACAATTCAACAACAAAAAGACAAACAAGTCAATTTAAAAATGGGTAAATGACTGGGCATGGTAGTTCACGTCTGTAATCCTAGCACTTTGGGAGGCTGAGGCAGGCAGATCACTTGAGGCCAGAAGTTCGAGACCAGCCTGGCCAACATGGTGAAACCCCATCTCTACTAAAAATAAAAAAATTAGCTGGGCATGGTGGCAGGCACCTGTAATCCAGCTACTCAGAAGGCTGAGGCATGAGAACTGCTTGGGCCCGGGAGGCAGAGTTTGCAGTGAGCCAAAATCGCACCACTGCACTCCAGCCTGGGTGACAGAGCAAGTCTCCATCTCAAAAAAAAAAAAAACAGGTAAATGACTTTCAAAAGACATTTTCTCTAAAGAAGATATAAAAACACCTGTAAGTGCATAAGATGCTTATCAGGGAATTGTAAATTAGTCATCCAGGAAATGTAAATCAAAACTACAGTGAGATACTATTTCCATCCACTAGAATGGCTATTATCAAAAAAATAAAACAGAAAGGAAATGGAAAATAACAAGTGTTGGCAAGGATGTAGAAAAACTCAAACACTCATGTACTGCTGGTAGGAATGTAAAATGGTCCAGCCCCTGTGGAAAACAGTTTAGTAGTTCCTCAAAAAGTCAGACATGGAATTGCTACATGACCCAGCAATTCCACTCAGGTTTTTACCTGAAAGAACAGGACTTGAACAGATACTTGTTCACCCATGTTCACTGCAGCATTATTCACAATAGCCAAAAGGTAGAAACAAACCAAGTGTCCACCAATAGATGGATAAACAAAATGTGGTATACAAATACAATGAAATAGTATTCAGCCACAAAAAGGAATGAAATTGTGATACATGCTCTATAACATGAATGAACCTTGAAAACACTATGTTAAGTAAAATAGGCCATATACAAAAGTACAAATATTGTTTGATATACAAGGTACCTAGAGACTGAAAGTACCACAGCCTGCAAGAAGGGAGGAATCAAGAGTTACTGCCTAATAAACACAAAGTTTCTGTTTGGTATGATAAAAATTTTTTGGAAATAGATAGTGGCACAGTTATACAATGTTGTGAATGTTCTTTATGCCACTGAATTGTTCACTTAAAATGGTTACAATGGTAAATTTTATGTTATACAAATTTTGGCACAATAAAAAAAGACCAATTAAAAAATGGGCAAAAGACTTGAACAGATACTTCACCAAAGACAAGTAAATAAATTAAAAGATGCTCAACCTCATTCATCATTAGAGAAATATGAATTAAAACCATGATGAGCTACCATATGCACCTATTAAAATAGCTGTATTTTTTTAAAAACTGATAATGCCAACACAGAGCAACTGGAAGAATCATACACTGCTGATAGGAATGGAAAATGGTTCAACCATGCTAGAAAACAGTTTCTTATAAAACTCAACATACACTAGCATATGATACATCAATCTCACTCCTAGTTATTTATCCTAGAGAAATGTTCACACAAAACTTGTATAAAAATGTTTACAGCTCCACTCAAATCACCAAAAACTGGAAACAACTCAAATATCCTTCATTAGGTGAGTAGATAAACTGTGATATATCATACAGTGGAATACTACTACTAATGTGAAGGAACAAACAATTGATATATGAAACAACTGAGGTGAATTTCAAAGGCATTATGCTAAGTGAGAAAAGCCAGTCTCAAAAGGTTGTACACTATTATATTTCTATTTACATGACATTCTTGAAATGACAAAACTATAGTGATGGAGAACACATCAGGGGCAGCCCGGGGTAAAGGAAGGTGTCTGTAAAGGGGTGCCATAAGCAATGGACTGTTCCTTATCCTGATAGTGGTAATGATGGTGGTGGTAACAAGTCTACACATGTGTCAAAAGTCACAGAACTATAACTCCAAAAAAGGTCAAATAATTTAATTAAACATAATAAGTATAAAAAAATTCTAATAAAAGGAAATACAATTTGTTAAAAAAAATAGCACAGGGATAGACATCAAAGTAGAATTCAAGCCCAAAAGTATTAAATGTAACAAAGGCACAATTCACACTGATGATATGACAGTCAAGAATATGCTGGCCGGGCACGGTGGCTCACACCTGTAATCCCAGCACTTTGGGAGGCCAAGGTGGGTAGATCACCTGAGGTCGGGGATTCGAGACCAGCCTGGCCAACATGGTGAAACCCCATCTCTACTAAAAATACAAAAAATAGCTGGGCATGGTGGCATGTGCCTATAATCCCAGCTACTTGGGAAGCTGAGGCAGGAGAATCGCTTGAACCTGGGAGGCAGAGCCACTGCACTCCAGCCTGGGGCAACAGAGTGAGGCTCTGTCTCCAAAACAAAAACAAAAACAAAAACAAAAAACAAAGAATAACCCAAAGGAGATGCAAGGACACATAAACAGTAACACCCTAAAAATTAGAGGCTTCAAACCAATCTCAAAACAAGACAGATCACGCACCAAGTATGGCAGTGTGCACCTGTAATTTCACCTACTCAGGAGGCTAAGGCCCAGAAGTTCAAGTCCAGCCTGGGCAACACAGCAAGACCCCATCTCTTGAAAAAATAATAAATAAATAATTTTTTAAAAAAGACAAATTGATCGGGCACTGTGGCTCACACCTGTAATCCCAACACTTTGGCAGGCCAAGGCAGGAAGATGGCTTGAGCCCAAGAGTTCGAGACTAGCCTGGGCAACATAGTGAGACCCTGTCTCTACAAAAATATTTTAAAATGATGGCCAGGCTTGGTGGCTCATGCCTGTAATCCCAGCACTTTGGGAGGCTGGGGTTGGAGGATCCTTTGACTCCAGGAGTCCGAGACCACCCTGGGCAAGATAGTGAGACCCCCATCTCTAAAATAAATAAATAAATAAATAAATAAAATAAAAATTAGCCAGGCATGGTGATATGCACCTGTAGTCCCAGCTACTGAGCAGACTGAAGTGGGAGGATCACTTGAACCCAGGAGTTCAAGGCTGCAGTGAGCCATGATCACACCACTGCATTCCAGCCTGGGATACACAGTGAGACCCTGTCTCAAAAAAAAAAAATTTTTTTAAAGACAAATCAAGTGGAGAAAAAATGAGGAGACAGATGATTGATCTAAACAACATAACAGAGGAGATGATATAGATGTATATCAAACTCCACACCTTGATAACAGAAATGATATATTCTTCTCCAGTGCTCACAGCACATTCACACACACACACACACACAAAAACTGCTCATGTCACAAAGAAAACACCTTCCATCAAGTAAAGATACTAAAAACAACACTTGCCAATCATAATGCTTAAAACTAGAATTTACTAACACGACCATCACCACCAACAGAAGAAAGGTGTGTCTATCTAAAAATTTGAGAATCTCCTGATAAACAACTTCCAGATAAAAGGAAATGCAATGAAAATGTTGGAGAAATTTAAAGAAATACTAACGGACAGACATGGTGGCTCATGACTGTAATCTGCCTATAATCCCAGCACTTTGGGAGGCTGAGGCAGGAGTTTGAGACCAGTCTGGGCAACATAGGGAGACCTCATCTCTACAAAAAAAATTTTAAAATTAGCTGGGTATAGTGGCACATGCCTGTAATCCCAGCTACTTGGGAGGCTGACGGAGGAGGATCATTTGAGCCTGAGAAGTTGAGGCAGCAGTAAGCAGTAATTGCACCACTGTATGCCGGCCTGGGTGACAAAGTGAGACCCCGTATCAAAAATAAAAAAATAAAAAATAGATACTAACAAAAAAACACACATCACATGTGAAAACACAATGTAATCATCTAAGGGAAAAATAATTACATGATTATCTCCACAGAAGGGAAAGTCTGACAAAATTCAATATCTATTCATAATAAAAAATACTCAGGAAAATACAGAAATTGAGATACTTTAATATATAAATACACCTTAGTCCTAAAGCCAAAATCTTATTTCATGGGCAAACCTTATTTCAGAGGCATGTCCATTAATTTCAGAGATTAATATCAAGAACAAAGCAAAAATGTCCACTATCTCTGCTACTATCCACCTGTGCAATATTAGCCAATAAAATTAGAAGAGATAAATCAATTAGAGATATAAAAATGGGTAAAGGCCAAGCACAGTGACTCACGCCTGTAATCCCAGCACTTTGGGAGGCTGAGGTGAGTGGATCATCTGAGGTCGGGAGTTCAAGACCAGCCTGACCAACATGGAGAAACCCCGTCTCTACTAAAAATACAAAATTAGCTGGGCATGGTGGCGCATGCCTGTGATCCCAGCTACTCGGGAGGGTGAAGCAGGAGAATTGCTTGAACCCAGGAAGCAGAGGTTGTGGTGAGCTAAGATTGCACCATTGCACTCCAGCCTGGGCAACAAGGGCGAAACTCCGTCTCAAAAAAAAAAAAAAAAAAAAAAAAGGGTAAAGAAAAGCTATCACTAATTGTAGATAATATGATATACTACCTGGAAAACCCCAAAATCAATGATAAAATTTATTCAATAATAACTCAGCAGGCGGGGCATGGTGGCTCATGCCTGTAATCCCAGTGCTCTGCGAGGCTGAGGTGGGTGGATTGCTTGAGGTCAGCAGTTCGAGACCATCCTGGCCAACACGGTGAAACCCTGTCTCTACCAAAAATACAAAAATTACAGGCTCACGCCTGTAATCCCAGCACTTTGGGAGGCCAAGGCAGGAGGATCAAGAAGTCAGGAGTTCGAGGCTAGCCTGACCAACATGGTGAAACCCTGTCTCTACCAAAAATACAAAAAATCAGCCGGGCATGGTGGCGCATGCCTGTAATCCCAGCTACTCAGGAGGCTGAGGCAGGAGAATCACTTAAACTCAGGAGGCGGAGGTTGCAGTGAGCCAAGATTGCCCCACTGCACTCCAGCCTGGGCGACAGAGTGAGACTCCTTCTCAAAAAAAAAAAAAAAAAAAAAAAAAAAACAACACTCAGTGAAGTTGCACAATATAAGATTAATACATAAAAATCAATAGCCTTCATATATACAAACCATAAAAGAAGACATTATGGTAGAGAAAAATCCCATTTGCAATAGCAACAAGATCATTAAATACTTAGGAATAAAGTTAATTAAAACTGTGCAAGAAAAAGTTTAAATCACTATTAAAAGACACTAAAGTTAACTTGAACAAATGAAATGACATCCCCTGTTCCTGGATAGGATTCAAAAATATAAAGATGTCAGTTCTTCCCAAGTTAATTTATACATTCAATGCAATCCCAATACAAATACTGACAAGATAATATTGACAAGTTGATACTAAAATTCATATGGAAAAACAAAAATTTAAGACTAGGAAAACAATGAAAAAAAAACTGTAAGGGGGGATAGGTATAACAGACATTAAAACCTACTGTACAAAGCCTTCATAATGAAACAGTGAGGTACTGCTGCATATGTACACAAAAAGATGAGGTCCAGAATTAGACTCAAGTACATATGGAAATAAAAAATATGGCAAAGATGGCATCTCAAATCACTAGAGTCAAGATGAACTTTGTATTAAATACTGCTGGAACAGTATTCACTGTTGGAAAAAGATAACTCACAAGAATAAACTTGCAAATGAATTAGAAATCTAAATGATAAAAAATGAAACCATACAACTACTAAAGGAGATACTGGTGAATTCCTCTTTAACCTTTGTATTAACACTTAGTATTACGTAGTAGAGAAGGGCCAAATATGATTTAAAATTCACAAACAGTAAAAGAGTGATACATTTAACTACATAAAAATTTAAAAATTTTTGCATGACAAAAAAAAATTTAAAAACTCAGAAAAAAAATTAAAAGCTAACAAATTGGGAGAAAATATTTGCAACATATACCACTGACAAGGGACTAATACCCCTAATATACAAACAGCTCTTAAAAACTGAGAAACAGGATGGGCATGGTGGCTCACACCTTTAGTCCCAGCACTTTGGGAAGCCGAGGTGAAAGGATTGCTTGAGGCCAGGAGTTCAAAACCAGCCTGGGCAACACAGAGAGACTCCATCTCTACAAAAAATTTAAAAATTAGCCAGGGCATGGTGGTACACATCTGTAGTCCCAGCTACTCAGGGCAGTTGAGGTAGAAGGTTGAGGCTACAGTGAGCTGTGATCACGCCATTGCATTCCAGCCTGGGTGACAAGAGCACCATACTATTTTAAATAAATAAATAACGTTTTACAACTGAGGGACACAGCATTACTTACAATAGTCGAAAGGTGGCCTCCTTTAAGCTGAAGCTAAGAAAAAAAAAAAAATGGTGAAAGCAACCCAACTGTTCATGACAGATGAATGGCTAAACAAAATGTAGTATATACATACAATGAAACATTTATTATTCAGCCTTAAAAAGGAAGGTAATCCTGACACATGTCACAAAAAAGAAGGCAATTCCGAAATATGCTACAACGTGGATGAACCTTGAAGACATTACAGTAAGTCGAATAAGCCAGTCATAAAAAGACAAATATTGTACGATTCCATGTATATAACGTACCTACAGTAGTCAAATTCATAGAAACAGAAAGTAGAATAGTGGCCACAGGGCTAGGGGAGGGAAGAATGGGAATTCCTGTTTAATGGATACAGAGTTTCAGTTTGAAAAGATGAAAAAAGTTCCGGAGATGGATGGTGGTGATGGCTGCATAACAATGTGGATGTATTTAATGGCACAAAATGGCACACTTAAAAAATGGTTAAAATGATAAATTGGGTCAGGCGCAGTGGCTCACGCCTGTAATCCCAGCACTTTGGGAGGCTGAGGCAGGCGGATGAGGAGGTCAGGAGATGGAGACCATCCTGGCTAACACAGTGAAACCCTGTCTCTGCTAAAAATACAAAAAAATTGGCTGGGCATGGTGGCACGCGCCTGTAGTCCCAGCTACTCGGGAGGCTGAGGCAGGAGAATTGCTTGAACCCAAGAGGTGGAGGTTGCAGTGAGCCGAGATCGCGCCATTGCACTCCAGCCTGGTGAGGGAGACTCCATCTCAAAAAAAAAAAAAAAAAAAAGATAAATTGTATGTTGCTTATATTTTATCACAATTTTTTTTAAAAAGCTAAAGAACAGAAAAACAAAAACCTGGTAGACAAATGGAGAAAAAATACGAACAGATAAATCACAAAAGAAGACGCAACTAGCTCTAAAACATATGAAAAAATGTTCAAATCATTCATAGAGATATGCATATTAAAACAAAACAACACTAGACACTATTTCTCACTGCAAAAATTAAAGCATGACAGCACACACTGTTGGCGAGGTTGTGGAGAAACAGGCGCTATTCTCATACACTGTTGGAAATTGGTACAACCCTTCTGGAGGGAAATTTGACTATATCTGAGAAAACTACATATGCATTTACCTTTCAACCCAGCAATTCCACTTCTAGAAACTACCCTGAATATGTACCTCCAACAATACAAAAATACATATGCACAGAATTATTCACCGTGCAGCACTGTTTGTAACTGCAAGATAATGGAAGCAGCTTAAATGGCCATAGATAGGAGAGTAGATGAATAAACTATTATAACGTACTATGGTACATACTATGGTACATTCATGTAATGAAGTACTATGCAGCTGTAAAAATTAATGAGGCAATGTTCATAGCAACATAATTCAAAATAATGCATAAGTAGAAACCCAAAATCCATCAACTGATAAATGGATAAACAAAAGGTGGTATATCCATAAAATGGAATATTATTCAGCCATAAAAATAATGAAACACTGACAACATGGATGAACCATGAAAACATTATCCTAAGTGGAAGAAGCCAGTAACAAAATACCACATATTGTATGATCCCATTTACATGAAATGTCCAAAACAGGCAAATTTATAAAGTCAGAAAGTGGATTTGTGGTTGCCTAGAGCTGGGGGAAGACAGGATGGGAAGTAACTGCTAATTGCTAATGGATCAGGGTTTCTTTTAAGGGTGATAAAAATGTTCTAAAATGTATTGCGATGATGCTTGCATAACTGTGTATGTACTAAAAACCACTCAATTGTATACTTAAATCGGTCAATTGTAAGGTATGTAAATTATATCTCAATAAAGATGTTTTTGCTTGTTTGTGTTTTCTTGAGACCGGGTCTCGCCCTGTCGCCCTGGCTGGAGTGCAGTGGCGCGATCTCGGCTCTCTGCAACCTCTGCCTCCCGGGTTCAAGCGATACTCCTGCCTCAGCTTCCCGGGTAGCTGGGACTACATGCATGCACCACCATGCCCAGCTAATTTTTTTTGTATTTTTAGTAGAAAGGGGTTTCACCATGTTGGTCAGGCTGGCCTCAAACTCCAGACCTCAAATGATCTGCCCACCTCAGCCTCCCAAAGTCTGGGATTACAGGCGTGAGCCACCATGCCTGGCCTCAATAAAGATGTTTTTAAAAATTAATGAGGGGCCGGGCGCAGTGGCTCATGCCTGTAATCCTAGCACTTTGGGAGGCTGAGGCGGGCGGATCACAAGGTCAGAAGATCGAGACCATCCTGGCTAACACGGTGAAACCCCGTCTCTACTAAAAATACAAAAAATTAGCCAGGCGCGGTGGTGGGCGCCTGTAGTCCCAGCTACTCGGGAGGCTCAGGCAGCAGAACGGCGTGAACCCGGGAGGCGGAGCTTGCAGTGAGCCGAGATAGCGCCAATGCACTCAGGCCTGGGCAAAAGAGCGAGACTCCGTCTCAAAAAAAAAAAAAGAATGAAGAAGATCTCTATGAACAGATATGGGGTGATTTTCAAGACACACTATTCTTTTTTTTTTTTTTTTTTTTTTTTGGAGATGGATTCTCACTCGGCCGGTCACCCAGGCTGGAGTGCAGTGGTGCAATCTCGGCTCACTGCAACATCTGCCTCCCAGGTTCAAGCGATTCTCCAGCCTCAGCCTTCCAAGTGGCTGGGATTACAGGTGCCCACCACCACACCCGGCTAATTTTTTTGTATTTTTAGTAGAGACGGGGTTTCACCATGTTGGCCAGGCTAGTCTTGAAATCCTGACCTCAGGCAATCTGCCCACCTCAGCCTCCTAAAGTGCTGGGATTACAGGCATGAGCCACCACGCCTGGCCTAAAACATACTATTAAGTGAAAAAAGCAAACACAATTATCTATATAGCATGTCACCTTCGTATAAGAAAGAAGAGGATGTGAAAAAATACACAACTAACTGTTCACTTGTGCGAAAGAAACACGAGATAATCCAGATACCAAAGTTAGCTATACAGGGTAGGTGGGAAAGCGGTGAAAAGAAGGGGTGAATGGGAACAGGGCAGTAGGCATAAGAAGGGAAAGACACTTCTCTGAGTATACCTTTGTGTGTAGCTCTGACTCTCAGAAATCAGTCATAATTCATACCGCAAAAACAACTAAAATCAGCTAGGATGCAGGGGGAACTCAAAATGAAATATAAACACTAACAATGAACCTAACTATTACAACTAACATAACCACTCTGAAAGGCATGAGGAAGAAAGGAACTAACCTAAGTAACTGTAGAAAATGGTATCTTGACTGGATAGGCTAAAGACAAAAAGAACTGATTCCAGAGTTGGGTCAGAGAAAACACAAGATGAGCCTGGAACACCTTGTGGTGTGCCATAAAGTAAGTGCTTGAAGGAAAAAAAAAAAAATGAGGGCCAGTTGATAGGCCACAGAAGCTAACCTGAAGGAGATCCTAACTAAATAGCCAATGCTGGAACAGTAAGCAACAAAATAATGATGATAATGAATTTTAACTCATAGAATATAATACATATCCATGGCCTACACTGACACATAAATAATCAAATAAATAAATAAAAGAGAGAGAGGGTAGTTCTCCTTTCAGTAGAACTTGACTTAATAATGTAGAAGGAAAGAGAGAAATAATTACCTTTAGGCAAACACCACAAAGATCTGCAGATGGATGCTAAAGTCAGGGAGCAAATTTGTGGAGAACGAGAATTTGTGTCCTCTCAATGTATCTCTCCCAAGAGACTTATTAATTAGAAAGGGATAGTAATTTTATGGTGTAGAAACCTGGTAGACACCAAGTAAACCAATAGATCAAGGTAAATATCACCAGTAATAAGACATTCCAATATCTTGGACTCCATGTGATGCACTGAGAAAGACACAAAGATAATGTGTCTTTGTGTTCTGGCCAACAATGCATAATCTCACCCCAATCATTAGAAAACACTGGACAAACCTTTAAATTGAGAGACGTTAGACAAAATAACTGATCACTACTCTTTAAAAGCATCAAAGCCAAGGAAAACAAGAAAAGACTAAGGAAGTGTTATGGACCAAGGAGAAATAACTAAATGCAACATGGGATCTTGGATAGGGTCCTGGAATGAAAACACAACCTTAATTTAAAAAATGGTAACATTCATATCACATCTGTAATGTAGTTAATAATACTGTACCAACACTAGATTTCTGTTCTTGATAATTGTATGATTATGTAAGATGTTAACATTAGGGAAAGCAGGGTGAAGGACATAACAGAGCGTTTTGTATTGTTGCAATTTTTCTCTAAATCTAAAATTAGTTTAAAAAGCTTAAAAAGAGGCCGGGCATGGTGGCTCACGCCTATAATCCCAGCACTTTTGGAGGCCGAGGCGGGCGGATCATGAGGTCAGGAGATCAAGACCATCCTGGCTAACACGGTGAAACTCCGTCTCTACTAAAAAATACAAAAAACTAGCAGGGTATGGTGAGAGGCGCCTGTAGTCCCAGCTACTAGGGAGGCTGAGGCAGGAGAATGGCGTGAACCCAGGCGGCGGAGCTTGCAGTGAGGCGAGATCGCACCACTGCACTCCAGCCTGGGCCACAGGCGAGACTCCATCTCAAAAAAAAAAAAAAAAAAGCTTAAAAAGAAATAACCATTTTGATTATATATTTATCATCTGTAAGCAATGTGAGGATGGTAACCATTTATGTATTGTTCACCATAAATCCAAGAAACTCACTAAAAGGAGCTTTTAAAAAAAAAAAAGCTATTGAGGCCGGGCGCGGTGTCTGACGCCTGTAATCCCAACACTTTCAGAGGCCGAGGCGGGTGGATCACCTGAGGTCAGGAGTTTGAGAGCAGCCTGACCAATACGGTGAAACCCCGTCTCTACTAAAAATACAAAAATTAGCCAAGCATGGTGGCGGGTGTCTGTAGTCCCAGCTACTCGGGAGGCCGAGACAGGAGAACTGCTTGAACCCGGGAGGCGGAGATTGCAGTGAGCCGAGATCATGCCACTGCACTCCAGCCTGGGCGACAGACCAAGGCTCCGTCACACACACACACACAAAAGCTATTGAATAATCATGAAAAAGAAAAATATCTATTCATTTCTGACTCCCAGCCCAGCAGCTGCATTTCCTCAGATAGCAGCACATTCACCAGGCTTATTAGTCTAAGCTAATAAGTTTCCAAACCCCTTAGAATATAGTTTCCATGGCCTCAGAACACGATAAAGAGTAGCACACCTTCAGACCTCAGCACCCTGATCCAGAGTGATAACTGGGGATGTTTCCTGGCCTGGAAGGTGGGAAGCCTATGTCTTAAGCTCAGTGGTGGCAGTGCCCTGGCTGTGTGACTGACTTGACATAGATGTCAGTCTCTCAGTCTGTTTCCCCTCATGTATGAGGCTTTGTACTAGATGAGGGTTCTGCAAGCTAACCAGCCCACCCTTTTTGTACAGCCCACGAGCAAAGAATGGTTTTTACATTTTTTCATATTTGGGAAAAAAAATCATGACACGTGAAAATTATATTAACAATATATAAAATTAAAACTTCGGTCCCTATAATTAAAATTTTATTGCGACGCAGCTAGTCTGTTATGTATTGTCTTTGGCTGTATCCACACTACATCGCTACAGTTAAGTAGACAGAGTATGGACCCCCCAAGCCTAAACTACTATTATGAATACTATTATACTCATTATACTTACAATATAACAATGTAAACACTGATATATTTACAACAAAAGTTTGCCGACCGCTGAACGAGACTGTTCTAAGCATATTCTATTTCTAACCACAATAATCACATAGAAAGAATCTTAGCCACATGGAATCCGACGGTCCCACACTTATAACCTGTAATAACCCAGGTCCTGAAGAGTTAAGTGACTCCCAAAGCCACTTGTGCAGATACCTTGGGAATGCCAGGTGAGTTCCATCTGGCCAGGGCCCGCCTCTTGCGGGGAGGCAGTGAAGCAGAACGGTCAAAATTTTCAGTCTGGAGTCGCGCTCACCCACTGGGTGACTTGGAGCAAATCATTTCACCTACCCGCGGCCTCAGTTTCCACCCCTGTAAATGGCACCAATAACAACACTCACCTCGCAGGGCTGCTGTGAAGGTGAAGCGAAAGGTCGCGAGTAAAGGGTTAGCGCGCTGGGCTTTGCACCCAGCAGACGCCAAATCAATGGTGGCTCCTGCGGTTACTGGGAACCTCCCCGGAGGCCGGAACCCATTCTAGGCACCTCAGGGCGGCGGCGAGAGCCATGAAGAGGCTCGCGAGGCAGCCAGGAAGCCCGGCCTCGGTTTCCCTGACTGGGGCTCTAAAGCTGCCCGCGAAACCCCCAGCTTCCTCACGTAACCCAGCCTCGCGCCTGCAGCCCCTCCGGCCTGTGCCCCGGGCTCTGCTGAGCCTCACCCCCACCCCGGCACCGCCTTCAAACCAGCCTTCCAGGAACTCACCAGGCGTCTCCACAGCAACGGCCAGTCTGTCCCGACCACCGCGCCGTCCGGCTGCGCGCCTGACAACAAGGCGTGCTCCCATTGGCTCCGGTGCCGGTTGTGCCAGCCAATCAGCGGGGGCGCACGCGCCGCTCGCTCTCCGCGGGCTGCTTAGCTGGGGCCCTGCAGACGGCTACCCTTGGGCGGCGCGCGCGCGCGTGCGCGCGTGTGTGCGCGTGTGTGCGCGCGTGCGCGTGTGCGTGTGCGTGTGTGTGTGTGTGTGTGTGTGTGTGTGTGTGTGTGTGTGTGTGTTGCGGGAGTGGAGCTTGTTGTTTCCGGATCCCCGTCGTCAGTCCTAGCGTGCTGGAGGCTTAGAGCACCAGCTCGTAGTCGGACTCTCTTCTCCACAGCTTGCACCCTGAGCAGTCACTAAATGATGGGCTGTGTGTTATTACCTGGGACATGTGCTCTGAAAACAGTGGAAACTTGGGGAACACTTAGAGCGGGGTGTCCAATCTTTTGGTTTCCCTGGGCCACGTTGGAAGAATTGTTTTGGGCCACACATAAAATACACTAACACTAAGGATAGCTGATAAGTTAATAAATAAATAAA
Source organism: Homo sapiens (assembly GCF_000001405.40). Classification (NCBI taxonomy): domain Eukaryota; kingdom Metazoa; phylum Chordata; class Mammalia; order Primates; family Hominidae; genus Homo; species Homo sapiens. The sequence goes on along the minus strand of NC_000022.11, from coordinate 24,010,775 downwards.
TAATAAAAATAAAAATCACCAAAAAATCTCAAAATGTTGTAAGAAAGTTTATGAATTTGTGTTGAGCCGCATTCAAAGCCAAGCAGACCAGCGCGTTGGAGAAACTTGACTTAGAGGGAACCAGGGAGGAGGAGCATCCTCATTCATTATATTACCTGTGCCTCTCTTTCCAAAAAGGATGTGAAGCCCAAAAGGAACAGATACAATAGGATATTGAAACAAAAGGAAAAAAAGGAACAAAACCTAGTAAATGAACAAGAAGAGGGGTCATGGGTGGTGTCAGAATTCCAGAGATGAAAAAAGGCGACAGAGTTGAAGGGGTTCTGTCAAGGGTCTTGGGCTGAAAGATGGTACTCTCTTGGGAGCTAGAATAACAATAAAGCATTGTAGGGAAGAACTTTACACTGTGGTTGAATTCATAGCTGCTTGAGTCTTGCACAGATGATTCAAATAGGAGTGAATGTTGGGGGCTTTTTAACCTCAAAGACAGTAACAGCATGGTGAAAAACTCAGTTCAGTACAATAAAGCTATACTGATAAGCTAGAAGTTCTGAAAATTGTTGAGTCACCAACCTTGACTTTGAGTATTGGGGTAAACAGTATTTGGGGGGTAAACAGAAGCATAAACAGATGGTTTCAAAGCTGCATGGATAACCTTCAGCCTCGGATACAGCTTCCACTCAAGCCTTATCATGAAAGATGCGCTGGAGAGAAACAGTTGAAAATAGGTGGGAAGGGTGGTCCAAGCAGCAAGAAAGTTGTGTGGGGAAGGTCCGGAGGTGAGAAACATGCAGATCATGCTGGAGTGTCATGCAGCACAGTGTTACCGTGAGGCAAAGCTCAGGGCCACAGTGGGGAGAGAGCACTCTGGAGAGTTAGGAAGAGGCCAGTCCAAACAAGCAAGCAGAAAACATATTGTTGCAGTCTTGCCCGTGCACCACAATGTACCAGTCTCTCATTGTGGGGTATCACCCAGAATTCTTTGTCTCACGACCAAGAAAATTAGGGAGTGTGGACACAAAGGGTAAGGTTGAAGCAAAAGTTTAATAAGCAAATGAAGAAAGCTCATTGCAGCTGGCGGGGGGCCCAAGCAGGTTGCCCATTATGAGGCTGGGTCAGGGGGTTTTATGGACTGGGAAAGGAAGGAATGTACTGACTGGTCTTGGAGAAAGCACTACTCAGCTTGGCCCCTGGACCTTGAGGGACCAATCAGGAGCTGAAGTGATAGCCTGGCCCAGGACCAATCAGAGGCTCACATTCTAAAGCACGTCCAAGAAAGGAAAGTGCCCACTGGAACCCACTGTAGCCCACCGTGTACATGTCCACAAAAGGAGAAGAGACTATTTCCTGGAAGCCCACTGGTTATACAAAGGACAAAGGCATTTCTATGCTGGGTCTTGTTCCCTTATCAAAGTAGCTGTGGGCATGCCTTAGGCACAAAGATCAAAGGTGTTTCTGTGTTGGGCATTGTTCCTTTATCTGAGTGAGCCAGAGGTTTGTGCAAGTTTCCTTATCTGTGCCTGAAGCCTGATTTTTCAGGCTGTTCCTCTGTTTAAAGGAGTTTTACCAAGGACCCACCTTAATTACCTAACTTTTCTCTCTCAATATCACTCTCACTACACTGAGGATGGCAGATTTAACATGGGGAATCTATATCAAAGACTGTGGCCTTATGGTCTTGGTGAGAGTTAGGCCTGAATCCCATCCATGGTGACCGCAACGATTCATTCATATCCAATGCAAGCATTCCCTGAGGCACTCTGGGAAGCAGGACACCATGAAACACACTGGCAGAGGAATGAGTGCAAAATACTTGGGTCAGGGGTCCAGGGGAAGGAACTCCAAGGTCTAGCTATCAATGAAAGTCCTTAGCAGTGGTTAGGTACAAACACACCAGGCACAGGCATATTCCATTAGAAATTGATTTTATTAACTACATAGACTGCACAGACTGAAAATCTGAATTTGGTGTTTCACTGGTACGCTAAAGATAAGGATCATCAAAGGTTTATGCAGGGAAACAGTGACCACCACGGTGTCCAAGGGTCATTAGAGGAAAATTCTGCATGGAACATGTGGAAAGCTACAGAAATGGAGACTCCCTATAGGCTCCCCCACACCACCCCTACATACTTTGACATTCAACAGACTGATAGGATATTTAGATAAGAGGGTGGGGACCTCATTCATTCAGTTTCAATGCAGTTTCGGCGCTGACATTGCATTTCCAGGTTTGGCATTCTGGGACATGGGTTTTACAAGGTGCCTAGCTACAGAGAATTATCAGCAAGAGTTAACAGAGAAGATGAAGTTCTCTGCCCAGGAATGCCCAGAGAAAGTCCCTGAAGACAAATCTGCCCTGTGCTCTGGCCCACTACAGCAGACTATGGAGAGGAAACAGCTCAGAACTAGTGGAGAAGGGCTGAGCAACTCCTGGAGGTCCAGAATTCTGGGGAGGGCAGGTGAGAGGAGCAGCAATGGGGCTTGAGCTCTTCCTGGACCTGACACACTATCCACTTTTGCAAGACAGAATGACATCCCTTTTGAGCTGTGGATGGTGGAGTTGGCTTGGGGTGAGCCAGGTGGCTGGGCTGGGCCCCATGGAGTGGGTGCCAAGGACCAGGCCCTACACTGAGCCTTCTCTCCTTTCTGCCCACCAAGGGAGCACCTGAAGCCTGAGTTCCTGAAGGTGAACCCCCTGGGGAAGGTGCCTGCCCTCAGAGATGGCGACTTCCTACTAGCAAAGAGGTAATGGTGACCTGGTGCCCACCCAGGGTCAGAGCCAGGATCTGCCTGGGTTCTGGGGCTCAGAGTTGTAGGGGGAGGCAGAGGCGAGAGGGGAGATCTTTCCTTGGCTTGGAGATCTTTCCAAATCACTGAGGCCCCTTCCTCATTTCAGCCTGTGTAGCTCCGATGCAGAGGCTGGACCCAGGGGCACCTTTGGGCTAAAGCTGGAGGCTGGAACCTGGCTAGAGTCTGAGCCAGCTGGAGCTGCCCAGGTGGGGAAAGGACGTAGGTCACCCGGATAAACCTGGACAACCTGAAGCCAGCGGGCAAGGCCCAGGCTTGAGGCTGGCTCCTCCCCAAATGTCCCCAGCTCATCCTTTCAGAGTCCTAGGAGCTGGGCAGACCCAGGGGAGACTCCACATTCAATCCCAGCTCACCACTTCCTCAATCCATGCCCTTGGGGAAATCACAGAACTTTGTGTGCCAGGTTTCTCCTCTGTAAAACGGAGTGGGAGGAATAATGTATCCACCTCCCAGGGCTTACCTGAGGATAGAAAATGGGCACCTAGTGTTCTGGGGCACTAGGAAGGGAACTTGGAGACCTTTTGGGCAGGGCCCACACGGCAGGCACTCTGAGTGGGGACCCTGATGCCAGGGAGTGGGGCCTGGGCACAGAGGGCAGGATGGTATGGTAACTGGGAGGGGAGGTGGAAACATGGGCCCAGGGAGGATCAGAGTTGGAAATGGAGAAACAGAGTGGTTTGGTCGTGGGGAGATACTGCCTGGAGGGAGTTGCAGTATAGGGGAGGTCCTCCCCTGAAGGTGAAGGTGGGGAGAAAACCTGGTCAAATCACCCTGAGTATGAGCAATGAAGCCACCTGGCCCTGACAGGCTGGAGAAAAGATCTCTGACACCCCCTGCCCACAGCATGGTCATCGTTTTATACCTGAGTCGAAAGTACCAGATACGGGGACACTGGTACCCACCTGAGCTGCAAGCCCGCACCTGCGTGGATGAGTACTTGGCGTGGAAGCATGTCACCATCCAGCTGCCTGCCACCAATGTCTACCTGTGCAAGGTGAGCTTCCTAGGCCCTGTCATGCAGGCTGGGGCAGGGGCCTGGACCCCCAGAGATGGAAGGCACCAGTTGGTACATATTACATATTAGCTTCACTTCCACTGTCCTCAGCAGACATAACTAATCTATCACAGTACTCCTTCCCCTAAGCCTGAATGAATCCTTAGAAACCTTCTGAACACAGAGCCCCAGAGGACATCACTAATGAGTGGCAGCCGGGAAGGGATGGAGAGGAGGCCCAAGAGGCTTCCAAGAGTCTGGGTTAAGTTGCTCCTCTCCTCCCAGCCCAGTCTCTCCTGCCCCACTTCTCCGGACAGCCTGCAGATGCTGCACAGCTGGAGCGGCTGTTGGGGAGGCTGATGCCAGCCCTGCAGCACCTGGATTGGGGGGTGCTGGTGGCCAGGCCCTTCCTGGCAATGGAGCAGATCTCCCTGGAAGACTTGGTGCTGACGGAGGTGATGCAGGTGAAGCTTTCCTACCCACCTGCCCTCTGGGGGGACTCTGGGCATGGGGCTGAGCCCCAACCCCAGCTGCCCTGTCTTCCCAGCCCACTGCCGTTGGCTGCGACCTCTTCCAAGACTGCCCCGGCTGGCAGTGTGGCAGGCCCGTGTGGCGGCTGCCCTTGGTACTGAGCTCTTGCTGGAGGCCCACAAGCTCATACTCCAGCCTCTGAACCACAGTGAGGCTTGGCGGGACCCCCAGCTGGCCCAGAAGCAGGTGCAGTGGGTGCAGCCCACTCCACTGCACCCTGCTGTCTGCAATAAACACACTGCATGCTCTTCGCTTGTCTCCAGGCTTACTCTGTCACCAGAAGTGGGGTCAGTCCCATTTCTCAGCCTAGACCTATTAGATCACAGCATAGAGTGAGTGGCACTCAGTCCTCTACGTGGGGCTCTAGTTACCTTCCTTGGCCACCAGGTACACAGTCTGGCCACTGCAGCCCCAACCAAGGCCAGGAAGTTTCTAGGCTCCTCTGTGTGGCACACACCGGCTGAGTGCCCCCTGACTTCCTGGTGGTGGTGTCCCCATTGCTCCCAAAGCTCACAGTTTCCTGTGTCTCTTTCTCCCAGTTCCTTTCTAGTCATAGTTCAGGCTCGATTCACCTGTGTCTCTTTCTCCCAATTCCTTTCTAGTCATAGTTCAGGCTCGATTTACCTGTGGATACTCCCAGCCTCTACTTCTAGAATCCTCCAGGGATAATTCTCATTGCCTCCTCTTCATTCTGGACCCTGCAAAGCCCCTTTCGTCAGGTTCTGCAATGAAAATCCAGCCGTGGGAATTCCCAGGCATAATCCCTTCTCAGACTGGTGTCTGTGAGGTGGCACCACGGGGCACAGGCACACGTGGAAGGGGGAGAGTAGGGTCACGGCTGCCACACCTTTGCCACGGGCCTCTCCCCAGCCTACTCCTGGGCCTCCTTAGAATCCTTGATGCTGTGAGAATTGCAGGCTTCCTGGCCTTATGACAACACAAAGGGAAACAAGAGGTTTCCCTGGGGAACACAGGATCCTGGGCCCAGATCGGAGAGGGCACAGGGCCAGGGACTCTGGCCAGACATAGGCCCAGGTCTGTGGCTGGCCAACTGCGGCTGTGGGGCCTGGCATGTGTCTCAACATGGCACTGGAGCTCTACATGGACCTGCTGTCAGCACCCTGCCGTGCCGTCTACATCTTCTCGAAGAAGCATGACATCCAGTTCAACTTTCAGTTTGTGGATCTGCTGAAAGGTCAACTCCCACTGCTGCCTGGCAGGCCTGGTCCTGGGGGGAGGCAGGACACACAGATTGCGGCTTTTCTTTTTTTCTTGTTTTTTGATGGAGTCTCGCTCTGTTGCCCAGCATGGAGTACGGTGGTGCTATCTCGGCTCACTGCAACCTCTGCTGGGTTCAAGTGCGTCTCCTGCCTCAGCCTCCCAAGTAGCTGGGATTAGAGGTGCATGCCACCACGCCCAGCTAATTTTTTGTATTTTTAACAGGGGTTTCACCATGTTGGCCAGGCTGGTCTCAAACTCCTGACCTCAAGTGATCTGCCCACCTCAGCCTCCAGAGTGCTGGGATTACAGGCGTGAGCCACCGCGCACAGCCTGATAGGGGCGTTTCTGAGGAGCAGAGACAGAGACAAGGGAATCACCCCAGAGGTCCACAGGGAAGGAAAAGATGCCACGCGGCTTGTAGGCTGCATCCTTGTCCAGCCTACCTTAGTCAGTGCTCACTAATGACAGTCCCCACGCCACAGATGAACAGGCTTTTCGAGGAGAAGGGGGAAGGAACAGTAGCTGGGACTCCCTGGGCTCCCACCAGGCACCCTGGCTTCCTTGTGGGATTCTAGGACCTTGTGAACTCAGCACCTGCCCACCAGGTTGGCAAAGGGGGCAGAAGTGCACAGTCCGTCTACACCCATCCTCCCCAGTGTTGAGAAAGGCTCAGGGCTCCACTAACCCTGAGTGAGGGTCAGAGGGGTGGGCTCCAACTCCATCCCCAGCACAGAGGGACTCCAAAAGCTCAGCCTGCAAAAGCAGAAGCCTCTAGAACACAGAGGAAGAGACAGGGAAGCTGTGGAAATGAACGGGCTGCGAGTGGAGCCCCCAGAAATGTTTCCAACTGGAGGCGGCTGGTCCAGGAAGAGTTTCAGTTCCTGCCCCCACCTCAGGTTCCCTGTTAAGATGACCCTGATTGTGTCCGAGAAGCTTCCCTTTGGATGTCCAGCTGTGTGCTGGGCCTGGCTTCCTTAAAGTGGAGACAGAGTGAGAGCGATGGGATTGCGGATGGGACCCAGGCCCTCAGGGCTTCAGGTGATTCAAAGGCTGTGTTTTCAGATCCAGCTTTGGGGGTGGGCACTGGAGGCCTCCAGCTTCTGGGTAAAAGGGTCGTCCTGGTCCTGGGACACAGGTAGGAGGCACGGGAGTCACCAAACCTAGGGTGGAGCAGGCTGGGAGCCAGCAGTTCTGATCGCAGTCCGGTTCTGCAACTGCCTTGCCCTGTGACCTGGGGTGAGACGCAATGTCCCTCCGGGCCTCAGTTCCCTCTTCTTGAGAAAATAGAGAGGGAGGCGTTTGGGTCTCTGGGAGTCTCAGTTCTCTCTCCCCTGGAGTCCCACAGCCTCAGACCTTCCCTGCCCCTCCCAGGTCACCACCACAGCAAAGGATACATTGACATCAACCCCCTCAGGAAGCTGCCCAGCCTCAAAGATGGGAAATTTATCTTAAGTGAAAGGTAAGTCTTCCCTGGGGCCCTTGCACCATCTGTCTCTGCTTCTCCTGGGAGGTTCAGTGCAAGCATTTGTCTGTTTGACCATGGAAAATCTCACACGTGCACTAAAGGAGAGTGAATACTAACTAATGAGGGACACGAGGAACCCCACAAATCCATCGCCCAGCTCTGACTCTTGCCAACTTGGGGTCCAGTTTACATCATTTCTATTCCCCTGCCTCCCAGACACCCCATCATTCCATTCATAAATGTTTAGAAGCCAGCTCATGCCTGTAATTCTAGCACTTTGAGAGGCTGAAGTGAGGGGATGGCCTGAGCTCACGTGTTCAAGACCAGCCTAGCCTAGACAACATGGCAAAACCCCATCTCTACAAAAAATACAAAAATTAGCCAGCATGGTGGTCTGCACCTGTAGTCCCAGCTACTCGGGAGGCTGAGGCGGAAAGACTGCTTGAGCCAGGAGGCAGAGGATGCAGTGAGCCAAGACTGCGTCGTTGCACTTCAGCGTGGGCAACAGAGTGAGATCCCATCTCAAAAATAAAAATAAATAAGTAAATAAATCAATAAATGTTTAGGAACATACTTTTCAGAGATAAGAGTTCTTAAAACAAACAAAAAAAAAGCAACAGGCTGGGTGTGGTGGCTCATGCCTATAATCCCAGCACTTCCAGAGGCTGACACGGGAGGATCGCTTGAGGCCAGGAAGTTCAGAACTGCAGTGAACTCTGATTGCGCCACTGCACTCCAGCCTGGGCTAGGATAGAGCGTAGCATCACTACGATACCATTAAGATACCTCATAAAATTAACAATAATTCCTGGATTTCATCTAATATGTGGCTCCTGTTCAAAACTCTATGATTATCTCCTAAACATTTTCTTGGCAGTTTGTTTGGATCAGGATCCAAAGAAGTTTTTTTTTTTTTTTTTTTTGAGACGGAGTCTCGCTCTGTTGCCCAGGCTGGAGTGCAGTGGCGCTATCTTGGCTCACTGCAAGCTCCGCCTCCCGGGTTCACGCCATTCTCCTGCCTCAGCCTCCTGAGTAGCTGGGACTACAGGTGCCCGCCACCATGCCTGGCTAATTTTTTTGTATTTTTAGTAGAGACGGGGTTTCACTGTGTTAACCAGGATGGTCTCGATCTCCTGACCCCATGATCCCCCCGCCTCGGCCTCCCAGAGTGCTGGGATTACAGGCGTGAGCCACCGTGCCCAGCCAAGAAGTTCTGAGTCTTGCAGCCAGTTGCTGTCTCTCCTGCCACTTTTTAACCGATAGCTCTCTCCATGCCCTGACCTTTTTACCTTGGCATGGTTGCTGCTGGTGATGATAAAGGAGCCCTTGTTCTGCGGAGGTTCCCACACCAGCCATCAATCAGCAAGGCCTAGGACATCCCCTCCGAAGCATGTCTCCCCTCCATCCCCTTCCCTCTGTCCCCATGGCCTCCAACATTCCCAGACACCACAACCTTCCCGATAGTTGCTGGCCCCCTCATTGTCCATTCTGCCCCCTCGGGCTCACCCTCCATCCAGCACCAGAGAGATGGATCCTTTCATGCCCTGGCTTATATAATGCCTAATCTTAAGCATTAAGTCCATAACCTCCCTGCACCTCCAGGGGCTACCCTACGTGGACTCCACAGTGTCTCTGGCTGCCTCATCACTCCCCAATCACCCCCACCCTTCTTCCAGTTGCAACCCCCTACTCTCTTTTCTTCAGATTTACCTTGCTCCCTTTACCCTCGTATTTCAGCATGTGTTTTTCTTTGTTGGTTTTTTGAGACAGAGTCTTGCTCTGTGGCCCAGGCTGGAGTACAGTGGCACAATCTTGGCTCACTACAACCTCTGCCTCCCAGGTTCAAGTGACTCCCGTGCCTCAGCTTCCCAAGTAGCTGGGATTACAGGTGTGTGCCACCACAACTAGCTAATTTTTGTATTTTCATTTTAGTAGAGACAGGGTTTCACCATGTTGGCCAGGCTGGTCTCCAACTCCTGGCCTCAAGGGATCTGCCCCCATTGGCCTCCCAAAGTGCCGGGATTACAGGTGTGAGCCATCGTGCCCCCCCGTTTTTGTTTTTGAAAAAGGATCTTGATCTTTCACCCAAGCTGGAGTGCAGTGGTGTGATCTTGGCTCACAGTAGCCCCAAATTCCTGGGATCAAGTGATCCTCCCACCTCAGCATCCCAATTCAACACGTGTTGTTCCCCCTGCTGGCCTACTCTTTGTTATACCACCAGCCCCCAACTCCTACTCACCCCGCAGGGCTCCTTCCCAGCCCTTACTGACTGTCAGACAGACAGCTCTGGTGAAGGTCTTTCTCGGGGCCGTTTGGGCTCCTCTTTGCTCTGGAAGCCCCAGCAGTTGGGCCCAGGCCACACCGGGGTGGTTGATGTAGTGGCACTCAGGAAGGCAAGGGCAGTGCCCCTGACCGGCCCCTTCTGCAGCGCGGCCATCCTTTACTACCTGTGCCGCAAGTACAGCGCACCATCGCACTGGTGCCCGCCAGACCCGCACGCACGTGCCCGTGTGGATGAGTTCGTGGCTTGGCAACACACGGCCTTTCAGCTGCCCATGAAGAAGATAGTCTGGCTCAAGGTGAGCAGGGCCACTTCTGGGGCTTGGGGACACGGGCACAGGGAAGTCAGGAAGGCTGGAGGCCAGTTCTGGCCCTGCTGACTGCCGGCGACCTCAAGCAAGTCTCCCTCCCTCTCTGGGCCTCATTTCCTCAGCTCCTTCTCCTGCCCGCCTTACAGAGCCGTCAGGAGTGTGGACTGAAACAATGGGCATGAAAGAGTCTTATTAGGGCGAGGGGAAGGGCATACGGGAGGGGCTGATGTGACTCACCCAGGACAGCATTCGAGGCATTTCATTCTGAACTAGAGAATCTCAGCGTCAAAAGGCCCACAGAAGGCCGGGTACGGTGGCTCACAACTGTAATCCCAGTACTTTGGGAGGCCGAGGCGGGCAGATCACTTGAGGTCAGGAGTTCAAGACCTACCTTGCCAACATTGTGAAACACCATCTCTACTAAAAATACAAAATTATTAGCTGGGTGTGGTGATGGGCACCTGTAATCCCAGCTACTCAGGACGCTGAGGCAGGACAATTGCTTGAACCCAGGAGTTGGAGTTGGCAGTGAGCCAAGATTGTGCCACTGCACTCCAGCCTGGGCGACAGAGTGAGACTCCATCTCAAAAAACAAAAACAAAAAAGAGTATGGCCTATAGAAAATTAGAAGATGACAAATAACCAGTACATGTGTCTCTACTTTGAATTCTATGCCTGTGACAGACATCACTAATCAATCACAGGACTTATGCCTGCTGAGCTCCCCAAATCCTTGTGAACACATGGTTCCCAGCAACTTCCACCAATCAGAACTGCTAAAAGAGGTGAAACTGCTTTATATCCTGGGAAGTGTTCAATATCTATCCAGCAGACAAGAGTACAGAGACCTGGCAGGGCAGGTGGCCCTGGAGTGCAGCCTCCTCTTCCCTCCTCTTCCCAACCCTGGCCAGTTGCTGATCCCAAAGATAACAGGGGAGGAAGTTTCAGCTGAGAAGATGGAGCATGCAGTGGAAGAGGTGAAGAACAGCCTGCAGCTCTTTGAGGAGTATTTTCTGCAGGATAAGATGTTCATCACCGGGAACCAAATCTCACTGGCTGACCTGGTGGCCGTGGTGGAGATGATGCAGGTGTGGAGTGGATTGGAGGAGGGTTAGACCCTGGGCAGAGGTAGGACTCCTCTGTGACCAATGGGGCCATCACTTGAGGATAGGCTGGTGAGGCGGGAAAGGCAGGCAGAGCTGCCATGGGGGCTGCGGGAACCAGGCCTGGGGGCCTGGACTCAATCGGGGCAACAGGAAGCACAGAATGTTATGAATCAGGAAGGATCACAGTTCTCCACACTTGACAAAGATTCTTCGGTGTGGGAGGACCCGGAGGGTGAGCCTGGGATAGAGAAGAACACTGCATTTCCTGCTCAATCCACCGGCATCCCAGATACCTCCTCCTCTTGCTGGACTCTCCAGGAAATGTTCACTGGCTTCCTGGGTGTCCTTCTGGCCCTGCCTGTTTCCCAGAGCTCCAGACAGACAGCTCTGGAGGACAGCTCTCGTGGCTGGGTCTGAGGGGCATCCACTGTGCATTTGGAGGCACACCTGAGTGTGGGGCATTTATGTGGCCTCTACATGCAGGGGAGGGTGACCAGTTCTGCTTGTCAAGACACTGGCCAGGGTCTCAACTGGCCATCCTGCACACCAGCTAGGGCACTGCACACTGACCAAAGAGACTAATTTGCATATCAGCCAGAGATATGCCCGAGAGGAGGGACCTGGGGTCCTGGTGGATTGACCAGAAAATGCAGTATTCTTTTCCTTATCCCAGAGATCTCTGGCTGATATGAAAATTAGTCTCCTTGGTCTGTTTGCAGGGCAGACCAGCACCAGGAAAAATCATTCTGGCCTGCCCCAAGGGTTCAGCCATATGCTTCGTCCCCACCCCTTACATTTCACCCACACACACCCATTCTTGGGCTTCCCAAAGATCTTGGGTGCAAACCAAACTCTTAGTAAGCCAGCGAAACTGCAGGGTAGACTGCCCGCCAGGTCTCCCATCCTAGCCCCTGAGCTTGATCACAGTGGGAGGCTAAACATGGAGGAAAAAACCTGAGTTCTCTCCCTCATCCACATATACACACCTGGGATAAGGGGTCTCCCTGGAAGAAGGCAGGATTCATGCGAGGTCGCAGGCTGGAGAAGTGGGAAGTGCCTGGGCCAGGAGCCCTCTCAGCATGGTTCAGAAGGCTTGGAGCAAGAAGACCAGTGACTGAGGACTCTGAGGGATTCTGGATCCTCCATCCCCACCTACATCTATTACATAGTCTGTGACCCCTTGCTCAGGCCTTGGGGGTCAGCAGCCTAATTCTTTGCATAGGTAGATGTTAGGGACGTGGGCCTGAGGCTGTGGGAGAGGACCCAGGTGGGGCTGGTCCCCAGGCTGACCACGTCTTTGTCTTCGTCTATCTACAGCCCATGGCAGCCAACTATAATGTCTTCCTCAACAGCTCCAAGCTAGCTGAGTGGCGTATGCAGGTGGAGCTGAATATTGGCTCTGGCCTCTTTAGGGAGGCCCATGATCGACTAATGCAGTTGGCCGACTGGGACTTTTCAACATTGGATTCAATGGTCAAGGAGAATATTTCTGAGTTGCTGAAGAAGAGCAGGTGACCCTAGGCGCAGCCTGTCCCGCAGGGCCTGGCTGGCTTAGCAATCTGAGCCACCTTCCTTAAAGGAAATGTTAAAAAAAAAAAAACAAAAAAACAAAAAAACAACTGTTCTTTGCCTAATAAAGAACTGGAACAACCATCACAGCTGCTGAGCAGCAGACAGTTGGCATATGCATAGGGTCTGATGTGGGAGTGGGTGGTGGTTACAGATCCTTCCAGTTTCCAAAAAGAATTTTAAAAGTAAAGGGTTAAATATGGTTACATTGTGAGTAATAATAGTTGGTGACTTCAATACCCCACTTTCAGTAATAGAAAAACTACAGAAGACCATCAAGGAAATAGGGAATTTGAAAAGCACGATTAACCAATCGCATACACTAGACATGAACAGAACGTTCCACCCGACAGGAGCAGAATAAGCATTCTTCTAAAGAGCACATGGAATATTCTCCAGTATAGAGCATATATTTGGTCCTAAGTCTCAAATTTAAGATGATTGAAATCACACAAAGTATGTTCTCTGGACACAGTGGAATAAAGTTAAAAATCAAGAACAGAAGGAAAACTAGAAAACTCACAAGCACATAGAAATTAAACAGCACACTCTTAAACAACAAATGGGTTAAAGAAGAAATCACAAGGGACATCAAAAAGTATCCTGAACAAATAAAAATGAAAACACAACATGCCCAGATTTATAGGATGCAGCAGAAGCAGTTCTAAGAGCAAAATTTATAGCTGTAAACACATAAGTTAAAGAAGAATGATCTTGAATCAATAACCTAACTTTACACCTTAAGGAACTAGAAAAATAAGAGCAAACTCAACCCAACACCACTAGAAAACAGGAAATAATAAAGATTAGAATGGAGATAAATGAAATAGAAAATAGAAAAGCAATAAAATCAATAAAACCAAAAATTGGATCTTTGCAAAGATCAACAAAATTGGCAAACCTTTACTTAGAATAGCCAAGTGAAAAAAATAAGGGTCAAATTATTCACCAAGAAAGAAAGTGGAGGCTGGGTGCAATGGCTCACACCTGCAATCCCAGCACTTTGGAAAGCAGAGGCAGAAGGATCACTTGAGGCCAGGAGATTGAGAACAGCCTGGGTAACACAATGAGACTTTTTTCTAAAAAATATATTTTTTAAAAAAATTAGCTTGGTGTGGTGGTGCAAGCCTGTAGTCTTAGCTAACTGGGTGGCCGAGGTGGGAGGATCACTCGAGTCCAAGAGTTCAAGGTTACACCGAGCTATGATTGCACCACTGCACTCCAGCCTGGGCACATAGAAGAACCTTATCTCAAAAAACAAACAAAAACAAAAATGAAAAAATGAAATGGAAACCAGAAAGAAAGAAAATGGAGACATCACATTGGTCATAGAGAAATTCAAAAGTTTAGAAATACTATGAATAACTATATGTGGACAATTTAGACAACCTAGATGAAATGGGAAAATTTTAGAAACACACAATCTACCAAAACTGACTTAAGAAGAAAGATAAAATTTTAATAGGCCTGTAACAAATAAAGAGATTAAAATATTAATTATTTTTAAAAATTCCACAAAGAAAAGCCCAGGACCAGATGGCTTCCCTGGTGAATTCAACCAAAAGCTTGAAGAACTAACACAAAGCCTTCACAAACTCTTCCAAAAAAATAAAACAGGAAGAAATATTTTTCAACTCATACTATGAGGCCAGAATTACTCTGATACCAAAGACAGAAAAAGACATTACAAGAAAATAAAGTTACAAAGCAATATCCTTATAAATATAGATGTAAAAATCCTCAGCAAAATATTAGCAAATCAAATCCAGCAGCATATTAAAAGGATCATACACCTTGACCAGGTAGGATTTATCCCAGGAGTACAAATGCAGTTCAACATACAAAAATCAATCAGTGTAGCATACCATGTTAATAGAAAGTCACATGATCATCCTAATGCACAGAAGGCATTTGACAAAACCTAACATCCTTTTACGATAAAATTACTCAGCAGATGAAGACGAGAAAGGAACTTCCTCAACTTGACAAAAAGCATCTATGAAAAACCTATAACTAACACCATACTTCATCCATTGTGAAAGATCAAGCGTTTCCCCCCTAAGATCAGGAACAGGACAAGAATGTTCATTCACACTACTTCTACTTATTAGGGCAATTAGGCAAGAAAAAGGAACAAGGTGGAATCTAGATCAGAAAGAAAGAAGTAAAACCATCTCTATTCACAGATGACATTACAGAAATTCTTAACTCACTTAAAAACCATTAGAGCTAATAAACAAGTTCAAGGCTGGGCACGGTGGCTCACACCTGTAATCCCAGCACTTTGGGAGGCCAAGGCGGGCAGATCATGAGGTCAGAAGTTTGAGACCAGCCTGTCCAATATGGTGAAACCCCGTCTCTACTAAAAATACAAAAATTAGCCGGGCGTGGTGGCGCATGCCTGTAGTCCCAGCTACTCAGGAGGCAAAGGCAGGAGAATCACCAGAGCCCAGGAGGTGGAGGTTGCAGTGTGCCAAGATCAAGCCACTGCACTCCAGCCTGGGTGACTGACTGAGACTCCATCTCAATAAAATAAAATAAGTTCAGCAAGGTTGCAGGGTACAAGATTAATACACAAAAATCAATAGTATACATTTGCAATAAAGGATGAAAAACAAAATTAAAACCACACTTCCATTTATAATACCATCAAAAAGAATAAAATAGAATAAATTTAACCAAAGAAAAGCAACATTTCAACACAGCAAACTACAATGTGCTGTTGAAAGAAATTAAAGAAGCGCCACCAAGCAATCTGACCTGAGAAAACATGCAGGTTCAACAGAATGAGTCCTGCTCTTCAGCAAGCACCCATCTTGTGTTCAAGCTGGGTCTATGAGGCAAGTTTGGCAACATAGACATGGACATGCCACCAAATCTGTAATGTAGAAAAGGCCAAGGGAAGGTGGATCAATCATTGGAAACATTCAACAATCCATGGAAGAAATGTTAAAAATAGAATCTCAGGGTCTGATGAAGTTGGAATATCACTCTTCTATGTATTTCGGTTGGAATCTGTTGAACGATTGGATAAAGTAAAAGTATAGGGAATTATTAGGTAGCATTAAATGTGTAATAAATGTAAAGAGAGGGTGCAAGTGCATACAAGGAAGTGTACGCTACTGGGTTTCTGTTGAATTGTTCATGGAAGACCATCAGCAGTTCAATTCCAAAAGCTTGTCTTAAAATTAGCTGGGTGTGGTGGCGTATGCCTGTAATCCCAGCTACTCAGGAGGCTGAGGCAGGAGAATCGCTTGAATCCGGGAAGCAGAGATTGCAGTGAGCCAAGATCGCACCACTGTACTCCAGCCTGGTGACAGAGCGATACTCTGACTCAAAAAAAAAACAAACAAACAAAAAAAAAACTTGTCTTGAGGGACTACGCCAGCCTTAACAGCTACAAACATCATGGAGGAAGCTGTCTGCCCATTAGAAGCCCAGAGCCCAGAGGGACAGACTAGAGCAAATCCTCTCCCTCATTGGAGCTAGATGGGAACACAAATCTATCTGATAACTAACATGCAATTTTACATCTCTTACCTTGTTTAATCCTCACAACCACCCTGATGAGTAGTAGTATTATGCCCATTTTGTAGATGAAGAAACAAGTTCTTCAAGGGGAAGGGTAGCATATGAATGAGAGGCAGAACCAGAGTCAGGACCTATATCTTGTCTTCTCCTTCCTAAAACTAGAAAAGTACCCACAACCAGGCAATGCGTTTGGTGCAGAAAAAGCAGTAGTGAACAAAATAGGCAAAAATGTCTGCCTTTAGTGCTCACATTGTTGTGGAGAAAGACAAACAATAAGCACAGTAGAGAAGTAAAAATTAGAATGTTTTGCTAAAAAGTCCATAAAATTGAATATTATTCAGCCATAAGAAGGGATGAAGTACCGTTATATGCTACAACATGGATGAACCTTGACACCATTATGCTAAATGAAAGAAGCCAGTCATAAAAGGCCACATATTTCATTATTACATTTGAATGAAATCTCCAGAATAGGCAGCTACTTCCTATCCACAGAGGTAGAAAGTAGATGAATGGTAACCAGGGGCTAGGGGAAGAGGGGAATGGGGAGTGACTCTTTATTGGGTACAGAGTTTCTTTTTGGGTGATGAAAATGATCTAGAATTAGATAACTGTGATGGTGACAAAACTTTGTTAATATACTAAAAACCACTGAATTGGCTTTAAACCAATTGAATTTTAAAGTATACTTTGAAAGGGTGGATATTATGGTATGGGAATTATATCTGATAATGAAAATATGATTACATTGTTCAAAAGCATAGGGAAGAAGCTACAAAAAATATGAAGCATAAATTGTGGCTCTTTTTTATTCTGAAGTGTAAATTTGAACATTATATCTCAAAATATAAAACAAAAACAAAGAAAGCTAAAAGCCCTTCCATTTGGCCATCTTGGAGTAAGACCTACCACAGTCCAGTGCCTTTTACTCAGCCCCACAGCCTAGCCTATTGTTTACATGAAACCCTGTAGCTTCCACCCCTGTTTGACTGTTGGGTGTAAAGTTATGAGTGACCATATTGGGGGAAGGGAGGAAAACTCCCCATAAACGTGTATCCTGGGGGCCTGAGGAGAGACGATGGCCCAGGTATCAGAACATGATATGCCTACTTGTCCCTATCTCCTTGTCCACACATAAGGCTTGGAAGGCAGCCATGTTGTATATCACGTGATCGCCAACCAATGAGCTGATTGGCTTCTTCAACAAGAGCCCAGGTAGAGATTGGTGTCTAGAGGAGCCCATCAGTTTCTAGAGAATCAGGCCTTTGGCAGTGGAAACTCCCCTGGGAGGATGTCACAGGGTCCTCAGGGTCAGACACAGAGAGAAGGAGACATTGGGACAGAGAGAAGAGGCAAGAAAAAAACATACCTTGCAGTCTGTGAGGAACAAGGTGGCCCCTAGGGGCCTCCAGCCCAGGTTCTGAATCAAAGCTCCTCAAAGTTTAAGGTGCATTTGGATCACCTGAGGATCTTATGAAAATAAACTCTGTCTGATTCAGTAGGTCTGGGTTTGGGGGTGGGAGCCTGTTAGTATATTTCTAACAAGCTCCCAGGCAAGGCTGCTACTGCTGCTGATCTAATGACCACAGTTTGAGGCTGGACAGAGTGGCTCACACCTGTAATCCCAACACTTTGGGAGGACAAGGCAGGAGGGTCTCTTGAGGCTAGAACTTTGAGACCAGCCTGGGCAACGCAGCAGGACCTCGTCTCTAAAAAACAAGAGAGAAGAAGAAAAAGGAAACAACAAGAAGACCTCAACTAGAATATGAAGCAGCTAGGCCACATATGTCTTCAATGGAGAAAAGAGCTTTTTCTTGAGTAAATTGGAGTGTACCCATGTTCCTTGTCAATGATGGTAACTTTAAATGTCAAGAATGTGAGAGAGGCCAGGGGTGGTGGATCACACCTATAATCCCAGCACTGTGGGAGGCTGAGGTGGGAGGATCACTTGAGCCAAGGAATTCAAGAGCACCCTGGGAAACAAAGTGCGACCCCGTCTCTACAAAGTCAAAAAATTAGCCCAGATTGGTGGCATGCGCATGTGGTCTGAGCTACATGGGAGGGTAAGGCAGAAGGATTGTTTGAGCCCAGGTCGAGGCTGCAGTAAGCTAAGTTTGTACCACTGCACTCATTCCAGCCTGGGCAACAGCAAGACCCTGTCTCGAAAAAAAAAAGAATAGTAGAGACCAGGGGAAGGTGTGGCCCTGGGGTAGGCGCTGGGAGACTGGAGAACAACTGTTAGTGGTCCCATCACTGCCCAGAGCAGACAGTGCCCTGTCCACCCTCATGAGATCTTTGAACTCCTTGGACAGGACTGGCTATAAATGAAAATGTGGGGACCCTTATTTTTAACTTGTTAAGAATGTTAAGATGGCAACAGCAAAGCTTTAAACCAAGTGCATGGCCCTTCTGCGTTGTAGGCCCACAAGGCCGACACTGCTATTCACATCCTTGTATGGTCCCCTCCCCTTGAGTGTGGCTGGGGCCTGTGCTCTACTGCTTGGAAGCAAGGCTTATCCCTAAGCCTTATTTTCGGGAAGGTGGATTTGAGAGCTACTATCCCACATCCTTGCTTGGTGCCCTGTGAATAAATCTTTTCTCTTTTGCAAAACTCGTGTCATGGTGATTAATTTACTGTGCAATGCCAGGCACTGTTGGAAACCTCTGGATAGGCCTCACAGGGCCTCAGCCATCTCGGGGAGGCGTTAGCTAGAGTGTAACAAATATGACCCCAGCAACTGGGGAGGGACAGCTCATTCCTTCATGAGGTGTGGGGCTGGCAGCCCCGCAGGCAGTCAGCCACCCTTCCTCTCTGGCCTCCGTCCTGGGCACTGGGCCCAGGCACTGGGCAAGGAGGCTGCTGCACCTCCTTTCTCCTCTTCCTTTTTTTTTTTTTTTTTTTTTGAGACGGAGTATGGCTCTGTCGCCCAGGCTGGAGTGCAGTGGCGTGAGCTCGGCTCACTGCAAGCTCCGCCTCCCGGGTTCACGCCATTCTCCTGCCCCAGCCTCCCGAGTAGCTGGGACTACAGGCGCCCGCCACCCCGCCCGGCTAATTTTTTGTATTTTTAGTAGAGACGGGTTTCACCGTTTTAGCCAGTATGGTCTCGATCTCCTGACCTCGTGATCCACCCCCCTCGGTCTCCCAAAGTGCTGGGATTACAGGCGTGAGCCACCGCGCCCAGCCTCTCCTCTTCCCTTTTAGTGGGAAATATACCTGCAGCCTAGATTCCCAGAAAGGGGTGGTGAGAGAGCAGACACGCCACTGATTGACCCAAAGTTCTAGGAGCCAAGGGATGAGTGAAGAGGGCGTGGCCGGACTCGGGGCTCCTGGTGAGGTGCACCGCTGCAGGCTCGGTGACCCAGCAGTTCCTGCCCATCCCTCACCTACCCCCAGCCGTTCCTGTCCGCCGCCCCCAACCAGCCATTCCTGCCCGCAGTTCCTGTTCCCGGGCCTGTCCCCGGGTTTGTCCCCAGGGCCCGTCCCCTGGGTTTAGGTCTGCCCTCCGACGCCCCACCCCATTGCCCCCGCCATGGGTCTGCTGTCCCAGCCCTGCCGTTCAGTCTACATCTTCGCCAAGAATGGCATCCCCTTCGAGCTTCGCACAGTGGAGCTGACCAAAGCTGGGCTGGGCAGGCAGGCCCAGGGGATATTGGCCACGAATCCCTGCCTGTCCCCGCTGCTTTGCAGTCGGGCCAAGAATGCAGACTAACACGAAGAATCAGACTCTCCGGTGTGGAAACTATTACATAATTATCTATGTTATTATTTTTACTTTTTGGAGACAGCATCTAACTCTGTCACTCAGGCTGGAGTGCAGTGGCACAATCATGGCTCACTGCAGCCTTGACCTTCCAGGCTTAAGCGATCCTCCCGCCTCAGCCCCTCAAGTAGCTGGGACTACAGGTGCCCACCGACATGCCTGGCCAATTTATTATTATTATTATTATTATTGAGAGGAGGTCTTGCTGTGTTTCCGAGGCTGGCCTAGAACTCCTGGGCTCAAGTGATCCTCTTGCCTTGGCCTCCCAAAGTGTTGGGATTACAGGCATGAGCCGCCATGCCCCACTGGTTGTCTATTTTAATAGAGGCTTGATCTTTGCTTGTGAATACAAAACATTCTTCAAAATACAGGTTTAGAGAGGGCACAGCAGGCACAGAACGAGGGTAGGGAAATGGAGTGGGGCAAGAATATCTTCACCCCATGTGCTTGGAAAAAACAAACTGCCTCGTTGTTTCCTAAGTAAAATAGTCCCTGTCTACCCCTGCCTGTGTCTCTTCCACTTTTTTATTGTTTGTTTGTTTATTTATTTATTTATTTATTTATTTATTTATTACAGTGTCTCAATCTGCAGCCCAGGCTAGAGGGCAGTGGCATGATCCCGGCTCACTGCAGCCTTGACCTCTCAGGATCAAGTGATCCTCCCAACTTACTCCTCCTAAGTAGAATAGTTGGGACTACAGGCACGTCCCCGTGCCCAGCTACTTTTTTTTTTTTTTTTTTTGGTGTGTGTAGACGCGTGATTTTGCCATGTAGACCAGGCTGACCTTGAGCTCCTGAGCTCAAGTGATCCTCCTGCCTCCTCCTTCTAAAGTGTTGAGATCACAGACATGCACCACCATGTCTGGCCCTGGGTCTCTTCCACTTTTATGTATTTCTTGGCATTCTTCTGCCTTTTCTTTTTCCTGCATCTGACTTGCTCTATCCCATGGGGCTTCTCACCCAGCTGAAGGGGCTACTCCTAGAGGCTAGAGGCTGGAGGGCCCTGTGGCAGGGCAGTGGGGGAGGCCAGCACCCTCACCCTGAGCTCCAGCGTTTGCTGGTCTGGCTGGCATACAGAGATGCAGCTGGAGCACAATTCAGTGGAGGAGGCAGGGCTATAACTAAGCAGTAGGGCAGAGAGCAGAGCCAGAGCCCCCTGGGCAGGCCAGAGGGAGGACCCTGCTCAGCTGACTCTTCCCAACTGCTGCCCTTGGTACAACCAGCTTGAGTCACCTGCTACAGAACAGGGGCTGGACACAGAAGCAGTCTGTGGAGGGAGAATGGGCAGGGGTGTGCATGTCCATTCAGTAGAAGGGCAAAGAGGCCCACATGTAGGCCTATGATCAGACTGGAGCCTGGCTTGACTGAGGTCCTCTGATCCAAACACCAGGCACCTAATGCGGCCTCTAGCACTGGCCTAGAATGCTAAAGTGAGTCAGACCTGGGAACCCCCAGTGGGGAGGGAGCCTTGAGAGTTTGGCATAAGAAAGGAAGAAGAGCTGAGCCACCGGGGGCTGAGTGGCTGAATGGGGCAGGGATTCCCAGCAAGAATGAGGTTGGTCTGAGGGTTGGGAACATGTTTGGCTGGGACTCTGGGGTATTGACAGGTCACCCAGCCTGGCCAGTAGGGCCTAAGTCCCCAGCTGGGATAGGAAGCTGAATCAGAGGGGGCAAGCCTAGAGCCCAGGGAGGAGGCTGGAGGGGTCTGACCTATGGATGGAACTGGCTGGGGGTGGGGTGTGAATTACAGCTCCAGGGAATTGTCCTTGAGCCATGCTTCAAGGAGCTGGACACAGGAAAGATGGCCCTCTGATGGGGTCAAGGTCTGTGACCCAGTGACTAGCAGAGAGGCTTCCTCTTCCCTGATGCCTCCCAGATAGGGGCCTCAGAAAGCTGCTGCTGGGATTTTGGGGTGGGGGTGGGCAGAGACCTCAGAGAACTCTGGGTTATCCCCACTCACCTCTCTGATCTCTCCTGCAGGCCAGCAGCACAGCGATGCCTTTGCCCAGGTGAACCCCCTGAGGAAGGTGCCGGGCCTTGAAGGATGGGGACTTCACCTTGGCTGAGAGGTAACCGGTCCGTGGGCTGCTGCCGGGCCTTGTGGGGCCAGTCGGCTGTCTGTTCACTGTTGATGGCTTGGATCATGGACTGTGGGCCCTGCACCAGCCCCAGGGTGAAGAATGGGTGGAGGCAGGCAGTGGTACCCAGTGTTGACAAGGGTTATAGAAGTCCCCTCCTGCATTGTACAAGTGAGGAAACTGAGGCTGGAGGAGGGGAGGGACTTGCACAAGGCCAGAGGGCCCAGTCTGCTTCCGGGCCTCCTCACCGCCAGCCTTCCCCTCCGAAAAAAGGAGAGTGCTAAGTTTCGAGGAGCGGCTGTACCAGGCATCTTAGTGCTACCATTTTGCCCACAAATCCTGTGGGGCAAGTGCTGTTTCCCTGGAGAGTCGAGGGACCACTCAGCGAGCTTCAGTGGCTATTTGCTAAACATCCACCAGGGCCAGACCCCATTTAAGCCCTGGGGCTTGAGCAGTGAACGTGTCTACGTCCTTCTCCTCATGGATCTCACATTCCATTAATAGAAGGGGGAGCTGACAGTAACCCATGTAAACATGGAACATATCGGATGTTGATGGATGCCATGGAAAAAATAAACAGGGTAAGATTGGGGGTGTGTGAGTAGGATGTTGAGGGAAGACTCCCTGGAGGAAGTGGCATCTGAGCAGAGAGCTGTAGGAATGTGCAAGGCATGAGGAGAAGGGTGTTCTGGCTGGAGGGAAGAGTGATGGCGAAGGCTCCAGGTGGGACAATGCATGGGGTTCAGACTGGAGAGCAACGGGCCAGGGTGGGTGTAGTGAGCAGGAAGAGCAGGAGGTCACGACAGAGGGGAGCATGGGACACTGGGAAGGCTTTGGCTCTTACCGCAGGGGGATTGAGTCGCTGGAGTATTTTGAGCAGAGAA
Organism: Homo sapiens; assembly: GCF_000001405.40. NCBI lineage: Eukaryota > Metazoa > Chordata > Mammalia > Primates > Hominidae > Homo > Homo sapiens. The sequence continues at coordinate 23,988,233 of NC_000022.11, read as the reverse complement.
CTGTGATCTGACTTACGTCATAAAGGATCCCCCTGGCAGGGGTGAGAAAGCCACTGCAGTCATCTGGCATGCAGCGCTGGAGCCCCAGACCAAGGTGGTGGTGGTGCAGGGTTGGTGGGGTGATGGTCGGTTCTGACTTTTCTTGAAACTCTAACTGCAGGGTGTGCTGAAGGGTTGGAGGTGGGTGGGAAAAATGAAAGCCAAAACCAGCCTCCAGGTTGGTGGCCGCATGGTGGCGTCCTTTACCGAGGCCACATAGTGCCTCCTTGGTGGAGCTGGATTCACATTCAGAGCCTGGGATCACTGGATGGTCCAACACCCATAGAGGCATGATGAGCTCTGGGGGTCAGACTGCACAACCCTTCACCATAGGTGAACAGGAGATGGGACGGGGTGGGGAGCAATGCTGCCATGTCACCTGGAAGGCTCTCTCCCTGCTGGCCTTGCTCCTGGCCCTGTCCATGCTTTGGATATGTTGGGGAGATACCCAACTTGCTCTCATTCTTCAGACTCACACTGGGTGCCCCTTCCTCCTGGAAGCCTTCCCTGAGCCCCTGCTGAAGTTCATGACATTTTGTTTCTTCCTTGCTGCCATTAGTTGAGATGATAATCTGGCCCCGTGTAGGGCTGTGTGACCCTGGGCAGTTACCTAACCTCTCTGAGCCTCACATCCCTCCTCTGCATCATGGGGATAGTGAAAATGCCCCAGAAAATGGCTGAAGAGTGTTCAGGGCATGTCTTCTGCCCCTGCCATGTCCCCCCAGTGTGGCTAGCTTGCTCTATATGAGCTGCATGTACAAAGCACCTGACCACTGGTACCTCCAGGACCTGCAGGCCCGCGCCCATGGGGATCAGTACCTGTCATGGCAGCACATGGCCCTGCAGAGTAGCTGCTGCTGGGCCATGTGGCAGAAGGTGAGCCATGGAGGGCAGGGACACCTCCCGGGATGCCCAAGGGATGCTGCTTTCACTTTACAAAATCCTGTTTAGACCTGAGACCAAATCCTGGAATGCCAGAGACTGCCTAATTCACCCAACTTGTTTCATAGGAGGGAAACCAAGGACCAGAGCCAAGGAAGGATTCCCCTAATGTGCCTTAATTCCACAGCTACCACCTGCACACTTACACTCACACACTGTTCGACACACAGCCACGCACACTCACACACACATCCACCCACGTCCACCCACAGTCACACGATGTATCACATTCACACATATACACCCACACACACAATCATAACATTTACACACAGTCACACAGTTAACTCCTGTACACACATATACACCCACACAATCACATAATTCACTCATATTCAACAGTCACACAACTCACTCACATTGACACACATACACACCAACCCCACACACAATTCACATACATACACACACATATACACCCACATACACAACCACACCATTCACTGACATTAATACAAAGTCATCACACAGTTCAGTCACACACACACACACACCTCACACACACAGGCACACAATTCACACCAACAAAATCACACAGTTCACTCACACACATACACCCACATACACAAATTCACACTGCTCAGTCACATTTACACACCATTCAAATTCACACACATATACACCTACTTACACACAGTTCACTCACACCACACACATATACACCCACATACACACAGTTCACTCACATCACACACATATACACCCACATACACACAGTTCACACACATCACACACATATACACCCACACATAAACAAAGTTACACAATTCACTCACGTTCACACACACAGTTCACTGACATTCACACACGTACACACGCACCACACACAGGCAATTCAGTCACATGGCCGAAAGCCATTCCTCACCTTGCTATGGTTCCCTTCCCAGTGTCACCTTAGCCTTTGGCCCTCAGCGTCCCCTTCCCATGCCTGGACTGCTGGAGAGCCCTGAACACACCCCATCTTCATGCCTCCAGCACTAGCCCAAGCCCTTCCCTCTGCCAAGAGCACTAAGTGCAACTCAAGATCACTTCTAGGGACCCTTCCCTGCCCCTCCTCCTGCCAGGTGACCTAAGGATCCTGCTGGTCCCGCTTGACAATGATGCACAGCATGGTTAGTTCAGCTGAGGTCGCTCTCCCAGACTTACTGCCACCTACACAGCACGGGGACTGACTGTTTAACTTTATTCTTTATTTCGTGTACTTTATTGGAGTGTCTGTTGAAAGCAAAACCATCCAATAAGGAACAATCCCAAGGCAGCCAGCATGGATCAAGAAGGCATAGGCTGTGGCCGCCATCCCCAGTGCCTGATGGGGAGAGGGGGTGGTAATGGAAAAGGCCCAGGAAAGCAGGCCAGAGTGTCCCCCAAAGTATGAGAAATCACTGGAAGAGAGAGCCAGAATGGGACCTAAGACAGAAGCCATCACCAGGCACCCTTAAGGCAGGACAGTTGCAATGGTTACTTGGAATACTTCCGGCTAGGAGTGGTGTTACAGGAAGTCAGTGACCCCAAACAGAGGGACCGGCTGAAGCCATGACAGAAGAACGTGGAGTGTGAAGATTTTATGGACATTTATTAGTTCCCCAAATTAATACTATTATAGTTTCTTATGCCTGTCTTTACTGCAATCTCTAAACATAAATTGTAAAGATTTCATGGACACTTATCACTTCCCCAATCAACACCCTTATGATTTCCTATACCTGTCTTTAATCTCTTAATCCTGTCAGCTGAGGAAGATGTATGTCGCCTCAGGACCCTTTAATAATTGCATTAACTGCACAAATTGTACAGGATGTGTGTTTGAGCAATATGAAATCTGAGCACCTTGAAAAAAGAAGAGGATAACAGCAATTGTTCAGGGAATAAGAGAGATAACCTTAAACTCTGACCACCGGTGAGCCGGGCAGAACACAGCCATATTTCTCTTCTTTCAAAAGCAAATGGGAGAAATATCGCTGAATTCTTTTTCTCAGCATGGAATGTCCCTGAGAAAGAGAATACGCACCTGGAGGTATCGGCTTATAAACAGCCCCCCGGGCGTGGCCTCTCTCTTATGGTCGAGACTGCAGAGGTGAGATAGACTCCAGTCTCCCATAGTGCTCCCAGGCTTATTAGGAAGAGGAAATTCCCGCCTAATAAATTTTGGTGAGACCGGTTGGTCTCAAAACCCTGTCTCCTGATAAGATGTTATCAATGACAATGGTGCCCGAAACTTCATTAGCAATTTTAATTTTGCCTCGGTCCTGTGATCCTGTGATCTCGCCCTGCCTCCACTTGCCTTGTGATATTCTATTACCCTGTTAAGTACTTGATGTCTGTCACTCACACCTATTTGCACACTCCCTCCCCTTTTGAAAATCCCTAATAAAAACTTGCTGGTTTTTGTGGCTTGTGGGGCATCACAGATCCTACCAACGTGTGACGTCTCCCCCGGATGCACAGCTTTACAATTTCTCTCTTTTGTACTCTGTCCCTTTATTTCTCAAGCCGGCCGACACTTAGGAAAAATAGGAAACAATCTACGTGATTATTGGGGCAGGTCCCCCAATAGAGTGGCACATGGTGGGCACAGGTCAGGCATGGGAAATAGGCCCCAAAGCCACAAGACATGTGGGCAGGTAGCGCAGTGTGTGTCTGGAACATCCTGTTTATTGGTCAGCAGTGACATCTACTGTCACATTTGAGAACTGCATCCACAGCCACATGGCCTCCTGTGAAGACCTCAGGGCAAACTGGGGAAACCTGCCCTTCTTGGAAGGTGATGCTAGGGGGGATGAGCAACACCTTTCTTGGAGGTTTGAATTCTTCAGGGCCCCTCCAGCATCTTGGTCTTCCTAATTCCTCCCTTGATCCCCCAGCCCTAGGGGTGGTAGCTTCTTGCAGTGTTTACCTCCGTGTTAATCTGGATTCTCTCTGTCTTCGGAGTTCTCTAATGCCTGGTTACCAATTCTTTATATCAAGTTCTCTCCGTTAAAATCATTGTGGTGGGGTCCATCCCATGGATATACATGGAGGTCTGTGTGACAATGTATAATCTTACTATTTGCAGTTATTACAAAACTGTCCTAGAAGACATGAATGCTTGTTAAAAGAAATCTTTTAAGTTTCCTAGACTTCAAAGACCGTTGCTATGCCCTGTGAAACATCGCCTATATCCTTTAACAGTTTGCAATTCGAATTGGTTACTTACTTAACATTTTGTTGCCCTGGTGATACAATTATGTTGACTCGTTATTGTGAGGTTACTTTGTTATTAACCATGATGAGGATTACTAGCACATACTTTTACTCCATATGTATAACACAACAATGTAGTAAAACCAATAACTCTTGGTTCTCTATTCAAAGTGTTTGGAATCTTTATTCTGTTTAAAACACTGATGACATTTGCCAATTTTTGAGTGTTCTTCATGTTACTGATTTGTAGGAGCTCTTTATATATTGCAGATTTAGTCTCTTACTGGTTATGTATGCTGCACCTGAGGAGTAGCAGCACTGCCAAGGACACTGAGTGTCTTGTCTGTGCAGAGCTTCACATGAAGCTGGAGAGAAGGGACTGGGGCAAGAGGGAAAGATAAAAAGGGGCAAGTAAGTAACAGAATGAATCCTTGTTGCTAATCTCCTGGCCCCCATCCCAGACCCTTCAGGGGATCCTGGCGATTCGAAGCAGCATAGCCTGATAGGCCTCTGGTGAGGGTGTTGGGAGGGTTTTCTTGGCCGCCTGTTCCAGGATGCTCAAGATGATGCTGTGGGCCTCCTGGCATAGCTCAGCACCCAGGAAAGCCTCCACTCATCCACGCCATGCTGCCAGTCGTGGCCGTCCCTCAAACAGTTCATAGCCGAGAGCCACCGGCTGTAGGGACAAGGATGAAAAAGTTGTGGGCATACAACTTTCCCAGTTGTCACTGCCGACCCGAATGCTGGAACCATGGGCAGAAGTATCAGAGACATGGTCCATTCCCCAGCCCCTAAGTGAATGGACCACAGGGGCCCAGGCAGTATGTTCAGCCTTAGAGCCCAAGAGCAGCCAGGGTGAGACCCCACACCCAGGCAGGAGGCAGAAGTTCAGGGTTCTGGCCCCAGATCATCCAGAGACTTGCTCTATGATTCTGGGCAAAGTTCTGGCTTTCTCCAGGCCTCAGTGTTTCTGTCTGCCTCATGGGTGTGACACGAAGAGGGACACTGCCCACAGGCTGAGCTCACACCTGCATCAGCTCCTCCAGGGCCATGAGATCAGCCAGTGTCACCTGCTGGCCAGCGAGGAAGGGCCTGTCCCCCAGGAACTTGTCCTCCAGCCATTGCAGGGCCTGGTCCATGGCAGTCCTGTTGCGTTCCACCTTCTCCTCGGGCACCTGGACCCCAATGAGTGGCCCCAACATCTGATGGGGGCAGAGAGTGGGTCAGTCTATGGCCCCGGCCTACTGCCAACTACTCCCTGATGGCCAATCACTCTCCAGATGGCTCTCCTCACCTGGACCCACAGGGGTATACCAAAGGTGCCACGGATGCAGTCGGCATGCCAGCCCAGGTACTCATGAACACGGGCACGAGCCTGCAGGTCAGATGGATACCAGTGGTCCGGCGTCTGGTACTTACAGCTCAGGTAAATCAGGATGGCCGAGCTGGGAACAAATGGGCAGTGGCTATAAGGACACTGGCACCAGGCATTTACCCCTAACTGCTCCCATCTGCCAGTGGGGCCCGGGGGCTTCTCTGCATTTGAAGGACTGCCCTCCAGCCTCGCCCTCCATCTCCAGCTCCCCAACACCACCCCCTCCTCCTACGAGTCTCCTCCTGTCTTTGTTGCCTTGGGCACCGACTCTTGGCTGGACCTTCTGCTTTGCATTTTGAGAACCTCATCTCTGTGATATGCCAGCAGCCGCCCTGTGAGGTAGACACTCCTGTTAGCCTTTTAGCACAAGAGAAAACTCAAGGTCAGAATGGTCAAGTGACTTGTCCGAGGCGGTGCAGCTCAGAATAGGCTCCCTGGACCCCTGGAACCCTGCATGGGGCTGGCACACAGTGGATGCTCCGTGGAGTCCCTTGCATGTCCACGCGCTTGGGTCAGGGATCACGAGGGGAGGAATGTCTTTGGCCCCCGTCTGACAGGCCCCCAGCCATCACCTCTGCAGCCACCTGACCTCTTGTCCTTTTCCTGCCCAGCAGCTGGACCTCACCATGAGCTGTGCCCTTGGGCCATGGCATTGGCCTCTAGGCCCGGCCTGGGTAGATTGGGTAGTCTGCGACAAGTCACTAGAGGCTCTTTTCAGCTAGCATTTGTTGAACAAATGCGCAACAGTGGAAAAATGTTCCCTTGTCTTCTCTTCTAATACCCTTCAGTCTGGGAGTGGAGAGGCCCTGCGGCTCAGAAAAGGCTGAAGATGAGAGGTGGGGGGACATGTTCTGTCAGCCCCTGCTCATCCCGGACACACCCCAAGCTGTACCTTCTCCCCAGATACCTCTCCTTTCTTTCTTTCCTTTTTTTTTGAGACGGAGTCTCCCTCTGTCGCCCAGGCTGGAGTGGGCTCCCTCTGTCACCCAGGCTGGAGTGCAGTGGCGCGACCTCTGCTCATTGCAAGCTCCGCCTCCTGAGTTCACGCCATTCTCCTGCCTCAGCCTCCCCAGTAGCTGGGACTACAGGCGGCCGCCACCACGCCCTGCTAATGTTTTGTATTTTTAGTAGAGACAGGGTTTCACCGTGTTAGCCAGGATGGTCTCGATCTCCTGACCTCGTGATCCGCCCACCTCGGCCTCCCAAAGTGCTGGGATTACAGGCGTAAACCACCGCGCCCGGCCTTTTTGAGACGGAGTCTAGCTCTGTCGCCCAGGCTGGAGTGCAGTGGCGCGATCTCAGCACACTGCAAGCTCCGCCTCCTGGGTTCACACCATTCTCCTGCCTCAGCCTCCAGAGTAGCTGGGACTACAGACGCCCGCCACCACGCCCGGTTAATTTTTTTTTCCATTTTTAGTAGAGACGGTGTTTCACGGTGTTAGCCAGGATGGTCTCGGTCTCCTGACCTCGTGATCCGCCCGCCTTGGCCTCCCGAAGTGCCGGGATGACAGGCGTGAGCCACCGCGCCCGGCCAGATCCCTCGCCTTTCCCCTCCCTCGCTGCCCCATGGGGTATGGGAGGGCCATTGGGGCCCGGGGCCAGTGGGGAGAGCCAAGGTCACATGGGCTCCGGATGCGGTGAGGGGTGAGGGAAGGAGGGCATCTTTCGGTCAAGATGAAATCACCATCCTTGAGCGTCGGCAGTTTCCCCAGGCTGTTGATCTGCAAGAACTCCTTGCTCTTGTGCTGCCCTGAAGAAGAAGAAGTCAGAAAAGGTCTTCAGAGTAAAAACGCTGCACCTCTACACCCTCCCTCCTCCTCCCCAAGCGGAGCCCCACAGCCCTGAGAAACAGCAAGGTCTGGGACTAGAGGCCTGGATCAGCCTCACTCCCTGGCTGGGCCTCCCTGCCCTGCCACATTCCGGGGCAGCTGGGGGGTTTTGGTGGGTGGGGCCAGGTGCAGCAGGTGGATAAAGAGAAGTTTTCTAGCCGGACTCTGGTGGGCCAGGGGAGGGGAGGCAAACTGGGGTGGCTCATCTCTTCCCATCTCTTAATTCTCACAACAGTATGTCCTTCTTCCCGAGGTCTTCTGGGCTTTGTGAATTTATATGCGTGCATTCCACGCAAGAACTCTGTCAACTCCATTCAGTATTTTCTTTCCATCCCTACAGAGCAGAAGGTAACATTATCCTCCTTTTCAGAAGGCAAGCTAAGGTTCAGAGAGGCTGTGATCCCTTCAAGGCCACTCAGTCCACAGCATTCTCTGGTGGCAGACGCTGCAGGAGGAGGTGAGGGGGCTGTGCGGGCGGCGAGACGCTCAGGGCAGAGCAGGGCGGGGGCCTGGGGGTGCACTGGGTTTGTGGACACGCGGGGAAACGGGCTGGGCCCACCTTTGACCAAATCCACGGTGCGCAGCTCTAAGGGGATGCCATTCTTCTTGGCGAAGATGTAGACGGCGCGGCTGGGCTGGGACACCAGGTCAAGAAACAGCTCTAGGCCCATGGCGGGGGCGGCAAGGACAGCGGGGATGGCAGTGAAGGCGCTGAGCGCGGTGTGGGCAGCAGCTGTGGCAGGATCCCGGCGCGCCGGGAAATAGGGGATCAGGCCCCACCCCCTGGGGACAGCACCCAATTGGAGCGCACCACCCCCGGACCCGCCTCGCCCCTTCGGTTCCTGTCCAGTCCTGCCGGCCAAGACTCCACCACCAGATCCGTGCGTCCCTACAGGGAGGGCGGTCGCTATGAACGCACAGCTGGGAGGGTGGAGTTGGAGCTGGGGACCCTCGACTGGCAGGGAGGACGCGGATGCAGGGGGCCGACTGCAAGGGGAAGGGGAACCGGCTGGACAGGGAGAAGCAGGTCTGCTTTTCGGGATCCCGGTGCCAGGGACCCTGCCCAGTTCCAGGCGTCGCCCTGACCCAGAAACGACTGGGCGCCGCCGTCCTGGAAAGGCCCCAGCGCACGGACATCTGAGGGTTCGTTCAGAGCTCTGTTTCTCGGCGCTGCATGGTGGCGGAAGGGAGGGAGCGAATGGGATCCCCTAAAAGGGATCTTAGAGTTTCACCCAGTGGGATGTGACACTTGCAGGTGTCCCAAACTGGTGGGAACCTTGACTGGAAGGCTGGGGTTAAGGATGAACTTTCTGCCGTCCAGACTGTCCCCTGCAGAGCAGCTGCTGCCAGACAGCGGGAGCTGCCAGACAGCGGGAGCTCCCACTTCGTGCACAGGATGGGGGCAGGGAGCCCGCAGCCGCGGGAGGCAGGAATGACTGTCCGGGAACCTCCTTTCTTCTCCCTGAATCCCAGCCCTGGCATCTCACCAGGGGGCACAGTGATGGTCCAGGGCTGGGCCCGGGACTCTAGCTGAATCTTTCAGAGTATCCCATCCCTCTGGCCAGTGGCCCAAGCGAGTGAACCAGAATGCTTCCTTGGGAGTTTTGAAACTGGAACTGGAGAGAGGAGCTCCCTATGGGGAGGTAAACGGGAGCTGGGGCCACCTGTAGTGACATTTCCTGAGTTCGAGGAGTAGACGAGACTGAGAGAGAAAAGCTGACTCAGAGAAAGGGAGTGATAACAGGGCATGCTGGCCCACACCTGCAATCCCAGTTACTCTCACGGGATCTGTTTCTCTGATGTCTGGGTATGAAAGGACTTTCTAAGCCTCAGAACAGTGGGAGAACTCAACAAAGAAAAAACCAATACATATACAAGGTTACTTTGTGGAGGAAAAAATGGATTAACCTTAAGCAAAAAACTGGGAAGGATCTCGGTAAAAGATACGTCAGAAGGAAGTAATGTCCTTTAAGATGTTCTTAGAAACCCATCAGACAGGTAGGGTGTGGTGGTTCACGCCTGTAATCCCTGTACTTTGGGAGGCAGAGATGGGCGGATCAGTTGAGGTCAGGAGTTTGAGACCAGCCTGGGCAACACGGTGAAGCCCCGTCTCTACTAAAAATACAAAAATTAGCTGGGTGCGGTGGCACACTCGGGAGGCTGAGACAGGAGAATCACTTGAACCTTGGAGGCAGAGGTTTCAGTGAGCTGAGATCATACCACTGCACTCCAGCCGGGCCACTGAGCGAGACTGTCTCAAAACAAACAAACGAACAAACAAAAAGAAGAGAAACTCATCAGACGAAGACACAGGAAAAAAATGAGCGAAGGAAATCAGCAGAGGTTTCATTGAAGGACAAAGAGAAATGGTCAATACATGGATGAAAACATGTTTAACTTCAGTAATAATCAAGGAAGCACACACCAACACAACATGCACATACTGTTTTTATTTATCAAAGGCACACATATTTTTGAAATGAGTACTCCTAATTAATATGTACAGAGCACTTACCCAGTGCCCAGCACAGGGGTGGCACCCTGTGTGTGAGACAGCATGAAACAGGTAGACACGCGCCCTGCTGAAAGTAAGGGACCGCCTCTCTGGAGGATCCATCGGGCAATAAGGAGGTTTCCACACCTTAACTGTGTCTGCCTTGACCTCTGGGGCCTGGGAGCAGAGCCCCCTCCAGCTGGTGGGGAAGGAAGCGTGGTGTGTTTGAGGACAGAATGGAGAGAAGTTGAGTAGAGCAAGTGTAGACTCTTCCTATCCAAAGTGTGGTCAATGGACTGGGAGTATCAGCATCACCAGGGAGCTTGTTGGAAATGCAGAGGCTCAGGCCCCACTCTGACCTTACTGATTGGGAGCATAAACTGTAACCAGATTCCAGGGAGGATTCATACACACATTCCCGTTTGATAAGTGGGGGGTAGTAGGAGGTGAGGTGAAAAGTGGGGAGGGGATGGCTACCGCACTGGAGAAGGCTGGCTTTGTGTTGAGGCCTTTCTCATGAGGGCAGTGGGGAGCCATGGAAGGCTTTATGCAAGAGAGGGTACGGGCAGATTGAGATTACAGAAGGATCCCACTGGTTGCCTTGTGTGAGGACCCAGGGAGAAGGGGGAGGCTGTCCCTGTTTGAGTAGGAGATGAGAGCTACTGGTGGCTATGAGTGGAAAGAAGTGAGCAGAGGTGAGCAGAAATCCCAAGGACTGGTGATGATAGGATGATGGTGGGAACCAGGATGGGCTTTGGGCAGACCCTGACCCCTCTCTCTGCCTGTCGGCCCACCAGATAATAATCCCTGTGTTCCTGGGCGAGTCAGTGCCACCCGAGATGTTGGCGGCCACTTTGGCTGAGCTGGACGGATGCCTGCAGCTGCTCGAGGACAAGTTCCTGCGGGACCAGGCCTTCCTTACTGGGCCCCGTATCTCTGTGGCTGGCTTGGTGGCAATCACGGAGCTGAGGCATGAGAGTGCCATGGGGTGCGGTGGCCCGCTGGGCAGTGGTGTATCCGGGAAGGGAGCTGACATCCCAGCTCATGTTGTCTTTTCTGGCTGTGGGACCCTGTGTGAGTCACTTCTCCTTCTGAGCCTCAGTGTCCTCATCTATAAAATGGGGCTTTACAAACCCCTCACCGCAGCTATATTAAGAGGCTTCCAAGTGTCCCCAGGGAGGGGGACATCCTAGCCCATCACACACATGGTGGAGGAGGGAAAATCCAATCAGAGAACCCCTAAAGCAGGTCATGCTGCCTTACACTTGGCTATGCCCAGCCCCTCCGCTGACTCTGTCTTCCCCTAGCCCATCAGTGCTGGCTGCTGAGTCTTTGAAAGCAGACCCACGGTGGCAGCATGGTGCCCAACACGTGGAGGCTGCAGTGCGGGAGGACTTCTTCCAGGAGGCCCTCCCAGCTGTCCTGAAGGCCAAGGACCTGCCTCCAGTAGAACCTGCTGTTAAAGAGAATCTGAAGACCTTAATGCAGCTTTTCTTGCTGTGAGTGCGTGTCCCACACTTGCTGAGCCACTGAGGGGATGCTGTGTTGGTAGAATAAAGACATGGAGCTGTCCGTCTCCTTGGTTGAAGAGAAGACATATCTGCAAAGGCTCTGGTCCACAGTTCCTCCAGATATCATGCCTGCATTCCTTTTGTCTCCTACCCCATTCCATTCTAGCTTCCATGTGACCTCTGAAAAGAGCTTGGGCAAACGCTTACTTGACCCTGACCTTCTGTGTGGAACTTTGTATGGTTCCTCACTGCCCAGAAGCTAAAGTACAAGTCATTGAACTTTGCATTCAAGGCCTTGCTCCCACTCCTCCAGGTGGCCCCTTCTGCCTGCACACTCCTAACCCCTCTCTGGGCTCCCACCTTGGCCTCTTGGCCTCCGCTCATGCTGTTCCCTCCTCATCTTCGCCTGGTGCCCTTCCTGGTCTTTTGGCATTTGGCACCCTGTCTCTTCTCCAGGGAGACTTCCCTGACCTCCCCAGCCCCAGTCCAGGTCAGGCGACCTCTCTGGGCTCCTCAGCCCCAGTGTTTCCTTGCGGGGGATACCCCCGGACTGAGCATGTATCATCGATGAGGGGTGACCTGGTGGAAAGATGTCTGAATCAGGATCAGCCTTGGTCTCCTCGGTCTCTCTCCTCACTGTGGGGCGATGTTGTGTTCCACAAGTGGGGTGCAGGGCTGGTTCATGAACCTCCTTGCAGGAAGGGAAGTCCCTGGTTATTTCCTGGCCCTCTCCCATGCCTCCTCATAACCTTGACCACAGTCTTCTCTACACCCCACTCCCGGACCACTGGCTTGTCCATGCCCCACACCTGGTCCCAGACTTGCCACCTGTCCCTGCCCTCTCCCCTTAGGACTGTCATATTTACCTGTCGTGTGTCTCAGACCTTCTGATATCTGAGTCATCTAATAAACAAACTGCTAATAGGACAAGATCATGACAGACAGAGACTCTGTCGGCCTTTCAGTGGAGGCTCCTTTAAGTATGCACACTTATAGAGAATTTTATACACGTAGTTGAAATTGTACATATAAACTTGCAAATTTTTTCTTTCTTTTTTGTGGGGGAGGGGGGAGCCTGGGTCTCACTCTGTCATCTAGGGTGGAGTGCAGTGGCACAGTCATAGCTCCCTGCAGCCTAGATCTCCTGCGCTCAAGCAATCCTCCTGCCTCAGCCGCCCAGGTAGCTAGGACTACAGGCACACACCACAGCACCCAGATTTCTTCTTTTTTTTTTTTTTTTTGTAGAAAATAAAGAAGAGAATCTTGCTATGTTGCCTAGCCTGATCTTTAACTCCTGGGCTCAAGCAATCCTCCCTTCTTAGCCTCCCAAAGTGCTGAGATTACAGGTGTGAGCCACATTGCTCGACCACAACTTCAGTCATATTTGTAATGTACAATTCAAGTGATTTTGCCACACTGACCACACTCATGTTTAAGCCACGCCAACAGAGTTCCATGTTTTCTGATGTTTTTTCGAGATGGAGTCTCGCTCTGTCACCCAGGCTGGAGTGCAATGGCGCGATCTCGGCTCACTGCAACCTCCACCTCCCCGGTTCAAGCGATTCTCCTGCCTCAGCCTCCCGAGCAGCTGGGATTACAACGTCTGCCACCACGCCCGGCTAATTTTTGTATCTTTAGTAGAGACGGGGTTTCGTCATGTTGGCCAGGCTGGTCTCAAACTCCTGACCTCAGGTGATCCGCCCGCCTGGACCTCGCAAAGTGCTGGGATTACAGGCGTGAGCTACCGTGCCCGGCCTTTCCATGTTTTAAAGAACATATTTTGCCACCCCCTGGTGGACAGTGGCTCACCACCGGCACAAGAGGCTACACAGGCAGATGTCAATGGGGACCAGGCAGGGACAGGTATTGTCGTGAGCCTAGCCCTACCCGCGCCCCCGCGAGTAACCACATCTCCTGACTGCCCAAGCGCAGATTTCCATACTGAACATGAAATTGCCTGACTTCGAAATGGTGGCAAATCATTCAAAAAAACTTTAAGCTCCCGTTGTATTGGTTATTAGGGTCGAGCCTGGGGAAGACCCCTATAGGTGTGTGTGTGTCCTTGTGTGTCGGGGGTGTGGTGTTCAGACCTCTAATAGGGCTAGGAACCGGGCGACCACAGCGCGGAAGCTTGAGAGGGAAACCCACCTGGCGCCAGGCAGGAGGGTCGGGGGAGACAGGGTGGGTCCACTACCGGGTTAAAGACCTGTAGTGGGTGGGGCTACACGTAGGGCGGAGACGATGGGACTTCCGGAAATCAGCCGGCACACGTGACTTTTGTTTGCAGAAGCGGGAGGTACCCTAGGCAGCCAATCGGGGAGCGCCGAGTCTCTGTCCAGCCAATGAGAAGCCAGGTTGCTGTGGCGCCTCGCCCCTCCTCCCTGGTCCGCGAGCCTTGGGTACCCCCAGCTTTTCTTCCGCCAGAGCTGTTTCCGTTCCTCTGCCCGCCATGCCGTTCCTGGAGCTGGACACGAATTTGCCCGCCAACCGAGTGCCCGCGGGGCTGGAGAAACGACTCTGCGCCGCCGCTGCCTCCATCCTGGGCAAACCTGCGGACGTAAGCGTGGGCCGGGCAGCACGGGGCGAGGGGAGGTTGGTGGGCCAGGGGTCCGGCCCTGTCCCTGCTCCGCCTCCCCGACAGTGACCCCGAATCTTTTCCCCAGGGACCACTCCCCACTCCTTTCCTCACGCCAAGCTCTGACTTTCCGTGCTCCACGATCCCGCGGCTCCCCCTCCGCACGTCTTTCCCTTGTCGCCCTCCCCAGTCATGACCCGGGCGTGACCTTCAGGGACCGCGGCCCGTATCGGGATCCCTGCCCCGCGAACACTGCGCGTTTCGGCTTTCGCGCGCTCGGGTCCCGTCCCCAGAGGTAGCCCGGCCGGCTCCAACTTCGGGCAAAACTTTTCATGTCCCCCTCAGCGCGTGAACGTGACGGTACGGCCGGGCCTGGCCATGGCGCTGAGCGGGTCCACCGAGCCCTGCGCGCAGCTGTCCATCTCCTCCATCGGCGTAGTGGGCACCGCCGAGGACAACCGCAGCCACAGCGCCCACTTCTTTGAGTTTCTCACCAAGGAGCTAGCCCTGGGCCAGGACCGGTGCGTAGGGGTAGTAGGGGATCCATGTGGGACTGCCGCAGACTGGAGCCACTGATCCTGCCTCAGGGGGAAAAACCCATTTCTTGCCCTGCCCAGTAAGGACACATCAGGGTCTGGAGCTTTGGGGCCCCCTGACCCCTTAGGTTCCTGCTGTTAGGACCATCTTCAAAGTGCGAGCAGGATTGAATGAATTTCTGGCTCTGCTCCTCAGTGTGTAAGTCTGTGAACCGGGAAGGCTCTCTTTTAACACCCCCGGGGCAGTGCAAGGGTCATGTGGGATTGTCTGTGTGCTGTACCTGCCTTGGCACCTGACAGGGTAGGTACACGTGGCTGAAGTGTGATTTTCTAGAACTTTTCCAGGCTGGTCAGAAGGAATTCTGGGTATGTTCTGAAGTTACGTATTTTGGACCTGTGTCCCAGCCAGGTTCCAGGTGAAGTTCACGGGAGACTCACAGAGTAGTGAAAGACCATTGGCCTGGATGTCTAGACATCTGCTTTCTGGGTCCTGCATAGCTGGGGGACCCCAGACAAACTTGGAAATGAACCATCTCCAGTTGGCAACCTCCTCTTCTGTGAATACAGGGGAAAAGACCTCCCTCCCCCACAAGAAGCGTCTGCAACCCAAACCTGGCGTTCTGTGACCGAGTTAAAGTTTCCTCTTGGGTAAAAGATATTCTTGAGCCACATCCATGTCTAGGAGGAAGTAAGGGCATGAGAAGCTTGAAAGGACACTGTCCAGGCACGGTGGCTCATGCCTGTAATCCCAGCACTTTGGGAGACCAAGGCGGGAGGTTCATTTGACCCAGGAGTTGTAGACCAGTCTGGGTAACATAGTGAGATGCCATCCCCCAAAACAGTTTTAAAAATTAACCGGACATGGTGGTGTGCACATGTAGTCTCACTTAGTTGGCAGGCTGAAGTGGGAGGATGGTTTCAGCCCAGGAGGTTGAGGCTGCAGTGAGCTATGATTGCGCATTGCACTCCATCCTGTGTGACAGTGAGACCTTGGCTCACAAAAAAAGACCTTCTGAAATGGAGCCTTTGTTAGTCCATGAAGGTCGATGAGGAATGGCTGATCCTGCTGGGTCCTCCCTCAAGCTACAGAGGAATAATACAGTCAGCCCCCTGTATCACTGGGTTACGCATCTGTTGATTCAAACAACCATGGATTGAAATATTAGAGGAAAAAAAATTGATAATTGCATCTATACTGAAAATACGTATAGACTTTATTCCTTGTCATTATTCCCTAAACAATACAACTATTTACATAGTACGTACATTATATTAGGTATTATAAGTAACCCAGAGATTATTTAAAGTATATGAGAGGATGTGTGTAGGTTACATGCAAATATTACACCATTTTATGTAAGGGACTTGAGCAAATGTAGATTCTGGTTTCCTCTGGGGATTCTAGAACAAATCTCCCACGGATACTCAGGGAAAACTGTTACTCTAACAACAAGTGTTATACACTTACCATGTGCTAGGTCCTCTACAGGTACTTTACACTCATGATCCCATTTGATCCTTACAATCCCTATCCACTCTCCCTTTGCTCAGACAAGACATGCTATCCCCATGAGGTAGATAATCTCCATTATGCCAATTTTATGATGAGAAGACAGGCTGTTCATACTCCCGCCCGCCCCAACCAGGCTGTCCCAAGTTCTGGTTTTCCTCACTGGAAACTTGCTGTTACCTCTGAGAGGGGCATGTTCACTTATGGCCCAGACATTAGTGGCGGGGTTGGTGGGGTGGGGGGTCACCCTGTGCTCAGCCTTTGAGAAAACAGGTGGCTGAGGTACTGTGCCCTTAGGGAGCCTGCAATTAGGAGGCAGGGTACCCCTCAGTACACAAACTGATGGAGATGATAGAGTGTACGGCACACACACCGAGGCTACTGTATTGTGTGTCTGTCCTAGCTGGGTCATGATGTGCGGCTACCTCCCACACCTGAGTGTCCCACTGCCCTGCTGGGGGTTGGGGAAAATCATTATTGGGATGAGCAGGTTTGCAAAATGCCTGGTGGACTGAGGCAGGCTGTCCTGAGTACCCACAGTGGGAGTACCTGGCAGGGGTCTTGCAAGATGTGGTATTAGCCAAGGAGCTGATGATATCTTTTTCTCTGTCTCCTGAAGGATACTTATCCGCTTTTTCCCCTTGGAGTCCTGGCAGATTGGCAAGATAGGGACGGTCATGACTTTTTTATGATTGGGCACGGAGGGATCCAGGGCATCTGTGAACTGGCTGCTTCTTCCAGAGAGATCTCTTGGCAGAGTGAGGGCCTGGAGATAACCAGCTTTGGATTATCCCGCATGCAACATTCCTGTGATCACATAATCCTCTTCTTCATCCTCATATGAAATAAATGAAGAGAGCTTCCTCATTCAAACATGACTTCTTACCTTCTATTATCTCTCCTGGGCATCTGGGGCCACCATGGGCAGCAGGGCTGGTGGATAAGACCGTAGGGAACCTGGAGGGGGATGATTTAGACTGCTCAGATCTGGGGCTGGGAGACTCAGCCTGGAGGCTCTGCTCTCCACACCCATCTGCAGGCCTGTGGGAAGGTGTGAGCAGCTGGTCCAGCTGGGGCCTTCCTGCAGACTGCTGACCTGAGGCTCCTGTCCTCAGCCCCAAAATGGGACCAGACCTCTGTACTCCTCCTGAAGTCTACTCCCTCCATGACTGGCTGGGCAGCCTGCCACGCCACTCTCCCCTTTTCCCCACTGTAGAGTGGAGGCAGGGGTTGCCTGTGTCCCTTTGGGGGTTGGTCGCTGGTTTTCCAGAAGCAGGGTCCCCAGTCTGCCCCTCCTCCTCCCCAGGGTTGCAAGCTTCGACTCCCTCCCTTTGGCAAGACTCAAACCGTCCTCCCAGCTGCCCCATCACCCCTTCCTGGCAGTAGCACCACTTTTCATAACCTTTCCAGCCCAGGGGTCCCCAGGCTGGGAGGACAGCTGGGGGGATGAATGGCAGGTAAGGCTTCCTGTGTCTTCTCTCCTGTTGCAACTGTGCCACCTGCACACTTACACACTCATGGACACACCATGCACATACACACATCCACCCGCATCTAGTCACGATTCATCACATTCACACACATATACAATCATACCATTTACACACAGTTAACTCATGTACACACACATATACACCCAGTCACATAATTCACTCACATCCAACAAAGTCACACAACTCAAATTCACACATATAGACCAAATCCCCACACACGTACACACACACACACAATCACAGCATTCACTGACATTCATAGTCATCACACAGTTCACTCACACACACACATACTCCCCGTCACACACAGGCACACAATTCACACCAACAAAATCACAATTCACTTATCCACCCACATACTCAAATTCACACTGCTCACATTTACACACAATTCACTAAAATTCACGTATACACCCATGTACACAGTTCACTCACATCACACACATATACACCCACACATAAACACACAATTCACTCACACACAGTTCACTGACATTCGCACACATACACACGCACCACACAGGCAATTCAGTCACATGGCCAAAAGCCAGTCCTCACCTTGCTAGTTCCCTTCCCAGTGTCACCTCCGCCTTTGGCCCTCAGCGTCCCCTTCCCATGCCTGGACTGCTGGAGAGCCCTGAACACACCCCATCTTCATGCCTCCAGCACTAGCCCAAGCCCTTCCCTCTGCCAAGAGCACTAAGTGCAACTCAAGGTCACTTCTAGGGACCCTTCCCTGTCCCTCCTCCTGCCAGGTGACATGAGGATCCTGCTGGCCCTGCTTAACAATGATGCACACCACAGTTAGTTCAGCCGAGGTCGCTCTCCCAGACTTACTGCCACCTACACAGCACTGGGACTGACTGTTTAACTTTATTCTTTATTTCGTGTACTTTATTGGAGTGTCTGTTGAAAGCAAAACCATCCAATTAGGAACAATCCAAAGGCAGCCAGCATGGAGTGAGTGCAGTGGTGGAAACTCAGATTATTGCAGCCTCGACCTCCTGGGCCTAAACAAACCTTCTGCCTCAGCCTCCCATGTAGTTTGGATCACAGGCTCATGCCACCATGCTGGGCTAATTGTATGACTTTGTAGAGATGGGGTCGCACTTTGTTTCCCAGGGTGGTCTTGAATTCCTGGGCTTAAGTGATCCTCCCACCTCAGCCCATTTTGCAAAAGTGCTCATCCCGGTAATGAGCATTCCCCAACCCCCAGCAGGGCAGTGGGACACTCAGGTGTGGAATGGTGGCTGCACATCAGCATGACCCACCTAGGACAGACACTCAACACAGTAGCCTCATCGTGTGTGCTGCACACTCCATCATCTCTGTCAGTCTGTGGGCTGAGGGGCAATCTGCCTCCTCCTAATTGCAGACTCCCTAAGGACACAGTACCTCAGACACCTGTTTTCTCAAAGGTTGGGCACAGGGTGGCCCCCCCACCACTAATGTCTGTGCCATAAGCCAACATGCCCCTCTCAGAGGTGACAGCAGTTTTCAGTGAGGAGCGCCACAGCTTGGGACAGCCTGGCTGAGGGCGGGGGAGTATGAAGAGCCTTAGTCTTCTCATCATAAAATTGGCATAATGGAGATTATCTACCTCATGGGGATAGCATGTCTTGTCTGAGCAAAGGGAGAGTGGATAGGGATTGTAAGGATCAAATGGGATCATGAGTGTAAAGTACCTGTAGAGGACCTAGCACATGGTAAGTGTATAACACTTGTTGTTAGAGTAACAGTTTTCCCTGAGTATCCGTGGGAGATTTGTTCTAGAATCCCCAGAGGAAACCAGAATCTACATTTGCTCAAGTCCCTTACATAAAATGGTGTAATATTTGCATGTAACCTACACACATCCTCTCATATACTTTAAATAATCTCTGGGTTACTTATAATACCTAATATAATGTACGTACTATGTAAATAGTTGTATTGTTTAGGGAATAATGACAAGGAATAAAGTCTATACGTATTTTCAGTATAGATGCAATTATCAATTTTTTTCCTCTAATATTTCAATCCATGGTTGTTTGAATCAACAGATGCGTAACCCAGTGATACAGGGGGCTGACTGTATTATTCCTCTGTAGCTTGAGGGAGGACCCAGCAGGATCAGCCATTCCTCATCGACCTTCATGGACTAACAAAGGCTCCATTTCAGAAGGTCTTTTTTTGTGAGCCAAGGTCTCACTGTCACACAGGATGGAGTGCAATGCGCAATCATAGCTCACTGCAGCCTCAACCTCCTGGGCTGAAACCATCCTCCCACTTCAGCCTGCCAACTAAGTGAGACTACATGTGCACACCACCATGTCCGGTTAATTTTTAAAACTGTTTTGGGGGATGGCATCTCACTATGTTACCCAGACTGGTCTACAACTCCTGGGTCAAATGAACCTCCCGCCTTGGTCTCCCAAAGTGCTGGGATTACAGGCATGAGCCACCGTGCCTGGACAGTGTCCTTTCAAGCTTCTCATGCCCTTACTTCCTCCTAGACATGGATGTGGCTCAAGAATATCTTTTACCCAAGAGGAAACTTTAACTCGGTCACAGAACGCCAGGTTTGGGTTGCAGACGCTTCTTGTGGGGGAGGGAGGTCTTTTCCCCTGTATTCACAGAAGAGGAGGTTGCCAACTGGAGATGGTTCATTTCCAAGTTTGTCTGGGGTCCCCCAGCTATGCAGGACCCAGAAAGCAGATGTCTAGACATCCAGGCCAATGGTCTTTCACTACTCTGTGAGTCTCCCGTGAACTTCACCTGGAACCTGGCTGGGACACAGGTCCAAAATACGTAACTTCAGAACATACCCAGAATTCCTTCTGACCAGCCTGGAAAAGTTCTAGAAAATCACACTTCAGCCACGTGTACCTACCCTGTCAGGTGCCAAGGCAGGTACAGCACACAGACAATCCCACATGACCCTTGCACTGCCCCGGGGGTGTTAAAAGAGAGCCTTCCCGGTTCACAGACTTACACACTGAGGAGCAGAGCCAGAAATTCATTCAATCCTGCTCGCACTTTGAAGATGGTCCTAACAGCAGGAACCTAAGGGGTCAGGGGGCCCCAAAGCTCCAGACCCTGATGTGTCCTTACTGGGCAGGGCAAGAAATGGGTTTTTCCCCCTGAGGCAGGATCAGTGGCTCCAGTCTGCGGCAGTCCCACATGGATCCCCTACTACCCCTACGCACCGGTCCTGGCCCAGGGCTAGCTCCTTGGTGAGAAACTCAAAGAAGTGGGCGCTGTGGCTGCGGTTGTCCTCGGCGGTGCCCACTACGCCGATGGAGGAGATGGACAGCTGCGCGCAGGGCTCGGTGGACCCGCTCAGCGCCATGGCCAGGCCCGGCCGTACCGTCACGTTCACGCGCTGAGGGGGACATGAAAAGTTTTGCCCGAAGTTGGAGCCGGCCGGGCTACCTCTGGGGACGGGACCCGAGCGCGCGAAAGCCGAAACGCGCAGTGTTCGCGGGGCAGGGATCCCGATACGGGCCGCGGTCCCTGAAGGTCACGCCCGGGTCATGACTGGGGAGGGCGACAAGGGAAAGACGTGCGGAGGGGGAGCCGCGGGATCGTGGAGCACGGAAAGTCAGAGCTTGGCGTGAGGAAAGGAGTGGGGAGTGGTCCCTGGGGAAAAGATTCGGGGTCACTGTCGGGGAGGCGGAGCAGGGACAGGGCCGGACCCCTGGCCCACCAACCTCCCCTCGCCCCGTGCTGCCCGGCCCACGCTTACGTCCGCAGGTTTGCCCAGGATGGAGGCAGCGGCGGCGCAGAGTCGTTTCTCCAGCCCCGCGGGCACTCGGTTGGCGGGCAAATTCGTGTCCAGCTCCAGGAACGGCATGGCGGGCAGAGGAACGGAAACAGCTCTGGCGGAAGAAAAGCTGGGGGTACCCAAGGCTCGCGGACCAGGGAGGAGGGGCGAGGCGCCACAGCAACCTGGCTTCTCATTGGCTGGACAGAGACTCGGCGCTCCCCGATTGGCTGCCTAGGGTACCTCCCGCTTCTGCAAACAAAAGTCACGTGTGCCGGCTGATTTCCGGAAGTCCCATCGTCTCCGCCCTACGTGTAGCCCCACCCACTACAGGTCTTTAACCCGGTAGTGGACCCACCCTGTCTCCCCCGACCCTCCTGCCTGGCGCCAGGTGGGTTTCCCTCTCAAGCTTCCGCGCTGTGGTCGCCCGGTTCCTAGCCCTATTAGAGGTCTGAACACCACACCCCCGACACACAAGGACACACACACACCTATAGGGGTCTTCCCCAGGCTCGACCCTAATAACCAATACAACGGGAGCTTAAAGTTTTTTTGAATGATTTGCCACCATTTCGAAGTCAGGCAATTTCATGTTCAGTATGGAAATCTGCGCTTGGGCAGTCAGGAGATGTGGTTACTCGCGGGGGCGCGGGTAGGGCTAGGCTCACGACAATACCTGTCCCTGCCTGGTCCCCATTGACATCTGCCTGTGTAGCCTCTTGTGCCGGTGGTGAGCCACTGTCCACCAGGGGGTGGCAAAATATGTTCTTTAAAACATGGAAAGGCCGGGCACGGTAGCTCACGCCTGTAATCCCAGCACTTTGCGAGGTCCAGACGGGCGGATCACCTGAGGTCAGGAGTTTGAGACCAGCCTGGCCAACATGACGAAACCCCGTCTCTACTAAAGATACAAAAATTAGCCGGGCGTGGTGGCAGACGTTGTAATCCCAGCTGCTCGGGAGGCTGAGGCAGGAGAATCGCTTGAACCGGGGAGGTGGAGGTTGCAGTGAGCCGAGATCGCGCCATTGCACTCCAGCCTGGGTGACAGAGCGAGACTCCATCTCGAAAAAACATCAGAAAACATGGAACTCTGTTGGCGTGGCTTAAACATGAGTGTGGTCAGTGTGGCAAAATCACTTGAATTGTACATTACAAATATGATTGAAGTTGTGGTCGAGCAATGTGGCTCACACCTGTAATCTCAGCACTTTGGGAGGCTAAGAAGGGAGGATTGCTTGAGCCCAGGAGTTAAAGATCAGGCTAGGCAACATAGCAAGATTCTCTTCTTTATTTTCTACAAAAAAAAAAAAAAAAGAAAGAAATCTGGGTGCTGTGGTGTGTGCCTGTAGTCCTAGCTACCTGGGCGGCTGAGGCAGGAGGATTGCTTGAGCGCAGGAGATCTAGGCTGCAGGGAGCTATGACTGTGCCACTGCACTCCACCCTAGATGACAGAGTGAGACCCAGGCTCCCCCCTCCCCCACAAAAAAGAAAGAAAAAATTTGCAAGTTTATATGTACAATTTCAACTACGTGTATAAAATTCTCTATAAGTGTGCATACTTAAAGGAGCCTCCACTGAAAGGCCGACAGAGTCTCTGTCTGTCATGATCTTGTCCTATTAGCAGTTTGTTTATTAGATGACTCAGATATCAGAAGGTCTGAGACACACGACAGGTAAATATGACAGTCCTAAGGGGAGAGGGCAGGGACAGGTGGCAAGTCTGGGACCAGGTGTGGGGCATGGACAAGCCAGTGGTCCGGGAGTGGGGTGTAGAGAAGACTGTGGTCAAGGTTATGAGGAGGCATGGGAGAGGGCCAGGAAATAACCAGGGACTTCCCTTCCTGCAAGGAGGTTCATGAACCAGCCCTGCACCCCACTTGTGGAACACAACATCGCCCCACAGTGAGGAGAGAGACCGAGGAGACCAAGGCTGATCCTGATTCAGACATCTTTCCACCAGGTCACCCCTCATCGATGATACATGCTCAGTCCGGGGGTATCCCCCGCAAGGAAACACTGGGGCTGAGGAGCCCAGAGAGGTCGCCTGACCTGGACTGGGGCTGGGGAGGTCAGGGAAGTCTCCCTGGAGAAGAGACAGGGTGCCAAATGCCAAAAGACCAGGAAGGGCACCAGGCGAAGATGAGGAGGGAACAGCATGAGCGGAGGCCAAGAGGCCAAG
This sequence comes from Homo sapiens, assembly GCF_000001405.40. NCBI lineage: Eukaryota > Metazoa > Chordata > Mammalia > Primates > Hominidae > Homo > Homo sapiens. The sequence continues at coordinate 23,964,825 of NC_000022.11, read as the reverse complement.
GTGGGAGCCCAGAGAGGGGTTAGGAGTGTGCAGGCAGAAGGGGCCACCTGGAGGAGTGGGAGCAAGGCCTTGAATGCAAAGTTCAATGACTTGTACTTTAGCTTCTGGGCAGTGAGGAACCATACAAAGTTCCACACAGAAGGTCAGGGTCAAGTAAGCGTTTGCCCAAGCTCTTTTCAGAGGTCACATGGAAGCTAGAATGGAATGGGGTAGGAGACAAAAGGAATGCAGGCATGATATCTGGAGGAACTGTGGACCAGAGCCTTTGCAGATATGTCTTCTCTTCAACCAAGGAGACGGACAGCTCCATGTCTTTATTCTACCAACACAGCATCCCCTCAGTGGCTCAGCAAGTGTGGGACACGCACTCACAGCAAGAAAAGCTGCATTAAGGTCTTCAGATTCTCTTTAACAGCAGGTTCTACTGGAGGCAGGTCCTTGGCCTTCAGGACAGCTGGGAGGGCCTCCTGGAAGAAGTCCTCCCGCACTGCAGCCTCCACGTGTTGGGCACCATGCTGCCACCGTGGGTCCGCTTTCAAAGACTCAGCAGCCAGCACTGATGGGCTAGGGGAAGACAGAGTCAGCGGAGGGGCTGGGCATAGCCAAGTGTAAGGCAGCATGACCTGCTTTAGGGGTTCTCTGATTGGATTTTCCCTCCTCCACCATGTGTGTGATGGGCTAGGATGTCCCCCTCCCTGGGGACACTTGGAAGCCTCTTAATATAGCTGCGGTGAGGGGTTTGTAAAGCCCCATTTTATAGATGAGGACACTGAGGCTCAGAAGGAGAAGTGACTCACACAGGGTCCCACAGCCAGAAAAGACAACATGAGCTGGGATGTCAGCTCCCTTCCCGGATACACCACTGCCCAGCGGGCCACCGCACCCCATGGCACTCTCATGCCTCAGCTCCGTGATTGCCACCAAGCCAGCCACAGAGATACGGGGCCCAGTAAGGAAGGCCTGGTCCCGCAGGAACTTGTCCTCGAGCAGCTGCAAGCATCCGTCCAGCTCAGCCAAAGTGGCCGCCAACATCTCGGGTGGCACTGACTCGCCCAGGAACACAGGGATTATTATCTGGTGGGCCGACAGGCAGAGAGAGGGGTCAGGGTCTGCCCAAAGCCCATCCTGGTTCCCACCATCATCCTATCATCACCAGTCCTTGGGATTTCTGCTCACCTCTGCTCACTTCTTTCCACTCATAGCCACCAGTAGCTCTCATCTCCTACTCAAACAGGGACAGCCTCCCCCTTCTCCCTGGGTCCTCACACAAGGCAACCAGTGGGATCCTTCTGTAATCTCAATCTGCCCGTACCCTCTCTTGCATAAAGCCTTCCATGGCTCCCCACTGCCCTCATGAGAAAGGCCTCAACACAAAGCCAGCCTTCTCCAGTGCGGTAGCCATCCCCTCCCCACTTTTCACCTCACCTCCTACTACCCCCCACTTATCAAACGGGAATGTGTGTATGAATCCTCCCTGGAATCTGGTTACAGTTTATGCTCCCAATCAGTAAGGTCAGAGTGGGGCCTGAGCCTCTGCATTTCCAACAAGCTCCCTGGTGATGCTGATACTCCCAGTCCATTGACCACACTTTGGATAGGAAGAGTCTACACTTGCTCTACTCAACTTCTCTCCATTCTGTCCTCAAACACACCACGCTTCCTTCCCCACCAGCTGGAGGGGGCTCTGCTCCCAGGCCCCAGAGGTCAAGGCAGACACAGTTAAGGTGTGGAAACCTCCTTATTGCCCGATGGATCCTCCAGAGAGGCGGTCCCTTACTTTCAGCAGGGCGCGTGTCTACCTGTTTCATGCTGTCTCACACACAGGGTGCCACCCCTGTGCTGGGCACTGGGTAAGTGCTCTGTACATATTAATTAGGAGTACTCATTTCAAAAATATGTGTGCCTTTGATAAATAAAAACAGTATGTGCATGTTGTGTTGGTGTGTGCTTCCTTGATTATTACTGAAGTTAAACATGTTTTCATCCATGTATTGACCATTTCTCTTTGTCCTTCAATGAAACCTCTGCTGATTTCCTTCGCTCATTTTTTTCCTGTGTCTTCGTCTGATGAGTTTCTCTTCTTTTTGTTTGTTCGTTTGTTTGTTTTGAGACAGTCTCGCTCAGTGGCCCGGCTGGAGTGCAGTGGTATGATCTCAGCTCACTGAAACCTCTGCCTCCAAGGTTCAAGTGATTCTCCTGTCTCAGCCTCCCGAGTGTGCCACCGCACCCAGCTAATTTTTGTATTTTTAGTAGAGACGGGGCTTCACCGTGTTGCCCAGGCTGGTCTCAAACTCCTGACCTCAACTGATCCGCCCATCTCTGCCTCCCAAAGTACAGGGATTACAGGCGTGAACCACCACACCCTACCTGTCTGATGGGTTTCTAAGAACATCTTAAAGGACATTACTTCCTTCTGACGTATCTTTTACCGAGATCCTTCCCAGTTTTTTGCTTAAGGTTAATCCATTTTTTCCTCCACAAAGTAACCTTGTATATGTATTGGTTTTTTCTTTGTTGAGTTCTCCCACTGTTCTGAGGCTTAGAAAGTCCTTTCATACCCAGACATCAGAGAAACAGATCCCGTGAGAGTAACTGGGATTGCAGGTGTGGGCCAGCATGCCCTGTTATCACTCCCTTTCTCTGAGTCAGCTTTTCTCTCTCAGTCTCGTCTACTCCTCGAACTCAGGAAATGTCACTACAGGTGGCCCCAGCTCCCGTTTACCTCCCCATAGGGAGCTCCTCTCTCCAGTTCCAGTTTCAAAACTCCCAAGGAAGCATTCTGGTTCACTCGCTTGGGCCACTGGCCAGAGGGATGGGATACTCTGAAAGATTCAGCTAGAGTCCCGGGCCCAGCCCTGGACCATCACTGTGCCCCCTGGTGAGATGCCAGGGCTGGGATTCAGGGAGAAGAAAGGAGGTTCCCGGACAGTCATTCCTGCCTCCCGCGGCTGCGGGCTCCCTGCCCCCATCCTGTGCACGAAGTGGGAGCTCCCGCTGTCTGGCAGCTCCCGCTGTCTGGCAGCAGCTGCTCTGCAGGGGACAGTCTGGACGGCAGAAAGTTCATCCTTAACCCCAGCCTTCCAGTCAAGGTTCCCACCAGTTTGGGACACCTGCAAGTGTCACATCCCACTGGGTGAAACTCTAAGATCCCTTTTAGGGGATCCCATTCGCTCCCTCCCTTCCGCCACCATGCAGCGCCGAGAAACAGAGCTCTGAACGAACCCTCAGATGTCCGTGCGCTGGGGCCTTTCCAGGACGGCGGCGCCCAGTCGTTTCTGGGTCAGGGCGACGCCTGGAACTGGGCAGGGTCCCTGGCACCGGGATCCCGAAAAGCAGACCTGCTTCTCCCTGTCCAGCCGGTTCCCCTTCCCCTTGCAGTCGGCCCCCTGCATCCGCGTCCTCCCTGCCAGTCGAGGGTCCCCAGCTCCAACTCCACCCTCCCAGCTGTGCGTTCATAGCGACCGCCCTCCCTGTAGGGACGCACGGATCTGGTGGTGGAGTCTTGGCCGGCAGGACTGGACAGGAACCGAAGGGGCGAGGCGGGTCCGGGGGTGGTGCGCTCCAATTGGGTGCTGTCCCCAGGGGGTGGGGCCTGATCCCCTATTTCCCGGCGCGCCGGGATCCTGCCACAGCTGCTGCCCACACCGCGCTCAGCGCCTTCACTGCCATCCCCGCTGTCCTTGCCGCCCCCGCCATGGGCCTAGAGCTGTTTCTTGACCTGGTGTCCCAGCCCAGCCGCGCCGTCTACATCTTCGCCAAGAAGAATGGCATCCCCTTAGAGCTGCGCACCGTGGATTTGGTCAAAGGTGGGCCCAGCCCGTTTCCCCGCGTGTCCACAAACCCAGTGCACCCCCAGGCCCCCGCCCTGCTCTGCCCTGAGCGTCTCGCCGCCCGCACAGCCCCCTCACCTCCTCCTGCAGCGTCTGCCACCAGAGAATGCTGTGGACTGAGTGGCCTTGGAGGGATCACAGCCTCTCTGAACCTTAGCTTGCCTTCTGAAAAGGAGGATAATGTTACCTTCTGCTCTGTAGGGATGGAAAGAAAATACTGAATGGAGTTGACAGAGTTCTTGCGTGGAATGCACGCATATAAATTCACAAAGCCCAGAAGACCTTGGGAAGAAGGACATGCTGTTGTGAGAATTAAGAGATGGGAAGAGATGAGCCACCCCAGTTTGCCTCCCCTCCCCTGGCCCACCAGAGTCCGGCTAGAAAACTTCTCTTTATCCACCTGCTGCACCTGGCCCCACCCACCAAAGCCCCCCAGCTGCCCCGGAATGTGGCAGGGCAGGGAGGCCCAGCCAGGGAGTGAGGCTGATCCAGGCCTCTAGTCCCAGACCTTGCTGTTTCTCAGGGCTGTGGGGCTCCGCTTGGGGAGGAGGAGGGAGGGTGTAGAGGTGCAGCGTTTTTATTCTGAAGACCTTTTCTGACTTCTTCCTCTTCAGGGCAGCACAAGAGCAAGGAGTTCTTGCAGATCAACAGCCTGGGGAAACTGCCGACGCTCAAGGATGGTGATTTCATCTTGACCGAAAGGTGCCCTCCTTCCCTCACCCCTCACCGCATCCGGAGCCCATGTGACCTTGGCTCTCCCCACTGGCCCCGGGCCCCAGTGGCCCTCCCATACCCCATGGGGCAGCGAGGGAGGGGAAAGGCGAGGGATCTGGCCGGGCGCGGTGGCTCACGCCTGTCATCCCGGCACTTCGGGAGGCCAAGGCGGGCGGATCACGAGGTCAGGAGACCGAGACCATCCTGGCTAACACCGTGAAACACCGTCTCTACTAAAAATGGAAAAAAAATTAACCGGGCGTGGTGGCGGGCGTCTGTAGTCCCAGCTACTCTGGAGGCTGAGGCAGGAGAATGGTGTGAACCCAGGAAGCGGAGCTTGCAGTGTGCTGAGATCGCGCCACTGCACTCCAGCCTGGGCGACAGAGCTAGACTCCGTCTCAAAAAGGCCGGGCGCGGTGGTTTACGCCTGTAATCCCAGCACTTTGGGAGGCCGAGGTGGGCGGATCACGAGGTCAGGAGATCGAGACCATCCTGGGTAACACGGTGAAACCCTGTCTCTACTAAAAATACAAAACATTAGCAGGGCGTGGTGGCGGCCGCCTGTAGTCCCAGCTACTGGGGAGGCTGAGGCAGGAGAATGGCGTGAACCCAGGAGGCGGAGCTTGCAATGAGCAGAGATAGCACCACTGCACTCCAGCCTGGGTGACAGAGGGAGCCCACTCCAGCCTGGGCGACAGAGGGAGACTCCGTCTCAAAAAAAAAGGAAAGAAAGAAAGGAGAGGTATCTGGGGAGAAGGTACAGCTTGGGGTGTGACCGGGATGAGCAGGGGCTGACAGAACATGTCCCCCCACCTCTCATCTTCCAGCCTTTTCTGAGCCGCAGGGCCTCTCCACTCCCAGACTGAAGGGTATTAGAAGAGAAGACAAGGGAACATTTTTCCACTGTTGCGCATTTGTTCAACAAATGCTAGCTGAAAAGAGCCTCTAGTGACTTGTTGCAGACTACCCAATCTACCCAGGCCGGGCCTAGAGGCCAATGCCATGGCCCAAGGGCACAGCTCATGGTGAGGTCCAGCTGCTGGGCAGGAAAAGGACAAGAGGTCAGGTGGCTGCAGAAGTGATGGCTGGGGGCCTGTCAGACGGGGGCCAAAGACATTCCTCCCCTCGTGATCCCTGACCCAAGCGCGTGGACATGCAAGGGACTCCACGGAGCATCCACTGTGTGCCAGCCCCATGCAGGGTTCCAGGGGTCCAGGGAGCCTATTCTGAGCTGCACCGCCTCGGACAAGTCACTTGACCATTCTGACCTTGAGTTTTCTCTTGTGCTAAAAGGCTAACAGGAGTGTCTACCTCACAGGGCGGCTGCTGGCATATCACAGAGATGAGGTTCTCAAAATGCAAAGCAGAAGGTCCAGCCAAGAGTCGGTGCCCAAGGCAACAAAGACAGGAGGAGACTCGTAGGAGGAGGGGGTGGTGTTGGGGAGCTGGAGATGGAGGGCGAGGCTGGAGGGCAGTCCTTCAAATGCAGAGAAGCCCCCGGGCCCCACTGGCAGATGGGAGCAGTTAGGGGTAAATGCCTGGTGCCAGTGTCCTTATAGCCACTGCCCATTTGTTCCCAGCTCGGCCATCCTGATTTACCTGAGCTGTAAGTACCAGACGCCGGACCACTGGTATCCATCTGACCTGCAGGCTCGTGCCCGTGTTCATGAGTACCTGGGCTGGCATGCCGACTGCATCCGTGGCACCTTTGGTATACCCCTGTGGGTCCAGGTGAGGAGAGCCATCTGGAGAGTGATTGGCCATCAGGGAGTAGTTGGCAGTAGGCCGGGGCCATAGACTGACCCACTCTCTGCCCCCATCAGGTGTTGGGGCCACTCATTGGGGTCCAGGTGCCCGAGGAGAAGGTGGAACGCAACAGGACTGCCATGGACCAGGCCCTGCAATGGCTGGAGGACAAGTTCCTGGGGGACAGGCCCTTCCTCGCTGGCCAGCAGGTGACACTGGCTGATCTCATGGCCCTGGAGGAGCTGATGCAGGTGTGAGCTCAGCCTGTGGGCAGTGTCCCTCTTCGTGTCACACCCATGAGGCAGACAGAAACACTGAGGCCTGGAGAAAGCCAGAACTTTGCCCAGAATCATAGAGCAAGTCTCTGGATGATCTGGGGCCAGAACCCTGAACTTCTGCCTCCTGCCTGGGTGTGGGGTCTCACCCTGGCTGCTCTTGGGCTCTAAGGCTGAACATACTGCCTGGGCCCCTGTGGTCCATTCACTTAGGGGCTGGGGAATGGACCATGTCTCTGATACTTCTGCCCATGGTTCCAGCATTCGGGTCGGCAGTGACAACTGGGAAAGTTGTATGCCCACAACTTTTTCATCCTTGTCCCTACAGCCGGTGGCTCTCGGCTATGAACTGTTTGAGGGACGGCCACGACTGGCAGCATGGCGTGGACGAGTGGAGGCTTTCCTGGGTGCTGAGCTATGCCAGGAGGCCCACAGCATCATCTTGAGCATCCTGGAACAGGCGGCCAAGAAAACCCTCCCAACACCCTCACCAGAGGCCTATCAGGCTATGCTGCTTCGAATCGCCAGGATCCCCTGAAGGGTCTGGGATGGGGGCCAGGAGATTAGCAACAAGGATTCATTCTGTTACTTACTTGCCCCTTTTTATCTTTCCCTCTTGCCCCAGTCCCTTCTCTCCAGCTTCATGTGAAGCTCTGCACAGACAAGACACTCAGTGTCCTTGGCAGTGCTGCTACTCCTCAGGTGCAGCATACATAACCAGTAAGAGACTAAATCTGCAATATATAAAGAGCTCCTACAAATCAGTAACATGAAGAACACTCAAAAATTGGCAAATGTCATCAGTGTTTTAAACAGAATAAAGATTCCAAACACTTTGAATAGAGAACCAAGAGTTATTGGTTTTACTACATTGTTGTGTTATACATATGGAGTAAAAGTATGTGCTAGTAATCCTCATCATGGTTAATAACAAAGTAACCTCACAATAACGAGTCAACATAATTGTATCACCAGGGCAACAAAATGTTAAGTAAGTAACCAATTCGAATTGCAAACTGTTAAAGGATATAGGCGATGTTTCACAGGGCATAGCAACGGTCTTTGAAGTCTAGGAAACTTAAAAGATTTCTTTTAACAAGCATTCATGTCTTCTAGGACAGTTTTGTAATAACTGCAAATAGTAAGATTATACATTGTCACACAGACCTCCATGTATATCCATGGGATGGACCCCACCACAATGATTTTAACGGAGAGAACTTGATATAAAGAATTGGTAACCAGGCATTAGAGAACTCCGAAGACAGAGAGAATCCAGATTAACACGGAGGTAAACACTGCAAGAAGCTACCACCCCTAGGGCTGGGGGATCAAGGGAGGAATTAGGAAGACCAAGATGCTGGAGGGGCCCTGAAGAATTCAAACCTCCAAGAAAGGTGTTGCTCATCCCCCCTAGTATCACCTTCCAAGAAGGGCAGGTTTCCCCAGTTTGCCCTGAGGTCTTCACAGGAGGTCATGTGGCTGTGGATGCAGTTCTCAAATGTGACAGTAGATGTCACTGCCGACCAATAAACAGGATGTTCCAGACACACTCTGGGCTACCTGCCCACATGTCTTGTGGCCTTACGGCCCCCCATTTCCCAAGCCTGCCCTGTGCCCATCATGTGCCACTCTATCGGGGGACCTGCCCCAATAATCACGTAGGTTCTTTCCTATTTTTCCTAACCGTCAGCCGGCTTGAGAAATAAAGGGAGAGAGTACAAAAGAGAGAAATTGTAAAGCTGGGCATCCGGGGGAGACGTCACACGTTGGTAGGATCCGTGATGCCCCACAAGCCACAAAAACCAGCAAGTTTTTATTAGGGATTTTCAAAAGGGGAGGGAGTGTGCGAACAGGTGTGAGTGACAGACATCAAGTACTTAAGAGGGTAATAGAATATCACAAGGCAAGTGGAGGCAGGGCAAGATCACAGGACCACAGGACCGAGGCAAAATTAAAATTGCTAATGAAGTTTCGGGCACCATTGTCATTGATAACATCTTATCAGGAGACAGGGTTTTGAGACCAACCGGTCTCACCAAAATTTATTAGGTGGGAATTTCCTCTTCCTAATAAGCCTGGGAGTGCTATGGGAGACTGGAGTATATTTCATCTCTGCAGTCTCGACCATAAGAGACAGGCCACGCCCAGGGGTGCTGTTTATAAGCTGATACCTCCTGGTGCGTATTCTCTTTCTCAGGGACGTTCCATGCTGAGAAAAAGAATTCAGCGATATTTCTCCTATTTGCTTTTGAAAGAAGAGAAATGTGGCTCTGTTCCGCCTGGCTCACCAGCAGTCAGAGTTTAAGGTTATCTCTCTTATTCCCTGAACAATTGCTGTTATCCTGTTCTTTTTTCAAGGTGCCCACATTTCATATTGCTCAAACACACATCCTGTACAATGTGTGCAGTTAATGCAATTATTACAGGGTCCTGAGGCCATATACATCCTCCTTGGTTGACAGGATTAAGAGATTAAAGTAAAGACAGGCATAGGAAATCACAACGGTATTGATTGGGGAAGTGATAAGTGTCCATGAAATCTTTACAATTTATGTTTAGAGATTGCAGTAAAGACAGGTATAAGAAATTATAAAAGTATTAATTTGGGGAACTAATAAATGTCCATAAAATCTTCACAATCCACGTTTTTCTGTCATGGCTTCAGCCGGTCCCTCTGTTTGGGGTCCCTGACTTCCCGCAACACCACTCCTAGCCGGAAGTATTCCAAGTAACCATTGCAACTGTCCTGCCTTAAGGGTGCCTGGTGGTGGCTTCTGTCTTAGGTCCCATTCTGGCTCTCTCTTCCAGTGATTTCTCATATTTTGAGGGACACTCTGGCCTGCTTTCCTGGGCCTTTTCCATTACCACCCCCTCTCCCCATCAGGCACTGGGGATGGCGGCCACAGCCTGTGCCTTCTTGATCCATGCTGGCTGCCTTGGGATTGTTCCTTATTGGATGGTTTTGCTTTCAACAGACACTCCAATAAAGTACACGAAATAAAGAATAAAGTTAAACAGTCAGTCCTAGTGCTGTGTAGGTGGCAGTAAGTCTGGGAGAGCGACCTCAGCTGAACTAACCATGCTGTGCATCATTGTCAAGCGGGACCAGCAGGATCCTCAGGTCACCTGGCAGCAGGGGCAGGGAAGGGTCCCTAGAAGTGATCTTGAGTTGCACTTAGTGCTCTTGGCAGAGGGAAGGGCTCGGGCTAGCGCTGGAGGCATGAAGATGGGGTGTGTTCAGGGCTCTTCCGCAGTCCAGGCATGGGAAGGGGACGCTGAGGGCCAAAGGCTGAGGTGACACTGGGAAAGGAACTATAGGAAGGTAAGGACTGGCTTTCGGCCATGTGACTGAATTGCCTGTGTGTGGTGTGTGTGTATGTGTGCGAATGTCAGTGAACTGTGTGTGTGAACGTGAGTGAATTGTGTGACTGTGTTTATGTGTGGGTGTATATGTGTGTGATGTGAGTGAACTGTGTGTATGTGGGTGTATATGTGTGTGATGTGAGTGAACTGTGTGTATGTAGGTGTATATGTGTGTGAATTTGAATGGTGTGTAAATGTGACTGAGCAGTGTGAATTTGTGTATGTGGGTGTATGTGTGTGAATGAGTGAACTGTGTGATTTTGTTGGTGTGAATTGTGTGCCTGTGTGTGTGAGGTGTATGTGTGTGTGTGGGAGTGAACTGTGTGATGACTTTGTATTAATGTCAGTGAATGGTGTGGTTGTGTATGTGGGTGTATATGTGTGTGTATGTATGTGAATTGTGTGTGGGGTTGGTGTGTATGTGTGTCAATGTGAGTGAGTTGTGTGACTTTGTTGAATATGAGTGAGTTGTGTGATTGTGTGGGTGTATATGTGTGTATAGGAGTTAACTGTGTGACTGTGTGTAAATGTTATGATTGTGTGTGTGGGTGTATACGTGTGAATGTGATACATCGTGTGACTGTGGGTGGACGTGGGTGGATGTGTGTGTGAGTGTGGCTGTGTGTCGAACAGTGTGTGAGTGTAAGTGTGCAGGTGGTAGCTGTGGAATTAAGGCACATTAGGGGAATCCTTCCTTGGCTCTGGTCCTTGGTTTCCCTCCTATGAAACAAGTTGGGTGAATTAGGCAGTCTCTGGCATTCCAGGATTTGGTCTCAGGTCTAAACAGAATTTTGTAAAGTGAAAGCAGCATCCCTTGGGCATCCCGGGAGGTGTCCCTGCCCTCCATGGCTCACCGTCTGCCACATGGCCCAGCAGCAGCTACTCTGCAGGGCCATGTGCTGCCATGACAGGTACTGATCCCCATGGGCGCGGGCCTGCAGGTCCTGGAGGTACCAGTGGTCAGGTGCTTTGTACATGCAGCTCATATAGAGCAAGCTAGCCACACTGGGGGGACATGGCAGGGGCAGAAGACATGCCCTGAACACTCTTCAACCGTTTTCTGGGGCATTTTCACTATCCCCATGATGCAGAGGAGGGATGTGAGGCTCAGAGAGGTTAGGTAACTACCCAGGGTCACACAGCCCTACACGGGGCCAGACTGTCATCTCAACTAAGGGCAGCAAGGAAGAAACAAAATGTCATGAACTTCAGCAGGGGCTCAGGGAAGGCTTCCAGGAGGAAGGGGCACCCAGTGTGAGTCTGAAGAACGAGAGCATGTTGGATATCTCCCCAACATATCCAAAGTGTGGACAGGGCCAGGAGCAAGGCCAGCAGGGACAGAGCCTTCCAGGTGACATGGCAGCATTGCTTCCCACCCTGTCCCAACTCCCGTTCACCTATGGTGAAGGGTTGTGCAGTCTGACCCTCAGAGCTCATCATGCCTTTATGGGTGTTGGACCATCCAGTGATCCCAGGCTCTGAATGTGAATCCAGCTCCACCAAGGAGGCACTATGTGGCCTCGGTAAAGGACGCCACCATGCGGCCACCAACCTGGAGGCTGGTTTTGGCTTTCATTTTTCCCACCCACCTCCAACCCTTCAGCAAACCCTGCAGTTAGATTTCAATAAAAGTCAGAACTGACCACAATCCCCCGCAACCCTGCACCACCACCACCTTGGTCTGGGGCTCCAGCGCTGCATGCCAGATGACTGCAGTGGCTTTCTCACCCCTGCCAGGGGGATCCTTTACGACGTAAGTCAGATCACAGTTCTCCTCTGCTCAAAACTCTCCAACAACTCAATCCACCTGCGGTAAGAGCCAAAGCCTTCCCAGTGTCCCATGCTCCCCTCTGTCGTGACCTCCTGCTCTTCCTGCTCACTGCACCCACCCTGGCCCGTTGCTCTCCAGTCTGAACCCCATGCATTGTCCCACCTGGAGCCTTCGCCCTCACTCTTCCCTCCAGTGAGAACACCCTTCTCCTCATGCCTTGCACATTCCTACAGCTCCCTGCTCAGATGCCACCTCCTCCAGGGAGTCTTCCCTCAGCATCCTACTCATAATGACACACACCCCCACTCTTACCCTGTTTATTTTTTCCATGGCATCCATCAACATCCGATATGTTCCATGTTTACATGGGTTACTGTCAGCTCCCCCTTCTATTAATGGAATGTGAGATCCATGAGGAGAAGGACGCAGACACGTTCACTGCTCAAGCCCCAGGGCTTAAATGGGGTCTGGCCCTGGTGGATGTTTAGCAAATAGCCACTGAAGCTCGCTGAGTGGTCCCTCGACTCTCCAGGGAAACAGCACTTGCCCCACAGGATTTGTGGGCAAAATGGTAGCACTAAGATGCCTGGTACAGCCGCTCCTCGAAACTTAGCACTCTCCTTTTTTCGGAGGGGAAGGCTGGCGGTGAGGAGGCCCGGAAGCAGACTGGGCCCTGTGGCCTTGTGCAAGTCCCTCCCCTCCTCCAGCCTCAGTTTCCTCACTTGTACAATGCAGGAGGGGACTTCTATAACCCTTGTCAACACTGGGCACCTCTGCCTGCCTCCACCCATTCTTCACCCTGGGGCTGGTGCAGGGCCCACAGTCCATGATCCAAGCCATCAACAGTGAACAGACAGCCGACTGGCCCCACAAGGCCCGGCAGCAGCCCACGGACCGGTTACCTCTCAGCCAAGGTGAAGTCCCCATCCTTCAAGGCCCGGCACCTTCCTCAGGGGGTTCACCTGGGCAAAGGCATCGCTGTGCTGCTGGCCTGCAGGAAAGATCAGAGAGGTGAGTGGGGATAACCCAGAGTTCTCTGAGGTCTCTGCCCACCCCCACCCCAAAATCCCAGCAGCAGCTTTCTGAGGCCCCTATCTGGGAGGCATCAGGGAAGAGGAAGCCTCTCTGCTAGTCACTGGGTCACAGACCTTGACCCCATCAGAGGGCCATCTTTCCTGTGTCCAGCTCCTTGAAGCATGGCTCAAGGACAATTCCCTGGAGCTGTAATTCACACCCCACCCCCAGCCAGTTCCATCCATAGGTCAGACCCCTCCAGCCTCCTCCCTGGGCTCTAGGCTTGCCCCCTCTGATTCAGCTTCCTATCCCAGCTGGGGACTTAGGCCCTACTGGCCAGGCTGGGTGACCTGTCAATACCCCAGAGTCCCAGCCAAACATGTTCCCAACCCTCAGACCAACCTCATTCTTGCTGGGAATCCCTGCCCCATTCAGCTACTTAGCCTCCGGTGGCTCAGCTCTTCTTGCTTTCTTATGCCAAACTCTCAAGGCTCCCTCCCCAGTGGGGGTTCCCAGGTCTGACTCACTTTAGCACTCTAGGCCAGTGCTAGAGGCCGCATTAGGTGCCTGGTGTTTGGATCAGAGGACCTCAGTCAAGCCAGGCTCCAGTCTGATCATAGGCCTACATGTGGGCCTCTTTGCCCTTCTACTGAATGGACATACACACCCCTGCCCATTCTCCCTCCACAGACTGCTTCTGTGTCCAGCCCCTGTTCTGTAGCAGGTGACTCAAGCTGGTTGTACCAAGGGCAGCAGTTGGGAAGAGTCAGCTGAGCAGGGTCCTCCCTCTGGCCTGCCCAGGGGGCTCTGGCTCTGCTCTCTGCCCTACTGCTTAGTTATAGCCCTGCCTCCTCCACTGAATTGTGCTCCAGCTGCATCTCTGTATGCCAGCCAGACCAGCAAACGCTGGAGCTCAGGGTGAGGGTGCTGGCCTCCCCCACTGCCCTGCCACAGGGCCCTCCAGCCTCTAGCCTCTAGGAGTAGCCCCTTCAGCTGGGTGAGAAGCCCCATGGGATAGAGCAAGTCAGATGCAGGAAAAGGAAAAGGCAGAAGAATGCCAAGAAATACATAAAAGTGGAAGAGACCCAGGGCCAGACATGGTGGTGCATGTCTGTGATCTCAACACTTTAGAAGGAGGAGGCAGGAGGATCACTTGAGCTCAGGAGTTCAAGGTCAGCCTGGTCTACATGGCAAAATCATGCGTCTACACACACCAAAGAAAAAAGTAGCTGGGCACGGGGACGTGCCTGTAGTCCCAACTATTCTACTTAGGAGGAGTAAGTTGGGAGGATCACTTGATCCTGAGAGGTCAAGGCTGCAGTGAGCCGGGATCATGCCACTGCCCTCTAGCCTGGGCTGCAGATTGAGACACTGTAATAAATAAATAAATAAATAAATAAATAAATAAATAAATAAATAAACAAACAAATAATACAAAAGTGGAAGAGACACAGGCAGGGGTAGACAGGGACTATTTTACTTAGGAAACAACGAGGCAGTTTCATTGTTTTTTCCAAGCACATGGGGTGAAGATATTCTTGCCCCACTCCATTTCCCTACCCTCGTTCTGTGCCTGCTGTGCCCTCTCTAAACCTGTATTTTGAAGAATGTTTTGTATTCACAAGCAAAGATCAAGCCTCTATTAAAATAGACAACCAGTGGGGCATGGCGGCTCATGCTTGTAATCCCAACACTTTGGGAGGCCAAGGCAAGAGGATCACTTGAGCCCAGGAGTTCTAGGCCAGCCTCGGAAACACAGCAAGACCTCCTCTCAATAATAATAATAATAATAAATTGGCCAGGCATGTCGGTGGGCACCTGTAGTCCCAGCTACTTGAGGGGCTGAGGCGGGAGGATCGCTTAAGCCTGGAAGGTCGAGGCTGCAGTGAGCCATGATTGTGCCACTGCACTCCAGCCTGAGTGACAGAGTTAGATGCTGTCTCCAAAAAGTAAAAATAATAACATAGATAATTATGTAATAGTTTCCACACCGGAGAGTCTGATTCTTCGTGTTAGTCTGCATTCTTGGCCCAACTGCAAAGCAGCGGGGACAGGCAGGGATCCGCGGCCAATATCCCCTGGGCCTGCCTGCCCAGCCCAGCTTTGGTCAGCTCCACTGTGCGAAGCTCGAAGGGGATGCCATTCTTGGCGAAGATGTAGACTGAACGGCAGGGCTGGGACAGCAGACCCATGGCGGGGGCAATGGGGTGGGGCGTGGGAGGGCAGACCTAAACCCAGGGGACGGGCCCTGGGGACAAACCCGGGGACAGGCCCGGGAACAGGAACTGCGGGCAGGAATGGCTGGTTGGGGGCGGCGGACAGGAACGGCTGGGGGTAGGTGAGGGTTGGGCAGGAACTGCTGGGTCACCGAGCCTGCAGCGGTGCACCTCACCAGGAGCCCCGAGTCCGGCCACGCCCTCTTCACTCATCCCTTGGCTCCTAGAACTTCGGGTCAATCAGTGGCGTGTCTGCTCTCTCACCACCCCTTTCTGGGAATCTAGGCTGCAGGTATATTTCCCACTAAAAGGGAAGAGGAGAGGCTGGGCGCGGTGGCTCACGCCTGTAATCCCAGCACTTTGGGATACCGAGGGGGGCGGATCACGAGGTCAGGAGATCGAGACCATACTGGCTAAAACGGTGAAACCCGTCTCTACTAAAAATACAAAAAATTAGCCGGGCGGGGTGGCGGGCGCCTGTAGTCCCAGCTACTCGGGAGGCTGGGGCAGGAGAATGGCGTGAACCCGGGAGGCGGAGCTTGCAGTGAGCCGAGCTCACGCCACTGCACTCCAGCCTGGGCGGCAGAGCCATACTCCGTCTCAAAAAATAAAAAAAAAGGAAGAGGAGAAAGGAGGTGCAGCAGCCTCCTTGCCCAGTGCCTGGGCCCAGTGCCCAGGACGGAGGCCAGAGAGGAAGGGTGGCTGACTGCCTGCGGGGCTGCCAGCCCCACACCTCATGAAGGAATGAGCTGTCCCTCCCCAGTTGCTGGGGTCATATTTGTTACACTCTAGCTAACGCCTCCCCGAGATGGCTGAGGCCCTGTGAGGCCTATCCAGAGGTTTCCAACAGTGCCTGGCATTGCACAGTAAATTAATCACCATGACACGAGTTTTGCAAAAGAGAAAAGATTTATTCACAGGGCACCAAGCAAGGATGTGGGATAGTAGCTCTCAAATCCACCTTCCCGAAAATAAGGCTTAGGGATAAGCCTTGCTTCCAAGCAGTAGAGCACAGGCCCCAGCCACGCTCCAGGGTAGGGGACCATACAAGGATGTGAATAGCAGTGTCGGCCTTGTGGGCCTACAACGCAGAAGGGCCATGCACTTGGTTTAAAGCTTTGCTGTTGCCATCTTAACATTCTTAACAAGTTAAAAATAAGGGTCCCCACATTTTCATTTATAG
Source organism: Homo sapiens (assembly GCF_000001405.40). NCBI lineage: Eukaryota > Metazoa > Chordata > Mammalia > Primates > Hominidae > Homo > Homo sapiens. Next base: position 23,948,710 of record NC_000022.11, on the reverse strand, counting down.
CCAGTCCTGTCCAAGGAGTTCAAAGATCTCATGAGGGTGGACAGGGCACTGTCTGCTCTGGGCAGTGATGGGACCACTAACAGTTGTTCTCCAGTCTCCCAGCGCCTACCCCAGGGCCACACCTTCCCCTGGGCTCTACTATTCTTTTTTTTTTTTTTTTTTCGAGACAGGGTCTTGCTGTTGCCCAGGCTGGAATGAGTGCAGTGGTACAAACTTAGCTTACTGCAGCCTCAACCTGGGCTCAAACAATCCTTCTGCCTCACCCTCCCATGTAGCTCAGACCACATGCGCATGCCACCAGTCTGGGCTAATTTTTTGACTTTGTAGAGACGGGGTCGCACTTTGTTTCCCAGGGTGCTCCCGAATTCCTTGGCTCAAGTGATCCTCCCACCTCAGCCCCCCACAGTGCTGGGATTATAGGTGTGATCCACCACCCCTGGCCTCTCTCACATTCTTGACATTTAAAGTTACCATCATTGACAAGGAACATGGGTACACTCCAATTTACTCAAGAAAAAGCTCTTTTCTCCATTGAAGAGATATGTGGCCTAACTGCTTCCTACTCTAGTTGAGTCTTCTTGTTGTTTCCTTTTTCTTCTTCTCTCTTGTTTTTTAGAGACGAGGTCCTGCTGTGTTGCCCAGGCTGGTCTCAAAGTTCTACCCTCAAGAGACCCTCCTGCCTTGTCCTCCCAAAGTGTTGGGATTACAGGTGTGAGCCACTCTGTCCAGCCTCAAACTGTGGTCATTAGATCAGCAGCAGTAGCAGCCTTGCCTGGGAGCTTGTTAGAAATATACTAACAGGCTCCCACCCCCAAACCCAGACCTACTGAATCAGACAGAGTTTATTTTCATAAGATCCTCAGGTGATCCAAATGCACCTTAAACTTTGAGGAGCTTTGATCCAGAACCTGAGGTGGAGGCCCCTGGGGGCCACTCTGTTCCTCACAGACTGCAAGATATGTTTTTTTCTTGCCTCTTCTCTCTGTCCCAATGTCTCCTTCTCTCTGTGTCTGACCCTGAGGACCCTATGACATCCTCCCAGGGGAGTTTCCACTGCCAAAGGCCTGATTCTCTAGAATCTGATGGGCTCCTCTAGACACCAATCTCTACCTGGGCTCTTGTTGAAGAAGCCAATCAGCTCATTGGTTGGAGATCACGTGATATACAACATGGCTGCCTTCCAAGCCTTATGTGTGGACAAGGAGATAGGGACAAGTAGGCATATCATGTTCTGATACCTGGGCCATCGTCTCTCCTTAGGCCCCCAGGATACACGTTTATGGGGAGTTTTCCTCCCTTCCCCCAATATGGTCACTCATAACTTTACACCCACCAAACAGGAGTGGAAGCTACAGGGTTTCATGTAAACAATAGGCTAGGCTGTGGGGCTGAGTAAAAGGCACTGGACTGTGGTAGGTCTTACTCCAAGATGGCCAAATGGAAGGGCTTTTAGCTTTCTTTGTTTTTGTTTTATATTTTGAGCTATAATATTCAATTTCTACACTTCAGAATAAAAAGAGCCACAATTTATGATTCATATTTTTTGTAGCTGCTTCCCTATGCTTTTGAACAATGTAATCATATTTTCATTATCAGATATAATTCCCATACCATAATATCCACCCTTTCAAAGTATACTTTAAAATTCAATTGGTTTAAAGCCAATTCAGTGGTTTTTAGTATATTAACAAAGTTTTGTCACCATCACAGTTATCTAATTCTAGATCATTTTCATCACCCAAAAAAGAAACTCTGTACCCAATAAAGAGTCACTCCCCATTCCCCTCTTCCCCTAGCCCCTGGTTACCATTCATCTACTTTCTACCTCTGTGGATAGGAAGTAGCTGCCTATTCTGGAGATTTCATTCAAATGGAATAATGAAATATGTGACCTTTTATGACTGGCTTCTTTCATTTAGCATAATGGTGTCAAGGTTCATCCATGTTGTAGCATATAACGGTACTTCATCCCTTCTTATGGCTGAATAATATTCAATTTTATGGACTTTTTAGCAAAACATTCTAATTTTTACTTCTCTACTGTGCTTATTGTTTGTCTTTCTCCACAACAATGTGAGCACTAAAGGCAGACATTTTTGCCTATTTTGTTCACTACTGCTTTTTCTGCACCAAAAGCATTGCCTGGTTGTGGGTACTTTTCTAGTTTTAGGAAGGAGAAGACAAGATATAGGTCCTGACTCTGGTTCTGCCTCTCATTCATATGCTACTCTGAGGATCCCTTCCCCTTGAAGAACTTGTTTCTTCATCTACAAAATGGGGATAATACTACTACTCATCAGGGTGGTTGTGAGGATTAAACAAGGTAAGAGATGTAAAATTGCATGTTAGTTATCAGATAGATTTGTGTTCCCATCTAGCTCCAACGAGGGAGAGGATTTGCTCTAGTCTGTCCCTCCGGGCTCTGGGCTTCTAATGGGCAGACAGCTTCCTCCATGATGTTTGTAGCTGTAAAGCCTGGCATAGTCCCTCAAGACAAGTTTTTTTTTTTTTTGAGTCGGAGTATCGCTCTATCACCAGGCTGGAGTACAGTGGTGCGATCTTGGCTCACTGCAATCGCCGCTTCCTGGGTTCAAGTGATTCTCCTGCCTCAGCCTCCCAAGTAGCTGGAATTACAGGCACACGCCACCACACTCAGCTAATTTTAAGACAGGCTTTTGGATTTGAACTGCTGATGGTCTTCCATGAACAATTCAACAGAAACCCAGTAGCGCACACTTCCTTGTATGCACTTGCTCCCTCTCTTTACATTTATTACACATTTAATGCTACCTAATAATTCCCTATACTTATCTTTTACTTTATCCAATCATTCAACAGATTCCAACCGAAATACATAGAAGAGTGATATTCCAACTTCATCAGACCCTGAGATTCTATTTTTAACATTTCTTCCATGGATTGTTGAATGTTTCCAATGATTGATCCACCTTCCCTTGGCCTTTTCTACATTACAGATTTGGTTGCATGTCCTTGTCTATGTTGCCAAACTTGCCTCATAGACCCAGCTTGAACACAAGATGGGTGCTTGCTGAAGAGCAGGACTCATTCTGTTGAACCTGCATGTTTTCTCAGGTCAGATTGCTTGGTGGCACTTCTTTAATTTCTTTCAACAGCACATTGTAGTTTGCTGTGTTGAAGTGTTGCTTTTCTTTGGTTAAATTTATTCTAACTATTTTATTCTTTTTGATGCCATTATAAATGGAAGTGTGGTTTTAATTTTGTTTTTGATCCTTTATTGCAAATGTATACTACTGATTTTTGTGTATTAATCTTGTATCCTGCAACCTTGCTGAACTTATTTTATTTTATTGAGATGGAATCTCAGTCGGTCACCCAGGCTGGAGAGCAGTGGCACAATCTTGGCACACTGCAACCTCCACCTCCTGGGCTCTAGTGATTCTCCTGTCTCCACCTCCCGAGTAGCTGGGACTACAGGCATGCGCCACCACGCCCAGCTAATTTTTGTATTTTTAGTAGAGACGGGGTTTCACCATATTGGACAGGCCGGTCTCAAACTCCTGACCTCATGATCTGCCTGCCTCAGCCTCCCAAAGTGCTGGGATTACAGGTGTGAGCCACTGTGCCCAGCCTTGAACTTGTTTATTAGCTCTAATGGTTAAGTGAGTTCCTTAAGAATTCCTATAATGTCATCTGTGAATAGAGATGGTTTTACTTCTTTCTTTCTGATCTAGATTCCACCTTGTTCCTTTTTCTTGCCTAATTGCCCTAATAAGTAGAAGTAGTGTGAATGAACATTCTTGTCCTGTTCCTGATCTTAGGGGGGAAATGCTCCATCTTTCACAATGAGTGAAGTGTGGTGTTAGTTATAGGTTTTTCATAGATGCTTTTTGCCAAGTTGAGGAAGTTCCTTTCTCATCTTCATCTGCTGAGTAATTTTATCGTAAAAGGATGTTAGATTTTGTCAAATGCCTTCTCTGCATTAGGATGATCATGTGACTTTTTATTAACATGGTATGCTACATTGATTGATTTTTGTATGTTGAACTGCATTTGTACTCCTGGGATAAATCCTACCTGGTCAAGGTGTATGATCCTTTTAATATGCGGCTGGATTTGATTTGCTAATATTTTGTGAGGATTTTTACATCTATATTTATAAGGATATTGCTTTGTAACTTTATTTTCTTGTAATGTCTTTTTCTGTCTTTGGTATCAGAGTAATTCTGGCCTCATAGTATGAGTTGAAAAATATTTCTTCCTGTTCTATTTTTTGGAAGAGTTTGTGAAGGCTTTGTGTTAGTTCTTCAAGCTTTTGGTTGAATTCACCAGTAAAACCATCTGGTCCTGGGCTTTTCTTTGTGGAATTTTTAAAAATAATTAATATTTTAATCTCTTTATTTGTTACAGGTCTATTACAATTTTATCTTCCTTCTTAAGTCAGTTTTGGTAGATTGTGTGTTTCTAAAATTTTCCCATTTCATCTAGGTTGTCTAAATTGTCCACATATAATTATTCATAGTATTTCTTTCTAAACTTTTGTATTTCTCTATGACCAATGTGATGTCTCCATTTTCTTTCTTTCTGGTTTCCTTTTAGTTTCTTCATTTTTGTTTTTGTTTGTTTTTTGAGATAAGGTTCTTCTATGTTGCTCAGGCTGGAGTGCAGTGGTGCAATCATAGCTCGGTGTAACCTTGAACTCTTGGACGCGAGTGATCCTCCCACCTCATCCACCCAGTTAGCTAAGACTACAGGCATGCACCACCACACCCAGCTAATTTTTTAAAAATATATATTTTTTAGAAAAAAGTCTCATTGTGTTACCCAGGCTGGTCTCAATCTCCTGGCCTCAAGTGATCCTTCTGCCTCTGCTTTCCAAAGTGCTGGGATTACAGGTGTGAGCCATTGCACCCAGCCTCCACTTTCTTTCTTGGTGAATAATTTGACCCTTATTTTTTTCACTTGGCTATTCTAAGTAAAGGTTTGCCAATTTTGTTGATCTTTGCAAAGATCCAATTTTTGGTTTTATTGATTTTATTGCTTTTCTATTTTCTATTTCATTTATCTCCATTCTAATCTTTATTATTTCCTGTTTTCTACTGGTGTTGGGTTAGGTTTGCTCTTATTTTTCTAGTTCCTTAAGGTGTAAAGTTAGGTTATTGATTCAAGATCGTTGTTCTTTAACTTATGTGTTTACAGCTATAAATTTTGCTCTTAGCACTGCTTCTGCTGCATCCTATAAATCTGGGCATGTTGTGTTTTCATTTTTATTCGCTCAAGATACTTTTTGATGTCCCTTGTGATTTCTTCTTTAACCCATTGTTTGTTTAAGAGTGTGCTGTTTAATTTCTATGTGCTTGTGAATTTTCTAGTTTTCCTTCTGTTCTTGATTTTTCACTTTATTCCACTGTGTCCAGAGAACATACTTTGTGTGATTTCAATCATCTTAAATTTGAGACTTAGGACCAAATATATGCTCTATACTGGAGAATATTCCATGTGCTCTTTAGAAGAATGCTTATTCTGCTCCTGTCGGGTGGAACGTTCTGTTCATGTCTAGTGTATGCGATTGGTTAATCGTGCTTTTCAAATTCCCTATTTCCTTGATGGTCTTCTGTAGTTTTTCTATTACTGAAAGTGGAGTATTGAAGTCACCAACTATTATTACTCACAATGTAACCATATTTAACCCTTTACTTTTAAAATTCTTTTTGGAAACTGGAAGGATCTGTAACCACCACCCACTCCCACATCAGACCCTATGCATATGCCAACTGTCTGCTGCTCAGCAGCTGTGATGGTTGTTCCAGTTCTTTATTAGGCAAAGAACAGTTTTTTGTTTTTGTTTTTGTTTTTGTTTTAGTATTTCCTTTAAGGAAGGTGGCTCAGATTGCTAAGCCAGCCAGGCCCTGCGGGACAGGCTGCGCCTAGGGTCACCTGCTCTTCTTCAGCAACTCAGAAATATTCTCCTTGACCATTGAATCCAGTGTTGAAAAGTCCCAGTCGGCCAACTGCATTAGTCGATCATGGGCCTCCCTAAAGAGGCCAGAGCTGATATTGAGCTCCACCCGCATACGCCACTCAGCTAGCTTGGAGCTGTTGAGGAAGACATTATAGTTGGCTGCCATGGGCTGTGGATAGACGAAGACAAAGACGTGGTCAGTCTGGGGACCAGCCTCACCCGTGTCCTCTCCCACAGCCTCAGGCCCATGCGCCCAACATGTACCTATGCAAAGAATTAGGCTGCTGACCCCCAAGGCCTGAGCAAGGGGTCACAGACTATGTAATAGATGTAGGTGGGGATGGAGGATCCAGAATCCCTCAGAGTCCTTAGTCACCGGTCTTCTTGCTCCAAGCCTTCTGAACCATGCTGAGAGGGCTCCTGGCCCAGGCACCTCCCACTTCTCCAGCCTGCGATCTCGCATGAATCCTGCCTTCTTCCAGGGAAACCCCTTATCCCAGGTGTGTATATGTGGATGAGGGAGAGAACTCAGGTTTTTTCCTCCATGTTTAGCCTCCCACTGTGATCAAGCTCAGGGGCTAAGATGGGAGACCTGGCGGGCAGTCTACCCTGCAGTTTGGCTGGCTCACTAAGAGTGTACCCTGTAGTTTGGTTTGCACCCAAGATCTTTGGGAAGGCCAAGAATGGGTGTGTGTGGGTGAAATGTAAGGGGTGGGGACGAAGCATATGGCTGAACCCTTGGGGCAGGCCAGAATGATTTTTCCTGGTGCTGGTCTGCCCTGCAAACAGACCAAGGAGACTAATTTTCATATCAGCCAGAGATCTCTGGGATAAGGAAAAGAATACTGCATTTTCTGGTCAATCCACCAGGACCCCAGGTCCCTCCTCTCGGGCATATCTCTGGCTGATATGCAAATTAGTCTCTTTGGTCAGTGTGCAGTGCCCTAGCTGGTGTGCAGGATGGCCAGTTGAGACCCTGGCCAGTGTCTTGACAAGCAGAACTGGTCACCCTCCCCTGCATGTAGAGGCCACATAAATGCCCCACACTCAGGTGTGCCTCCAAATGCACAGTGGATGCCCCTCAGACCCAGCCACGAGAGCTGTCCTCCAGAGCTGTCTGTCTGGAGCTCTGGGAAACAGGCAGGGCCAGAAGGACACCCAGGAAGCCAGTGAACATTTCCTGGAGAGTCCAGCAAGAGGAGGAGGTATCTGGGATGCTGGTGGATTGAGCAGGAAATGCAGTGTTCTTCTCTATCCCAGGCTCACCCTCCAGGTCCTCCCACACCGAAGAATCTTTGTCAAGTGTGGAGAACTGTGATCCTTCCTGATTCATAACATTCTGTGCTTCCTGTTGCCCCCAGATTGAGTCCAGGGCCCCAGACCTCGCTCCCGCAGCCCCCATGACAGCTCTGCTTGCCTTTCCCACCTCACCAGCCTATCCTCAAGTGATGGCCCCATTGGTCACAGAGGAGTCCTACCTCTGCCCAGGGTCTACCCCTCCTCCAACCCACTCCACACCTGCATCATCTCCACCACGGCCACCAAGTCAGCCAGTGAGATTTGGTTCCCGGTGATGAACATCTTATCCTGCAGAAACTTCTCCTCGAAGAGCTGCAGGCTGTTCTTCACCTCTTCCACTGCATGCTCCATCTTCTCAGCTGAAACTTCCTCCCCTGTTATCTTTGGGATCAGCAACTGGCCAGGGTTGGGAAGAGGAGGGAAGAGGAGGCTGCACTCCAGGGCCACCTGCCCTGCCAGGTCTCTGTACTCTTGTCTGCTGGATAGATATTGAACACTTCCCAGGATATAAAGCAGTTTCACCTCTTTTAGCAGTTCTGATTGGTGGAAGTTGCCGGGAACCATGTGTTCACAAGGATTTGGGGAGCTCAGCAGGCATAAGTCCTGTGATTGATTAGTGATGTCTGTCACAGGCATAGAATTCAAAGTAGAGACACATGTACTGGTTATTTGTCATCTTCCAATTTTCTATAGGCCTTTACTCTTTTTTGTTTTTGTTTTTTGAGATGGAGTCTCACTCTGTCGCCCAGGCTGGAGTGCAGTGGCACAATCTTGGCTCACTGCCAACTCCACCTCCTGGGTTCAAGCAATTGTCCTGCCTCAGCGTCCTGAGTAGCTGGGATTACAGGTGCCCATCACCACACCCAGCTAATAGTTTTGTATTTTTAGTAGAGATGGTGTTTCACAATGTTGGCAAGGTAGGTCTTGAACTCCTGACCTCAAGTGATCCGCCCGCCTCGGCCTCCCAAAGTACTGGGATTACAGTTGTGAGCCACCGTACCCGGCCTTCTGTGGGCCTTTTGACGCTGAGATTCTCTAGTTCAGAATGAAATGCCTCGAATGCTGTCCTGGGTGAGTCACATCAGCCCCTCCCGTATGCCCTTCCCCTCGCCCTAATAAGACTCTTTCATGCCCATTGTTTCAGTCCACACTCCTGACGGCTCTGTAAGGCGGGCAGGAGAAGGAGCTGAGGAAATGAGGCCCAGAGAGGGAGGGAGACTTGCTTGAGGTCGCCGGCAGTCAGCAGGGCCAGAACTGGCCTCCAGCCTTCCTGACTTCCCTGTGCCCGTGTCCCCAAGCCCCAGAAGTGGCCCTGCTCACCTTGAGCCAGACTATCTTCTTCATGGGCAGCTGAAAGGCCGTGTGTTGCCAAGCCACGAACTCATCCACACGGGCACGTGCGTGCGGGTCTGGCGGGCACCAGTGCGATGGTGCGCTGTACTTGCGGCACAGGTAGTAAAGGATGGCCGCGCTGCAGAAGGGGCCGGTCAGGGGCACTGCCCTTGCCTTCCTGAGTGCCACTACGTCAACCACCCCGGCATTCCTTGACTTGTAGACTTGTTTTAAAATGTACCCGGGATTTTGGCTTTATTCAGGTATGGCGAGGCCACAGATCAGAGGTGATAGCCATTTAAAAGACAGTTTGTTACTCACAGTTCCCAAGATGATAGGGGGGACACGCCACACCATGCAGGGCCATGGGGAAGCACCAGGGCCAGTCAGGTGGCAGAATGAGTGAGGGCGAAAGGTGGACAAAGGGTTTTCTGTGTTTTTTGCAAGAAGGCAAGACAGGGTAAACAGACTTAGGCCTGGCTAGTTTCAATAACTGTGATGGGCTCTAGGTTATAGGAGTGGTCCTTTGTTACCTGGTACCTGTCCCTGGAGTGATTTGGGGCAGGAACCTGCTGGAAGGTGGCTGGTAAAGTTATCTTGGAGATACGAATCGGTTGATTGGCCCATCGAAGGCACACCATAAGCAAATCATTTATTCTCTGTAGGAATTAGCTGGCCCAGGGAGGGGCAGTCTCTCTTGGATCACTAAGGCCTCAAGATGTCAAAGCAATCTGGGCATGGTGGCTGAGGCCTCTAATCCCAGCACTTTGGAAGGCTGAGGAGGGAGGATCACTTGAGCCCAGAAGTTCGAGGCCAGCCTGGACAACATAGTGAGACTGTCTCTACAAAAAGTTTAAAAATTAGCAGGGTGTACTAGTAGTTCCAGCTACTCTGGGGGCTGAGGTGGGAGGATCACTTGAGCCCAGGAGGCCAGGGATGCAGCGAGCCATGATCGCACCACTGCACTCCAGCCTGCACTCAACAAAGTGAGATTCTGTCTCAAAACAACAACAGCAACCACAACAAAAGAAGTTAATAGCTTAGCTTCTGCTGTATTCCAAAATTGTTGCACCCTGGACACACTGACAGCCTCAAAAGGAGGAGTTTGTGTGATCATTGGTGGATAAGGCTGGTCTGTGTAAATCCACTGGGACAAATAGTGCCTAAGCTGCACCTGTTAAAGAACAAGCTAAACACTCTCCATCAAACAAAAGAGGTGCATTCCTTCTGCTGTACTGACCTTGTCCCAGCAATGGGATGTGTGTTTAACAGGATAAGGGGAAATGTGCTCAGACCTGTTCCTTTCAGCTTATTCATTCCTATTCTTATCTATGTTCTTCTCCCCATTTGTAGATCCCTCGTTATGAATCTGGCTCTTATCTCCATAGCCACCAACTCAGCTTTTAATATCTGAAACTTCTAGGAAAGTCTGCAGCAGGGGAAATGAAGGAATTAAAGACACGTCACCCCAAATATGCTGCTTTGGAGTATTAATTATTTTGAGTTGAAGGCACTTGAGAAATAGCACATGCAGGAAAGACTCTCTGACCTGCCCTTTTCTATCTAAGAATAGGCCACACAATTTCCCATAAGAAAGCACCCTCCCTTTACCAGGAAGAGAAGAACATTGTCATCACAGGTGACTGTGAATCAAGGTTCCAATGGATCTGTATAAACACACGACTAAAAATAATCCTTATCTTCCAATTTTGCTCCGCATGTATGTCCTAGTCCCTTCTCCACAATTTACTGCCTATAATCCAAACCGCTTTGTCTTGTCTTTTTTTTTTTTTTTTTTTTTTGAGGCAGAGTCTTGCTCTGTCACCCAGGCTGGAGTGTAGTGGCACGATCTCTGCTCACTGCAGGCTCCACCTCCCGGGTTCATGCCATTCTTCTGCCTCAGCCTCCCGAGTAGCTGGGACTACAGGTGCCCGCCACTGCGCCCAGCTAATTTTTTTGTGTTTTTAGTAGAGACGGGGTTTCACCGAGTTAGCCAGGGTGGTCTCGATCTCCTGACCTCGTGATCTGCCCGCCTTGGCCTCCCAAAGTGCTGGGATTACAGGCGTGAGCCACCGTGCCCGACCTTGTCTTAAAAAAAATTGTTTTTCTATTTAAAGGATAGAAACTTTTTCTACTTTAGTGACTTCTTTAGGCCTTCATTCTCTTGTGAAAGTACCCATGTACACTGAAAATTTAGCAAAACTTGAATGATTTTCTTCTGTTAATCTGTCTTTTTTTTTTTATTATTATTGATCATTCTTGGGTGTTTCTCACAGAGGGGGATTTGGCAGGGTCATAGGACAATAGTGGAGGGAAGGTCAGCAGATAAACAAGTGAACAAAGGTCTCTGGTTTTCCTAGGCAGAGGACCCTGCGGCCTTCCGCAGCGTTTGTGTCCCTGGGTACTTGAGATTAGGGAGTGGTGATGACTCTTAAGGAGCATGCTGCCTTCAAGCGTCTGTTTAACAAAGCACATCTTGCACCGCCCTTAATCCATTTAACCCTGAGTGGACACAGCACATGTTTCAGAGAGCACAGGGTTGGGGGTAAGGTCACAGATCAACAGGATCCCAAGGCAGAAGAACCTTTCTTAGTACAGAACAAAATGAAAAGTCTCCCATGTCTACCTCTCTCTACACAGACACGGCAACCATCCGACTTCTCAATCTTTTCCCCACCTTTCCCCCCTTTCTATTCCACAAAGCCGCCATTGTCATCCTGGCCCGCTCTCAATGAGCTGTTGGGCACACCTCCCAGAGGGGGTGGTGGCCGGGCAGAGGGGCTCCTCACTTCCCAGTAGGGGCGGCCGGGCAGAGGTGCCCCTCACCTCCCGGACGGGGCGGCTGGCCGGGCGGGGGGCTGACCCCCCCACCTCCCTCCCGGACGGGGCGGCTGCCGGGCAGAGGGGCTCCTCACTTCACAGACGGGGCGGTTGCCAGGCAGAGGGTCTCCTCACTTCTCAGATGGGGCGGCCGGGCAGAGACTCTCCTCACCTCCCAGACGGGGTGGCGGCCGGGCAGAGGCGCTCCTCACATCCCAGACGGGGCGGCGGGGCAGAGCCACTCCCCACATCCCAGACGATGGGCAGCCGGGCAGAGACGCTCCTCACTTCCTAGATGTGATGGCGGCCGGGAAGAGGCGCTCCTCACTTCCCAGATGGGATGGCGGCAGGGCAGAGACGCTCCTCACTTTCCAGACTGGGCAGCCAGGCAGAGGGGCTCCTCACATCCCAGACGATGGGCGGCCAGGCAGAGACGCTCCTCACTTCCCAGACGGGGTGGCGGCCGGGCAGAGGCTGCAATCTCGGCACTTTGGGAGGCCAAGGCAGGCGGCTGGGAGGTGGAGGTTGTAGCAAGCCGAGATCACGCCATTGCACTCCAGCCTGGGCACCATTGAGCACTGAGTGAACGAGACTCCGTCTGCAATCCCGGCACCTCAGGAGGCCGAGGCTGGCGGATCACTCGTGGTTAGGAGCTGGAGACCAGCCCGGCCAACACAGCGAAACCCCGTCTCCACCAAAAAAATACGAAAACCAGTCAGGCGTGGCGGTGCGTGCCTGCAATTGCAGGCACTCGGCAGGCTGAGGCAGGAGAATCAGGCAGGGAGGTTGCAGTGAGCCGAGATGGCAGCAGTATAGTCCAGCTTCGGCTCGGCATGAGAGGGAGACGGTGGAAAGAGAGGGAGAGGGAGACCATGGGGAGAGGGAGACCATGGGGAGAGGGAGAGGGAGAGGGAGAGGGAGAGAGCTAATCTGTCTTAGTTTTATTCTTAGGCCCAGATCTCCAGAGACCCTAGGAATGTAGAGGAGAATTTTTTTCCTCCCCAATAATAGCATGGCATACAGCATAGATCCCCGCTTGTTTAGGTCAACTTTAATCGCTTTCAAAAACTTTCTATGACATTCTTCATAAAGATCATGCAGGCCAGGCGAGGTAGCTGATGCCTGTAGTCCCAGCTACTTGGGAGGCTGAGGTGGGAGGATCACTTGAGCCCAGGAGGTCAAGGCTGCAGTGAGCCACAATCGTGCCACTGTACTTCAGCCTGGATGACAGAGCAAGATCCTGTCTGTAAGTTTTTTCTTTTTTAAGTAATGCATGTTTCAGCTCAGACTTATTCCATGGTGAGATATATATATTATATGTGTGTATGTATATATGTACATATGTATGATTGCAAATGATATCTGTTGCATTTTACATATTGAAGGAAGTATCTTCTTGAAAATATTATAAATTTGTGTCAATGTTGCTACTGCTCAAAACCCATTTCAGAATTGGTAATCTACTTACATTCAAAATGAGTGGGGTGGCCGGGCGGGGTGGCTTATGCCTGTATTCCCAACACTTTAGGAGGCTGAGGTGGGCAGGTCACTTGAGCCAGGAGTCTGAGACCAGCCTGGCCAACATGGCAAAACCCCGTCTCTACTAAAAATACAAAAATTAGCAGGGCATGGTGGCGCATGCCTGTAATCCCAACTACTCGGGAGGCTGAGGTACGAACTTGGGAGGCAGAGGTAACAGTGAGCCAAGATCACACCACTACACTCCAGCCTGGGCAACAGAGCAAGACTCTGTCTCAAAACAAACTAACAAAAAAACCCAAACAAAACAAAAAAATACAACATAAAGGAGTCACCCAGAAGGAGGGTGATGCGAAGACACATAGGGGAATGCCAGAACAGAGGCAAAGATTGGAGTGATGGGTGTTAGATTAATCATGGTCTTTATGTCCTGTACTTTATCACGCTTTGACATTTTTTAAGTTTATTTTACATTTTTGTAGAGACAGGGTCTCACTCTGCCAGGCTGGAGTGCAGTGGTGCAATTATATTAGGTTGGTCTAAAAGTAATCATGGTTTTTGCCATTACTTTTATTTTATTTATTTATTTATTTATTTATTTGAGACAGGGTCTCACTCTGTCACCCAGGCTGGAGTGCAGTGGCGCAATCTCACCTCACTGCAACCTCCACCTCCTGGCTTCAAGCGATTCTCCTGCTTTAACCTCCCAAGTAGCTGGGAGTACAGGTGCAGGCCACCATGCCCAGCTAATTTTTGTATTTTTAGTAAAGACAGGATTTCACCATGTTGGCCAGGCTGGTCTTGAACTCCTGGCCTCAAGTGATCCACTTGCCTTGGCCTCCCAAAGTGCTGAGATTACAGGCGTGAGCCACAACGCCTGATTTGCCATTACTTTTAATTAAACTTTTTATTATGGTTGATTGATTTCCTAGGTTCATTCATACATTTTGTTTTGTTTTTTGAGACAGGGTCTCGCTCTGTCACCAAGGCTGGAGTCAGTGGTGCAGTTATAGCTCACTGCAGCCTTGACCTTCTGGGCTCTAGTGATCCTCCTGCCTCAGCCTCCTGAGCAGCTGGAACTACAGGCATGTACCACCACACCCATCTAATTTTTAATTTTTTGTTGTTGTTGTTGTAGAGCTGGTGTCTTGCCATGTTGCCCAGTGCTGGCCTTAAGTGAGTCTCCCATCTCAGTCTCCCAAGGTGCTAGGATTTCAGGTGTGGATCACCGCGCCCGGACTGCTTTGACATCCTGAGGACTTGCTGATCCAAGAGAGACTGCCCCTACCTGGGCCATAAATTCCTAAACTATTAACTTCTAATTGGAGTGCTACCAATTTTTTTTTCGTTTGTTTTTTGAGATGGAGTTTCACTCTGTCACCCAGTCTGGAGTGCAGTGGCGTGATCTCAGCTCAATGCAAGCTCCACCTCCCGGATTCAGGCCATTCTCTGACCTCAGCCTCCCGAGTAGCTGGGACTACAGGTGCCTGCAACCACGCCTGGCTAATTTTTTGTATTTTTAGGAGAGACGGGGTTTCACCATGTTAGCCAGGATGGTCTCGATCTCCTGACCTCATGATCCACCTGCCTCGGCCTCCCAAAGTGCTGGGATTACAGGAGTGAGCCACCGCGCCCGGCCGAGTGCTACCAATTTTTGCAGAGTAATATTGAACTCTTGTTCTATTATTATGGAAAGATTTAGAACTGCCCTTTCTGTCACATAATTTCCAACGCCTGGAAAAAAGGATCTCAATACTGAAAATAACTTAGAATTGTAACATACAAGTGGGTTTTCCCTGATGTCATATCTAGTATGTTCATGTGGTATTACTTTGTGTATAAAAGAGCCCAAGTTTGTAATTTGGCTGACATTTAAAGTGACACCTGGTGATAGAAGGTGTTGGGTATCCAATTCTACATTGACCTGACCATTTAGGTGAGAACCTTTATATAATCTGTTGCCACATAAGATAAAAAGACCAATGTTGTTCACAGATAAGTTCAGAGTGGAACTCATGACCCACCAGGTTGGGGGCTGGTGTCTTGTCACCTATCATGTAGGCATCTGCACACATCCATCTTCCATGTGTCTTTGTCAGTCTGTAGGAGAATGGGTTGCAAAATATCTAATATAGGAGGCCTGCAGTTTGGCCTTGACATGTCTGTGGCTTGGTTTTGTTATGTGACCAAGTTTGTCCAGATTTTTGGTCTACCCGTATTTAATGTCTAGTGTTTGGCAGCCTAATGAAGAGAGCAGATGAGCTACCCCATATTATACAAGGGTGGCTTGTGAGCTTACTGTAACATCCAGTGATATGACAAGTGTTTGTACCATAAGAGTCAGTGCCAGAACCTTCTATAACCTTCATGGGAGGCTTGAGGATGCCACCTGTGGAACCAAATCACAGGATTCAACTGTAATATCATCTTGCTATGTCACCTATAAATCATTCAGCACTATACTTGTTTTTAAAACAAAGGGAACATTTTCTTTTTTTTTAAGATAGGGTCTTGCTCTGTTGCCCAGGCTGAAGTGCAGTGGTGTGATCACAGCTCACTGCATTCTCCACCTCCCGGGCTCAAGCGATTCTTCCACCTCAGCCTCCTGAGTAGCTGGGACCACAGGTGCCCACCACCACACTCTACTAATTTTTTGTGTGTTTTGTGTAGAGATAGGGTTTCACCATGTTGGTCAAGCTGGTCTCAACTCCTGAGCTTAAGCAATCTGCCCACCTCTGCCTGCCAAAGTGTTGAGATTACAGGCTTGAGCCACCATACCCAGCAAATTTCCTTCATTTAATGACTACCTGAGCACAGGACAGACCTTGAGCTTCCATAGAGGTTTGTCCATGTCCAATTAATCCATCAAAAGAAGAAGTAAAGTGATGTTGTTTTCTCAGTTGTGGATGCCACACCCTGTCACATACCCAGTTTTCATAGTTGGCCCACCGAGTCCTGGCATTGGCAGGAATGAAAATCGGTTCAAGTTCTTCTGCATGATCTAGATGTTGACATAACCAGTAATCAGATTAATTAAAGTGGACAAGATTTGGAGAGTTGGTGTAACGGGGTGTCAGCTCTGTTTTTGACCTGTTGAGAAAACAGTAAGGGTTACTAAGAATGAGACACCACCTCAAAGAGAACCCATAGTGTAGGATCAGAGGGAGAATCAGAGGACAGGATTGAGACAAGCAATTTCCAGTCAGCTTTTTAATAAATGGCCAGAGAAAAAGGAGGCTTCATTAAAAGGAAGAGGTTCTTTTGGTTTTTGCTTTTTGGACAAGGAGGCCCAATGTGAGAAAACAGGTGGAAGTGAAGTTTCTTGATCCATGATCTTGAGGAAAGCTGTCTACTTTAAAATGTCATCTGCTTCTGAGGCCTGGGAACCAGTCTGGGAAATCGTTACTTTAAGGTCACCTGTAGGGAGGGTCTTCCAGTTGTCCTCAGAGTGCTGATCTGGGTCTATCTTGGTGTAATTCACATGAATCCAGGAGGACTTTTCCCCAACTTGATGGCAGTGTAGGTGGTTAGCAGTGCAGTCAGGCATTGCTTAATGACAGGGATGCATTCTGAGAAATGCATCTTTAGGTACTTTTGTCGTTGTGTAGACATCACAGAGTGTACTTACACAGACCTAGATGATATAGCCTACTACACACCTAGGCTATATTGTGTAGCCCACCTGCTCCTAGGCTACAAACCCATACAGCATGTTAGTATACTGAATAATGTACATGGTGTAACACAATGATAAGTATTTTCTTTTACTTATATCTTGCATTGTAGGATTTATCACAAAATGTTACTGCCCAGTGCATTTTTGCAAACAATAACAATTCACTGAGGGTATTAACATTCACATATGTAATTAGAGTTTACAAATGCACCAAACTTTGGGTAACAAACACTTTAAACTTGTTTTTTTAGACATTCAGTAAGCCCTTTCTCCCCCCTCCCCAAACCGTTTGATTACAAAGAAGCACAATGGGTTAACTGTGGCAAAACATAAGAAATAAGGCAGGGGAGGCAGGTGCAGCCTTGACAACATAAGAATATCCAAACAATGTTGTCAATATCAAAAGAAAAAATCAAAACATCTTTTATAATATAAAATAAATCCATATAATTAAGTACTAATTAGGTGAAATAACATTATAGGGTATATAACGTTTATTTTCTCTATTTAAATTTGCATATCTTAAATTTATTTGTTTTTATTTTATTTTTTCCTGAGATGGAGTCTCACTCTGTCACCCAGGCTAGAGTGTAGTGGCACAATCTCAGCTCACTGCAACCTCTGCCTCCTGGGTTCAAGAAATTCTCCTGCCTCAGCCTCCTGAATAGCTGGGATTACAGGCGTGCACTACCATGCCCAGCTAATTTTTACATTTTTAGTAGAGATGGGGTTTCATCATGTTGGCCAGGCTGGTCTCCAACTCCTGACCTCATGATCCATCTGCCTTGGCCTCCCAAAGTGCTGGGATTACAGGCATGAGCCACCTCGCCAAGCTGCATATCTTAAATTTAATGTGAAACATCATGTTTCAACTTCGACTTAAGAATATCATGACATACAGTTTTTGGTGAGTCTAGATGTAATGGAATGAATATTTAAATAGACTTCAAAGATTTTATCAAGGTTGTATTTGGTTATCATTGCTTTAAGTCTTTAATGCTTTTCTTTCTTTATTGGACTAAGCCAATTTTAGAAACAAAATCCACAACCAACACACATACAATGCCGATGTTTCTGAAAAAACTAAATAGTATTATGTTTAGTATATCATTAAAATAGTGATTGTGGTTAAACAAACAAGCAAACAAACAAATTACTGCAACTCATAGATGATAAACTTATAGAAAGCAACATTTTAGAAGTTCCATCTGGTGTGTTTGCACTGTAAGAAAATAAATCTGGATATGAGTATGTAGGGTCCAGCCCTACAGGGTCAGTGAGTTTTCTCCTCATGTGTGGAGATGAGAGAGTGTAGAAATAAAGACACAAGACAAAGAGATAAGAGAAAAGACAGCTGGGCCCAGGGGACCACTACCACCAAGATGCAGAAACCGGTAGTGGCCCCAAATGCCAGGCTGTGTTGATATTTATTGGATACAAGACAAAGGGGTAGGGTAAGGAGTGTGAGCCATCTCCAATAATAGGTAAGGTCACGTGGGTCATGTGTCCACTGGACAGGGGGTCCTTCCCTCCCTGGCAGCCGAGGCAGAGAGAGAGAGAGGAGAAAGAGAGAGAGAGCTTACACCATTATTTCTGCTATCAGAGACTTTTAGTACTTTCACTAATTTGCTACTGCTATCCAAAAGGCAGAGCCAGGTGTACAGGATGGAACATGAAGGTGGACTAGGAGCATGACCACTGAAGCACAGCATCACAGGGAGACAGTTAGGCCTCCGGATAACTGCAGGCGGGCCTGACTGATGTCAGGCCCTCCACAAGAGGTGGAGGAGTAGAGTCTTCTCTAAAATCCCCTGGGGAAAGGGAGACTCCCTTTCCCGGTCTGCTAAGTAGCAGGTGTTTTTCCTTGACACTGACGCTACCGCTAGACCAGGGTCTGCTTGGCAACGGGCATCTTCCCAGATGCTGGCGCTACTGCTGGACAAAGGAGCCCTCTGGTGGCCCTGTCCGGGCATAACAGAAAGCTCGCACTCGTCTTCTGGTCACTTCTCACTATGTTCCCTCAGCTCCTATCTCTGTATGGCCTGGTTTTTCCTAGGTTATGATTGTAGAGCAAGAATTATTATAATATTGGAATAAAGAATAATTGCTGCAAACTAATGATTAATGATATATATATAATCATATCTAAGATCTATATCTAGTATAACTATTCTTATTTTATATATTTTATTATACTGGAACAGCTCGTGCCCTCGGTTTCTTGCCTCGGCACCTGGGTGGCTTGCCACCCGCATGAGTAAGATGTGCTTGACTGAATAAATGAGATCCCCAGCTAGCACTGGGCTATGTTCCAGAGCAGTGCATCTGTCCTAATATGTTACATCAGGAATGTTTGTTCACAATCCACCAGCTGCAGGTTTTCATTTACTAAGAATTGAAAGCAATTAATCCTGGTCCATCCACTCCTTCCTCCGTTGTTTTACTATCTTTGCTTTGAGATCAGGTACTTTGTGCCCAGGATTGTGGCAATGCATGTTTACTAAAAATGCATCCATTGATGGTAGAATAATTGTACTAAATTAATAAAGGAAGAGAGTGTCTTCATGTAGAAAACAGAGCACTAAATTATAATTTTACAGTCACAGCACAAGCTCCAGCTCTTCCTAGGCACAGTGGAGCAACCCGGGTCCACTCTTTGTCTGGGATCATGAGCCTCCACTGTATTCAGGTATGCCTGTCCATCATACCTCCCAACAGCATAAAACTTATCAACAAGTAAACAGACCTCCACTGCATCTCTGCTGATGCTCATTGATTCTACTGTAGTCCACATGTCTGTTTTGGGATCAGATGTCTCCACACAATCTGAGAGTCTGGAAGTCAAGTTGGATGTGAGAGCATCATGTTCCCCTATAGCATACAGCAGTCCGCTCCGGGTCGTTACTCCTATGCCACCTCTCCTTTTTGACATCCGTGCACACAGTGTCCATGTTGGGGTGATCAGGCCTAACACCAGGCCGTGGGGGCTACAAAGTCTGGCGGGGTCAGAGGAATGTGAAAAGATAAGTTAAAAGTGCATAAAGTGGGTCCGGGGGGCCGGCACTAGATTGAAGGCTGCAAAGGCCCCGAGCTCTGGGAGCCCACACTATTTATTGGTGATCAAACAAAGAAGCAGGTGGTGAGGATGTGAGGGTAAACAGGTGAGGGCATGAGAACGTGGGGATAGAAAGCTAGTGGTGCATTAAGCGTAGCTGTGACAGCTTAGCACTTCCTTTGATGCATGTAGAATATGCTCTGCTACTTGAGATAATGGAGGACATGTTTACGAGTAAGAAGCAAGGAACCAACAAGTCTGTGCACATTCCAGAGGCTATGAGGAGTTTTATGCCCTGAGCCCTGGGTTCCATCCAAGCCACACGGGGTTTTATGCCCTGGGCTTAGATTTGTGTTGCGGCAGGGCAGCCTTCCACCCTATGGCACAGAGCTTGGTGTACCAAAGGCCATGAGGGGTTTTAGGCCGTGGACCCCGGACATCTTTCAAGACTCTTTTACATTATGACAGACAAGCCAGTCCTGCCTCAGCTCTTCTACCAACAGTCCACTCACTAGTATGAGGATCAAAACATTCTACTGATTTGAGACAAGAACTTGCATCACCACCACCAACTGCATTAAGTTTTCCACTTAGCACTGCCACACCAACTGTGCTCCTAGGAGTAGACACAGTGGCAACAAAATTCCACTGGCGAGCCTGAGGGTCCCAAATTTCCGCTGTGTTCAGATGGCCCCAGCCCTCATGCCCTCCTACGGCATACATGGGACCTTCCAGTACAGCCACACCAAGGCCATGTCTATGTGTGGACATAGGTGGCACCACACTCCCTGTTTTTGTTTTGGGGTTGTAGCACTCTACAGTATTCAAAGTCTTCAGTCCATCTCTTCCTCCAACCACATACGGTTTGTCATCTAGCACTGCGACACCAAACTGTAGCCTCCTCTCATTCATATTTGCTACTGGAGTTCATGTATTTGTACAGAGGTCATACTTTTCAATGCTTGTTGCTCCTTTTGTTGAATCCATTCTCCCAACTGCAAATAATGTACCAACAGTTGATTTCCTAGATTTTGCCTGAGGACTTTGTAACGTGGGTCATCTCTCTGGTAATACATGGTACTTCATTGCTTCCATAATGAGTTTCTGACATTCTATATTATCCCAAAAAAGTACATTATTTTCCATGTCTGCCAGGAACTGTGGTGAAAGAAGAGGTAGCCTAATATTAGCCAAAAGTTTACTTAGATCTTTCCATCTCTGTTCCAAATCATGACAGACCCAAGTAAGAAGTGGAGTCAATATTGTCTCATCAGGAATGTTCATGTCATCACTAGTCAAGAACTTTGCAATTTTGCTGGCTGGTAATAATACAAATTCCTGGTTTCTGATTACTTTCATGAAATGCTCAATAGTATAATTGTGAGCCACTTTATGCAAATCTGTACAACCTTAGGCATCAGCAAAAGAACAAATTCCAAGACAGCTGGATGGGTGAAGCTGTTTCATTAAAAACTTATGACATGTGGCCTGGTGCCCTGGCTCACGTCTGTAATCCCAGCACTTTGGGAGGCCAGGGCAGGCGGATCACCTGAGGTCAGGAGTTCAAGACCAGCCTGGCTAACATGGTGAAACCCCGTCTCTACTAAAAATACAAAAAAGTACCTGGTCGTGGTGGCAGGCGCCTATAATCCCAGCTACTCGTGAGGCTGAAGTAGGAGAATTGCTTGAACCTGGGAGGCGGAGGTTGCAGTGAGCTGAGATCTACACTGGGCGGCAGAGCGAAACTCTGTCTCAAAACAAACAAACAAACAAAAATTTACAACATGCTTCTACAGCCTGTGAAAGCTGAAGAAGGCAAGCTGTAGATAGCAGGCACTCAGTATTATCTTCTTTTAATTCAAGGCGGGTTGTATAAGCATATTGGATCAAGGACCACGATGAATTTGGTTCTACACCTTCCATTTTTATGTCTTCTTGTCTTGCTTCTCTGACATCATTAGTAAACATGGCAGCAAAATAGTCTGAGCCAGAGGAGAGCACCAATCTGTGAGCTGGAATTCTGCCATCACCAGCAACTAAAATTACATCGCACAACTGTTTATGTCTCAAACAGTTTTCCATTTTTTTAAATGTTTGTTCGGCATAATTCAGGGCTTGGAAAAATTCATGATGAACATGGCTCCATAATATGACAGGATGATAACGTCTGACTACTACTGGAAGTCCGCGTCGGGCTCCGGAGGGAGTCACAGCAGGCCAGGGTGGAGGAGTGGGGGAGGCGAGGGCAGAGAGGGATGCTCGTGTGCCCCCAACCCCTTCCTGGCAGCCTCATCTACGGCGTTGGTGGCCCCAAGCTAGACAATCTTGCTCCATCAGGTGGCACCAGGCGGTGGGGGGTGGGTGGTCAGAGTCCTCAGGTAGCCCCAGAGGGGTGGGTGAGTGGATGGGGGTCCAGACTGGCTCGCCTATCAGTCCCCGCACTGCGCAATCGGCTGCCCACCCAGCCCACACAATGATAAGTATTTTTGTATGTAAACATATCTAAACATAGAAAAGCTACAGTAAAAATATGGTATTATAATCTTTTTTTTCTTTCTTTCTTTTTTTTTTTTTTTTTTTTGAGACAGGATCTCACTCTGTTGCCCTGGCTGGAGTGCAGTAGCATGATCATGGCTCACCGCAGTCTCGACTTTCCTGGGCTCAGGTGAGTCTCCCACCTCAGCCTTCTAAGTAGCTGGGACTACAGGTGCGCATCACCATGACTGGTTTATTTTGTATTTTTTGTAGAGACAGGATTTCACCATGTTGCCCAGACTGGTCTCAAACTCCTGGGCTCAATGATCTACCCGCCTCTGCCTACCAAAGTGCTAGGATGACAGGTGCGGTGGCTCACCGGCATTATAATCTGATGGGGACACCATTGTATATTCGGTCCATCGTTGACCAAAACATTGGTGACAGTGCATGCTTTCTTCTAAAAGCCTTGATTTACACCTAATCTCCTGGTCAAAAAGGATGGCAAGGCTTGTTAGTTGGCAGAAGCTATGCCCTTTTTACCTGTTGATGATTTATATGCTCCAAGATTACTAGTTAGTTCCTTTATGTAGCTGTCATAGCATCACATTGTTCACTTAAGAAGTCCCCATAATCCAGGGATCACTCAATGCAGGAATGAAAGGTTTAGAGATGCCAATAGGCAAAGGGAAACCAAGCACTATTTCAAAAGAAGTTAATCCACGCCTCCCATTTGGAGCATTCTAAACTTCATAAGGGGTAAAAGGCAACAAGAGGTAATGTTTTTCCTCCCTTCAATTCAGTTTCCTGACAGATTTTTCCTAACGTCTTTTTTTCTTTTTCTTTTTTTTGAGATAGAGTCTCACACTGTCGCCCAGGCTGGAGTGCAGTGGCACAATCCTGGCTCACTGCAACCTCTGCCTCCCAGGTTCAAGTGATTCTCCTGCCTCAGCCTCCCAAGTAGCTGGGATTACAGGGGTGTGCCACCACCCCCAACTAATTTTTGTATTTTTAGTAGAGACAGGGTTTCACCATGTTGGCCAGGCTGGTCTTGAATTCCTGACCTCAAGTGATCTGCCCACCTGGGCCTCCCACAGTGCTGGGATTACAGGTGTGAGCCCCGCACCCAGCCTGTTGAATATAAAAATGCTCCAGGAATAAATGCTTGGTGCCACAAAGTGAAACCAGCACTCAGGCAAAAGTTTTCACAGCAAGGCAATTTACTTCTGCAGAAGGGTGCCACTCCCGTCAATCAAGATCGCAAGAGCACACCAAACAAAGGGGAGCAGGGGGTTTTTATCTCTGATGCATAGTCCTTACCTCTGTGTCACTCCCCCATGGGCTGGGGTTGGACTGCACAATCTGAGCTGATCCAATTAGCTACTTGCAAATATTGTTCTAAATATGGAAGGGAAAGTGTACGTGAGGTACAGTGGTGAAGCATGTAAGACATGCAGTTTTGGGGGAACAACGCGTACAGATAACCAAGGGAAAGGATGTGAGTTATTGATTAGAGCTGGTGGGAAGGGGGTAAGCTGTTTTACAGTAACTAGGGGCAAGGAGGAACAGGAAAGTTAAGTTTGAGAACAAAGGACAAGGAAGTTAGCAGGCTAAATCTTTGAAGAGAAACTCAGAGAAATTCATTGTATCTTACACAGCCTAATGTCCTTTTTATGTCTAAATTTTTACATTTCACTTGAGCTGAGGATTGGGGGTGGTATGGGGTGTGAAATTTTAACGAGTACCCCAAAGGAGTTTTTTTTTTTTGCAATCGAATTGTTTATTTCTGCTGTAAAATGAGTTCCTTGGTCTGACTTAATCTGTAACAGAAAGCCAAAATGAGAAATAATCTCAGTTATTAATTTCTTTTTTTTTTTCCAACATGGTCTCTCACTGTTGCCCAGGCTGGAGTGCAGTGGTGCGATCTCGGCTCTTTGCAACCTCCACCTCCCACGTTCAAGCAATTCTCCTTGCCTCAGCCTCAAGTAGCTGGGATTACAGGAGCCCACCACCACGCCCAGCTAATTTTTTTGTATTTTTAGTAGAGACACAGTTTCACTATGTTGGCCAGGCTAGTTTCAAAATCCTGACCTCATGATCTGCCCACCTCTGCCTTCCAAAGTGCTGGGATTACAGGTGTGAGCCTCCCTGGCCAGCCGAGTTATTAATTTCTTCACCAGTGTTGTGGTATCAGCACATCCAGTCCGGTGGCATTCAATCCATCCACTAAACATTCAGACAGTAACCAAACAGTGGGAATGCCCTAAAGCCAGAAGTAAATCAACAAAATCCATCTGGAGTCCTGCAAGGGGCAGTGTGGGCCTTGGAGGACTCCCCGAGGAATGTTGGTTTCCTCCAGAGATTCCATGAGATTTATAAGTTGTGCACTGGGAAACAGTGTGGCCAGAAGTTTTGTGGATGCCAGGGTAGAACTAATTATATTTTAGTTCCTTTGCTATCCTCCATCTCCATATGTCCCATTTGATAAGTGCAAGCCAAAAGGTCAAAAGAAAGGAAGCCACGGGAAGTCTATTTGGTCCAATGTATCATCTGTCTGGTAATTATTTGCTGTCCTTTTGAATTCATTTGTCTTTTTCAGATTGTGGGGCATTTGCCTGGTA
Organism: Homo sapiens; assembly: GCF_000001405.40. NCBI lineage: Eukaryota > Metazoa > Chordata > Mammalia > Primates > Hominidae > Homo > Homo sapiens. The sequence continues at coordinate 23,924,012 of NC_000022.11, read as the reverse complement.
ATACTAACAATAATCAATAATATCAGTCAGGGATAAAGACACAGATAAATTGCATGGAAAAAGGATGGTGGGGGGATCCATTTCTGGCTGTGTATTTCGCTGCCTTGTTGGCCCTATCATTCTCTAGAGATACAGCATCAGGGCCAGGTGTGGTGGCTCACGCCTGTAATCTCAGCATTTTGGGAGGCTGAGGTGGGCAGATCACAGGATCAGGAAATCAAGATCATCCTGGCAAACATGGTGAAACCCGTCTCTACTAAAAATACAAAAATTAGCCGAGTGTGGTGGCATGTGCCTGTAATCCCAGCTACTCGGGAGGCTGAGGCAGGAGAATCGCTTGAACCCAGGAGGTGGAGGTTGCAGTGAGCCAAGATCGTGCCACTGCACTCCAGCCTGGGCAACAGAGCGAGACTCCATCTCAAAAAAAAAGAAAAAAAAGATATAGCATCAGTCTCCTTAGTATGGGCTAAACAATGAGCAACAGCAATTTTTCTTGGGAGGTGAATAGCCTGTAGTAGGGCAAGAATTATATGCCCATTGGTAACAGGAGTACCAGTAGCGTTTAAGAATTCTCAGGATTGGTCATGAATGGTGGCTCATGCCTGTAATCCCAGTACATTGGGAGGCTGAGGCAGGAGGATTGCTCTAGGCCAGAAGTTCAAGACCAGCCTGGGCAACATACTGAGACCCCCATCTCTCCAAAAAAAGAATTCTCAGGATTTCCAGATTGCACCAATGGTCAGCAGACTCCAACTGGAGTTGGTATAAATAGTGGCAGTTTTCCCTTCTGCCAATGCGCAAGCTCTAATAAGAGCTATAAATTCCCCAGCCTGGGGTTTACTCTACTGTGGGCAAACAGGACCTCAAGTGTTTCCTGTGGGGAAACTATGACATAGCAGTTATTGTGTTCCCCCAGAAACCTCGTTTATGGGAGCCATCACAAAATAGGAGTGAGTCTGTGTTGTCTAAAGGGTGCACAACAGGTCTCATGACCTTGAGACCATTTCTATCATTGGAAGGCAATCATGTGGAATGGAGTAGGGTTCTCCATCATCAGGGAGGGCTAATAGAGTAGCCAGATTGTTTTTGTTTTTGTTTTTGTTTTGAGACAGTCTCACTCTGTTGCCCAGACTGGAGTACAATGATGCAATCTCAGCTCACTGCAACCTCTGCCTCTGGGCTCAAGCAATCCTCCCACCTCTGCCTCCTAAGTAGCTGGGACCACAGGCATGTGTCGCCATGCCCAGCTAATTTTTGTATTTTGTGTAGAGACAGGGTTTTGCCATGTTGCCCAGGCTGGTCTCGAACTCCTGGGCTCAAGTGATCCACCCGCCTCAGCCTCCCAAAGTGCTGAGATTACAGGTATGAGCCACCATGCCTAGCCGAGTAGCCAGATTTACAGTGGCACAATGATGTAAGATAATGGAGGGTTTGGTTAATAGGACCTGTTCATAGGTCTATTGCCATGTGGAGAGGTACTATGTCTTATGAACTTGGAAGATGGACAGCATGGGGAACATAACAGAAAATGGATAAGCCTAACATGAGTGCTGGCTTTGTCAGTTACAGAGTCAGCTGCAGCCATCACATGCAGGCATGAGGGCAGGCCTGCTGCCACAGGATTCAATTGGCATGAGAAATATAGGATATATCTGAGAGGCAAAAGGTTGCATAGAATACCTCCAGCAATTCCATTATTTTCATGGTAATAGAAGTGAAAAGATTAGTCAAAATTCAGTAAGCCAACATCAGAGGTATGGGAAATGCTAATTTTAAGGCTACAAAGGAGGTTAGTGCCTCTCAGGGCCAGAAAATGGGTGCTGGGATGGTGTCTTCAAGGAGGGCATACAGAGGTTTGGCAAGGGCAGCAAAATTAGAAATCCATTGGTGACAATAGCCAGCTGTCACTGGAAATTTTTGTAGTTTTTGTTTGTTTGTTTTTTGAGACGGAGTCTCGTTCTGTCGCCAGGCTGGAGTGCAGTGGTGCAATCTCAGCTCACTGCAAACTCCGCTTCCTGGGTTCAAACGATCCTCCTTCCTCAGCCGCCCGAGTAGCTGAGACTACAGGTGCCCGCCACCACGCCCAGCTAATTTTTTGTATTTTTAGTAGAGAGAGGGTTTCACCATGTTGGCCAGGATGGTCTGGATCTCTTGACCTTGTGATCCGCTGCCTCGGCCTCCCAAAGTGTTGGGATTACAGGCATGAGCCACTGCATCTGGCTTATTTGTTTGTTTTTGAGACAAGGTCTTGCTTTGTCACCAGGCTGGAATGCAGTGGTGCAATCATGGCTCATTGCAGCCTCAACCTCCAGGGCTCAAGCAATCCTCCCACCTTGGCCTTCCAAAGTGCTGGAACTACAGGCATGAAACCACTGCGCCCAGCCGTATAAAGTTGTTTTTTTTTTTGTTTTGGGGAGAGAGATAAACAAAATTGACTTAAGACATTTGGGGGTGAGCTTCTGAATGCCCTGAGATAGCTCATGTCCCAAGTAGGTAATAGTTGTTTGTACCCACTGAGTTTAGATTAGAAGGCTTCATGGCCTTCTTCAGCCAGCACCTTTAGGAGAAGGAGGAAGTCTGTAAGAGCATCCTGCTTAGTATATTTTCTTTTATTTTTCTTTCTTTCTTTTTTTTTTTTTTGAGACAGAGTCACACTCTATCACCCAGGCTGGAGTGCAGTGGCATGATCTTGGCTCAGTGCAACCTCTGCCTTTCAGGTTCAAGCGATTCTCCTGCCTCAGCCTCCTGAGTAGCTGGGACTACAGGGATGTGCCACCATACCCAGCTACTTTTTGTATTTTTAGTAGAGATGGGGTTTTGCCATGTTGGTCAGGCTGGTCTCGAACTCCTGACCTCAGGTGATCTGCCCGCCTCGGCCTCCCAAAGTGCTGGGATTACAGGCATGAGCCACTACGCCTGGCCTGCTTAGTATATTTTCTTTTTCTTTTTCTTTCTTTTTTTTTTTTTTTTTTTTGAGACAGAGTCTCGCTCTATCCAGGCTGGAATGCAGTGGTGCGATCTCAGCTCACTGCAAGCTCCGCTTCCCGGGTTCACGCCATTCTCCTGCCTCAGCCTCCCGAGTAGCTGGGACTATAAGCGCCCGCCACCACACCCAGCTAATTTTTTGTATTTTTAGTAGAGATGGGGTTTCACCGTGTTAGCCAGGATGGTCTCGATCTCCTGACCTCAGGTGATCCACCCGCCTCGGCCTCCCAAAGTGCTGGGATTACAGGCGTGAGCCACCACACCTAGCCTGCTTAGTATATTTTCAAAGTAAAAGATCAACATATTGGCAAGAGTGGAACCTTGGGTCAAGGCTACAGAATCTAAGTCAGCTTTAAGAACTTAGGAAAATATTGAGGGAGACTCACAATGTCTCTGAGATGTGTGAGTCCATGTTAACTGTCTCCCTCTCAGTGTAGTTGTATAACCATACCAGATCAATCTGGTTCAACTTTTATGTAACAAAGTTGTGAGCTGCATACCTGGTTCATCTGGGCACAGTCAGGGTAAGTGACCTTCAACCTGAGGATCCACAGCAACTGAAAAAAAACTCACAACTTTGACTTTGTTACATAAAAGTTGAGCCACAGTGGGCACCGTGGCTCACACCTATAATCCCAGCACTTTGGGAGGCTGAGATGGGAGGATTGCTTGAGCCCAGGAGTTCAAGACCAGCCTGGGCAACATGGCAAAAGCCTATTTCTACAAAAAAATTTTAAAAATTAGCTAGTCATGGTGACACACACATGTAGTCCCAGCTACTTGGGAGGTTAAGGTGGGAGGATCACTTCAGCCTGGAAGGTCAAGGCTGCAGTGAGCTGTGATCACACCATTGTACTCCAGCCTGGTTGACAGAGCAAGACCCCATCACACACACGCGCACACACACACACACACACACACAGAAAAGCTGAGCCAGATTCGGTTGGACACAGTTACAAATCCCCCTTGAAACACCCCACCCCTCATTCTTGAGCGGTTAGGGATGAAGGTCATTCTTCTCTGTCTACTTCATGCTGACAGGGAACAGTGAGGCTACTAAAGTTAGAGGAGTGAAATTCTCAGGCTCCTGAGTTCAAATAAGTTTTTTAGTCATCTGAAGTTGCTCAAAGGAGCTGGTATTGCTGCTGTTACACAAAATGAGGACACAAACTGTACTATCAATTTAAAATACAGGGACCGAAAAGTAACAGAACAGAGGCCACTAGAGGCCACAGCAGAGGAAGAAACGAGGTGAAGTGAGGTACAGCAGACTTCACTGCATTCCAAGATAGCTCGTTGGTTGAGCTACCCTTCTGGTTGAAGGAATGCAGCTGTTCTACTTGTTTAAATATTTCCTTTCTTTTTTTTCTTTCTTTCTTTTTTTTGAGATGAGTCACGCTCTGTCGCCCAGGCTGGAGTGCAGTGGCGGGATCTCGGCTCACTGCAAGCTCCGCCTCCCGGGTTCACACCATTCTCCTGCCTCAGCCTCCCTAGTAGCTGGGACCACAGGCGCCCGCCACCACGCCCGGCTAACTTTTTGTGTTTTTAGTAGAGACGGAGTTTCACTGTGTTAGCCAGGATGGTCTCGATCTCCTGACCTCGTGATCCACCCGCCTCAGCCTCCCAAAGTGCTGGGCTTACAGGCTTGAGCCACCGCACCCGGCCCCTTTCTCTCTTTTTTTTTTTTTTTTTTTTGAGACAGAGTCTCGCTCTGTCACCCAGGCTAGAGTATAGTGGCACGATCTTGGCTCACTGCAACCTCTGTCTCTTGGGTTCAAGCGATCTCCTGTCTCAGCCTCCTGAGTAGCTGGGACTACAGGCGTGCACCACCATGCCCAGCTAATTTTTTTGTATTTTTAGTAGAGACCAGGTTTCACTATGTTGGCCAGGCTGGTCTTGAACTCCTGACCTCAAGTGATCCACCCACCTTGGCCTCCCAAAGTGTTGAATATTTCTTTTACATTAGCCTCTATTTCCTCTGGAGGCATTTACCCAAGTGCAACAGGAGGTATTGGTGCCACACACAGCCCTCCCGTTCTGCTAGTAAATAGTCTAAGGCCAATCGCTTTTCTGACACTACATTGGCTAGTGAATTTAGAGAAATACATATATTTTAGAGAGCCTCTCCAGTTTTAGCTGCCAGAGCCTTGGGTATTCAGATTAAATTTCTTAGGGTGACTTCATAACAGGCAACCCCCCCGCAAGAAAGGGCAGCCAACCCCACAGCAAGTCCGGCAGCTTCCATGGTTTGTCCAATAGCCCCCGTCCTTTTTTTTTTTTTTTTTTGGTCTCTTATGATGGCTGGTTGCACTATGGGCTGTTACCCTGATAGGCCCCAGAAGCCCACAGTACACTGTCCTAGGCATATTACATTGCCGAAACAAGGGTGAGCCACTGCAAATACTCTTTTGTAGCATGTTTGCCTCTTTTCTCCTTTTCCTGAGCAATTTAAATAAACTTGGCCTATTCTCTTAGTGACATTGCCCTTAGCAGGTGAGGTCCACACAACCCTGTGATGTTAATGACTCCTCTCAAAGGATTAGCAACAGGTCACCCCATCCAAGTGTGGGGAAGCCTATGGCACATCCAACATTTGAACAGATTGTTCCCACCAGCTGTGATACAGGAGACCTTGATTATTATATTGGCCTCCCAGAGATCACTGGCCAAGGCAACTAAAAGGGCCAAAAAGCAGGCTGGGTGCGATGGCTCACGCCTGTAATCCTAGCACTTTGGGAGGCTGAGGTGGGCGGATCAAAAGGTCAGGAGTTCGAGACCAGCCTGGCCAGCACGGTGAAACCCCGTCTCTACTAAAAATAAAAAAATTAGCTGGGCATGGTGGCGCACATCTGTAGACCCAGCTACTTGGGAGACTGAGGCAGGAGAATCACTTGAACCTGGGAGGCAGAGGTTGTAGTGAGCCGAGATTGCGCCACTGCACTCCAGCCTGGGCGACAAGAGTGAGACTCAATCTCAAAAAAAAAAAAAAAAAAAAAAAGGCCAAAAAGCATAGGGGCCATTTTTAGGTGTTTTATGAAGGGATTTGCCACCACCTAAGCATCTCCACAGTGTAAAAGGGCAACAGCATGAGGGTTCCTGCAGGGATAAAGAAGATGCCTACTATGGCAAGAGAATGGCAAGGGGCACACTTGACTTATCTGAGCCTTTTCTTCTAAAAACCAATTTGAGGTCTGAGATGGGTTCACAAATGTATGCTGGGGAGGCATCTTCTGGGGGCTCCTGGGCTTTCACTCTTTTTTTTTTTTTTTTTGAGACAGAGTCTCTCTATGTCACTCAGGCTGGAGTGCAGGGGTTCAATCATAGCTCACTGCAGCCTCAAACGCCTAAGCTCATGGGATCTTCCCGCCCCAGCCTCCGTGCACCACCAATTAGCGGTGCCTGGCTAATTCTTTTACTTTTTGTAGAGACAAGGTCTCACCATGTTGCCCAGGCTGGTCTTAAATTCCTGGCCTCAAGTGATCCTCCCCCATCTGCCTCCCAAAGTGCTGGGATTACAGGCGTGAGCCACCATGCCTGGCCTCTTCACTCTTGAGTGATGGATCCAAGGGGTTACTTCTTGGAGTTTAAGAGAAGAATGAGTGGTTAAAAGTGTTAGGTTGGGCCCCATCCATAGCGGGCTGAGCTGGTCCTGGGAGTACTCAGCCTTCTGGGTCCTGAGGTATACCCAGTCTCCTGGGTTGTACAGATGAAGTTTTACCCCAGAGGGGACCAGGAGGCTGGGGTTGCTGAGGTGGTTGAGAATAGCAACAAATGACTCCAGATGAATAACATAATATGCTTCATCACCCTTTCTATCTCCTCATCTGGGCAAGAGAAGGGGCTGGCCACGCCTGGATAAGGCCTTACATATTAACATTTCTTTTTTTTTTTGGAGACTGGGTCTGTTGTCCAGGCTGGAGTGCAGTGGCGTCATCACAGCTCACTGCAGCCTTGACCTCCCTGAATTCAAGCAGTGTTCCTCCTTCAGCCTCTCAAGTAGCTGAGATTACAGGTGCGCACCACCACGCCTGGTTTTTATTATTATTTTTTAAATAGGGAGGAAGTCTCACTATGTTGCTCAGGCTGGTCTCGAACTCCTGGGCTTAAGTGATCCTCTTCACGGGTGGGCCTCTCAAAGTGCTGGGAATACAGGTGTGAGTCACCACGCCCGGCCCCATATAATCTTACCTTCCCTCCCCTCGCCTTCCCTCCCCTCCCCTTCCCTTCCCTTTCCTTTCTTTCTTTTTTCCTTTTTTGAGACAGAGTCTTGTTCTGTTGCCCAGGCTGGTCTCGATCTCCTGGGCTTAAGTGATCCTCTTCACCAGTGGGCCTCTCAAAGTGCTGGGAATACAGGTGTGAGTCACCATACCCGGCCCCATATAATATTTCTTTCTCTTTTTTTTTTTTGAGACAGAGTCTTGCTCTGTCGCCCAGGCTGGAGTGCAGTGGCGTGATCTCGGCTCACTGCAACCCCTGCCTCCCAGGTTCAAGCGATTCTCATGCTTTAGCCTGCTGAGTAGCTGGGATTACAGGCACATGCTGCCACACCCGGCTAATTTTTTGTATTTTTAGTAGACATGGTGTTTCACCATGTGGCCAGGCTGGTCTCAAACTCCTGACCTCAAGTGATCCACCTGCCTCAGCCACCCAAAGTGCTGGGATTACAGGCATGAGCCACTGTGCCCAGCCCCATATAGCATTTCAAAGGAGCTAAGTCTCATTCTTTCTCTGAGTGCTACCCATACTTGGACCAAGGCTATGGGTAACAGCTTTAACCAATTATCTTGGGCCTCCTGGCATAACTTGGCTAGGATACCTTTGAGAGTTCTATGGGACCTTTCAGTCTTTCCCAAGGAGTTTGGTCTCCAGGCTACATGCCACTTCCACTGTATGACCAAGGCCTGGGAAGTTTTTACTACTATGTTAGAAATGAATGCGGGTCCATTAGCACTCTGGACTGACTTAGGGAGACTGAATGGAGGGATAAATTCCTTTAGTAAAGACTTCATGGCTTCTGCCTTTTCAGTCCAGCATGGAAAAGCCTCTATCCAACCAGCAAAGGCATCAGAAAAGCACCAGGAGATATTTAAATCCTCTAGAAGACATAGGCATAACACTGGAGTCAATTTGCTAGTCCTCCCCTCACATGGTTCCCCTGAATTGTACCACCTTGGCCAAGGGAGATATGGGAGGTCTGTTTTGAGCATTGTTTCTCTGACAATAGACACATTGGTCAGCCACTTTATCCATCATTTTCTTTGCTTTTGGGGTCCTTATTATCCTGAGGAGCTAGGTGTGCATAGTCTTCTTGCCATAGATTGAGAGATCATGGGCAGGCTTTATAATAGCCCAACTCAGATTTCTGGGCACCCAAATCCTGCCTCTCTTATTTAGGGCCCATCCCTCTGAGAGGGAACTCTGATGCTCTCCCTCTCGCATGGCTTCCTGTAATTCCCCAGGGGAGTGTCTTGGTTTATTGGTTTATATTCATAAAGAGGTACTGAAGGAAGCAGGGACTTTCCCTCCCTGTGTGTGCCAGGTTGCTCCCCTTCATTAGTTCAAAGTCCCCCATTAGATGACCCCCACAATCTGTCTAGTCATTTCCACTGTGCAGTAGTGCCAATATTTATGTTTCATATTTGATTTATTTGTTATTGGCATTCAGAAGTCCCCTTTCGTACCCGATTGCACCATGGGCATGGATCACAGTGAGCACATATCTCAAGTCTGTATAAACAGTCAAGGCCTTGTCCTTTCTTCATGCCAGGGCTCTGGTTAAGGCTATTATCTGAGTCTTTGGGGCTGAAGTTTGGGCAGGGAAGCTTTTGGCCTCTATGGTTTTCCATAGGGAGAGAACCACATATCCTGCCCTTCTTTCGCTCTTCCGTGAAGCTATGGCCATCTACAAACCCTATGTCTTCCTTTCCTTTTTCAACCACATCTCTGCTACAGAGAACCTTGAAGGTCATTTCTACTAAATGCAAGCGGTTAATATTAGGAACTGAGACTTGTGTTTTTCCCAGGCATGTCCTCAAACTTTGGCTAAATTAACCTTTATTGATTGAGACACCTGTCTCAGTCATTTTTTGGTTAACACAATACAGATAAAGTAGGATCCCTATCTCATATTACACATAAACATTAATACAGATGGACCAAAGACCTAAATATGGGGGATGGATCAGTAGAAAATACGGGAGAATATCTCTATGACCTTGGGACAAGGGCTGAGTTTTTAAGCAAAACACAAAATGCTCAAATCATAGAGGAAAAGATTGATAGTCGCCTGTGTTACAATTTTAGATTTGTGCTTCAAAAAGACACCCTAGGAATTAGGGGTGGAAAGGAAGCAAGCCACAGAGTGGGAGCAAATATTTGCAATTAATGCGCTGAACTAGTAAAAGACTGGTATCCATAAAATTATAAAGAACTACCAATCAATAAAAACCACAACCCAATAGAAAAATGGGCATAAAATACAAACAGGCAATTCTCAGAACATGAAAACAGAGTAGTCAATAATTACATAAAGAGAAGTTCAAACTTACTCAAAGTAGGGAAATGAAAATCAAAGTTATAATGAATATTACATTCCACACCCATCAGGTTGGCACGCTCAAACTGTATGTTTAAGATGCTATATTTAATGTTATTACAATCAAACTATGTTCAAGTTTTTTAATATGCTATTACAATCATTATAACAGCAAAAAATTGGCAACACTCCAAACGCCCATTACAAGAGGATGGAACAGGATATAGAGTGGATATTAGCGAATTAGGCCCATACATCTGCGTGGGAGCATCTCAGAGAACGCAGGGGCGAAACGCCGGAAGGGCACACAAACCAAGCCCCGCCCCCGGGAACCCCGCTCCCACACGGAGCATGCTGGAGGCTGATAGGTTGGTTTGACCACGCCAGTTCCGCCTTCGCCTGCCCCCTTAGAGCCCCGCCCCCGCGCGGAGCATGCTGGGGACATACGGACTCACTTTCCTCGCCAACCCCGCCCTCCGGAGCTACCAGCAACAACCAACGGGCAGCGAGCAACGGGCGCGCGCTGCTCCCTTAGGAGGCGGTGACCATCTGCCCGTGTGCCCAGGGCCTCTGAGGGCGCTGGATGGCTCCGTTGTGTCCGGGTGGTCTCGGGAGCTGCAGGGAAGGGGCGGGAAAACTACACCGGACCCCATGGGGAGCGCAGAGGCGGAAAGGGAAGGGCCTAGGGACCTCAGATTGTTTTGAATCAAGGGCAGAAAGATCGGGTCGGAGGGAGGGAAGGAAATACTTCCGTGCCTTCAGAGGGAGTCTAGAGTCCCAGGCCGTGCCGGGTGGAAGGAACTGTGCAGCGTCCCAGAGGGAAGGAAGAAGAAGGGAAGAGAAGTGGACTCAGAAAAAGTGGAGGGGAAAGAAGGGAGATGGGAGAAATGGAGGGCAGAAGAGGCAACGTTCCCCAGCCCTATAAACCATAATGAGCCCATATGAGAAAGCAGAAAGGTGGGTGGGAAGTGGGGGGCTAGAAAGGAAAAGAAACAAAAGCTGTCTTGGTCTGAGTCAGGAGCCCAGCTGTTGTGACAGGAAGGGACCTCAGAGATGGCTTTCACAGGTGGCTGTGACTATAGCTCTTTCTGGTGCCTCAAGCTCCCTCTTAACCCCTGGGAGACTTTTACCTTTGGGAGAGATTTCCCTTTGGGTTAAGGAGGGGAAAGAGGGACAGAGGGACAGTGGCAAGGGATGCCAGGAGAAGGTGAGGGAGAGGACACATGAGTGTTAGGTTTTTGAAAAAAGACGAGGGTTAAAGACAAGAGAGTTGACCACTCTACAACACAGGTTTATTAACACAACCTACAGAGGTGGGGACCAACTTAATGCCAAAGCCCCACTAGCACTTACAGGCTGGAATCATTATAGGCCTGGATGAGGGGTCTGGAATGGTAGGACTTACTGCCCAAGAGGATGTTAATAAAAATATTTCTTAAACCTTTGTCCCAACAAGATGTGATAAAGAAGTCAGACAGTTGGGGAGGATGTTACTTACAGCCCAAACCCCTGCAGAATGTTTCACTGTGACCAGGGTCTATGAAATGGCAGGAAGATTTACAAAATAATACAGCTTGGACTAAAAATTAGGGCCCAGCCTGGGGAGAGCTAGGCACTGATTTTTAGAGAAGTCTATGTCTTTGGCTATGCCAGAAGCACTGCAATCTTATTTCAAGGGCTTCTGGATGTGGTGGACTAAGTCTAAGACTAGGGGGTCCAGAGAAGACCCCATCCTTAGTAACCCTTGTCAATAGGGAGACTTCTCACGGAATCTGCTCTTTGGGTTTGACCCTCTGTCTTCATGTTCATGCCTCATTCATCTTTGTTAGGTTTTGAAGGGAAGGTGAGGGTTAAAGAGTTGGCAGCTTAACAGCAACACAGGTTTATTGCCAGCACAAACCTGTGGAGGGGGGACCAGCTTAGTCTCAGAGCACGAGTCCCACTTACAGACTGGGACATTTACTATAAGGAAGAGGAAAGCAACACGAAGGGTGGCTGGGCAGTCAACAAGGACAGGTTTATTTTAGAAAATAAACTTGAGAGGGGCTTCTGGCCGAGTTAGCTCAGACTAACTTCTGTTACAGACTAAGGATATTTAAGGGTTTTGGAAGGGGTCTTATCGTAGGTTCCGAATGTTTCTGTGTGAGGGAAAGTTTATTGCGGGGTTGGAATGTCTCTGGTCGGAAGGGAGGCTGTCTCGGGGTTGGCATGTTTCTGGTCAGAGGGGTTTATCTTAGGGTTGGAATATTTCTGGTTATGCTGACATTAGCCATTAGGCTGATGTTTTGGGGCTGGATTTAGGCGGCTTTTAATGAAGGGGGAACTTAGAATGGTGGTATTTGTTCAAGATGGCAGTGCTCCTGCTCTGTCAGTTATGGGTCTGGACCGGGGGAGAAGGGGCAGTATAGCTTGCTCCCCTGCAGGATGTTGAAGATGTTCCTTGGGCCCTTCATCCAGCAGGATGTAATAGAGATGTTCCTGTGGTTAGGTGGTTAGGCAGTATTTTTTTATGACCTGAACCCCCATGGAATGTTTTATTCTGACCAGGTTCTGTGAAATGTTGGGAGACATCTGCGGCCATACTGTAAGGCTCTTGTGTTGGTTCGAACCCCGAGAGCTTGCCAGCAAAGAACACAAGGCAGTGTGGAGCAACACGCTGTTTTAATGAGCACCTGGGTGCAGATGGGCTGAGGCCTAAAATGGCGTCAGCCCCAGGTGAGGACGGGGCAGGGGTTTTATAGTCTCCTGTAAACAGGAAGTGTCCCAGTCTGATGTAACTGCTACATGGTACCCAGATGGCCTCTCTCTTGATCTTCAGGGGTACGTGTCTCCTGGCCAGCTCTCTTCCTGCTTCTGCTATCTTGCTGACACACGCTGCTAGCACAAGTGGTCTTGTGCCTTGGGACTGGGCCTGAGAAGGGAGGAGTTATTCATCCCCCCAAACTTTCAGGCCCCGGGGAGAATCTTTCACATACCACCCTGAACACGCCCAATCTCGTCTGATCTCAGAAGCTAAGCAGGGTCTGGCCTGGTTAGTACTTGGATGGGAAATGATCACAGGGAGGCTTACAAAATGGTATAGGATATCTTGTGGTTTAAGCCCATTCCCTCCGGGAAGACCTTGTTGGTTTTCTCCCTACAGAACCTGCTGTGTACAAAATGGTGTAGGATATCTTGGGGTTTAAGCCCATTCCCTGAACCTGCTATGACATTAACTGAACAGCTCCTGGGGGTGCATCCCAATAGGGAAGTTATTGAGCTCCCAATGTTTTCGTGAAGCTGCTTTGTCAACTGTGAAATAATTATTGCCCTGCCCACTCCTGGGGTTGTTAGAGACCCAGTGAGATACTAAAAGTGTGTTTAAAGCATGTAGGGTCTGCAAATGCAATAAAGTGTGGTCAGAAAGCCCAACTCACGTGGCTTTGGGGGCCACTGGTGAGAGAAGAGACTGGAGGCAGCCTGTTGTGGTCAGAGCCTCCTGCTATTGTCAATTTCTCCTCACTGTCCCCTTTACCAGGAAGGCAGTGTCAGTTTGATCAGCTGCCAGTCTGTTTGCCCTCATTCCCCCTGGCCCTGCCCTGAGTCCAGCGACCTGGATTTGAAACCTGCATCTGTCACTTACTAGCTGAGGGATCTTGGGCAAGACATTTCAGCCCTTTTCTGCTTAAATAGAGTTAAGACAGCCTATGAATGAAACTATATAAACCAAGGCATTTCTGACTCCAGTAGGAGGCAGCTGCTGTGAGGGAGAAGCCCTGGCCAGGAATCTGTTATAGTTATTTTGTCACCAACTGGAATGGCCTTGGGACAAAGCACAACAGCTGTCTTGACCTCATCAATAGCCTTGACCTCATCCCTCGTGTCATGCTGTGTCATCTTCAACATCTGTCACTTCCATCAGCCTTAGCATTGGCCTTGGCCTCAGTTTCCTCATGTGTGACTTGAGGATGATGATTCTTATAGGAATCAATAAGCTTGGGATAAAGAAGCTATTGGGTCACATTATACATACTTTAAATGCATTAAGTGGGGTCTGCAGTTCCTAGAGATTAGCAGATTGCATTGCGTGAGAACAGAGCCATAGAGAATGTTTGAGGTCCCATTAATAGCTGATAGGAGGCTGATCAGTAAACACTGGGAGGGGAGGATTGACTCTTGGGTGAAGAGTTGGAGGAGGGTGGAGGATTGAGTCTTGGGTGAAGAGTTGGAGGGTGGAGGATTGAGTCTTGGGTGAAGAGTTGGAGGGTGGAGGATTGAGTGTTGGGTGAATTGAGTCTTGGATGAAGAGTTGGAGGGTGGAGGATTGAGTCTTGGGTGAAGAGTTGATTGGAAAACAAAGCTGAACAGAAAACCAGGGCATCATCAACACTGATGAGTAATTTTTTTTCTCTATAAAATGATTATTTAGATTAAGAAAAGGAATGACAAATTTTGAAAAGCCGACAAACACCACAAACTCCAGAAAAAAAAGAATCCTGACATTTTTACTAAGTGACAGACACACCTTCGCCTTTAAAACACTCTGTCCCCCCCATATTTCTTGGCTGCAGACTCTTTGATCACATTTTCGTGTGACAGTGATTTTGTAATATTTTCTATGGGGAGAATAGAAAGATAATTCCGTCTCTCCTTTGGCAGTAGGCATGTCCCTGTGAGGGAGGAGATCAGCAGGATTTTTCCAAGCACCTGTCAAAACCCTGCTGATCAAAACAGAACATAACAATAACAAAGAATGGCCAAAACCAGCTCGGAATAGGAATTAAAATGCATTTGCATAAGATACTCCCACCAGGGCCATGACAGTTTACAAATGATCCCACGGCAATAACCCAGGAATTATCTTATATGGTTCCAGGAACTTCCTGTTCCTAGTTTATGAATAACCTGCCTCTTATTTAGCATATAATTAGCAGGGGGTATAAATATAGCTAGCCAGCAATCCTGGAGTGCTATTCTACCTGTGGGGTAGCCCTGCTCTGTCTGTGGAGCAGCCATTTTGCTGTACAATGTTGCTTTAATAAACTTGCTTTGCTTTCAGTTTTGTCTGTTAGCTCACTCTTGAATTCCTTCCTGAGCAAAGCCAAAAACCCTCCCCGGCTGAGTCCCGATACGGGGATTTGCTTACATCAGCCAGAAGTAATTTATGCACAAAGATAACTATAGCAATTTTTAGTAGATACAGAAGTGACTTCAAAGCCCAGAAATGTGTCCCACTAAACTCATACAAAATGATCCCCAATTTTACCTTCTCCCTTAGCCATATCCAAAATAGCCACAGCCATTCCAACAGGACAGACGCGTGACAGAGGGAGAATATGAACTGAAAAGAGACACTAGGCCTCAACCAACTTGTAAAAATGTCTTCTACATATTTTCCAAAAGCACATGACAAAAGCATTGATAGGGCTCCTCCCAAGGCAAAGAGGGCCCCTGAGGGTTAAGCTTAATGTTGTCTCTGAAGCCACCTCTGCTCTGAATAATCGCAGCTGCACCGGTTGCAGCTCGCTCTTCCCCCAACATGTCCCACCTCACCCTCTCAACAATACAGTGGGGATGTTCTGAGATTTGTACCCACCGCCTAAAAGAACCCTCCTCTGGGTGGGATGAGATTCTCTGGCCCTTAGCAGGGCTCTAGCCTGCCCTGTCCTCTCCTACACATGCACCGGCAGTAAAAGCTGAACTTTGAACCACAGGTGCACTTCTTGAAAGGGGGCAGAGTGGGAGGCAGAAAAAACACGTTGGATCCTATACATGCCTTTGGGAACCCCCAGTGAACTCTCGGGGTTCCGTGTCTGGTCATCTTTACACTCCCTTCTAAGACTGCTGGGAGGAGCTATTGAACACTCTTGCATGAGACATCCACAAGCATAAAAAACATGGCAGCGGGGGAGGGGAAATGAGAGAGAAAAAGAGGAGAAGAATTTGAATAAAAGACTGTAGCTTGGAAGAGAAGGCAGTGGGGAGGGGCACCCAGATCTGGCCATCCTCACTGTCCCCCTGTTGCTGTGCCAGAGGCTGGCCCTGCCAGGAAAGCGTCATACCTTACCTCAGTTTCCCCTTTAAAACAGGGTTGCTAATTCCTACCTCACAGGGTGGTCCTCATGAGGATAACATGAGATAATGTCTGGGGAAATTGCTTGGGAAAGTGTAAAAGGCCACTCACACAGAAACCCCTCATGACCCATGTGGCCAAAGTGGGGACGTGGACTTAGAGGCCCTGGACCCAGGCCTGGGCCCTGCCTTGCCTGTCTGGGGAAATGGTCCTGGCCTTTACTCAACACTGACCCTGCCTTGGGAGGAAGAGCCTGCCCAGGCCAATCTCCCACGCCCTGACCGAAGCAGGTGCCGTCAGACAGAGTCCTGGCTTGGGAGTCAGAGGGACTGAGCTCAACACGTGGGTACCCTAGAACCTGCGCCTGGATAACTGAGTTGCTGATGCAGCCTGAAGGGGTGGGTTGCCCCTCCACACCTGTGGGTGTTTCTCGTTAGGTGGAACGAGAGACTTGGAAAAGAAAAAGACACAGAGACAAAGTATAGAGAAAGAAATAAGGGGACCCAGGGGACCAGCGTTCAGCATATGGAGGATCCCGCCAGCCTCTGAGTTCCCTTAGTATTTATTGATCATTTTTGGGTGTTTCTCAGAGAGGGGGATGTGGCAGGGTCATAGGATAATAGTGGAGAGAAGGTCAGCAGATAAACACGTGAACAAAGGTCTCTGCATCATAGACAAGGTAAAGAATTAAGTGCTGTGCTTTGATGTGCATATACATAAACATCTCAATGCCTTACAGAGCAGTATTGTTGCCCGCATGTCCCACCTCCAGCCCTAAGGCGGTTTTCCCCATCTCAGTAAATGGAATATACAATCGGGTTTTATACTGAGACATTCCATTGCCCAGGGACGGGCAGGAGACAGATGCCTTCCTCTTGTCTCAACTGCGAAGAGGCATGCCTTCCTCTTATACTAATCCTCCTCAGCACGGACCCTTTACGGGTGTCGGGCTGGGGTACGGTCAGGTCTTTCCCTTCCCATGAGGCCATATTTCAGACTATCACATGGGGATAAACCTTGGACAATACCTGGCTTTCTTAGGAAGAGGTCCCTGCGGCCTTCCGCAGTGTTTGTGTCCCTGGGTACTTGAGATTAGGGAGTGGTGATGACGCTTAACGAGCATGCTGCCTTCAAGCATCTGTTTAACAAAGCACATCCTGCACAGCCCTTAATCCATTTAACCCTGAGTGGACACAGCACATGTTTCAGAGAGCACGGGGCTGGGGGTAAGATCATAGATTAACAGCATCTCAAGGCAGAAGAATTTTTCTTAGTACAGAACAAAATGGAGCCTCCTATGTCTACTTCTTTCTACACAGACACAGTGACAATCTGATCTCTTTTTCTTTTCCCCACATAGCCAGGCCCCCGCTGCTGGGGTAGCCCAGCCTACGCCTCCGGGGGCCTTCAGGGAAGAGAACCAGCTAAGGCTGGGGGGACCAGGAGAAGGGTCCCCCAAGGTTGGAAAGTGCATGCAGGAGGATGCTCAGCAGGGGCTGCAACAGGGGGGCCTTGGGAGCCCACCAGGCAGGGATCAGCAAGGGGTCTCACTCAGCGAGGGACTGCAAAGCCTCACTTCAGTCTCTAGGTCCAGGGATCAGGCTCACCAACTCCCTGCAGAGGCCCCAGCAGCAGGGGACCGCAGGCTCACAGCATGGACAGTGGGTGATATCTGTTGTAAGCTCTCCTCTTCCCTCTCCCGCTCCCCATGGCCTCCGCTATCAGAACATATTCTGCCTCTTGCAATATGGACAGAGTGGGTCCTTAAAAAAAATTACCTAAAATGTTAGCTCAGGGTTCACTTCCAGAAGAGAAAACAGGTGTAAGGGGTTCTGGGACAGGCCTGTGGAAATCGGGAGTGATACCAAGGCTGACTGTAGCATTGGGGATAAAAAGGAGGGAGGAGTCCCAGAGTAGGGTGGGGACCACATAGGACACCACTTCCTTAGGGCCCAGACAGAGGCAGGAGGTCTGATATCAGCAGTCAGTTGGGAGTTCCTAGGGGTCTGGGGTGGTGGAGAGAGACCTTCACAAGTTGGGCAGGCTGCTCTGCTTCACCCCAGATTAGAGGGCACTGCTGGACACCCACATGGCAAAGTGGCCAAATCCCAAGGGAAGACCCAAGGAGCCGAGTTGAAACTGCCCCCTGCTCCTGAACTCAGGGGTCAGCGATATTGCTGCTACTTGCTAAGCCCAGTTGCCCCTGTGTTATCCACTCCCCCTTGGAGACCTCGGGGCAGCATAGATTCCCCCCACCCAGGACTTGGAATGGGTCATCATTCAATGCTATTTAATTCCAAGGGTAGCCTGGACTCCAGACGACACATTCTTTTACTACTCTTCCTACTTTCCCATCCTAAATTAGGTCCAACCTCAAAGTTCAAATTTGAGTCAGAGGTTCTGCAGATATATAAGATGCCAGATACCCAGATAAAAAGTCAACCTAGAAATGTCTTTCATAAATTTCCTAGGGTCAAATTCAAGTCAAAAAATTAAGTTCCCTTGTCCTTTTAGGTTAAAGTCCAAAGGGAAAAAAAAGTCTTAAGGTCAAAGGATTCAAGCCCAAAGCAATCAAAGAGAGCCCAGGGATCCGTCAGAGCCCAGTGGTGTTAACCTCCTCCCCGAGGCTCTGTGCTCACCCAGTGAGCAAAGTGGCCCAGTAGGCACGGGAGGGCTGGGTGTCCTGGAAAGTGAGATCCTTCTCTCCACATCTCAGCATTTTCACTAGCCTGCCATGTGCTCCAGTTTTAAAAGACCCAGAGTTACTAGGAATGAGCAGATGGTGATAGCCTCAGCCTCCTGCTCGCCAACCACAGGGAAGTCCTTAGAGCAGCATGCAGGCCATGAGATGTCTCCAGGATCCCGGACCCAGCCCCATGTAGCCCTCTCTTCCTGCTACCTCAGTACTCCAGCAGGAATGCCCTGGCAGCTGATGGAAAGAGAGTAGACAGGGAAGACAAACCCTAGACCCCACAGCATATCTAACCAGGTGGAGGGTTAGCATTAGCCCTGGCGACCCCGCTGGGGTGGAGCAGGAAGCAATTTCTGCTGTCCTCCTCCCTGAGCGTATCTGTACAAGCAGTCATCACCTGCCTGGGTCTTATTTATAATACCTTCTCCTTTTCATATGTGTGAAATCTCATCATTTCCATTTCCCTCTGTATGCCCATTGCATGGATGTCTTCAGTCCTAAGAGATCCTGCCCCAGTCAGTGCAGCACAGCCCAGCAGGTTGCTGAGCTGAGCACCAGGGAGCAGTGGCTGTGTCCCACTGGCTCTCAGGACACTAGCTGTCCTCCACTGGGGATGTTCCCAGTCTTGAGCAGCACTGTTTCTGCAGCACAGTTGTCAGCAGTTGGGGACAGATGTCCACAGCTGTGCTTCCTCATGCGACTGCTGGCTTGCATCCCCAGCATGGCTCAGCTGGGGCCCTGGCAGTTGTGCTGGCTGCTGGCAGTCTTCACACACAGGGCTGGTCATTTGTGTTCAACCCCAGTGCCTTCCCTCCTTTTACTTTCTCTTTGCTTTCCGGCCCATATATTTACTTTTTCTGATCTGTTCCTCTAGATTTTGTCACTTGGGGGTCTCCCCTGGCAACAGAAAACAAAACCAGGCAATCCCAGGTTTGCCACAAGAATTGCTGTTGAAACAGTCCCACAGCTGCGCCCAAGAGATGGCGGCCATGGCCATCAGCCTCCCTGCCGTCAGCCCCTCTCTCCTGACTGGCTGTGCTCTCCTCAGGGAGGACTCCACTGAGCCCTCCTTGACACCTAATCCCTACATTTAAAAAATGCATTCCCTTAGGTCCTGAGCAACCCCAGACACCCACCCACAGTAACTATGCTGTCCCCAGGTATACCTAAAATATTTTCAATGTTTGATGCTGATCTTCTGTCCTTTAATTTGCCCAAATTCCCTACAGCCTCTGAGGGCTGCCCTGGCTCATGGAATGGCTT
The DNA here is from genome assembly GCF_000001405.40 of Homo sapiens. NCBI lineage: Eukaryota > Metazoa > Chordata > Mammalia > Primates > Hominidae > Homo > Homo sapiens. Next base: position 23,904,485 of record NC_000022.11, on the reverse strand, counting down.
CTGATTCTTACGGAGTTGCTGTCTGCAGCATTGAATGGCCCCCCCTCAAGAGTGTTCTGGGTCACCTGGTTCCCTGGTGGTGACCTTGTCTGTTCCCAACGTCTGCCCTCCCCTCACATCAGGGAGCTTTCCTGTCCCCTAAGTTGGTCTGGCCCACTCCAGGGTCCCATGATCCCTCATCTCTGCACAGCCTGCCTCCTGACACCACTGCTCCCATTCTAAGGGTAAGACTGTGGTGTGTTTTTCAAACCATTCCAGTTCCTTCTGGATCTCCCAAGTAAACCCAATTCCCTGGGACAGACGGTTCTCAGCACAAGCCATTTGTATGGCCCTTGCTAGCTTTGGATGCGTATTGATTTCATTGTTTCTCTATCTCAACCCAAGAAAATAGCATATTCTCTGAAGGGCCCTGATTCCTTTTAATGCTGTTGTCCATTAACAAACTCTTACCTTTCTGTGGGCAAAGCCACGACTTTAGTCTCCCAATTCCTGGGTCAAAATGTACGTAATAGCCAGGCACGGTGGCTCATACCTGTGATCCCTGTAATATTCTGGGATGCCAAGGCGGGAAGATCACTTAGGGCCAGCCTGGGGAACCTAGTGAAATCCTGTCTCTACAAAAATAAAAATATAATTAGCTGGGCATGGTGGCACAAAACTGTAGTCTCAGCCACTCAAGAAGCTGTGGCGGGAAGATGGCTTAATCCCAGGAGTTCAAGGTTACTGTGAGCTTGATTGCACCACTGCATTGCAGCATGGGCAACAGGGAGAGACCCTGTCTCTAAAAAGAAACAACAAATTAAAACAAAATGTATGTAAGGCACAAATCGAGAGCCAAGCTGAGCCGCACAAGGGGACTAACTCAGCAGACCTAGGGATGTGTTTCGTGGGCTCAGGAGGGACCCTCCCCAGTCCCTGTTCTGGCAGGAGGCTTTGAGGACAGCTCATCTGGCACAACTCCACTGTGGGTGGTACAAGACTCATACCAGGTTGCACCGGCCCCTTGCTGCCTTCGCAGTTGGAAGTGGTGATCTCAGACCTGGCTGAGAACACAGTAAAGGCAGCAAGCCTGGGCCTGCCCTCCTCCATTCATGCCTCAGAGGTTGGGACCCTTCTGTAGCCTCCTCTGCACTGTCTCTCTTTGGATTAATAGGAGGCCCGTGCAGGAGTCAGAGAACACGGCTCTGAGCTGTGACCATCCCCAAAGCACTGCCCTGAGTTGCCAAAGGTCATATCCCCACATGGACCTTACTTTATACCAGCAAGATGGAACCTCCGGCCTGGGCCACTAGTTAAAAGCCAACCCTAAGACTGTAAGGATCAGCTCGTGGCTCCAAAGCTCTGTGGGGAACTGCCAAGGCCAGAAGCCAGTGTGGTCCCTGTGAAGCCCCCGCGCACACACCAGGCATCCCCAAAGCCTCAGACTTTATGTGGTTACTTGAGGACTCAAAGCTCAAAGCCTCTGCTGGATTTAAGGGGGCTTAAATAGAACACGCCTTTCTTCCCATTCCAATCCTGGGGCCTCCACCACAGTTGTGAGGGTCATAGCACATGCCAGAAGGCAGGGAGCACACAGCAAAGCAGGGCCCAGAAAGACTGAGCTAGACGGGGGGCGCTAAGGAGGTGCTTGTTTAGGGACATAAGCACCTCATGGGGAAACAAGGAGGTGAGGAAGAACGGCCCCCACTCCCAGCAGAAACACTGTGGTGGGAAGCTCAGGGAGGCTGGGGGTGGGCTGGGGAAGAGGCCAACAAAGTGGGAACAGCCCTCCGTATGGGCCAGTGTCTGGCAAGGTCTTAGTGGGATGGGGCAGTTGGGCAGTGCTTCTGCATGGCACGGTACCCAACGGTCGGCCTGGTGGTGGTGCTCTTCACTTCCTCTTCACTCCCTTCTACTGTGCATGTTAACTTTTGTATCAGGGAGTATGAGATATGGAAAAATGCATAAATGCATAAGGTTTAATAAATATATATAGGCACTTGTAAGAACAGAGAGAAAAATACTGCAGCACCCTGCCACCTCCCAAATGCCCCTGGCCAGTGGGACCGCTGTCCTGACAGTGATAGAAATCATTTCTTGGCTTTCATCACAATTTTCCCACCTACACGTGGTCCTCTGAACAGTACAGTTTGGGGGTCCTTGTTTTCAAACTTTATATAAATGGAACTGCATTATATATATATATCTTGTGGCTTTTGCTCAATATGTTTATGAGATTTGACCGTGGTGATATTTGTACCTATAGCTTGTTCATTTCACTGCTGTTGAATATTCCATGAATGAACAAGCATAATTTATCCAATTATTGATGGACATTGGGTTGCTTCGAGATACAAGTTTCTCCGGGATAAATATATCGAGGAGTGGGATTGTGGGCACGTTACAGCTGAGGAGGTTAGTAGTGGTGTGTCATGGTGGTTCTTATTTCCCTGATTTCTACTGACGATGAACAACTTTTCCATTGGATATTCTGTTTTGTGAAGTGGCTTCTAAAGTCCTTTGCTCATTTTTTTAAATAGGGTTTCCTAATAATGTAATGTTGAGATAGGAGATCAGCAGAACTTGTTTTCCAAGCACTGGTCAAGACCTTGGTCATGATCCCGCTGATCAAAACAGAATCTGGTCGGAACAGGATGCAGTGAAGAAATCAGCTGAAACCAGCTGGAACCAAGATGGCAACAAAAGTGACCTCACTTTTGTCCCTCACTGCTCATTATATGCTAGTGATAATGCATGCTAAAAGACATTCCCACCAGCACCATGACAGTTTACACATGCCACGGCAATACCCAAAAGTTATCTTATGTGATTTAAAAGGGGGAGGAACCCTCAGTTCCAGGAACTCCGGATCCCTTTGCTAGAAAATTCATGAATAACCTGCCCCTTATTTAGCATATAATAAGAAGTAGCTATACATATAGATAGCTGGTAGTCCAGGAGTGCTGCTCTGCCTATGGGGTAGCCCTGTAAACCCCATCCACCTGTATGGATGCTCTATGAAACCCACTTTTCTGTACTCTGTTGCTCTAATAAACTTGCTTTGCTTTCACTCTTTTCTGTTGGGTCACTCTCAAATTATTTCCTGTGCAAAGCCAAGAACGCTCTCAGGCTGAGCCCCAGTTTTGGGGCTCACTTGCATTAAGATAAGTTGCAGAAATTGTAGCATGTCTTTCATTCTTACGGTGTCTCACTAATAGTGTGTCAATCTTTCCTTATTGTATGTACTCATTTTATCTTACTTAAATCATAAAGATGATATTCTTCTACACCATCTTTTAAGATCTTTGTGGCCTTTTCTTTATGGCTGTAATCTATGTAGAACTGACTTTTGTGTGGGAGTTAAATAGGAGCCCAGTTTGATGTTTCTCCTTACATGGTAGCCAGCTGCCCAGCACCCCTAGTTGAATGAGTTCTTCTTTTCATGTGGATTTCAATGCTCCCCCAGTCTGATATTGTGTCCATGTGTGTGGAGAGGTCTGTTTCTGGATTGCTCTTTTTTCCATTGGTCTGTTGTCTGCCATGTTCTGATTCCACTTTGCCTTAATTGTGTAGCTTGATCATGTGTCTTAACATTGAAAAAGCAAATCCTCACACCTTGCCTTCTACAAGAAAATGTTTTGACTCTTCTTGGTCATTTAGAGTCTCATATAAATGTTAGAATTAGGTTGTCAATTCCCATAGAAAAATCTGTTAGAATTTTGATTGGGACTGTGCTGAATCATCAACCAGACAGAACTGTTACGAGCACAATATTGCCTCCAGTACAGAGATGCTGAGACCAACTCGATCGGGGAGACCCTAACCCAGCGGCGCTAGAGGAATTAAAGACACACACACAGAAATATAGAGGTGTGAAGTGGGAAATCAGGGGTCTCACAGCCTTCAGAGCTGAGAGCCCCAAACAGAGATTTACCCACGTATTTATTAACAGCAAGCCAGTCATTAGCATTGATAGATATTAGATTAACTAAAAGTATACCTTATGGGAAACAAAGGGATGGGCTAAAATAAAGGGATGGGTTGGGCTAGTTATCTGCAGCAGGAACATGTCCTTAAGGCACAGATCACTCATGCTATTGTTTGTAGTTTAAGAATGCCTTTAAGCAGTTTTCCGCCCTGGGTGGGCCAGGTGTTCCTTGCCCTCATTCTGGTAAACCGACAACCTTCCAGCATGGGTGTTATGGCCATCATGAACATGTCACAGTGCTGCAGAGATATTGTTTATGGCCGGTTTTGGGGCCAGTTTATGGCCAGATTTTGGGGGGCCTGTTCCCAACACAGAGACATGGTCAGTCTCTTCATTTATTTAGTTCTCCAATAACGTTCAGGGTGTTAGTTTTCTCTGTAGAGGTTCTCTGTAGAGTACATCTTGGATTTGTTTCTAGGTACAGGAAACTTTTTAAAAATATATTTTATATAGACCAGGGTCTCACCACGTTGCTCAGGCTGGTCTTGAACTCCTGGCCTTGGCATCCCAAAGTGCTGGGATTACAGATGTGAGCTACTGCACCCAGCCAGGAAATGTATTTTCTATTGCTCTCCCACAACTCCCACCACATCTTCTCCATCTGCATGAAATCATATTCTCTGTATGGTATCTGTAAAGTCATATCTTATTCTGAGAAATGTCCATTTCTGCATCAATACTCATCGCATGTATTCTAAATATACTTTGTCTTGTTTGTCTTGTATATAGGTTATTGTAGTTACTTGACCTGTGCCGAAATGTTAAATGTGTGTAAGTTCATGTCCTTCATTCTGGCTTTTTATTCACTAATAGTCATCAGCATCCTTACTGTCAATACAAGAGATGCTCCTTCTCAATATTTTGATATGGTAGTACAAGGATTCCAAAGGAGGAACCTTCTTTTTTAGCAGCTGTGTTTTTTGTTTTGGTTGGCAATTCACTAAGGACTCATCTCATCATGTTATGAGGGAGACATTCTTGGAAGCATGGCTCCTTTTCCGACTCTTCTCAGCACACAGCTGTCACCCATGCTTTGCTGTGAGATGGGGTGCCCTACAGATGGATGGGGTTTACAGGCTTAAGGTTACTGATGTCTTTTCATAAGACATTATTGCCTTGTTTGTTTGTTCTTCAGAAAACAAATTCTAGGGAGCCGGGGTTAATCTGTTCCATAGTCTGAATGTGTTACTGAAACACCAGGGGTTTTGTCTGGGTCCCATTGCATGCTGCACAGCCAATCACTGCCGGGAGGAAGGGCTTTATTCAGGTGCTGCAGCCAAGGAGAATGGGAGATAAGTCTTGAATCCATCTCCCTGACCGGCCAAAATTGGAGGGTTATATAACAGTGGAAGGGATGTAGCTATGTTTGGGAAGGAGTTAGGGAGGGGTAAGAACGCAGCCATGATGAACGAGGGATCCAGTGTCTCCCTGTCTGGATGCAGTGATCTAGTGAATTTGAGAAAGGATTACCCTGTGGAGGGAGGCAACAGGAGGGAGCCTTCTCTCTGGAGCCCCTGGGCATGCTTTGAATTTGAGCCATATAAATCTATTACCTATTAAACTGAGAAGAGAACTAGGTACGCAAGAAGCCAAGTCACTGGGGCGGTGGGGACGATACTTCTCATTTGTAGCCTTTCAATTTGGTGCTCTGTCTGGCTGTTTTGAGAGCTAAACTGTAAGTTGAGACCCCATAGTCACCAGATGAGGCCTGAGGTTCCAGGACTGAAGGGACAGAGTCGGTTTCTGAAACTGACAATCTCTGTTTCTTTTACATGGGCTTCAAACATAGAAATGAAGTGGCTTGGCCTCACTCGCCAGGAGGGGAAATCTGGGCAGTTGGCTGGTGGGTTGACATTGTCCCTCACACCAGTCCTGTAAATTACTCAGGAAGGCCCAGGCCTGGAGAACTAAGACTTGGCTTTCACTGCTTAGCCTGGAAAGGAACTGAGATGGCCAAAGAGGGCTTTATAGAAACAGTGTCAGTGGCCCAGAAATCCTGGAAATCTCCCAAGCTCCAAGGATCAGTTGATCTCTGTGTGTGTCTCCTGCACATAGAGAGCTCCACTCAGTTCTGTGGTCTTTGGGCTGGTGGCCCCAGGGGCCCCTCCCTTGGCACTTGTCCAGGTAACTGAAAAACCACTCTGATATGAGGGTTGGCCCTGCATTAATTTTATCTACTGCATTAGAGGCAGTAGGGTTGTCTCATTGCCTGCCCTGCCAGCTCCTGTGAGTGGTAGAGCCAGCCCTTCAGTGTGGGGCTGGTGGGGGAGCAGTTCCCAGTGAAGGCATTTGAGTTGCATCCCAGCAGGATACCACTCGTTTGCCCTGCTGCACAGACTGGCCTCACTGGCCTCCTAGCACTTCCCGGCTCCATCTGGAGACTTCTAAGTAGATACCTAACCACACTTCCTCATTGTCTCTGTCCCTGCCTCCCTATCCACTGCCATCAAGGCTGGCACATCAGGAACAATAGTGCCCTCCGAGGAAGGGGTGAGGGAGAGATTTCACAATTTATCAAGACCTGAGTGCAGGCACAGGCCACCTGCTGTCTCCTCCCTTCCCATGGCATTCCTTGGATTAACCGTGCCTCTGAGGATGTGAGATGTCCCTGTCATGCCTCCGTGATTGAGTATGTGGGAAGGACTTCTGATGAATCCCTTCATTTCACAGATGGGAAAAACTGAGGCCAGTAGAAGGAGCAGAGTGGGAGCCTGATCCTGATCTTGCTGGAATCGGGCTCCCAGAAGGGAGTGGGGTCTGGAGGCTGGCGGTGGGGGGTGGTGGGGAGGGAGTCTCTGCAACAAAGCAAAATTCCTGGAGGGGATGAGGTGGGACACATGCAGGGTGGGAAGTCTTGGGAAAAGCCTACATTGCTGGGCTGTCCAGAATGGACAAGTACCGAGGGGCCCCTGGTGCCACCAGCCCAACGGATCACAGAACTGGGTGGAGCTATGTCCAGAAATGGAAACCTCAGCTAACAGGACCTGGGCTGAAGCAAAGGGGCCTGTGGGTGTTGACCAGGTGGCCTCAGGGAAGGTATCCCAGAAGAATGGTGTGTGTGAGGCTTATAGTGGACAGATGGGGGACAGGCCTTGAACCTACAAAATGAGGTTCAAGGCCTGCCAGGCTGTCTGTCTGTTGCAAACAGTGGCCCTGAGGAGAGTGAGGGTCACCCTGTAGGCCGGGGGTCTTTCTCAGCAGATGACATAGTACCACCAGAGTGATGGAGAACAGGCAGATGGACCCCACACCTGTCTGTCCTGTACCTCAGAGTTTGTGGCGTTACTTGGAAATGCATTTCCAAGGCTGACCCTGCAGGTCCTGGGGCAGTCAAACAGGGGTTTGAGGAAGAGACCCACCACCTGGTGGGCAGTGGAGCCTGTGCTTTGGAGGAAATGGAGCTGGCCATGGGATGGGGGTCAATGGGGGCAGGTGTGGCTTGAAGGTGGGATGTAGCAGCTGACCTCCCCAGCAGGCAGGCCGGTTATTAGTCCCAGGGGACTTAGGAACACTTTGGGCAGGGCAAGCGGATAGGTCCCTGACCCACAGACACCCCCTTTGTTCCTGGAGTCCAAGGACCCATGACCTTGTGGATGCCCCCAGGGGGCCACAGAACCTCAGACACTCACCTGCTTTTGGAGGACAGCTCTCACCAACCCTCCTGCCCTCACACAGCAGGTGCCCAGCCTGCCCTGCCCATCTCCTCGGCCCTCAGAGTCTAACTTGCTCATGTGAGGCCACAGGGCCCTTGCAGGGGGCATGGCATTGAGTGTATGACCATGCCCTGGATCCTGGGGTCAGTGTCCTCATCTGTGAAATGAGGGAGTTGCATTAGATGCTCATGGGGCACTGCGCCCCTGCTCTCCCTATCTGTGACACAGCCGAGAGCAAAGACCGCTGAGGCGGGGTGGGAGCCAGGGGGCCAGCCAGGGCTTGGTGGGGTGTGGGGCCCGAGGCAGAAAGAGTTTGTTGTGGGGGGAACTGGGGGTCCTGGGCAAAGCTCAGCCTCAGGCCTTGGGAGGCTGGGGCTGGGGGCACCCAGGAGCTGAGGGGATGTGATAAAGGCCAGGGCCGAGGAGGGTGCCTGTTACACCACAGGTACTCAGATCCAAGAAGGAAACCTCAAGCCTGAAAGCCAGGCTGAGAGGAGTGGGACCTTCCCGCTACAGCTGGAGCCATCCCATGCCCCCCATGTCTCCCCCAGCTGGGAGGTAGACGAGGGGCTCCACCGCCCTCTCACTGAGTTAACAATGAGACTGAGGCCCTCGGCTGGCAGGGAGTAAGCTGAGGAGGGCCTTGCTTTAGAGACCTTCATGGAAGGGGTGCCCCATCCCAAGATGGGTGCCACCCTTCCAGACTCCCTGGAGCTTCTATTCTCCTTCCTCTTCCTAATCTTCACCCCACCCAGCCCCATTGCTCTTCTGGAAGGAGAGCTCGCTGTCCAGTACTGCGCGGGATGACCGAGTGAACAGGGGACTGGAGACGAGATGTGGCTGGAGACTGAGAGAAGCAGAGGAGTCACACTCCACTCACCTCCACCTCCCAAAGTGCCGGGATCACAGGCTTGTGCCACTGCGCCCAAACATAACTGAAGGTTTTACAGACATGTCTGTGGCACCACAGAACACGAACGGTCCCAATGGAAACCCCACGCCCAATTTCCTCAGGGAACTGCTGTGGCGGAGGCTTGGTGGGTGTCTGAGGGGAGCAGAACCCAAGGCGTGGGGTTCGGGGGTGGACGGGGCGGTATGACCAAGAACTCTGCACCTCCCCCACCCACCCGCCTGAAAACTCTCCTGAAGTCACCTAACAAAGTGGATGGCAGTGAGTGGCTCTGGGTGGGATCTTTCTGTCCTCTGGCTACCCTCTGCCCAACAAGAAGGCTGGGGAAGGTGGGGCTGAGAGAAAGGTCTAGGCCTAGAAGACCTCGGACTCCTCCCAACTCCAACTCCTCCTCCCCCTCTTCCGTGGTCGGCTCACCTCCAGCACCCCACGTGGTGGCCCTAGGTACAACGGATTCCGGCGGGCAGAGCGCCTTAGATCCCGAGTCTGCAGCCCAGGGCAGAGTGCCAACTTCTCCTCATCCCTTCGTACGCCATAGAATGGAAAGACACTGGGGCTCCTCTGTTAGGAGCGTAGGAGGGACAGGCTGGACAAAAGGGCTCCCGAACAGCAGGTTCGGAGGAGAGCAACCCGGCCCTGACCCCCGCCCCCAACACCGTTCCCGACCTCGCTCCCCAATATCCCGGCTCTGCACCAATTCCTCCCGCAAGCCAAGGAACCCCGAGGCACTCCTAGTCTCTAAACCGTTTATTTCTCCCCACCAGAAGGTTGGGGTGGGCGGGCCTAGAACACAGCGTGCGGCGGGTTCCCGGGTGGAGCCAGCGCAGACAGCGTGGGTCCCTGCGGCTCTTAGGCGAAGGTGGAGTTGTTCCAGCCCACATTGGCCGCGTTCATGTCGTAATAGTTGATGTAGACCCTGCGGGGGGAGGAGGCCGGACTCAGCGGGTGGCTCAGTCCCGGGCCTGGCCGCGCGCCGCCGCCCCTCCCCCGCCCCTCCGCGACTCCGCGTACCTGTCCGGGCTGATGCGCAGGCGCTCGGCCAGCAGGCCGCACAGCAGCTTGCTGTAGGAGCGGTTCTGCGCGCCGCCGATCTTGCCGATGCTGTGCAGGCTGCAGAGCGCGCACGGCTCGCTGGAGCCGCCGAAGGCCATGAGCTGGTCCGGGACCACGTGCACCGCGATGTACTGCGAGGAAAGGGCGCGGTCAGCCCGCCCCAGCGACCTCGTCGGGCCCCGAACGTCCACTTCGGGCCCGAGCCACCGTCCTCCCCCCGCCCCGCCCCCCAGCTCCGTTCAGGAGTCGCCTCCCCAGCTCCCAGCGCGGAACCCCTCGTCCGGTGGGCACCCCCCTCTTCCTGTCCCCTCCCGGCAAACCTGGGGGGGCTTGCCGGTGGCCTGCGCCAGCTGCTGGGTGAGCTCGGAGAGGAACCCGTCCGGCACGGAGGCGCGGGGCACGTTGGTGTTTACGATGAACATCGGCATGATGGCAGAAGGACCAGGAGACCCGCGCAGAGGCACAGACGCACGCGCCGCGGCCGCCGCTGAGCTACGTGCCTGACTTCTCGGACACCACTGTGGTCCCGCCTTTTGTGACGCCACCGCCGGCGCCAGGCCCCGCCCCCGCGAGGCTGCGGCTCCGCCCCGAGTGGGGAAGTCACCGCCTGCCTCGGCTCGACCCCCGCAGGGCAGGACCCTGGGCGACTCCGCCCGTTCCTCCAGCAACCGCCGCTAAGCCCGGCGCACCGCTCCAACCTGTTCTCCACTTGGCGGCTAGAAATCGGCCTGTTCCGGCCTCGCCTCGGGTCTTTCTTAGTCCTTTCACTAAGTCACCGATGTTAGTCGCCAGGAGGCGCTGTGCCGGGGGTGGGGATGCGGCGGTGAACCCGGAAGATGGCCCCTTACCCTTCCAGAGATGAAGCCCAGTTCATTCCACTGCACGCACTGAGCCCCTGTACCTCCTGTCTTTGGGCCACATGTCCTCAAGGGCTCCAGTCCCGCATGCGTGAGCTTGTGTGTTTGAGATGGGGCGGGGTAGTCATCGCGGCAGGTGAGAGGGGAGCTGCCCCTGCGAATCACCATCCAGGGAACTTCCCTGAACCCCTGCTCTTTAAAGAGGATAGGATGCTGGGAGGCACCGAAGGGAAGGAGGCGAGGTCCAGAGCAGGTTCAGTGGTTCAAACGTGCTCAGCTCCCCTTCTCTGGGCCTCTGGGCAACTTCAGCTCCTCAGGGAAGCCACACCCTAGTCAGGTCCACCGTGTATGGCCTCTCATAGAGCCCTTGGTGAATTTCTTAAATGTCTTTTCCACTAATGGTAAACTCGGGGACCATCTAGCAGGTGCCAGGCATACAAGAGACATTGACTAATACTGCTGAATGAATGAATGAATGAATGGGTGAAAGAAGATAAGCCATGACATAGCAGGAAGAGGACAAGGCAGCAACTGGATCACAGGCCAGGTCCTCAGAGATTTCCAGGGAGGTCCTGTCCTTGGTCTCTGATAGGTGCAATCCATATACCAGTCTCAGTGAAGGCCATGTGATATAGGAAGGACACCCATGCCTGTGGGACCCTCGTGGCACCAGCCAGCCTCCAGCTGGGAGGCCCCATGGCCCATTTATACAAATAGCCTATGGGTATTGGTTCCTGCAGCTGGGCCCCAGACTCTTTCCCTCCTGGTGTCACACCTTCTCTTACCTGTGCCCAGGGCTCCCTAACTGATGGCACTCCATACCATGTCTCCAGCCAGGGGCACTCCCCTAAGTCCCAGGCGCTGACAGCAGCTGACTGAGTGTCCACTGCTCTGTAAAGTCCAAATGTATGACTTGTCCTCCTACACCTCATCACCTGCCAGTAAAATATGCTTCCTTTCACTATCCCTTTATTCCCACTTCTCTCCATTCCCTGAACTACCGCCTAGTCTACACTACCTGCATCCCCTTTGGCCTGGACCACTGTGACTTCCCTATGGTGGACTGCTGCTCCTCAAGGGAGGAGTCTGTTTCCAGCCCCAGGCAGCAGAGTTAGCCCCGACTCCCTGTGCCCTATGAAAGCTGAGCAGAATTACATAAGTCACTCCAGGCAGAAGACTGAAGAGCCAGGGCCTGGTTGACCTGTGCCCTGTGAACCTGAATGACAAGGTGCAGCCTCGCCAGCAAGCACATGAGCTGCCCCTGGAGGTGAGCCCCTGCCAATCTCAGGTTGTTACCATAACAAAGGGTTGCCTTACCTGGCCAGTGACGGAGCAGGAGCATTGCCATCTTGAACAAACACCACCATTCTAAGTTCCCCCTTAATTAAAAGCCGCCTAAATCCAGCCCGAAAATATCAGCCTAATAGCTAATGTCAGCATAACCAGAAACATTCCAACCCTAAGATAAACCCTTCTCTGACCAGAAACATGCCAACCCGGAGACAGCCTCCCTTCTGACCAGAGACATTCCATCCCCGCAATAAACTTTCCCTCACACAGAAACATTCAGAACCTATGATAAGAACCCCCTCCAAAACCCTTAAATATCCTTAGTTTGTAAGAGAGTGTGGCTCTGACCTAACTTGGCCAGAAGCCCCTCTCAAGTTTGTTTTCCAAAATAAACCTGTCCTTGTTGACTGTCGAGCCACCCTTGGTGTTTCTTTCCTCTTTAATTCTTATAGCCAGGACAGCCTCTGAGCCACTTGTCATCTCCTTGTACCCTCCCCAGCTGTTTCCAGTGGCAGTCAGCCTCATCCTTCTAGAAGGGTACCCAAAGAAGTGATATGATTTGCCTCTTACTAGCATGGACATTTGGCTCACTTTCCCCATCTGTAATTTGGGGATGACAATAGTGTTCACCTGACATAGAGGTGTTATGAGCACCAAGTGGCCTAAATGCCAATGACAGTCTCCTCTGATACTAGGGGTAGTACTGTCACAAGGCCCTGGGGTAACCCGGTCCCTGTGAGCCTCCGCCAACCCTCCCTGGTTCTCTGAGTTATGGCGCACTGTCCTTCAGTACCATGGCTCCTGGCTCCAGGGTTGGGGGTTGGTTCTGAAATCCAGTTTGCCCACATTTTCCCTCATCTGACTCCAACTCATCCTTCAGTTCTTGGCTCAGCCTTAGTTCCTTGGGAAAGCCCCCGGAGCACCTGGCTTGGTCCATTCCCACACGTGCCCAGTACCTGTCCTGTCCTTCGAGGCTATCTCCATATTTCTGAGTTAAGACTGCATGTCTAGGCGGTAAACTCCATCCCAGTGGGGACAGTCTCTTTTTGGGCATTGCTGTATGCATACCTCCTGACCCCTTACCTCCGTGGTAGGCAGATGACCCCCTGCCCACTAAAGAATAGCAGGGGGAGGACAAGCACTAATCCCTGGAACCTACAAGTATGCCATGTTACCTGGCAAAAAGCACTTCACAGATGCAATTAGGATTATGCATCTGTGCATAATAGGGAGATTAGCATGGAGCATCTGGGTACACCCAATCTAATCACATGAACTCTTAAAAGCAGATAATTTTCTCCAGCTAGAGTGCCAGATTCCAAGCAAGAGAAACACTCGATGTCCATTACCGGCTTTGAAGATGAAGGGGACCAGAGACCTCATGGTACAACCACAAGGAACTGAATTCTGCTCACAACCAGATTGAACTTGGAAGTGGATTTTTCCCTTGTCCCTTCAGATACCTTGACTTTGGCCATGCGAGTCCTTACACAGAAGACCTAGTCATGTCACGCCGGACTACTGACCCACAGAAACTGTGAGATAATAAATGCGTGTTGTTTGAAGCTGCTAAAAATTTGTGTTGATTTATTATAAGAGCAAAAAAAAAATAATACACCTTGGGACCCATAGGGACACAATAATTATCCGCTAACCATGGACAAATGCGCTAGGAGGCATTGGCAGGCATGGCTGCTGACTCCCTCTTCCTCCTCATGGCAGCATCCCAGATCTGTTCGTTAGAAGGTTCACTGCCCCAGAGTTCCTGCCACCCAGGTGTGGCCACCTCATCTCCCACCCCATCCCAGCACATCCAGCTGGAGGCACAACTCACCTCAGCTTCCTCACCCCTAGGCCTCTGAGGAAGCATTTTCATGGTCTGATTCCAAAGACAGCGGTGTGTGTGTGTGTGTGTGTGTCCATGTGTGTGCGCGTGCACGTGTGTCCACATGAGTGCTCACATGCACTATGAGCCTATGAAGCTAGAGTAGCTGAGAAGTCACCATCTAGCCCTGGAGTGTGCACCCAGACAGGAGCCTGGGCTCCCCGGGCAGAGTCATCTCTCTCCAGGTGTTTGATTCTCTCTAATCTTCAATGATTCCCTGCTACCTGCAGAATGAACCAGAGAATGGGGGCAGAACACGACCCCTGAAGAGCGCTGGCTCAAGCTGAGCTCCACTGCTAATCCACAGGGTCACTCTGGACCCCTCGGGTGGCCTAAAGGCCTCCTCAATAAAATGGAGATCAAGGAGATCAGGAAGCACACAGACTCTAGACTACACTTCCCATGAGCACTCTGAATGATCAGCACCAGCGCGCCACGGACCTCAGGTACCAGGCGAGGTCCCAGACGCAGCGTGTGCAGTGATCAAGGTCTGGGGTCCATGGTCACCAGGTCTACTCCTGGCCATTCCAGTTAGCTGTGTGACCCTGGACAAGCCACCGGCTTTTACTCAGTCTCTCATATGTACAACAGGGGTAATAAAAGTACTAATTTCATGGGGTCCTTTCCAGGATTAAAGGAGCTAACACTTGGAAGATACTCAGAATGGTCCTGATACATAGAAAGCCCTCCATAGATGTTATCCCTGAACATTGTTGTCACTGGGAGACTGTTTTGCAAGGTAAGGACCACCGCCATCCTCACAACCCTGGGCACAGCCTGAGGACAAGGACTGAGGCGGAAGCCTCTGGATGTAGTGGACCCTAGGTGGATATGTGTAAACTGAAGGGAAAAATGATTCAGCTGAGGCACAGAGTGATCTGGGTCCCAACAAGAGGGAACCAGAGACTCAGAGGGTCCAAGAAAGGAGAGGATGAGAACAAATACAAGAGAATGGACAACAGCCCTTTGGAGGCTGTGCAAGCCCAGATCCTTGTGAGCGCCGCCTGGATCCCGGCAGCCAGGCAGCCAACTTGAGCCTGCCAGATGGGCGGGGCCCTGTCCCCTGGCCCTGGGAAGCTGGGACATGTAGGTCCTGGTAATTAGCAAATGAGGGAGGGATTCGGGCTAGGAGAGGGGCTTGACCACATGCTCTGGGAGGTGGGGAGAGGCCACACTGGGTCTGGGGTCTGGGGAGGTGGGCTGGAGCTGGGGAGCATGGCTGTGACTCCTCTCCAGCTACATGGGCTAGACATCAATGCTCACACCTGGAACGCAGTCTCAGCAGAGGCAGGTCAGCTCCCACCCTGGACCACCCCCTAGAAACCCAGTCTGGCTCTCTCACCCCTCTCTGCACTGCCCTTCCTTGTCTTCAAGGTCCTGTCCTGAGACCCTGTCTCCTCTCCCTAACTGAGGGGCTCCCTGCGTAACAAGGGACTTGCAACCCCCACCCCGCCCTCCCAGAGTGGCCAGAGCCAATTCCGGCTGGGTGGGTGGTGAGTGAGAGGGCAGGGCTCAGGCTGGGGACCGGGGCACCATGTGTGTCCGAGGCAGGCCGGGACCTGGGTGTCACCTGATGCCTGCTCTGCTCGTGGCACGTACCCCAGGATCTCAGGGGTGCTTGTCAATGGATTCTTACTCATGACTCCACGTTGGAGGTCTGCAGCCAGGGCGGCCAGGGAAGCCATTTGGAGCACAAAGGTAAGCTGGGGAGCAGGTCAACAGAGGCAGGATCAGGGTGGATGGACACAGAGGGGCAGAGTGACCACACACAGGGCTCCTGGGAGGGCTGCCCCTGCCTCCTGAAGACTCCACAGTGACTGGACACGGTAGCTTCATTCCCATCCTGCAACGCTGCTGCCTCCCAGTGGCTCCAGCTTTTTTTTTTTTTTTTTTCTTTTTTTGGTAGAAACAAGGCCTCGCTCTGTGGCCCAGGCTGGAGTGCACTGGTGCAATCATAGCTCACTGTAATCTCCAACTCTTGGGCTCCAGAGATCCTCCCACCTCAGCCTCCCAAGTAGCTGGGACTACAGGCACATGCCACCAAGGCTCTAGCTTTTAAAAGGCCCCCAGCTGAGCCTATCCTTAGGAAGCCAGCTCAGAGTCACCTTCTCCCTGAGACCTCTACTGACACCCTGACCCAGAGATTTCTCTCTCCCCAGAGAACCCACAGCCCCACCACTTCTCTTTAACAGTCACTGTTTCCTGACAAAAGCCAAATTCTTTCTTATACAACAATAGTCCACTGATTTTCTTTATTTAGGCACCAAAGTAAAATAATGAAGAAAAAATGGCTTTTTTTAAAGCAAATGGTACTGGTACGACCAGATAGCCATTTCAAAAAAAAAGAAAGAAAAGAAAAAAGGGCCAGTCATGGTGACTCATTCCTGTAATCCCAGCACTTTGGCAAACGAACGGCTTGAGTCCATGAGTTCAGGAACAGTCTGAACAACATGGCAAAAGCCTGTCTCTACAAAAAAACAAAGAAAAACAATAAAACAAAACAAAACAAAAATTAGCCAGGCTAGCCGGGCGCGGTGGCGGGCGCCTGCAGTCCCAGCTACTCGGGAGGCTGAGGCAAGAGAATGGCGTGAACCCGGGAGGCAGAGGTTGCAGTGAGCCGAGATAGTGCCACTGCAGTCCTGCCTGGGCGAAAGAGCAAGACTCCATCTCAAAAAAAAAAAAAAAAAAATTAGCCAGGCATGGTGGCACGCATCTGTAGTCCCAGCTACTTAGGAGGCTGAGGTGGGAGGATTGCTTGAGTCTGGAAGGTAGAGGTTGCAGTGAGCTGAGATCACGTCACTTGCACTCCAGTCTAGGCAACACACAGTGAGACCCTGTTCCCCCCACCCACCCAAAAAAAAGGAACCTCAGCCCCTCACACCATACCCAAAAATTAACTTGAAATTCATCATCAGCAACATAAGTGTAAAAGCTAAAACTATCCAACATTTGGAAGAAAATCTTTGCAACATTGGGATAGGCAAAGATATCTTATGGCACAAAAAGCATGAATCACAAAAACCAAAAACTGATAAATCAAACTTTACCAAAATAAAAATTTCTGTTCGGCCGGGCCAGGTGGCTCACGCCTGTAATCCCAGCACTTTGGGAGGCCGAGGCGAGCAGGTCACGAGGTCAGGAGATCAAGACCATCCTGGCCAACATGGTGAAACCCCGTCTCTACTAAAAATACAAAAAAATGAGCAGAGCATGGCAGCACGTGCCTGTAGTCCCAGCTACTCAGGAGGTTGAGGCAGGAGAATTGCTTAAACCCAGGAGGCAGGGCTGCAGTGAGCCGAGATCGCGCCACTGCACTCCAGCCTGGGTGACAGAGCGAGATTCCATCTCCAAAAAAAAAAAAAAAAAAAAAATTCTGCTCTTAGGTAGCATTAAGAAAATAAAAAAGGCAAGCTACGGACTGCAGGAAAATATTTACAATACTATATATTTAACAAAGTACTAGCTTCCAGAATGTATAAAAAATGCCCACATTTAAAAAATAATGACAACCAACCTGATAAAAATAGCAGATAAGGGCTGGGTGCGGTGGCTCATGCCTGTAATCCCAGCACTTTGGGAAGCCAAGGTGGGTGGATCACTTGATGTCAGGAGTTTGAAACTTGCCTGGCCAACATGGCAAAATCCCATCTCTACCAAAAATACAAAAATTAGCAGGGCATGGTGGCTCACGCCTGTGGTCCCACCTACTTGGGGGGCTGAGGTGGGAGGATCGCTTGAGTCCAGGAGGCAGAGGTTGCAATGAGCTGAGTTCATTCCACTGCCCTCCAGCCTGGGCGACAGAGAACCCTGTCTCAACAACAACAACAAAAAAAAGTAGACAAAATATTTGAACAAATTATTCATAAAAGAAAACCCACAAATGGCCATACTGAGCACATGAAAAGATGTCAAACATTATTAGTCATTAGGGAAATACCACAATTAAATGACAAGATACCACTACACACTCACTAGAATGGCTAAATTGAAGAGACTGACAATACCAAGTGCTGATGAGGATCTGGAGTATCCAGAACTCATACATTATTAATGAGAATGTGAAACAATATAATCAACCACTTTGGAAAACAATTTTTATACAGTTAAATATACATTTATTATTAAGCCCAGCAATTCATTTACCCAAAAAGCTAGACTGACTGTTTATGTCCTCCCCAGGTTCATACCTTGAAACCTAATCCCTCATATGATGGTACTTGGAGGTAGGGCCTTTGGGCCTCCTCGGAGGTGATTAGGTCATGAGGGCAGAGCCTGCATGAATGGGATTGGTGCCCTTATAAAAGAGACCCCAGAGAGCTCCCTTGCCCCTTCTGCCATGTCTAGGAGAACACAGCAAGAAGACCGCCATCTATGAATCAAGACATGGGCCCTCAACAGACACTGAATCCACTGGCACCTTGATCTTGGACTTCCCAGCCTCCAGAACCATGAAAAATAAATTTCTGTTGTTTATAAGCCACCCAGGCTGTGGTTCTTAGTTATAGCAGCCCGACGGACTAAGACACAAAAGAAATAAAAACATATGTTTAGACAATTATTATTGTAGGAACATTCACAGCAGTTTTATTCATGATGGCCAAGAATTAGAAACAGCCAAAATGTTCACCAACAGGTAGATGGATAAATAAATCATGGTCTAACCACAGAGGGGAATACTACTCAGCAATACAAAGGAGTCTCTCCTAATACGTGCAACAACATTCATGAATCCCAAAAACTTTATCTGGAGCCAAGCCAGACACAAATGTGTACATACAGTACGGAATGACTTCAGATTCTGAAAAAAGGCAAATCTGACCAATTGAGGCAGAAAGCAGGTCAGTGGTTCCCCAGGTCTGGGACTGGGGTGGGTTACTGATAGCAAATGGGCATGTGGGTGCCTTGGGGTAGGGTAAAGGTTCCATCTTGATCACGGTGGTGTTTCCCAAGTGTATACACTCACCAAAACTATACTTAGAACTCAAAACTCGCCAAATATATACTTAAAATGGATGCAGTTGGTTATGTATAAATTATACCTCAATAAAGTTGATTAAAAACATCAATTCCTCAGAAAATTCTTTTCTGACCACTCCCCTCTCAGACGAGGTCGGGCCTCCTGGTATGCATACCCATACCCACTACAACCTGTATTTATTTTTTTTGAAACATGGTCTCTTTCTGTTGTCCAGGCTGGAGTGCAGTGGCTCAATTAGGACTCACTGCAGCCTCGACCTCCCAGGCTCAAGTGATCCTCCCATTTCAGCCTCCTGAGTAGCTGGGACCACAGGCATGTACCACCACACCCAGCTAATTTTTTTTTTTTTTTTTTTTGGTAGAAACAGGATCTTACTATGTGGCCCAGGCTGGTCTCAAACTTCTGGTCTCAAAGCAATCTTCCCATCTTGGCCTCCCAAAGTGCTGGGATTACAGGCATCAGCCACCTCACCTGGCCAACCTGTATTTTTCTTTCACTGCATTTCCTGAGTCTGTAATTATTATTATTATGTTTTAAAGAGATGAAGTCTCCCTCTGTCACCCAGTCTGGCATGCAGTGGTGTGATTGTAGCTTACTGCTACCTTGAACTCTTGGACTCAAGTGATCCTGCTGCCTCAGCCTCCTGAGTAGCTAGAGCTGTTAGCACATACCACCATGCCCAGCTAATGTTTAAAATTTTTTGTAGAGATAGGGGGTCTCACTATGTTACCTAGGCTGGTTTCAAACTCTGGCCTCAATTGATCCTCCCACCTTGGCCTCCCAAAGTGCTGGGATTACAGTCATGAGCTGCCACAACCAGCCTGTAATTATGTTGTTACTGATTTTCTGTCAGTTAATTACCTTTAGCCTGGAATACCACGCTCACCATTGATTGCTAAGCACCTGGAGCCATGTCTGCACACAAAGGGTGCTCAATAAACACTCCTTAAATGAGGAATGCAGGAGGGAGTGAGGACCAGGGCCCTGGCAGGAAGCAGAGGACAGGACAGTAGCTGGCTTTGGCTCTGGCCACCCCTTTGGGACTAGAGTTCTGTTGACTGGATAACCTCCAGGCTCCTCCACGTGGGGCCCTGGGCCCGCCTGGGGAAGTTGAGTCTGTGTAATTCCTTGGAGATCTCTTGGAAGGTCTTGCCTTTGGTCTCAGGAAGGAACAGGCCAGTGTAGATGGCCCCACAGACACAGACACCAAGGAAAGGGACATAGAGGAAGTGGGACAAGGCCTCCTGCGGATTAAAAAAGACCCCAAGACCTGGTGTGTCTCCATCAACCCCTAAACAGAAGGCCCATGACAGGTCGTGAGGAGGCATTTGCCCCCCTCTTTGCTCCCCTAAGACCCCTCCCTTTCAGTCTCAGTCTCCCTGGATGGAAGCCTCCCCCTGGGGTTCTCAGGATGACAGGGACACAGCCTAAGGCAGGGCCCCCAGCGGGAGGGGCGGGCCTACCATGATAAAGGGAAATCCCAGGCCGACCAGGATGAGCATGATCCACATGAGCGCCCCGCAGACCATGCAGGCAGCAGGCCTGGCCATCTGGTCAAACAGCTCTGTGGCCAGGATCCCCGTCACTCCGGCTAGAAGGAGGGGCAGGGACAGGGGGCTGCTGGCCAGGGTTCCCTGCCTGCCTCTCCCCGACCCCAGCCCAGACATGGGAGTGGGAGCCCAGGCCCAGTCTGTATGGGGGGCCCCTCAGTGCTCTCCTCCTGCCATTCCCTCCCAGAAGCCCCGGCATGAGGTGGTCTCTGAGGGCCTGCAGGGGACATTGCATTCACACCCACCCACTGTGCACCCAGGCACCCATCACTCCTTCTATGTGATGATGGATGCCCAGAGCCCCTTGGGCCCACTCACCAGGGCCAATGCCAAAGCTGAGGATGAAGGCAAAGATGCAGGCCATGGCCAGGTAGAGTGTCCAGGGGAAGGAGCTCTGCCGTGGACGGGGCGGGGGTGAGGTGGAAGTCAGCCCGGCCTGGACCCCCCAGCCCTCATCCACCCCAGCTACCTGCAGGCACAGGGCCACAGTGAAGATGCTCCCCCAGCAGGTCATCAGGCTGTACCCACCGATGAGCAGCACGCGCCGACCCACCCTCTCGATTACCACACACTGCAAAGGCAGAAAGCACAGACCCACACACCCAGCCATGGTCCCTGAGGTCTGGGGCAGGCAATGGGAAGGGGTCTCCTGAGAAAGCTGGTGGTGGAGGTGAGGGTAGTTTATTGCTTCAGTGTGACTTTATTAATTTCCCAAAGGAACTTGGTCAATCAATCACCCAACTTCAGCCAGTTTCCGCATCTCAAAATGGTGCTGGAAGTGACCCGCAAACCGTAGATGCTCAATAGATGCTCTCTAACTCACTGCATTGATTGATTGATTGAGACAGGGTCTTACTGGTCTCACTGAGCTGAGACAGGGTCTCACTGGTCCAGCCCACGCTGGAGTGCAGTGGCACAATCTCGGTTTACTGCAGTCTCAACCTCCTAGGCTCAAGTGATCCTCCCACCTCAGCCTCGCCAGTAGCTAGCACTACAGGCGAAGACCACCACGCCTGGCTAATTTTTGTATTTTTTGTAGAGACGGGGTTTCACCATGTTGCCCAGGCTGGTCTCCAACTCCTGATCCCACCTCAGCACTATTGCCTGGGCTGGAGTGCAATGGCACCATCTCGGCTCACTGCAACCTCCACCTACTGGGTTCATGCGATTCTCCTGCCTCAGCCTCCCAAGTACCTGGGATTACAGGCGCCCGCCACCACGCCGGGATAATTTTTTGTATTTTTTAGTAGAGACGGGGGTTTCACTGTGTTGGCCAGGCTGGTCTCGAACTCCTGACCTTGTGATCCACCCACCTCGGCCTCCCAAAGTGCTGGGCTTACAGGCATGAGCCACCGCACCTGGCCCCTCACTGCATTTTAACACCATAAGCTGGAGTGTAAACTGGTTTAATGCAGAGGACCTGGGGGTCCCTCCCCACAGGGCTGGTGGAGGAAGGGCACCCTCCAGACTCACACTAACAACCGCCGTGAGCAGCTCGCAGCTCCCAGTCCCGATGATCGCGTACTGGATCTTCGCTTCCGGCACTCCTGCCTTCCGGAACACGGAGGAGGCGTAGGCGTACACCTGGGAGAGGGTGGCTTTCAGGCCTGGGCTCCCTTCCACCTCCCATGGCTCCCAGCGGCCTGCAACACCAAGCCCCCGGGGCCCAGGGTGTGCGGCGGGGCAGGGGTCTCACCGAGTCATTCCCGCAGAGCTCCATGGCACTGCCCAGAACCACGAGGCTTGTCACCTGTCTCCTCAGGGCCCGATGCTGGAACAGCTCCCATGGGCGCCGGGCACGGCAGCCCTGGCAGGCAGCGCGCTCCTCCTCCAGCTCCTCCAGCTCCCCTGCCAAGTCCCCGGAGCCCCGGAGCCGCCGTAGTGCTGAGCCAGGGAGGAGGGTACTGAGCTCCCCGTCCCCAAGCCCCTCTTTGGTCCCCCTACAGGGACGCCCCCCTCCATCCCACCATTCCTTTCCTTCTTGGCTCACTCTCTGTCTCTGAGTCTGTCTGTGTGTGTGTGTGTCTCTCTCTCTGCCTCTGTCTCTCTCAATCTCTCTGTCTCTGTGTGTGTCTCTGTGTGTGTGTGTGTTTCTCTCTCTGCCTCTCAATCTCTCTGTCTCTGTGTCTGTGTGTGTGTGTGTGTTTCTCTCTCTCTCTGCCTCTGTCTCTCTCAATCTCTCTGTCTCTGTGTCTGTGTGTGTGTGTTTCTCTCTCTCTCTGCCTGTCTTTCTCAATCTCTCTGTCTCTGTGTGTGTCTCTGTGTGTGTGTGTGTTTCTCTCTCTGCCTCTCAATCTCTCTGTCTCTGTGTCTGTGTGTGTGTTTCTCTCTCTCTCTGCCTCTGTCTCTCTCAATCTCTCTGTCTCTGTGTGTGTGTGTGTGTGTGTGTTTCTCTCTCTCTCTGCCTCTGTCTCTCTCAATCTCTCTGTCTCTGTGTCTGTGTGTGTGTGTGTTTCTCTCTCTCTGCCTCTGTCTCTCTCAATCTCTCTGTCTCTGTGTCTGTGTGTGTGTGTGTTTCTCTCTCTCTCTGCCTCTGTCTCTCTCAATCTCTCTGTCTCTGTGTCTGTCTGTGTGTGTGTGTGTTTCTCTCTCTCTGCCTCTGTCTCTCTCAATCTCTCTGTCTCTGTTTGCCTCCCTGGTCAGATGGAGATGATCTTCCTTGCCCTGACATTTCTCAGGGCTGTTGCGGTGTTGCCACCATGGATGAAAAAAGGCTTTAGAAAGAAACGCAGGGTTCTGCGGACATATCAGACAGGACATGACTATTGCAGCACATTATCAAACCCAATTCTTCACCCCTCCCTGCACCCACACTGCTTGCTGTGTGATTTTGCAGTTCCTCCCACTAA
The DNA here is from genome assembly GCF_000001405.40 of Homo sapiens. Taxonomy (NCBI): domain Eukaryota; kingdom Metazoa; phylum Chordata; class Mammalia; order Primates; family Hominidae; genus Homo; species Homo sapiens. The sequence goes on along the minus strand of NC_000022.11, from coordinate 23,881,493 downwards.
AGGGGCAAGTACTGCCTACATCCCTGCTCCTGGCTCTGGGCTCGGCCAATAGGATGAGGCTGCAGTGAGGGCGTACCATGTTCCAGCCTAAGCCTTAAGAGGCCTTGCTCACTTCTACTTGCTCTTCTGCCTTCATGAGAACATTCCAGGCTAGCCAGGAGGATGACAAGACATGGACAGCCAAAGGGGCCCAGCTAAGCCACCCTCACTGGGACTATTCTAGATCAGCCAGCCAATGCCCAGCTGAGCTGCAGTTGCAGGAATGACCAAGATCAGCAGAGCCATCAGCCAGAACCATCCTAGATCAGCCCAGCCCAGAGGACTTAGAGGCTTAGGCTAAATAATTGCTTTTTTTGTTTCTTTACCACCGAGATGTTATGATCATCTATTAGTCAGCAATAGAAAGCTGATCAATAAATTGGCACCAGGAGTTGGTGCTACCGTAACAAAGACCTGTGAAATATGGTATCAGTTCCAAGACGAGGCAGAGGACGGCGATGAGGCTGGAGAAATGAAAAGCTATGTTATATAGTGCAGTAACACGGAAGAAAGAAAATGGGCTCAGTGAACTTATGGACTTGAGCAAAGAAAACTCCAAATGTTGAAAGCATGAACTGGTTGCTGTTAGATGCATATTCTAAGCTTGCTGTAAGACATGAAGAATTAGCTCAGAAAATAACTGGCCAGTTTGCAAGCAGAATTCAGAGGCAACAAAATTTAATTAAACGTAGCATATTTCAGAAACACTGGGTTAGTTGAAAACAACAACAAAAAATGTTTTCTCGCCTCTATCCTCTCCAGCTAGCAAAAGAATCCCAAATTAAGTAACAGCCTGTGAGCAAAGATCAAATCCAGAGCACTGCCAGGAAGCCATGGACTCATAGTAAAGATCAAATCAAGGGTATAGCTTAAAGCAGTGCCTCACAGACCCTCACAACTAGAAAAGGGGGCATTTAGGAGGCTTGAGGGCGTTGATTCACGGTAGCCTGACATACCCTAAATACCAGCAATTAGGCCTTGGGAGAGAAGCCTGTCTCAAAAATAATTGTGAGCGTGGTTTGTTGACACATGAAAAAACCTCGAATACATAGAAAATTCACATCATTTTTGAGAAAGTTGTATTGGCAAAAGCTCTGCCAGTTTGGACAAAAAAAAGACCAGGACAATTTGAAATATAAAGACTTCTGTGCCCCAACTTTGTTTTCTTTTCTTTTCTTTTTTTTTTTTTTTTTTTTGAGATGGAGTCTCACTCTGTCACCAGGCTGGAGTGCAGTGTGCACTGGCACAATCTTGGCTCACTGCAACCTCCGCCTCTCGGGTTCAAGCAATTCTCCTGCCACTGCAACCTCCGCCTCTCGGGTTCAAGCAATTCTCCTGCCTCAGCCTCCCTAGTAGCTGGGACTACAGGTACGTGCCACCATACCCAGCTAATTTTTGTATTGTTAGTAGAGATGGGGTTTCACCATGTTGGCCAGGCTGGTCTTGATGTCTTGACCTCGTGATCTGCCCGCCTCAGCCTCCCTGGGATTACAGGCGTGAGCTGGCGCCCAGCCTGCCCCAACTCTCTATAGGCAGGAAGGAGGCTGAGAAATTTGCTCAACCATCAAAAGCAGCACATTGTGCAACGCCCTCTTCAGAAGGAATCAAGGAAGGTGAAAGAAAAGGAAAAACATCTCAGAGGGTAGACCCAAGAAGCATGGAGAGCCACGCATAGTGGTGTGTGCCTAGAGTCCCAGCTACTCAGGAGGCTGAGACAGGAGGATCGCCTGGGCCCAGGAGCTCTGGGTTGTAGTACGCTAGGCAGATCAGGTGTCTGCACTAAGTTCAGCATCAATATAGTGACATCCCAGGAGCAGGGACCACCAGGCTGCCTAAGGAGGAATGCACTGGCCCAGGTTGGAAATGGGACAGTTCAAAACTCCCATGCTAGCCAGATACAATGGCTCATGCCTATAATCCACGCACTTTGGGAGGCCAAGGGGGGAGGATCATTTGATCTCAGGAGTTTGAGACCTGCCCAGGCAAAGAGGTGAAACTCCATCTTTACAAAAAATACAATAATAAAAAAAAATTAGCCAAGCGTGGTGGCACGGGCCAGTAGTCCCAGCTACTCAGGAGGCTGAGGTGGGAGAATTGATTGGGCCTGGGAGGTGGAGGTTGCAGTGAGCTGAGATCACACCACTCCAGCCTGGGCGACAGAGTGAGACCCTGTCCCAAACAAAACCAAAAAAACAAGAACAAAAAAGAAGAAAACTTCCGTGCTGATCAACAATGGCGTCATGCCTATGAACAGCCACAGCACTCCAGCCTGGACAAGCGAGAACCTGTCTCTAAAAGATAAAAAAAATAAAAAAAATAAAAGAACCATGGCCTGGGGTGCCCTTCATAGGGGGTAGGGGACAGAGCTGGAACTTGAACAAAGAATACTCCCTACCCCCAAGGCAGGGGACATGGCCATATTTTCCTAGGGGCGCTTCAGAATTGTTATAGATTAGTGACTGCACTGTGCCTGCCTTGCTTCCTCGTTTTTGAAATGAGAGCATTAATTTTGGTTACCTCATCTTACTTTTTACCATTGCATGCTGAGTGTGGGAAGGGAAGAAGACTCATCTTTCTAGATCCTAGGTTTCTGGATCAAGAAAAGGCCCATATAGACTTAATGTGGCGTAAGATCTGGGACTTCAAGCCCGATGCCATGATTGGATGAGACTTTGGGGGATCCTGGGATGGGACTGAACACATTTTGCACAGAGGAGAGACATAAGTAATAATTGCGGCCATGGTGACAGAGAAGAGTACACTAATGGGCCCCGGTCTTCACCCCTCCTTAAATCCACAGCCCTTGCGATGGGAGAGGATATGCCATCAATTTTCCCATCCCTTGACTTGGGATTTGGCAGTATGACTGACTCGCTTTGGCCAATGGAATGTTAATGGCACGAGGGAACCAAAGGTTTGGAAAGCGCTTATGCAACTGGATTTGCTTTCTTGTTTCTCTGCCATCACCATGCTATTCCTAGGCTAACTCGTTGGTACCAAAAGTGAGAGGACAGAAAGTGCAGCAAAGCTGAATGGCTCCAGTCCAGACCAGCCTAGACCGGCCAACCAGCAGCTGAACCTCACCACTGCCCCCCTCCCCCGCCCCACACTGTGAACTAGCCCAGCTGAGATCAGCAGAGCTGTGCAGCCAGCCAGGCAAGTACATGAATAAAAGAAGCAGTAAATAATTGTTGCTTTAAAGCAGAAATGTTGCGATTGTTCCTTAGGCATTCTTACTGTAGCCAAAGTTAACTGATATAAGATGACCATCACCCAGTTGGCACTGGGTAGGTGAGGTCTTGCACAGGTGTTTCACCGTGTGTGTGCGCGTGTGTTTCTCCGCACCGCTCTGGAGTTCTTGAGTAACAGTGGCTAGGTCTGATCCATTCTGCTGCCTGGCAGTTAGGACAACCACTTGATAGAGTTCTGATTGAAGGCAGGTATAGGCAGATCATGAAATTGAGGCACAAAGAGAGGGATAGCTTTTCCTTGATAAATGAAACCTATGAAATGGGGACCCGTATACTCTGGGGAGATGCATCCCTTGGTCAAGGGCAGTCTGGGAGCCCAAGGACAGAGACTCACCTGCCAGGCAGGCCTCGGTGTCTCCACAGTCAATGAGGAGGTAGCGCGGGCTTTCAGGGAGCAGAGGCAGGGAGGCGAGCTGGAGCGCCCCGGGCACCAGGCAGCTGGCCAGCAGCAGGGGCCAGGCCTGAGGGCCACCTAGGAGCTCCCTAAGGAGGCAGAGGAGAGGCCAGGCCAGATGCCTCTTTGCCAGAGTCCTACCACCCTGCTCTCCTGCCCACCTACACACCTCCCTGCAGGGAGTCTGCAATTGCCCCGTGCCTCTTCCTATCCAAGTCTGGGTCTGAACATCAAGATCCCTCCCACCCAGGTTGGGACCAAGAGAGGACAGGGCCACTGCCCCACCTCATCCCTAGCAACTCCTCTTCCCAAGGGTCCAGGCTCTGCCTTCTCCTCTTTTTTCTGGAATGACTGGAACACGTTTGTCTTTGAAAGCCCAAATCTTCACCCTCTCCTCTGTGAAGACCTGTTCTTTGCTCCCTGACCTGGAGAGGATGGGAAAAGGTGATTCACATTGCAGTGTGTTGACTGATACCCATTTCGTGAATTGGCAGCAGAGATGTGGATAGAGGATTCGATGCCTTCATGCAAAGCAATAATGCTTTAATCTACTAGTGGGTAGGGGAGACATTTAGGTGAAGAAACGCTTTTACTGGTATCTCCGAAATACTCAATGCATGTGGGGGAGGGGTGCTTACCTGAGTCCGACCACCTGTCCCATCACGATCCCCAGAGCCGTAAAGATGGCTGAGCTCATGGCCACAGCTCCTCGGAGCTCCTTAGGGGCGCTCTCCCCCAGGTACATGGGCTGGATGTTCATGCTCACACCTGGACGTGTGCACAGCAGAGGCACGTCAGCCACCAGCTGGGACCCCCACTCCACGACACCCAGCCTGTCTCCCCTGCCCCACTCAGCACTGTCCAGCCACTCAACTGGATCCTGGCACTGAGGGCTGATCCCTCACCCCCCACACTCAGGGGTTCTGCTTCACCTGATGAAGGGCCAACAGGATCCCAACTCTACTCTTCAGAACTTCTGAGGGAGGGCTTTCTCAGATCCGCTCCCATCCTGGTCCCTGGCCACAGTACCACATGTTCATGGGCTCTTCCTAGGTCCCATCACTGGGACCCGAGTGTGAAGGACTCTGACGGGGCTGTGCGGGGGGGTGGGAGGAGGAAGGTAGGACCACATCCTGGATGCCTACCAGCTGTCCCAGCACTCATGTCAATTCCTTCATTGATCACTACAGCTGCTCTCACCTCACCCTGGCTCCCCCAGGGAAGACCCTGGCACCTACACTGCCCTCAGGAAAACAGAGAGCTGGAGAGCACCCCAGCGCCCTCCCAGAGGGTGACAAATGGCAAAAGCTAAGAGGCCACTGTGTTGTGGTGTCACGCCCCTGGGAATGCAGTATGCCCTCCCTGACCTAGGGGTTCTCCCATCAAGGTCCTGCCCCTCTATCTACGAGTTGGGCAAAGATAACTGGAAGGAAGGCAGCTATGCTGATTGCCAAGGAGTCTCGGAGGTGCCCCTGCTCTTCCTACAAACATTTAGCTGGGGATTCCTTCTCTGATGGGTACTTGGGACATGAAGACAAAGTCTGACCTGGTTCCTTTCCCCTGGATCGTGGGCTACTCTTAGTAACTCACTTCTAATGAGCAGAATAATGGTGTATGACCTCTGGAATTAGGACATAAAAAGCACCTGGACTTCTCCTTGTGCATGCCCTCTCTCTGTCTCCCTGTCTCCCTCTCTCTCCCTCCCCTCCTCACCCCCTCAGATCACTCTGGAAGAAGCCAGCTGCCATGTTGTGAAGATCCTCAAGCAGCTCTGTGGAGAGCCCCCCAAAGTGGGCAGCTGAGACCTCCTGCCAATGGCACGTGAGGGAGCATCTTGGAAGTGGATCCTCCAGCCCCAGCCAACCCTTCTGATGTCTGCAGCCCTGACAGCTTGAGCACAGCCCCGTCAGAGACCCCAAGCCAGAGCCACCTACCTAAGACATTCCTGGGTTCCTGGCCCACAGAAACTGTGAGATTATAAATGTTGATTATTTTAAGTCACTTAATTTTGGGGTTATTTGTTTCACACAAATAGATAACTAATATAGATAGCATCATATAGATAACATCACCACTGGGCTGTATAAACAGTAGGGCGTCAAGAGATGACTTGTTGGTTGGAGCCCCTAAAAACCCAGGTGGATGTGCTCAAAATTCTGCTCTCTCACATGAAAAGCCCCAGAAATCGAGGAGTACCTAACAGGCCATTCTGCTTCTGAGAGAAGATCAGAAAACTCATCCTATATCCCTTTACACGTTGGCTACCAGGAAGCTCATGGCTTAGAGTGTTACTCAAACATGGGACCTGTATTAGTGTTAAGTTTGGAGATGCTTATTCCCCCACCCCTACACAACTTTTCCATTGTTCTGTACCTACTTTAAATATCTAGTTATATGAGCCCTTTAAGATAAACTATACTACATCCTTTTGTGACAAAGGTAGGCATAAATAAAAAATAAATGAATGAATAAAGGGAGGAAATGAAGGAAGAAATGAAATAAAAGGAATTAATGAATTTATTAATTAATAGGCATAGAGAGGCAGGATGAGAAGCCCCCACCCCATACCTGCATTGACTCCCACGAGCAGTCTTCCCAGCATGATCATCTCAAAGGAGCCTGCTTTGCGGCTGAATCCAAACAGGATTGCTGCTGACACCACAAAGATGTTATTCACCAGGAGGGACTTCTTCCTTGGGGGAAGTGAAACACACAGAAAGAGAGGCTGTGATTCAGTCCAGCGGGACCATCCCTGGGGACCACTCTTTGCAACTGTAACAAGCCTTAATTAGACACACACACAAATGTATGTAGTATGCCATTAACTACTTTGAGTCCTGGTATCCTTGCTGTCAAATGAGATGAGAGCTCCTACACTTACACGTCTGTTGTAACACATAATTTTTAAAATATCTGTAAAAATTGGGCTGGGCATGGTGGCTCATGCCTTTAATCCCAACACTTTGGGAGGTTGAAGCGGGCAGATCACCTGATCCCAGGAGACCAGGCAGGTCAACATGATGAAACCCTATCTCTACAAAAAATACAAAAAAAATTAGGCTGGGCGCGGTGGCTCACGCCTGTAATCCCAGCACTTTGGGATGCTGAGGTGGGTGGATCACCTAAGGTCAGGAGTTTGAGACCAGCTTGACCAACATGGAGAAACCCTGTCTCTACTAAAAAAAATACAAAATTAGCCAGGCATGGTGGCACATGCCTGTAATCCCAGCTACTCGAGACTGAGGCAGGAGAGTCGCTTGAACCCGAGAGGTAGAGGTTGTGGTGAGCCAAGATTGCGCCATTGCACTCCAGCCTGGGCAACAAGAGCAAAATTCCATCTCAAAAAAAAAAAAAAATTAGCCATGCATGATGGCGCACGCCTGTAATTTCAGCTACTCAGGAGGCTGAGGTGGGAGGATTGCTAGAGCCCAAGAGTACGAGGCTGCAGTGAGCCATGATCACGCCACTGCACTCCAGCCTCGGTGACAGAGTGAGACCCTGTCTCAACAGCAACAATGAAGGTACTAATATGTAATTTCTCAGATTCAATAAAACTCCAGGGAGGAAGAACAGGGACTTTAAGAGTGAAGGAAGAGACGTATAGATAGTCAAGTAGAGTTTCCTTATATTTTCCTCCATGTATTACAGAGTCACTTCTCACAACTCAGAATGGCTGTATATCTCAATGCCTTGGTCAATGGGACAGACACCAACCCAAGGAGGGGACATTGGAAATGTCACCTGCTCCATCATGATGAAGCATTAGCTTTGGCTCCTCATATTGAGCTCAGAAGTGCTGCCATACAGATCACCCAGGAGAGCTCACTGTGATCATATAGCTCACTGTACTGAGAGGGAAACTGAAGACCAGAAGTGGCCAGTGTTCTGCTCAAAGTCACCAGCACATTGGTGATAAAATATGAGCCAAAGCTTAGGTCTCTTGTGTCTAGAGAATGAAAAATGACAGTAGATTATAACAAACTCGATCCAGTGGTAACTCCAATTGTAACTAATAATTATAATTACAATAATATACATTTTCCTCACTGGAATTAATAAATCCATTAATAATAATTAAGTACTTCAATCTAGTGAGTGCATTTTGCTCCATTTCAATACACAGACATTGCCAAAAACACTTAGCATTCACCTTGCTGGAACAGTCATATACCTCCTCCGATCTGCCTTAAGTATATAGCAGCAGCTGGGTGCAGCAGCTCACGCCTATAATCCCAGCATTTTTGGAGGCTGAGGTGGGGGGATCACGAGGTCAGAAGTTCGAGACCAGCCTGGCCAACATGGTGAAACCCCATCTCTACTAAAAATACAAAAATTAGCCAGGCATGGTGGCAGGCACCTGTAATCCCAGGTAGTGGGGAGGCTGAGGCAGGAGAATCGCTTGAACCCGTCTAATAAATAAATAATAAATAAATTCAAGGTCTTGCACTGTGCTCCCCCCACCATGCTACACACACGCGTGCACACACACACACACACACACACACACGTGTCTGTAATCAGTAGCTTGAGGGGGCCGAGGCGGGTGGATCACCTGAGGTCAGGGGTTCGGGACCAGCCTGACCAACATAGTGAAACCCCGTCTCTACTAAAAATACAAAATTTAGCAGGGCGTGGTGGCACGTGCCTGTAATCCCAGCTACTCAGGAGGCTGAGGCAGGAGAATCTCTTGAACCCGGGAGGCGGAGGTTGCAGTGAGCCGAGATCATGCCATTGCACTCTAGCCTGGGTGATAGAGCGAGACTCCGTCGCAAAAAAAATAAAAAGGATATAGCAGCTGCCCAGCTGCAGGCCACAGTCCATTCCACAGGGAGCTGTGCATCCCACAGGACATGCTGCTGTCCCACTATTTTGATGAGTTCACACAGAAAGGACCTGGAGAAGAGGAAGCAGCAAGTGCACTAGAAGTCTTGGTAAGGCACAGTGTGACAAAGAGTAGAAGATTAATAACGAGATAGGGGGCTGCCACTCCAACGAAGTTCCTGAGGTCTAGAGGACTAAGAGGTGGCAGCGTATTTTCTCCAAAGTGCATGACAAATTGCTGCACCTTGGTCCCCTTCCTCTAAGAAGGAGGGACAAACCTCTGAGAGCTTCTTTCCATTTTGGAGGCAGCAGAATACCACATCAGGTGTCGTGACCTGGCACATTTATCAGGTGACTTGAAAACCTGGTAGCTTTGAGTGGTGCTAAGCAAGAGAAGTATATTCTCTAGTGGGTCGAAGCCAAATTCACATCGCAGAGTACTAGCAACTATACATGATCGTGGCCCCAAGCCAAGTTCAAAGAGCTCTGCCACTCAACCCTTTAGCTTTAGGAGAGCCTGTGGTGCTCAAAGTGGCAGTTAAAATACCCTAAAAGGGGATCACAATGCAAAACCAAAGCTTTTTAAGTTGAGCTACTCTCCTTCAGCAAATTACTATCCATATACATATATATATATATATTCAGAGATAGGGTCTCACTATGTCACCTAGGCTTGAGTGCAGTGGTGCTATAACAGCTCACTGCAGCCTCGACCTCCCAGGCTCAAGTGATCCTCCCACCTCAGACTCTTTAGTAGCTGGGACCATAGGTGTGTGCCACGATGCCCAGCTAATTTTTTCTATTTTTTGTTTTTTTGTAGAGATGGGGTTCTGCTATGTTGCCCAGGCTAGTCTCAAACTCCTGGGCTCAAGAGATCCTCTTGCCTTGGCCTCCTAAAGTGCTGGAATTATAAGCATGAGCCACCATGCCCAGCCTGCTAACCTCTTAAGGAGAAAGAGCTCCTGGCCTTGTCACTAGGCCCTAGTGGGGAATAAACACCAGGCTGCGGGATGCCACAGGGCCATGTACTCATCATAACTGGGTGCTGTATGACACCCTCCTACTAAGGTTGAGTGTCCCCTGCAGCACTCCATCACTGAATAGAAGTGGTATAAACCAAACTTGCCCAATGTGGACCCCAAAGTTTCCCATGAATAGGTCACTCACATCAGCTTGGACCCAAAAGGTAATGAAGGACTTAAACTTATCCTATAGACAGATTTTTTAGCATGGGCTTTTTTTTTTTTGAGACAGAGTCTTGCTCTGTCACCCAGGCTGGAGTGCGGTGGCATGATCTCGGCTCACCGCAAGCTCCGCCTCCCAGGTTCACGCCATTCTCCTGCCTCAGTCTGCCGAGTAGCTGGGACTACAGGCACCCGCCACCATGCCCGGCTAATTATTTTGTATTTTTTTAGTAGAGATGGGGTTTCACCATGTTAGCCAGGATGGTCTCGATCTCCTGACCTCCTGATCCGCCCGCCTCGGTCTCCCAAAGTGCTGGGATTACAGGCGTGAGCCACCGTTCCTGGTCTAGCATGGACTTCTTTTGCCTCTTTTCCTTTCCTTTTTTTTTTTTTTTTGAGATGGAGTCTCACTCTTGTCTACCAGGCTGGAGTGCAGTGGCACAATCTTGGCTCACTGCAACCTCTGCCTCCTGGGTTCAGGTGATTCTCCTGCCTCAGCCTGCCGAGTAGCTGGGATTACAGGCGTCTCCACCACCATGCCCGTCTAATTTTTGTAGTTTTAGTAGAGATGGGGTTTCACCATGTTGGCCAGGCTGGTCTTGAACTCCTGACCTCAGGTGATCCCCCCGCCTCAGTCTACCAAAGTGCTGGGATTACAGGCAGGAGCCACTGCACCCGGCCTGTCCCTTTTTCAAAAGATTTGGTTGGACAAAAAGTCTTAGATGAAGCAGAATTTGAAGACTGGTTTCAAGGAGGTACGGGGAAACACTAAGTGGGTGAATCTTTTAAAATTAGCCCAGAACCTGAAAATATAGCTGGGCGCGGTGGCTCACGCCTGTAATCCCGGCACTTTGGGAGGCTGAGGTGGGTGAATCACCTGAGGTCAGGAGTTCGAGACCAGCCTGACCAACATGGAGAAACCCCATCTCTACTAAAAATACAAAATTAGCCAGGCGTGCTGGTGGGCGCCTGTAATTCCAACTACTCGGGAGGCTGAGGCAGGAAAATCACTGGAACCCGGGAGGCGGAGGTTGCGGTGAGCCGAGATCACGCCATTGCACTCCAGCCTGGGCAACAAGAGCGAAACTCCGTCTCAAAAAAAATAAAAAATAAAAAATAAAAAATAAAATAAAATTAGCCCAGAACGTGAAAATATACATAAATATATTTCTGCTTATCAGAAGCCCCCTCCCACTACAAAGAGGCTCTTCATAAGCAGATGGACAATATGACCCTCTATCTGTAGATGGCATTCAACTGCCTTCCTTGACCATCCCGGTGCTTACTCAGTTGGGTGATAAACAAAGCAAATAGGGTAGCAAGGACAGAAAATGCACATGGGCTGAACAATAGGGGCTTCCTGTCACCAAGATGGTTGTGTTCCCCTACACAACCAACCCTGAGCACCCAACAATGGCAACACATTTCAGAGCTCCAGTCAGCTGCTGAATGGAAGAACTACATCCCCCTGTCCTGGGGAGGGGAACAGACATTTGCTTTAATTACAATAGGCATACATGCTAAACTTGAATTTTTAATTTCTTCCTTTCATGCTTATGCCAACTGTACCAGGTATCATGAGATAGCCGCGCAATAGTTATTACCTCCGTCTTCTTCGTGGGAAGAGCCCCACTTTTGTTTGCGACTGTTCCCCTACTCCCCACGGTGCAGATATGAGCCCAGTGGTCTAATCCAGTCTTGCTGATCCAGTGCTGGTGCTATGGTTTGAAGGTTTGTGTCTCTTCCAAAATTCAGGTTGAAATTTAATTTCCAATGCAACGGTATTTAGAGGTGGGCCTTTGGGAGATTGATTAGGCCATGAGAACTCCACCTTCATTGATGGGACTAGTGCTTTATAAAAGGGCTGGAGGGAACTAGGCAGGCTCTTTTTGCCTTTTGCCCTTTTGTCTTTCACCATATGAGGACACAGCATTCGCCCTTTCTGCCATGTGAGGACACAGGGACAAGGCACCATCTTGGAAGCAGAAAGAGTAGCCCTCACGGTACACTGCATCTGCTGGGTGCCTTGATCTTGGACTTCACAGCCTCCAGAACTGTGAGAAAGTAAATTTCTGTTCTTTATACATTATCCAGTCTCAGTTATTTTGTTATGGCAACAAAAATAGACTAAGATTGCTAGTAAGCGAGCTGTTTTGAGACAGGGGCTCACTGTGTCATCCAGGCTGGAGTACAGTGGCACAATCAAGGCTCACTGCAGCCTCGATCTCCTGGGCTCAGGTGATCTTCCTGCCGCAACCTCCCGAGTAGCTGAGTCTACAGGCATGCACCACCATAACTGGTTAATTTTTTTTTTTTTGAGATGGAGTCTTGTTCTGTTGCCCAGGCTGGAGTGCAGTGGTATGATCTTGGCTCACTGCAACCTCTGCCTTGCGGGGTCAAGCGATTCTCCTGCCTCAGCCTCCCGAGTAGCCAGGACTACAGGCGTGTGCCACCACGCCCTGCTAATTTTTGTATGTTTAGTAGAGATAGGTTTTCACCATGTTGGTCAGGCTGGTCTCAAGCTCCTGACCTTAGGTGATCCACCCGCCTCAGCCTCTCAAAGTGCTGGGATTACGGGCATGAGCCACTGCACCCAGCCCATTCCTAGCTAATTTTTTGTAGAGATGGGGTCTCACCATATTGCCCAGACTGTTCTCAAACTCCTGGACCCATGCAATCTGCCCCGCTCAGCCTCCCAAAATGCTGGGATTATGTGGGTGAGCCACCATGCCTCACCAGGCCTGGCTTCTAAGAACTTCTTTCATGCTATGAGCTGCCCCACTATCCTTCCAGCTATTACATTTTTGATTCTGTTATCAGAGTCAGTTTGTATTCTTTGAAATCCAAGAACTGCATTAGATATGCAGGAGGAGAGTGAGGCCCAGGAAGAAAATAACTTGTTTAAGGTCAGTTAGCACTTGTTGGCAGACATGAAATTAGAAACCAGGAGTCCTCCCTCTCTTGTAGCACAGGACTGTTTGCTCTACCAAACCCTTGAAGACGTGTCTTGCAAGGTGAAACTCCAGGCAGAGTAAGAGGCTGGATGAGGAGCTGATCTGGGCCTGGAGCTTGCCGGGCCTCTTCCTTCTTCCACATTCCTCAGCCTGCAGGCTGCAGCGCTCCTCATTAAAGGGCATTCAGGGGGTATGCAGGAAGCACTTACCTTCCCAGCGTGATGGCCAAGGGACCTGCAAGCAGTGCTCCAAAGAGGCCTCCCAGGGGATACAGAGACACGATGAGGGACCACATAAGCAGGACTAGGTGATCGGGCAGTGGCTCTCCAGTACGCGCCTGCCATGTCTCATTGGTGAATTCCTGAATGTGCTGTGGACAGAAATGCCAGTCAGCCTTCTGGGGATGGTGGCGTGGGGGTGCTAGATGAAACAAGCCTTCTCCCCAACAGGGCTCCATGCCTCTGCAGAACAGGCAATGACAACAGGCACCGTGTCTTCTGAGCTCCCCCTGGAGCAGGAACCAACTCGCCTGAGCACCTCCCTTGTGCAGGGCACCATGCTGGTTCTTTCATGGGCAATATCTCTCAGAGCCTAGCACTGGACTCGCTCCATTTGCCCCTCTCTGCGAAAACACTATTTCTCTCTACTCACACAATACTCCTGACAGCAAATGTGTGGATATTTTCCCACATCAAGCAATTCTCTAACTCTCCGGACACAAGCTGGGTGTACTACAATGTAATCCCATTCTGACACTATCCACCTGGAGTTAGCATCAAATCCCACAAGTCAAAGGGCTCCATTCCACAAGACTGTCCCCTCTTCAGATGCCAAGTGCAACTCCTGCACTTCTGACCAACTGGCCATCAATTGGGGATTCCTAGGATCCTTTCTGTGGGTTTGATAATTTGCAACAATGGCTCACGAAACTCAGGAAGGCCCTTTACTTACATTTACTGGTTTGTTATGAAGGATACAACTCATGAATAGCCAGATGGGAAAGATGCACTGGGCCTGATCCTGGGAGAGTAGGTTGCTAGAGGCTTCCATGTCCCCTCCAGGAGCACCACCTTCCCAGCACCTCAATGTGTTCATGAACCTGGAAGCTCATCAAATCTTGTCATTCAAGAGTTTTTATAGACCTTAATCTTCAGCTCCTCTCCCTTTCCTAGAGCTCCGTGAGTGGGGCTGAACATTCGGACCCTCTAATCTCTTGGTCTTTTTGGTGACCAGCTCCATCCTGAGGCAATCTAGTGGCCCTACCCTGTCATCTCATTACCATAAGCGCAGGTATGATGAAATGGGGCTCATTGCAAATAACAAAAGATGCTCCTATCACTCAAGAAATTCCGTGGCCAGGCACGGTGGCTCACACCTGTAATCACAGCACTTTGGGAGGCCGAGATGGGCGTATCACCTCAGGTCAGGAATTCAAGACCAGCCTGGCCAACATGGTGAAACCTCATCTCTACTAAAAATACAAAAAAAAAAAAATTAGCCAGGTGTGATGGCAGGCACCTGTAATCCCAGCTACTTGGGAGGCTGAGGCAGAAGAATTGCTTGAACCCGGGAGGTGGAGGTTGCAGTGAGCCAAGATTGCACCATTGCACTCCAGTGACAAGAGCAAAACTACGTCTGAAAAAAAAAAAATTCCAAGAGTTTTAGGAGCTCTGTGCCTGGAACCAAGGACAAAGATCTATTATATTTCTTATTATACCATACCCGAGGAATCCACTGCAGTCCCCTCCCACCCTGCTTTTGCCCCAGGGAGCCACCTGTGCAGCCCACATCAGTAGGCTCCCTTACTGACCAACTTGGCCAATGGTGAGCACCAGCAGGACATCAGGAGGCAGGAGAGAGAAGTAGGAGTGTCTGTTCCCTGGCTCCCTCCCTGGGAGGTTGCCTCAGCCTGGCTGCGATCCTCTCAAGGGGACCTATGTCTCTTTCCTTCCAATTTCAGTAATCTCTCCATCCACTGGTCATAGCTCAGAGCAGCCTCCAGCTCCTGGGCTCAAGCGACCCTCCTGCCTCAGCCTCCTGAGTAGCTGAAACTAACAGGCACATACCAGCATGCCAGGCTAATTTTTAAATTTTTTTGTAGAGACAGGGTCTCACTATGTTGCCCAGGCTGTTCTCCAATTCCTGGCCTCAAGCAATCCTCCTGCTTCAGCCTCCCAAAGCACCGGGATTACAGACATGAGCAACCATGCCCAGCCTTGGTCACTGTCAAGACTGGGGATTAGGCTCAGGGAGAGGTGAAATGACTTGCTCACAGCGTTAGCCACAGGTCAGAGTTGTACCAGGTAGTTTGGACTCCCCAGACTCCAAACCTCAGGTGAGTGAAGGGAAGCCACATGGTTAGGAAAGACATGAGGAAGACATGGACACCCTTCTCTTGGTTAGAGATGAAATGTCATTTGCAGGTCTCCTGACAGAACAGAACACAAGGGAGAGCAGCGGGTTCAGGTGCTGGGCCAGCTCTCCCCTGCCCAGCTCAGGGCAATGACTGTCAGCCTAGTGCCCACCAGCTGCCTCTCGGGGGAGGAACTGTCCACAGGAGCTGGGACCAGGGCCAGCCTCCCCTGACATTGGGTGGAACTCCTCAAGAGTGACCATTGACAAAGATTCTCCTCAGAGTTTTCTAAGCTCTTTTTTCCTTTTTTCTTTCTTTTTTTTTTTTTAAAGATAGTGTCTCCCTCTGTTGTCCAGGCTAGAGTGCAGTGGCATGATCATAGCTCACTGTAGCCTCGAACTCCTGGGCTCGAGCCATCCTCCAACCTCAGCCTCACAGATCCCTACAACTACAGGCCCATGCCATTGTGCCCTGTTGCATTTTTTTTACTTTTTTGTAGATACTGGGTCTCACTGTGTTGCTTAGGCTGGTCTCAAACTCCGGGGCTCAAGCAATCCTCCCACCTCGGCCTCTCAAAGTGTTCGGATTAGAAGCATGGACCACTGCACCCGGCCTTCTGAGCTCTTTTTCAACTAGGTCTCAACTTTTGGACTTCTGTGTTCATCTCTGCCTTGTTCAATTTTAGCAAGTATCGTGCTAAGTTGGTTTAGCTAGAATCCTCATCCTCCACATCTGATCACTCTCAAAATCTAATCGGCCTCCTTATCCTCTGCCATCCTCCATGATGTCTAGTTACCCTGGCCTGCCCTCAACAAGAATCCTGTTAGGACAATTTAACCAGAATCCCCCACAAATGCCTGATGATCCTCTTAGTCATTGTGCACCCGCTGACCCCACTCTGCTCCTTGGCTATCAGTTCTCACTTGCCCATTGCTGTATTTGAAGTTGAGTCCAACCTTTCTGCCTCAGGGCAGGACCCCATTGCCACGGTCCCTACAACTAGTGCTTGCCACCTCTTGAATAAAGTCTTCATTACTGTGCTTTGACAAGTGTCATTGAATAGTTTTTTGTTTTTGTTTTTGAGATGGAGTTTTGCTCTTGTTGCCCAGGCTGGAGTGCAATGATGCAATCTTGGCTCACTGCAACCTCTGCTTCCCAGGTTCAAGCAATTCTCCTGCCTCAGCCTCCCAAGTAGCTGCGATTATAGGCATGCGCCACCATGCTTGGTTAATTTTGTATTTTTAGTAGAGACGGGGTTTCTCCATGTTGGTCACGCTGGTCTTGAACTCCCGACCTCAGGGGATCCACCTGCCTCAGACTCCCAAAGTGCTGGGATTACAGGCGTGAGCCACTGCGCCCAGTTTTGTTTTCTGGTTTTTTTTTTTTTTTTTTTGAGAGGGAGTCTCCCTGTCGCCCAGGCTGGAGCACAGTGGCGAGATCTCAGCTCACTGCAACTTCCGCTTCCTGGGTTCAAGCAATTTTCCTGCCTCAGCCTCTGGAGGAGCTGGGATCACGGCACATGCCACCATGCCCAGCTAATATTTCTATTTTTAGTGGAGACAGGGTTTAATCATGTTGGCCAGGCTGGTCTCAAACTCCTGACCTCAAATGATCCGCCTGCCTCAGCCTCTCAAAGTGCTGGGATTACAGGCATGAGCCACCACGCCCAGCCTGAATAACTTTTTCTTTAACAATTAGAACTTAACACCATTCAGCAGGGTAGGGGAAGCCTCTGAGCCTAGGAAAGTCTCCTTCGTAGGGGCTGGTGATGGCTGTGGGAGGTAAGGTCTGAGAGTGCCCTGCCCGGCCTGGGATGGACCCCTCTCTAGTCTGAGTGTGCACTGAAGTGGGTGCTCAAATGCTTGATGAATTAATGAATAAATAAACCAATGCATCACCCCTGTAATCCCAGCACTTTGGGAGTCCAAGGCAGGCGGATCGCCTGAGGTCAGGAGTTTGAGACCAGCCTGGCTAACATGGTGAAACCCCATTTCTACTACAAATACAAAAAATTAGCCAGGCGTGGTGGTGGGCGCCTGTAATCCCAGCTACTCGGGAGGCTGAGGCAGAATCGCTTGAACCCAGGAGGTGGAGGTTGCAGTGAGCCAAGATCACGCCATCGCACTCCAGCTTGGGCAACAAGAGCAAAACTCTGTCTCAGAAAATAAATAAATAAAAAATAAACCAACGCAGCCAGCTCAGATCTCCCTTTCTAAACTCTCATCCTTTCTTTAAGAGGCTGGGCTGCTATCATTCTTTCTATCCCCACCTCTATCTTCTGCTAGCAAATATTACTTTGGAGGAAGTTCTCTCGATGGTCAACTACAGCCCTTGGTTCCCCATAAAGGTGATCACCTGGCCCAGATCTGGCCAATCTGAGCATCCCAGCCTCCTGACCACATTACTGGTCTGGGAGTGGACATGTAATCCAAACCAGCCCCTCAGGCTCTTCCCTGCCTTTCTACATGAGCTAACCTGGAAGACTTTTGTTGGTGGGGTGAGTTCTCAGCTGGCAGGAAGTGAATCTGGTGACAGCAGCTCCCCATCTGGGTATGAAAACAAGGCCAAGCTGGGCACGGTGGCTCATGCCTGTAATCCTAGAACTTCAAGAGGCCGAGGTGGGCGGACCACTTCAGCTCAGGAGTTTGAGACCAGCCTGGGCAACATGATGAGACCCCATCTCTACTAAAAAATACAAATAAAATAGCTGGGCTTTGTTGTACATGCCTGTGGTCCCAATTATTTGGGAGGCTGAGGTAGGAGGATCGCTTGAGCGCCTGAGCTCGGGACGGGGCGGAGGTTGCAGTGAACCGAAATTGCACCACTGCACTCCAGCCTGGGTGAGAGAGCAAGACTCTGTCCCAAAAAAAAAAAAAAAAAAAAAAAAAACCAGAGAGAGAGAAAAAACAGGGGCAGGACAGCCACAGTTCTGTCCTGGGGCCTGGTTCCTGCAGCTCTCCCTCAGTGCTGTGTGAAGCCCCACATCCCATCATTCCCAGTTACATGATTAGGTACTTGCCCTTCTTACTTAAGCAAGTTAGAGGTGGGCTTCTATCACTGGGGCTGAAAGACCTATCCTTTCCACAGACACTCACAGAACATTGGCTCGGGCCAGGCTACCATCAAGGGCCAGAGATTCAAAGATGACTCAGATGCTGAGAGCAAACCAGCAGGAGAGAGGAGATGGACACAAAACAGCCCTCACACAGCCTAAGAGAGGACAGCCTGCACCAAGGGCTGGAGAGGCAAAAAGGTTTCAAGAAGGTGGTGGTATCTGGGGTGGGCTTCTACAGGTGGAAGAGAGAGGGCCCCTCCGTGGAAGGAGGCTTAGAGGAAGGGCTGTGTCATAGGTATTTGAGGAACTATACTTAACTTGCTTTGGTATCAGGGTTGGGGGAGCGAAGGTGTGAGACAGTGAAACCGAGGGGTTCATTTGGTCAGGTCTGCCTGCCCTGCTTGCTTTTTAAAATTTCTTCTTCCTTTTTCCATGAAGCTGAGGCCGTGATAGCTCAAGGCTTCACCGCTGAACACGGAAACTTAATCTCCACTGGCTACTTTATAAATAACATTGATGAGACCGGGCACGGTGTCTCATGCCTATAATCCCAGTACTTTGGGAGGCTGAGGCAGGCGGATCACATGAGGTTGGGAGTTTGAGACCAGCCTGACCAACAGGGAGAAACCCCGTCTCTACTAAAAATACAAAATTAGCTGGGCATGGTGGCACATGCCTGCAATCCCAGCTACTCGGGAGGCTGAGGCAGGAGAATCGCTTGAACCTGGTAGGCGGAGGTTGTGGTGAGCCAAGATCATGCCATTGCACTCCAGCCTGGGCAACAAGAGCGAAACTCCATCTCGAAAAAAAAAAAAAATTTCTGAGCAGGGGAGTGACTTGAAGAGATCAAGGTGGGGAGAGGCTGAAGGCAAGGAGGCCAGTGAGGAGGCTGGGCCAGAACTGGGAATGTGGTGGAAACATGGGGAGAAGTGGCTGGATTCCAGAGGTAGTTAGGAAGGACTTAGTGTCCAAGAGATGAAGAGAAGAGTCAAGGCTGACCCCCCATCACTAGGTGGAAGATGGAGTCATCTGCTGAGATTAGGGACTCAGGAGGACATGCAGGTTTGGGGAAGATGTATGCTCAGTTTGAACCTGCAGGAACCTGTGGGCCAACCCAATGGAGACAAACTTGTGGCAGAAAGTGCCACCTAGTGGATGCCTGGCTGAAGCCCCTCAGTGGGCAGCTGTTAGCCAGTACCCACTCAGACAGGGACAGTCTCCACCCAGAGAGGATACATACCAAGGTCGGGGCATTGATGATAGAGAGGTTATAGCCAAACTGAAAAGTCCCACCAATGCCGGCAGCGCAGATGGTCAGGAGCAGGATCCTGCCCTGAATCTGAGGAGAGAGGAGAGAACACAGAGTGACCAACAACAGCCTCCACCCCCTCCCTGGACCAGAGCTGCCAATCACAGCATTGCAATTTATTTGAATCAGGCAGTGATGTCTCCACTTTGCAGATGAGGAAAGTGAGGCACAGAGAGGAGTTACCTGGGTCACATGGCTGGCAGGTAGCAGAGGAACCCAAGCCTCCTGTTCTGAGTCCAGGACCCCACTTTACCCTCACCCCACCCATAGCCCCAACATTTCCCTGAGCTGGAGAGCGGTTCCCATCCCTCCTTGTTGGGCTGCCCCTGAGCACGTCTGCTGTGTTTGGGGAAGACAGTCCCCTGAGCTGGGGCCCCAGTAGAGTAAGGCTCTGCCTCCAGCAGGACAGGAGCCTCTGACTTGCCCCAGGAAAACCTTCTCCAACAGAGTGGCCAGGCTCCAGGAATCTGGGCTGAGCCACCTCTCTTACCTCCCACCAGCATGTTCTGCAATGAGGCTAAGAGAAGATGCCACATGGACCTGCAGGTGCAAGGACTTGGGGACATATGAGTAGTAGAGAGGCAGCATAAATGGCCCAGGTGCCTGGTCCCTATCCCAGCTCTCCCCTTCCTTTCTCATCCTAAGTGACTTCCTTACCTGGACCTGCAGATAATGAAGCCTACTTCTAGGCTGGGTACCCATGAGTCATGCACACTTGGTACACAAAAGGACAGTGAAACACCCTTAGAGATGGAGGGAGAATTCCCCAAGGCATCCCTGATGCCTCATCCTTTGTAGTTGGGATAGTTGGGATTTTCTTTTTTTTTTTTTTTTTTTTTTTTTGAGACTGAGTCTTGGCCTGGCGCAGTGGCTCACACCTGTAATCCCAGCACTTTGGGAGGCCGAGGCGGGTGGATCACAATGTCAGAAGTTTAAGACCAACCTGGCCAAGATGGTGAAACCCCATCTCTACTAAAAACACAAAAATTGGCCGGGCGCAGTGGCTCATGCCTGTAATCCCAGCACTTTGGGAGGCCGAGGCGGGCGGATCACGAGGTCAGGAGATTGAGACCATCCTGGCTAACACGGTGAAATCCCGCCTCTACTAAAAATACAAAAAATTAGCCAGGCGTGGTGGCGGGCACCTGTAGACCCAGCTACTGGGGAGGCTGAGGCAGGAGAATGGTGTGAACCCGGGAGGCGGAGCTAGCAGTGAGCCGAGATAGCGCCACTGCACTCCAGCCTGGGCGACAGAGCGAGACTCCGTCTCAAAAAAAAAAAAAAATTAGCTGGGCGTGTTGGCAGGCGTCTGTAATCCCAGCTACTCGGGAGGCTGAGGCAGAGAACTGCTTGAACCCAGGAGGTGGAGGTTGAGTGAGACTCCGTCTCAAAAAAAAAAAAGAGACGGAGTTTTGCTCTGCCGCCCAGGCTGGAGTGCAATGGCGCAATCTTGGCTCACTGCAATCTCCGCCTCCCAGTTCAAGCGATTCTCCTGCCTCAGCCTCCCGAGTAGCTGGGATTGCAGGCATGCACCACCACACCCAGCTAATTTTTGTATTTTTAGTAGAGACTCCTGACCTCAAGTGATCTGCCCACCTCAGCCTCCAAATTGCTGAGATTACAGACGTGAGCCACCGCACCCGACCTGTAGTTGAGGTCGTCTTAGGGATTCACAGAAGTATTTATCTTTCTCCTTTGGTGATTTTCTGTTTTGTTTTTTGAGAC
This sequence comes from Homo sapiens, assembly GCF_000001405.40. Taxonomy (NCBI): domain Eukaryota; kingdom Metazoa; phylum Chordata; class Mammalia; order Primates; family Hominidae; genus Homo; species Homo sapiens. Next base: position 23,860,408 of record NC_000022.11, on the reverse strand, counting down.
AAGGTCTCATTTTGTCACCCAGGCTGGAGTGCAGTGTCGCAATCTTGATTCACTGCAGCCTCAACCTCCTGGGCTCAAGCGATCCTCCCACCTCAGCCCCCCAAGTAGCTGGGACTACAGGCACACACCATCATGCTGGGCTAATTTTTTTGTAGAGATGGGATTTCACCATATTGCCCAGGCTGGTTTCAAACTCCTGAGCTCAAGCGATACACTCGCCTTGGCCTCCCAAAGTGGTAGGATTACAGGCGTGAGCCACCATACCCAGCCCACTCTTTTGTGATTTTTAATTACAAAATGACACGTTTGTTAAGATTTTTGAAAATTCAGTATATACTGAAAGTTCTCCACTCCTCCAAAGGCACAACAATTAACTCCTTCCCTCAGGTATTTTCCTAGATATTTGCAAAGTAGTTGACTTTACAAAAATTGAATCGTTGATATCTTCCCCCAAAAAATACTGCCTTTCTTGTTCTGGCAAATTGTTCTGTAGAATTAAATGTATTATTTTTGAAAACTTTGATACAATTTTCATGACAGAAGGATGTTTGGCTAAGGTTTTCTGAAGTTTCCAGAACCTACGGACTATTTATTCATTTATTAGTCAAATACTGAGTGTTGGCCGGATGTCGTGGCCCACACCTGCAATCCCTGCACTTTGGGAGGCCGAGGTGGGCAGACCACTTGAGGTCAGGAGTTCGAGACCAGCCTGGCCAACATGGTAAAACCCTGTCTCTACTAAAAATACAAAAATTAGCCGGGCTTGGTGGTGGGCACCTGTAATCCCAGCTACTCAGAAGGCTGAGGCAGAATTGCTTGAATCCGGGAGGGAGGCGGAGGTTGCAGTAAGCCCAGATCGCGCCACTGCCCTCCTGCCTGGGCAACAGAGTGAGACTCCATCTCAAAAAAAAAAAAATGCTGAATGTTTATCTCAGCCAGGAAGTGTGCTGGGGGGCAAGATACAGCTGGGAAAGAGACAGCTGTGCTTTCACCATTCAGTGAGATACTGCACTGGAGGCTGGGGGAGCAGAGGAAGTGGCTCTGGAGGGCAGAATCCTGCTGAAGGCCTTGCCATAGGTCTGGAGACAGGTTGGTGACAGGGGCCCTGGCTGCCCATAGTTCCAATAAGGCCTAAGTAACTTTCTCTAAGGCTGGAAGCCTTAGGAAGAAGCCAGGTGAGAAACCTGGCATCTGGTCCCATTGAGGCCAAATTACAGCTCCACGGGGGCCGCATGGAAGTGAGAGCTCCCTTAAGACAGCAGATGTGAAGGAAGCAGCGAACACAGTGCTTGATGGCAGCTGAGCTCATGTAGCAGGAGATATTGACAGGTCTCTAAGACTACAGGAAATCGTTGAATTCAATGAGATCATGCATGGAGATTGCCTATACCGTGCCTGGTCATGGTAAGCATTCAGACATTAGCTACGATAGGGACCATTAATTCAGCAAACAAAGATTTATTGCCTCCCTATTATGGTCAATAATCCTACTGTTCTAGGTGTTGGGATACAGCAGTGAACAACAGACAAAATCCATGAGCTGTCAGAGCTTTCCTTCCAGCAGAGAAAGACAAGCAATCGCAAAATGAACAAGCAAAATATATAGTACATCAGCTGGTGCTACAGAGACTTAAAGCAGTGAAGGGGCGTAGGAAGTGTTTGGACCAGGTGGTGCTATTTTATTTTATTTTATTTTATTTTTATTTTTTAGAGACAAGGTCTCGCTACGTCGCCCACGCTGGAGTGCAGTGGTGAGATCCTATTAGATCCCTGCAGCTTCGAACTCCTGGGCGATCCTCCCACCTTAGTTGGTGCTATTTTAAATAAGGCTGTCAAGGAATACAAGTGCAAATCAAGACAAAGGAGGTGAGGGAATGTGCCATGCAAATACCTAAAGAAATCAGTCCAGATTGGGAAGGAACCCCTAGAAGCGGTGGGCAGTGCAGTGCGGGCGCTCTCCTCTGGCTGCGCCCTTTCCCTCTGTGAGGCAGGACGTCAGGTCAGAGCTGAGGGAGCATGAGGAGGAAAGAGGCGGGGGTGGGAAACAGTCTCGGGAGGGGGCGAGCAGTCAGGATTGCAGCGCTCGGAGGGCTTACTGCCTCTGAGGTCAGGGCTGATCGGCAGAGGATTTAGCATCTCTGGGGGCTGGGATGCCAGGGTCCAGCAACCTTGCTCTGGCCCACAGGCCGACCCTGGGCGTAAACACCTGCCTATGCACATCTGAGCCTAGCACCTAACGCCACTGTACATACAAGCACGATATTTTTGAACATTTGACGACTTAGTTAAGCCTCCCAGGTGGCTGCACCTGCGCAGTTCACTCAGGTCCGCAATCCCTCATCTGAAACGCCTGGTCTGGGCAAGTATGAGAATTCATACCATTCTAGATCGCAGGAGGGCGTGGAGCATTCGAAAGAGGGGCCTGAGCGGAGGTCTTGCTGTCCCAGGGAGACCCCGGCTGCCATTAGCAAGCGGTGAGCCGGCAGCCTGTGCGCGGAGGGAAGGGCAGCGCGCAGCGCCCAGTGGTGAAAGAGGCGCTAGCGCACGCGCAGTGAGCGTTTGAGAGGAGCAAACCCGTCGAGACGAAGCTGTAGCGCAAGCGCAGTGGGTATTGAGAGCGGCCGCACCAGCTGAGGGTTCGCGCAACGCTAAACGATGGCCGGGACTAAGGCCTGAGACTCAAGCTCAGGCGCAGTGAAGCGCAGAGCCGCTAGAGTGTCGCGGAGGGCGCCTGAGGCGCATGCGCGGACTCAGCGTTTTTAAGAAGGGCTGGGGGTGCTGGGGAGTTCGCCCCAGCGTGTTGGGGGGGAGTCGCCGCCGCGGGGGGGGGGTTTGGGGTCACCGCCGCGGGGTTTGTCGCCGCCGCTGGGAGCTCACCTGCGTCCGAGGCCGTAAGGACGGCTCCAGTTCATCCTCCATCCGCCTCTGCCGCAGCACTGAGGCTGAAAAGCCGCTCACTCCTTACTCGGCTAAGCCCCAAGCTCATCTCTGCAGGCCGGAAGGGAGCTCTGGTCCAAGGTCATCTCGGCCAAGCCCCTGCATTCGCCCTCGCAAGTGCCAGCAAGCGACTCTGGTCGCCGCGCTCCCAAGTCCTCCCCCGAAATTCCGGCTCTGGCCCCTCGTCCCCCTCCTTTGCTACAGTCTCTGGACTAAATGTCTGCGGGTCTCTGTCTCTCGCTGGTCTGACCTCAGCCGCAACCCTGCGCGATTCCCTGCGCCGGTCGCCACTGCCGGCCGCCAGAACCTCGGAGGCCACTGCCCCTGGGCGTTCTCCGGAGGGCCAAGCCCTTGGTTGTGCACATCTATGCACGCCCCACCTACACCCCCCCCCCCCCACACACACACACTTTGGTTCAGGTATCCCCGACCTTTCCCCAGAGGACGGGAAAATTAGGAAAGACCGAAAGATAGACCCACCAGTCTTCGGAGCGCTCTCATCTGTGCGTCCTGGGCAGAGCGAGAGACTTGGCGGAATGCGGGTAGGAGAACCGGTCTCGGGTTGCCGCCAGGGGATCCATTGCGTGAGAGGCAGGTCCGACTTATGCTGGGGGCACTTGGAGTTGAGGAACCACAGAGTCCACTGAACCGGATTAATCTTTTATCCCTCAGGGCTTCTCAGGCCCTGCATGGAGGAATCCAGGAGCTGGACAAAGACCAACTGAAACTAGACTTGCCAAAGATGCTATTTGTGGTCACAGAAACATAGAGCTGGACATGACCTTAAGAAGTCACCTGAGCAGACACTGTGATGGGCACTGTAGTAGCTCTATTGCTCAGACTTGGTTTTTGTTTGACTTTTGCTGCTCTGAACTTTAATTCCTAAAAACACTGCATTTTTAAGGAAAAACACAAAATATTAGCAGTTATAATAAATAGGTATTTTATTGCATGCTTTTCGTGCATCTATTAAGATGATCATATGGGTATTCTCCTTTAATCTGTTAATGAGATCAGTTACATCAATAAACTTTCTAATGGTAAACCATTCTTGAATTCTTGGGGTAGACGCAACTTGGTCATAATATTATTGTTATTAATACATTGTTAGTTTCAACTGCTGATATTTTATTTTGATAGGTTAATTTTTTTCTTTTTTTTTTTTAATTTATTTATTTTTTTTTTATTGATCATTCTTGGGTGTTTCTCGCAGAGGGGGATTTGGCAGGGTCATAGGACAATAGTGGAGGGAAGGTCAGCAGATAAACAAGTGAACAAAGGTCTCTGGTTTTCCTAGGCAGAGGACCCTGCGGCCTTGGCCTTCCGCAGTGTTTGTGTCCCTGGGTACTTAAGATTAGGGAGTGGTGATGACTCTTAACGAGCATGCTGCCTTCAAGCATCTGTTTAACAAAGCACATCTTGCACCGCCCTTAATCCATTTAACCCTGAGTGGACACAGCACATGTTTCAGAGAGCACAGGGTTGGGGATAAGGTCACAGATCAACAGGATCCCAAGGCAGAAGAATTTTTCTTAGTACAGAACAAAATGAAAAGTCTCCCATGTCTACTTCTATCCACAGAGACCCGGCAACCATCCGATTTCTCAATTTTTTCCCCACCCTTCCCGCCTTTCTATTCCACAAAACCGCCATTGTCATCATGGCCCATCCCCAATGAGCCGCTGGGCACACCTCCCAGACGGGGTCGTGGCCGGGCAGAGGGGCTCCTCACTTCCCAGTAGGGGCGGCCGGGCAGAAGCGCCCCTCACCTCCCGGATGGGGCGGCTGGCCGGGCGGGGGGCTGACCCCCCCACCACCCTCCCGGACGGGGCGGCTGGCCAGGCAGAGGGGCTCCTCACTTCCCAGTAGGGACGGCCGGGCAGAGGCGCCCCTCACCTCCTGGATAGGGCGGCTGGCTGGGCGGGGGGCTGTCCCCCCCACCTCCCTCCCGGACGGGGCGGCTGGCCGGGCAGAGGGGTCCTCACTTCCCAGTAGGGGCGGCCGGGCAGAGGCGCCCCTCACCTCCCGGACGGGGCGGCCGGCCGGAAGGGGGGCTGACCCCCCCCACCTCCCTCCCGGACGGGGCGGCTGGCCGACCCCCCCCCCCCCACCCCGCCTCCCTCCCGGACGGGGCGGCTGGCCGGGCAGAGGGGCTCCTCACTTTCCAGTAGGGGCGGCCGGGCAGAGGCGCCCCTCACCTCCCGGACGGGGCGACTGGCCAGGCGGGGGGCTGATCCCCCCACCTCCCTCCCGGACGGGGCGGCTGGCCAGGCGGGGGGCTGACCCCCCCCACCTCCCTCCCGGACGGGGCGGCTGGCCGGGCAGGGGGCTGACCCCCCCTCCCCCCTCCCGGACGGGGCGGCTGGCCGGGCAGGGGGCTGACCCCCCCACCTCCCTCCCGGATGGGGCGGCTGGCCAGGTGGGGGGATGACCCCCCCACCTCCCTCCCGGGCGGGGCGGCTGGCCGGGCAGAGGGGCTCCTCACTTCCCAGTAGGGGCGGCCGGGCAGAGGCGCCCCTCACCTCCCGGATGGGGCGGCTGGCCAGGCGGGGGGCTGATCCCCCCACCTCCCTCCCAGACGGGGCGGCTGGCCGGGCGGGGGGCTGACCCCCCACCTCCCTCCCGGACTGGGCGGCTGGCCGGGCGGGGGGCTGACCCCCCCACCTCCCTCCTGGACGGGGCGTCTGGCCGGGCAGAGGGGCTCCTCACTTCCCAGTAGGGGCGGCCGGGCAGAGGAGCCCCTCACCTCCAGGACGGGGCGGCTGGCCGGGCGGGGGGCTGACCCCCCCCACCTCCCTCCCGGACGGGGTGGCTGCTGGGCGGAGACGCTCCTCACTTCCCAGACGGGGTGGTTGCCGGACGGAGGGGCTCCTCACTTCTCAGACGGGGCGGTTGCCAGGCAGAGGGTTTCCTCACTTCTCAGACGGAGCAGCCGGGCAGAGACGCTCCCCACCTCCCAGACAGGGCTGCGGCCCAGCAGAGGCGCTCCTCACATCCCAGACAGGGCGGCGGGGCAGAGGTGCTCCCCACATCTCAGACGATGGGCGGCCGGGCAGAGACGCTCCTCACTTCCTAGATGGGATGGCGGCGGGGAAGAGGCGCTCCTCGCTTCCCAGATGGGATGGCGGCCGGGCAGAGACGCTCCTCACTTTCCAGACTGGGCAGCCAGGCAGAGGGGCTCCTCACATCCCAGACGATGGGTGGCCAAGCAGAGACGCTCCTCACTTCCCATACGGGGTGGCGGCCGGGCAGAGGCTGCAATCTCGGCTCTCCGGGAGGCCAAGGCAGGCGGCTGGGAGGTGGTTGCAGCGAGCCGAGATCACGCCACTGCACTCCAGCCTGGGCACCATTGAGCACTGAGTGAACGAGACTCCATCTGCAATCCCGGCACCTCGGGAGGCCGAGGCTGGCGGATCACTCGCGGCTAGGAGCTGGAGACCAGCCCGGCCAACACAGCGAAACCCCGTCTCCACCAAAAAAAAAACGAAAACCAGTCAGGCGTGGCGGTGCGCGCCTGCAATCGCAGGCACTCGGCAGGCTGAGGCAGGAGAATCAGGCAGGGAGGTTGCAGTGAGCCGAGATGGCAGCAGTACCGTCCAGCCTTGGCTCGGCATCAGAGGGAGACCGTGGAGGGAGAGGGAGAGGGAGAGGGAGAGGGAGGGGGAGGGGGAGGGAGAGGGAGAGGGAGAGGGAGAGGGAGAGGGAGAGCAGGTTAATTTTTTTTCAAAACAACCATTGCCTTTTCCCCCTTAAGAAATAAGTGGGAAGTGGCCGGGTGCGGTGGCTCACGCCTGTAATCCCAGCACTTTGGGAGGCCGAGGCAGGCAGATCACGAGGTCAGGAGATCGAGACCATCCTGGCTAACACGGTGAAACCCTGTCTCTATTAAAAATACAAAAAATTAGCCGGGCGTGGCGGCACGCTCCTGTAGTCCCAGCTACTCGGGAGGCTGAGGCGAGAGAATGGCGTGAACCCGGGAGGCGGAGCTTGCAGTGAGCCAAGGTCGTGCCACTGCACTCCCGTCTGGGCGACAGAGAGACTCCGTCTCAAAAAATAATAATAATAAATAAGTGGGAAGTGACGGGCTAATAAATGGCGCTAGGACAGTTGATGATATGGGGAAAAAGTGTGGACCTCTGTCTCACTTCATATACAAAAGTCATTCCAGGTACACACAAACCTAATGCAAAAACCTAACTTCAAACATTTTAGGCTGGACGCAGTAGCTCCCACCTGTAATCCCAGCACTTTGGGAGACTGAGGCAGGAGGATCACTTGAGCGCATAAGTTCAAGACCAGCCTGGGCAACATGGGCAGACCCCCATCTCTATAAAAAAAAATGTAAAGGCCGGGCGAGGTGGCTAATGCCTGTAATCCGAGCACTTTGGGAGGCCAAGGCAGGTGGATCACCTGAGGTCAGGAGTTCCAGACCAGCCTGGCCAACATGGCGAAACCCCGTCTCTACTAAAAATACAAAAATTAGCTGGGTGTGGTGGCGGGCACCTGTAATCCCAGCTACTCAGGAGGCTGAGGCAGGAGAGTCACCTGAACCCAGGAGACAGAGGTTGCAGTGAGCCAAGATTGCGCCACTGTACTCCAGCCTAGATGACAGAGTGAAACTCCATCTCAAAAAATAAAAATAAAAAGGAAATATATAATACTTTTATAACCCCGGGTTAAACAAGGATAAACCACGCAGATTTCTTATGAGGATTTAACCTTATTAAAATTAAAAATCTGTGTGTTAAAAGACACCATTAATGGGCCAGGCACAGTGGTTTACGCCTGTAATCCAAGTACCTTGGGAGGCCACGGTGGGTGGATTGCTTGAGCCCAGGAGTTTGAGAACAGCCCGGGCAGCATGGCAAAACCCCGTCTCTACAAAAATTACAAAAAATTAGCCGGGCATGATGGCTTGAGCCTGTGGTCCCAGCTACCCAGGAGACTGAGGCTCAGGGAGGATTACCTGAGCCAGGGAAGTTGAGGCTGCAGTAATCGGTGATCACAGCACTGCACTCCAACTGGGGCAACAGAGTAAGACCCTGTCTCAAATAAACAAACAAAAGACGCCATGAAAAGGTGAAACCTGGCCAGGTGTGGTGGCTCCAGCCTGCGATCCTAGCACTTTGGGAGGCCGAAGTGGGAGGATCACTTGAGTTCAAGAGTTCGAGACCAGCCCTGACAACATAGTGAGACCACATCTCGATTTTTTAAATAAAAAAATACGCATTTTTTAAAAAGTTGAAACCTAAAGCTACCAAGTAGAAGAAGGTAACTACAACATATGACCAACACAGTATTAGTATTCAGAATGTATATAGAATACCCACATACCAATAAGGAAAAGAAAATGGGCAAACAGGCTTGACACGGTGGCTCATGCCTATAATCTCAGCACTTGGGAGGCCAAGGCGGGGCAGATCGCTTGATCTCAGGAGTTCGAGACCAGCCTGGGAAACATGGTAAAACCCCGTCTCTACCAAAAATACAAAAAATTAAACCCCATCTCTACCAAAAAATACAAAAAATTAGCTTGGCATGGTGGTTTGGCCTGTAGTCCCAGCTACTCAGGAGGCTGAGGCATGAGGATCACTTGAGCCCAGGAGGCAGAACTTGCAGTGAGCCGAGATCGTGCCACTACACTCCAACCTGGGCGACAGAGTGAAACTCCGTCTCAAAAAAAAAAAAGATATGAACAAGGAATTTACAGAAGAGGAAACTGAAATGACCAAAAAACCTAATTAAAAGATAGCTACATTAGTAATCAGGAAATGCAAATTAAATCCACATCAGCATATTGGTTCCCACTCAACAGACTAACAGCTTAATTCTGGCAATACCAAGTGGTGGTGTTGATCAGCTGGAACACCCACGTACTATTGATGAAAATATCAGTTGGAACTAGGTGTGGTGGCTCATGCCTGTAATCCCACCACTTTAGGAGGCCAAAATAGGAGGATCATTTGAGGCTGAAGTTTCAAACCAGCCTAGGCAATGTGGTGAGACCCTGTCTCTATAATTTATTTTTTTTAATTAGCTGGGCACAGTGGCACACCACACAGCTGTGGTCCCAGTTACTTAGGAGGTTGAGGTGGGAAAAAAAGCTTGAGCCCAGGAGGTCAAGGCTGCAGTGAGCCATGTTCACACCACTGCACTCCAGCCTGAGTGACAGACTAAGACCCTATCTCAAAAAAAGGAAGGAAGGAATGAAGGAAGGAAGGAAGGAAAAATGTAAATCAGTGCAATGACTCTGGAGAGCAATTTGGGCAGATGAAGGAAGTTGAAGTTCACATACCTCTCCCACCCAGCAATTCCACTCCTGGGTTTACCTTGGAGAAACTCTTAATCCCATGCTCAGGAACTGTTCACAAATGCAGCATCTTTTGTACCATAGGAAAATTGGAAACTATCCAAATGTCAATCATGCAAAAAAAGGAGATATAAGCTGTAGAATACCATAGAATACCATGCATCAGTGAAAATCAGTGGACTAGACTAGAGGAACGGTATCAACATGTGTGAATCACAACGCTGCATGAACAAAGTTGCAGAAAGATGCCTACACTATTATGCCTGTATATTGTTTGGAAATATACAAAACCGTACCTAATGTGTGTAGGAATATATATGTCTACATAGTAAAAGCCTGGGGGCGAGCCTGGGGATAAGTCCCAAATTTAGAACTGGGTTTAACCTTGAATCCAAGACCCTGCCAGACTGGATCCTGACCTGGCCACCATTAACAATACCTGGCTGCCCCTTGATTCTCCTTGAAATGCCTCTTGGATGCCCTAAAGCCACCCCCATCTCGTTGGAGACAGGTCCCCATGTGTGGGCTCCCCAGACATTAATTATTATCCTTTGGCCAGGAAGCTCTAGGTTTCGCCTCAGCAAACATTGACTGGGAGTTTAACCTTGGGCATGTGAAAGTCATATCTGTATTTGTAGCAGCCTGGTGCTCACATCCGTCCTGTGCAGTGCTAGGTGCAACCACCCATATGTGGATGTCAGCCTCATTTACGAGGGGAGTCCCTGAGGCTCTGTGAGGCCAAGCCGGTGCCCGCACCAGCCCTACAGCCCGGCTGGCAGAGCTGGTCTTCCTCACATTGCCAAGGGAGGAGCGCAGCTCAAACTAAAAACAATCAATACAGGCCGGGCGCGGTGGCTCCTGCCTGTTATCGCAGCACTGCGGAAGGCTGAGGCAGGCGGATCAACTGAGGTCTGCCTGGTGAAACCTCATCTCTACCAAAAATACAAAGATTAGCCGGGTGTGTGGTGGGCGCCTGTAATCTTAGCTACTGGGGAGGCTGAGGCAGGAGGCTTGCTTGAGCCGGGGAGGCAGAGGTTGCAGTGAGCCAAGATCGTGCCACTGAACTCCAGCGTGAGCGACAGAGCGAAACTCCGTCTCAAAAATAAATAAATAAATATTTAAAAATAAATAAATAAAAACAATCAATCCAGCGAAGCCCGCTGGTGATACTGACTCCCACCCGGCCCGTACCCCACCCGGGAGCCCACCGGCTCTTCCAGCGGGGTGCCTCCGTGTCCCTGAACTGTCTTAGAAAATGCCTGTTACCTGGGCCTAGGGAGGCAGGGCCCAGCGTTGGGGACATCCCAGGGATTCCGTCTCCTGGTGGAGACTTTCCCAGCCCTCGGGGAATGAATGGGCTCACCGCGCCCGGGTCCCGCCCCCGTTCAGCTTCTTCCCCGCAGGCTTTTCGGGATTTCCCCGACGCCGCCCAGACCGGCTCCGGCCGCGAGGGGGCGACAGAGCCCGGGCTCTGCGGAACCCAGCACCAGCGATTGCCGCCGACTCGCGAAGGTTCAGTGGTGGCGGTGACACAAAGGAGGCCTGCGCCCAGGCGCCGCTGGGTAGGGGGCACTTCATCTGGGGAGGCTCCCCTTTCTGCCTTGCCCTCCCTGCCCCTCAGCTCTTGGGCGCTCCAGTCCTGGCCGTTGTACCGAGTTGCAGCCTCCTGCCCTGCGCCACCCGCCCCGGTGCGATTTCACTTGCCCTGTCCTCACATCCAGCCGCGCGGGGCCGGGTGGGCCAGGACCCTGGGGAGCTGAGAAGCCTGACGCCAGTCCCATCCGGCCTCGGCCCGCCTGCGTGGCTCTCCTCTCTGCTCCATGCGGGGTGGGACAGGTGCCTCCTACCTGGAGCCAAGGCTCAGGCAGCAGCAGGCCCGGTCCATCCCTGGGGATGAGTGAGGGGTGCAGGGCACGGCTGACTGCGGGGACCTAGCGTTCCTGAGCACCTCACTGCTAGTGGGCTGAGCAGCTCTAGGCCAGCCTGTTGGCCTCTCTGAGCCTCGGTTTCCTCATCTGTCAGTGGGCTTGAGAGCGCTGTAGCACGGAGGACTGTAACACGGTTCAAGGCTACCCAGAGGCCATTCCTCCCTGCAGCCTTTCCTATTGCCCCCACGTGGGTGGGCATCTCTGTCCTACACCAGGGGCCTCCTGCGGGGGAGAGGGAGGAGGTCAGGAGGCCTGATGATCACTGAAGCCTCTGCCCCCGGGGTTCAAGCGATTCTCCTGCCTCAGCCTCCCGACTTGCTGGGATTACAGGCGTGAGCCAACATGCCCGGCTAATTTTTGTATTTTTAGTAGAGACGAGGTTTCACCATGTTGGCCAGGCTAGTCTCGAACTCCTGACCTCAGGTTATCTGCCCACCTTGGCCTCCCAAAGCACTGCGATTACACGCGAGAGCCACCGCGCCCAGCCAACACAGGGCCTTTTTTGATCCCGCAGTTGTCCCAGACAGACCCTAACCTCAGATGGGTGCACTGGGGGGCTGCAGCCTAGCTGGACAACCTCACTCAAGGTTGGCGACAGGGTGCAGGGGTGCAGACAGGCAGGTCCTGCAAACTACCCAAAGGCCTGCTTCTTCCTCCTCAGAGCTGGCATCCACTCCGGTTCTGGGTCTCATTTCCAGCGTAATGGCTCAAAGACAAAGAAAGAAAGAAAACAAGCCCCAACCCCACAACCAGCTGAGGCGGCCCCTCCTGGCCACCCTTTGATGTTTGAGGACTGAACAATGGGGCTGATTGCAGATGAGAGATTTGAAGCCATCTTAATTAGAAGGAAAGAATGTCCTCGTGGTCGGCTGTTCTAAAAATACAGCTGTGCCCACATCTGGAGGGAAAGGGTGGGGGCCTGGGAGGTGGGGACGGTGGTTAGGCCAGAGTCTGAAGCACTGATGCCTGCATTCCTTGGGGCGGAGGGGGCCTCTAAGCAGGGCCTCTTGGAAGGGGGTGGGGAGATGCCACAGCAGCCAGTCCGCTGTGGCTGGACCACCTTCTGCAGGTTTGGGATGCGCAAGCAGTGGGACAGGTGTGCCTTCCTGCGTCTGCCCTCACCAAGGAAGCCCTCCCCGTGCCGCAGCCTCGGTTTTCTCTTCTCTCCAACGGGGCAACCAAATTGGTCATTTGTTTGCATTTCAAATACTCACTTTGCGACCTAATCTTGCATTTGTTTTGCATTTTTTTTTTTTTTTGAGACAGAGTTTCACTCTTGTTGCCCAGGCTGGAGTGCAATGGCACGATCTCAGCTCACTGCAACCTCCGCCACCTGTGTTCAAGCAATTCTCCCGCCTCAGCCTCCCGAGTAGCTGGGATTATTACAGGAGCCTGCCACCACACCCCACTAATTTTCGTAATTTTTGTATTTTTAGTACAGATAGGGTTTCGCCGTGTTGGCCAGGCTGGTCTTGAACTACTGACCTCAGGTGATCCGCCCACCTCGGCCTCCCAAAGTGTTGGGATTACAGGCATGAGCCACCGCGCCCGGCTGTTTTGCATTCATTTTCTTAAAGAGGCCCCCCAGTCTCATGAAAGTGAAGGGCATTGGAGGGCTGGGTGAGTGTTTGGAGGAGGACGTGGAGGCAGGGGCCCTGGTGGTGTCACTGTGAAAGGATGGGTCACCTGGGTTGTCATCTCAGCCCACCGTTAGGAGCCTCCCATCCCAGCGGCTGGACAATCACCTGGCACGGGGAGCATGCCCCTCACTCATGGGAGCAGGGCCTGGCTGCTTGGTGGGGCTATCAGTGGATGCAAGCCAGTGGAGGTGGGGTGAACCAAGGCCTTTCTTTCTTTTTTTTTTTTTGAGACGGAGTTTCGCTCTTGTTGTCCAGGCTGGAGTCCAGTGGCACGATCTCAGCTCACCGCAACCTCCGCCTCCCGTGTTCAAGCGATTCTCCTGCCTCAGCCCCCCAAAGAGTTGGAACTACAGGCATGCACCACCATGCCCAGCTAATTTTGTATTTTTAGTAGAGACGGGTTTCTCCATGTTAGTCAGGTTGCTCTAGAACTCCCGACCTCAGGTGATCTGTCAGCCTCAGCCTCCCAAAGTGCTGGGATTACAGGCGTGAGCCACCGCACCTGGCTGAACCCAGGCCTTTCTGAACCTCTCCTTCCACCAGACCCATGGCTCTGAGTCACTAGTCCTGGGCAAGGCCTTCCAGAGTGGTGGCCCCAGTCCCTAAAGATTAGTTTTGTTTTCGTAGAGATGGAGTGTCACGCTGTTGCCCAGGCTGGCCTCGAACTCCCGGGCTCAAGCAATCCTCCTGCCTCCGCTGGGACTACAGCCACACGCCACTCCGCCAGGCTTTTTCGAAGTCAAAGACAGAGCTGTCTCAGGTTTTGTCTCTGTGAACTCATATCCCTGGCCCTGCCATATGGCTGACTCTGCCAAACAGATAATCTGCTTCTCCCCCTACACCGCCCACAGTGCTGAGCTTGAAAATAGCTGAGGCAGGGGAGGGGGAAGCCCCCACCAGATGCTCTGGAGCTCTGGGGTGCTTGGCCGGAGGTGGCTTTGACATTCTGGCAGCGGCCACAGCAGGAAGTGGGAATTCCTGGCAATTGCTCTGGGTCATGACAGTCAGGACACAGGCTCAGGCAGGTCCCGCAGCTGAGGGCTGAATGGAGACAGTTTCATCAGCCATGAAGGGTCAGAGACAGTAAAACGAGGCCCAGACAGCAGGGAGGCAGCTCAGGAGTGGAGTCTCATGTTGGAGACGCTCCCTGGGAGCCCAGAGGCTGCAAAAAGTTCTCACCTCCAAACCGGAGCTGGAAAAGGGTCTGGGGCTGCACAGCATTAGCTGGTTGGTGATGTCCCTCACTCCCCTGTGCCCCAGTGATGGGGTCAGGGATAGCTCACTTCCTCCGCATGGGTCCCTTCCATCACCCGTTATGGTGGCAAAGCCAGGACTGCTGATTTTGTGCCTCTTTAGCTGTGTGTCCTCAGGCAGTTTACTGAACCTCTCTGAGCCTATTTTCTCATCCGTAATAGTAACCTACTTCATCAGGTGGTGATGAGGGTTCGGTGAGTTTAATAAAAGCCATGGTGCAGTCTGGCTATAGATCACTGAGCAGCTATTATCTCCCGCACTTCACAGGTCCTTGCCTAGTCCATGAGCAGCACACGGGCCCATTCCTGCCTCCCCACTTTTGCTTAAGCCTTTGTCCCTGCCTAGCACATCCCCTCCTCCTCCTGTCCTCATCAGGAGCTCTCCTGCCCCACGGCTGCCCTGGACCACTCACCAGTGCATTTCCACTCCCTGCTTGGTATGGGATTCAGTGTCTCCTCCCCTGGCCAGAAGCTGAGCTCCTGCAGGAAAAAGGCACCCACAGCGACTCCCTCCCCAGCCCTGCAGGCCTCTCTGGCTGTTCCTGACCATAGGCCCATGAAGGCTCCTGGCTGAGAGGAGACAGCGAGGAACAGATCCGGCAGAGAGGACTGGCAGGGGCCCTCCAGCTTCCTCTGTTGGTGCATTCTTGCTCATAAGCATTCACTTATTCATAGCAGAGATGGGCCTTGGATGGGGAGGCCAGCTGTGTTTGTTACAGGAAGGGGCTTCCACCCAGAAATCTCTGATACCCCCATTATAGATCAGAGTACAACCTTGGAGCTGAAAGAGACTCTACACATGGACCCTTCTGACCCGCATCTCACAGAGAGGGACACAGAGCCAGAGAGGGAAGGGAGTGCTCAGGTCACAATGCCAGCCCCGAGGCTGCATTTCCAGCCCTGGAGTCCAGGTCTCTGTCTTCACAAGTTTCCCTGTTTTTCCCTGTTTACCAAGCCCCTGCCTGTGCCAGCTCCGCAGCAGAAACCAGGCCTAGAGGGGCCATTGTGTGGACAACTGCAGCCCTTCTGCATGAAGCAGGAATGACCAGGGCCACGGAAGGGAAGGAGCTGGGAGGACTGGGCTAGAGGCCAGGGAGGGCTTCCACCCCACAGCACCCCAAGCTCACCTGCCTGACTCAACGAGTGGTCTCCCTCCCTTACTGGCCATTCACCCATGTCTCCACCCAGTGGGGGCTCACTGTCCCCCAAGCTGGGTAGGCCAGGACCCCTCCTACCTTCACCCCCACTACCAAGCATTCACTAAGGCCTGTGGCTTCAGCCATCCTAACCCTTCCACTCCCTCGCTGTTAATGCAAGCCACTGCAGGCCACCGCTCTCCTCCCCGGCTCATCTGATTAGGACAGAGACCACGGCCGACACACCTCTGCCTGGCCTGGCCCCGCTTCTCCCTCCCGTCACAAGCAACTCTTCTTCCTTGCCTCCTTCACCTTCTCTCCTCTGCTCCCTTCCTCTCCCCCAGTTACCTCAGGGCCTTTGCACAGGCCCTTCCCCTATCCTGGCCTAGCTAGTGCAACCCATCCTCTGCCCCATTCTGCTTCCTCCCTCCCCATCCCACCCAGAGACCAGCTTATTCCTGGAAAGTCCAGATTCTGCTACCAGGTTCAGAGGGCCAGGCCCAGGCCGCTCCCTCTGCAGCCTGACACAACCCACCTGGATGGTTTGTTGTTCTTGCGCTCCGGCCACAAGCAGCTGCTGCTATGTGGGTTCCGGATTCAGTGCTAAAAATAGCCTGTGGCCCAGACAGGAAGGGCCAAGGGGGACACAGCTGTTTCTGGGAGGGGCTAGCTGGAAGCCTACTCACAGCAATTGCAGGGGTCCCTGTGCTCAAAGGGGGTGGGCCCCGTGCTCAAAGAGGGGAGAGGTCCCCCAATGGACAAGTGCTCAGGGCCCAAAAGGCACTATGTGTCATCAAGAAGAAAATACAGCTGCACCAGCAGGTACACAAACGTTCAGTTTGTTTGATTCTTGTGGTTAGTTACAACAGGCATGGACTGCCTTTAGAATAAAATATATTTAAAAATTAAGTGCTCAGGACTCTAACAGAAGTAGGTGAGCTCTGGTCCCTTTGAAGGTGACCAGGGAGGGCTTCCTGGAGTAGGAGGCACTTTCACCCTCTGCTCTTCCTCTCTTATTTTTTTAATTTTATTTATTTTGCTTTTAAGAAACATATTTATTTTATTATTTTATTATTTTTGAGACAGAGTCTTGTTCTGTCGCCCAGGCTGGAGTGCAGTGGCACGATCTTGGCTCACCGCAACATCCGCCCCCGGGGTTCAGGTGATTCTCGTGCCTCAGCCTCCTGAGTAGCTGGGATTACAGGTGCATACCACCTTGCTTGGCTAATTTTTGTATCTTTAATAGAGACAGGGTTTCACCATGTTGGCCAGGCTGGTCTCCAACTCCTGACCTCAGGTGATCCACCGGCCTTGGCCTCCCAGGGTTCTGAGATTACAGGCATGAGCCAATGTGCCCAGCCAGGAAACATTTTTTAAAAAATATTTTTAAGAGTCGGGGTCTCACTCTGTCACCCAGGCTGGAGTGCAGTGGTGCAATCTCTGCTCACTGCAGCCTTGACCTCCCAGGCTCAAGCGATCCTCCAGCCTCAGCCCCCTGGCTCTCTCCCCCTTCCCACTTGGGGCTACAGGCATGCACCAGCACGTCTGGCTAATTTCTGTATTTTTTGTAGAGATGGGGTTTCTGTATGTTGCCCAGGCTGGTGTTGAACTCCTGAGCTCAGGCAATCCGCCTTCCTCAGCCTCCCAAAGTGCTAGGACTACAGGCGTGAGCCGCCACACCCAGCCTTACTCTTTTTTTTTTTTTTTTTTTTAACAGAATGAATAGTTCAGAGAGCTGGGACAATATTAGAGGAGAGAACCTGAGGCCTGAATAAGAGTTAGTGGTGGTGGTAAGGCATAGGAGAGAAGGGAAAGGACTAGAGAGTTCCATGGGAGCATCAAGTGTGACATAGGGGGCCGGGCGTGGTGGCTCACGCCTGTAATCCCAGCACTTTGGGAGTCCAAGGGAGGATTGCTTGAGGACAGGGGTTTGCGACCAGTCTAAGCAACACAGTGAGACGCCATCTCTACAAAAAAATTAAAAAATTAGCGGGGCATGGTGGCATATGCCTGTTGTCCCAGCTACTTGGGAGGTTGAGGTGGGAGGATCACTTGAGCCCAAGAGGTTGAGGCTGCAGTGAGCTGTGATCACGCCACTACTCTCCAGTCTGGGCAACAGAGCAAGACCCTGTCTCTAGGAAAAAAAAAAAAAAGTGCAACATGGGGCTGAGGGTATAGAGCTGACTCCAGGCTTGGGGGCTGAGGATGGCCCCTCCTAGTGTGTGAGGCCAGTGAGGGGGAAAGCTGGGTGGGGAGAGTATGCAGAGGGCGCTATCCTGCCTACAGACACTGAGAGGGCCTGGACAGGAGATCTAGGTGTCCTCTGGGAGTCAGCAGGAAGCGTCACAATGCCAGGGAGGTGGCATGGGGAGCAGAGCCCATTGTCACCTTGCCGAGGAACCACAGGTCTCCACCCACCCACCATCCTCAGCACAGGAGAAAGAAGGCTGGCCCAGCCGACAGGTCTGCCACCCTGATGTTAGGGTAAGGCACACCCTGCATCTCTAGGACCCTGGGAACTTGGGATGCCCAGGGCTTCCCTCTATAAAGAATTATCTGGAGGGGCTCAAGGGTCCAAGGAGAAGTGGACCTAGTATTTCCAGAGTGGCCTGTTCTGGGCCTCAGACTGGACAAGAAAGAATGGAGGTCTGCCCCAGGCCCTGTTCTGCATCCTTACGTGCCTCAGTTCCCCCATCTGAGGATATCCCGGGGCTCCGGAAAGGGAGCCTCTGCAGTGGACCCAGCTGCTGTTCCCTGGATGTCCTCCCTCCCAGCCCTGGCTGGCCTCCCCCACCCGCCCCAGGCTCCTGGCCTCCCAGGAATGTGCTTCTCAGCCCCCAATCTGGGCGCCTGCCTTATCGGCCCCCAGTCGAAGGGGAGACAGACGCCCCTGTCGACAATGACATCCCCTCCTGTTAGCCCCAGCCTGACCCTGAGTTGAGGGCCGGCCAGCGCCTGCTAAGTGCCTGGAGGAGGAATATCTCCCCTTCCCCACGCTGACATGAAACCCGACCTCCTGCACCGGCTCCTTTGTGCCCACCGGGCGCCCGCCCAGGCGTCAGAGGCCCTGGGTCCCCGCCCTGCTGCACACTGTGGCTGCCAGGGTGGGATTTGCTCTGCCTGGCATGCTTCCAACATGACCTTAGCCTGCTTTGCTGGAAAACCAAGGTTGTCTGCGGGGGTCCGCTCACCCTGCTCCCAGCCCCCAACCCCTCAGTGTCTTGGTCCAACCCCTGCTGTATGAGGCCAGACCTTCTCCTCACATCCCTCCAGCAAATGCACTTCCCTCCAGCACTCCAGGCTCTCCCCGTCCCCTCCAGAGCAGGGAGGAAGGCTCCTGAACCCACTGTCATTAGGCACTGGTCTCACCCCACTCCCCAGGGAACCCCTCTCAGGGCCCTTGTGGGACCCTCACGCTCTTGGGATCCACCTGAGAGCCTTCTCAGCCAGTTCTCCCTCTTGGCCAGTTCCAGTCTCCTCGGGGGACCTCAGGGCCCTGTCCAGAGCATCCCTCGTTTTCCACACTTCCCTCCAAGGCTGCACTCCCCTTGTTTGTTAAGGCACATCCATTTGTGTGCCTTCCTCTCCCTCCTGCCTGCCATTATCCTGGTTACCAGGAACCTTGGCATGGCTGCAATTCACAGTCCCTTCCCGGGCCACGTCTCCCTGGATTCTCACTGCCTGGCTCCTGAAGCCCTTTCCTGGCTCAGCCTCCCTTGGCCTCCCCAGCTGGGGCTGCCTTCCCTCCCTGGCTACTGCAGGTCAGGCTACCCAGGCCTGGCCTCTTTTCTCCATCAACCCTTGCCCCTTGAGCATCTCACACACGCCCAAAGCTACAAATACCATTGATCTACTACTGGATGACGGCACCCACATTTAGACTGTCTGCTCCAACCCCTACCCCAACACCACACTCAGATTTTTCCAAGTGATGTCACACAGATGCCTCAAATTCGATGAGTCCAGAACAGGACCCTCTATGCCCCTCACCTTCTCCCCACGAGCCCTCCATCTCAACAAAGACCACCACCATCCAACCACTCTGCGGCTCAGGCCTCTGAATCCACTTGGACTCCCCTCTCAGCCCTGTCCCGTCTGTAGGCAAACCCATATCCCACCCCTCCTTGTCCTCCAGGTTCCACCTCCCAGCCCCGAAAGTAATCACTGTCCCTTAAGGATTCCCCCTGCTCAAGGATTCCTCTGGCAGTCCACTACCCTGACAGCAAACACAGAGGTTTGTTGTTTTTTTTTAAATTTTAGTAACATATACACAACATAAAATTTGTCCAAACTATTTTCAAGTGTTCAGTTCAGTGGTATTAAACATTCTTATGCAACCCTCCCCACCATCCATCTCCAGAACTTTTTCATTTTCCCAAACTGGAACTGCACTCATTAAACAATAACTCCCTGATCCCCTCTCATATAAGTGGAACCATACAGTATTTGTCTTTTTGTGACTGGTTTTTTTTTTTTTGAGACGGAGTCTCACTCTGTTGCCCAGGCTGGAGTGCAGTGGTGCAATCTCGGCTCACCACAACCTCCATCTCCCGGATTCAAGCAATTCTCCTGCCTCAGCCTCCCGAATAGCCAGGATTACAGGTGCCCGCCACCACGCCCAGCTAATTTTTGTATTTTTAGTAGAGACGAGGTTTCACCATGTTGGCCAGGCTGGTCTCGAACTCCTGACCTCAGGTGATCCACCCGCCTCGGCCTCCCAAAGTGCTGGGATTACAGGTGTGAGCCACTGCGCCCAGCCTTGTGACTGGTTTATGTTACTGGGTGTAATGTCTTCAAGGGTCATCCATGCTGCATCATGTATCCGAATTTCATTCCTTTAAGGTTGAATGGTATTGCATTGCATGTAGACAGCACATTTCGTCTGTCTCATCGGTGGGTGAACTGATGTGAACCATTGTGAATAATGGGGCCATGAACATGGGTGTATGAACATCTGTTCAAGTCCCTGCTTTTGATTCTTTTGAATGTGTACCCACAAGCAGCATTGCTGGATCATACGGTAATTCTATTTTTAATTTTTTGAGTCATGATCATATTGTTTTTCACAGCGGATGCACCATTTTATATTCCCACCAACGGTGCCCAAGGGTTCCAATTTCCCCATATCCTCGCCAACACTTATTTTGTTTTATTGTTTTGCTTTTCACAGTTACCATCCTGATGGACACAGGGATGCTTGCAAAGTGACAAACTTTAGAGGTATCCCAGGTCACCCCACCTGGCACTGCGGACGCCCACGTGGCCCCACCCCTCACTTGGCAATATTCTCATCAAGTGTCAGCACTAGCTTATTGTATTGACTGCCTCCTGGCTGGACTCTAAGAGACAGTGTCTTTTATTGCATGCTACATCCCCAACATCTAGAACAGTGTCAGGCAAACAGTTGTTTAATAAACGGTGGAAGGAAGGAAGGGAGGGAGGGAGGGAGGGAAGGAGGGAAGGAAGGTGGGTAGGTTGGTTTCTATTTTCCACCAAAATATTGAGGACCTCTCCTGCCTGTCCACTTGCTCTGGTGCGCCTCTCAACCCTCGCGCCCCACCTGGACTCAATCCCGCAGTCCTGCCTCTCCTTCCTTGGGCCCCCGGGGAAGAACCCCGACAGCGGCCGGCACATTTGAGTGGGGCCCTGGACGTTTGGGGAGGTTTGGACACATTCCCGAATGCCTCCCTGCTGTGGGTTAGGTGGGCCTGTCTTGGGCTGGCAGCGAGGACAACGTTGTGGCTAGGTCGTCAGTTAGTGAGCCAGCACGGTCTGAGCCGCCACACTCCGCGCCCCGCCCACGCGCCCCGCCCTTTCCAGTTTTGCCTCGCCTGCTCGGGTCTTCGCTCCTGTAACCCATACGATCTTAGCCCCGCCCCCGTGGTGTCGTGGGTCCACGCTACTGGTCCTCTCCTAGAAAGCCGCGAAATGACCAGTTCCTCATTGGCCACACGTTCTCCCGCGCCACCACCGCAGCCACAACAACCGCCACGTGCTCAACCTTGGCGCCTGCCCATTGGCCACCAGCCTCTACCCGCCCACTCTCCCTTTCCGCCCCTAATTTCCCTCTTCTTCCTTCCATTGGCTGTCGGGCTCAGGGGCTCTCTTTTCAGCCTGGGGCGCGCAGCGCCTCGGATGCGGATTGGCCGAAGGCGGGGCTGGGAGGCGGGTTAAAGAGCGCGTTGCTGGCTGGGCCACGCGTGCTTGAGAAGGTTCAATGGCGTGGCAGGGACTAGCGGCCGAGTTCCTGCAGGTGCCGGCGGTGACGCGGGCTTACACCGCAGCCTGTGTCCTCACCACCGCCGCGGTGGTAAGCGGCCGGGCGGACCGGACGTCGCCTTGGTTACAGCCTCTGGCGGGAGGGGTGAGGGTCGCCATGGTTACGGCGTGGCTCCCGGGCAGCTCTTGACTGGCCCCTGGTTCCACAGCAGCTGGAGCTCCTCAGCCCCTTTCAACTCTACTTCAACCCGCACCTTGTGTTCCGGAAGTTCCAGGTGAGGCCGCCCCGCGCCGCGCACCTGTGGGCCCGACCCACCCACCCCGCACCTGACCGCCCGTCCCCCGTAGGTCTGGAGGCTCGTCACCAACTTCCTCTTCTTCGGGCCCCTGGGATTCAGCTTCTTCTTCAACATGCTCTTCGTGTATCCTGCGCCCTGCGGACACGGGCTGGGTGGAGGGCAGGCCGGCCGGGCTGGGAGAGAGGCCGGGACGGGGAAACTGAGGCCCCGCCTGGTGGCACTTCCTATACCGACGCCGTAGGTTCCGCTACTGCCGCATGCTGGAAGAGGGCTCCTTCCGCGGCCGCACGGCCGACTTCGTCTTCATGTTTCTCTTCGGGGGCGTCCTTATGACCGTATCCTTCCCGCAGGCTCTGGAACCTCGGGCTAGGGCGCCTCGGCGTCCAGCCTGTGTTGGTCCTGGGGCCAACACAGCCATGCCAGAGAGGGACACAGTCGCTGTCTCCAGCTTAGTATGTGTTGAGGGCCCACTCTGTGCTCAGCTGCAGGGGTCAGGGCTAGATCTTCAGTGCTGTATGCAAAATACAAAGCCATGCACAAAAGAGCCAGGTGGGTTGTCAGGGCCACTAGCTGAGCCCTGAATGCGAGTAGCCGGGAGAAACTGGGGCAGGGACAGGCAGTGGTTGGGCCCTGGGATGAGGCTGTAGGTGTGCAGGGCAGATTTCGTGGGACCTGAAGCCCGTGGAGTGTGTCGCCTTTATTGGACTGGCTCATCTTGATGAGGGAATAGCACATAGGGGAGATGAGGGGAAGAATTCCAGGGTCTTGGGAAGTCAGAGGGGCCCTGGGCTTGGGCTGAGGCCTGCACCGGAGCACCTTGACTCTGGCCCAGCTGCTGGGACTCCTGGGCAGCCTGTTCTTCCTGGGCCAGGCCCTCATGGCCATGCTGGTGTACGTGTGGAGCCGCCGCAGCCCTCGGGTGAGGGTCAACTTCTTCGGCCTGCTCACTTTCCAGGCACCGTTCCTGCCTTGGGCGCTCATGGGCTTCTCGCTGCTGCTGGGCAACTCCATCCTCGTGGACCTGCTGGGTGAGCCTCCCGGTACATCTAGTCCGCCCCAGGCTGGCCACTCCCCTCAGGACACGCTGCTTATGCCCTGGGGCCCCTCTCCCATCCTTGCTGGAGTTCTCCTCACACCTGGCTCCATCCCCATCTTCCTGCCCTCCCAGCTGCTGTGCTCTTACAGCCCCTCAAGCCAGCCGGCCCACATAATTTGCATCGTCAGGACGGATCTACTGATGCTTGCACGGTCCTGATGGGAGTGAGGATGGGAGGGTCAGGGTTCCTGCCCCATGGCTCCCACTCCTCCACTATTCTCAGGCCCTCCCCTCCCTGGGTCCTGCCTGCTTCTGGGCCTTTTAAGCTTGTCCTTCACGGCCAACCCGGGGCTGGCACTCTGTGCAAGGCTTTGGGGCACTCATGCTGTGGGGCCTGCAGGGCCACCAGGCTGTGGATGGGGGCCTGGGGCAGGCTCTGCTGGTCTAGGACTCTGGGCTGTGGAGGGTGACCCCACAGTCCGTGGCTGTCTCACAGGGATTGCGGTGGGCCATATCTACTACTTCCTGGAGGACGTCTTCCCCAACCAGCCTGGAGGCAAGAGGCTCCTGCAGACCCCTGGCTTCCTGTGAGTGTTGAGAGCCCTCCCTCCCTCTCCCCACCCTCAGAAGGATCCCCACCGATGGGGACCTGTGCTGGCCTGTGCTCAACACGGGCCCCTCCCCACAGAAAGCTGCTCCTGGATGCCCCTGCAGAAGACCCCAATTACCTGCCCCTCCCTGAGGAACAGCCAGGACCCCATCTGCCACCCCCGCAGCAGTGACCCCCACCCAGGGCCAGGCCTAAGAGGCTTCTGGCAGCTTCCATCCTACCCATGACCCCTACTTGGGGCAGAAAAAACCCATCCTAAAGGCTGGGCCCATGCAAGGGCCCACCTGAATAAACAGAATGAGCTGCAGTCTCTTGGCCCACAGCACTGGCTTCCCCATCTCACCTGGCCACATCCTTCTATGCCTGCCCCGTCCTCACTCAGTGTGGCCTCTCAGCCCAACTGCAGGTGGTAGGATAGGGGTGCCCACAGAGGGCAAAGAAACTGCCCATGGTTGCCTGGCAGAGCTTTGAGCTCACAGGTTGCCAGGCAGAGCTTTTGAGCTCACAGGTGACAGGCTCAGGGTTCTCATCCTGGCCCCACCAGGGCCTTGGGCAAGTCCTGCCCACCATAGGCCTCTGCTACCTGCCAGTCAGCGGGGAAGTTCACCAGATTTCGGCTGCTGGGGCCAGGACAGGCGTCTCCTAGGTTGTGCCAAACCAGCCTACAGATGTTCCTGCCAGTGGTGCCTTCAGGCTGATGCCAATCTAGCCTCTCCTGTCTCTCATCAGCCACCCTGACAGGTGGGCGTATGCCTCATTTTTCATCTGGTGATGCCAAAGCCCCATGGATTCAGGTGCAGAAGAGGGCCAGGACTAGGTCTTCTGCCCTTTCTATGACCTCAGAGCCTAAGTTTTCACCTTAGCAGAGTTCTGAGACTGGGTGAGGCAGGGACTTCTGGAAGGTTCTGTTCCTGCCCTTTTTAGCTGAGGACGTGTGTGAGCCTTATCCGACCCCTGTGGCTCATTTTTCTCTTCTGACCTGGCAGCTTTCCTTGTTGTTCTAAGCCTGTCCATGTTGTGGTTTATTTCTGGATGCTCAGTGGCACGGGGCCTCCTCCAAAGACAGGTTGTCATTTTCATGGTAACAACACTGTTCTCTGTTGAGTCTGCCCTCCGTGTTGTAGCCAGACCTTGTGGAGATGGCTTTGCGGCGGTGTGAGCTGGCGGTCAGGAGTGAGGGCCCAGCCTTCCCGGCACCTCCCAGCCAGGTGGCCCTGCCCGACCTGTGGGGTGAGGCAGCCAAGGTTCCTTCCATCCCCCCAGTTGTGGAGACACAGGGCTGCCTCACCCTTTCATTGCCGAGGTTCCTACCTCATGGACAGAACAAACACCTCAGCAATGAAACCTGTTCATGTCTAAGAGCAGCTGGGCTGGGAATCTTCCCCTTTGTTCAAGGCCTTCCAGTAAGGCCCAGCTGTCCCCTTGCTGTGCATGGGGCTCTGGGGAGTTCCACTCTTTGATGGAGGGCAGAGGCCCTGAGTGCAAACTCCCTGGGAAGAGTCCCATGCTAACATGTGCTCAAAGGAGCCCTCCTCTCACATCTCAGCGACCAAGAACCCCAATCCCTAATCAGAGCTCTGCCTCTGCCCCACATGGGGCCCTACCCCACTTCCAGGGAGCACAGCAGCCTCTGACCCTAGCCCTGCCCTGGCAGCATGGGACCTGCCAACAGCTGAGGGTGGCAGCAGTCTGTGCTGGGATCTGTGCCCGGATCTGTGCCCATTCTCTTCAGTAAGGCTGGAGCTGCGAGCCAGTTTGCTGCCCTCCCAGATCCTGTGTCCATTCTGAAGAATGGGGACACCTCCCTATTACAGATGAGAACAGAGGGGACATGAACTCCTTGGAGGCAGGGCTGGGAAGGGACCCTGGGCTGTGTCTCCTCCCTGTACCGTGTCAACTCCAAGAGCTGGCACCAGGCCGGGAGGGCTATTCCCATATTCCTCACAGCTGGCTTGTAAGGCAGGAGCTGGCCCAGGCCACAGCACCTGCTGGGGTGGGAAAGGGCCCCAGCTGACCTGGCTATGGGTGCCACTGGAGCTAGAACAGCCCTCCTGCACCCAGGCTGGCGACAGCCCAGCAGTGCCCACACAGGACTGGGCCCTCCGCAGGGGACTTCAGAGCAGCAAGGCCCCAGCTGGCAGTAGCCTGACCATCTGGACACAGCAGAGCCAGGGCGGCCCAGGGACGGCAGGAGAGCTCGCGGCACCTTCCTGAGGCCAAGCAAGGGGAGCAGGGTTAGGGCTGTTCCTGAAAGGCAGAGAGCCTCTTGCCCTGAGCCTCACAGCTACTCTTCTCAGCTCTCTGGGTCTGGAAGGAGAACAGGCTGAGGGGAGCTGAGAGGAGCTGAGGTGCTACCCGGAGCCCCATTCACCCCCACCTGCCCACTTGGGAATCTGAGGCAGAGGAGGGTGAGGCCTGTGTGCCAACCTTGTTCACATACCACCTTCGTCCCCCCAGGCCCCGGCCCCACTCCTGGCTCTCATTATTTTTATGTTAAAACTTTGAAGAAATTGAACATGACCTGTTGAAGAAATTGAACATGACCTGTTGCCTTTTATTTAAAAACTGTTACTAGCCCTGCCTGGGGCTCCTATACAAAAACAAAACACAACCTAAAATAAGGTTTCTTCCTGACCCCAGAGACTGGGGAGGGGTAGGGAGGGTGGGGTGGGGGGCAGGACTGGGGCTCAACAAATGGAATGTGTGCCGGGAAGGGCCACCTGGAAGCCCCCACTCCACCCCCACCCGATCCTCAGGATGGCGCTGGGCTGTCCCCTCGCCTCTGTCCTTGCCAGAAGATGGAGGAGAGGCGGCCCAATCTTCTGAGATGCTCCGTGGGAGCCGTGTGCTGATGGGCTGGTTACCAGGCCGGGGCCGTGTTGGCAAGACGCCTCATCCGCCTGGAAGAGGAGTGGGGAGGGCAATGAGTCGGGGCCAGCTCCCAGCCTGGGCGCTGCCCTTCCCAAGGCTCTACAGGGCAGCCAAGTGTAGGGGTGGGAACAGAGGCAGGATGTGGGCCCCCAGCAGGGTCAGACCCAGCCTTCTCTCAGCCTCGCCTGTCTGCCACTCAGGCCCTGCTCATCACTCCAGGGACCCCAAAACCTGGATCTGGGCTGTGGTCAGACCCTCAGCCTGAGGAATTATGTTTGTTCCATGCAGGGAAACATACCCTGGCGTTTGGATGGGGCCTTATCACCCAGAAGCCTGCCTGCCTCTAGCAGCACTAGAGGTACTCTGTCTCAGAGACCATGGGAGACTGGGAAAGGCAATGGCCCTGCCTCTGCCTGGAAAGCCAGGTGCCTGTGGGCAGAGCCCAGGACCACAGGGCCAGGGGTACCTCGTGTTCCTGTCCTGGTCGCGGATCTTCTTCTCCATCTCAGCGTCTGTCAGAGTCTCCAGCAGTGGGCACCACTGGTCCGCATCGCCCGTGTTCCGGATGGCAATCTCCACTGTGGGCAGAGGGTTCTCGCTACGAGGAGGGGAGGCAGTGAGAGGAATGACTTTTCCAGCTATAGATGGAGAATCCTCAGAAAGCTTTGGCCCCTGTCTGTGCCCTGCTCCTCCCAGCAGCACTGCTGGCACCCAGTGGATGCTCCAGTCACCTGAACCTCAAGGGAGCTGCTGGAGGCGCCAGGGCCTTTCCATAACAAGTGTTGTCGCCATGACCCCATGGGCTTCCCTTCAAAGTGAACTTTCAACAGGGCTTTTGTGCCCAGCGTCTCTCTGTCTCTGAGATGGAGGAAGGGGCCACTGGCTGTGGAGGTGGTCCTTGACAGGACAGCACGGGCTGGACCATGCTGATGCCACAGTGCCAGTCAGGAGGTGGAACCTATAGGGGCAGGAGGACTGTCTGCTCCACTCAGTGTCCAGAGCCAGGGCCCACTGATCAGGGAAAGGGGATGGATGGCGAATGGGAGCAAAGGAGTCTCCCAGAAGTCCCCAGCCCCCCACTACTGAGGGCCACTGCACAGCCTGTTCCTGCATGTTCCACACACTTGCCCCTCAGCCCACCTCCTGGCCGAACAAAACCCCCGAGAGGCTGGTCTGTGCTTAGGATCAGACAGCTGTCTGGCAGGGAGCTGGACAGAAGCCGTATCCCCGGACCACACTCTGCCCTGGGTCTCACAAGGACCACCCAAATCTGCCCCGAGGTACCTTCCTCTTGCCAAAAGGACACAGCAGAGGAAGGGGGCAGCAAGGGCAGAGGCTAAACAGGCATGGGGTGGGCACAGGAGTGCTGGGGAGGTGGGAGGGTGGCTGGCTGCCGCCTCTCTGGGCTTTGATTTGCAAGTCTGTGACAGGACACTAAGGAGACCACAGCTGTGGATGCCACAGGGCCCGTGTGCCTCCCACATGCAGTGGTCCCGTCACCCCCACCTCTGAGAGCAGCTTTGGGTGCTGACAGTGTTTCCCAGTTGAGTGACACCAGACCCCTGGCTTGGCAGAAGGCCTCAGCCTGAGGTCCTAACCATGACTCTCCCACTTCCCCTCCCCTCTCTGTGGTCCTTTCCTTTCTCCTCCACTTGGGCACCTCCACTTGGCTCTCCCTAGGCTCAGTCCCCTGGGAGAAGGACACCCTGCCAGCCTGCGGCCCTGAAAAACACCATGAGCTCTGGGAGAAGCAAGGGCAGGCCGGACTCGGGGGAGGCGCCAGGTGGACACTGATAGAGAGGACAGGTCCCTGCAAACCTCATCTGGAATATGGAAACATTTATTGCTGTGAAGGGCTTTGGAAGGATGACTGTTATTAAAGCAGCCAAAACATCTCCACTGAGGGAGCTTCCTAGGGGCCAGGGACCTTCTCACAGCCTCCCTGTAGTGGGTGGCTCAAGGTTGTGGGACCAGCCTGCTTGCAGAGCGAGTCCCGGCTCTGCACATCCACACCAGTGAGCACACACCCAGCTCCAGTAGCCGTGAGCCCGTTCCAGGTTGGGCTCAGTGCTGCTCTCCTCAGCCTGGGGTCTCAGGGACTGTGGGCACAGCGCAGGGCACTGGCTGCAGCTGGCTCTCCCTGCAGCAGGCCTGACCCCTCACAGCTGAAGCTCAGCCCACCAGGTCCATGCTCATGAGTCGCAGAAGCTCAAGCTCGTACTGGTGACGCAGAGGCAGGGCCAGAGGCAATGTCGGCACCCCCACCCTCTGGGGCTGACCCATCCTCAGCAGCTCCTGACAGCTGGTCCCTGGCCAGCACCGGGTGGTTTAGCAGTCTAGGGACCACCCTAGCCTCAGACCCCAAACATCATTCCTCACCGTGAGGGCTCCCAGCAGCCTTCCTTGGAGGGCAGACGTGAAAGGTACCAAGCCCACAACGAGGGGAGCAAAACATGTTTTCCTCTTAAACAAGAGCTGGCGAGTGGGTCCCAGAGGGTCCTTTGTTTACCTCCCCTTGATGCTGGGAATATTCCACTCCAGTGGGTTTGTTCTAAAGTAAGAAATGCTCGCACCAACCATGTAAGAACGGGCCTAGAGCCAGCACTAGCCTGCCTTGGGTTTTGGGGGCATGTGGGCATGGAGATGCTGTCCTGAGTTCCAAAGAGTGCTGGGGACCCTGGGAGCCACCCTGCTCCCCATTCCTTCCAGGGAATTCTGGTTCACGGGCTTCGAAGCCGCCAGGGACCCCAGACCTTCCTACCACCCAAAGTGTCCAGGTGGGGACAAAGATACCCAGGCAGGGGATGCTCACGTCTGAGGGACAGAGGGAGCCAGGACTGATGCCGGTCGAGTATCTTGAGGTTTACTTTCAATGTGATCTCACTTTCATGACCTCATGTGATGCAACACACAAGTATTATCCCCAAGTTACAAATGACAAAATACAGACTTCAAGGGAAAATGACCTGTCCACAGCCACTCGACCAGGAAGGGGAGATGCCAAAACTTGGTGTCACCCTTATGTTTGCAATTCACACCTCCGAGGCCGCCAGGAGCCTCAAATGATTTTTAGAAGGGTGCCAAGTCCACTCAATGGAGGAAGAGCAGTTTTCAACATGGTGCTGGGGCAACATGACTCTGGATTGACAATGGATTCTTAGATATGAAACCAAAAGCACTAGCAACAAACTAAAACAATATATAAATTACAGGCCTGGTGCAGTGGCTCACACCTGTAATCCCAGCACTTTGGGAGGCCGAGGCGGGCGGATTATGAGGTCAAGAGATGGAGACCATCCTGGCCAACATGGTGAAACCCCGTCTCTACTAAAAACAAAAAATTAGCTGGGTGTGGTGGCAGGTGCCTGTAGTCCCAGCTACTTGGGAGGCTGAGGTAGGAGAATCACTTGAACTCAGGAGGCGGAGGATGCAGTGAGCCAAGATCACAGCACTACACTCCAGCCTGGTGACACAGCGAGACTGTCTCAAAAAAAAAAAAAAAAAAAAAAAAAAAAAAAAAGATAAATTGGACTACATCAAAATGAAAACTTTTGTGCTTCAAAGAACACTATCAAGAAAGTGAAAAGGCAATCCTCCAAATGAGAGAAAATATCTTCAAATCATGTATCTATCTGATGAGGGACTTCTATGTAGAATATATAAAGAACAATTACAACTCAACAATAAAATAAAACCCAATTAAGAAACTAGCAAAGCACTTTCTCCAAAGAAGATACACAAACAGCCAGAAATACATGCAAAGATGCTCAATATCATCAGTCATTAGAAAAATGCAAATCAAAACCACAATTACTTCACACCTCCTCAGACGGCTACGATCAAAAAGAGAACAGCAAATGCCAGCAGGATCCAGAGAAACGGGAATCGCACGCTTCTGGTGGGAATGCAAAATGGTGCAGCCACTTTGGAAAACAGTCTAGAAATTCTTCAAAATGCTAACCACTGAGTTGTCACGTGACCCAGCAATTCTACTCCTGGGTATATATCCAAGAAAATTGAAAACAGATGTTCACACAAAAACTCATACACAAATGTTCTCAGCAGCAGTACTCACAATAGCTGAAAAATGGAAACAACCCAAAAGTCAATCTGCTGATGAATGAATAAAATGTGGTATATCCATGCAATGAGATAATATTCAATCATAAAAAAGAATGAAGTCCTGATAAAAGATGCTACAACATGGATAATCCTTGAAAACATTATGCTAACAAGCCAGTCATAAAAGACCACATATTAGATGGTTCCATTTCTATGAAGTACCCGGAATAGGCAAATCTACAGATAGAAAGTGGATGAGTGGACACCTAGGGCTGAGAGACAGCGGGGAGGAACGGGACTGCCTGCAGTGGGGTGATGAAAAAGTCCTAAAATTGACAGTGGTGATAGTTACACAGCTCTCTGCATATATCAAAAACCGCTGCACTATATACTCTAAATGTGTGAATTGTATGGTTTATGAATTATATCACAATAAAGCTGTTAAAAAAACAAACAAAACCTGACATCAGGCCAGGGCTGGCGGGCAGAGCTTCGGAAGGAACCTGAGGCTTACGCTCAACCAGCCCAACGTGTACCTGACATACCCCAGCCTAATTCCTGATGCTGTGCCATCAGAGGGACACTGCCTCTCTGTCCCTCATGCAGGCCCAGCTACCAAGCTCCCTGACCCTTAGTCTCTTTTCATCCCCACCCTGTACGTGTAGGACTGCTGGTGTGCAGAGCCCCCTGGGGCAGATACCCTGCCTGATCCACAGGGCCCACCTTCCTTCTCAAGCACCTGCCTGTCCCTGGTCTCCTCTCGGTCCTTCCTGCTGCAGTCCCCCATCAGCACCTGCCCTGGCCATCCTCACCCCAGGTTCTATGCCCCCAACTGCCCTTCCTCATGCCCACAGCCTCCGGTGCTTTCTGTGGCCATGGCACACTGATAGTCATGCACATGAATCTGTTTCCTCTGCCAGACAGGGCACTGTCTCCTCCCGTCCCTGGCCAGGAACACAGGGCTGGCCCAGGGGAGGTGCCAGTAACTTTGCAGGATCAGCTCTCCTCAGAGGCTCTGCCTAGCCCAGCCTCCTTCCCCTTGAGCCCTGTCTCCCTCCTTTCGCTGGCCCTTCATCCCACTCCACTGGCTCTGGGACGCCTGTGTCACTCTGGTCCCAGTCTGTCCTCTAGGAGCCTAGGGCTTCTGACCAGTTTGTCACATGCCCCTGTTTCCCCTTCATGCTTGTCTCCTGTCTGTCCCACTGCCAAAGGGAACAGGCTGTTCTCTGCCCTGGTTCCCCTGAGGTGTGGGCATAGTGGCCTTGCACACACATGTCCTGTGGCCAGCAGCTTGCCCCACTGTACCATGGATCCAATCAATGTCCCCACTGCCGAGGAGGGTATGGAAGTCAGGCACTGAGCTCTGGCTGGGAGAGATGGAGGGACTGGCTCTTGGGGAATCAGCGAGTGCTTCCATTATGGAGTGACCTAGGTCCAGAGCTGAAAACCCTTTTTTTTGAGATGGAGTCTAGCTCTGTCGGGCTGGAGCACAATGGTGCAATCTCAGCTCACTGCAATCTCCGCCTCACGGGTTCAAGCAATTCTCCTGCCTCAGCCTCCCGAGTAGCTGGGATTACGGGTGCCCACCACCACACCTGGCTAATTTTTCTACTTCTAGTAGAGACGGGGTTTTGCCATGTTGGCCTGTCTCTAACTCCTGACCTCAGGTGATCCGCCCACCTCGGCCTCCCAAAGTGCTGGGATTACAGGCGTGAGCCACCATGCCTAGCCTGAAAACCCTTCTTAAGAAGTCATGTGGCCGAGCGCGGTGGCTCACGCCTGTAATCCCAGCACTTTGGGAGGCCGAGATGGGTGGATCACAAGGTCAGGAGATCCAGACCATCCTAGCTAATACGGTGAAACCCCGTCTCTACTAAAAACACAAAAATTAGCTGGGCGTGGTGGCGGGCACCTGTAGTCCCATCTACTCAGGAGCCTGAGGCAGGAGAATGGCGTGAACCCAGGAGGCAGAGCTTGCAGTGAGCCGAGATCACGCCACTGCACTCCAGCCTGGGCGACAGAGCGAGACCCCATCTCAAAACAAAACAAAAAGTCATGTGACACAGCAGTTGCCAAGCTTTCTGTGTGGCAGAGACCAGGCCAGGACTCCTGGTCTAGCTCTCTGTGGGCTGACTGGCCCCTGGACCTGGGGACTCAGTGGCCCAGCCTCCTTTCCCCAGGCAGGGCCAGGCAGGACTGACACTGGTCTCCCTGGGGACAGAGTTAAACGAAGTCCCTCCTAAGATCCCATGGGGTGGGGTGGTACAGTGGGGGGAACGCGAGTTGGAGTCAGGGATGACAGCCCAACCCTAAGGCCCTGTCCTATCCTTGCAGCTGTCTTCCAGTGTGGGGACTGGGAAGACACACGCAGCCCTCCTGATGCTAAAAGCCCACTCAGGACACTTCCCAGTTCCCCAGGCAGGCCGCCTCTCCATCTGGCTGCTGTGATAGGGACGTGTGCTCACCTTGGTCCCAGCGGGATGGCCTTTGCCTTTAACCCCAAAGATTTGAAACCTGCATTCTCAGCATAAGAGAGAGCAGGGGGCAGGGGGTCTGTGATGCCCCCAGGCCCTGCAACTGGAATGCACTAAGTGGTCGATGAGATAAAGAAGGGGCCCGCCTCTGCCTCTAAATCCTGACCTGCCACCACCAGGGACTCCCCAGGGGGTCTGCTCTGGAGCCACTCTGCAAACTGCAGAGGGCCCGGAACTTGGAAAGGAATTTAGGCTCAGGTCACCTTCGGGTCAGAGCAGGAGGGATGGTGCCATGGTGGCTGAAAGAAGGGATGTTGCAAGGACCTGTCAAGAGGCCCCGGGGACTTCAGTTCCTGACCCTGGACTGTGGGCACTGGCAGCGGCTGCAGGACTAGGTGAAGGTCAACACCGTAGGGGCTGGATGCTGGGGGCAGCCAGCCTACCACCTGCACCTGTGAGCCCAAGACGAGGGTTCTGACTGGATCAGCCTCTGCGGGAGGAGGTGCTCAGTGTTGATGCGCGCAACATGACTGCCTCCCGGGGCCTCAGAGTCAACTCTGGTGGAGGGAGGCCACCCTTGACTGGCTCTCCGGCCATAGGGCTTGGCTCTGTGCAGGGTGAATGCACGCTACAGCTGCACTCCCAGGCAACACCCCGAGGGAACAGGGAGGCATCAGACACCAGCCCCCCAGCCTCCTCTCTGGGCTGCCCTGTCTGTGAAGCAGAACCATGTGACTGGCAGGGCTGCTGGGGGGCAGGTCACAGGATCTCAGCACCATGGCGCTCAGGCAGGGACTCAGCTGTTTCCCAGGCCCGGGCCCTTGAGCCCCGTGGGTGGCTCTCATTCCTTCTTCCTTGCTCAGATTTATGGGAAGTCATAGAAAGCTGTCTCTTGGGATGTCTGGGAAAACAAGTTAGACACAAACCTAACGAGCTCCATTAATTGTCATGGCTTTGCAAAACAGACCTTCCTATTTGCTCCTCATGTAGCATTTTAAGCTGTCATCCCTGAGTGATGACTGCAGATGTGGATGATGATAGTCTGATGAGCAGACTAAATCTGAACATCCTGTTTTGATGTAGGGATGCTTGCTGCACCCCCACCCCATCCCAACACAGAGGACAGGGTGAGGAACCACGGGGCTTCCCAGTCCTAGAGTCCTGCTGAGCCGGGAGAGTTCAACCTCGCTATTTTTTTTTTTTTTTTTGGAGACAGGGTCTCGCTCTGTCACCCAGGCTGGAGTGCAGTGGTGTGATCTTGGCTCACTGCAGCCTCCACCTCTTGAGCTCAGGCGATCCTCCCACCTCAGCTTCCTGAGTAGCTGAAACTACAGGCATGTACCAACATGCCCGGCTCATTTTTTCTATTTTTTTTTTTTTGTAGAGGTGGGGTCTCACCATGTTTTTCCCAGGCTGGTCTTGAACTACTGGGTTCTGGTGATCCACCTCAGCTCCGCGAAGTGCTAGGACTGCAGGTGTGAGCCATCGCACTGGGCCTTGACCTCACTTTTAACTCTGAGTCCCACCTCCTGCCAGGAACAGGAGGGCCTCTCCCGGGTCCATCCCCATCCCTACCACAGAGGACACTGGACTGGAATATTCTGTTCACACTTCCACCATCTCAGCCAGCCCAAATGCTACAGGCAGGGATCAAGGTGACCTGTCTCTATCTTCCAGGGCAGCCAGGATGGGGTCCAGCCCAGCATGGTACTCATCAAATGCTCTCTGACTGACCAAAGGCAGAGATACTAGAGTAAGAAGGAGCTGCTAGGGACCCCTGACTCTCAAAAGCTGGGCGGGCCTTTGTGTTTAAGACATAATTCAAGTTCAACAGATGAAGAACCCTGGGCAGGGGTCACCCTGACCAAAATAACAGTCTGGGCAAGAGCAGAGAGAGAGGGTGTGGGGCAGGACAACTGAATGGTGGATGGTGGGGGCAGGCCAGGGCTCCGTGGAGGCAAGGACTTGAGGTTCACCCTGACAGAACTCCAAGTCTTTGCCAGCTATTGTGTTAGGTGCTTCTAACCCTACCTGGCACAGCGGAGCCCTGGAGAGATACATAGGGCAGGAGGAGGACGGAGCAAACACACAGACCCCAGCCAGATTGTGCTGCGAAGCGTGAGAAAGCCTCAAAGGTATCACCGCTCACACAGAGAAGTCTTTCTCAAAACAGTTTTGCAGGGAGATGAGGGAGGGAGAGACTCATGCATGATCCTACCTGAAGGCGTAGGTCTTCTGATGCCAGCTCAGCTGTCCCCGGATGCTGTATGCGATGGTGGTGACAAACTCCCCGCCCAACCCCAGCTCCGAGCACAGCTTCAGGGCAAACTTCTCTGGTGAGTTCTCCTTCTCTGACATGTCCCACTCAAACTGGTCCACCAGGGAAATGTTTCCCACATGGATGTTCAGCTGAGGCAACAACCAAAGGACACAAGTTAGAGCTTTTGCAGCCCAGGGAGGCCGCGAGGAGCGGGGCCCTGCCAGGCCTGGGGTGGGCCCTGCCCACCAGGGTCCACCAGCTGAGAACTGCAGGTGGTCCTTGTCCTTCCAGTTCCCCATCCCCAAAACAAGGCTGACCCCACAACCCTGTCTGCCATGAGGGGCTCTGGCTCAGGGCCCAGCACAGTCACCCTCGGGAGGCCCTGAAGTGACCCCGGGGGCACCTGAGTCCCACCTTACCTTCATCCCATCTCCCCTGTGCCCTGTGCTGGTGGGGACCTTCCTTTCTGCCCTTCGCTCCTGCTGCCATCGGTCTTACGTGACTACACCAGAAAGGCAGGGCTCAGCTAAGGCATCCCTAAGCCCTGTCTTGAGCCAATGTCTATGCCCTTTACAGAGCTTGCCCCTCTCGGAAAACCCTGCCTAGCGTGTTCACAGATGCACCCCACTCTGGGTCAACACGGTGAGGGGACAGGGAAGCCTGCAGGGATCACAGTGCTGGGCCAGCTCCTCCACATTCCCCAGAGGACTCCCTGCAGCACGTGACTCACAGCCAGAGGGCCCAGGCCCCGGGTGTGCTGTCAGGGGTTTTCCACTAGTGGACACCTGGGAAGCCAGCACCCAGCTGAGAGAACACAGACTGTACCCCAGGGGCTCCCACCTACACCTGCCCCCCTGGGGAGGCACCATTTTGACTTCTCACCCCTTGAGTAGGTGTGGCTGTTCTGAATAGGATGGACACTTCGGGGTCCAGGTTCATTCACTCTGCATCATGCTTGCAAGACTCCTCCCATTAGAGTGTGGGGCTGGGGTCATCCCTCACTGCTATCCAGTGCTCCACAGGGCAACCAGGTCACAGTGCACCTGCCCATTCATTGTTGGCCCTTAGCTTTTAAGTCAAGGATCAGGGTGGGCAGCTGCAGGGAAAACTCACCACTGCCTCGGAGTCCAGCCCTTCCGGGGACTTCTGCCTCCTTTTAGAGATTAGGGTACCCCAATCCCCGATCATGTTCATAAAGCCCTGTGCCTCTGAGCCCTGCACATCACCACCCACTTGCTAGAATGCTCTTCCCCTCACCTGGCAGGACCAGCCTCTTCTCAGCATCCTGGTCTAAGCTAAAGTGCCAGCTCCTGAGAGCTCCCCTTCCCATCAGCCCCTTTCCACACCCTTCTCTCCATTTTCTCCCCCTTTGGAGACAGGATGTCACTCTGTCACTCAGGCTGGAGTGCAATGGCATGATCATGACTCACTACAGCCTTGAACTCCTGGGCTCAAGAGACCCTTCTGCCTCAGCCTCCTGAGTAGCTGGAACTACGGACATGCACTACCATGTCTGGCTAATATTTTGTAGAGACAAGGTTTCTACAAGGCCCAGGCAATGTATCAAGTGTTTTGGGCAGAGAAGAGACCCTGTGGTTGAGCCTTCTGTTCCCCGCAGGCTTCCCTGCTGCCTCTCTGTGTTGGCCCAGGCTGGCCTCAAAAGATCCTCCCCCGAGAGTCTCCTGAGTAGCTGCGACTATACGTGCGGGCCACCATGCTGGCACCTCTCCTATTTTCTTCACAGCACTTAGGACTGTCTGAAACAATCTGAATCATTTGCCTCCAGGAATTCTAGCACAGGCAGGGTGTATTTGTTCTGGGAATGAAGGAATCCTCACGCAGAGGGAGGAAGCCGAGGGCAGAGCTGCAGTGTCCTGTACACGGCATGCAGCCAGGCAATGGGGACTGCAGTCGGGCCCCCATGTCCTTTGCTATCTCCACATACGCCCACGCCTGATGATGAATGGAATCGGAGGCACTGGCCCTTCCCAACTGGAATCTAATGCCAAGCAAACCACGTGGGTGCTGGGTCCAAAAAGAACGTGCAGCAGCAGACAGCCCATGGAACCACCCAACAGGACCCCATAGGACCATAGGCACATGGCTCCCACCCAGCAAGCCCTCCCTGCCCTGGGCTCATGGATGGAGTTGCCTGTCCCCTGCCATTCAGTCACTAACACATTCATTTATTCCAAAGTCTAGACTGTGTGTCTACCAAGGAGAGGCACAAGAGAGACAAACATTCAAAAGGCTGTTCTGAGAAAGGTGAGGTGGTACATGTCTGTAGTCTCAGTTACTTGGGAGGCTGAGGTGGGAAGATCACTGGAGCTCAGGTGTTTGAGTCCAGCCTGGGCAACACAGCGAGACTCTGTGTCAAAAAAAAAAAAAAAAAAAAAAAAAAAAAAAAAAAAAAAAAGCTATGCTGGTGGGGGCACTGACAGACACTAAGTAGGTTAAGTGAGCATGTGGTGTACCAGAAAGCACGGGAGTGCCAGGGAGGAAAGGGAGGGAGGGGGAGAAAGTCCAGGCTGGCCTCAGAAGTCAGGAGGCCAGGAAGGCTTCTAGGAAGGTGGCCTTTAGGAAGAAGTGAATGTGCCCAGGGAGCAGGAATGTGGCTCCCTGGGGGAGAACAGTCCCAGGTGGGGGACACAGAGATGTAAAAGACTGAGGAGCCAAGGTCTGGTACCCGGATCTGCCCAGTGAGGGGAAAAGGGAGGAGATGAGGGTGGCGAGGGACTGTAGCAGAGAGCAGTTAGGGCCCTGAGGCCTTTGGACAGGCTTGGCTTCCACAGAGGGATGTGGGAAGCTTCTGCGGTATTTTGGGCAGACAAGAGACATGGGCTGAGCTGCCATGCTGAGACCTCTACTGGAAGGCGGGGAGGGAGGAAGGGAGCCATCTGGCAGTGGCCTTGGTGGGGTAGTGAGGAGTGCTGGACTCCAGGTGGACTCACAGAGCTAAGACGGGGCCAGGACTCCCAAGCAGGTGCACAGCAGGGCCAGGCCCCTGCCCACCTCCCCAGCCCTGACTCACATCTCACCCCATGCACTCTCTGGACGGGGCCTGGACAGTGCCACAGGGTCTGATGGCTCAAACTGCAGCAGCACCATGTCCCCAGCTTCCTCCCCTGCCCCCCAACCCCTGCTGGAACTGGGCAAAGCCGACTTGGGCCAGGTGCCCTGGCAAGGGCAGCCAGGCCTGGGCTTTGGTCCCAGCATTGCCAAGAATATCTGGAAGATGCTGCTCTAACCTAAGGCACTCTTTCTGAGGAGAGAGATGGTCCTCATGTGCCATGGCTCCAAAGATTCTTGTTTTCCTTCAGTCATGTTCCAGGATCAAGACAAAGGACGTCCTTACAGAAACACCCAGCTCTGGCCAGGCACAGTGGTTCATGTCTGTAATCCCAGCAGTTTGGGAGGCCAAGGTGGAAGAGTTGCTTGAGCCCAGGAGTTCGAGACCAGCCTGGACAACAAAGTGAGACTCCATTTTCTCTTTTTTCTTTTTTTTTTTTTTGAGACAGAGTCAGTGAGATG
The DNA here is from genome assembly GCF_000001405.40 of Homo sapiens. NCBI lineage: Eukaryota > Metazoa > Chordata > Mammalia > Primates > Hominidae > Homo > Homo sapiens. The sequence continues at coordinate 23,821,842 of NC_000022.11, read as the reverse complement.
GGAAGAGCCTGTTGCCCAGGCTGGAGTGTAGTGGCGCAATCTTGGCTCACTGCAACCTCCGCCTCCCAGGTTCAAGCAATTCTCATGCCTCAGCCTCCAGAGTAGCTGGGATTACAGGAACGTGCCACCACGCCCAGCTAATTTTTTATATTTTTAGTAGAGACAGGGTTTCACCATGTTGCCCAGGCTTGTCTCGAACTCCTGAGCTCAGGCAATCTGCCCACCTCAGCTCTCCAAAGTCTTAGGATTACAGGCATGAGCCACGGTGCCCAGCCGAGACTCCATTTCCTACAGAAAATTTAAAAATTAGCCAGGCATGGTGGTACGTGCTTATAGTTCCAACTACTCAGGAGGCCAAGATGGCAGGATAACTTGAACCCAGGAGGTCAAGGCTGCAGTGAGCCATGAAAAAAAAGGAAGGAAGAAAGAAATACCCAGCTCTTCTGAGTCCCAATTATAGATGGGAAACCCTGGGTGTGACCTTCTATTCCTCATGGGCAAGACAGGACACTGTTCCCAGGGTCACGGTGCCCAGGAGGCCTCTGGCCTGAAAAATGCAGTCTGTCCCACATAACACAGGCTTCCCTGGGCCAGCTGTGTCCACCCTGTGACATCTGGTCTGACCCAAAGGGCAGAGCAGGACACCTGGCTGGGGACAGTCTCTCAACCTGCCAGCTGCCACCATCCCCCAGGTGGGAATCACAGGTAAGTCAGAGGGTCACTGGGGAAGCCTCTTCTGGTGGGGCAGGGAACAGCCCCAGGAGGATTACAGCTGCTGGGCAACTTCCTGTATGGCTCCTCTGCAGGCCCCGTCAAGACAACAACAATGAAAATGGGCTCAATTCTGAGAAAAACGTTAAGGGAAGCTACCAGTCAGGCTTCATGAGGCCCCTTGTGTGGCCAATCCCAGTCATTTGGAACCACGTGGCTGGGTGGGTTAGCCCACACAGCCTCATCCTCCACATGTTTACAAGACAAAGAGAAGCACAGAGTGGAGCCCTCAGGGCTGCCCTCCAGAGCCAGCAGACCGTATGCAGGACACAGGCCAGGTGCTTGCTGCCACTCCCATCCCCACCCCACTTCTCTCCTACCATTGTCCCTTCTTTTCCTCCTAGCTGGCCATAATGTGAAACTGAAACAAATTTGTATTCCTCTCAAAAAGGTATTAACAAGTAAAGAGACTGAATCAATAATAAAATCTTCCTGACAAAGAAAAGCCTTAGACCTGATGGCTTCATTGGTGAATTCTACCAAACACTGATTGACTGACTGAGTCAGAGTCTCGCTGTCAGCCAGGCTGGACTGCAGTGGCACCATCTCGGCTCACTGCAACCTCCGCCTCCCGGGCTCAAGCAATTCTCTTGCCTCAGCCTCCTGAGTAGCTGGGATTACAGGTGTGTGCCACCATACCCGGCTAATTTTTGTATTTTTAGTAGAGACGGGGTTTCACCATGTTGGTCAGGTAGTCTCTAACTCCCGACCTCAGGTGATCCGCCCGCCTCGGTCTCCCAAAGTGCTGGGATTACAGGCGTGAGCCACTGCACCCGGCCATCTACCAAACATTTAAATAGGAGCTAACACCAATCCTTCTCAAACTATTCTTTAACTCATTGCCCTGATACCTAAGTCAGACAAAAAATACTACAAGAAAGGAAAACTACAGACCTACACCCCTTATGAATGTTGATGCAAAAATCCTCAAAAAAATGCTGGCAAACTGGCCGGGCACAGTGGCTCACGTCTATAATCCTTTGGGAGGCCAAGGCAGGTGGATCACCTGTGGTCGGGAGTTCGAGACCAGCCTGGTCAATATGATGAGACCCCGTCTCTACTAAAAGTACAAAATTTAGCCGGGCGTGGTGGCATGCGCCTGTAGTCCCAGCTCCTCCTCGAGAGGCTGAAGCAGGAAAATCGCTTGAATCCAGGAGGTGGAAGTTGCAGTGAGCCAAGATCATGCCACTGCACTCCAGCCTGGGTAACAGAGCGAGACTCTGTCTAGAAAAAGAAAAGAAAAGAAAAACTAACAAGTGTGAGTGAGGATGTGGAGAAACTGGAACCCCTGCGCCTTGCTGGTAGGAATATAAAAGGTGCAGCCACCGAGAAAGGCAGTATAGTGGATCCTCAAAAAACTAAACATGGAATTACTGTACGATCCAGGAATTCCATTTCTAGGTATACACCCAAAAGAAATGAAAGCAGGGGCCAGACACAGGGGCTCACACCTATAATCCCAGCACTTTAGGAGGCCGAGGTGGGCAGATCATTTGAGTTTGGGAGGCTGAGGCGGAGTTTGAGACCAGGCTGGCCAACATGGTGAAACCCGGTCTCTATTAAAAATCCAAAAAAATTAGCTGGGCATGGTGGTGGGTGCCAGTAATCCCAGCTACTCAGGAAGCTGAAGCAGGAGATTGCTTGAACCTGGGAGGCAGGAGTGCCATGAGCCAAGATCGCGCCACTGCACTCCAGCCTGAGCAACAGAGTGAGACTCCATCTAAATGAATGAATGAATGAATGAATGAATAAATGAAAACAGGGACACCAACAGATACCTGCACACCCAGGTTCATAGCAGCATTATTCACAATAGCCAAAATGTGGAAGCAACCCAAGTGTCTGTCCATTTAGGGATGAATAAATAAAAATGTGATAGATCCATACAACAGAATATTATTTAGCCTTAATAAGAAAGGAGGCTGGGCGCAGTGGCTCACGCCTGTAATCCCAGCACTTTGGGAGGCTCAGGTGGGCAGATGGCTTGAGCCCAGGAGTTTGAGACCAGCCTGGGCAACATGGCGAAACCCCATCTCTACAAAAAAAATACAAAAAATCAGTCGGGTGTGGTGGAGTGTGCCGGTAGTCCTAGCTTCCCAGCTACTCAGGAGGCTGCACCGGGTGGATCACTTGAGCCCAGGAAGCAGAGGTTGCAGTGAGCCATAACTGCGCCACTGCACTCCAGCCTGGGCAACAGAGTAAGACCCTGTCTAAAAATAAATACATTTTAAAAAGGGAAGGAAATTCTGACATGGTGCAACATAAATGAACCTTGAAGACATTCTGCTAAGTGAAATAAGCCAGTCACAAAAGGACAAATACTGCATGATTCCCTTAGGAATGTAAATGAGACACCTCGAGTAGTCAAATTCATAGAGACAGAAAGCAGAATGGTGCTTGCCAGGGGTGGGGGGAGGGGGAATGGGGAGTTAGTGTTTGATGGACAGTTTCAGTTTTACATGATGATAGAATTCTGGAGATGGATGGTGGTGATAATTACACAGCCATGGATGTGAATATACTGCCACTGAATTTACACTTAAGTGGTTAAAATGGTAAATTTTATGTTATGAATGTTACCACAATTTTAAAATATTAATCAAGAAAACAAAGTATTGGCCAGGTGTGGTGGCTCATGCCTGTAATCCCAGCACTCTGGGAGGTCGAGGTGGGCAGATCACGAGGTCCAGAGATCGAGACCATCCTGGCTAACGCGGTGAAACCCAGTCTCTGCTATAAAAAATACAAAAAATTAGCCAGGCGTGGTGGCAAGCGCCTGTAGTCCCAGCTACTTGGGAGGCTGAGGTAGGAGAATGGTGTGAACCCAGGAGGCGGAGCTTGCAGTGAGCTGAGATCGCACACTGCAAGCCAGCCTGGGCGACAGAGTGAGACTGCGACACACACACACACACACACACACACACACACACACACCCAAAGTATTTCGGCCAGGTGCGGTGGCTCATGCCTGTAATCCCAGCACTTTGGGAGGCTGAGGTGGGTGGATCACCTGAGGTAAGGAGTTTGAGACCAGACTGACAAATATGGTGAAACCCTGTCTCTACTAAAAATACAAAAATTAGCCTGGCTTAGTGGCGGGCAACTGTAATCCTAGCTACTCAGGAGGCTGAGACAGGAGAATTGCTTGAACCCGGGAGGTGGAGGTTGCAATGAGTCAAGATCGAGCCACTGCACTCCAGCCTGGGCGACACAGTGAGACTGTCTTGACTAACTAAATAAGATATTTAGTTGTTTGTTACTTGGGGGACCACAGAGGAAGTTGCTGGTGATTCCCCCACGTTATTTTCCAAAATCTTAGTAAAGTGCCACGGAGAACCACAGTGGGAAGAAGTCGGCCCAGGCTCCATCTGGTGCACGGGGCAGAGGCATCCCTCAGTCACAGGAGGCATCCCTCCCGAGGCTCCTCGACCCCAAAGACTATTTTCAGGAACCCTTTGTAACATGGCTCTTATTTTTATACATCAATGTTTTCCTAAAATGGAAGCCAAAGGCACAGCATCAGATCTAACCAAACCACTGACCTTTTTAGGGTCATCACATGTGCCAATTTCACCTACTTCTCATATCTTCCTATTTTCAAAGCTCCCCTCACCCTCAAGGCATAGTCTGGCAGTGGCGGCTCAGCACAGCAAGGATTATGCTATAGGCTCTGCAGGGTGCAGGCCTGCGCCCAATCGCCAGCCTCACCATTTCTCAACTGGCCAGTTTGCAACTTCCGCAGGTGATCTCAGCTCTCCACGTGCCCACCTCTTCACCTGTAATATGGCCACTAAGGCAGCATCTTATTGGGTTACTAGGCCCCCCTGGAGCACTCAGCCTGGCCCAGCCAATCAGCTGCCTTCACCTCCTCTAGACCTCCGGGCTTTGCTCAGAGCCTGGCAGTGCCTCAGAGACACCCCCTGAATGTGTCCGGAATATAACACTTTACTATGAGAACTCAGCCTATGCCCTTCCTGGGGGATTGCAGGGAGCAAAGCCAGGTGTTATGACTTTCCAGATGATATGGAACCCAAAGACGGGCTTCTGCTGAGGCCTTGGTGTACCCTCAGTGCTCCATGATGACACCCACCCTGAGGGCCAGGAAGGCTCCAGTGCTGGGTGAGAAGTCACCTACCTTGATGATGACGCGCTGGTCTGACTGGTCCTCCAGGATGCTGTCCGTGGGGTAGGACTCGATCTGCTGTCTGATGGCAGAGGCGATGGCTGGCACAAACGTCAGCGGGTTCAAATCCAGATCGTCACAGAGGATTTCTGAAAACATCTCAGGCGTCATCAACTTCTCTGAAATCAGGAGAGGGAAGGGATGCCAAGAGATTGCACCATGCTTGGGCATGGACCGGCCTCCCTCACCCCTTCTTCTTTGAAGCCAAACATCTCCGGATGCAGGAGAGGACAACCAGGGCACTGGGGGTGGCCTTCCTGGAAACTGGGAGTGGAAGGAGGAAGCACATGACTAGCAGGCCCCCAGCCCTCATCCTGCACAGACCTCCTGCTCCATGCCCTGGGGGTGGTCATGGCCATAAACACTTCCCTCATTCCACTCATAGCTGGGTGGGCGCATGAGATTATCCCAACTAATGAGATGATCCAGGCGAGGCCAGCAAAGGCACATCAAAGCTTGCGTGCCATCTCTCTACTCCCCTCTGTGCTGAACTGGTGGCAGACGTGATGGCACAGAGGCTGGCCCAATACCAGGCCTCATGTGAGCAAAACACACTGTGCCAAGCCACAGCGATTTCCAGGCCTGTGACTGCAGTAGCAGCAGCAGGGCCTCAACAAGGTCACAAGCGTGGAGGTCCCTACAGATCCCGGATCCTGGAAAAGGAATTGTACCAGATGGGAGCTCACAGGGACCATCTGTGGCCAGCCAGACCTCAGCAAGGTCCTCTCAGTCAACATTCTCTCCCTGCTCCACCCAGACCGTACTGACAAGACGCCTTGCAGGAATAAGCTGAAAAAGCCAAGAAAAATTGCCTCAGAGCAGACAGTAGGATTCCATCATCAAGAAGCAGGTCGGCCTAACAGACCACAGCCCCACTATCTCCTCCCTGCCCTAAAGACACGCTGGAGACCAGCATCCTAACAGCCTGCGGGGCAGCAACAGCAGGAACCTCAGGTGCACGGGGTAAACACCCAGTGAATACACTGCCCAGAGCATTTTAAAATTTTTAAGTAATTGTAGATTCATGTACAGATGCAAGAAACAACACAGAGAAATTCCATGCACACTGCGCCCAGTTTCCTCCAAAAAAGACAAGATAGAGGACTGTATCTGTATCCAGTGATTCATCCAGATTGTCACTTCCTTTTACTGCCAAGTGACATTCTGTGGTACGAAGGGGCCTCACTTTAACTATTCACTCACTGAAGGCTATCTAGATCATTTCCAGTTTCCCGCTATTATAAATAAAGCTGCTATGAACATCCACGTGTAGGCTATTGTATAAACATGTCTTCATTTCTCCAGGATAAATGCTCAAGGTACACTGGTTGCATGTTTAGTTTTTTGTTTGTTTTGAGACGGAGTCTCGCTCTGTCGCCCAGGATGGAGTGCAGTGGCGCTATATCGGCTCACTGCAAGCTCCGCCTCCCGGGTTCACGCCATTCTCCTGCTTCAGCCTCCCGAGTAGCTGGGACTACAAGCAGCCACCACCACGCCCAGCTAATTTTTTGTATTTTTAGAAGAGACAGGGTTTCACCATGTTAACCAGGATGGTCTCGATCTCCTGACCTCGTGATCCGCCCGCCTCGGCCTCCCAAAGTGCTGGGATTACAGGTGTGAGCCACCACGCCTGGCCGCATGTTTAGTTTTTAACAGAAATTGCCACACTGTTTTCTAGGGCAGTTTTCCAGCCACTTTACATTCCCATCAGCAGCTTGTGAGTGACCCAGTTCCTCCACATCCTCGCCAGCATCTGATGCTGTCACCACTTTTTAAAGATGTGGAATAACAGTGTAATTTTAATCTGCATTTCCCTAAGGCTAACAATGTGGAAAAGCTTTTCAATGTTTATTTGCCACCTATATAACTTCTTTAGTGAAATTTCTCTTCCTGTCTTTTGCCTTTTTTTTTTTTTTTTGAGACGGAGTTTTGCTCTTGTTGCCCAGGCTGGAGCGCAACGGCGTGATCTTGGCTCACAGCAACCTCGGCCTCCTGGGTTCAAGCAATTCTCCTGACTCAGCCTCCCAAGTAGCTGGAATTACAGGCATGCGCCACCATGCCCGGCTAATTTTGTATTTTTAGTAGAGACGAGGTTTCTCCACGTTGGTCAAGCTGGTCTCAAACTCCTGACCTCAGGTGATCCGCCCACCTCAGCCTCCCAAAGTGCTGGGATTACAGGCGTGAGCCACTGTGCCCAGCCTTTTTTGTTGTTGTTGCTTTTTTGGGACAGAGTTTCACTCTTGTTGCCCAGGATGGATTGCAACAGCGTGATCTCGGCTCACAGCAACCTCTGCCTTCCAGGTTCAAGCGATTCTCCTGCCTCACCCGCCCGAGTAGCTGGGGTTACAGGCATGCGCCACCACGCCCAGCTAATTGTGTATTTTTAGTAGAGACGAGGTTTCTCCATCTTGGTCAGGCTGGTCTCGAACTCGTGATCTCAGGTGATCTGCCCACCTCAGCCTCCCGAAGTGCTAGGATTACAGACGTAAGCCACTGTGCCAGCCTACTTGCCTATGATTGTCTAATTGCTCCAGTGCCATTTTGTTGAATGAGCTGTCTTTCCTCCATTGAATCACATTTGCATCTTTGTAAAAATCAGGAGGGCACGTTTGTGTGGGTCTGTTTCTGGATTCTCAATTCTGTTCCATCACGGTATGTCACTCCACCAATACCACACAGCCTTGATTATCGTAGCTATATAGTAAGCCTTGAGATTGGGTAGAATGATTACTCCCACTTTACTGTTTTTCAAAATTGCTGGCCGGGTGTGGTGGCTCATGCCTGTAATCCCAGCACTTTGGGAGGCTGAGACAGGCGGACTGCCTGAGCTCAGGAGTTTGAGACCAACCTGGCCAACATGGTAATACCCTGTCTCTACTAAAAATACAAAAATTAGCCAGGCATGGTGGCGGGCACCTGTAATCCCACCTACTCGGGAGACTAAGGCAGGAGAAACGCTTGAAACCGGAAGGTGGAGGTTACAGTGAGCAGAGATCATGCCACTGCACTCCAGCCTGGGCAAAAGAGCAAAACTCCATCTCAAAAAAAAATAATAATAATAATAAATAAATTGCTTTAGCTATTTTAGTTTCTTTGCCTTTCCATATAAATCTTAGAACCATCTTATCTACAAAAAAAATCTTGCTGGGATTTTCACAGAAATTGCATTAAATCTGTATATCAATTTGGGGAAAACTGACATCATCTTGAGTCTTTTAATCCATGAATATGATATGTCTACTTATTTAGGTCTTCCTTCATTACTTTCGTCAGTGTTTTATAGTTTTTGGTATATAAGTCCTGTAAATGTTTTGTTGGATTTATACCTAAGTATTCCTTTTTTTATTGAGTGATGATAAATGGTAATGTATTTTTAATTTGTGTCTAGGTACTCATTAATGGCATATAGAAATAAAATGGATTTCTGCATGTTTACCTTGTATCCCTTGTATCTTGTGACCCTGGGGAATTCAGTTATTAGTTCTCCAAGTTTTCTGTAGATCCCTTGGGATTTTCTACACGGACAATCATGTCATCTGCAAATAGGATTTTATTTCTTCCTTTCCAATCTACACGTCTTTTATTTCCTTTTCTCAGCTTACTGGATTAGCTAGAACTTCCAACACTATGTTGAATAAGAATAGTGACAGCAGACATATTTGGCTTGTTCCTGGTCTCTGGCAGAAAGCATGCAACCTTTCACTATTAAATGCTAGCAACAGAAGGCCAGGCTCTGTGGCTCACGCCTGTAATCCCAGCACTTTGGGAGGCCGAGGCGGGTGGATCACATGGTCAGGAGTTCGAGACATTCCTGGCTAACACTGTGAAACCCCGTCTCTACTAAAAATACAAAAAGTTAGCTGGGTGTGGTGGCAGGGCACCTGTAGTCCCAGCTATCAGGGAGGCTGAGGCAGGAGAATGGTGTGAATCCAGGAGGCAGAGTTTGCAGTGAGCTGAGATCATGCCACTGCACTCCAGCCTAGACAACAGAGCAATACTCCGTCTAAAAAAAAAAAAAAAAAATAGCAACAGGACTTTTTGTACTAAATAGATGCTCTTTACTAAATGGAGGAAGTTTCCTGCTATTATTTTTCTGAGCATTTTTATCATCAGGTGTTGAGTTCTACAAAATGCTTTTTCTGTATCAACTGATCTGATCCTGTGATTTTTCTTCATTAGTGTGTTAATATGGTGGATTACATTGATTGAGCTTCAAATATTGACCCAGCCTTCCATCCCTGCAATAAATCCCACTTGGTCACAGTATATAATTATTTCTATATATTGCTGAATTCTATTTCGCAATATTTTGCTAAGGATTTTGCATCTTTAGTCATAAAGGATATTGGTCTGTATTTTTCTTTTTTTGGTACTGTCTTTAGGTTTGGTATCTAGGTAATACGAGCTTTATAAAATTGATCAGGAAGTGCGTTCTCCTCTTCCATTTTCTGGAAGAGATTGTGTAGAATTGGTGTTAACTCATTCGTCAACATTTGATAGACAGAATTCTCCAGTGAAATCATATGGGCCCAGAGATTTTTTTGGGGGGGAGAATTGTTTTCCTTTTTTAAAATAATGTTTTATATTAAAATTTAATTAGAGATTGGATCCTGCTATGTAGCCCAGGCTGGTCTTGAACTCCTGGCCTCAAGTAATCCTCCCACCTCAGCCTCCCAAAGAGCTGGGATTACAGGTAAGAGCCACCGTGCCTGGCCATTTTTTGGGGTTTTTAAATTACAAATTCTGTTTCCTTAATAGTTATAGGGCAACTCAAATTATCTATTTGACATTGGATGAGTTGTGGTACTTTGTGTTTTGCAAGAAATTAATCCATTTTGTGTAAGCTGTCAAACTTATAGAATTGTTTGCAGTATTCCTTTTGATATCTGCAGGGTCTGTGGTGACATCCCATTTCATTCCTGATATTGATAATTTACATTCTTTTTGTCAGCCTTGCTAGAGATTGCCAGTTTTATTAATTTTTCAAAAAACCAGCTAGTTTTCATTAATTTTCTCTATTGTTTGATTTCTGTTTTCAATGTCATTGATTTCTGCTCTTCAAATGTCCTTCCTTCTGCTTCCTTTGGTTTTGTTTCTCTTGGTTCTTGAGATTAGAGCTTAGATTATCGACTTGAGGAAAGCTTTTCCTGTTTTCCAATGTACGCACTGGTGCTACAGATAATCTGTATTGCACTGTTTAGCTTTATCCCACAAATTCTGATATGCTGCATTTTCATTTAGGTCTGTGTATGTTTTTAAATTTCCCTACAGACTTCCTCTTTGAACCACAGATTATTTAGAAGTCTGTTATTTAGCTTACAAGTATTTGAGTCAATTGTGGTTGGAGAACACACTCTGTATGGTTTCAATTCTTTAAATTTGTTAAAACTTGTTTTATGATCCATTATACGGATTATATGGTATATGTTGCTCAGGCACTTGAAAAGAATGTGCATTCGGCTGTGCTGGAGTGTTCTATAAATGCTAATCAGATTCTGTTGGTCGATAGTGTTTTTGATCTTACATCGTTTTGCTGATTTTCCATCCAGTTCCATCGGTTGTTGAGAGAGGAATGCTGAGGTCTCCAATGATTGTGAATTTGTTTATTTCTCCTTTTGGTTCTATCTGATTTCTATCTGATACTGTTTCACATATTTTCCAGCTCTGTCGTTTGCTGCATACATATTTAGGATTGCTATGTCTTGATGAACTTATCTTTTTACCATTATTTAATGTCCTTCTCTGTCTCTGGTCATTTTCTTTGAAGTCTGCCTTACTGATACTAACATTGTCACTCCTGCTTTCCTTTGATTAACGTTTTATCTTTATCCATCTTTTTTTTTTTTTTTTTTGAGACACAGTCTTGCTCTGTCGCCCAGGCTGGAGTGCAATGGTGTCATCTCAGCTCAACACAACCTCCACCTCCCGGGTTCAAGCAATTATCCCTGCCACAGCTTCCCGTTCCCGAGTAGCTGGGATTACAGGCGCCCGCCACCACACCCAGCTAATTTTTGTATTTTTAGTAGAGACAGGGTTTTGCCATGTTAGCCAGGCTGGTCTTGAACTCCTGACCTCAGGTGATCCGCCTGCCTCGGCCTCCCAAAATGCCGCGATTACAGGCATAAGCCACCATGCCCAGCCTTAAAGCCTTAAATCTTTCTACATACCTTTAGAACCGTATCAGATACTGTTACAATTTTTGCTTCAACTGTCAAACATAATTTGTTAAACCCAAGAGGAGAGGAAAGTCTATTTTATTTATCTACATTTTTTCTTATCATGCTTTCTTTTGTTCCTTCCTGATGTCTCAATGTTTCTTCTTTAATCTTTTCCTTTCTTTCTTTTTTTTTTTTTTTTTTTTGAGACAGAGTCTTGCTCTGTTGCCCAGGCTGGAGTGCAGTGGCGTGATCTCGGCTCACTGCAACCTCCGCCTCCCAGGTTCAAGTGACTCTTCTGCCTCAGCCTCCTGAGTAGCTGGGACTACAGGCGTGCGCCACCATGCCTGGCTAATTGTTTTTGTATTTTTAGTAGAGATGGGGTTTCACCATATTGGTCAGGCTGGTCTCAAACTCCTGACCTTGTGATCCGCCTGCCTTGGCCTCCCAAAGTGCTGGGATTACAGGTGGGAGCCACCATGCCGGCAATCATTTCCTTTCTTTTAGCCACTCTTTTAGGGAAGGTCTGCAGGGGATAGTTTACTTTTTCTTTTTTTTTTTTGAGTTGGAGTCTCGCTCTGTCACCCAGGCTGGAGTGCAATGGCGCAATCTCTGCTCACTGCAACCTCTGCCTCCCGGGTTCAAGTGATACTCCTGCCTCAGCCTCCCAAGTAGCTGGGATTATAGGCATGCGCCACCACGCCCGGCTAATTGTTTTTGTATTTTTAGTAGAGATGGGGTTTCACCATGTTGGTCAGGCTGGCCTCCAATTCCTGACCTCGTGATCCGCCCGCCTCGGCCTCCCAAAGTGCAGGGATTACAGGCATGAGCCACCCCGCCCAGCACTTAGTTTTCTTTCATCTAAGAATGTCTTGACTAAGAATGTCCAATATCGTTCATTCCTGAACAATATTGTCACTGGGTACAGGATTCTAGATTAATAGTTCTTTTCTTTCAGTACTTGAAAAATATCATGCCACTTCTTCTAGCCTCCAGTTTCTCATGAGAAATCTACCATCATTCGGCTGGGCGCGGTGGCTCATGCCTATAATCCCAGCACTTTGGGAGGCCAAGGCGGGCGGAACACGAGGTCAGGAGATCGAGACCATCCTGGCTAACACAGTGAAACCCCGTCTCTACTAAAAAATACAAAAAATTGGCCGAGCACAGTGGCTCACGCCTGTAATCCCAGCACTTTGGGAGGCCGAGGTGGGCGGATCACCTGAGGTGGGGAGTTCAAGGCCAGCCTGACCAACATGGAGAAACCCCTCTCTACTAAAAATACAAAAATTAACCGGGTATGGTGGCACATGCCTGTAATCCCAGCTACTCAGGAGACTGAGGCAGGAGAATCACTTGAACCCGGGAGGTAGAGGTTGTGGTGAGCTGAGACTGTGCCATTGCACTCCAGCCTGGGCAACAAGAGCAGAAACTCCGTCTCAAAAAAAAAAAAAAAAAGAATGTCCAATATCGTTCATTCCTGAACAATATTGTCACTGGGTACAGGATTCTAGATTAACAGTTCTTTTCTTTCAGTACTTGAAAAATATCCTGCCACTTGCTCTAGCGTCCAGTTTCTCACGAGAAATCTACCATCATTTGGCTGGGCGCGGTGGCTCACGTCTGTAATCCCAGCACTTTGGGAGGCCAAGGCGGGCAGATCATGAGGTCAGGAGATCGAGACCATCCTGGCTAACACGGTGAAACCCCATCTCTACTAAAAAATACAAAAAATTGGCCGAGCACAGTGGCTCACGCCTGTAATCCCAGCACTTTAGGAGGCCGAGGGTGGGTGGATCACCTGAGGTGGGAGTTCAAGGCCAGCCTGACCAACATGGAGAAACCCCTCTCTACTAAAAATACAAAAATTAACCGGGTATGGTGGCACATGCCTGTAATCCCAGCTACTCAGGAGGCTGAGGCAGGAGAATCACTTGAACCCGGGAGGTAGAGGTTGTGATGAGCTGAGACTGTGCAACTGCACTCCAGCCTGGGCAACAAGAGCGGAAACTCCGTCTCAAAAAAAAAAAAAAAAGAATGTCCAATATCGTTCATTCCTGAACAATACTGTCACTGGGTACAGGATTCTAGATTAACAGTTCTTTTCTTTCAGTACTTGAAAAATATCCTGCCACTTGCTCTAGCGTCCAGTTTCTCATGAGAAATCTACCATCATTTGGCCGGGCGCAGTGGCTCACGCCTGTAATCCCAGCACTTTGGGAGGCCGAGGCGGGCAGATCACGAGGTCAGGAGATCGAGACCATCCTGGCTAACACGGTGAAACCCCGTCTCTACTAAAAAATACAAAAAATTGGCCAGGCGCCGTGGCTCACGCCTGTAATCCCAACACTTTGGGAGGCCGAGGTGGGCGGATCACGAGGTCGGGAGATCGAGACCATCCTGGCTAACACGGTGAAACCCTGTCTCTACTAAAAAATACAAAAAATTAGCCGGGCATGGCGGCGGGCACCTGTAGTCCCAGCTGCTCGGGAGGCTGAGGCAGGAGAATGGCGTGAACCTGGGAGGCGGAGCTTGCAGTGAGCCGAAATTGCGCCACTGCACTCCAGAGTGGGCGACAGAGACTCCGTTTCAAAAAAAAAAATACAAAAAATTAGCCGGGCCTGGTGGTAGGCGCCTGTAGTCCCAGCTACTCGGGAGGCTGAGGCAGGAGAATGGCATGAACCCGGGAGGCGGAGCTTGCAGTGAACTGAGATCGCACCACTGTACTCCAGCCTGAGCGACAGACTCCGTCTCAAAAAAAAAAAAAAAAAATTAGCCGGGTGTGGTGGTGGGCACCTGTAGTCCCAGCTACTCGGGAGACTGAGGCAGGAGAATGGCGTGAACCCAGGAGGCGGAGCTTGCAGTGAGCCGAGATCATGCCACTGCACTCCAGCCTGGGCGACAGAGCAAGACTCCATCTCAAAAAAAAAAAAAAGAAAAAAAAAGAAATCTACCACCATTCTTATTGTCTTTTCCCTACAGGTAAGTTGTCCTTTTTCTCTGATTGCTCTCAAGATTTTTTTCTTTGTGTTGAGTTTCCAGAAGTTTAATTATGATGTGTCTTGGCATGGATTGCTTTGGGTTAATCATGTTGGGCTTCACTTGGCTTCCTGAATCTATCATTTGATTTTTTTTTTTAACTTTAAAAAAAAAGTTTTTGAGACAGGGTCTCACTCTGTTGCCCAGGCTGGAGTGCAGTGGCTCAATCACGGCTCACTGAAGCCTCAACCTCCCGGGCTCAAGCTATCCTCCCACCTCAGCCTCCCAAGTAGCTGAGATCACAGGCACGTGCTACCACATCTGGTGAATTTTTGTAGAAATGGGGTTTCACCGTGACACCCAGGCTGGTCTTGAACTCCCGGGGTAAAGTGATCTGCCCACCTCAGCCTCAGGCGTGAGCAACTGTGCTCAGCCTCATTTAACTTTTTTAGAGCCCAAAACAAGCATGTGGATATAAATCTCTAAAAACTTGCCTTCTGTAGCCAAGTGTAGACACTCAGGGCCCTAATCACTCCTTTGCCTGTGTGCCAAGACAGATTCCAAAACTCTTCCTGAGGGGATCCCCTTGTTCCCCTTCTGGGTGAAGATGGCATCTATGTCCACATGTGTTCTGGTTAGGCAACTCATCTTTTCTGGAGGATTTTAATACTTCCCTCCCTCAGCAGGCTGTTAAGCCAGGTGACACCATACATCACCAGTGATTCAGAGAAGCACTACTTCAAGTCCTTTTCAGAGAAAATAACCTCAAACTCATCACAACACCTACCAGAAACCTGAGAAAAATCCTGATTCCTTTTTTTTTTTTTTTTTTTTTGAGATAGAGTCTCACTCTGTCGCCCAGGTTGAAGTGCAATGCCACAATCTCAGCTAACTGCAACCTCTGCCTCCCAGGTTCAAGCGATTCTTGTGCCTCGGCCTCCCAGGTTGCTGGGACCACAGGTGTGCCACCACATCCGACTAATTTTTATATTTTTAGTAGAGAGGGGGTTTCACCATGATGGCCAGGCTGGTCTCAAACTCCTGGCCTCAAGTGATCTTCCCACCTCACCCTCCCAAAGTGCTGGGATTACAGGCGTGAGCCACCACGCCTGGCCAATCCTGATTCTGAAGGTGGGCTGAACATACACTTCATTCGTGCTACTCAAGTACTGCTACTTCACATATTTAATCCCTCTGTGATAAAGACTCTCATGCCCACCTTTAAGATGATCTGAAATTTCAAAGCAAATCAGTAACAATTTTGGCATGGCATCTAACCACCAATTAAGAATCACAGCTCTTACAAATGCCAAATACCACCCAGAGCTGAGGAAGAGTTCGCAGAACAACACTATTTTGGTTCTCCACTGGTTAAGACTTTGTTCTAAATTACTTTCAGTGGGCATCATATTTTACATTAGAACTCCTAGGAGGAACAGCCCAGTGAAACTCACTGTGGAGTTCATGGACGATCCTGGTCTTCCTTACTATACTGTGCCCTCTTCCTGAGGGCTGTAGGAAATCTCAGATTCCAGGACCACGTGTGATTCTACTTCTTCAGAGCCACAGGCTGCTGCTAACCTTGACCACACTGAGTATGCAAATGATTTTCACGTCTCATTCTGCCTGGTTCTAAAAAGGCCCAGAGCCACGCCCAACTCCCAGCAATGTTCACCAAATAAAAGCTGAGTACGAGCTCCCTCTTCAACTTGAACATTTCCTCTTTATCCAGTTTTTCCTAACCACTCCGTTTTCATTTGCTTTAGTCATTTGGGCCCAGTGTACTTATGGTAAGCTTCCTTGCATCCTTTCTGGAACAGGGCGGGGGTATAAACAAACCAGAACTTTCTATGTGTTGCCCAAAGAAAGGTAACGAGACAGAGCATGGACTGATCCAATTGGAACACTAAGTTCCTATGCTGGGCTAGATTCTATGTTAAGAGAAACAGCAGCCGGGCGCGGTGGCTCACGCCTGTAATCCCAGCACTTTGGGAGGCCAAGGCGGGCGGATCACCTGAGGTCAGGAGTTTGAGACCAGCTTGACCAATATGGTGAAATCCCGTCTCCACTAAAAATACAAAATTAGCCAGGCATGGTGGCGCATGCCTGTAATCCCAGCTACTCGGGAGGCTGAGGCAGGAGAATCACTTGAACCTGGGAGGCGGAAGTTGTGGTGAGCTGAGATCACGCCATTGCACACCAGCCTGGGCAACAAGAGTGAAACTCCATCTCAAAAAAAAGAAGAAAAACGGCAATGAAAAACAAGGCCCCTGACCTTAAAGGGTTGAAATGGAGAGGGAGAGAAAAGAATTAACAAATAACTATGATGTGGGCCAGCAGAGATAAACGGGGAGCTTGGCAGAGATAACAGGCATTGTGCAGCACTGGTGGCCTGGTCCCCATGGGCTGTCCTGTCCCTGTTCTGGGGCATGACCAGTGAACTGTACCTGTCCCCATCTACACTCAATACAACCTCCCGGAGTCTCTTGCCAGTGTCCTCCCTCACCCATGTCTCCTCCCACTGGCGTCCCCCCTCACCAGCTGACCTGTGGGACCTACGGGACAAGCACCCGGCACATGGCTCTCAGGCCTTCTTCTCAGGGCTGAGCAGAGGCCTTCGGACTCAGGCCTGGCACTGGTGTGAGCAAGTGGTAGGCCTAGCACTCAGGCCTACCATGCTGAGCGCCTGGGGATGACCAAAGGAAGCAGCCTAATCCTTCAGAAAGCTCAAGGCAGCCACATATCAACAACCACTCATACTCTCCTCCCTTAGGAAATCCCTTCTGAGAGAAAAATGCTGCAACTACGTTATCTGCTGTGGAGCCGTCTACAGCAGGGGGAGTTTTAGCAAACAAAGGCGCCTTGACCCAGGAGAAAATGCTGCATT
This sequence comes from Homo sapiens, assembly GCF_000001405.40. Classification (NCBI taxonomy): domain Eukaryota; kingdom Metazoa; phylum Chordata; class Mammalia; order Primates; family Hominidae; genus Homo; species Homo sapiens. The sequence goes on along the minus strand of NC_000022.11, from coordinate 23,804,867 downwards.
GTTTGAAGATTAAAGAAATCAGAAAGAGGCTGGGTGCAGTGGCTCACGCCTGTAATCCCAGCAGTGTGAGAGGCCACGGCAGGCGGATCACCTGAGGTCAGTTCAAGACCAGCCTGGCTAACATGGTGAAACCCTATCTCTACTAAAAATACAAAAATTAGCCAGGCATGGTGGCACGCGCCTGTAGTTCCAGCTACTCAGGAGGCTGAGGCACGAGAATCGCTTGAACTTAGGAGGCGGAGGTTGCAGTGAGCCGAGATCGTGCCACCGCACTCCAGCCTGGGCGACAGAGTGAGACTCCATCTCCCCTCCCAAAAAAAAGAGAAACCAGAAAGATACTTATGATAAGTGAAGAAAAATAAAACGATACTTGCTCTATAGTGACAACTATGTTAAATATGTTTGCATGTGGAATTGACAGAAAAGGTAAAACTGAAAACATTATTCAGGTGGTGAGATTCTGATGATTTTAAACATTTACTCATTTAAAAATGGTAACGCTTGGCACAGTGGTGCACACCTGTATTCCTAGCTATTTGGGAGGCTGTGGCAGGAGGACTGCTTGAGCCCAGGCAGTTCAAGATTACAGTGAGCTATGAGAGTATCACTGTACTCCAGCCTGGGCAACAGAGTGGGACTCTGTCTCTTAAAAAAAAAAATAAGTAAAATAAAGATGATATTCACTGCATTTTGTCTGAATATAAATAGTATGTTCATTATAAAAATTCAGCAGGATACAGACACTAAGTAAAAAAAAAACTGGTATGCAACAAGATCTAAAAAAACAGTAATCATAAAATAAAATAATAAAAATACATTCTAACAGACTTAAAAATAGAGAAAACAATAAATGCATGCATGATCCACCCTCCCAGATGGGATAAGCAGTCTAGACACCTGGGATGCATATCCTTCTAACCTTTCTGTCTACATTTGCACAAAGACCGAGTTCTGTCCAGGCTTTGGAAGCCCAGGAAGAGCCAGAAGAGATGGCATCTGACCCAGGACTTACAGAGTGAGGATGTCTAGAGATGACCAGTTAGAGGAGGAGAGAGGCACGGGGCACACATGCAGCCTCACACAGCAGAAGCAGAGTGGTGGACAGGACCCAAGGCAGGTGTGTGCAGGGCTCGGGGGCTGAACTAGGTCTGACTGGCATTGTCATCATCATCCATGCTATGCAGATCAGCCGCCTCCCATGCCAGGCCTCTTGGGCCACCCAACCTCAGTATGGGGAAAGAGTCCAAAGTTCACAGGCCCAATCCACAGTGAACAGCAACAGAACCAGGACTGAACCCAGAGCCCACACCCTCCAAAACTATGCCCCGATGTCCTGCGTGTCAGGTCCAGAATCTGCCTGACAGGCAGCTGGCAGGAAACGGGACTGTTCCCACGTAACACACAGGGGTTGGGGCCAGGCCCAGCCAAGCCCGACTGCCTTGTACCATTCATGTTCCAGGTGAAGGCGTCTCGCAGCTTCTGCCCATCGATCTCCATGTCCAGCCGGATGGGGACCAGCACCTCGGGCTGAGATGCGTTCTCATGGATCACAGCTGGGTCATGGTCATCAAAGCTGAAAGTGAAATGGAAGCAACAGTCAGCGAGGGGGCCGGAGCCCTAGGTATGCAAATTTTCAGCCTCTCTCTCTGCACAGCAGGCTTCTGCAAACCCATCTGGGGAAGATGGCCGCTTGTCAGCTAACAGCTGAGGCAGCAGACGAGGCTAGCAGGGGTCCCGGGGCCACGGTCTAATGGGGACAGTTGGGGCCATAAATAACAAGCACCAGTCTGTCTGCAATAGAATCGACCTGGGCAGTGTTGGAACAACACCCAGACATCCTGTGAAGGGATATTTAAGCCTGAAATTTGGCAGGACTTTCATGGAAGGCTATGGGAAAGGAGAAGGGCATTTCCAGAAGAGGAAATATTCTAGCAAGGCCAAGGCAGGTGAATGGAGGAACTGCTGAGGACGTACAAACAGACCACAGAGCACAGATTCCGTGAGGAGCAGTGGTCAGGGATGCTGCAAAGCTAGCGGGTGTCGAAGCACCCACAGTTCTTCCCTCAGGCTATGCAAACTGGCCACTGCCCTGAGGGAGTCCCAGGAGGATTCCAAGCAATGGAGTACTTTGGGAAGATAAAGAGGGAAGAGTCCGGCAGGCAGGTTGGTGAAATGGAGCTGGAGGACACAGGACACCTAAGGGCGTCTGGGAGCATGGAGAGGGCTGCGAAAGGCCCCCAGTGACCTTGGGAGGTAGATGGAAGACAGAGAAAAGTGAGCTGAGTGCCAGGCATGAATGCGCTGGGAAACAGACAGGGAAAGGGGCAGGGATGCTGCAGAAAAGGGGTGGCCACTCTAAGGGAGAAGGGGACAGTCAACTAGGGATGGGAAGAGGAGATAGAGGGAAGGAAGACAGAAGGAAAAGGAGGAGGGGGTAGGATGGGAGGGAGGGAAGGAGGAATGATGGAAGGAAGGAAGGAGGAAAGGAAAGAGGGGAGGAGGGAGAACGGGGCTAAACCTCAGCAGAGGCAACTGCAGGGCAGGAGCTCTGGGAGGTCTGACAGCAATGAGGACGTTCTCAGGCCTGAGGCAGGGTGAGTGGGGCAGAGTGCAGCGGTGGCAGCACCAGGCCAGGTTGGGCCTGGCACCCCAGTGAGAACTCCTGCTTCTGCTCCGAGGGTGATGGGGAGCCTGGAGGATTCTGCGTGGAGAGGTGACATGATCTGCCTGGAGCAGAGGCCACACCAGCTGCAGAGCTGAGAAGGCAGCAGGGAGGGGAGGTAGGGGCTGCTAGAGACCCCAGGGAGAGCAGTGGGGGGCTGTCTGAGGCAGTCCCAGGGGAGAACCTGGAGAGACTGGACTTGCTGTGTGAGGAAAAGGCAGGCCTTGGGAAAGAAACCTACAGCCTGAGCAAGGAGAGGGCTGGATCTCCACGCGCCGAGATGGAGAGGTCTTCAGGCAGCATGAGGCTGAGGGGGTGAGGGCAGCTGAGGAAGTCTGGGCCACAGAGGTAAAAAACAGACCCCGAAGACATCTACAACTTAATCCCCAAAACCTGTGACTGTCAGCTCATATGGCCAAAAAAGGAGACTTTGAAGATACGATTAAGTGAAAGATCCTGAGAGATTAACCAGAAGGGCCCTAAATTACATCGCCAAGTGTCCTTCTAAGAGAGAGACAGGGAAGTTTCATGCAGAGAAGGCCACGTGACCACAGAGGCTGAGACTGGAACGTGGCAGCCCCCAAAGCTGGAAGAAGCAAGGACCGAATCGCCTCGATGGCCTCTGGAGGGAGCATGGCCCTGTCCACACATGAGTCTGGTCTAGTGAAACTAAATCCAGGCTCCTGGGCCCCAGAACTGTGAGGGAAGAAATGTGCTCTGCTCGAAGCCACCAGTTTGTGGTGGTTTACTCCAGCAGGCTCTGGGAAATGGTGGCACAGTGGGAGTCACGTGGATGGCATCTGCACCATCAGACTGGCTGTGGCCCACTCATGTGAAACTGAGGGCAGAGAAAGGGCCCAAGGACCGCGCCCTGAGTAACTCCACTTGAGGGGCCAGAGAGGTGAGGAGGACATGGCAAGGTGACAGCAGACAGAGCCAAGGAGGCTATGGACAATGTCCTGGAAGTCAGGGAAACACAACAGTTCAAAGGCGAGGAGGTACTGTGGCGTTGTGGGGAGCACAAGGTCAAAGCAGAGTGTTTTTCTGGGGAGGAAGGAACTGAAACGTGCTGGAGAACTAAGGCGGAATCAGCACGGAGGGTGAGTGCAGCGATGCATCCACACCAAAGGGGGAAGGTTCTCTTCTTGTCTCGGCCCATGCGGTTCCTGTTGATGGTTGTGGAGCATGGCACGGCATCTAAGTGGTGGGAGCTGTTGGGCAGGGTGGGTACCCACTGGCTGTTCCTCTTGGCCTTCTGTTCCCTGAGGAGATACAAGAAAAGTCCTCCCAGTCAGTATAGGAGCCTGATCCTGCCCACCAGGAATCAACTAATGCTCCAGGGATGCCCACTGTACCTCTGTCAGGCTCGAGGCTCCCATGGGAGTTGTCTGTGCACCTGACTTTGCAGGAGCCTGCTCCCCAGGCTGTCATCAGATGCTAGAGGCACCTGGGCAAGGGCAAGGGTACGTAGGGGCACCAGACACAGCACGGCCATGGTGTACTGCACTATGAGCCAGGCATGGCTCCACGGAAGCACTTCCTGGATGCGGGGAAGTGGTACAAGGGGGAGACTTCCCAGAGGAGTGGATAATAGAGCACAGCCTTAGACACTGAGTCAGGGTTCACTGCGGGGAGGGGCACGGGCAGCAGCAAGGAGGAGAGACTGAGGGGCAGTCCAGGGAGGAGGTCCCCAGGGAGGGGACCGATCACAGGTCTCACATGCTCCGTGAGATGACTTTACTCAGCAGGTGGCTGGGAGTCCCCAGGGTTTTGAAGGAAGAGACATGATCAGGCTGTCATTTTAGACATACCAGCCATCCTGAGATGGACTAGGCAAGGCCTCTGGCCTCTCAGCTTCCACAGCAGTAGAAGTTGAGAAGATGGGTTGATAAATACCTTCCAGAGGTGACATCCAAGGTAATTTAAATAACCCATGTCCCATGAAGCGTTTGATCTTTTCTCCCAAATTCCAGGTTGCTTTTACCAAAAGCACCAGGTGCAGTGGCTCATGCCTGTAGCTCCAGCACTTTGGAAGGTCAAGATGGGCAGACCACCTGAGGTCAAGAGTTCGAAACCAGGCCAGGTGCGGTGGCTCACGCCTGTAATCCCAGCACTTTGGGAGGCCAAGGCGGATGGATCACCTGAGGTCAGGAGATCAAGACCAGCCTGGCCAACATGGTGAAACCCTGTCTCTACTAAAAATACTAAAATTAGCCAGGTGTAGCCGGGCGCGGTGGCTCACGCCTGTAATCCCAGCACTTTGGGAGGCCGACGCGGGCAGATCACGAGGTCAGGAGATCAAGACCAGCCTGGCCAACATGGTGAAAGCCCGTCTCTACTAAAAATACAAAAAATTAGCCGGGCGTGGTGGCAGGCGCCTGCAGTCCCAGCTACTCAGGAGGCTGAGGCAGGAGAATGGCGTGAACCCGGGAGGCAGAGCTTGCAGTGAGCCAACATTGCGCCACTGCACTCCAGAGTGGGAGACAGAGCAAGACTCCGTCTCAAAAAAAAAAAAAAAAAAAAAAATTAGCCAGGTGTGATGGCAGGAACCTGTAATCTCAGCTACTCAGGAGGCAGAGGCAGGAGAATCACTTGAACCCAGGAGGCAGAAGTTGCAGTGAGCCGAGATTACACCATTGCAGTCCAGCCTGGGCAACAAGAGCGAAACTCCATCTCAAAAAAAAAAAAAAAAACCAAAAGGTGAGTTCGAAACCAGCCTGGCCAACATGGTGAAACCTCAACCCTACCAAAAATACAAAAGTTAGCCAGGCGTGGTGGCACACGTCTATAATCCAGCTACTCAGGAGGCTGAAGCATGAGAATCACTTGAACCCAGGAGGCGGAGGTTGCAGTGAGCCGGGATCAACCACTGCACTCCAGCCTGGGCGAGAGAGCAACATCCTATCTCGAAAAAAAAAAAAAAATACCAAAAGCTGTTTTAAACTAAGGCTCCAGGGCTGGGTGAAACAGATGAGAGCATTTGGGTGCCCGTTGTGCTCTGTGCTTTTCCATTTTCCCTGGCAAGGCTGTGAGCAGGAGCAGGCAGCGACTGTGTGTCACTTCCCTGTGTAACCCCAACACCTGCGCAACCACTTCCACAATAACTATTCAACCATTCAGAGCAAGTCATGACAAACTTTTTTTTTTTTTTTTTTTGAGATGGAGTCTCGCTCTGTCGCCTGGGCTGGAGTACAGTGGCGCCATCTGGGCTCAATGCAAGGTCTGCCTCCCGGGTTCACGCCATTCTCCTGCCTCAGCCTCCCGAGTAGCTGGGACTACAGGCGCCCACCACCACGCCCGGCTAAGTTTTTTGATTTTTAGTAGAGACGGGGTTTCACCCTGTTAGCCAGGATGGTCTCGATCTCCTGACCTTGTGATCCGCCCGCCTCGGCCTCCCAAAGTGCTGGGATTACAAGCGTCAGTCACCGCGCCCGGCCGACAAACGTTTGACAGTTCCCTCTAAGGAGGGACCCGGGAAGACAGCACAAAGGTCCTTCTCCTTTCCAGAGGGTGGGGGAGGGCAGAAGCAATGGCCAAGACCTGCCTGGACTCTGGGCCCTTTAACTCTTTTCCCTTCTAAAGTGGGAATCACTTACACGTCTGATGCTGAGGCTGGGACTACCCCTTGATCGCTGGTAGGGGTAGGGAGGATTTTGTAGTACCCAATTTGGGGAACATGGAATCAGCTTGGGCAGAGACTATGAGAGGGGACAGCAAGACAGGGGTCCCCTCTACAACCTATCTGGGTCATAGTTCCTAATCCTGGCCGCTCAGAGTGCAATTTTTAAATTTTTTTATTTTTATAGAGATGGTGGGGTCTCACTATGTTGCCCAGGCTGGTCTCAAACTCCTGGGCTCAAGCAATCCTCCCACCTTGGCCTCCCAAAGTGCTGAGAGTACAGGTGTGAGCTACAACACCCAAACCCAGAATGCAAAATTTTAAGAAGCACATTCCTGAGCCCCACCCAGGTGGAGTGACTTCCCACCTCTGAGGAAGGGCCCAAGAAGATGTGTTCTTTGCAGCTTCCACGGGTGATTTCCAGGTAGCTGAGCCTGTATTTGCAAACCACAGATCTTGACCACCTCCTCTTTTCTGACTGGATACGTTAGAGCCTGGGCTGAGCCCCTGCCCCCTCATCCTGCCCTATCTCAGTAGCAAGTTCTCATTTCCAGGTCTAGCTATCAACTCAAGTGGACAATGCAAGTGTCACTAGACACAGTGAATGTGAGTAACATGCTCAGCCATACACAGAATCTGCAAATCTAAGCCATAAAATTCAACCTTCTGGCCAGGTGTGGTGGTTCACACCTGTAACCCCGACACTTTGGGAGGCCGAGGCGGACGGATCACCTGAGGTCAGGAGTTCGAGACCAGCCTGGCCAACATGGTGAAACCCCGTCTCTACTAAAACTACGAAAAATTAGCTAGGTGTGGTGCCTGGTGCCTATAATCCCAGCTACTTGGGAGGCTGAGGAAGGAGAATGACTTGAACCCGGGAAGGGGAGGTTGCAGTGAGCTGAGATCCCGCCACTTCACTCCAGCCTGGGTGACAGAGCGAAACTCGATCTCAAAAAAAAAAAAAAAAAAAAAAAAAAGGCCAGGCGCAGTGGCTCATGTCTGTAATCCCAGCACTTTGGGAGGCCGAGGTGGGCGGATCACAAGGTCAGGAAATCGAGACCATCCTGGCTAACACAATAAAACTCCATCTCTACTAAAAATACAAAAAAAATTAGACGGGCGTGGTGACAGACACCTGTAGTTCCAGCTACTCGGGAGGCTGAGGCAGGAGAATGGTGTGAACCTGGGAGGCGGAGCTTGCAGTGAGCCAAGATGGCGCCACTGCACTCCAGCCTGGGCGACAGAGCGAAACTCCGTCTCAAAAAAAATAATAATAATAAAAAAAAACAGGCCAGGCCCGGTGGCTCACGCCTGTAATCCCAGCACTTTGGGAGGCCGAGGCGGGCGGATCACGAGGTCAGGAGATCAAGACCATCCTGGCTAACACGGTGAAACCCCGTCTCTACTAAAAACACAAAAAATTAGCCGGGCGAGGTGGCGGGCGCCTGTAGTCCCAGCTACTCGGGAGGCTGAGGCAGGAGAATGGCGTGAACCCCAGGGGGCGGAGCCTGCAGTGAGCCGAGATTGCGCCACTGCACTCCAGCCTGGGCGACAGCGAGACTCCGTCTCAAAAAAAAAAAAAAAAAGAAAAACAACCTTCCTTCCATTGCAATCCCAGCATCCCTGAGAGAGGGCACCCAGCCTCTGCTCAAATTGTCCGATGACAGGATGGGGAGGGTGCCATAAGTCCCCTTATTGGGCTGACTGAGTAGTGTGGAGCCAGCCAAAGCCACTTCCCTCAAACCTCTGCCAGCCCCCACCCCTAAAGACTTGACCTCCAGGGCAACGGGATTCCACTCCTGCAGCTGTTCCTCACGACATGATCACCAAGAAACTGTTTTATCGCCCCATAAAAGATTCCCAGCTGACATGTGCAGAATTAAAGTGCCCTCCATATGTACACAATTTCCTTCTGCAACTTCCCTGGGAAGGCCAAGCCATCCTTATGTTCTTACCACATCCCTTGGGGGAAAAAGAATCTGCAAAGCACACGTCTGTAACACTGGCCAGCCTGGAGGCGTGCCACCTTTCAGGGGAATCATAAAAAAGATTTTCCATAACCACATCACTCTGAACAATAATCCTTTTTCTTAATGCTCCTTGGGCTTTGTGCAGAGAAATGCATACTTTGTTGAGAGCTGAATGCACAAGGTAGATGGGTACAATCTTGTATTCTGCACGTCTCACCCACAGGACCCGTCTCGGGTCACTGCAGAATCTACTTAATTATACCATGTATGGGTCACACCTTTGTCCATTCAAGTGGCTGACCCGTCACTAACCTAGCCTTTCCTTAAAGGCTGGATACTTAAGCGACTCCATATTCTCCAGTATTATTCACAATGCTACAGAGAATCTCTGTACATATAGTGGGTTTACTGATTCATTTTGTTCTTTGAAAATGTTTCTTTGGGACAAATTCCCAGGGGCGGTATTAATGGGCCAGAGAACAAAAAAGTTTGATGTCAGGATGCTTTACAGAAAGGGCACTCCCGGCTGGGCACAGTGGCTCACACCTGTAATCCCACCACTTTGGGAGGCCGAGGCGGGAGGATTACCTGAGGTCAGGAGTTCGAGACCAGCCTGGGCACAATGGTGAAACCCCGTCTCTAATAAAAATACAAAAAAATTAGCCAGGCATAGTGGTGCATTCCAGTAATCCCAGCTACTCCAGAGGCTGAGGCAAGAGAATCGCTTGAACCCAGGAGGCGGAGGTTGCAGTGAGCCGACATCATGCCACCGTACTCCAGCCTGGGCAACAAGAGTGAAAACTCCATCTCAAAAAAAAAAAAAAAAAGCACCTCCAGCACACATGAGTGCAGTTCTATCACACCTTCCCCAATTCCTTATGTTGCCAGTTTTTTGTTTTATGCTTGGAATTTTTATTTTTATTTTTTATTTATTTATTTTTTATTTTATTTTATTATTTTGAGATGGAGTTTCACTCTCGTTGCCCAGGCTGGAGAGCAATGGCGCAACCTCGGCTCACCGCAACCTCCGCCTCCCGGGTCCAAGTGATTCTCCTGCCTCAGCCTTCCTGAGTAGCTGGGATTACAGGCATGCACCACCATGCGAGGCTAACTTTGTACGTTTAGCAGAGATGAGGCTTCACCATGTTGGTCAGGCTGGTCTCGAACTCCTGACCTCAGGTGATCCGCCCGCCTCGGCCTCCCAAAGTGCTGGGATTACAGGCGTGAGCCACCGTGCCCGGCCTGTTTTTTATTTTTTTTAAGAGACAAAGAGTGTCGTTCTGTTACCTAGGCTAGAGGACAGTGGTGTGATCACCACACTCAGCTAATTTTTTTAACTTTCAGTAGAGATAACGTCTCACTATGTTGCTCAGGCTGGTCTCCTGGGCAACACAGTCAAATCGTGGGCTCAAGCGATCCTCCTGCCTTGACTTCCCAAAGTGCTGAGATTACAGGCATAAGCTACCATGCCCAGTCTTATGCTTGGAATTTTTGAAATTACACATGAGGGCAAATTCTTTCCATGTTTGTTTACTCCCTTGTACTTCAAGGTATGGACCATCTTTTACCTATTTGTTGGGGTATCCAAGTTTGTTGTATAAATCTAGATGTATAGATTCTAGATACAACATCGTAACTTCCCAATTACTTGGTTTTTTAATTGTTACTATAAATACTCTTCTAAAGGTTCTAAGTTTTGTTTTGTTTTTGTTTTTTTTGAGGTGGAGTTTCACTCTTGTTGCCCAGTCTGGAGTGCAAAGGTGCAACCTCAGCTCACTGCAATCTCCACCTCCCGGGTTCAAGCAATTCTCCTGCCTCAGGCTCCCGAGTAGCTGGGATTACAGGCATGTGCCACCACACCTGGCTAATTTTGTATTTTTAGTAGAGATGGGGTTTCTCCATGTGGATGAGGCTGCTCTCTAACTCCTGACCTCAGGTGATCTGCCCACCTCGGCCTCCCAAACTGCTGGGATTACAGGTGTGAGCCACCGTGCCCAGCCAGGTTCTAAGTTTTTATACATTCAAATCTATTGTTGTTTCTTTTGTGAGTTTATGTGAGCCACTGATTTTTCTGACAAATTGGTCCCACTTACATGTTTTTTTAAGAAATGAGGTCTTGCTGTGTTGCCCCAGGCTGGTCTTAAACTCCTGGCCTCAAGCAATGCCTCGGCCTCCCAAAGCGCTGGGATTACAAACATAAGCCACTGTGCCCCACGAGTCCCACTTTCCAAGCATTTGTAACTGTTCTCCGGAATCCAGGACTTGGCTTACGTTTCTTAGAAATTCCAATGATATAGAAGAAACTTAGAAACCTGGCTAAGAAAATGTATAAAAACAGAGGGAACTGTTAAAAAGTGTTTCAATACAAAAATCAGGACCGGGCGCGGTGGCTCACGCCTGTAATCCCAGCACTCTGGGATGCCAAGGCGGGCGGATCACCTGAGGTGGGGTTTCGAGACCAGCCTGACCAACATGGAGAGACTCGTCTCTACCAAAAATACAAAATTAGCTGGGCGTGGTGGCGCATGCCTGTAATCCCAGCTATCTGGGAGGCTGAGGCAGGAGAATCACTTGAACCCAGTAGGCAGAAGTTGCAGTGAGCTGAGATCACGCCATTGCACTCCATCCTGGGCAACAAGAGTGAAACTCTGTCTCAAAGAAAAAAAAACTAGCCAGGTATAGTGGCAGGCACCTGTAATCCCAGCTACTTGGGAGGTTGAGGCAGGAGAATCGCTTGAACCTGGGAGGCAGAGGTTGCAGTGAGCCAAGATCGTGCCACTGCACTCCAGCCTGGGCGACAAGAACAAGATTCCATCTCAAAAAAAAAAAAAAAAAGTGTTTCAATTTAACTTCAACCCAACCAGTTCTTGAGTCTCAGAAAAGACCCCACAGGTGTCCCCAGAGATGCCCTGGCCAGGAACGCATTACCTGAGGTAGGTGGGGGGCTCTGTGCTGATGGACACAGCCTTGTACTTCTCATCGTTGCCATCCAGAATCTCTTCCACTTCCGAGGCTTTTAACAGGGTCACACTGGTGGCTAGAGTCGTGTATCCGTGATCTGTAACAGACAAACATCACTGGGTCACTCTGCTGGTGGCGGTGGCACACAGCAGCCAGCCAAGTGGATGCAGCACATCAAGGTCCTCGCATGCGGGAGGTGGGAAAAGCAAGGTGTCAAACTTACTACTGCTGAATGCTGGCCTCTTCCAAAAGGGCAATCTGGACTGAGTGCTTTACTTACAAGTCCTGCTGGGTAGAGCCTCCAATGGGACTGATTTGGACTAATCTGCCCCAGGAGCACTGGCTCGGGGCAGAGGGAAGTGCTCAGGGCAGCACCAGCAACTACAATACAGCACGACCAGCGGGGACACTCGACTCCAGAACATATTCTCTTGGTCCTCACTCAGGGGAAAAGAAAGCTCCCAGAGTAACACCCCAGTGGGAAGAGGTCTGACACCACCACAATCCACAACACGATGCAAGGTGGGGAGATGGAATGGAAGATGAAGAATACTTTTCTTTTAAAACAAGAGCCCAGAGAGTTGGAAAGAGCTGCTTCACACCAAACACGAATTTCTATCCCCGAGCCGGTCCACACGTGCTGCCTGGGAAGCAGGACAGATTCTAGGCAGCTCGACCCCTAGCTCTTCCGGGGAATCTCCGTCAAGAGCTACCTGTCTGTGGGCCCAGTCTGGCTTCTCCTGGAGAAATCAATCGCTTATGGGGAAGGTATCTCCCAAGACTTAGCCCAGGGACTTGCGGAGGGGGAAGCAAAGCTGGGGACTCACTGTGTTAGCGACTGATGCTCTGCTAGGGGAGGAGGGGGAACAAAAAGGAAACTGTTTTAAGCAAGTGAGTGGAAATGTCATAGCAGCAGATCAAAAAGAAGCTCCGGCTCCTGCATTAAAAGAACCACTACTTTCCCGCAGTGGACAAAACCACAGCAGCACCTACAGACACAAACAAACAGGGCAGACTACGAAGCATCGCGCACATGCTCACAGACACACCCAGGCCCAGGGCAGCTCTCTACAAGGCGCCATTGCCACGTGGGAAGCAGTTTTGCCACCTGCCCAAGGACATGCTGTGTCCACACCCAAATGTCTCCATGGGAGTGTCTCCCACAGAGCCCCCAGAGTGTCTGAAGAGCACCCTTTCACCCTGCACAGAGCTGCCGTGACCCAAAGCCCACTAGTTTCACTAGTGTACCTAGCAAGCCCCAGGCACACGCAGGCCACCAGGAGCAGGGACATGCACATGGGCTCTAGCACACTGGCTGCCAGGATGAAGTGCTATGGGATGGATGTGCTCCAGGAAGCAAGCAGTGAAAGCCCCAGAGGGGAGTGGGAGCTGGGACCACCACCCGCCACTTGGGCTGCATGGAAGATGATTATGGCGACACACCCACGACAGATGGCAGAGCATCGCAGCATTCCTAAAACGTTTTGAGACCAACATGTCTTCACAGCACCTGCTAGTGTCCTGGCCCCGGCCCGCTCACATACCCAATGGCCCTGCTGGAAATAACTGACAGTGGACCACCAATGGCTCCCTGGAGCCACTTCCTTGCCTGGAGTGCTCACAGGGCGGCCCACCCCGGGATGCTCCCTGCCCGACTAAGGCCAAGGCTGCAGTGAAGACACTCTGGAGTGAAAACGTTTTATCTTCATGACATAAGCGAGTGGTTTTGAAACAGGTTTACAAACCCTCGTGAAGACGCACCCTTAGTGTTAGGTTTTGTTTTTTTACCATGTGACGATGCAACTATTTTCTTCCTCTCTTCCACAGTGGCTAGTCGCCTCCAGAGTGAGGGGTATCTCTTGTACAGAGAACCTCGGAACATACGGAGGTAGTTTCCCACCTATGAGTAAAGCAAGAAGGCTCATTATAAGGGTCGCAGCACCACAGGGAAGGGGAGGGTCCTGGCGCAGACTGCATCAAGCAACAGACAAACAGGCCTTGAGGTGGCCCCCAGGCGCCACGCTTTCGGCAGCATTAAAACACATTCTGCTGATATGAAGGGTTCACCAGCAGTGCACATCTGGCCTGCATATGTGCATCCTGACAACAGAACCAAGTTCCGAAAGGCCTGGGCAGATGCCTGAGTGGGAGGCCCCCAGAGCTTAGCAAGAAGTTCGTGGTGATTTTGATTTTGGACTAAGGATCTCTGGCACTTTCCAGAAATGCAAGGCCTCCTTGACCTTCTTTTATCTTAAGGACAAGACTTTGATATCTTTACAATGTAATAAACACCAAAAAGGTCTTTTAATTTTAGACAGATGCCAGATAATTTCCCCCATGGCCTGTGTTGCTTTGTTTAGTAACAAAACCCAAACCAGGGATACCAAAGGAATTTTCCAAAAGGTTTACAAGGCAATCACCAGACTGCTATATAAATCATCACTGACTCAAACAATGGCTTCAGTTTGCTTGTAGCAAATACTGAAAGTGTGACTTCCTTAAGGAAAATAAATCTAGACCTAAAGTTTTTATGAGGGTACCCTATTGTCTCGTTGACTTTTCAAGTATGATCACTTCGGAGTCACATTGCAGGGGATGGCCAATAGACTGGGTGCCAGGTGCTGGCTCCATCTGTAACCTGGGATCACTTCCCATTTTCTGGGTACCCTTTACTCATCTGCCAAATGCTCAGCAACTCTGAACTTCACCCCCATGAAGGACCACTTCTATTATGTTTCCCATTTTATCTACGCAACATAGTATATATTTTGCATTTTTAAATTTATTTTTAATTTTTATTATTATTTTTGAGACAGGGTCTCGCTCTGTCACCCAGGCTCGATTGCAGTGGTGCGATCGATCATAGCTCACTGCAGCCTCGAACTCCTCGGCTCAAGCGATCCTCCTGCCTCAGCCTCCTGAGTAGCTGGGACTATAGTTGCTTGCCACCACAACCGGCTAATTTTTGTATTTTTTGTAGAGACGGAGTTTCACCATGTTGCCCAGGCTGGTCTCAAACTCCTGGGCTCAAGCGATCTGCCCACCTCGGCCTCCCAAAGTGCTGGGATTACGGGTGTGAGCCACATACCCGGCCTAATTAAAAAAAATAAAAATAAAAATCTGTAGAGACAAGAGTCTCACTATGTTGCCCAGGCTGGTCTTAAACTCCTGGGTTCAAGTGATTCTCCTGCCTGGGCCTCCCAAAGTGCTAGGATTATAGGTGTGAGACCCAGGCATAGTATTAAATAAAATGTTTCTCCATTTTCAGCAGTGACTGTAATCAACAACCAGGGCTACTGAACGCTGAGAGAAGAGCAGACACAGCAAGTCACTCGCTTTCCACATAGAGGGCACAGACCCCTCTATGTTATTTGGCTTGTGTGTCAGTATCATCCAGTATCATGGTAAATGTAGAGTTTCCATTAGGTTTTTTAAAAGAAATTGACAATACTCCCCCCTATGACTACCTTGCAGGCCCTGCAGGGCTCTGAGTCTCCTAGATGCCCCCCAAAGCCCCTTCAGAACTTAGGAAACTGGGCTTGCCTTCCTGGCTTTCCTCTGAACCAGCCTTCACCCTCTTGGGACCCAGGTTTCCTGAATATAAAATCAAGGTGCTGGACTTGGGGATCTGTTAGGGTCCTCAAAGCTCCATGACTCCGGCTTGGTAAATACAGCTGTCTGTTAATGGCAGAACAGTGACACACACTCTTAGTAAATGCAGATGCCTTCCCAAGACAGCTCCACAGATGGCGCATGGAGGCACTGGGTATGTTGCTATGGCTGGCCCACCTCTCTGAATACAGTGCCTGTTTTCCACAGGGCAGTGGGCTGAGACCGTCCATCCACTACTATCACTGGAGCTACTGAATTTCAATAGAGCTCTGACCTTGAACTCTTCCCTAAACTCCGAAGGTCTGATGATTAAGTCAGGCCCAAAAGAACAAACTGCCTCTCCAACTGAGTCTCTTACAGCCTGGGTCTCAGGAAGATTATTCTTACTGGGAGGCCCAGGAGTCAAGGGGCTGAAAGACAAGACTGTAATTAGCTTTCTAGAAACTAAAATGTGTTTTGGGGAAGATCTTGGAGACCATCTAGTCTAAGCATCACATTATACACATGAGAAACACGACAGCAAGGCAGAGCAGGGCTGGAACCAGGCCTCCCAAGGTTCTTCCCACTTGGCCACGCACAGCTTCTCAATTTGCTCCAACTAATAAATGAAAGCTTTCTTTTGAAGTGTCACCTACTTAGAGCCAAACTGATTACTTTTACACCCATTAGATCAGGTAAACAACTCGCCTAGTATCACAGGCTGAAATTTGACACCTTTTGCATTCTGCAGTTAGGCAGGTGCCTACTGGCCAATGAGGACCATTCTGAACTGTGGCAGATGGACAGGCACTGGCTCTACCTCCCCAGCACTGGCATCTTTGAACAGTTGTAATTTAAGTGACAACGTGAAAATTTTATTGAATCCTATATTTTTTGTTTTATAAAAATTAGTGGAGGCCAGGCACAGTGGCTCACGCCTATAATCGAGCACTTTGGGAGGCCGAGGCGGGCAGATCACTTGAGCTCACAAGTTTAAGACCAGCCTGGACAATATGGTAAAACCCCATCTTTACTAAAAATATAAAAATTAGCCGGGTGTGGTGGTGTGTGCGTGTAGTCCCAGCTACTTGGGAGACTGAGGTGGGAGGACGGCTTGAGCCTGGGAGGCGGAGGTTGCAGTGAGCCGAGATTACACCACTACACTCCAGCCTGGGTGATAGAGTCAAACCTCGTCCAGAAAAAAAAAATGGTGGAAAATGCTAACACTAAAGTTCTGATGCTATTGACCTTAGTCTCATCCATGGGACTCAGTGTGACCATCTTGAGGCTTCATTCATTCATGCTATGCTCAATTGTGAAGGATAAAACCCACAAGTTTAAAAAGTATGAATGCGCTGAGTGTGAGTGCAGTAGCTCACACCTGTCATTCCAGCACTTTGAGAGGCTGAGGTGCAAGGATCACTTGAGCCCAGGAGTTCAAGACCAGCCTGGGCAACATGGCAAAACCCTGTCTCTACAAAAAATACAAAAATTAGTCGGGCACGGTGGTGCACACCTGTAGTCCCAGGTACTTGGGAGGCTGAGGCAGGAGGATCGCTTGAGCCCAGGAGGTCAAGGCTGCAGTGAGCCGAGATCACACCACTGCACAAAGTGAGATCTTTTTTCAAAAATAAAAGAAAATAAAGTACGAATAAAATGCTGGAATATGATACTAAAAACTGCTATAAGGAGAAGAAACTCTTGGCATTTCATGATAGCTTTAATTCTCCAGGATTGGCACTTACTTCCTTACATGAGATTCTACTGCTTGACATTTGTACATCTGAACTGTATATCCATAATTTTTTTAAAAAGGTAACATATACTAGCTGGGGACTGCCTTTGGAGCAAAAAAGGCTAGTTTGAGACAATCTGTAAAAACCTAATATATGGCCGGGTGTGGTGGCTCATGCCTGTAATCCTAGCACTTTGGGAGACCCAGACGGGCAGACTGCTTGAGCCCAGGAGTTGGAGACCTGCCTGCGCAACATAGCCAGACCCTGTCTCTATAAAAAACAAAAAACAAGAACCTAATAGACTTGGAACAAACACCCATTCAAAGGCCAGTAGAGTTTTCCTGAAGTCAGTCATCCAGTTGATGCAACAAAATGCAGCCACTCTAGTTAAGGGTTAAACATCCTTAGGCTCTTTCCCCTGTAATAATTCAGAATCAGTTCACAGATATGGAAAGTGTCAATCGCTTCAGAACTGCTGAAAGATCTAGCTTAGGCATGGGGCCCTTATTCACCCAAAAGCAAACATCTTCCTCCAATCTGTTTCTTCACCGGTAAACAAAGGTCAAAAGACCTCCACTGCTCACCTAAGAGGCAACAAACACAATGGGGATGAGCCCTCACTAAGTCCAGGGTTTCCAGCCTGCCATTTGAGGTTCCCACAAGTAGCAATACGGGGAGGGGTGCACGTGAAATTTACGACATCTAAAAAGGGTCAAAGGCAGCAGTGCAGTCCCCCAAGCGTCGCAGGGGCTAACTCAATATCCCGTTTCTTTGCGTCTGACTGGAAACCAACCCAGCGCGGAACCACTGGGGCCCCTCGCGGCGCCAAAATCTTGGCAGCACTGAAGGCGGCGGACCTCGGCGAAATAAGTAAGGAAATCCCAGGTCGATGAGGGGGCGGGGGCCACACCCGACACGCCCACTAGGCCACGCCCCACAGCCCCGAGCGCGCGCGCGCGCGCCCGCCCGCCCCGATGAATGGAGACGCGCGCTCTCGGCGCATGGGCCCGCCCCGGGGCTCCCGCGGGGCCGAGCCCGGGGAGGGCGAGAACGCGCCCCGGGCTACCTCGGAGCCGATCATGTAGAACTCGCCGTCGTCCTCCAGCTGGAACTTCACGGGCTTCTGCCCGAAGGTCTTGCTCAGCGCCATCATCATCATTGCGGCGGCAGAGGCGGGCGGCCGGAGCCGGGCTGCGAGGGATCAGGAGGGCTGGGGCGGGGCCGGGGCGTGCTGGGCCGAGGGAAACCGAAGCCGGAAGGCGAAATGCGGACCGGGCCGGGTACTGGCGCCTCAGCCGGGCTCCTCAGCCGCCGCCGCCGCCGCAGACGACGACCAGGCCGCCCTCAGTGCGCAGGCGCTGGCGTTGACGCTGACGCGCGCGCCGCCGCTCAAACAAAAGGCCGGGCGCGCCTCCGCGGACCCCTTAAAGGAGCCACGACTAATTTCTCTTTCTCCCAGGCTGCCTCCCAAGTCGTGGTGTAGAGGACTTCTCACGGACAAAAATAGCCAATGAGGTCCTGACTCAAGCAGTGGCTTTCCCAGTCTTACAGCCAGGACTGGAACTGAGCCCAGGGGAAAAGCAACGAAGTGAGGCCTGAAGGAGGAGGACCTAGTATCTGGAAGCCTGGGTGGTCTGGGCATGCTTTGGGACCCCAATCTCGTGCCTTAGCTTCCCCACCCCTAAAACGCAGTGCAGCTGAGCAGATAGGCAGGCCCCTAGGAAGAGATATCCCAGTTCCGGGCCTACGGCTGTCCCTGCAGCTGTGGAGGTGGGCAAAATGACAACAGCGGATGAGGCTTGGCAATGTTCAAAGGCCCAGGTGGTATTTGGTTTGGCTGGTGCATCAGATGAGCGTTGGAAGGGAGAGACACCTTCCACCTTCTCCATTCCTCTCTTAGCCTACACTCTGCTTAACCGAGCCCTGCAGTGGGGAGTGAAACCAGGCAGCCCAGCCCTGTGGCTCTGCCTCTTGGCTCTTACAGCGCGAAGCTAGTGAAACTAATGAAAGTCTGAAAGCAATCATGATTGAATAATGCAGGGAGTAAAACAGTGGCCCACTACTGATGATTTCACACCGTTCAATCTAATGAAATTGCAGCTGTGGCTGGGCTCAGCGGCTCATGCCTGTAATCCCAACTCTTTTTTTTTTTTTTGAGGCTGGAGTCTCCTGCCTCAGCCTCCCAAGTAGCTGGGACTACAGGCACCCGCCACCACGCCCAGCTAATTTTTTGTATTTTTAGTAGAGACAGGGTTTCACCATGTTAGCCAGGATGGTCTCGATCTCCTGACCTCGTGATCCGCCCCCCTCGGCCTCCCAAAGTGCTGGGATTACAGGTGTGAGCCACTGCGCCCGGCCTTGTAATCCCAACTCTTTAGGAGGCCAAGGCAGGGAGGATCACTTGAAGCCAGGAGTTTGAGACCAGACTGGACAAGACAGCAAGACCCTGTCTCTACAAAAATTCTAAAATAAATAAGCTGGGTGTGGCATGGCGGTGTGCACCTGTAGCCCCAGCTACTTGGGAAGTGGAGAGGGGAAGATCCCTTGAGCCCAGGAGTTCAAGGTTATAGTGAGCTGATTGCACCACTGCACTGCAGCCTGGGCAACAAAGGGAGACCCTGCCTCTCTTAAAAAAAAAAAAAATGCAACTATGCTATTACGAAGACACACATGGGGCTGGAAGGTAGGGCAAGGAGACACTGGAGAGTTGGGAAGGGCAGTGACTGAAGTTGCTTTGTTCTGTATCCTCACAGTGGTGGGAAACCAAAGTACAGTCATCCCTCAGTATCCATGGGAATTGGTTCCAGGACCCCCTGCAGATAATAAAGTCCACAGATGCTCAAGTCCATTATATAAAATGGTGTCATACTTGCATATAACCTACACACACTTTCCTGTATACCTTAAATCATCTCTAGATTCCTTATACTACCTAATACAATGCAAATGTTATATAAATAGTTGTTATACTATTGTTTAGGGAACAATGATAGGGAAAAAAGTCCGTACATGTTCAGTACAGAGGTAACCATCCCTTATTTATTTATTTATTTATTTATTTATTTACTTATTTTATTGAGACAGAGTCTTGCTCTGTCGTCCAGGCTGGAGTGCAGTGGCATGATCTGGGCTCACTGCAAGCACCGCCTCCTGGGTTCACGCCATTCTCCTGCCTCAGCCTTCCGAGTAGCTGGGACTACAGGCGCCCGCCACCACGCCTGGCTAATTTTTTGTATTTTTAGTAGAGACGGGGTTTCATGGTGTTAGCCAGGATGGTCTCGATCTCCCGACCTCGTGATCTGCTGGCCTCAGCCTCCCAAAGTGCTGGGATTACAGGCATGAGCCACTGCACCCAGCCTATTTATTTACTTTATTATTTTTTTAGACGGAATTTTGCTCTTGTCACCCAGGCTGGAGTGCAATGGCACTATCTCAGCTCACTGTAACCTCTGCCTCCACGTTCAAGTGATTCTCCTGCCTCAGCCTCCCAAGTAGCTGGGATTACAGGCATGAGCCACCACACCCAACTAATTTTTGTATATTTAGTAGAGATGGGTTTTCACCATGTTGGCCAGACTGGTCTCAAACTTCTGACCTCAGGTGATCCACACACCTCGGCCTCCCAAAGAACTGGGATTACAGGCACGAGCCACTGCGCCCGTCCGCATCCTTTTTTTAAACATTGTTTTTTCTACCCGAGGTTAGTTGAGCCTACGGATGCAGAAACCACAGCTATGTATGGCAGGCTGGGCTGTGGCATGAGCAGATAAACCACCACTCTGGAGGATGAACAGAGGGGACAAGTAGGAAAGTGGGGAGCCAGTTAAGAAGCCACTGTAGCAAAATGTGATGTAGAAATGGAGCAGAAGGAGCCCTGAGCACTGTGCCCAGCCCCAAGGGCCAGAGGCTTGGGGGTGGTGGACTTCGACCCTGGCTCCCAGGATAGGGCTGGACAGTGGCCAGGCCTCCCCATCCTGGCTGAACATTCACAAAAGGAGACCAAGCAGGCAGGTAGAAAACAACTGTGTTTAATGACAATCCTCAGTTTAAAAAAAAAAAAAGAAGAAGAAGGTTTATACACACTGTACACACATTTACAATGGCTTTGGAGGATAGCAGTGCTGCGAAAAGGGCTTCAGGAGGATCCGGCCTGGGACAGGATTGAGGTATGTTGCAGCCTCCAGGGCCTGGGGTCTCCTGCATGAAGAATACCCCTCCCCATTTGACTGTGAACTTTTTGGCCTGGATTCTGGAGAACAGATTTCCAGGATTGTCAGCCAGAAGGCAGACAGATGCAGGCACCTACCAAGACCTGACCTCAGGAAGTGGCCCTGCCCTACAGCCCAGTTGCTCAGCCAGGGCTGAAGGCCATGGGGCCCCAGCACCCTTGCTTCAGTGCCAGCCCCTGGAAGGAACCTCACAACAGGGATACAGCAAGGACACTCCAGTTCCCCCAGTCCTGCCATGGTGCTACCCTGAGGGACAGGGATGGAGACAGGGCAGCCAGGTTTGCCAGGACCTGCATAGCGGGCCCAAGACTGCCCTTCCTCTTAAGTCATGCCAAAGCCTCCCTGCCCAGTCTGAGACAGTCGCTGGCAGGTGACCACGACCTGCGTGGCCCTCCCGGCAGTTGTCATGGTGGTTGTACCCCACCCCATCCCCCTGAGGAGACATGGGCTCAGTCCCATGCCTGGTGCCCACAGCCACAAAGATGGCCATGGGTCTCTAGCCTGATATTCGTGGCCTGGCAGGGGTCAGCACCCCTGAGGGCATCCAAGCCATGGTCAGAGGAAAGTGTTGGCAGGCTCGGCACAGCCAAAGAAGTCAGGACCCACGAGACGGGGGAAGCCTTCCAGAGCCTTCACCTTCACAGGGTCAAACTTCCAGTAGAGGCGGCCGCGCAGGAAGTAGGCATAGCCTGAGAAGAGAAGGTGGTCAAGCCTGGGCGAGCGGACACTGGGCCCTACTCCTGCCTGTCAGGCTGTGCCCAGGGATGGGCACTAAGGGAGGGCTGAGTGGGAAGCCCTTGGCCACTGCTGAGTTCCTCGAGTCCTGCAGGATCCAGGGCCGGCCTTTCAGAACCTCTCTTCCCTCTAGGGAGCCCTTCTGCCTGCCCCGGAATCTGGGCTGGGCTAATACCCAGCCTGACAGGTACCCAGAGCCTCAGAGGCCTGAGTCCCACCTCTCAGGAAAGCAAGTCCCGTTGCCCCCACCACCCTCCACATCACTCTCTCCTGCATCTATTAAATTAGCCAGGCTATTGACGGGCACCCTGGAGTCCTGGAGCTGGAGGCTACCCTAGGATAGCTCTCCCAGTGGGTCCTGATGTGGGAGAAAGAGCACAGAAGAGGAGCCTAGCAGGGGAGGGAGCACTGGACTGGCTCTAGCCCCCTGTGGTTGTGGGAGGCTGGGTGGGTCAGTGGTTAGGAGCAGGGACCACCAGGGTAGTCCAGGTTAGGGGCCTCATTGCCTGAGCCTCTGTTTGCTCCTCTGGAAACTGGGTTCACAACAGGTGTCACATCAGAGGGCTGTTCTGAGAACTGGATGAGACCAGTAAGGAGCTTAGAGCATTGTTGGCCCTCAGTGTACAGCAGTTTATTGTTCTACTGGCTGTGGCTGAAAAACCAGGGTAAGACCTTGCACTTCTCTGACCCTCAGTTTCCTCATCTGCAATATGGAATGTAGCACTAGCCGGCCACCGAGAGGAGGGCAGATGGCTCTGGACAAAGGACCTGTGATGAAGAGCCAGACTTCCTGTGGCAGGCATGTGGGAGCCCAGCCACCACCAGGTGGGAGAAGCGGCTGCTGTGCCCACCTCCCACCAGCTGCCTCACCCCCAACGCACCATCAGCATCCTGGAAGGCAGCGTCGATCTCAGAGGGCACCCCTCTCCAGTCAGTGGCCCTGCGGGGCACGGGACTGTCTACACGCCGGGTGCTGGGGTGGAAACGCCAGTAGTCCCTGCCTCGGAAGAAGTAGATCTTGTTCTTCTCGGGACCCCAGACCAAGGCAGCATGGACCGGGAACCTCACCAGGCCCAGCTCGGTGAGGGGTGCGGGGCCCAGGACTGGCTTTTCACCGTCGTACACCCAGTACTGAGCACCTGCCGGAGAGGGAAGGCTGCAAGGACCTGCCCAGCCACCACTGCCATGCCCCGCCACTGTGGACCTGCTTGACCCCTACCACAGACTCTCCCAGCCTCAGTTTCCTCATCAGTAAAACATGCAGGCCAATAATGCCTGCTCAGCACCCCACCCGCAGAGGGAAGCGGGAGGCCTGGGATAAGCTGGGGCAGTGAATGCTCTGTAAACTAGTGCACGGGTGAGGTTACTCTCATCAGTAGAGGGCTGCCTGGGCGGCTGCTCCTTCCACTGGCATTTGGCTGTGACAAATGCCTACTGACCACTCCCTGGGCCCCTGCAGGCTGGACTGCCCTGGAACCCACGCAGGTTTCCCATGCTGTGCCTTCATTTGTGAAGTCCCTGGCATCTGCAATGCTCCAGGCTCTCATCTCTGCCAGTTGAGGATGGAAATCCCAGCTCTAGGATGATAGACCTGGATCAATTCCCTGCCCTGCCTCTTCCCAGCTGCACTCACAGTGAGTCACTTCACTGCCTCGGGGCCCCAGAGGCCTCATCTCTAGAACCCCGCCCCATGGGGTGGCTGAGGGTTGAACGCACCAACACGAGGCCCCACCGTGCAATCCCTTCCACGCTGCTCCTATCTCAAGAGCCACCTCCGAGAACCTCCTACCTGTGCCTGAGGAACAAACCACACTCTCTCTCCCTCGGCCCCCAGGCTTTGGGGCAGCTCTCCCTATCCACTGTGTCCCTAAGGATCCATCTGTCTGTTCCTGCCCTTGGCCATAACATTCCTGGCTCTGGGAAGTCTCTCGAGCAGATCCCCAACCCCCACTCACCTTGGAAGAACCAAATGTGGCCCTGGGCATCCTCGAAGGCAGCGTCCACAGGGCTGGGCAGTCCCTGCCAGTGGCGAGAGGCCAATGCTGGGTAGCCGGGCTGCAGCTGGCCCCCACGGAGGCGCCACACAAAGCCCGCTTTGAAGAAAAAGAGCTCGCCTCGGATGGTGGAGACCGCGTCAAAGGAGGCCTCACAGGCATCTGGCGGGGCGTCTGGCTGGGGTGGGAGAGAGGGACACATGCTGAGGGCATATGCTGCAGTCACAGTGGCCAGCAGAGGAGTAGGGGGACTGGCAGGCAGGGCCTCACCTCCAGCGGTGCAATCTCATTGGTGTCTATCCCAGCCTGGGGGCCCAGGGCTGGGGTCCTGGAGGTGACAGTGGGCCAGGGCTGGCCATATAGGTGTTGAACGCCCCTGCAGTCATCTGGGCTGAGACTCAGTGGGTAGCGAAAGGTGTAGAAGGCGGACATCAGGGCCTTGGCTGCTGTTGTGTGCTGCAGCCCCAGCACGTGGCCAAATTCATGGGCTGCCACCTGCAGCAGGTCTGTGCCTGAAAAAGGGAGGTGGCTCAGCAACCCCCGAACCTCCTGCCCAGGACATCCAGCTCCAGACCCCAGCTCAGTGACCTTGGCGAGTCCCCATTCTTTATGATCTTCGGTTGCCCCATCTGGAAAATGGGTCCCCAGCCCATACCCTGGTCATCCCCGATAGTCCAGGTCTCATCATAGTCGAAGTGGACATCCCCTTCTCGGTGAGTCTTGGGGAAGAAGGCATGGGCCAGGATGCCCCCAGGCCCATCAAACGGCAGGTCGTCCCCATGCCAGTACCTACAGATGGGTGGGGGCGGGGTCAGTGGCTGCTGGCAGGCGAGGCTGTTCCCGGAGGGGTCCCAGGCCGCCCATTCACCTGGCGAAGTCGATCATGATGTCAGCACGGCCCTCGTGCACCTCAGTAAAGGTGAGTGGCGTCACATCGCTCCATACCTTTAGGGCCTCTGCCATCGTCTGCCGCACCTGCTCCTGCACCAACTGCCATGGGAACCGAAGGATCCTGGAGGGAGATGGAGGGGCCTGGGCCTCAGGGAAGGGACAGCCCCCGATGGCTGAGGCACCAGGAGTTGCCCCTGGATGCTTGGTGGGTGTGTGAACACTCAGGACACAGGCCAGGTGTACTCTGGGCCTCAGCTTCAGCGCACTGGTCTCCCTGGCCACATGGGCACATGTGTATGTGGTTTGCTCATACTTAGGCAAATACAAGTGTCTGAATTCAGTGGAAAGAACCAGGACCAGGGGTCCCGAGACCCCCATCCTAGACCTGACAGTGCCACTTACTGTGGGGACACCTTGGTTCCTTGAGCCCCTGTTGGTTCCCAGGCCCCCACCTAGGAAATTCTAAAGACCCCAGTCTCAGCTCCAATGCTGTGTGACACCAGCCCATTCTTCAGGCTGGGTCCCCACCCGCAGGATGTGTGAGCCTCAGCTTCCCCATCACCTGCCCAGGGTCCTCCCAGGTCACCCAGTGAGATGCCCACTATTGCCTCTCCCCGCTTACCACTGTCTCCACCTGCTCGAAGCCCAAGTTGTGATGGTAGAGTTGGACAATGACATGGCTGACACCCACCTCAGACTGACACAGAGGATGGGGCTGTGTCTGCCTCATTCACCGTGGAGTCCCAGAGCCTGGTCCTCACAGGTCTCTTGTAAAGGCTGCCTGAGTGACTGAACACCCGTCCGCAGGCATGTGCTGCGACTCTTTGCATGATGACGGAGGCTCTGCCCCTCTGCTGAGGGAGGGTCTCCATATGTGTATGTGTCTAAGTTGGGGTTTCAGGGGGTTTGCCCATAGATGACCTCCCTGGGGTTCAGTGGACACACAGGTCTGTTAGACACGAAGATCTACCCTGGCCTGTGTCTCAAGCAGCAGCTGTGAGGGCAGCTGGCTTACCCACGGACACACAGGTGGCATCCTAGTGTCCTGCTCCCAGGCCCCTACCTGTAGGTGAGGTCCGTCTTCTCCCAGCGCCCGCCAGAAAGCACGAACCTCTTCTGTCGGTTGCGGGCACTCAGCCCATCAGATGGGTCGGGCACGCCACAGCGGGGAGGCCTGAGGCTGCTGGCAGGCCGGGGGGCTTCCTGCGTGGCAGGGGCAGGTGCCGGGCTACTGGGCAGGGCTGCATGCCAGGGCTGTGGCCCCCTCCTCTCGGCATGGAGGTGGTGGGCGTCCTAGGCAGGAGGATGACATGAGGGTCTGGTCAGGCCTAAGGTCCACATGGCCCACAGTTAGAGATGTGGCCTGTCAGCAAACACACGTGCAACCCCAGCCCACTGTGTGGCTGGGCAAATGGAGAGGGAAAGGGCACCGGCACATGGCAGGGCCCTTTGGCATCTGGCTGGCTCTCTGGTTTCTTGGCACCTTGTTCCAAGGCATCAAGCTGTCCCCCACATCGTGGAGGGCCCTGGGCTGCCTGTCACCTACTCCAGCTACTTAGGCCAATGAGGTCTGGGGGTGGGGGCACACTGGGACTGGCTATGAGCCATACACTCCAGGAATGGACCCCAAAAAGCTTCCTCCGAAGGAACACCAGGCAACCTCCTCCTGCTCCCCACAGAAACTTGCTTCCAACTCCCTTTCTTCCTGTGTCCGCTAAGTTCAGACACACCTGGGTCATGCTCCTGTCCCTGTCATGTGAGCAGGATCTGCCCTCTCTCCTGCCCAGGATTTCCCCCACCTCCTCCCCAGTGTGGAGCGGCTGTAGCCCTGCAGTGTGGCCTCAGTCAGTGTAACCTGACTGCTGGGGGTGACACTGACTTGTGGACTGGACAAGGTGAGGTATGTACAGCACCTAGCACAGGCCCAGCACCCGGGAAGGCACCTGGCCACTGAGGCCTGGCTTCTAGCAGAGGTGGTTTTGGTCACACCCCACCAGGGCTAGGAGTACAGTGGGAGCTGATCTGTGATCTGCCTGCCTTCTTCAAGCGGGGAGGGTGGGGACAGTTAATTACCAGGTGCCCAGCCCCACTCGCCAAAGCCCCAGGACCACAGATGGCGATTCAGACCTAAGCTACATCCTGCTACCTGTCTATAAGTCTCCAGGGCAGAAGTTACAGTTCTTGTGCATGAGAAAAGCAGAAGCTCAGAGAGGTTGGAGACCCTGCAAAGTCACCCAGCAAGGGCATGGCAAGGCCAGGCCAGGACTCTGGTGGCTCAGGCCTAAGGCTAAGGCCTGGCTCTGGACACCGCACAGAAGCCAAGTGTCCTTCCTGCACTGAAGGAGAGGGATGGAGCTGTGCTGCTTGCTGAGAGACTCAGCACCTGTCTGGTCTGGGCAACTGCAGCCTCCTCACAGCCATATTTGGGGTAGGAGCTCAGCCACTCAGGCCCCACCTCACCCTCAGCCTTTGGCAGCTCTCCCAGGCTCCATACACCCCAGGGATCTGATCAGCGTCCCAACGCTCCCTGCTCCTGATCCCAGAGCTGAGGCATCAAGAACACCCCACCATGAAGGGGGGCCTTCTGAACACGGAGGCTATGGAACTACTTAGGGCGTGAGGCCCTGAAGCAGCTTCCCCCCATTTCCGAGCTTGCTTATTGCATGGTTACCTGGCACAGCGCAGTCTCACTGGGTTGTGGGTTCTGGCCGATTCTGGGCTTATTGGTTTTTTGTTTTGTTTTTTTGAGATGGAGTCTCACTCTGTTGCCCAGGCTGGAGTGCAGTGGCGCGATCTCGGCTCACTACAACCTCCACCTCCCGGGTTCAAGCAATTCTCTGCCTCAGCCTCCCGAGTAGCTGGGGTTACAGGTGCCTGCCACCACGCCTGGTTAATTTTTTTTTTTTTTTTTTTGAGAGAGAGTCTCGCTCTATCGCCCAGGCTGGAGTGCAGTGGTGTGATCTGGGCTCACTACAACCACCGCCTTCCGGGTTCATGCCATGCTCCTGACTCAGCCTCCTGAGTAGCTGGGACTGCAGGCACTTGCTGCCATGCCCGGCTAATTTTTTTGTATTTTTAGTAGAAACGGGATTTCACCATGTTACCAGGATGGTCTCGATCTCCTGACCTTGTGATCCGCCTGCCTCGGCCTCCCAAAGTGCTGGGATTACAAGCATGCGCCACCGCACCCAGCCTCACGCCTGGCTAATTTTTGTATTTTTAGTAGAGATGAGGTTTATCCATCTTGGCCAGGCTGGTCTTGAACTCCTGACCTCATGATCCACCTGCCTCGGCCTCCCAAAGTACTGGGATTACAGGCGTGAGCCACCGCGCCCGGCCTGGGCTTATTGTTAATAAGTACTTAGCACTGGTTGGCCGGGCCTGGTGGCTCACGCCTGTAATCCCAGCACTTTGGGAGGCCGAGGCAGGCGGATCATGAGGTCAGGAGATCGAGACCATCCTGGCTAACACGGTGAAACCCCGTCTCTACTAAAAATACAAAAAATTAGCCAGGCGTGGTGGCGGGCTCCTGTAGTCCCAGCTATTCGGGAGGCTGAGGCAGGAGAATGGCGTGAACCTGGGAGGCAGAGCTTGCAGTGAGCCGAGATCGTGCCACAGCACTCCAGCCTGGGTGACAGAGCGAGACTCCATCTCAAAAAAAAAAAAAAAAGTACTTAGCACTGGTTGCAGGCTAGGACCTTGGCAACAGCTCCACAGACTTGCTCTTAGCCCCTGATGGAACCTCTCACCAACTCCACCATCATCACCCTCATTTCCAGGATGAGGAAATGGGCCCCAGAGGAGTTAAGCAGCTTGATCAGACAACAGCTGGCAGGCAGCGGACTGTCTGTGCTCACAGCCCACCCAGCTCCCTGCTACCTCTGCTCTGCTCTGCAGGGGTTGAGTTACCCTTCCCCTGAAGGAGGGACCCAGGCTGGCCTCACCTTGGTGAGGTGCAAATTATTCAGCGCCTGCTATTTCCCGGGCATTTTGCAGGCAGGTTCGTTGGGCTTCCAATATCCACCAGGCAGGTGGAGATGCTACATATCCAAGTTCTCCCATGGAGGATGTGGGCTGCCAGAGGGGCCTGCCTCCTCCTCCTCGCCACACTGCCCCCTTGACTTACAGGAGAAACAGATTCCTTTCCCCAGCCTGGCAGGGGTATGAAGACCCTCCCTGGAAAGGGCAGAGCTGTGCTCTCCCCTGGGAGCTCCAAACAACCCAGAGCCCAGCCTGCCAGCCCTGCTATGCCCATGGTCAGAAATCTCTTCTCTCCTCTGCCCTCTAGTGAGTCCTGGTGCAGACAGTCATGGAGGGAGAGCCACGGGCATGCCCCCACCCCTTCCACTGTCCCTTCCTGTCCTTCCCTCATGAGGCACCCAGTCCATGCCCAAACCCCTGGATCATGACAGTCTTAGTGTCACAAAAAGAGCCAGCCACTGAGGTTCAGAAGGCCTAGTTCTATGACATGGAGACTCTAGACAAGTCACCTTCCTCTCTTAGCCTCAACTTTCCTATCTGTCAAATGGGAATGATGCCACAGCAAAGGGCTACATGACATCCTTCTGTAATGCCTGCTGTAGCCTCTGGCACAGAAAAGCACCTCTTACCTGGCCCTGTTCCTTGTCCCTGTAGGCCCTCCCCTCCCACGCTTGGGAATCTGCCCTTGCCAGTCCCTACAGTTCCCATCACCCACCGCCCCTCTAGCTACCCAACAAAATCTTCAGGCTTTAAATGGTAAAACAGAAGTTGCAGCTAGAAGGGAGCTTTCAGGCCTAGAAAAGAGAAGCGCCTTGTGCAGGGTCTCCCACATATCAAGGTCTCTTCTCCCTGTCCCTGTCTTGTTCATTAAATTCTTAGAAACTGAGTGAGCAGGAGATGCTAGAAATGAGGCCTCTAGCTAGTGAGGTTGTTTTTAGAGCCCATTATTTTTTTAGAGCCCATGAGCTCTTGGCCTCAGTTTCCCCATGGCTGGGATAGGACACACATTCTGCCTCACTGTCCTCCCACACTTCATCTTTCCAAGTCCTTTCTGGCCTGGGGCCAGATGCCCTAACTACAAGGCACGGCATGAAGCAGCTTGCTACTTGTGAGACAGGTGGGCTTGGCCTTCCCAGGACTCTCAGGATTCAGTGAGGTGAGGTGGTAGACACAGGCCACCACTGGCCTCATCTACACCCCTGGGGAGCTTGAGGAAGAAGCAGCTCCCCCATTTCCCAGAGGATGAGACAGAGCCCAGAGAGCTCAAGGACTTTGCCCGGGGTCACACAGCAAGTCATGCAAGAGCTGGACCTAGACCTGGGGCTCATGCCTCCCACCTCCAGGGCTTCCCCCTGTCTCCCCAGCTCTTGGCTTTTCTCCAAAACCCACTTTCCCAAGAAGCATTTCTGCTTCCAGTGCATTCCCTCTGTCTTGGCCAGTAGCCTCCCTTGGCCTGCCCTGTGGTGGGTTCTTAGCTCACTCAGCCCCACCCTCTTCTGCCAGACACCAAACCTCAGCTGCAGACACATTCAAGGAATTTCTCAGCTGACCCAGTGTCCTGGCAGAGCTTAGAGACTCGGAGTCAACCCCGCCCTGGGGTCAACTTGCAATCCAGAAAATGGGAGGCACCAGATAGAGGGGAGATAAGGGAGGACCCCAGGGTGCCAGGAAACACTGCGAAAGGCTGGGCTCATTGTGCCCCTTTCTGGGCCTCAGTTTGCAGTTGGTCTAGTGGGTATAATTAATCATAGCTATGCCTTCTGATGTCGGTGGGAGGCAAGACTTCGAGGAGGGCACTTGTTAGGCTATGGAGGAAGACGGGAGCATCACCATGCAGGCTCAGAGAGGTCAAGCAACCTGCCCAACTCACACAGCCAGGTGGCAAGCAGGGATATCTTCTCCCTCAAGCTTCCACCTAATCTTCCTATTCTCACCCCTCTGCTGCTGGCTCCAGGAGGGACGGTAGCTTCGTCCCATCCATCGGACTGCAGGGCTTCCATCAACCCTGAAAGCTGGGAACTGGGCTGGATAAATATTTACAGAGCTCTCCCAGCCTTGCTGAAGGCAGCCGGGGGATAAACACATCAGAGGTGACCCCACATGCTCCCTGCGTGTTTGCAGAGTGACAGACCACAGTCCAGCTCAGACCCCACCCCAAGCTGGCCCCCAGCTCCAGCACTGACCATGCACAAGCGTCAAAGTGGCAGCTACAGGTGACAGTGTTTCTAGTGAGCCTGGCATCACCTCATTGCTCAACAGTGGACACAGCAGTAGGCACCATTGCCCCCTCCCACCTGCACTCCCATTAGAGATGGAGTGGGTGAGATTCTGAGGCATGGCAGGATTCACCCAGGGTCACATGGTTCAAACCCAGATCTCTCCAATTTCCAGACCTGTGGTTCAATGTCTACCCACAGTGATTCCTGACTCTGTCCCAAGTCCTAGGAACCAAGAGGGGCTGGGAAGGAGGCAAGACTCCAGACTGAGATGCCCCCCATTCACTCTACCCCACCCATCCCATCCCTTTCTGCTCCCATAGCCAGCACAGGACAAGGCTGCCCTGAGCAGAGCCAGAGTGGCTGGACAGAGGGTCCCAGCCTGGCCAGGCCTGCCTCCTCACCAGGCCAGTCCTGAGACTCCTGCCTGTCACACCCTCCTGCTCCCTTCCCTGCCCGAGCTGTCTGGATGCCTCCGCTGTGGAGTGGAGTGGCCCAGGCTCTGGCCCCAGGCCCTGTGACTGGTGCCTGGAAGCGCCCCAGGGAAGGGGCAGCTTTTGGGACACATGCAAGCTGTCACACACACTCCATGACAGTCCCTCCTCTCCTCACTCTGCTGTCCTCTCTTACCTGGGCTTTCTTCTCCTCTCCTGAGCACACATTTTCTCCCTTTCCTTTCTCTCCCCGCTTCTTTCTGACAGCCACCTCTCAGTCACACACACACTGCACTCATACTATTTCATACTCATGTTCTCCTGGCTCCAAGCCTCCCAAAACTGCTGCCGGCAGGTGCCCGCGGGGGACATCTCCAGGCTTAGACCCCATTTCCCGCAGCACAGCGCTGCCCTCCCTTCTCCCTTTATCCTTCATCCCACCGCACACCTGGAGGTGTACTAACTGCGGCCACACACCTGCAGGCTGACACCTGCCTGGGATCTGCTCGGCTTTGTCCCTGCGATGAATAGGGGGCCCTGTTACCACTCCCTCTGCTGCTTCCTTCAACGCACACTCCAGCACCCGCGGCTGGAGCGCGAGAGGCAGGTCCCCACGCTGGGAGCAAGCGTGAGTCCAGCGTGGAGTCCCGTCCCACCAGCCCGAACGATGCCGGCGCCGGCTCCCCTTCACACCCCCAGGGACTGCAAGCTCGCTGTCTATCACGCCTAGAGGGAACCAGAAAGCGTTTCGGGTACCGGGCGCTGGAGGCCACCCGGGGCGCCCCCTTCGGTCCGGATCCGCCGCTGGGCCCAGCCCGCGTGCCCGGCGCCCCCTCAGCGAGGAGCGGCCGGCGAGTGGCGGGCACTCACCGGCGGCAGAGCCCGGGCCAGCAGCGGCGGCGGCTGGAGCAGCAGCAGCAGCATCGGGGGCAGGAGGGCGCGCGCGGCCGCGCTGCGGAGCCAGGCGGCCGGAGCCATCCGCCCCGGGGCTGCTGGGCTTGCTGGGCCGCTCCGGGCCGCCGCCCCTTATAGCTTCCGCCCCACCCCCGGCCCGCCTCGGCCCCGCCCCCCGCCGCCTTTTGTTCTGAACTCTCCTAGCAGCCGCGGCCCGGGTGGGGGAGGTGAACGGGGAGGGTACGGCCCAGCGGGGTCGAGGGCCGGAGACAGGGTCCTGCCCCGGGGCTGGCAAAGTCCCTATCTGGTGCTGGGTGACCCTGGCCAACCCGTGCCGCTCTGGGTCTCAGTTTCTCCTCTGGGTGGTGGCCGTCCAAAGTCTTAGACTTGGCTAGAGTCTGAGAGGAGTCAGGTTTCATGGGTCCCATCCGTACCCCCACCTTTGGAAGGCGCATCCCACTGGGTCTCCTTGGTGGCCTGACCTCTGACCTCTGACAGGTGGTCCTACCCACAAGCAAGTTCCCCCACCCCTCAGAGCCTCAACGGATCCTTCTAGAAGATGACACAATAGCCCCTGTGAGGAAAGGGATATTATTTTATTTTTTATTATTATTATTTTTTGAGACACAGTCTCACTCTGTCTCCCAGGCAGGAGTGCAGTGGTGTGATCTCCACTCACTGCAACCTCCGCCTCCCAGGTTCAAACGATTCTGCTACCTCAGCCTCCCAAGTAGCTGGGACCACAGACGTGCGCCACCATGCCTGGCTAATTTTTGTATTTTTAGTAGAGATGGGGTTTCACCATGTTGGCCAGGCTGGTCTCGAACTCCTGACCTCAAGTGATCTGCCCACCTTGGCCTCCCAAAGTGCTGGGATTACATGGGGAAGCCATTGCACCTGGCCAGGAAAGGGATATTAAAATGTGTCCCAGGGGAAAGTGAGGCATATGGCAGGGACTGGCCAGTTCTTCAGCTTGGGATAGACCGAAGTTTACAGATAGGGAAACTGAGGCTCCAAGAGGGAGGGTCCAGGCTTTTCCACACCAGCAGACAAGTGGAGGGGTCAGGAGGTCCTCTAGCTGGTCAGCTGTGGGAAGGATGCTGTCAGAAGGCTGTGGGAGGTGTCTGAGTGGAGTACTGGGCCCCCAGGGTGTCCCCTCGTCAGTGCCCAACAAGCCCCTGGGGACCCCTCCAGGCTAGCCACCTCAGACTTGAAAGAAAGGAGGCGAGAGGCCGGGCGCAGTGGCTCATGCCTGTAATCCCAGCACTTTGGGAGGCCGAGGCAGGTGGATCACGAGGTCAGGAGTTGGAGAGCAGCCTGACCAACATGGTGAAACCCTGTCTCTACTAAAAATACAAAAATTAGCCAGGTGTGGTGGCACACACCTGTAAGCCCAGCTACTCAGGAGGCTGAAGCAGGAGAATCACTTGAACCCGGGAGGCGGAGGTTGCAGTGAGCCGAGATTGTTCCATTGCACTCCAGCCTGGGTGACAGAGCGAGACTCCATCTCAAAAAAAAGAAGGAAAGGAGGTGAGACTCAAAGGAGGGGTTGTGTCCACATTCTGGAAGGGATCCTTCAGTCTCATCCCTGATTTTCGGGGTTACCCAGTACTGCTGTACACCCCCTGAAATGATGAAGGGCCTCACCACCTCACCAGGCGACCTGTTCCATCATGGGTGGCCCTGCAGAGCCACGATCCAGGCAGTGGCTCGCATCCTGGCAGGCAGGGCTCTGAGCTGCTCAAAGGTGAGGCTGTGGTCAGGAAGCCTGGGCCAAGAAAGGGAAGCGGGTGGGGAAATGTTTCACAGCTTATTCAAGAAGACTCCACAGAGACTCCTAGAGGGCGAGGAGAAGTAAGACAGCAGTAATTTTTACAACCTACACTGTTCGTAATCTTTTCTTTTTTTTTTTTTTTTTTTTGAGACGGAGTCTCTCTCTGTCGCCCAGGCTGGAGTGCAGTGACGCGATCTCGGCTCACTGCAAGCTCCGCCTCCCAGGTTCATGCCATTCTCCTGCCTCAGTCTCCCGAGTAGCTGGGACTACAGGCGCCCGCCACCATGCCCAGCTAATTTTTTATATTTTTAGTAGAGATGGGGTTTCACCGTGTTGGCCAGGCTGGTCTTGAACTCCTGACCTCAGGTGATCCACCCGCCTCGGCCTCCCAAAGTGCTGGGATTACAGGCGTGAGCCACCGCGCCTGAAAGGCAATCTTTTCTTTAAAGTCACTCACTTTTATTTACTTTTATTATTTTGAGACAGGGTCTTGCTCAATGGTGTGATCTTGGCTCACTGCAACCTCCGCCTTCCAGGCTCAAACGATCCTCCTGCCTCAGCCTCCCAAGTAGCTGGGACTACCGGTGTGCATCACTATGCCCTGCTAATTTTTGTATTTTTTGTAGAGACAGGGTTTCACCATGTTGGCCAGGCTGGTCTCGAACTCCTGGACTCAAGCAATCTGCCTGCCTGGGACTCACAAAGTTCTGGGATATAGACATGAGCCACTATTCCCCGCTAAAGTGACTCATTTTTAAAAAGTAGGCATTTCAGGCCAGGCGTGGTGGCTCATGCCTGTAATCCCAGCACTTTGGGAGGCTGAGGCAGGCGGATCACAAGAGACCATCCTGGCCAACATGGTGAAACCCTGTCTCTACTAAAAATACAAAAAAAAATTAGCTGGGCATGGTGGCACGTGCCTGTAGTCCCAGCTACTTGGGAAGCTGAAGCAGGAGAATCACTTGAACCCGGGAGGTGGAGGTTGCAGTAAGCTGAGATCACACCACCGCACTCCAGCCTGGCAACAGAGTGAGACTCTGTTTAAAAAAACAAAAACAAAAACAAAAAAACAACAAAAAACAAACAATTAGCGGGGCATGGTGGCATGTGCCTGTGGTCCCAGATACTCGGGAGGCTGAGGCAAGAGAATCGCTTGAACCCAGGAGGCAGAAGTTGCAGTGAGTGGAGATCATACCACTGCACTCCAGCCTGAGCGACAGAGCAAGACTCCGTTTCAAAAAAAAAAAAAAAAAAAAGTTGGCATTTCAATGCCTGCTTCAGTGTCATCCTTTCAGCCTCATTTTCATTTGTGTAACCCACTTAAGTGGTCTTGGGTGCCTCCGAGGTGCAAGGCCATGCTTTGTGGAACCTGCAGTCCATCAGCCATGGGAGCTGAAGTAACAACTCTCTGCAGTTTAGGCCCGGGGACCACCATGAGAAGTGTTCAGTTTGTTTGGTGTGGCAAACAGGAACCAGGTGGCATGGACTGCATGAACAAGGGAGTAGCGGCTGGACCAGGCCTGGTGAGTCTGCCAGGAAAGAATGGCCCACCCTTGGTGTGCTCACCTCACTGGGAGGCCACCCTCAAGGTGGGTGGTCACCCCCCTTCAGAGAGGAGAAACTGAAGACAGGGCGGGGAAGGGCCCTGTTCACAGGCTGGCTGAAAGGACTGCAGTGTGAGAGAACACAGGGCTGCACCTGACTTCCATGGAGAGCATGCATGGCTGGGGACAGCTGTGCACACACAGAATTGAGCATGCCAGGCAGGGCCAAACGCCCCAGCCACCACTCCCCTTGCCCCTTGACCTGCTCCTTCCTTATGGAGGGGCCTCCTCTCTTACTTGGTGACCCACACCCCCACTTCTGGGTGCTTTTGCTCTTGGTTGCACCCTGCCGACAATCCCGGTGTCAGGAGTCCTCTGCAGGCACAGCAGTGATGAGGGACAGTCCCTACCTTCCCCCACCTAGGAGTAATAATATGACCACTGCAAAGTCACCCAGAAAAGACCATAAAAACCTCAAGCTCAGCCGGGCGCGATGGCTCATGCTTGTAATCCCAGCACTTTGGGAGGCTGAGGTAGGAGGATCATGAGCTCAGGAGTTGGAGACCAGTTTGGCCAACATGGTGAAACCCCGTCTCTACTAAAAATACAAAAATTAGCCAGGTGTGGTGGCACGAGCCTGTAGTCCCAGCTACTCAGGAGGCTGAGGCAGGAGAATTGCTTGAATCCGGGAGGTGGAGGTTGCAGTGAGCCGAGATCGCCACTGCACTCCAACCTGGGCGACAGAGCAAGGCTCCGTGTCAAAAAAAAAAAAGTAAAAAGTAAAATTAAAACCTCAAGTTCTCGAAGAGCAGGAAAGCATTCTAAATCCGCGCTCCAGCTCACCTGGCCTGGAACGAAGCTGCTAAAATTGCGAGGCCGCAGGCTTCAAACTTGCGCTAGATTTGACCGAGCCGGGCAAATGCTCCTAGGCCTTTGGGATAGACACGCTGCTCGGATGTCGCGTAAAGGCCGTTAGTGTCGGGGGTTGCACTCGCGGGGCCAGGGACTAGGTGGGGGCGGTCGGGCCGGCCCGGGGAATCCGGTGGGGTTCAGGGCCGCGCGGGGGGCCTCATATCCCCCGCGGGCACTGCGTAAGGCTGCCAGCATTGGCAGCGCATTTTGGCCAACAGTCGAAGACGGGTTGGGACGCCCCCTCGTGGGAGTTCTGGGGATGGGTTGCTCCAGGCCTTCCCCAGGGCCGCGCTTCACTTCCCTAGGCCACCGGAGACTCCCAGGCCACGCGGTGGTCAGCAGACCCTGTCTGGAGGGAGGGGACAGACAGCCGAGTCCGGGAGGGGGCAGAGAGCGGAGTCCAGCCTGGAGCCTCGCGTCCCCTTCCCAGCTGGCCCCATCCCGTCGCCTCCCCGTCTCCTCTCCCCTCCAGGGCTCGCAACAACCCCCAACTCCGCTCCCTGCCCTCTGCGGTGGTCCTAACAGAAGGCACTGTCGCCCTCCTTAAGCCCTCGGCGCTTTGCGACACTGGCCCCTGTCCCCAGAACCCGCACAGCCTGCCAGGCGCAGGGAGGGAGCAGGGTCCCATTTCCAGCCGAGACCCGGAGCTGCTGGAAGGGAGATGTCCGGAGGACGGGAGAAGGGGGATAGGGTTGGGGGCAGTGCCGCCTCCCGCTGGGGGCGTGTTCCTGAGGCCCCGCCCGGGGCCCCGCCTTTTTTGCGCCGGCTGTGACAAGCGCTGCGGCATTTGTCCCCGCGACAGCACCGCTGCCGCCGTCTCTAAGGTCGCCCGGGTCCCACCGCCGCCACCATGCCTCGGGGAAGCCGCAGCGCGGCCTCCCGGCCAGCCAGGTGTGAGGGGGACAAGGGCCCTGTGGGGAGGGGGTTAGGGAAGTGTGGGCACTCCCCTAAGGGCG
Source organism: Homo sapiens (assembly GCF_000001405.40). Classification (NCBI taxonomy): domain Eukaryota; kingdom Metazoa; phylum Chordata; class Mammalia; order Primates; family Hominidae; genus Homo; species Homo sapiens. The sequence continues at coordinate 23,767,768 of NC_000022.11, read as the reverse complement.
TCCGCAGAGTGACCTTGGCTGCTGCTGCGCCATCTTGGCGGGGGGAGGGGTGGGGGTGCAGCACCCACGTGTGGAGACGTGGGTCGTCCATCTCTCCGGGGGTCGTTTCCAGGAGCTGCAGCCCTCCAGCCTGGGGTCTGGCCAGGATTAACCCTGCTTCCTCCCACCCCCGCAGCCGCCCAGCCGCGCCCTCTGCCCACCCGCCCGCGCACCCACCGCCCTCGGCAGCCGCCCCAGCCCCCGCCCCTTCGGGCCAGCCGGGGCTCATGGCTCAGATGGCGACCACGGCCGCAGGGGTAGCCGTGGGCTCGGCTGTGGGACACGTCATGGGCAGCGCCCTGACCGGAGCCTTCAGCGGGGGGAGCTCGGAGCCCTCCCAGCCTGCTGTCCAGCAGGTGAGCAGCGAGTCCAAGAGAAACTGAGGCAGGATTATCTCGAGGCCACACAGGGAGCTGCCCAAGTGTCCAGTGAGGAGTGTCCGCGTGTATTCACCATTGCTTCAGCCCAGGACTCTGCCCGGGAAGGGTCCTAGTCCACTGGTCTTGAGTTCACTGTCACTTAGAGGCAGGCTTCCCGGCCTCTCCCTTGAGGCCAGGGTCCCTAAGCTCCCAGGGAGAGACACCAACCAGCCCTTTAAAGATGGGAAACCCAGGCCCTGAGGGCTCAGAGACTCGCCCAAGGTCACCTCACCCTAGCAGAGGGGAGGGATGTTGGATTTCCTGAGCCCCTGTTCTCCCCACACCCAGGTCTGGGCACTGTGGCCGCTGGGCGCAAGGGCGAAGGGGAGCCACTTCCCTGATGACCTTTCCCCTGCTAGGAACCCCACCGCCGTAAGCCAAATGTGGCTTTGTGGCTAGGTCAGGGGTCATGAGGATTAGTGTAGCTGAGCCAGGAAGGTGCTAGAACTTGTGGGGGTGGGGCTCATACTCTGAGAGTACAGGCAGAGTACTGGGCTTTCCTAGAGCCTTCTCCTCCCTCTCCTGCACCCGCCCAAAGTGCCCATTAGAAGGCAGCAGAGGCCAGGCGCAGTGGCTCATGCCTGTAATCCCAGCACTTTGGGAGGCCAAGGCGGGTGGATCATGAGTTCAGGAGTTCGATACCAGCCTGGCCAACATAGTGAAACCCCCTCTCTACTAAAAATACAAAAAATTTGTTGGGCATGGTGGCGGGCGCCTGTAGCCCCAGCTACTTGGGAGGCCAAGGCAGGACAACCACTTGAACCCGGGAGGCGGAGGTTGCAGTGAGCCGAGACTGCGCCGCTGCACTCCACTCTAGGTGACAGAGTGAGACTCTGTCTCAAAAAAAAAAAAAAAAAAAGGCAGCAGAAACATGCTGTCTGTAGCCGCCTCTGCTGCTGGATCACTCAGCCTGCCTAGGACCCTTGGGACACCCAGGCTGGGGATGTGGGGAGGGGCAGGTGGCCCCAGGTTTGAAACGCACCTCCAGGTGCCAACTCCAAGCTGATCCTGCAGCCTCTTGCACTGTACCCCCAGGCCCCCACCCCCGCTGCCCCCCAGCCCCTGCAGATGGGGCCCTGCGCCTACGAGATCAGGCAGTTCCTGGACTGTTCCACCACTCAGAGTGACCTGTCCCTGTGTGAGGGCTTCAGCGAGGCCCTGAAGCAGTGCAAGTACTACCATGGTGAGTGAGTGGACCCCGACTCAGGCGGGGAGGGGGAGAGGCCAACCCTCCTCTTGCACCTGCAGGCTGACCACCAGCCTGTGCTGCCCCTCCCTTCCCAGGTCTGAGCTCCCTGCCCTGAAGAGGTCGGTGCAGACTCGGGGGCCAGTCCTGCACCCACCTCTACCCCTCGCCGACAGCCAGACCACAACACCAGATTGTACCCAGATAGCTGGGATTGGAAGTGAGGAGGTTTCTCACCCCACAGATAACCCAAGACACAAATGTGCAATTAAAAGTTTATTTTAGACCACAGCCTGTTGTGTGCCTCTCTCGATGGCCTGTCTTCAGGGAGCTCCCTGGCTGATGAGGTGGGGTCAGGATGGATGTCTCACTACAGTGTGCAATCCATCCCCTTAATCAGGGCCCTGGGTGGGGAGGAGGAGCCCTGTTGCAATCTGCACTGTGGGTAGCACAGGACAGATTCCTTGGGCAGTCCAGAGTGAGGTGGAGAGGCATTAGTCGGTGATCCCAAGGGCATCTGACTCTGAGGGTGGAATCCCAGGATGAACCCATGGTCTCCCCCTTATCAGGGATACCTGCCACCTCTACCCTTCTTGTCTCTACCTCTGCATCCCATTCTCTGCACCCACAGCTTAGGTGCCCCTGGCGGCCTCAAATCCTGTCTGACCTTGCCCCTCTTGCTGATGCAACTTCTCAGCAATTCCAGATTCTGCAAGAGGAGTCCTGCTGGGTTGTTGTCTGTTTGCACCTGATCACACAAGGCAGAGGTCATGGCTAACCCCCTTGGGTCTGAGTCCAACTTGGCTAGTTGGCAGTAGTGTGCCAGGTCCCCAAGCCTGCCAGAATGGAAGAACAAGCCCTTCAAACCCAGTGTGGGCCGTGCCATCACACACCATGCTGCCGCCTTCATTGAGTTCATCCAGCAGTTGTGCACTGAGCTCCTACTGTGTGCCAGCCCCTATGCCACATCTGTGAAGCCTGAGGACATTCCGGCCCTTAGTGCGCTGGCACTCCCGTGGGGTGGTGGGGACCTGTCTCAGGGTACAGTGTGTTCCATCTGGGGGTATATGTGCGTGGAGTTGGTGTTGAGGGTCTGCCCCTCATCATATGTGTCTGTCCTGCAGGAAGGGATCCCACTCTGGGTGTCTCTGTGGATGTCCAAATCTGCTCTGTACCTGGCTCCCTGCCCCAGCTAGCAACTCCTGGGTGGCAGGGAGCTCACCTTTCTGGGCCTTGAAGTGGGGCTTTGCTCATGGCGGCCTCGCCGAGTGCCCATACGCTTCCTCCAGTTGTGGCCCACAGAGGAGAGGCCTGACAGCCTGCGCAGTTCCTCTGGAAGGCCCAGGAAGTCCTGTTGGTAGGGGTTAGGGAGAAGGTGTGCCCTCCCCCTGGGCTGTACCCTGACACTCACCTGCCAGCTCTGGGTAATGGTCATCCAGGTTCTCCAATAGGGACTCATAGCGGGTGGAGGCCATGTCCTCTCCCTCTGTGACATGTGGAGAGACGATGAAGGACACCTGACTGGCCTAATGGTCCCTACTCTGCCTCTCACTCTGGAACTGTTTGCTAGTCCAGGCTGGGAGCAGAGCATTGGGTAGGGATGGATTGGGGCTAGGTCCCCAGCCGAGGTGGGAGGCCGGACAGGGCCTTGGGTGGTCTATGGTCTGCTATGCCCCCCTCTTACATTCTACCATAGCTGCAGGGGAGAGAACCTTGGGCCACCTTACTGATGATCCGAACGAGGACATATATGGCTCGCTCCTTCAGTAGGGAGTTGCCCATGGTCTGGGCCCGGGAAGCCCCTTCCTTCAGGTCCTCCTCCAGGCTCACTAGGTTGCCATCCTCAGCCAGGAGAGCAATGGTCGCTGGGAGGACATGGAGAGAGACTGGGCAGGGCTGGCACCCCTGCCTGGGACCCCTCAGCCCCTCCTTCTCCTCCCTGTCTCCTCACCATCTGGGGGCAACCCTGCTTTCTGCCTCAGGTGGGCGGTGAGGTTCACCAGCCTGCAAGAGGTGTTCACCAGCACCGAGCAGCCAGCTGTGGAGAGGGGCAAAGGTGAGCCTGTGAGATCTCTTACCTTCCTCCAAATCGGGGTCCTCTGTCTCTCCCTCCCATCTCTCCCTTTCCCAGAGCTGCGACTGGGCCTATGGGCTAAGACTGTGCCCCGGGCATAACAGCTCCAACATCTGTTGCTTAAACTGCCTTGGAGAACCCTCCATCCATCTCCCATGTGTGGTGACTTTTCTCCCATGTGTGGTGACTCCCAAGTGTTGGTCTCTTGAGTCCTGCAAAGCACGAAGTGGGCGCCAGCCCAGCCTCCTCCCGGGACCCGCCCCCACGGGACCCAGCCAGTCCCCGCCCTCCGCACCCACCGGCTCCTCTCTTCCCTTCCGCTACCGCACAGGGCCGACCCGCCTCCAGCCAGAGGCACGGGGACCCTGCAACTGTGGCTAGAGTTTCAGGTGTCTGATGCACGCTGAAGCTTGAGGATCACGGATTGAATGGCGAAGAGATTGTGCGGCTTAAAAACCTGCTCCAGGGTAATGCGGCGGTCTCTGGCCGAGAGGAACCCTTGTGAATGAGCAGGACTCAGCTCGGGTTTTCCCTTTAAGGGACTCGCTCCAGGTGCTGGCTTCGCCTCCTCACAGAGCCGCTTCCCCGACGACCCCCGCCATGTGCACCACCCCCCTTTCCCGCCATTGCCTCCCCACCCACCGCAAGGGCGGAAGGAAGCACGCCTCTGAGTGTGCTCATCCCCCTATCCGCCTACCAAGACAGGGGACCCCACTTACCCCCAAACATCACCTTGATAAACATAGCTGCAGCGGGTGAGGGAGATGTGGGGGGCTTTGATCCCCCAACTCTCGATTCCCCAACTAAGGAAAAGCGTGGAGCAGAGACCTGCTTCAGGGCCGGGCTCTGGAGGGAGAAGTGGATGTGTGAGTGTGGATGGCTGGGTCCCAGGGCCAGGCCCCTGCTCAGCCACCTCTGTGGTTCTGCTGCTTCAGCCTAGCTCAAACCCTGCAGCTAGTCCAAGACTCCTGGCCTCCTCTTCCTCCCCACTGAGCCCTGGGCCACAGCAGCTCCCCTAAGCTTCCAAGCTGGTCTCCATGGCAGTGGGGGCGGAGACATCTAGGCAGGAAATGCCTTCCTCCCTGTATCCGTTAACGGGGCCCATGGGGGAGAGGTGACAGAAGAAGTGGGGGCTGGCATTCCCTGAGGCGGGGAATGCCATCATTGGGATTGATTTTTTTTAGAGACAGTCTCCCTATGTTGCCCAGGCTGGTCTCGAACTTGGCTCAAGCAATTCTCCAGCCCCAGCCTCCCACAAGTGCTGGGATTGCAGTTGTGAACCACTTGTACAGTAAAGTTCACCCTTTCTGGTGTTTTAAAGTTATGCCAACTCTCATATAACCACCACCACAGTCAAGATACAGAACATTTCCATCACCCCCAAATTCCTTTGCCCCCTTTGTACTCAGCCCTAGTCGCTTCCAGGTCCATAGCAGGTCACAAGCACCTCCTTGTTAGCACTGGCCACTAGCTAGTCCCTCACACCGGTTCTCACCGTCATTTCCTGTCTTTTATTTATTTATTTATTAAGTTTATTAATTATTATTATTATTGGTGTTTTTTAAATTTTTATTTTTTGAGATGGAGTCTCCCTGTCACCCAGGCTAGAATGCAGTGGTACGATCTCGGCTCACTGCAACCTCCGCCTCCCGAGTTCAAGCGATTCTCCTGCCTCAGCCTCCCAAGTAACTGGGACTACAGGTGTGCACCACTACACCTGGCTAGTTTTTTTTTTTTTTTTTTTTTTTTTTGAGACGGAGTCTCGCTCCCTCGCCCAGGCTGGAGTGCAGTGGTGTGACCTCGGCTCACTGCAAGCTCCGCCTCCCGGGTTCACGCCTTTCTCCTGCCTCAGCCTCCTGAGTAGCTGGGACTACAGTCGCTCGCCACCACGCCCAGCTAATTTTTTTTGTATTTTTAGTACAGACGGGGTTTCACCATGTTAGCCAGGACGGTCTCAATCTCCTGACCTCGTGATCTGCCCGCCTCGGCCTCCCAAAGTGCTGGGATTACAGGATTACAGGCGTGAGCCACTGCGCCCGGCCTTTTTTTGTATTTTTAATAGAGATGGAGTTTCACCATATTGGTCAGATTGGTCTCGAACTCCTGACCTCAAATGATCCGCCCATCTTGGCCTCCCAAAGTGCTGAGCCACCAAGCCTGACCTATTTATTTTTTTTTGAGAATGAGTCTCGCTCTGTCAGCCATGCTGCAGTGCAGTGGCGCAATCTCGGCTCACTGCAACCTCCGCCTCTCGGGTTCAAGCGATTCTCCTGCCTCAGCCTCCGGAGTAGCTGGTATTACAGGCGCCAGCCACCACCCCTGGCTAATTTTTTGTATTTTTAGTAGACATAAGGAAGGCCAGGCTGGTCTCGAACTCCTGACCTCAGGTGATCCACCTGCCTGAGCTTCTCAAAGTGCTGTGATTATAGGAATGAGCCACTGTGCCCGGCCATTTCGGCCATTTCGTGTCTTTTGTATTTGTCTGCTTCTCCCAGTCTCTCCCCTTCTTGTTCCCCTCCTCTCCGTCTTCCTTTTCTGTCTAGGCTTCACATTCTCTCTCCCCTCCCCTCCTCTCCCCTCCCCTCCCCTCCCTCCTTTCCCTTTTTTCCTTTCTCTTCCTCCCTCCCTCTCTCCCTCCCTCCCTTCCTTCCTTCCTTTCTTTTTTTGACAGAGTTTTGCTCTTGTTGCCCAGGCTGGAGTACAATGGTGCAATCTCAGCTCACCGCAACCTCCGCCTCCTGGGTTCAAGCGATTCTCCTGCCCCAGCGTCCCAAGTAGCTGGGATTACAGGCATGTGCCACCACACCTGGCTAATTTTGTATTTTTAGTAGAGACAGGGTTTCTCCATGTTGGCCAGGCTGGTCTCGAACTCCTGACCTCAGGTGATCTGCCCCCCCTCGGCCTCCCAAAGTGCTGGGATTACAGGCGTGAGCCACTGCGCCCGGCTGGCTGGCTTGCTTTCTCGCTCTTTTGCTCTTTCGCTCTTTTGCCCTTCCTTCCTTCCTTCCCTCCTTCCTTCCTTCCTTCCTTTTCTCTCTTTCTTTTTCTTTTCCTTCCTTCCTTTCTTCTTTTCTTTCTTTTCTGTTCTCTTTTTTTTTGAAACAGGGTCTTACTCTGCTGCCCAGGCTGCAGTGCAGTGGCACAATCACAGCTCACTGCAGCTTTGGCCTGCCGGGCTCAAGCAATCCTCCCACTTCAGCCTCCTGAGTAGCTGGGTCTACAGGTGCATGCCACCATGCCTGTTGAAATTTTTTTCTTTTTAATTTTGTAGAGATGGAGTCTCACTATGTTGCCTAGACTGGTCTTGAACTCTTGGGGTCAAGCAATCCTCTTACCTTGGCCTCCCAAAGTGCTGGGATTACAGGTGCAAGCCACTGGTCCCAGCCTCACATTGGTTTTTTTGCCTCTCCGTGTTCATCCTTCCTTTGACTTTTGTTCTCATGTCTCTTTTCATTATCCTTTCCCTTTCCTTCCTGCTTACTGCCTCCCCTCTGTCTCTGTCTCTCCACTTCTGTCTCCTGCCCTCACCCCATGACCCCCACCAGACCTTTCCAGCCAGGGCACCAGGTGGATGCCTGGAGCAACACCTCCCTTTCCCCAGCTCCCTTACCCCCAAGGTTTTAGAAGTGCTTCCAGCCCCCATGATTCGGCTGTGTCCTGCCTTTTACAGGCAGAGTTCTGGACAGTGAGGGTGGAGGAAATCTGAGTCTTCCATGAAGCCTGCCATTGTCAGACTCCGGCTCTGGATAAGCACTTTCCTTTGGACTGCCTTGGTGTTTCCATCTGTAAAAGGGGGGTATGACCCGTGACTTAGCAGGGCTGTGGTGACGATTAAGTGTGATAAATTTTAAAGAGCTGTCTCTGTGCTCAGCACCGTGATGGAGCAAGCACTCCAATCAGTATTGCAGAAACAGGTAGCACTTCCCAAGCTTACTTAAACATGAGATGGCCAGGCGCAGTGGCTCATGCCTGTAATCCCAACACTTTGGGAGGCTGAGGATCTGCCCAGCCTGGGCAACACAGCAAGGCCTCATCTCTGTAAAAATAAAAACATTAGCTGGGCGTGGTGGCTCACACCTGTAGTCCCAGCTCCTCGGGAGGCTGAGGCGGGAAGATCACTTGAGCCCAGTTCAAGGCAGAAATTAATTAAAATCACACCACTACGCTTCAGCCTGGGTGACACGGTGAGACCTTGACTAAAAAAAAAAGACAAAAAACAGTGCCCTTTTTTTAACTCACAGCCTCCAGAATTCCCTTGGGGAGGCTACATAGCCCCTTCCCAGGTACCACTCCATTCTTGACACCTCCTCAGGGTATCTCCATGACAGTCAAGATACAGTCTCTTGATTCCCTCCTTGGTGGCACTGAAGAGGAGATCCTTGGATGGCAGATGGTGACTACAAGAGCTGAGGCTCCAGGCCTGGAGTGGCCTTTCCTTCCAGATTCTGGCTTCAGGCACTGGAGGCTCCACACTTAACAGTCTCCTGAGCTGTGTTCTGTGGGACGTGGATTCCCAGATATGGTTCTGTCCCGGGAAAAAGTGCTCCATGTTTTTTTTTTTTTTTCTTTTTTGAGACAGAGTTTCATTCTTGTCGCCCAGGCTGGAGTGCAATGGCACGATCTTGGCTCACTGCAACCTCCACCTCCCAGGTTCAAGTGATTCTCCTGCCTCAGCCTCCTGAGTAGCTGGGATTACAGGCGCCCACTACCATGCCCAGCTAATTTTGTTTGTATTTTTAGTAGAGACAGGGTTTCACCACATTGGCCAGGGTGGTCTCGAACTCCTGACCTTGTGATCCGCCCACCTCAGCCTCCCAAAGTGCTGGGATCACAGGCATGGGCCACCTAGCCCCGCCCATGTTTTTTTTGTTTGTTTGTTTTTGTTTTGTTTTGTTTTGAGACAGAGTCTCACTCTGTCGCCCAGGTTGTAGTGCAGTGGCACGATCTCAGCTCACTGCAGCCTCCCAGGTTCAAGTGATTCTTCCGCTTCAGCCTCCCTAGTAGCTGTGATTAGAGGTGCACACCACCACGCCTGGCTAATTTTTTGTATTTTTCGTAGAGACAGGGTTTTACCCTGTTGACCAGGCTGGTCTCAAATTCCTGAGCTCAAGTGATCCCCCCGCCTCCGCCTCCCAAAGTGCTGAGATTATAGGCATGAGCCACTGCGTCCAGCCTTATTATTATTTTTTGAGACAGAGTCTCACTCTGTCATCCAGGCTGGAGTGCAGTGGCACAAACATGGCTCACTGCAGCCTCAAACTCCTGTGCTCAAGTGATCCTCCCACCTCAGGCTCCCAAGTAGCTAAAACTACAGATGTGAGCCACCACGCCTGGCCAATTAAAAAAATTTTTTTGTAGAGACAGGGTCTTGCTCCGTTGTTCAGGCTGGTCTCAAACTGCTGGCCTCAAACGATTTTCCTGCCTTGGCATCTCAAAGTGCTAGGATAACAGGCGTGAGACACCGTGCTCAGTGTCACAGTTATTTTCTGATGTTAGCCTTACCTTACTTGAATAATAATAAAACCGATTAAAATGGTGCACTCTTGTGAGGCACGGTGGCTTACACCTGTTATCCTAGCACTTTGGGAGGCTGAAGCAGGAGGATCGTTTGAGGCTGGGAATTCAAGACCAGCCTGGGCAACATAGTAAGACCCTGTCTCTACAAAAAAAAAAAAAAAAAAAAAAAAATTAAAGAATTAGCTGGGCATGGTGGCTCACACCTGTAGTCCTAGCTTCTCGAGAGCCTGAGGTGGGAGGATCACTTGAGCACAGAAGTTCGAGGCTGCAAATGAGCTATGATCACACCACTCTACTCCAGCCTGGATAACAGAGCAAGACTTTGTCTCAAAATAAGTACATCAATTAAACAAAAATAAAAGAATTAGCCAGGCATGGTGGCATGCACCTGTAATCCTAGCTATTCCGGAGGCTAAGGTAGGAGGACTGCTTGAGCCCAGGAGTTCACGGCTGCAGTGAACTATGATCAAGCCGCTGTACTTCAGCTTGGGTGACAGAATGAGACCTTGTCTCAAAGAAAAAAGAAAAAGCAACACTCCGTCTCAAAAAAAAAGAAAAAAGAAAAAGAAGGCTGGTCACGGTGGCTCACGCCTGTAATCCCAGCACTTTGGGAGACCGAGGCAGGCAGATCACGAGGTAAACAGTGAAACTCCGTCTCCTAAATATACAAAAATACAAAATATACTAAAAATACAAAAATTAGCTGGGCATGGTGATGCGCACCTGTAGTCCCAGGTACGCGGGAGGCTGAGGCAAGAGAATCGCTTGAACCCAGGAGGCAGAGGTTGTGAGCTGAGCATCGCGCCACTGCACTCCAGCCTGGGCAACAGAGCAAGACTCTGTCTCAAGAAAAACGAAAAGAAAAGAGAAAAGAAGAAAAGAAAAGAAAGGGAAGGGGAGGGGAGGGGAGGGGCAGGGGGGAAGTGCCATTGAAAACATAGTTTGTAGCCAGGCGCAGTGACTCACGCCTTTAATCCCAGCACTTTGTGAGGCAAAGGCGAACAGATCATGAGGTCAGGAGATCGAGACCAGCCTGACCAACATGGTGAAACCGACCAACATGGTGAACCCCGTCTCTACTAAAAAAAAAAACAAAAAAAATTAGCCGGGCGTGGCAGTTCATGCCTGTAATCCCAGCTACTTGGGAGGCTGAGGCAGGAGAATCACTTGAACCTGGGAGGCGGAGGTTGCAGTGAGCTGAGATTGCACCATTGCACTCCAGCCTGGGCAACAAACAGCGAAACTCCGTCTCAAAAAAAAAAAAAAAAAGAAAAAGAAAAGATAGCTTGTTACTCAAAGTTCCCCTAAAACAGGGAGTACACCAAGGTGGGCCACACAGGAAGCACCACAGTTGATGGGCAGGCAGAGGGAGAGGGAGGAACTGTGGGCAAGGGCCTCTATTGTGGTTTCCAACGCTGGGCAGGCTTAGGACTGAATAATTAAAGTGGATTCTGGGGCATGGGCTGTCCCTAGTTGTCTGGTGCGTGGCCCTGGAGAGATTAGGGCAGGTGGAGTATAAGAGCAGATTAAGGAGGGAGTTGAGGGGGTTGGGATTAGTTGACTTGCATTTGAAAAGCGTGCTTTCAGAAGAGTTATTTACTATCATGGCTGGGTGAGGTGGCTCAAGCTTGTAATCCCAGCACTTTGAGAGCCCGAAGTAGGTGGACCATTTGACGTCAGGAGACCGAAATTATCTTGGCCAACATGGTGAAATCCCATTTCTACTAAAAATACAAAAAGAATTAGCTGGGCCTGGTGGCGCATGCCTGTAATCCCAGGTACTTGGGAGGCTGAGGCAGGAAAATCGCTTGAACCCGGGAGGCGGAGGTTGCAGTGAGTGGAGATGGTGCTTTTGTACTCCAGCCTGGGGGACAGAACGAGACTCTGTCTGATAAAAAAGAAAAAGAGTTGGCCAGGTGCAGTGGCTCACACCTGTAATCCCAGCACTTTGGGAGGCCAAGGTGGGCAGATGACAAGGTCAGGAGATTGAGACCATCCTGGCTAACACGGTGAAATCCCGTCTCTACTAAAAAATACAAAAAATTAGCCGGGCATGGTGGTGGGCGCCTGTCGTCCCAGCTACTCGGGAGGCTAAGGCAGGAGAATGGCGTCAACCCGGAGGCAGAGCTTGCAGTGAGCCAAGATCGCACCACTGCACTCCAGCCTGGGTGACAGAGTGAGACTCTGTCTCAAAAAAAAAAAAAAGAAAAAGAGTTATTTACTATCGGCTGGGCGCGGTGGCTAACACCTGTAATCCCAGCACTTTGGGAGGCCAAGGCGGGCAGATCACAAGGTCAGGAGATCGAGACCATCTTGGCTAACATGGTGAAACCCCATCTCTACTAAAAATATAAAAAATTTGCCAGGCGCAGTGGCGGGCACCTGTAGTCCCAGCTACTCGGGAGGCTGAGGCAGGAGAATGGCGTGAACCCAGGAGGCGGAGCTTGCATCGAGCCAAGATCGCGCCACTGCACACCAGCCTGGGCGACAGAGTGAGACTCCGTCTCAGAAAAAAAAAAAAAAGTTATTTACTATCTATAGGGACTGGGTAACCCTGGGAGGGTTAGTCCCTCAATGGTCAGCAAGGGCCCAGATTACACAGCACTGGAATACAGAAAATAAATGACATGGTTAATCCACCCACTGTGGCCAGCCCTGAGCAAATAGGTCCCATCTTTGCATTTTCACAATCCTCAGGCTGGCATTATGCTTAACTTTATGTTCCAGATGAGAAAACCGAGGCACAGTGGGGGGAAGTAACTTGGCTGAAGTCATGCAGTTAAGAAAAGCAGGAGCTGGGATTCAAACCCAAGTTCAAAACCACCTCAGCTACTTGGAATCCTGGCAAATTAAAGGTTGTGATAATGTCAAGGGCTGGCGAGGATGCGAAGTCACAGTAAACTCTCTTACTCTGCTGGTGGAAGACCAGATTGTTACAAACACATCAGGAACCCTGGCAGACCTAGTAAAGCTAAATGTATTCTTTCCTTGCCGTCTGGCAGCTCCATTCCTGGGTGTCTCTCCAGCACAAATGAGTGCACCAGTACACCAAAAGACATCGACAGAGACATTCACAGAAGTTGTATTTGTAATGGCCAAAGACTGGAGAGCATCCAAATATCTAACAATAGGAGAATGGAAAACCTGATTACAGTGCATTCACACAATGGATTACACACAGCTATGGGCATGAATGAAATATTGCTGCACACACATGGATCACTCCCATCATGTTCAACAAAAGAAGCAGGCACAAAAGAGGGCACACTATCATTCCACTTATAGTTAAAGTTCTAGAGCAGGCACAAACTAATCTAAGGTGATAGAAGTCAGAATGATGATTCCCTTGAGGGTGCATGTCATTAACTGAGGGGCCTTCAGGGGAGATGGAGGTGTTCTTTTTTCTTTTCTTTTTTTTGAGACATAGTCTCGCTCTGTCGCCCAAGCTGAAGTGCAGTGAAGCAATCTTGGCTTACTGCAACCTCCACCTCCCGGGTTCAAGCGATTTTCCTGCCTCAGCCTCTCCAGTAGTTGGGACTACAGGTGTGCACCACCACGCCCAGCTAATTTTTGTATTTTTAGTACAAAAAATATGGAGTTTCACCATGTTGGCCAAGCTGGTCTCAAACTCCTGACCTCAAGTGATCCACCTGCCTCCGTCTCCCAAAGTGCTGGGATTATAGGCGTAAGCCACCGCCCTCAGCCGAGATTTTCTAAATCCTGATCTGGGTGGAGGTTGCAGGGGTCTGTGTGTGCGTGTGTATGTGTGTGTGTGTGTGTGCGCGCGTGTGCGTGTGCGCGCACATGCATGCATGCATGCTTGTGGGCATACATACATATACATAAAATCATCAAGCTATGCACTTAAGATTTATGCACTTTACTGTATGCTAGTTGTACCTCAATAAAAAAGTAGATTTCCACCTGCTATAACTGCACATGAGGACTTCTGGGCTCCTATTCTTGGAAGGCCTTGTGGTGCCAGGACCCTGACATTTGGGAAGAAAAGGCTTGGCCATTGGGCCCCAGTCACCGCCCCTCCTTCCTCAGTCAATAGGCTGATTTGCATGCTCTGTTGTGGTCCAGTGGCCTTCCCAGCCCTGTGCCCCAAAGCACCTGGAGCATATAGCCTTGCAGAACTTCTACTTGCCTGCCTCCCTGCCTCTGGCCATGGCCTGCCGGTGCCTCAGCTTCCTTCTGATGGGGACCTTCCTGTCAGGTGAATCTTTCCTGGGCCTCAGTCACCTGGGTGTGGGGTGGGGAACAGTACTGGCCCCAGAAGGCCCCTGCAAGGAGGCAAATCGATGGGGACAGTAGGGCAGGTCCTGGGAGGGGTATTTTTTTTTTTTTTGAGACGGAGTTTTGCTCTTGTTGCCCAGGCTGGAGTGCAACGGTGCAATCTCGGCTCACTGCACCTCTGCCTCCCAGGTTCAAGCGATTCTTCTGCCTCAGCGTCCTGAGTAGCTGGGATTACAGGCATGCGCCACCACGCCTGGCTAATTTTGTATTTTTAGTAGAGACAAGGTTTCTTCATGTTGGTCAGGCTGGTCTCAAACTCCTGACCTCAGGTGATCCGCCCACCTCAGCTTCCCAAAGTGCTAGGATTACAGGCTTGAGCCACTGCACCTGGCTGGGAGGCGTATTCAGGTAGAGGGGTGACCTGGCTTCAGACAGCTCTGCCCTTGACCTGGGGCAAATCACTTCCCTGTGTGGGCCTTGGTTTTCTCATTCGTGAATGACCAGATCACTAGAGCCCTGGACTCTGACTTTGGGTCTCCTTCTTAGTTTTTCACAGGGGAAGCTATTGTGGGTTGGTCCCTACCCCACAGGGCCTGAGGCAATCTAACCTCCCTGAGAGGGTCCCTGCAGCCAGTTGCCTGAGGCTGAGTTGATGTGTGGGACAGCCCAGGAGGTTCCTGGGGGTGGTTAGTCTGTATTCAGGGTTTGGAAGAGCTGAAGTGAAGTGGGCGGGGAAGTGGGGGAGAGGGGTGCAGTTCTGCAGAGAAACGTGGGTGGGTAGCAGAGGGACCTAGAGGCTGCTAGTCCAACCTTCTGAGCTCTGGGCCTTTAACTGAACACAGATCCTTGAGGATATGGCACTAATGGAGATTTGGGGGCTAACTCCAAACCCCTCACTCACAAAGGGAGATGGAGGTCCAGATAGGGCACCCTAAGTCACACAGAACCAGGCCTCCTGCACCCCGTTCATTGCTAATCCCATAGCACTGGGCTATGAGCCCTTTGGGACTGGGAGTCTCCATGGAGTCCAACCAAGCCTTCACAGGGCAGGGGTGGGAGGGAAGGGGCTCAGGCTGAGTGGGTTTGTGTCTCGCAGTTTCCCAGACAGTCCTGGCCCAGCTGGATGCACTGCTGGTCTTCCCAGGCCAAGTGGCTCAACTCTCCTGCACGCTCAGCCCCCAGCACGTCACCATCAGGGACTACGGTGTGTCCTGGTACCAGCAGCGGGCAGGCAGTGCCCCTCGATATCTCCTCTACTACCGCTCGGAGGAGGATCACCACCGGCCTGCTGACATCCCCGATCGATTCTCGGCAGCCAAGGATGAGGCCCACAATGCCTGTGTCCTCACCATTAGTCCCGTGCAGCCTGAAGACGACGCGGATTACTACTGCTCTGTTGGCTACGGCTTTAGTCCCTAGGGGTGGGGTGTGAGATGGGTGCCTCCCCTCTGCCTCCCATTTCTGCCCCTGACCTTGGGTCCCTTTTAAACTTTCTCTGAGCCTTGCTTCCCCTCTGTAAAATGGGTTAATAATATTCAACATGTCAACAACAGCTATTGTGAGGGTCATAAGATCCTGGCTGAGAAAAATGACTGTGGTGGGTCTGGGAGTCGAAGACCCACTCCTGGGGTGGGGAGCAGTGTGCGGGGGAATGGGGATTCTGGGGACTGTTGTCAAAGAGGAAGCACCTGAGACTATTGGGGCATGGCCCAGACTCCCCCACCATGGCCCCCTGGGGGCTCAAACTGGTAGCCTGACCTTCCTGTGACCTGAGGAGCCGGAGGGAGAAAAAGGAACCAGCCCTTGCCGCCCCCAACTCTGCATGGCTGGTTATGGTCCAAGGGTTATGGCTCTAGGGTGGCTGGTCCCCATGGAGCTCAGGCTGTTGGCTTGGGGAGGGGCAGCCACTGCCTACCCCTTGGAGTCTGTGCCCAAGGCCCGACAGAGCATTAATGGGGCAGGAAGGCAGGTGTGTGTGGGTAGCATTGGAGGCACTCGAGCGCCAAGGCTGAGGGTGCTGAAGGCAGGTGGGCGGCTGGGGCAGAATCCTTTTTCCCAGGGACAGTGTGTTCTCCTGATGTCCTGTGATTGGGCCAAGGTCTGCGGAGGGAAGCTCTCCCACAAGCTGGGCAGCTGCACCTGAGGGGGGGGTGTCATGGGCAGAACACTGGGTGGAGGGGCCAGTCTTGCCATCAGCAGCAAGGAGGGGGCGGAGATTCCTTTTCTTTTTTTTTTTTTTGTTTTTTGAGATGGAGTCTCGCTCTGTCGCCCAGGCTGGAGTGCAATGGCACTATCTTGGCTCACTGCAACCTCCGCCTCTCAGGGTCAAACGATTCTCCTGTCTCAGTAGCTGGGATTACAGGCGCTTGTCACCACTCCCGGATAATTTTTAGTAGAAACAGGGTTTCACCATGTTGGTCTGGCTGAGTCTCGAACTCCTGACCTCGTGATCCACCCGCCTCCGCCTCCCAAAATGCTGGGATTAAAGGCGTGAGCCACCGCGCCCGGCCAAGGGGGCGGCCATTTCAAGAACACATTCCTCTTCCCTCCCGGTGCGCCTGAGAGGAGGCGCTTCATGTCGAAGTCAGCCCTGGGATGCAGAGAGTTGGGGGGCTCAGGGTCCTGGGATGGTCTCGCAGACACTCCTAGTTCTTCGCCTGCCCCTTCTCATCTCTATTTCTGTGGGGGCGGGGAGGGCAGACAGGAACAGGGCTACCCTTGAAGCAGGTTGGGGGAGGGGGATCCTAACAGGACCCCGGTGCCTGTGGACAGTGACAGGGTCGACAGCTCTGGGGCTCCACTCTCCTTTCCCTGAAGACCCCAGCTGCCTCAGTGGCTTCTGGCTTGCACCCAGCACCAGCGCAGATGCCCCGAGTGCCGGCGGCTCGAGGTCGGCCCGCCCGTCCGGACCTGTTTCCTCCTCTGCTCTCCTGCCAACGCCTGCCCATCTCTGTTTCCCCCACGTCCAGCACGCGCTTCGGGGACGGCCAGAGCCACCATGCCGACTGGAGAGACTCTCCTGATTCGGGTCCTTGTGTCCCGGGGCCCGGGCGGCTTCGCGCGGCGACAACCGGCGCGGTGGGACCACCGAGACGCCGGGACCTCCGCGCGGCCTAGAGTGGTCCCGGAAGTGCCCGCGGGCCGGGGGCGGGGCTCTGGGTGCTCGGGCGGCCGCGGGCTCCGCGTCAGCAGCTGCTGTGGAGCCAGGCAGCGTCGGCCGCGTCGGCCGCGGGTTGGAGCAGCTCAGGTGCGGCCCCGCCCCGCCCGCCTGCGGCCCCGCCCCGGCCCAGGTGAGCTGCCCCGCCCCGGCCCAGGTGAGTGGCCCCGCGTCCGCCGGTGTGACCTGAGTCCGCCTGACCACCTGTCCCTCCGGTGGCCCTGGGTGTGCGTGTCCCCAATCGCGGGGAAGCCTGTAGGGGCGCCACGTCGCCGCCTGGGCAGCGTGTGCGGGTCCGTGGCAACTCTTGGGCCCCCAGCCAGGAAACCTTGACTGCACTAAGAGTTTGCAGGGTGCCCAGGCCCTAGGGACTCTCTGGAGGATGGGATGACAGATGCAGGAGGACCCGGAGAAGGCCCCGACAGAGGTGGGAAGCATGGAGTTCCAGATCTTTGCATTTTCGGTCCAAAAACACTTATCATGTTGTGGGAGACAGATAAAGGGTTGCCAACTTTTTTCTGAGTGGAGACTTCAGGGTGTAGGGGCTATATAGTGGGAATGGAAAACCTCTACGGAGGGAAGTTTGAGAACACCAGGACTTAATGGGTGGGCGGAGGAAGAGTTGCAATCTAAAGATATCAAGAAAGAGAACTTGGAAGCCATGAAAATTGGGAAGAAAGCGAGGGTGGGGATGGGGTTGGGGGGTAGCTCAAAGCTTTCATGCACCTAGGTAGGCAATGTGGGCGGGTGAAGGGATATTGTCACATCTTCGTTTTTCAAGAGAAAGCCAGAAACCTACTGAGTTTTAAATATTGGTAACTAAGGAAAATGAACAGGAAAAGCCAAACTCTTCGAGAGCCAAACATAACATAGCAGGATCTTCAGGCTGCCAATTTGCAACCTCTGAAATGAAGGGTTTTGAGAAGGAGGTATTGGAGAGCAGTGCCAGATGGGGTGGGAAGGTGAAGACCGAGAAGAGAGGGATTGGCAATAAGGAGGTCATAGAATGCCAGAGCTGAGGTCCCAGCTGAAATCGGAAACTCGAAATTTGTCGTGGTGCCATACATAGTTGTATGATTTTTCTTGGCAACATTTAACAACTTAGGAGGAACTGGCCGAGAAGACTGGGACTTAGCGGCTAGTTGCAGCCGGACGAGGAGGTGAGGAGCATGGTGCTAGAGCGTGAGAGTTGAAGTGATGCGCATAGTATGGAGAGTCTAAGCTGGATGGAGAAGGGGTGGAGCTAGAAAAGGAGAACTACAGTAAAAATGGCTTGGATTTCATGAGGTCGAAAAGCACAAATTGAGTGAGAGAGCTGGAAGAGTTGGAGATTATGGGTTGCTGAAGAGGAGGGGGAGGGTGAGAGGAGTTGAAGTGATCAAAGAATTTTTGAAAATACTTTAGGGCTGGGCGAGGGGGCTCACGCCTATAATACCAGCACTTTCGGAGGCCAAAATGGGTGGATCGCATGAGCTCAGAAATTCGAGACCAGTCTGCACAACATGGCGAAAACCCATCTCTACAAAAAATACAAAAATTAGCCAGGTGTGGCACGTGCCTGTAGAGCCTGTATTCCCAGCTACTTTTTTTTTTTTTTTTTTTTTTTTTTTGAGACGGAGTCTCGTCCTGTCGCCCAGCCTGGAGTGCAGTGGCGCGATCTCGGCTCACTGCAAGCTCCGCCTCCTGGGTTCACGCCATTCTCCTGCCTCAGCCTCCCAAGTAGCTGGGACTACAGGCACCTGCCACCACGGCCGGCTTTTTTTTTTTTTTTTTTTTTTTTTTTTTTTTTGAGATGGAGTCTCGCTCTGTTACCCAGGCTAGAGTGCAGTGGCGCGATCTCGGCTCACTGCAACCTCCGCCCCCCAGGTTCAAGCGATTCTCCTGCCTCAGCCTCCCGGAGTAGCTGGGATTACAGACGCGCTGTAATTTTTGTAATTTTAGTAGAGACGGGGTTTCACCATCTTGGCCAGGCTGGTCTTGAACTCCTGACCTCATGATCCACCCACCTCGGCCTCCCAAAGTGCTGGGATTAGAGGCGTGAGCCACCGCGTCCGGCCTTTTTTGTATTTTTAATAGAGACAGGGTTTCACCGTGTTAGCCAGGATGGTGTCCTAGCTACTTAAGAGGCTGAGATAGGAGAATCACTTGAACCCAGGAGCCAGAGGTTCCAGTGAGCTGTAATCACACTACTGCACTCCATTCTGGAAAAAGAAAATACTTTAGTTCAGTGCTCTTTTTTTTTTATATCCAGTCGGTCTATTGGCTGAAAAATCATTTAAAAAAATCATTTCTGGGCTGGGCGTGGTGGCTCACACCTGTAATCCCAGCACTTTGGGATGCCAAGGTGGGCGGATCACCTGAGGTCAGGAGTTCGAGACCAGCCTGGCCAACATAGTGAAACCCCATCTCTACTAAAAATACAAAAATTATCCGGGCCTGGTGGCGGGTGCCTGTAATCCCAGCTATTCAGGAGGGTGAGGCAGGAGAATTGCTTGAACCCAGGAGGCAGAGGTTGCAGTGAGCCGAGATTGGGCCATTGCACTCCTGGCTGGGCAACAAGAGTGAGACTCCACCTCAAAAAAAAAAAAAAATCATTTCTGCTGGGCATGGTGGCTCATGCCTGTAATCCAGCACTTTGGG
Organism: Homo sapiens; assembly: GCF_000001405.40. Lineage (NCBI taxonomy): Eukaryota > Metazoa > Chordata > Mammalia > Primates > Hominidae > Homo > Homo sapiens. The sequence continues at coordinate 23,748,497 of NC_000022.11, read as the reverse complement.
AGGCAGAGGTGGGAGGACTGCTTGAGCCCAGGAGTTCAAGACCAGCCTGGGCAACATAATATTATCTCATCTCTACAGAAAAATTAAAAAATTAGCTGGATGTGTTGATATGCCCCTGTAGTCCCAGCTACTTGAGAGGCTGAGGTTGGAGGATCAGTTGAGCCGGGGAGGTCAAGGCTGCAGTGAGCTGTGATTCTACTCCTGCACTCCAGCCTGGGTGACAGAGTGAGACCCTGTCTCAAAAAAAATTTTTTTTTCCAAGTAGAAATGAGTTCTGTTATGACTGTTCTGATTAATTTAGTTTTTTTTTTTTTTCTGAGGCAGTTACTCTCTAGATGCAGTATAAGGATAATTGTGCCTTTGTATAGAGTTGTGAAGATTAAATGAGGTGCCTTGAAGGACCTATTAGTGCCTAGCACAGAGTAGGTGCTCAGTGAATATGAGCTGTTGCTATCATTATTGTGTCACCTGAAGACTTTGCCTTTATCTAGCACAGAAGTTTCTGAATAGGGCTCTTTGGGGCTTCCTCAGGGGCCACATCTGGGAGGGGGAGTGCTGAGTGGGCTGTTCTAGCTTCCTTCCTTGTCCCTGCTAACGCGCCCTCCTTCAACTGGAGCAGCTCTGCTTTTGTCTGTTTTATTTTATTTTTATTTTTATTTATTTATTTATTTTTTGAGACGGAGTCTCACTCTGTTGCCCAGGCTGGTGTGCAGTGGCATGATCTCGCAAGCTCTGCCTCCTGAGTTCACGCCATTCTCCTGCCTCAGCCTCCCGAGTAGCTGGGACTACAGGCACCTGCCACCACGCCTGGCTAATTTTTTTGTATTTCTAGTAGAGATGGGGTTTCACCGTGTTAGCCAGGATGGTCTCGATCTCGTGACCTCGTGATCTGCCCACCTCGGCTTCCCAAAGTGCTGGGATTACAGGTGTGAGCCACCGCGCCCGGACTTGTCTGTTTTATTTATTTATGTCTCCTAGACCAGTGATCCCCAACCTTTTTGGCATCAGGGACCAGTTTTGCAGAAGACAATTTTTCCATGAATGGGTGGGGGACATGGGGGATGGTTTTGAGATGAAACTGTTCCACCTCAGATCATCAGGTGTTAGATTCTCATAAAGAGTGCACAACCAAATCCCTCGTATGCACAGTTTACGATAGGGTTCCAGTTCCTATGAGAATCTAATGCCACTGCTCATCTGACAGGAGGCAGAGTTCAGGCTGTAATGCTCGCTCACCTTCCGCTCACCTCCTGCTATGCGGCCTGGTTCCTAACAGGCCACAGACTGGTGCCTGTCCCCCACTCTGGGGGTTGGGGACCCCTGTCCTAGACAGTTGACTTATTTGACTAAAGTGTTCTTTGACCAAAAAAAGTGACAGTTCTAGAAAAACAAATGGCTTTTCCTCCATTTGATAATTTATTCAACAACTGTGTACATTGGGATTGTGCTTTTGTGCTGGGGGCTGGGGATTCTGAAATGAAGGAGCACAGTATTTGCCCTTAGGGAATTTTCAAGCTAACGATGGGGGCCTGAGATGGTCAAGAACCTGAGGGTGCAGAGAAAAAGGGACATTTGGACGAGTCCTGAAGGATGAGCAAGTGGCAGTCTGAGAATGGTCCTTACCTGTTAGGACCAGACAACAGCAGTGCAAATTAGTCATTGAGCTGGAAAATTAGAAGTGTTGGGGGGACCAGCCTGGGCAATACAGTGTGACCTCATCTCTACAAAAAGAAAGAATTAAAAAAATTAGCAGAGTGTGGTGGCATACACTTGCAGTCCCAGGAGGCTGAGGTGGGAGGATCACTTGAGCCTGGGAGGCAGAGGTTGCAGTGAGCCAAGATCACACCACTATACTCCAGCCTGGGCAACGGGCAAGAGCCTATCTCAAATAAAAAAGAAGAGGTGTATGGGGCAGACAGACAGGAGATGGATTGGAAGGGCCAGGTGTGAAGGAGTTGGGCTGTCACAAGATCCTAAGAAGGGAACCACCAGGCCAGGCATGGTGGCTCACGCCTGTAATCCCAGCACTTTGGGAGGCCAAGGCAGGCAGATCACTTGAGATCAGAAGTTTGAGACCAGCCTGGCCAACATGGTGAATCCCGGTCTCTACTAAAAATACAAAAATTAGCCAAGAATGGTGGTGGGCGCTTGTAATCCCAGCTACTCGGGAGGCCAAGGCAGGAGAATCACTTGAAGTTGGAAGGCAGAGGTTGCAGTGATCCAAGATCGTGCCACTGCACTCCAGCCTGGGTGAAAGAGTGAAACTCCATCTCAAAAAAAAAAAAAAAAAAAAAAAGGGAACCACCATAATCAGGCTTATGTTTTGGATATTTGACTCCATTGTTAGTGTAGGGCATGCACCAGAGGGAGAGGAGGAAGCCGGAGGTCAGCAGCTAGTTTGGAGGCCAGCCCTGAAAAGATCCCAGGAGGTAGCTCTGAAGCCTGAGCTGCAGAGTGGCAGTGAGGACTGAGAGACAGAGACGCTGCCCATGCAGCCTCAGGAAGTAGATAAGAGGGGACCGGTCGGGTGAGAATAAGAGCGGTTATGCTGACTCCCAGGTTGGGGCACCTGGCTGGAGGGAGTGCGACTGGAGGGTAGAGGGAAGAGCTCTCTTTCTCTTTCCCAGCAAAACCTGCCCCCAATGTCACCCAGTAGCTGGAGTCTTGCTCCTTTTCTGCAATGGCCCCACTTCCTGGTTGTTGTTGCTGTTGTTGTTGTTGTTGTTTGAGATAGAGTCTCGCTTTGTTGCCCACGTTGGAGTGCAGTGGGCTGATCTCCGCTCACTGCAATCTCTGCCTCCCAGGTTCAAGCGAGTCTCCTGCCTCAGCCTCCCTAGTAGCTGGGATTACAGGCACCCACCACCACACCCAGCTAATTGTTTTGTATTTTTAGTGGAGACCGGGTTTCACCATGTGACCAGGCTGGTTTTGAACTCCTGACCTCAAGTGATCTGCCTGCCTCGGCCTCCCAAAGTGCTAGGATTATAGGTGTGAGCCACCGCACCCAGCCCCCACTTCCTGTTTTAGCTCACCTTTCTGAACACCTTCAGCCCGTTGAGTCTAGACACCATGATGTGGCACTTGATTGTGTCTGTCTGTCTGCCTTCAATTGTCTCTGGTAAGCAAAACTTGCCTCTAACTCATTTGGGATCATCTTAAGGGCAAGATTGTGTCTTATGCGTATTTTCTTGTTTCTACCATAGATTCTAGGATATGAAGCAGGCACATATGAGCTGCTTGACTTGCTGACTTGACAGAGTTCCCTGTTTTCTTTTCAGATTGTGAGAACAGTAAGTGTGGCCCAAAGAAGAACATTTTTAAAGAAATACAACCATTGGGGATGATAGCAGATTCACAATGGAGGTTCCCCCAGCAACAAAGTTTGGTGAGACCTTTGCATTTGAGAACAGGTTAGAGTCACAACAAGGGCTTTTCCCAGGGGAGGACCTGGGGGACCCTTTTCTTCAGGAAAGAGGTTTGGAGCAAATGGCTGTGATCTACAAGGAGATCCCTCTTGGTGAGCAGGACGAAGAAAATGATGATTACGAGGGGAATTTCAGTTTGTGCTCAAGCCCTGTTCAGCATCAAAGTATCCCCCCAGGAACCAGACCCCAGGATGATGAGCTCTTCGGACAAACCTTCCTCCAGAAATCCGACCTCAGCATGTGTCAGATAATCCACAGTGAAGAGCCCAGTCCATGCGATTGTGCAGAAACAGACAGAGGGGACTCAGGACCTAACGCACCTCACAGAACCCCACAACCAGCCAAGCCCTATGCGTGTCGAGAGTGTGGGAAGGCCTTCAGCCAGAGCTCGCACCTGCTCCGACACCTGGTGATCCACACTGGGGAGAAGCCCTATGAGTGCTGTGAGTGCGGGAAGGCCTTCAGCCAGAGCTCCCACCTGCTCAGGCACCAGATCATCCACACCGGGGAGAAGCCCTACGAGTGCCGGGAGTGTGGGAAGGCCTTCCGCCAGAGCTCAGCCCTCACGCAACACCAAAAGATCCACACCGGAAAGAGGCCCTACGAGTGCAGGGAATGCGGGAAAGATTTCAGCCGGAGCTCCAGCCTCAGAAAACACGAGAGAATTCATACAGGAGAGAGACCTTATCAGTGTAAGGAATGTGGGAAATCCTTCAACCAGAGCTCAGGCCTGAGCCAGCATCGGAAGATCCACACCCTAAAGAAACCTCACGAGTGCGATCTCTGTGGGAAAGCCTTTTGTCACAGGTCACACCTCATCCGACACCAGCGGATCCACACTGGGAAGAAACCATACAAATGCGATGAGTGCGGGAAGGCCTTCAGCCAGAGCTCCAACCTCATTGAGCACCGCAAGACCCACACTGGCGAGAAGCCCTACAAATGCCAGAAGTGTGGGAAAGCCTTCAGCCAGAGCTCCTCCCTCATTGAGCACCAGCGCATCCACACCGGTGAGAAGCCCTACGAGTGCTGTCAGTGTGGCAAGGCCTTTTGCCACAGCTCTGCGCTGATCCAGCACCAGAGAATCCACACCGGCAAGAAGCCCTACACCTGCGAGTGTGGCAAAGCCTTCCGGCACCGGTCAGCCCTCATTGAGCACTATAAAACCCACACCAGAGAGAAGCCCTACGTGTGCAATCTGTGCGGCAAGTCCTTCCGGGGGAGCTCGCACCTGATTCGCCATCAGAAGATTCATTCTGGGGAGAAGCTATAGAAAGAGGAGCCCACACAAAGCTTGAAAGCCTGTGCCAGATGGAGCCTTTATTCCACGTCGCGTGGTCTCCAAGACCCCACCTACCTCCCTGATGCTGAATGGAAACCTTCCCACCTAAGCGCTCTTGAACATCCCACTAGCAGGAAGGCCCTGTGTGGCCCTGGGCCAAGCACGCCAGCTCTCAGCAGGTTTTCTGCATGGAAGGGAAGGTGGGGTGATAGGGAGGGCAGCCAGAAAAGACAGCTGGCCTTCAGTTTCTCCTTCTTGCATTTGACTCCCAAGCCTACAGGATTTCATTTTGCCCTGTCTTCACATTTCCCAGAATCTAGAAGAATAAATGCCAAGAGGGAGAAAGTTGAATTAAACCCAGGAAAATATCAGAAGAACTCTTTAAAACAGGCTGCAGTCTGGCACTTTTAGAAGACAGAAACCACACTCACAGTCCAAAGCAGTAGAAGAAAAATGAATTCAAAAGTAGATGTGTCAGCAGCAAAGTAGAATTTTCTCACTGCGTTGGGCATTGGTGGGGACAACCAAAACAGGTCTGCAGAGCAAAGGCAGGTCTGGAGGGTGGGTCTTGAGATTGGGGATGAGGGTGGTGAGCCCCTGGGCGTGGCCTCTTAACCCTCTCCTTAGCCCTAGGGCAGTTTCCCTCAGACAGCTCTGTTACAGGAGGATAGAGATTTGATCCTGTTGGCCAGAGGATGTTTGACACCCAGCCGTGACTCAGCCTGGACACCGGACATGACTGCCCTCCAGGAATAACCCCTCCCTGAGACATAGTGTCCCCAAGACCACAGTGTGCCTTGGACATCAGCAGGGCCTGGGTCTGGTCTGTTCTGGCAATGATGCAGCCCTCCTGCCCCAGTGTCAGGGGACCTGGGAAGCTGGGTGGCTTGTTGGAGGAGGCTGTGTTCTAATCAGAAGGTCTGGGTTCAAGTCCTAGTTCCACCCCCTCCTACCTGGGTGAGCTTGAACAAGTCCTGTAACTTCCCCAGGCTCCATTCCCCCATCCAAGAGTTGGGGTAATGGGAACTGGCCACGTGCCTCTAAGGGTTGGTGCCAGGCTGTCATTCAGAACACAGCCACTGTGAAAGTGCTTTGGCAACTGTGAGCAGTCATGGTGACTGAGGACAGAGACCCAGAGTGACCCCTGCCCCACCCCTGTGCATTTCCACGGACTGGAGAGATGTTCCCGTCTGGTTTCTGAGCAGTGGGACCTCTCATTGAACAGGGCTTTCTCTCCCTCCACCCCTTGCAGCCTGGGCTGTGTATGCCTGCGGATGCAGTGTCCCACACAAGGACACTTCCTCTAGGATGCCATCCTGAGCCTCCTGTAGCAGCAGTGTCATTCTGCACTTCCACATTCTGTCTGTCTTCCCCGCCTGCCAACTAGGAGTTCACGTGGGGCTTGTTTAAACAGTACCATTGCTTGTGTCCCACCTGGACCAGTTCAGTCAGCCCCAGTGGTGGCATGTTTTAAAGCTCCCCAGGTGATTATAACTTCCTAGTGTGCAGCCAGGCTGTGGGCCCTGTGCTGGGCTTTTTTTTTTGAGATGGAGTGTTGCCCTGTTGCCAGGCTGGAATGCAGTGGCGTGATCTTGGCTTACTGCAAGCTCTGCCTCCTGGGTTCAAGCGATTCCCCTGCTTCAGCCTCCTGAGTAGCTGGGACTACAGGTGCGTGCCACCATGCCTGGCTAATTTTTTGTATTTTTAGTACAGACGGGGTTTCACCATGTTGGCCAGGATGGTCTCGATCTCTTGACCTCGTGATCTGCCCGCCTTGACCTCCCAAAGTGCCGGGATTACAGGCATGAGCCTCCACACCTGGCCCATGCTGGGTTTTTGTGCATCCCTCGACAGCTTCCAATGTCAGCCTGCTGGCTTTGGCTGAGCAGAGCTTGAAGGCCATTCTGTCTCAGTGCCCTCACTCCCTGCTCCCCGCACCCGGAGCCTCAGGGATGGGCTCAGGCTGATGGTCAGCTGGGCGCTTGGAAAGTGTTTGGCTGGGGCCTTGGGGATCTCTTTAGTCCTGGCTTCCCTTGGGCTCCTCAGAGCTAGTGGGGAAGGAGGCAGTCTAGGCTGTTTTGAAGTTTCCTAAACATTTATGGCTGGGCTAACATGAACTCATCATGGTAACACTGGGTATTTCAGCTGATCAGAAGCTCAGCATGGCCATTATGCCTAGTTTTGATGAATAAACATGGGAAAGCCATAACTGTTACTAAGTGGGTCTTGATAGGCCAGAGATTTCCAAATGACAGATATGATGGGCTGGAGAGGTCATGGTGGGAGTTCCAGCCATGCCTCTGTCCAGCCCCTGTCTTTGCTACGTATGTGAAACATTTAACATTTAACCAGCACTCCATTGTCCACCAGAACCCTCTGTGTAACCAGTTGGACTGACTGGATGGTGCCCTGGGCATTGCCTGCAAGTGGCCTGTCATTTCAGGCCTGTCTCTATCAAGAGTGAAGAGAGAATGCTAGGATGCAGTGGGGACAGCAGGCGGCATCAAGCAGGGGTCCCTGAAAGATCTACCTCCTCTTTACACCTGCCCCTCTTCCCCACCGTTATCATCTGGCAAATGTCTGTTACCTATCTTTGGTTTCTCCCTCCCCATCCTTCCTGCACACCCCAGCCAAATTGATTTTTAAAGCATCATTTTGCACAAGTCACCACTCTCCTTAAAACCAACTTTCAGGAGCTTTCCTGCACGTAAACCCTCGTTTCAGCCAACCTGGTTTACCCACTCTGAGCAAGCCGCATGGAGATCAGGCCGCCCCTGCCCACTCCAGCATCACTCCCAGCTCATAATTCTGTGCTGTTCTTGCATTTTGAAATGTGCACTTTCTCCTCCTCTCCCTCCCTCTCTCTTTCTAATTTTTGTGTAACGTGGAGATGAAGATCCCCCCTCTCTCCCAAGGGTTAACAGATAAACATGGTAAGACCAGGTTCTTTTTTGGAAGTATGACCAGAGCCTCATTCCCTCTGTTCAAATTCTTTCCTTGTTTTATTAGTTTTTTTTTTTTTTTTTTTTTTTTTGAGACAGAGTCTCACTGTCACCCAGGCTGGAGTGCAGTGGTGCGATCTTGGCTTGCTGCAACCTCTGCCTCCCGGGTTCAAGTGATTCTCCTGCCTCAGCCTCCTGAGTAGCTGGGATTACAGGCATGTGCCACCACGCCTGGCTAACTTTTGTATTTTTAGTAGAGATGGGGTTTCACCATGTTGGCCAGGCTGGTCTCGAACTCCTGACCTCCTGATCTGCCTGCCTTGGCCTCCTGAAGTGTTGGGATTACAGGCGTGAGCCATGTGCCCAGCCAGCTTATTAGATTTTTTTTTTTAAACTCTCTCATTCTATTTAGATTCTCAAACAGTGTAAAGTTATAAAAGATCATCCCTGGCAATATTTTAATCAATTATCTTTTAATTTAGTTGTTCTTTGTTTTTGTTGTCCTACCTTTTTTTTTCTTTTTTCTTTTTTCTTTTTTTGAGATGGAGTCTTGCTTTGTCACCCAGGCTGTAGTGCAGTGGGGCGATCTCGGCTTACTGCAAGCTCTACCTCCCAGGTTCAGACCATTCTCCTGCCTCAGCCTCCCAAGTAGCTGGGACTACAGGCACCCGCCACCACGCCCGGCTAATTTTTTGTATTTTTAATAGAGACGGGGTTTCACCGTGTTAGCCAAGATGGTATCTATCTCCTGAGCTCGTGATCCGCCCGCCTCGGCCTCCCAAAGTGCTGGGATTACAGGTGTGAGCCACCGCGCTCGGCATTTTTTTATTTCTTCTTCTCCTTAGAGTGACAGCTTTGTCTGCACTCCGTAAGTTTTGACGTGGTGTTTTTTGTTATAGTATTAAGAATTTCCTTTTGCCCAAATGTTATTATTTAAAAATATTTCTAAGTGGGCCGGGCATGGTGACTCACACCTGTAATCCCAGCACTTTGGAAGGCCGAGGTGGGTGGATCACGAGGTCAGGAGTTTAAGACCAGCCTGGCCAACATGGTGAAAACCCGTCTCTACTAAAAATACAAAAATTAACTGGGCATGGTGGCGGGTGCCTGTAATCCCAGCTACACGGGAGGCTGAGGCAGGAGAATCGCTTGAACCCGGGAGGCGGAGGTTGCAGTGAGCCAAGATTGTGCCACTACCCTTCAGCCTGGGTGACAGGGCAAGACTCCATCTCGGGGAAAACAACAACAACAAAAACAAAAAATAGCCGGGAGCGGTGGCTCAAGCCTGTAATCCCAGCACTTTGGGAGGCCAAGACGGGCAGATCATGAGGTCAGGAGATCGAAACCATCCTGGCTAACACGATGAAACCCTGTCTCTATTAAAAATACAAAAAATTAGCCGTGCGTGGTGGCTACAGGCAGCTGTGCGCCTGTAGTCCCAGCTACTTGGGAGGCTGAGGCAGGAGAATGGTGTGAACCCGGGAGGCAGAGCTTGCAGTGAGCCGAGGTGGTGCCACTGCACTCCAGCCTGGGCAAAAGAGCTAGACTCTGTCTCAAAAAAAATATATATAAAAAAAATTTCTAAGTGATGAATGCTTAGGGTATTGCTGCTTATTTCTTACTGTACTGTGGTGTCAACATTTCTAAGTGTCCATAGGACTTCTTTGGGCCTGAATATATTATCAGTTTTTATAAAAGCATTTGTGTAATCTCAAAATGTGTTTTTATTCTACCAGTTCTATTTGTTAACTCAATTTTTTCATTATTTTATTCAAATCCATATTTTCTCTGACTTTCATTTACTTTAGAGTTCTTAATCTGGGGGTCCATGGCCTGCCTAGGAGTCTTTAGCATGTAGGGGTTTAGGAGTTGCAGACCCCTAGGGATCGAACAAAGCTGGGTATGTGCTTGAAGGAATTTTGCTGGGACAAGGATCTGTAGTATTTACTATATTTTTAAATGCCTCTGTGACACCAAAGCAGTTCAGAACACTCATTTACCTGATCTAATCATAGTTTGATGTTTGTGTGTTATATCTCTATGTATTCCTGTTTCACTTTTAATTTCTGTATGTGTATTGTCGCTATGTTGTGCAGTTTTTCTCAAGTCATTTTTGAGAAATAGGCAGGGTATGAATTATCAATAAATAAGTATCATGTTTGGGGCATATATATTTAATAGTGATATATTGAAAAACTCGGCCAGGCACAGTGGCTCATGCCTGTAATCCTAGCACTTTGGGAGGCCAAGGTGGGCGGATCACTTGAGGTCAGGAGTTTGAAACGAGCTTGGCCATAATAGTGAAACCCCATCTCTACTAAAAATACAAAAAATTAGCTGGGCATGGTGGTTTGTGCCTGTAATCCCAGCTACTTGGGAGGCTGGGGCAGAAGAATCACTTGAACCCGGGAGGTGGAGGTTGCAATGAGCAGAGATTGTGCCACTGCACTCCAGCCTGGGTGACAGAGCAAGACTCCATCTCAAAAAAAAAAAAAAAAAAAGAAAAAGAAAAACTATGCTAAGTACCCTCTTTGCCTCTTTTAATATTTCTAGCTTAAACTTGTCTTTTCCAAATATTATAATTGAAGCCCCCTGCTTTTCTTGAATTTGCCTGGTAGAGTTTAGCTCAGCATTTTGTTTTTTAAATTTGTGTATATATTTTGCTATACATCTACATAAACAACAAATTGTTAGAGTTTGTTTTCTGGTTCTTTCTGTAATTTATTTTTGTACGAGAAGTTCTATCATTAATACTATTGAGCAAGGCATAATTTATTTTCATTTTAATATTTTAATATATATTAACTAATTTAACCTCAAAAAGCCATGCTCACCCCTCACTCCCATCTCTAGGAGTTATTAACCATATGTGGAGTGTCATTTCTGGATAGACTAGAGGTCTGCCATTGGGCCCACCTGTCTCTCTTCTTGTCACATTTGGGTTCAGTGCCAAGATCTGCCCTGAGCCCATTCCTCAAGTTACAGCCTCTGACTTCAGGGTCCTAAGCTATAACATGGGGGAATGATGACACTCACAGCCTTGGGGGCCTCAGTGGTATAAGGAATGCAAACATGCTTAGCAAACTATCAGGTGCAGTTGATTATTACACTATTAGTGTTTTGAAGTATTTCTTTCTTTCTTTTTTTTTTTTTTTGAGATGAAGTCTTGCTCTGTAGCCCAGGCTGGAGTGCAGTGGTGCGATCTCGGCTCACTGCAACCAGGATCAAGCGATTCTCCTGCCTCAGCCTCCAAAGTAGCTGAGATTACAGGCACGCGCCATTGCACCTGGCTAATTTTTTTTTTTTTTTTTTGGGGGACGGAGTCTCACTCTGTTGCCAGGCTAGAGTGCAGTGGCGTGATCTCAGCTCACTGCAACCTCCACCTCCCAGGTTCAAGCGATTCTCTTGCCTCGGCCTCCCAAGTAGCTGGGATAACAGCTGGGATAACAGGCATGCGCCACCATGCCCTGCTAATTTTGTATTTTTAGTAGAGGCATGGTTTCCCCATGTTCGCCAGGCCGGTCTCTATCTCCTGACCTCAGGTGATCCACCAGCCTCAGCCTCCCAAAGTGCTGGGATTACAGACATGAGCCACTGCGCCTGGGCCTCCTATGAGTCTTTAATGCCAAGGATGCTTCCTCAGGATAAAGGCTTATGTCCATTTCAGTGTCGACTGTCAGGGACTCAGCTGCAGACTCTTTTGACTCATCTGCTTTTTATTTGTTTTTAATTTTTTTGCAAGCCTTTATGCTGCTTTCCTGTCTTTCTCCTCTTCCTGAGTTCTCTTCCCCATACCTACAGCGTGGCCTCCGCACATACCAAGCTTGCAAGCTTGCTGTTTGCTGCAAAGAAACCTGGACTGACAATCTCTCTTCTGTCATCTGGGCAGCCAGACTGAGTGTCCCCTTCTACCTGGGTGCCTGTGTGCATGTCCTCTAACCCCTAACCCTTTGCAGCTTCTGTTTTTTTTTTTTTTCTTTTTTTCTTTTGTTTTTTTGGAGACAGAGTTTTGCTCTTGTTGCCCAGGCTGGAGTACAATGGCAAGATCTCGGCTCACCACAACCTCTGCCTCCCGGGTTCAAGCGATTCTCTTGCCTCAGCCTCCCAAGTAGCTGGGGTTATAGGCATGCGCCACCATGCCCAGCTTATTTTGTATTTTTATTAGAGACGGGGTTTCTCCGTGTTGGTCAGGCTGGTCTCAAACTCCCTACCTCAGGTGATCCACCCGCCTCGGCCTCCCAAAGTGCTGGGATTACAGGCGTGAGCCACCATGCCCGGCCAGCTTCTGTTTCTTTATGTATAAACAGTACTGTCATGAAGATGCAATGAGATGAATTTTAGCTCAGAGCCTGCCACCTGGTGACTTACCCATGTTAGGTATTGTGGTTACAGCCCTGCTGTCAAACCACTTCTCCAACTCTCTTTCTAGCCTCAATTCATCTGTCAAAGCATTTGGCCCCAGGATTTTGCTGCGTATTCAGAAGTACGACCTCACATCTGCAGAATGCCACTGGCTTTCACACGAGGCCTCCCAGAAAGGGATGCCAGGCCTCAGACACTAGCTGGTGGCTCTCAGGACTTGCCACTCCATTTTCGCATTTTTCAGGACCACATGGCATACAGTTGGTCTCACAGTCTTTCCTGTCTTCCCAGTGGTCAGCTGCAGCCCAGTTCTAGGGCTTCTGTGGGGGAAGACAGGAGAGGGCTTGGAGTCAGGACACTAAAATGTGTCAGACGAAGCTTTGCTTGCAAGGAGCTTACCACTTGGGTGGTGGAGAAGGCCCAGAAGGCACTACTACAGTGCTCCCAAATCAGGAAAAGATCGCTAAATGCCCGTACTACTCAGGATCACATGGGAGCCCAGAGTTGGACACCTGGATCAACTGGGAGCCTACCTGACATTGATGATGTTTGGCTAGAATACTGATGAATGAATGGGAGGTAGCAAGACCGACACTGAGGGAAGGGCATCCCAGGCACAGGGAAGAGCATTTAGGAAGGCTTGAAACAGTTGGATCCATTCTGGGAACTCCAAGTAATTCCATTCTTAAGTTGAGCCAGGGCTAGAAATCGTCAAACCACAACACATTCCAGCCATTGGTCTCTTTTTCTCCCTCTGTTCCATCCCATATAGCTCAATACTATAGCTAGATTTATCTTCCTTCCTTCCTTTCTTTCTTTTTTAAGATGGGGTTTTGGCCGGGAGCAGTGGCTCACACCTGTAATCCCAGCACTTTAGGAGGCCGAGGGGGGTGGATCACCTGAGGTCAGGAGTTTGAGACCAGCCTGACCAACATTGAGAAACCCCATCTTTACTAAAAATACAAAATTAGCTGGGCGTGGTGGCGCATGCCTGTAATCCCAGCTACTTGGGAGACTGAGGCAGGAGAATCGCTTGAACCTGGGAGGCAGAGGTTGCAGTGAGCCCGGACCATGCCATTGCACTCCAGCCTGGGCAACAAGAGCGAAACTCCGTCTAAAAATAAATAAATAAATAAAAATAAAATAAAATAAATTTGGCTCTTCTGATTTTAAAATTGACTGGGGCTCCCTATGACCTAAAGGACCAAGATCAAACTCCCTCTCTTGACATTCAAAGCTCTTCACAGCCTTCCCCCAAACTCTTTCCACGTCTCCTCCCTACCTTTTGTTATAGTTATAGCCACTTGGATGACTTCCTGTTCTTCAAGCAGGCCAGTCACCCTTTTTGTCCAGACTTCTCCCTCTGCCTGCAATGTTCTTTTCCCCTTCTTCCTTGGGCAAATTCCCCCTATCTTCCAAGACCCAATGCAGAGGACAGGTTTACTAGAAGCCCCTTCAGGGTACTCCCAGTGCCTAGAATCCAGCCTGTCATTTTGGTTGAATAATTAATCAGATCAAGAACATCTTCCCTGAGTTCCCAACAGAGACGCCCCCCCACACGCCCTCGTGCTCCCTGCACTCCTCCTCCATGCTATGTTGGAACTTCTTGAAGTCAGGCTTCATTTCTTTTCTGTTTCCTTCCTTGCTTCCTTCCTTTCTTTCTTTTTTTTTTTTTTTTGAGACAGAGTCTCACTCTGTCGCCCAGGCTGGAGTGCAGTGGCACGATCTCGGCTCACTGCAACCTCCGCCTCCCAGGTTCAAGCGATTCTCCTGCCTCAGCCTCCTGTGTAGCTACGACTACAGGCGCCCACCACCACACCCAGCAGTGGGAGGCTGCAGTGAGCTGTGATGGCACCACTGCACTCCAGCCTGGGTAACAGAGCAAGACCCTGTCCCTAAAAGAAAAAAGAAATGTTTGAAACTTACATTTTATTAACAGCAAAGATAAAGAAGCTCAACTCAAGGAAGAATGAATAACCCCTACCAAGTGATTTGGGAGCAATGACAGATTTTGTTAACTAAAGCAAACTCCAGCAGTAAGGACATGACACACCAAATCCCCAAAAGGGTCAAAGCTCTGGGTCACAGATAAAATCTTCCAGAGCAGTCGTTCTCAGACTGTCATTCTTGGCCATCATAATTATTGCCCAGGAACTTGCTAGAAATGCAAACTTTCGGCTGGTCGTGGTGGCTGACACCTGTAATCCTAGCACTTTGCGACGCCGAGGCAGGCGGATCACCTGAGGTCGGGAGTTCGAGACCAGCCTGACCAACATGGAGAAACCCCATCTCTAATAAAAATACAAAAAAATTAGCTGGGCGTGGTGGCACACACCTGTAGTCCCAGCTACTCAGGAGGCTGAGGCAGAAGAATTGCTTGAACCCGGGAGACGGAGGTTGCAGTGAGCCGAGATCGCACCACTGCACTCCAGCCTAGTGACAATGAGACTTCATATCCAAAAAAAAAAAAAAAAAAAAAGCAAACTTTCAGGACCCACCGGCTTACCAAATAAGCTACTGAGCAGGGCCCAGCCTAGTGCCATTACTTTTAATGACAAAACCCACAATTACTTTTGCACTGATACAATAGTAACATCAAGGATCACCGGTCATAGATCAGCATGACAAATATTATTACAGTAATAATAGGCTGAGCACGCTGACTCATGCCTGTAATCCCAGCACTTTGGGAGGCCAAGGTGGGTGGATCACCTGAGGTCAGGAGTTTGAGACCAGCCTGACCAACGTTGTGAGACCCCGTCTCTACTAAAAATACAAAAAAATTAGCCAAGTGTGGTGGCGGGCCTCTGTAATACCAGCTACTTGGGAGGCTGAGGCAAGGGAATCACTTGAACCCGGGATGTGGAGGTTGCAGTGAGCCAAGGTTGCACCATTGCACTCCAGCCTGGGCAACAAGAGCAAAACTACATCTCAAGGAAAAAAAAAAGACCCCCAAAAGGTCTAGCCAAGATCAAAATAACTGAAACCTTTTTGTGGACCAGAAATAAGCAAAACTGTTGATTGGGGTGGACACCCGGACCTGCATGGGGCCAAGGGAGGCCCTGGTGACTGGATGCTTCTCTATTGTGAGGCAGCTGGCGGTAAAAGCCCTGGTGTGGACAACCTCCTTGGAGATGAACAGACCCTGCAACCCAGCAGCTCCAACCCTAGGACACACCTGGAGAAATCTCACACAAGCCACTACTGCAGTGTACTGCTGGAGTGTACATGGCAGCATTGATTGAACAAGTGAAAAATGAAAACAGCCTAAATGCTCAACAGGAAAAGGATAGTGGTGAATCCACACCATGGAACATACTCCAGCAGTTAATATGGATGAGCTGGAACTTCAGGTATTGGCTGGGCGCCAGTTGCTCACACCTGTAATCCCAGCACTTTGGGAGGCTGAGGTGGGAGGATTGCTTGAGCCCAGGAGTTCGGGACCAGACTGGCCAACATGGCGAAACCTTGTCTCTACTGAAAATACAAAAATTAGCTGGGCATGGTGGTGCACGCCTATAGTCCCAGCTACTTGGGAGGCAAAGGCTGCAGAATTGCAGACCACAGGCATTCAGAGAAATAAACAAAGTAATTTGTTTCTTTTTTCTTTTTATTTTGAGAGAGAGTCTCACTCTGGTGCCCAGGCTGGAGTGAAGCGGTGCGATCATAGCTCTCTGCAGCCTCAAACACCTGGGGTCAAACGATCCTCCTACCTCAGCCTCCAAGGTGGCTGGGACTATGTGCACATGCCACCCGGCTGATTTTAACAACTTTTTTTTTTTTTTTTTTGAGACACAGTCTCACTCTGTTGCCAGGCTGGAGTGCAGTGGTGCGATCTCAGCTTACTGCAACCTCTGCCTCCTGGGTTCAAGAAATTCCCCGCCTCAGCCTCCCCAGTAGCTGGGATTACAGGCGTGCACCACGCCTGTAGGGACAGGGTTTCACCATGTTGCCCAGGATGGTCTCGATCTCCTGACCTCGTGATCCGCCCGCCTTGGCCTCCCAAAATGTTGGGATTACAGGCATAAGCCACTGCGCCTGACCTTTAACGACATTTTTATTATAGATGGGGCCCCACTCTGTTGCCCAGGCTTCTCTCAAACTCCTAGGCTCAAGTGATCCTCCAGACTTGGCCTCCCAAAGTGCTGGGATTACAGGCGTGAGCCACCATATCTGCTCAGTGGTAATTTCAGATTATGCCAAATTTCAAAGATTAATCAGGGAGATGTGAGAAGGTGAGTGGAACACATGCTAATTTATTTATTTAGAGACAGGGTCTCACTCTGTCACCCAGGCTGGAGTGCAGTGGTGTGATCTCAGCTTACGCAGCCTCAATCTGGGCTCAAGATCCTTGTGCCTCAACCTCTTAAGTAGCTGGGACCACAGGTGTGCACCAGCACTCCTGGCTAGTTTTTGTATTTTTTTGTAGAGATGGGATCTTGCTATGCTGCTCTCAGGCTACAGATAAGAATTTATATCAGGTGGAACCGAGAAACACATTATGTGCCCCTCATTCCTCCTGTTTAAAATTCCCATCTTGCCTTTTCCCTTTTCATATGTTAGGTTTTGAGCTCCTTGGCCTTAATTTTTTTTTTTTTTTTTTTTGCAGCTTATGGAAAACTGATATCGAGCTTGAGAATGTTGTGAGAGAAAAGCAATTTCAGGGAGACAAGAAAGAGAGCCAAGGCGCAGTGGCTCTCACCTGTAATCCCAGCACTTTGGGAGGCTGAGGCGTGTGGATCATCTGAGGTCAGGAGTTCGAGACCAGCCTGTCAACATGGTGAAACCCTGTCTCTACTAAAAATGCAAAAATTATCTGGGCGTGGTGGCACACGCCTGTAATCCCAGCTACTCAGGAGGCTGTGGCAGGAGAATCGCTTGAATCCGGGAATCCAGGAGGTGGAGGTTGTGGTGAGCCGAGATCGTCCCATTGCACTCTAGCCTGGGCAACAAGAGTGAAACTCCGTCTCCAAAAAAAAAGAAAGAAAGAAAGAAAGAAAGAGGATGTGTCTCTTTTCAGCAGCTGCAAAGTGGTAGACACCATTTCATGTCATAAAATTGATTCAAAGAATCTTGCCTGAATAAGGTGTGTAATTGATATACTCATGAAATTTGTTCTGTTTTCTGTTGCTAAAAGTGATACTTGGGAACAAGATACTAAAACATGCAGAAAATGGATGAATCTCAAAAACATGCTGTGTGGAAGAAGCCAGATCTAAAAGAGCGCCCCGTATACTTCTATTGATATAAAATTCTGGAAACACCAAATCTAATCCATAGTGACACAGAGCAGATCAGTGGTTGCCTGGGTCAGGGCTGGAAGGTGGATTGACTGGGAGGGGTCAGAGGGAACTCCCTGGAGTAATGAGAAAGTTCTTTTTTTTTTTTTTTTTTTTTTTTTGAGACAGGATCTCACTTTATCACCCAGGCTGGGGTGCAGTGGCTCGATCTCGGCTCACTGCAACCTCTGCCTCCCAGGTTCAAGCAATTCTCCTGCCTCAGCCTCTGAGTAGCTGGGATTGCAGGCATGCACCACGACACCCAACTGATTTTTATATTTTTAGTAGAGACAGGGTTTCACCATGTAGTCCAGGCTGGTCTTGAGCTCCTGACCTCAGGTGATCAGCCTGCCTTGGCCTCCCAAAGTGCTGGGATTACAGGTATGAGCCACCACACTGGCCTAGGGAAAGTTCTTTTTTGTTGATTTGTTTTTGTTTTTATTTTGAGACAGGGTCTCATTGTGTTGCTCAGGCTGGAGTGCAGTGGCGCTGCCTCAATTCACAACAGCCTTCCTGACCTGGGCCTAGGTGATCCTTCCACCTCAGCCTCCCAAGTAGCTGGGACCACAGGCCTTTGCCAACACGCTTGGCTAAATGTTTAAATATTCTTTGTAGAGATGATATAGCACTATATTGCCCAGGCTGGTCTGGAACTCCTGGGGTCAAACAATGCTTCCACCTTGGCTTCTCAAAGTGTTGGGAATACAAGTGTGAGCCATCACACCCGGCTTTAATTTTTTTTTTTTTTTTTTTTTTTGTGACAGCATCTTGCCCTGTCACCCAGGCTGAAGTGCAGTATTGTGGTCATAGCTCACTGCTGCCTCCAACTCCTGGCTCAAGTGATCCTCCTGCCTCAGCCTCCTGAGAAGCTGGGACCACAGGTGCATGCCACCATGCCTGGCTAATTTTTTAAAAAAACTGTAGCCAGGTAGCTCCTACGTTGCCCAGGCTGTCCTGAAAGTCCTGGCCTCAAGCAATCCTCCCGATTCAGCCTCCCAAAGTTGGGATTACAGGCATGAGCCACTGCACCCAGCAGAAAGTTCTATATCTTGATAGTGGCAGTGGGTATTCAGATATATCTATTTGCTAAGCCTCATCAAACTGTACAGTTAAAGTGAGACCCTGTCTCAAAAAAAACCTATACATTTAAAATAAGTGCATTGTATTGTATGTAAACTATACTTCAATAACATTTATTTTAAGTAATAAAACAACTGTCCCTGGCAGTATTTGTACAAAGGGAAGGGGTCTTTGAAGACACTCAGAATTCAGACATTATTTTTAGGTCTTGCAAAAAAAAAAACCCCGAAACCAAAAACCTTTAACCTCAAAAACCGCACAAAAGGTAGCTGAGGTGGGAGATCAGAAATGCCTGTTATTCTAATTGGATGTTGTGTTTGATAATTGTTGTCATGATATTGCTATTAGAATATTAAAGTAACAATTAAAATATCAAATGACATCTCTGTACACATAAAGATATAAACACTTGTATTTATTTACATATGGGCCGAGCACGGTGGCTCACACCTGTCATCCTAGCACTTTGAGAGGCAGAGACGGGAGGATCACTTGAGGCCAGGAGTTTGAGACAAGCCTGGTCAATGTAGCAACACCCCATTTCTATTAAAAAAATCTGACTGGGCACAGTGGCTCACACCTGTAATCCCAGAACTTTGGGAGGCCGAGGAGGGCGGATCATGAGGTCTGGAGATCGAGACCACCCAGGCTAACACAGTGAAACCCTGTCTCCACCAAAAATACAAAAAATTAGCCAGGTGTGATGGCGGGCGCCTGTAGTCCCAGCTACTCAGGAGTCTGAGGCAGGAGAATCGCTTCAACCCAGGAGGCAGAGGTTGCAGTGAGCCGAGATGGCACCATTGCACTTCAGCCTTGGTGACAGAGCGAGTCTCCATCTCAAAAATAAAATAAAATAAAATGAAGTAAAAAAAAATAAAAACTATACATTTCATTCATATATACCCAGAGTATGAAAATTGGCAGTTCTCTTTTCTTGCAATATATGAGTATATAATAAAACCCATGACTCCGTCAGTTCCTTCTTCAAACATAAATTTGAAAGTCTTTGAGGCCGGGCATGGTGGCTCATGCCTATAATCTCAACACTTTGGGAGGGTGAGCTGGGAGGATTGCTTGAGGCCAACAGTTCAAGGCCAGCCTAGGCAACATAGTGAGAGCCTGACTACAAAATGCTTTCTTTCTTTCTTTTTCTTTTCTTTTTTTTTTTTTTTTTTTTGAGACGAAGTTTCGCTCTTGTTGCACAGGCTGGACTGCAATGGTGTGATCTCAGCTCACCACAACCTCCACCTCTGGGGTTCAAGCGATTCTCCTGCCTCAGCCGCCCGAGTAGCTGGAATTACAGGCACCCGCCACCAGGCCCAGCTAATTTTTGTATTTTTAGTAGAGACAGGGTTTCACCATGTTGATCAGCCTGGTCTTGAACTCCTGACCTCAGGCGATCCATTTGCCTCAGCCTTCCAAAGTGCTGAAATTACAGGCACGAGCCACTGCGCCCAGCTTTTTCAAAATTTTTTGAGACAGAGTCTGGCTCTGTGGCCCAGGCTGGAGTGCAGTGGTGCGATCTCAGCTCACTGCAACCTCCACCTCCTGGGTTCAAGCAATTCTGCCTCAGTCTCCCAAGTAGCTGGGATTACAGGCACCTGCCACCATGCCTGGCTGATTTTTGTATTTTTAGTAGAGATGGAGTTTTGCCATGTTGGCCAGGCTGATCTCGAACTCCTGACCTCAAGTGATCCCCCAGCCTCGGCCTCCCAAAGTGCTGGGATTACAGATGTGAGCCACCACACTTGGCCAATTGTCACTCTTAGTTACTGTAAGAACTGGTTGTTGGAAGAGCTTGGCACCTCTGCTCTCTCGCTTCCTCCTTTGCCATGTGATCTGCACACAGCTCTCCTTTGCCTCTGCCATGAGTGGAAGCTTCCAATCCTGCAGCAGAAACAGATGCTGGGGCCATGCTTCTAGTACAGCCTGCAGAACCATGAGCCAAACAAGTCTCTTTTGGACAAAAAAGACAAATGACCCAGCCTCAGCCTCAGCTATTCCTTTATAAGCGGACAAGCTACTTTATTCGGATGTTGTGAGAAGTAGATGAGATAATGTGGGTAGAGACCCCAGATGAGGGTCTGGCACATAGTGTATCAGTCAGGACAGGCTAATTAAGCTGCAGTAACAACTCCAAAACCTCAGTCTTTTGACTCAATAAAGGTTTATTTCTCATTCATCCTACACATCCATCACTGGTTGGAAAGGGGGCTTTGATTTCCATAAGTTGCTCAGGGATCCTGACTGAGAGGTGCTCAATTTCGACACGTGCTTCTGTGATCACCAAGACAGGAAAAAGGGATGATGCAGAAAATCAGGCATTGGCTCTTAAAAATGTTGCTGCCTGCTGGACGTGGTGGCTCACTTCTGTAGTCTCAGCACTTTGAGAGGCCGAGGTGGGTGGATCACCTGAGGTCAGGAATTCAAGATCAGCTTGGCCAATGTGGTGAAACCCCATCTCTGCTAAAAATAAAAAAATTAGCTGGATGTGGTGGCACATGCCTGTAGTCCCAGCTACTCAGGAGACTGAGGCAGGAGAATTGCTTGAACCTGGGAGGCAGAGGTTGCAGTGAGCCAAGATCACGCTATTGCACTCCAGCCTGGGTGACAGAGTGAGATTCCGCCTCAAATTTTTTTTTTTTTTTTTTTTTTTTTTTTTTTTTTTGCTGTTTAAGGCTGGGTGTGGTGGCTCACATCTGTAATCCAGGCACATTGGGAGGCCAAGGCGGGCAGATCACTTGAGCTCAGGAGCTCGAGAGCAGCCTGGCCAACATGGCAAAAACCCGTATCTACAAAAAATACAAAAAATTACCCCAGCGCAGTGTCATTCGCCTGTAATCTTAGCTATTTGGGAGGCTGAGTTGGGAGGATTACTTGAGCCTGGGAGGCAGAGGTTGCAGTGAGCTGAGACCGTGCCACTGCACTCCAGCCTGGGTGACAGAGTGAGACACTCCCTGTCTCTCAAAAAAAGAAAAAATTGCTCTTTACATTTTATGGACCAAAAAAGTCACATGGTCACCCCTCACATGACAAAGTCAAAGACATGCAATTCCACTTCGTGTCTAAAAAGAGGGAGAAAGAAATATTTGCTGAACTTCCATGGTTAGTTACCATAATTTAAAAAGTGGGCAGATGGGAGCTTACTGAGGATGTGACATTTGAGCTGAGGCTTCAATGATAAAGAAGCAGAAATTGTAAGAGCTACGGGTGTGAAGTCTCTAAGGCAGGAATGGGCTTTTGAGGAACAGAAAGTGGCTTGAATGTTTGGAAAACAGTGAATGAGAGTAAGGGCTGGGTCATACAGCAGGGGCTGGGTCATACAAAGCCTTGTTGGCCATTGTGAGGAGTCTAAATTATATTTCAAGTGCACCAGGAGACCGGGCATGGTGGTTCAAGCCTTTAATCCCAGCACTTTGGGGGGCCGAGGTGGGAGTATCATTTGAGCCAAAGAGTTTGAGACCAGCCTGAACAACATAGTGAGACTCCAAAATGTCACCAAAAATTTTAAAAATGAGCAGAGCATGGTGGTACACGCTTGTGGTCCCAGCTACCTGGGAGGCTGAGATGGGAGGATCACTTGAGCCTAGAAGGTCGAGGCTGCAGGGAGACGTGATGGTGCCACTGTACTCCAGCCTGGGAAACAGAATGAGACCCTGTCTCCAAAAAATAATAATAATAATAATAATAACAAAAATAGGTCGGGTGCAGTGGCCCACGCCTGAAATCCCAGCACTTTGGGAGGCTGAAGCGGGTGGATCACTTGAGGTCAGGAGTTCAAGACCAGCCTGGCCAACATGGTGAAACCCCGTCTCTACTTAAAATAGAAAAATTAGCTAGGCATGATGGTGTGCACTTGTGGTCCCAGCTGCTCAGGTGGCTGCTGCAGGAGAGTCACTTGAGCCCGGGAGGTCAAGGCTGCAGTGAGCTATGATGGTACCATTGCACTCCAGCCTGGGCAGCAGAGTGAGACCCTGTCTCAAAAAGCCGCTACTTGGTACTAAACTACATAATTATGTAGTCAAATTATTCTTTCTCAACACACATTGATATATTGATGAATATATGTGGGAGTTTTATTACTGAAGCATTTCTTTAGTCTATTTGCTGTAGAACCACATAGCCTTCCTGGTGTGCTAAGATGTGAACTGAAGGCTGGGCACAGTGGCTTATGCCTGTAATCCCAGCACTTTGGGAGGCTGAGGCAGGCAGATCACTGGAGGTCAGGAGTTCGAGACCAGCCTGGCCAACATGGTGAAACACAGTCTCTACTAAAAATACAAAAATCAGCCATGTGTGGTGTCGTGTGCCTGTAATCCCAGCTACTTGGGAGGCTGAGACAGGAGAATCGCTTGAATCCAGGAGGCGGAGGTTGCAGTAAGCCGAGATTGCACCATTGCACTCCAGCCTGGGAGATAAAGTGGGACTCCGTCTCAAAAAAAAAAAAAAAAATGTGAACTGACACATTGGGCTGTGACTTCATGAAAAGATATTATTATTGTTTATAGTACTGGTACAGGTTTGTACCCTACAAACACAAAAATTGTAATAACTTCTACTGCACAAAATTCTCATAAAAATGCAAACTCTATGTTAAAAAAGTTACCCGGGTGTGGTAGCCCATGCCTGTGTCCAGCTTCTCAGGAGGCTGTGGCAGGAGGGTTGCTTGAGCCCAGGAGTTGGCAGCTGCGGTGAGCTATGATTGTGCCACTGCACTCCAGCCTGGGTGCCAGAGCACATCCCTGTCTCTAAAACAAGCAAACAAAACAAAACAAAACAAAACTCTACGTGTGAGATTGCATATACCAAATGATTGAGGCCATTCTGTTAGGATTGATGAGATATTATGACTAGGTATCAACAAGAATGGAATTATACGCTTACAATTGTACTTCTCTGATGACTGGAAATACTTTACACACATTAGCTTCTGGGTCCATACATATCCAACATTATTTCTTTTTTCTCTTTTTCTTTTCTTTTCTTCCTTTTTTTTTTTTTTTTTTTTGAGACAGAGTCTTGCTCGGTCATCCAGGCTAGAGTGCAGTGGTGCAATCTCAGTTCACTGCCACCTCGGCCTCTGGGGTTCAAGCGATTTCCCTGCCTCAGCCTCCCAAGTAGCTGGGATTACAGGTGCGTGCCACCATGCCTGGCTAATTTTCTGTGTTTTTAGTAGAGCTGGGGTTTCGCCATGTTGGCCAGGCTGGTCTTGAACTCCTGACCTCAGGTGATCCTCCCACCTCAGCCTCCCAAAATGCTGGGATTACAGGCATGAGCCACCACACCCAGCCTTCAAACATTATTTCTCCTCTACTACCCACATTTTTTTTTTTTTTTTTGAGACAGGGTCTTGCTCTGTCCCCCAGGCTGGAGTGCAATGGTGCGATGACAGCTCACTGCAGCCTCAACCTCTCATGCTCAAGCGATCCTCCCACGTCAGCCCACTGAGCAGCTGGGACTACAGGTATGTGCCATCATGCCTGGCTAATTTTTGTATTTTTTGTAGAGATGGGGTTTTGCTATGTTGCCTAGACTGGTTTCAAACTCCTTAGGTCAAGCAGTCCGCCCACCTCAGCCTCCCAAAGTAAGATTTCAGGCATGAGCCACTACACCCAGCCAAAAAAAAGATAATTAAAAAAAGAAAAGAAAGTATTCTGCTTACCCCAATCCTGGGAACTGGGACGTCTAAGTCCATCAGACCCTAATGTTATAAAGACGGGAAACACATTACAAAACCTGGCACGATTTTGGCTCACTGCAACCTCCACCTCCCAGGTTCAAGCGATTCTCCTTTCTCAGCCTCCCTAGTAGCTGGGATTACAGGCACACACCACCATGTCTGGCTAATTTTTGTTTTTGTGGTAGAGACGGGGTCTTACCAGGTTGGCCAGCCTGGTCTCGAACTTCTGACTTCAAGTGATCCGCGCACCTTAGCCTCTCAAAGTGCTGGGATCACAGGCGTGAGCCACTGCACCTGGCATATGTAGCTTTTTAAAAAAATCTTTGTTGCTATCTTATTTAGGAATAAAATATGAGGCAGCTTTGATATCGGTGGAAGGTATCAGTGTTCCAGGCAGTGAATCTGTGTGGGTTTGCAGTGACCTCAATTTTTGCCTCCTCAGGAAAGAATTCAACTGAGGTGTGTAAGGCAGAAAAAGAGACCAAGGTAAGTTTCAGAGCAGGAGTGGAAGTTAGTTTGTTTGCTTATATATTTAAAATATTTTAGGCCAGGCGCGGTGGCTCACACCTGTAATTCCAACACTTTGGGAGGCCGAGGCGGGTGGATCACGGGGTCAGGACATCGAGACCATCCTGGCTAACACGGTGAAACCCCGTCTCTACTAAAAATACAAAAAAAAAAATTAGCCGGGCATGGTGGCAGGCGGCTGTAGTCCCAGCTACTCAGGAGGGTGAGGCAGGAGAATGGCATGAACCCGGGAGGCGGAGCTTGCAGTGAGCCGAGATTGTGCCACTGCACTCCAGCCTGGGGACAGAGCGAAACTCCATCTCAAAAAAAAAAAAAATTTTTTTTTGTTGCCTAGGCTGGAGTGCAGTGGCACCATCTCAGCTCACTGCAACCTCCACCCACTGGGTTCAAGTGATTCTACTACCTCAGTCTCCCTAGTAGTTGGAACTATAGACATGTGCCACCAGACCTGGCTAATTTTTGTATTTTTAGTAGAGACGATGCTTCACCATGTTGCCAGACTGGTCTTGAATTCCTGACCTCAAGTGGTCCACCTGCCTTGGCCTCTCAAAATGCTAGGATTACAGGCATGAGCCACCGTGCTCAGCCCTGGAGTGGAAGTTTATTTAAAAGGCTTTAGAATAGGAAAGAAAGGAAAGAAAAGTACGCTTGGAAGAGACCCAAGAGGGCACCAAGGTCAAGTGCGGTGTTTAACCTTGACCCTAGGACTTTATAGGCTGGCCTCTTTCCCATGTTCCTTCCTTTAGGGTGGGCTGCCACAGGGGGCAGGTGAGCACCCGCTATGTGTTTAGAAACTTCTGTGCACACCCATCTAAGGCTTTCTTCCCTTTTCTGGTGGAGTGCCCCCGAAAGGTCATACTCCCCCATTTTGTCTCTTACTGCACATGCCTGGACTCACTCATCCAATACCTGACATTTTATCAGAAGCCCCCTTGTGCCTCTCCCTTGTGCCTGCATTCAATTCATACTTTAATGCAACAGGTGTGGACCAGCAGGCAATGGCCTTTTCCTGGTGCCAGCTGCCAATTTGTCACTTTTTTTTTTTTTTTGAGACAGAATCTGGCTCTGTCACCCAGGCTTGAGTGCAGTGGTGCGATATCACTGTAACCTTCACCTACTGGGTTCAAGCAATTCTCCTGCCTCAGCCTCCTGAGCAACTAGGACTACAGGCACACACCACCATGCCCAGCTAATATTTTTGTATTTTTAGTGGAGACGGGGTTTCATCATGTTGGCCAGGCTGGTCTCGATCTCCTAACATCAAGTGATCCGCCCGCCTCGGCCTCACAAGGTGCTGTGCCCGGCCAATTTATCCCTTTTAGAGAGGCAATGGGATGATCGCCAAACCATCTGCTGACATTTCTAGTGGGCGAGGGGAGAGCCCTCTCTGCCCCCATCATGCCTATCCTACCTTTTCCTGATGCAGCTCTCAGCTTGACTTTTCCCTTTGGCTTAGTGACTTGTCAGGGTAGGAGGGGTCCCAAGATTTATTTTCTTTTCACAAAGGCAAAAGGGGATACGGCATGTCACATGGTGAAAGAGGGAGTGAGAGAGAGAACAGGGAGGCGCTGCACTCTTATAAACAGCCAGATCTCATGGGAACTACCTGAGTGGGAGCTCACTCATCACCAAGGGGATGATCCCATCATTGCCACCAGGCCTCACTTCCAATTCCGAGAATGACATCTCTTTTTTTTTTTGAGACAGAGTCTTGCTCTCTCACCTAGGCTGCAGTGCAGTGGTGTGATCTCATCTCACTGCAGCCTCTGCCTCCCAGGTTCAAGCAATTTTCCTGCCTCAGCCTCCCGAGTAGCTGGGACTACAGATGCACACCACCACGCCCGGCTAATTTTTTTTTTTTTTTTTTGAGACAGAGTCTTGCTCTGTCACCCAGGCTGGAGTGCAGTGGCACTATCTCGGCTCACTGCAAGCTCCACCTCCCGGGTTCACGCCATTCTCATGCGTCAGCCTCCCAAGTAGCTGGGACTGCAGGCGCCCGCCACCACGCCTGGCTAATTTTTCGTATTTTTAGTAGAGACAGAGTTTCACCGTGTTAGCCAGGATGGTCTCGATCTCCTGACCTTGTGATCCACCCGCCTTGGCCTCCCAAAGTGCTGGGATTACAGGCATGAGCCACCGCACCCGGCCTGTATTTTTTTTTTTTTTAGTAGAATTAAGGTTTTACCATACTGGCCAGGCTAGTCTTGAACTCCTGACCTCAAGTGATCTGCCCACCTCAGCCTCCCAAAGTGCTGAGATTACAGGTGTGAGCCACTGCGCCTGGCTGGAAATCACATCTCAACATGAGATTTGGAGGGCACATACCCAAACCACATTACCCTTCGAGGGAAATTCCGGGCACCTAGCTATCTTGAGAAGTAAATTAGCAACTTGATGAGAAGAAGGTAATAATTGGCTGGGTTCAGTGCCTCACACCTGTAATCCCAGCACTTTGGGAGGTCGAGACAGATAGATCAACTGAGGTCAGGAGTTCGAGATCAGCCTGGCTAATGTGATGAAACCCCATCTCTACTAAAAATACAAAAATTAGCTGGGTGTGGTGACGGATGCCTGTAATCCCAGCTACGCGGGAGGCTGAGGCAGGAGGATTGCTTGAACCCGGGAGGCGGAGGGTGCAGTGGGCTTAGATTGGGCCATTGCTCTCCAGTCTGGGCAACAGAGCAAGACTCCGTCTCAAAAAAAAAAACAAAAAACAAAAAACAAGAAAAAGTAATAATAGCTCAGAACAACAGCCACCCAAGTCGGTTAGAGCCACAAGATATTTGATCCCCTATAGAAAGTAAAGATAACATCTTGACAAATGTCCCTAAGTTGTTTTTCAGAAGCGCAGACCTCAACCAGATGAAAAATGGCGACAGCTTTCACGTTGACCTCAGATAAGGGTGAACCAAGGGCTGAACTCTGATTGGAGTTCTTTGTTCTAAATTTCTTCCTGAGGGGCTTGGAGGGAATCAGACTCACAGGTGAAAACTTAACATCCCTTCTGCTGACCCCAAGGTTTTAGATAAAGCTTTGCTTTCTTAACCAACTGTAAACGTAAAAAATATTTGAATTCACCAGGCGCGATGGCTCATGCCTGTAATCACAGCACTTTGGGAGGCCGAGGCGGGCGGATCACCTGAAGTCAGGAGTTCAAGGCCAGTGTGGTTAACATGGTGAAACCCTGTCTTTACTAAAAATACAAAAATTAGCCGGGCGTGGTGGTGGGCGCCTGTAATCCCAGCTACTCAGGAGGCTGATGCAGGAGAATTGCTTGAACCAGGTGGCACACGCCTATAGTCCAGCTACATGAGAGGCTGAGGCAGGAGGATTGATGAAGCTCGGGAAGCAGAGGTTGCAGTGAGCCGAGACCAGGCCATTGCACTCCAGCCTAGACGACAGAGCGCGACTCTCAAAAAAAAAAAAAAAAAGAAAAAAAGAAAGAAGGAAAAGGAAAAAAGGAAGGCATCTTCTCTGGCACCCTTTAGTCTTTTTTTTTTTTTTTTTTTTTTGAGATGGGGTCTCGCTCTGTCACCTGGGCTGGAGTGCAGTGGCACAATCTCGGCTCACTGCAACCTCTGCTTCCCGGGCTTTATCAATCCTCCTGCCTCAGCCTCTCATGTAGATGGGACTATAGGCGTGCACCACTCCACATAGCTAATTTTTTAATTTTTTTATTTTTTGTAGAGACAGCGGTCTCGTTATGTTGCCCAGGCTGGTTGCAAACTCCTGGGCTCCAGTCATCCTCCTGCCTCCACCTCTCAAAGTGCTGGGATTACAGGTGTGAGCCACTAAGCCCGTCCTGAATTACTGATTTTTACATACTGTATAAACTTTGGCATCCTACTTTTTCTTACTTTTGTTAAATTTGGCCTAAAGCTGCCTCATCAACAGTGAACTATATCCTAATTTAAGCATGTAAGCATTTTACTAAAGGAATATACAAGTAAAATTTTAAAGAAAGAAAATAGGCTGGGCATGGTGGCTCACTTCTGTGATCCCAGCACTTTGGGAGGCAGAGGCGGGTGGATCACGAGGTCAGGAGATCGAGACCATCCTGGCTAACAGTGAAACCCCGTCTCTACTAAAAATACAAAAAATTAGCCTGGCATGGTGGCGGGCACCTGTAGTCCCAGCTACTCGGGAGGCTGAGGCAGGAGAATGGCCTGAATCCGGGAGGCGGAGCTTTCAGTGAGCCGAGATTGTGCCACTGCACTCCAGCCTGGGCGACAGAGCGAGACTCTGTCTCAAAAAAAAAAAAAAAAAAACTAAATAACTAAATAAGAAAACAAGCATAAACATTTGGGAAAAAGCCTTTAGGCCTTGTCAGTTCCTAGAATGTATTTATTTTCACTATACTGGGGTATCCTTCCAGTATTAAGGTCCATTCTCAGAAGGTGGATTTGGCGAGCATGAAAAAATGGGGTGGGGGAGTAATCGTACAAACAACTGTGTCCAGTCCAGGTTCCTAGGACCAAAGGGACCCCTCTGTATGGCAGAGGCACCCAACAGCCATAACTGATGTGTACCCTTAGAATGACTTTATGGTCGGCCGGGCGCGGTGGCTCACGCCTGTAATCCCAGCACTTTGGGAGGCCGAGGCGGGCGGATCACGAGCTCAGGAGATCGATACCATCTTGGCTAACACGGTGAAACCCCGTCTCTACTAAAAATACAAAAAATTAGCCGGGCGCGGTGGCGGGCGCCTGTAATCCCAGCTACTCAGGAGGCTGAGGCAGGAGAATGGCGTGAACCCGGGAGGCGGAGCTTGCAGTGAGCCGAGATAGTGCCACTGCAGTGCCGCCTGGGCGAAAGAGCAAGACTCCTTCTCAAAAAAATAAAATTAAAAAAAAAAAAGAAGAATGACTTTATGGTCTAAGAAGAATGTGTGTTCGGAGCCCCAAGCTAAGGAATCAGGAATGGCAAGATCCTGGAACGATGCCAACCTATGAAACCCTGAGTCAAGAGGTCAAGCTGGGCACTTGGTTTCTCAGGTCGACTGCTTGGCCCTCTTCCAAGTTGTACTTTCCTTCTTTCCTTTCCTCCTTTATTTCCTGTTCTAAAGTTTTATAATAAACTTTTTTTTTTTTTTAGATACTATCTCACTCTATAGCCCAGGCTGGAGTGCAGTAGCTCAATCTCGTTCACTGCAACCTCCACCTCCCAGGTTCAAAAGATTCTCCTGCCTCAGCCTCCTGAGTAGCTGGGATTACAGGCGCTCACCATCACACCCAGCTAATTTTTGTATTTTTAGTACAGACATGTTTTTACCATGTTGGCCAGGCGGATCTTGAACTCCTGAGCTCAGGTGATCCACCTGGCTCAGCCTCCCAAAGTGCTGGGATTACAGGCATGAACCACCATGCCCGGCCCCGGCCTGCTTTTTAATAAACTTTTACTCCTACTCTGCAACTTGCCTCTGTCTGGTTTCTGCCTTATGACCCTCGGTCAAATTCTTTCTTCTGAGGCGGCAAGAATTGAGGTTGCTACAGATGTGTATGGATTCACCACTGGGAAGTTGGATACCTTCCACCGGTAACTGGTCGAGGATGTTAGGTGAAAATGTTATGGAAGCTGCATGGTTTTTACAAATCATGTAGTGGTTCTCATGTCCAGCCATAGCCACTGCACCTGTGTGAAAGTCCCCTCAATAAACCTTTGTCTTTTTTACTGTCTCCAGATCTCTTCCTCTACCCTTCCACACGGTGCCTTCCCTACTGGAGTAAAGTGGGGTCCCGCAGGGCACCCTCTCTGTGCAATGTTTTTTTTTTTTTTTTTTTTGAGATAGATTCTTGTTGTGTTGCCCAGGCTGGAGTGCAGTGGTGTAACCTCGGCTCATTGCAACCTTCGTCTCCTGGGTTCAAGCGATTCTCCAGCCTCAGCCTCCCAAGTAGCTGGGATCACAGGTGCCTGCTACCATGCCTGGCTTTTTTTTTTTTTTTTTTTTTTTTTTTTTAGTATTTTTAGTAGAGATGGGGTTTTGCCATGTTGGCCAGGCTGGTCTCGAACTCCTGGCCTCAAATGATCTGCCCACCTCAGCCTCCCAAAGTGCTGGGATTACAGGCGTGAGCCACTGCACTTGGCCTCTCTCCCTGCATCTTCATGTGTCTTCAACGCCAAGAGGGAGCTTCTGGCCCCTCGGTTAGGGTCGAGGTCCCAGAGGCCCAGGGTCAGGGCTACCGCCGCCTCCCAAGGACGTGCATGCCTGCAAGAGGCTGCATCCAGCAGTCATGGAAGAGGCTCCACTGGGGCCTGCTCTAGTTCCTGCTGGGGAAAGCAAGTGGAGGTGCCCCTTGAAGAAACGGGGATCCCACCAATCTCAGGGGTTCTGTCCTGGCCTGTGGCCCTGGATCATCCAGCACAGAGCAGACGACGATGGGGAGCAGACGACGCCCTTCTTGGTTGGGGCTGAGGGTGGGGGTCCCGCTTCCCTAAAGGCCTAGCCCAGGGTTCCAGCCACAGGCGCCGCCCCGCCCCTCCAGGCCTGGCAATCGCCCTCAACAAAGATGGCGCGGACGACCTAAGTCGCGTCACGCTACCGGCGCGTCACGCGACCTTGCCGCAATGCTCCTCCCGCGCAGCTCTTATCCCCGTAGACTGCGGCCGAGACGGGGAGGGGGAAGCCTCGCCTGGGGGGCGGCAGTGGCCTGGGCGGCTCTCCGGCTGCTGTTGTATGGCTGCACGTTGGCGCTACCGGACGGGATGCTGTATCCCCGAGAGAGCCCGTCGTGGCAGCGCAAGCAGCTGGACGGCCTCTGAAGCTTCCGCGCCGACTTCTCCGACAACCGACGCCGGGGCTTCGAGGAGCAGAGGTACCGGCGACCGCTGTCGGAGGCGCGGACTCGGGGCAGGGCCAGGAGTCGCCCGGAAGCCCGGCGGTGGGAATGGGGTAAGCCCCGGCGCCCTGCAGCCTCCTTCACCGTAGTGCCCCGGAGCTGGGGGCCCGGAGGAGGTTAAAGGTCAACGGGCTTGGGGGCGCGGGATTGGAGAACGGGAGTACCTGGGGGACCCGCGAGGGCCGGAGCGGTGGAGGCGGGAGGAGGAAGAAGCGCTCCTGTCGAGTCCCGTTCCTAGGCGAAGGCTGAGCCCGGGCAGTGTCCTTCTTTCTAATGTTTAATTTTAATTTTTGAAATGCTTTTGAGACCGGGTTTGGCCCTGCTGCCCAGGTGGGAGCGGAGTGGTGCAATCCTAACTTCTGAGCTCAAGCGATTCTCCCGCCCCAGCCTTGCAAGTTACCTGGGACCACCATGCCTGGCTAATTTAAACAAACAAACAAACAAACTTGGTCGGGCTCGTGGCTCACGTCTGTAATCCCAACACTTTGGGAGGCCGAGGCAGGCCGATCACCTGAGGCCAAGAATTCAAGACCAGCCTGGCCAACGTGGTGAAACCCCATCTCTACTAAAAATACAAAAATTAGCCAGGCGTGGTGGTGAGCACCTGTAATCCCAGCTACTTGGGAGGCTGAGGCAGGAGAATTGCTTGAACCAGGGAGGCGGAGGTTGCAGTGAGCCGAGAACACGCCGCTGCTCTCCAGCCTGTGAGACAGAGTGAGACTCCGTCTTAAAAACAAAATCAATTTTTTTTGTTTTTTTTGTTCGTATTTTTAAGATATAGGTCTCGCTAAGTTACCCAGGCTCGTCTCGAACTCCTGGCCTCAAGCCATCCTCCCACATTAACCTCTTGAAGTGCTGATTACAGGCATGAGCCACCCAGGCACTCGTCAGGCCTGAGAGGCAGGCGCTGCCCAGAGCTGGGCCCGGGGATCGGGAGGAGGCGACAGTTTAGATATTTTGAGGTCAGCTCTGCCAAGGTGGGAAGGTACCTTGGTTTTCACGGTTCAGATAGAGGACAGAATGTGACCTCAGGCCAAGGACGCCACCCCTCTTCCCCTCCTGACTTGGATGTGGTCAGCAGAGAAGTGGGATCCGATGAGGTTTGGGCCGCGTTTGCCTGGTGTACATCCTCTTTTTCTTTTTTTCTTTCTTTTTTTTTTTTTTGTTGAGACGGAGTCTCTCTCTGCTACCCAGGCTGGAGTGCAATGGCACGATCTTGGCTCAGTGCAGCCTTCCGGGTTCAAGTGATTCTCCTGCCTCAGCCTGCTGAGTAGCTGGGACTACAGGCCCACCACACCCAGCTAATTTTTGTATTTTTAGTAGAGATGGGGTTTCACCATATTGGCCAGGCTGGTCTCGAACTCCTGACCTTGTGATCTGCCTGCCTCTGCCTCCCGAAGTGCTGGGATTACAGGTGTGAACCACCGCACCCAGCCTACATCCTCTTTTTCTGACTTTACGGCATTCAGTACAGGAGAAAGAGAGGAGAAGGCTGGGTGCCAGCGTGTGCCCCACTCACAGTGTCCTAAGCAAAGCACCCCCCATCCCCCTAACCAGCCTTCCTCCCTGTGACAGGCAGTGGGCCATCTGCCTCTTAGTCACAGGTCTGAACCTTCTTGCCTCGTGCTGGGATGTGCCCCTGGGCTCACCCCTGTCTTGGGAGATACTGGGTTCCATCCGCTCCAAGGAGGAACTCCTGGCCCCACTGGCCCAGGTGTACAAACCGCCCTGGCAATTGACCTGTCATCAGCAAGTTATCTGTCTGTTCCACCAGGAGTCCCCACCGTGTGTCAGTGTTTGCGCTAGGCCTGGGGGCGTGGCTGTGCAGTACACTGGTCCTGGATCCCTTTGGGGGGCCTAGGAGCTGAGCCCAGCCCTTCTCTTCGCAGTCAGGCCCCACCGTGGACATGCCGGTTCCCTCCAGCTTCAACGACATCGGCCAGGGCTGGCGGCTGCGGCATTTTGTCAGCTGGTTGTGGTATGAACGGGAGGTGACCCTGCTGGAGCGATGGATCCAGGACCTGTGCACAAGAGTGGTGCTGAGGATTGGCAGTGCCCACTTCTATGCCATCGTGGTCAGTGAGGCCAGGAGCAGGCAGGGCGGGTGGGTGGGCACAGCTGCTGAACAGCATGGGACCCTCAGCTACCACCCATAGCCTGTCTTCTGGGGTGGGACGGTGGGGGTCCTTGCCCTGCCCTGGAGGCTGTGCCCTGTGTAGAGGGATAGGTGGCCTGATGTACCCCATTGGGATGTCATTCTTCCCGTCTGGCTGGCAGGCCCCCGATCCCCATACTGCAGGTTATGTGAGGGAGTGCCTGATAGCAGTGCCCCTCCTCATGCCCTGACCTGCCACCCCCTCCCCATATCTCCTATGTCTGCAGTGGGTAAATGGGGTCGACACGGTAGAGCATGAAGGGGGCTACCTCCCCTTTGAGGCCGACATCAGCAGCCTGTTCCAGGTGGAGCCCCTGCCCTCCCACCTCTGCATCACTATCGCCATCAACAACACGCTCACCCCCCAACCCTGCCACCAGGGACCATCTGTACATGACCGACACCTCCAAGTGGGGACCATCCTGCCTCCACTGCACGCACCCACCTTCCCGCCCCACCCTGTGGTCTTCCTGCCAGGGACAGGGTGGCCTTCGCAGAGAGGAGGCCCTGGATCTGGGGAGGCATGTGAGCTGAGGTCAAAAGACCCATGGCAAGGGCCCAGCGAACCACAATTCTCCCGCCCTAGGTATCCCAAGGGTTACTTTGTCCAGAACACAGACTTTGACTTCTTCAGCTACGCAGGACTGCTGTGGTCTCTGCTTCTATACACGACACCCCCCACCTACATCGATGACGTCACCGTCACCACCGGCGTGAAGCGAGACAGTGGTGAGGGCTTCTGGTAAGATCCTCCCTCAGTGGGGCCCAGGGTGGCTGTGTTTGTTCTCTGTTTGGAAAGCTCTCCCAGCATCTCTAAACCTTCATAGGTTCCCATCCACCTATGAAGCTAAAATCCAGGCTGTCTGAGCCGGCGTGGGCTCCCGAAATCACCCATGTGGTAGATCTCGCTTGGAGAAGAGGGGTCTGGCCTAACGTCACACAGCTCAGGGTGGCAATCCTGTCCCTTCCCCACGGTGCTGCTCTCACTCTAGCTCCCCTTGCTACACATTGTGCTCAAGGAACAGGCAGCTTCGAGGGGCCGGGTGCGGTGGCTAACGCCTGTCATCCCAGCTCTTTGTAAGGAGGACTTGGTAGGAGGATCACTTTAGGCCAGGAGTTTAAGACCAGCCTGGGCAACATAGCGAGACCATCACCACAAAAAATTAAAAACCGTCAGGCATGGTGATGCATGCCAGTAGTCCCAGCTGCTGAGGCAGGAGAATCTGTTGAGCCTGGGAGGTCAAGGGTGCAGTGAGCTGTGACCACGCCACTGCACTCTGGTCTGGGCAACAGAGGGAGACCCTGTCTTTTTTATTTTTATTTGTTTTTAAGCTAGAGTCTCACTCTGTAGGAGCCCAGACTGGAGGGCACTGGTGCAATCTTGGGCTCACTGCAACCTCCACCTCCCGAGTTCAAGTGATTCTCCTGCCTCAGCCTCCCGAGTAGCTGGGATTACAGGCACCTTCCACCACATCTAGCTAATTTTTGTATTTTTTTTTAGCAGAGATGGGGTTTCACCATATTGGCCTGGTTGGTCTTGAACTCCTGACCTCAAATGATTCACCCGCCTCGGCCTCCCAAAGTGCAAGGATTACAGCTGTGAGCCACCGCACATGGCTGGAATACCCTGTCTTTAAGAAAAAAAAATGTTTTTTAATTTTTTTTTTTTTAAATATATCTTTTTCCTTTTGTGAGATGAGGCCTTGCACTGTTGCCCAGGCTGGATGGCAGTGGTGCGATGATTGACAGCTGTTGTGGGGCCGCAGTTGTAAGTTTCAAAGAATTTAGGCTGGGTGTGGTGGCTAATGCCTGTCATCCCAGCACTTTGGGAGGCCAAGGTCAGCAGACCGCTTGAGCTCAAAAGTTCGAGACCAGCCTGGGCAACATAGTGAGACCCTGTCTCAAAAAGAATGAATAATTAAAATAAATAAAAAAGAATTTAAATAAGAAATCACACAGCAAAGGTGATGCAGCATAGAGCAATTTATTGTAAAGGGAAAAGTATTTTGCAAGTTAAGTGCAGAATAGCCTGGGTGCAGTGGCTTATGCCTGTAATCCCAGCTACTAGGGAGGTTGAGATGGGAGAACTGCTTGAACCTGGGAGGTGGAGGTTGCAGTGAGCTGAGATTGCAACACTCCATTATATAATCCCAGGTACTCGGGAGGCTGAGACAGCCTGGGTGACAGAGCGAGACCCCATCTAAAAAAAGATCGTGAAGTCCAAAATACACGGTTCACCCTGAGAGAGGATTCAGGGCAGTCTGCTCCTAAGGATGAGAGAGCGCTGATTATTACTGGGGAAACTCCCTTTCTGGGAGTCTTCCATGATGAATTCCTAAGGAGTTGGAAGAGGTGTTACTCTAAGCACGTTCTGGGTCATCCTCTGGGTGCACATGGGCTGTAGCTGTACATGCTTGTTCACACATCAGATGTCTCAGCGCCGTGGTTGGCACGTCCGAAGGACACGGTCACTTCCTTGACTACCTACCCTGCGTCAAGATCGTAGCTCGTTGCCGCCCCAAACTCCTGGCTCAAGCAATCCTCCCACTTCAGCCTCCCAAGTACTTGGGGCTGATGGGACTGCAGGCACACACCACCACGCCCAGCTAATTTTTGTTATTTTTTAGGGAAGATGTGGTTTCTCTATGTTACCCAGGCTGGTCTTGAACTACTGGGCTGAAGTGATCCTCCCTCTTCAGCCTCCCTGTGGTGGTGTGTTGGGATTACAAGTATGACCACTGCCCCTGGCCAAATACACGTTTTTTTTTATGTTTGTTTTTTGTTTTTTTGAGACAGAGTCTTGTGCTGTCACCCAGGATGGAGTGGTGCAGTGGTACGATCTTGGCTCACTGAAACCTCCGCCTCCCAGGTTCAAGTAATTCTCCTGCCTCAGTCTCCCTAAAGTAGCTGGGATTACAGGCGTGTGCCACCATGCCTGGCTAATTTTTGTATTTTTAGTAGAGATGGGGTTTCACCATGTTGACCAGGCTGATCTCGAACTCCTGGCCTCAAGTGATGCACCTACCTCAGCCTCTGAAAATGCTGGGATTACAGGCATGAGCCACCATGCTCAGCCTGTTTCCTTAAATTTCTTTATAAAAATTTACCCTATGGTAAAGGTGTACTACCAGAAGGTAGAATGAGACACTTTGGTCCATGCGTACATTGTGTAATGATGAAATCAGGGTATTTAGCATCTCTCTTGCCTCATAGAGTTATTATTCCTTTGAGGTGAAGACATTCAGTATCCTCTTTTTCTAGCTTTCTTGAAAAGTACGCTCTGATAATGTTAGACCTAGTCACCCTGCTGCTGTGGAATAGAACTACAGGTTTCATTCCTCTCACGGAGTATGTAACTTTATGCCGTTTCCAATCTCTGACTATGCCCCACCTTTCAACCCCCACCCGTGGTAAGAACAGTTATGCTTACTAGTTCTATGAAATAAAGTTTTGTGGATTCCTCCTGAGTGAGAAAATGTGATGTTTGTCTTTCTCTGTGTAGTTTATTTCTTTCTCCTTTTTTCCTTTTTTTTGAGATAGTGTCTGGCTCTGGTTGCTCAAGCTGGAGGGCAGTGGTGCAATCTCAGCTCACTACATCCTTGACCTCCCGGGGCTCAGGTGATTCTCCCACCTCAGCTTCCCGAGTAGCTGGGACTTTTGAGAAATGTCTCTTCGGGTTCATTGCCCAACTTTGGCTGGGTTACCTGGTTTTGCATGTATTTTTACTAGAGATAGGATTTCACGATTTTGGCAAAGCTGGTCTGAAACTCCTGACCTCAAGTGATCCACCCGACTTGGTCTCCGAAAGCACTGGGAGTACAGGTGTGAGCCACAGCACCCGGCCTCATTGCATCTTCTAGGTGTTCTTTGAAAAAAATGTGTTGACTGCGTACAGGTGTGTGTTTAGGTTCTCTTACGTCCCTAGGTTCGTGGATTCATTTTTATGCCACTACTGTAGTCTTTGGATGAGTGGAGGTTTTACTTGTAATTTGAAACTGGGGATTGTGCGGCCTCCAATTGAGTTTGTATTCCCTAGGATTGCTTTGCATATTCAGGTTCTTTGGGTCTTTGGTGGTTCCATGTGAATTTTTAGCCATGTATCGTTAACATTTCATAAAACGTTTGTTTCATACTTCATGTCCAGAATTAGGGGTGCATTGGGACATTGTGATACTTGTTTGTATACCTTGAGTATGGATAAAATCAGGGAGTTTCCCATGCTTGTGACCACGTATAGGTTTTATATCCTCGATGTGTGAACATTCAGTATCCTCCTTGGTAGCTGTTTTGAAAATGGCATGATCATGTTGTTAAGTATCGTCGCCGTGCTTTGGAGTGGAATACCAGAATGTATTCCTCTCCTGTAACTCTCTGTGTACCTATTGTGTACCTATTGCCAATCCTTGATATCCTCTCCTCCAGCTAGCCTGTGGTGACCACTGCTGTATTTCCACCTTCAGTCAGTTAAATTTTTCAGCTCCTACATGAGTGAGAACATGCAGGCTTGGTCTTAGTCTGCCTTTCTGATTTGATTGAACATAGTATCTCCAGGTGTAGCCATGTTGCTGGAAATGATAGGATTCCATGAATTTTGATGGCCCAAAAGTATCCCATTGTGTCTGTATACTAGAGATTCTTCATCCCTTCATCTGTGGATGGACAGGTAGGCTGATTTCTTATCTTGGCTTTTGGGCATAGGGCTGAATTCCACCTGGGATGACAGATAATCTCTTCCATGTCCTGATCACGTGCTCTGTGTATATACCTAGGAATAGAATTGCTGGAGAAAACGGTAGTTGAAGTTTTAGGATTTCAAGGAACACCCAAGTGGTTTCTTTAGTGTGCGTACTAGTTCACCGTTTCCCAGCAACTGTGGAGACAAGTTCCTCCTCTGGAAATCCACACCTTGATTTTTTTGTGCTTTAATGTTTCAACTTTTTTCTTGTAGCATCCATTGCATGTAGAGTGAGATGGAATCTTGAGTGTGTTTTTGATTTTTGTGTGTGTATGATAAGTGGTACTTGCTAAGTTATTGTGAATTTGTTTTTAATTTGTTGTTAGGACTGGATGGAGGACCTGAAGACGTGAGGTGGAGGCACAGGTAGAAGAGAAGATTCTCACCATCGCTGATTCACACAAAAGCGTAAGTGAAAATCACACTGAAGATTTCATCTCACTGCAGTTAGAATGAATACTACCAACATTTGATGGCAGTTTTGTTTCTGTAGAGTATGTGTGTGTGTATGTGTATATATATATACACACACACACAAACACACACAACCGTAAGAGTGCAAGGGACATTTTGACATGTATATGTAGCATCATGATCAAATCATCATATCTGGCATCTCTGTGACCTTC